>NC_000013.11:24658106-25908106 GCF_000001405.40 Homo sapiens
CAAAGGGGACGTGACAATTAAAGGTGATGTGGCATTTTGTAGAACACTCTGGGACAGAAAAAGGGCATTAGGGAAAAACAAAGTAAATTCAATAAAGTATGGACTTTAGTGAATAATAATGTCTCAATACTCATTCATTAATTGTAACAAATGTACCCATGCTAATATAAAGTGTTAATAATAGGGGAAAGTGTATGTTGGGGGGAGAAGAAGATGGAAATGCTCTGTATTCTCTATCTGCTCACTTTCTCTGTAAATCTAAAACTTCTAAAAAATATTCTAGTAACTAAAAAGCCGTGATTGCTTCATACAGATGCAAAAACTAATTAAAATCCAGCAATTGTTCATTATTTGTAAAATAGTAGGTTCTATTGATTGACTTTATTATTGAATAAATACATTAATTATTTTAAAAAAGCTCTTGGCAGGCCAAGCACAGTGGCTCATGCCTGTAATCCCAGCACTTTGGAAGGCCAAGGCAGAAGGGTTGCTTGAGCCCAGGAGTTCAAGACCAGCCTGGGCAAGAGAGTAAAACCCCACCTCTACAAAAAAATACAAAAATTGGCCAGGTGTGGTGGTGCGTGACTGTAGTCGCAGCTGCTGTGTAGGCTGAGGCCGGAGGATCACTGGAGCCCAGGAGGTCAAGGCTGCAGTGAGCTGAGATCACACCACTGCACCCCAGCCTGGGTGACAGAGTGAGACCCTGTCTTAAAAAATAAATAAATAGGCCGGGCGCGGTGGCTCACGCCTGTAATCCCAGCACTTTGGGAGGCTGAGGCAGGGGCATCATGAGGTCAGGAGATTGAGACCATCCTGGCTAACACGGTGAAACCCCGTCTCTACTAAAAAATACAAAAAATTAGCTGGGTGTGGTGGTGAGCACCTGTAGTCCCAGCTACTTGGGAGGCTGAGGCAGGAGAATGGCATGAACCCAGGAGGCAGAGCTTGCAGTCAGCCGAGATTGCACCACTGCACTCCAGCCTCGGCGACAGAACGAGACTCCAACTCAAAAAAAAACAAATAAAAATAAAAATAAATAAATAAATAAATAAATAAATAAAATAAAATAAATAATAAAAGCTCTTAGCAAATGTGGAATTAAAAAGAATTTCCCTAACCTGATAAAGGATATCTACCAAAACCATCAAACTTAATTGTGAAACATTAGAAGTATTCCATTTAAAGTCAGCAGCAAGACACGGGTGCCTGCTCTCATCACCTGATTCAACATTATACTGAAGGTTAACTCAGTGCAATAAGATAAAGAAGCAAAATATGTTAGGATTGGAGACAAGTGGGGAAAAGTCATTATTTACAAATGACACGCTTGTTTACCAACTAAATCAAAGCAAACCCACAGAGTAGCTATGGACTGCAACTCCACTGCCTGCCTCTGGCCTCAAAAGAACAGAGGCTGTGGCTCAGGTCCTTCTTTACAGTTTCTCAAGCCATCTCCTTCTATTGCTTTTCCTTCTCCTTTCTACTAAGGGGATCCTCCGTTTGCTTCTCCACTGTAGAGGAGAAGGGAAGTGGAGAATTCGGCAGGTCCTTCTGCAAGTTCCTTAGGATGCACTGGCTCTGCAGTTTGGAGAAAAGAACTAAAAGGTTTGTGTCATTCAGAACCCAAACCAAACTTCATGACATACAGTACCAAACAATCCAGCTGTGCAGTTGTGCCCGTCAGCTCTGCATTCCCCAAACACCTCCCCCAAACCCCCAATGCCCCATGTCCTATAGTTAGGGCTTCCTTCCCCCACATCACACCCACAGCAGCTTTGTCCCTCTAGGGGACAGAAAATTCTGGAAACAGGTCTCTCCCAAGACACCTTGAACCCCATAATTCCCTCTGTACCACCCAGTCCCAATACTAGGGAAAGCTGGGGTGACACCCAATATACCAACCAATACTGACTTTCTATCATCTGGCAAATGGATTTTGAAACAGAAATTAAACATAGTTATTCAGAAAATAAAGAAAGTTCTACTTCTCACACACCCAAGCTTGTGGTCTGAGTCTCATCCTTGCTACTTGAACACTATAAACATTCAGGATTCATGACCCTTAACTTAAGCCCCGGGCTCCACAGCCTGGACGATCTCCATAAGTGATAACCCTCCCCAGCAAGCTGACGGTTTCTCAGAACAAGGATGGTAGGAGGGGAGGTAGAAACTTTCATGTTTACATTATACAGTACTAGATTGCTTTTGTAATTTAAATTTTTATTAGAAAAAAAAAACTCTTATCATCCCTGGCTTTTGCCCCCAGATGAAAAGATCACATAAGGAAACCAAATCTTGTGTGCAACACACACACTTTACACATCTGGTCTTGAAGATGTAAAAATTTACAACCTATATTAGAATCCATATTTATGCAGACTTTATGAGAAGACAAATAAAAATCTATTTTAAGGATATGGTAAACTCATAAAGAAAATACAAAGTTCAAATCTCAGTGGATATATTTCTGAGAAACTTTCTCTTCCTCCTTATACCCAGGAGTTTTATCTGGTTTGGGAGGAGCCATGCCTCTGACCTAGACAGGTTGTTTAAATTGATACAGAATACTCATACATACTTATGGGATGTATGTGATATTTTGATACGTGCATACAATGTGTAATGATCAAATCAAAGTAATTAGGGTCTCCCTATCACCACAAGCTTTTATTTCTTTGTGTTAGAAATATTTCAAATCTTCTCTTGCAGCTATTTAAAAATATACAATAAACTGTGGATAACTATAGTCACCCTACTATGCTACCAAACACTGGAACTTACTCTTTCTGTCTGTCTGTTTGTACCAATTAATCAACCTCTCTCCATCCTCTACACCCTTCCCAGCCCCTAGTTACCACTAATCTACTCTCTACCTCCATGAGGTGAAATTTTTTAGCTTCCACATATGAGTCAGAATATGTGAGATTTGTCTTTCTGTGCCTGGCTTATTTTACTTAACATACTGTCCTCTAAGCTCATCCACATTGCCACAAATGACAGGATTTCATTCTTTTTTATGGCTGAATAATATTCCTTTGTGTATATATATTATATATATATATAAAACACACGTATACACACACACATATATATATAACACACATATATACACACACACACACATATATATACATATATATATATATATCATATTTTCTTTTTTTTTTTTTTGAGACGGAGTCTCGCTCTGTCGCCCAGGCTGGAGTGCGGTGGCCCGATCTCGGCTCACTGCAAGCTCCGCCTCCCGAGTTCACGCCATTCTCCTGCCTCAGCCTCCGGAGTAGCTGGGACTACAGGCGCCCGCCACCACACCCGGCTAATTTTTTGAATTTTTTTAGTAGAGACGGGGTTTCACCGTGTTAGCCAGGATGGTCTCGATCTCCTGACCTCGTGATCCGCCCACCTTGGCCTCCCAAAGTGCTGGGATTACAGGCGTGAGCCACCGCGCCCGGCCATATATCACATTTTCTTTATCCATTCATCCCTTGATGGGCACTTAGGTTGATTCCATACCTTGGCTATTGTGAATAGTGCTGGGATAAACATGGAAGTGCAGAGACTTCCTCAATATACTAGCTTCCTTTCTTTTGGATACATACTCAGTCACGGGATTGCTGGGTCATATGGTAGTTCTATTTTTCGTTTTTTGAGAAACATTCCTAGTGTTTTCCATAATGGCTGTACTACTTTGTATTCCCACCAACAGTGTATGAGAGTTCCTTTTTCTCTGCAATCTTGCCAGCATATGTTACTTTTTGTCTTTTTGAAAGCAGCCTGGGGTGAGATATCTCATTGTGGTTTTGATTTGCATTTCCCCGATGATGATTGATGTTGAGCATTTTTTCATACACCTGTTGGCCATTTGTATGTCTTCTCTTGAGAAATATCTATTCAGATCATTTGCCATTTTTAACTCAGATTATTTAGGTTCATTTGCTGTTGAGTTGTTTGAGTTCTGGTTATTAACTGCTTGTTGGATGAATCGTTCGTGAATGATTTCTTCTGTTCTGTAGGTTGTCTCTCACTCTGCCGACTGTTTCCTCTGCTGTGCAGAAACTTTTTAGCTTGATGTGATCCCATTTGTCTACTTTTTAGAATGATGAATTTTGTACTTCATTACTTACTAACTCATTTTTCCTGGAAGGAGCTTTCCAAGACCTTCTAATTCATCTCCCTATCTCCAGAGTTGATTAACTGAGTTTTCCAGGCTTCCAAGAAAAGCATGTTGCATAACACCTGTCTGAAAGTGTTCTACCATCTACCTTCACTTTGTCTGCTTTGTTATCTCCAGCCCAGTCATACACTTGGACTGTGGGACTGAAATTTCCCCCTAACTAGGAGATGGGAATTACGTTCACTCAGCTATAATTGCCACTTCCTGGGAAACCCTTTCTCTCTCCTGTTCTTGGGGCACTGCCAGCCAAGTTTCCCATCCCTGAGCCCTCAGTGGGGCTACTTGCCATCTATCTTCAGCTCCAGGTCACCAACACCAGCACTTTATCTGTGAGCAGCAATAAAATGAATTCATCTCCTATAATGATTTTAAAGGGCCTGTGCTATTCTTGGAGTGTGGAGAAGGGAGAGGCTGGGCAAATAGTTCTTTAGGATCTCAAACAAAGGCTTCTTGCTTCTATTAGTTCTCATAAAATTTTTCATGGAACTTTATAAAGAATATTGAACAAATCCTCCCTTCCCTTTTGCCCAGAGTCAGGCTATGGAGCAGACTGAACTCCAGGTTGCAGGCCTGGAATTGGTCCTTGTGTTGCCACTCACTTGCTCTGAGATATTGTGAAAGCCACTCCACCCCACTGAATTTCCATTTTCCCATCTGTAGAGCACTTAGAGCCAATTGTATCTCTCAGAGTGCAACCAGGGAAACAGAACCAAGGGAGGTATACAGTTAGGGACTGACTGCAAGGAACTGGCTGATACAGTTATGGGGGCTACCAGGGGCAGGCTGGAGCTCAGGGCGTGAGCCCAGGCTGCCATAACAGTGGCAGTTGTGCCATCTTCTTCAGGAAGCCTCAGCTCTGCTCTTACAGGTTTTCACCTGTTTGGATCAGGCCCACCCACGTCAGCCAGGACAATCTCCTTTGCCTAAGGTCAACTGATTATGGACATTAGTCACATTTTCAAAATACCTCACAGCAACCTCTATGACTGTTTGGTTGAATAACCTGGGACTGTAGCCTCACCAGGTGGATGCATCAAGGTGACCCTCACAGCAATGTTTGTTCCTGCCAACCCCGAATAATGGGAAGTAATACTTCGGAGGTTTTAAACGTGCTCTTTTAGAAGCTTCAGAAATTGATGAAAAGAACCTAAGAATATTAATTTCTAAACTGTGAACATTCAATGCTCCCATATTAGTTAGCATACATACATATAATTCCACATAGTTGTAATCAGTGTACACAGCAACATAACTTTCTGCTCTTTTCCTTTAACTTTATTTGGTGTAAGCATGTCCTGGCATTGATATTTTCTACATATTGAGGTCACTTTTCCCAATTATTTTATAGCATTTATTCATGTTAATGTACTATAGTTTTAAGCACTAGCCCCTTTTTTGGCCATTTGAACAGTTCTAAATGTCTGCAATTTAAAAAGCACTATTGTGAACATATTTACACAAATCAGTGTTTAACTTTTGAGTCATTTCACTAAAGTATAATTGGTTCCAAATGTAGAATTACTGGGCCAAAAGATGTAAAGAAGCTTGTAGCCACCATTATGTACAGCTGGATTGCTTTACAGAAGGACA
Organism: Homo sapiens; assembly: GCF_000001405.40. Taxonomy (NCBI): domain Eukaryota; kingdom Metazoa; phylum Chordata; class Mammalia; order Primates; family Hominidae; genus Homo; species Homo sapiens. The sequence continues at coordinate 24,663,871 of NC_000013.11, forward strand.
GGACTGATTCATAACGCATCTAAAAATGTATAAGAACATTTGTTATCCTAAAGCTCTGCTATCATTTCAATGGTTCTTTTCCTAAAATTTATTTAATTTCAAAAAGCACATGTTGATCTTAAAAGATGCAGCCCCTTAACCATCAGAAAGCATCTTTTCCCAAATACAGTCATGTGCCACATAATGTTTCAGTCAATGACGGTGGTCCCATGAGATTTTAATGGAGCTGAAAAATTCCTATCATCTAGTGAGGTCGCTCTCATAACACCACAGCATTAAAACACATCGCTCGTGTCGGGCGCGGTGGCTCACGCCTGTAATCCCAGCACTTTGGGAGGCCAAGGCAGGCGATCACAAGGTCAGGAGATCGAGACCATCCTGGCTAACATGGTGAAACCCCGTCTCTACTAAAAATACAAAAAATTAGCCAGGCGCGGTGGCGGGCACCTGTAGTCCCAGCTACTCAGGAGGCTAAGGCAGGAGAATGGCGTGAACCTGGGAGGTGAAGCTTGCAGTGAGCAGAGATTGCGCCACTGCACTCCAGCCTGGGCGACAGAGCGAGACTCCATCTCAAAAAAAAAAAAAAAAATCACTCGTATGTTTGTGGTGATGCTATTGTGAATAAACCTACTTTGCTGCCAGTCATTTAAAAAGCAAAATAAATAAAATTTTAAAATAAGAAAAATCTTATAGATTATGGATATAAAGAAAGAAAATATTTTTGTACTGCTGTACAGTGTGTGTTTTAAGTGTTATTGCAAAAGAATCAAAAAGTTTTAAAAAGAGCCTGGCATGGTGGGCTTATGACTGCAATTCCAGCTACTGGGGAGGCTGAGGCTGGGGGATTGCCTGAGATGAGGAATTCAAGACCAGCCCAGGCAACACAGGGAGACTTTATCTCTTAAAAAATATAGCTGAGGTTAATTTATTGAAGAAAGAAAAATATTTTGTATCAATTTAGTGTAGCCGAAGTGTACAGCTTTATTGAGTCTACAGGAGTGTATAGTAATGTCCTAGGCCTTCACATCCACCCACCACTTACTCACTGACTCACCCAAAGCAACTTCCAGTCTTGCAAGTGTGCATTCATAGTAAGTGTGCTATGCAGGCATGCCACTTTTTATCTTTTACCCTCTATTTTTACTCTACCTTTTCTACCTTTAGATATGTTTAGATACAGAAATACTTATCATTGTGTAGTGATTACCTACAATATTTAGTACAGTAACATGTGGTACAGGTTTGTAGCCTAGGAGCAACAGGCTATACAATACAGCCTGGTATGTAGTAGGCTATAGCACCTGGGTTTGTGTGAGTACATGCTATGGTATTCGCAGGATGACAAAATTGCCCAACGATGCATTTCTCAGACTGTATCCCCACCCTTAAGTAAGGCATGACTGCAGTGATGTTCTGTCCTGGTTTCCTCCTGTGTAAACCCCCACAGCATGTCCCGCACTCACTATACGCTGCCTCCTAACTAGCATCTCTTCAGCTAGATCAGAAGCTACTTGAGAATAAAAGCCATTCTTACCACTCCTTCAGAGCCTCCAAAGTATCAAGGCCTTTGCAGGCACTGCAATTACAGTGGACCCTTGAAGAACACAGGGATCGGGGTGCCGATCCCCTGCACAGTTAAAAACCTATGTATAACTTTTGACTCTTCTAAAACTTAACTGCTAATAGCCTACGGTTGACTGGAAGCCTTACTGATAACATAAACAGTCCATTCACACATATTGTGTATGTTATACGTATTATCTGCTATATTCTCTTACAATATAGCAAGCTAGAGAAAAGAAAATGTTATTAAGAAAAATTATAAGGAAGAGAAAATACATTTATAGTACTATACTGTATTTATCAATATTGTGAATTTGCATGGTCTGTTTACAAGATGAGTTGTCTGAAATGATGGCAACTGCAGCTGCAGACCTCAGTCTATGGTACATAGCAAGCAATTCAACTGTTTCTTGTAATGTCATTATTTTTCTCTGCTTTCCAGGAGTACTTCCAGCATCACTAGTCACACTTTGTATGGGTCCTATGGTGTTAACCAAGGTATTGCACTCAACACGATGAAAAATACACAGGAATCCTGAGAGATCACCTTTTACCAATGGTAATTTGCAATTTACTAGAGAGATGAACTGCTCATGTGGAGACGATGAGCGTCACACAGCGTTTTTTTTTTTTGAGATGGAGTCTCGCTCTGTCGCCCAGGCTGGAGTGCAGTGGCTGATCTCAGTTCACTGCAAGCTCCGCCTCCCAGGTTCACGCCATTCTCCTGCCTCAGCCTCCCCAGCAGCTGGGACTACAGGCGCCCGCCACTACGCCCGGCTAATTTTTTGTATTTTTAGTAGAGACGGGGTTTCACCGTGTTAGCCAGGATGGTCTCGATCTCCTGACCTAGTGATCTGCCCACCTCTGCCTCCCAAAGTGCTGGGATTACAGGCATGAGCCACCGCGACTGGCCCCACACAGCGTTTTAAGCAGATACACACTTGAGCTCACACTTGAGCTCACCGCTAGCAATGAAATGATTACAGCATTACAGTAAGCACTGCAGCTGATTTTATGCAGTTATGATTTAACTGCATCTTTATGTTTGTTTACATTCTCCTGACTGCAAATGGTCCCGTATATTCTGTTATAAGTCTTGATAAATTTTAACTTTTTATTATAGATTTCTATATATTGTATGGGAGTAAAAGATAAAATAAACTAGTATCTACATATATTTTATGCATCAATGACATATCTAACTTTTTCTTAATTTTTTTGATATTTCTAGGCTATGCAATTCATTAGTGAGCTTTTTCTAATTGTCACAAATCTCAAAAAAATTTTCCAATATATTTATTGGAAAGAAATTCTGTATAAATGGACCCAGGCAGTTCAAACTGATGTTGTTCAAGGGCCAACTGCATACCTGCCTGAGGGGCACGTGGCAAGGGTGAGATGAAGGTCCTCCCGGGCTTCCTGGCGTGTGTGTAATACTGGGTCTCCACCGAGTTCCCAAAGCAGGCCATCTATGAAAGAACCTTCAGGCTTGAAAAGACAGAAAACGTTTCCATAATTTATTGGTTAGATTCTGTACATGCTAATGATATACTTACTGTTATTAATTATAGCTGGACTAATCAACATCTTCTTTCAGATTTAACATGAACTTACCAAAGCCAAGCTTGATTTTCCAAATCAAAAACAAAGTGGTCTTCTAGAGTGGGCACTTCTGTTTGAGAAAATGCTCTTTTGAGGGAGAGTAGGGGGCCCTAGAAGGGCTAACAATAGCAGGGAACTCTCCAAGTAGGAGGAGAAGACCATCATATACAACTTTGTGGAATGTTTCTGTCTTTATGACCATGTTGCAGGACTAAGAATTCATGGCACACAGTTGCAGAATCATTGACAAGGTAAGCTGAAACCTCAAGAAATCACCTTTTTGTGTTTCTCCCTTCTTATGCATTAATAGTCCTAGTCAAATAATCTGATTCCATGTGGCTGAGACCAAAGAGGCCAAGAAAACAAGGGTGTTTAGATCTTCCCTGTTCCCCAACCTCCAAATCTAGGTGATCCCATCAGCTGCAGATGTCTTGTCTTTGCTGATCACATCCAGTAAAGAATTGCTGAATATCCTACTTCCTTTTATTTTACAGAAGGAGTTTACATGCTGCATTTGAAAACAGAGTTCATAACCAATATGAAATTTAGCGGAAGTAACTTGACCTCATGGAATTTGTGGGAAAACTCAGAATTCAAATCACTTCCTTGCAGCCTCTCAAGTGAGTCGAAAGCAGAGCCCCTACTCCGTGCTTCTCTCGCCTGGAACTCACTGTCACTGTCTGCTGGTCCACTGCTCCCAGTCACTCCAACGTGAGGAAGCCGGCTTCAGAGCAAACCACAAGGAAATCTGGTTTATGAAAATGGAGCAGTCTCCTGATAACATCTGGCCGTTCATCACTAGCTTCTTCAGGTAAACCCCACTCTAAAAAGAAATGGATCCTACAGGTCTCCTACTGGATGCCCACAAATGGCTGAAAACTGCCATTTGATTTGATTTATTCTCTATACACTAGAAGTTCTCTATGTGGTTTGTTGGGCTAATGAGCCTAAGGAGATTGTATTAGGGTTCTCCAGAGACAAAACAAATAGGATGTCGAGAGAGAGAGAGAAAAAAGAGAGAAAGATTTGAAGGAATTGGCTCACATGATTGTGAGACTGGCAAATCCAGTCTACAGGAGAGGCTGGAGGCCCAGGCACAGTTGATGTAGCTAAAGGCCAAGGGCAGTCTGAAGGCAGAATTCCCTCCTCCTTGGGGGACCCAAATGTTTTAACTTCTTTAACTCATTGGGTAAAGCCCACCCCCATTATGGAGCAGACTCTGCTTTACTCACATCTACTGATCCAACTGCTAATCACATCTGAAAAACACCTTCACAGAGACTTCCAGATTGGTGTTTGGACAACTGGGTACCGTGAATTAGCCACATTGACACGTAAAATAAATCTTCCCAAAGATTCATGTAGAATTCCCAGAGAAGGGAAAGGTTGCATCAAAAGTGAGTGGAGTGGCTGAGCCGAGACAAGTGTGTTCACTTCTGCAGGGCATGCCTTTTTCACTGCTTGCTGAGGCTGAGGGGATGATGCTCTCGGCAGAGGAGCCAGTATCCAGTCCCTCGGAAGGGGAAGGCTCAGGGCATAGCCCCCAGCCTGACTCCTCCTGACTAGCCTACACCCTACCCACACTAGTCTTTCCTAGGCATGGAGGCAGGTAAAGGAGAAGAAAGATGCCCCTATGTTGCCACTCAAGTGCTGGTAAGCTTCACAGGCATTTTGTGAGAAAATGTGTGTGATCTTGGAGATCTGAGCAACTGCGATTGTCTAGACTGGGACCAACGCTGGCCCTGCAGCTGAGCAGAGCAGCCCTCCCACATGTTGATGACAGCCTCAGGCCAAACAACCTGCCACAGAGGGTAGAGAGCAATGGACAAAGCCCAGGATTCAGTGAACTGAACTGGAAAATCTTTCATAGAGATGACAGGTGCCCAGACCCGAGATGGGGGTCTATGGAATTGGAAACTGACAAAGTGGATGTAAACTGTGTCCTGCTGGCCTCATTGTCCTCTGCTAATTCAGAATCCTGATGCCTACAAGGCCCCCAGCAGCCTCCAGACACCAGGAGAGGTGGAGTCTTTCTCTTTCCTCTCCTGGGATCCAGCCCTGGCCACACCCCACAGTTCACTCCACATCACCAGACACAAGGGTTTGCGGCCACTCCCTGCAGGTTCCTGCTGAACAGCTCACTCTTCCAGGCACCACCCAGAGCTTGCAGGTGCCAAAACCTCAGCAGTGACAGAGGTCTGTGAAACAGGCATTGAAGCTTTCCTGTCAGCATCCCCGGGCCAGGGACATGTTCATGAGCTAGGCTGTGAGACCATACACATTACAACACACTCTCCTGTCCTCCCAGGGACTAAGGATTTGGCCTGGACCAACCTTTGTGTGCCTGGCACCTTCTTCTCTGTGAGGGGGCACCTCCACCGGCTGCTTTCCTTTTGGTTCACTCTGGTAGTTAACCAGACATGCCTGGAAAGCACTTAATCCCGGTGCTGGACACAGTGAGGCTCAAGCTGGAAACCCTGCCATGCTGATAACGTGTTCCTCTGCCCTTGTGCAAAACACACACATGCTAGTTACATTTAAGAATGTAGAAATGGCCAGGCATGGTGGCTCACACCTGTAATCCCAGCACTCCGGGAGGCCGAGGTGGGCGGATTATGAGGTCAGGAGTTCGAGACCAGCCTGGCCAATGTGGTGAAACGCTGTCTCTACTAAAAATACAAAAATTAGCCGGGTGTGGTGGCGCGAGCCTGCAGTCCCAGCTACTAGGGAGGCTGAGGCAGAAGAATCGCTTGAATCCGGGAGGTGGAGGTTGCAGTGAGCCAAGATGGTGTCACTGCATTCTAGCCTGGGTGACAGGGCAAGACTCCTTCTCAAAAAAAAAAAAAAAGAATGTAGAAATAATTGGAACTGTGATGACTGTGGGGTCATCCTAATTCAATATATTGCTTATAGAATGAAATCTACATCTTTATTTATGAAAAGTTTTCTGTGGATGCCAACAATACACAAGAACCAGAAGCCAGCACTTGCTAGGATGCTTGAACTTGCCCTTGGTGAGCCGTGCACCTCATCTCGGGCTGCCGCTGCTGGTGTAACTGGCTGTGCAGGCTCACCCACACTCCCACACCCCCCTTTTTCTTTAACAAGTGAAATCCTTTCTCAGGGGGTGGCTATGAGATGTTTGCCCCTTAGTCCACAGGTAGGAGCTATAAGAGCACAGCACCCCATTTTAATTAAATGCAATAGAACTACCACATAAGTACATAAAGGCAAGGCAAAGTGACAGTGTCCAGACCAGCAAGTGCTAGAGTCAACAGAGATCTTAAACGGCATCTAATCCAGGGCCCTTGACCTTAGAACACAACTCCAGGGAGCGGCCTCAGCTCCCTCTAACCACTGCAGTTAGATTCTCGGGGCTGCCCCAGCCTCCATACAGGCAGGCTGAGGACCAGTGACGTGATGTGGTCCGGGGGTTCTCAAGCCCACTGGTTCATAAGAAGCACCTGGGGAGCTTTATAAAGATAAACCTCGAGGGCTTGTCTCAGAATTACTTGGACGTGGGGTCTGGAAATCTGTATTTTTAAAGCTCCCCAGGAGATTGTTTCAGGTTTGGGACCCATTGATCTTCTCAGCTCCAACACTGTCTGAGGCCACAGAAAGGCAAAATGTTCATTCCGTTCCCAGCAAATTCAGTGAGCAAACAAGAAAGCAGGACTAGAATTCAGGTCTACAGAACTCGCAGTTCAGCATCATTTATGAAAAATTATTATATCTCTCTCTCAAGCTAGGAAGAAACATATGCTAGTGGTCACAAAAAACTAAAACATGTTGTTTCTACTTCATCAAGGAACACCCCCTCATCTAGAAATAAACTCCAGCCCCAAATTGAGTGTTTTCAGTTGCTTATAAGGAAGACCTTCCTAACTGCAAAAGTCAATTACTGGAATCAAGGGTGACGTGGGAGGGCTCCTTGTAAAATGATATTTGTAAAACATTCTTTCACTTCTCCAAGAGAATTGAGATGCAGAAGCCACTTTGACATGCCTGTCACTGTGGCGGTGCCTTTGAAAGACCTGAAGGAAGTACAAGACGTGGCCTCCAGGGGCACACCTCCTTCCCAGGAAGACAAACAAATGATATGGAGCCCCCAGAGGGTGGCAGGGCAAACACGATGATGCCTCAGCCCTTGGGAGAGTGGGCAGAGCGTTGCTCAGACAATGCTCCTTTAGCAAAACAAGCCTGAAAGGCAGAATACGGCTCCAAGCCCCATCCAACCCTAGAAGAAGGGAAACAGTCACCGTTTGATTTTTCTTTTAGATTTTCTAGTTCCTTGTTCCTTGGTGCTGTCATTGTTGGAGTGTTTTGTTGTTTCTTTTGATTTTTGTTAGTTTGCTTGGGGTTGTCTTTCACCCAAGCAATCCTTTGCTCAGTCAGAAATGAAGTATTTGACACATGGTTGCGAAGCCTGGGGCTGTTCTATAAATTCCTGGTGCTTGAGTGATTCCAGGTGTCCTGCATGAATGAGGATCTCATCCCTGTGTCTGGAGCCCCGAGCATTGTAGAATGTGCTCCCTCTGCTGGTTCCCTCTAAAAACGAAAACTTGGTTTTGAAACGGATTTGAATTCCCACAGTGCTCTCTCCTCAGATCCAAGAATCTGACCTCTGCAGAGTGATTAGAATTTTCTGGCTAAAGCGATTTTTTGTTTAAAACAACAACAACCTGACTCCTAGACTCATTCAGGTTGACCACCTTAGACAAATCCGGCTCACATGGGCCCTTGGAAGAGAATGCTATGGTGAAAAGAGAAAATCAGAATGTGTTTATTTTCATAGTTGGCCCAGCAACGAGCAGAGCAGGGCAGCTCGGGCAATGTCCTCAGATGTGCCCACGGACAAGCTGTAAAGGACTCACACCTAAGGTATCTAGGAGGACGAGGGCCACCGGAGTCAGCAAATAAAAACACCAGAGGGCCAGTTAAATATGCATTTCAGTGTAGTCCTGGTTACTCATGAGGATGAGGCGGGAGGATCGCGTGAGCCCAGGAATTTGATGATTGCACCACCACACTCCAGCCTGGGCTGCAGAGCAAGACTGTCTCAAAAAAAAAAAAAAGTGCATTTCAGTTAAACAACAAACAGTGTGTAAAGTATAAGTATGTCCCATTTAATACTTGAGACATAGTAATAAATCTCACAAGGCTCCCTGTGTTTTATCAGGCAACCCTAAAGGTGAGGAAAGAGGAACTAGGAGGAGGAGAAAGCTCAGTCTAGAGGCTTAAAAGGCTCTTGGATGCCAACTGCTCAAACGTGCTGGTGCCTGGAAGCTGGTGACAGCTGAGCCACTAGACCAGAGATGATAGACTGCCCCACGGAGACCCCGGCATAAGTCTTCTGTGTGGGGTGCTATTGCAAGAGCTCAGACTGGGAAGAATCTGTTCTCTGCCATCTCTGCAGGGCTGATTTAAATCCCACCACCTTGTCTTTTTTACACGACCTATTTATTACGAGACACTTTAAAGAACCTTAGTAAAATACTTTGGTCTTATCATCTTCAAAGTCTTGGTTTCAATCCCAGTGTTATGGAGCTCTTCCCTGCAGTTTTACCTCCTCCAGCCAGGCCCTGCTCCTCCATTTATCAACTGATTAATCAAATGCCACTGGTCCTGCTTGTGTGACTTCGCCTGTTTCCCAGGCTATACTCATGCTGGTTGCATATTAACACATACTGTGCTTCAGCAGCCAGTGGCTTTATTTCCTAAGGGGACATTTCACAGGCACAAAAAGATCACCCATAAATTTACCTTTTTTCCCCTCACATGAACCAGGAGAGGGTGTACTGAGTTTAAGCTGGGCCTTTCCCACTTCCATCTCCCTGCACCCAAGTCCACTTTAGGAGCTGGCCTGGCACCACCCAACGTACGTGAGTGGTGGATGAGACCTCAGGGCCTCAGCCACCGCCACATCTCAGGCAGACTTTCCAAGAGAACCTGCAGCCAAGCAGCTACCAGTTTTCTCCTGGTCATCCCATGACAGCACAGTTGTTTTTTCATTCTCTTTACTTGTTTTTTTCTTGCCTAAAATCCCTAGGTGTGTTTTTAAACCCTTCACTGGCAGTGGACAGCCCACTCTGTGTGCCTTTCTGGGTTAGCAAGGACTAAGTCAGGGCCTGGCGTGTGTGAGACTGGGATGTGGGCTGTGCTCCTTCTCTTTTTTTCCCACTTCTCCCAAGAGTAAATGTCCTGTCTTTGTGAAGAGCTGATCCCAAGATCGATGTGTTCACAGAGCTAGACCAGCTTGTTTCATGCTGACTTAGATGTTGGGTTACCATAGACAGTTATTTAAAGCACCTCAGAGAGAAAGAAAGGCGGCCAAGATAATGAAGTAATCATTATCATCTGCGCCTGCCCTGGAGGGACACTGGCCCCAAAAGGACAAGGTCATTCTAATGCACCCCAAAACCCAGCCTGGCATCTCACAAGGGACAGATCTGGCATGAAAATGTGGGGGGATGAACACAGCTCTATTAACTAGAAAAAGAACCATGCCGGGCGCAGCAGCTCACACCTGTAATCCCAGGACTTTGGGAGGCCAAGGCGGGTGGATCACCTGAAGTCACAAGTTCGAGACCAGCCTGACCAACATGGGGTGAAACCCCATCTATACTAAATACCAAAACTTAGCTGGGCATAGTGGCAGGTGCCTGTAATCCCAGCTACTTGGGAGGCTGAGGTAGGAGAATCACTTGAACCAGGGAGGTGGAGGTTGCAGTGAGCTGAGATTGCACCACTGCACTCCAGCCTGGGCAACAAGAGCGAAAAAACTCCGTCTCAAAAAAAAAAAAAAAAAAAAAAGCGATGATCTCAAATCCTACTTTTTAAAAAATTAATTTAGATCATCGTTTAAGAATGACAGCCCCATCATTATTAGATTGAAGCTAATCTTTATGACCAAGGCAGCCAGGTCCTTTGTGACATTCTCTCATTCCCTAGCTCCCGCTTCCCTACGCAACTCTTAGAGCAGCTTGGTTCACCCTGGAAACATGGATAAATATCCATGTATCAGGGGCATGGAGAGGGGAGGAGACATAGAAATTTCTCTAACTTAGATTGGGTGACTGGCATTTGCCCTTTTCCTGGTTTCATCTCAAAGACTCTTGATAGGGCAAATAAATAGTGTCTGAAATGGTCTCAGGGAAATTGGCAGGGTGGGGGGCTCAACTGCATCTGCTAGAAGCAGGAGCCTGCTGGTACAGATCTGCTCCTGGTGGGAGCCAGCACAGGGGAACCCAGGCCGGAGTCTCAGGCTGGAACAGTTGCAGGCCAAGCAACTTCACAAAGTCAGGAGGGCTCTTGTTTTTTGTGACAGAACCTCTCATCTTCTCCTAAATGTTGTTTCCATCATGCTGCTCTCATTCTCAAGGGCCTCAAAGCACAAGGATAAAGCCCAGTGTCTGCAAAGCCCACCTGGCTTGACAGCCAGACTCCTGCTGTGCTCTGATGGGACTGTCTGCTGGGCCACCATGCACCTACCCTGGACTCTGCAGGAGCCAGTCTCCTCCTGCCTCCTTTTCTCCCACATTACACACTGCCCTCCTCCTCAGCTTACCCAGCCTTCAGAATCCACTTGAACTTGAGCCCCTTCCGGAATCGCTCCTCTTTCCTTGCCTAGAGCTCATCCCTTGCTTGCTGCTCTGAACAAAAGGTCTGACCTGTTGAGCCAGCACTGGCCTTGGGCTGGCTTCGGACTCCTCTTACGTCAATATTCTCATCTAAGGGTGATGTCTTATCTCCCTAGACAGGTTGAAAGCTCTTTCAGGGGATAGGCCTGGTATGATGCTGCACACATGTCACAAGCCTCCAATCAATAGTTCAGGAATAAATAAATGTTTGTGTGTCTGTGTTTGTCCCCCCAGCTCTGGAAAGCGTGGGAGCCAATGACCAAGAGGGCAGCCTCTCACTTATCAAAGAGCCACATTCCTCCCGAGTTAACGAGCATATTTGTGTGAATAATGTTTTTTTTGTTATATACAGTTTACATACATATATGTGTTGTGTATGTGTTATATGTGTTATAACTTTTTTTTTTTTTTTTGAGATGGAGTTTCGCTCTGTCCCCATGCTGGAGTGCAGTGGCACGATCTTGGCTCACTGCAACCTCTGCCTCCTGGGTTCAAGTGATTCTCCTGCCTCAGCCTCCTGAATAGCTGGGACTACAGGTGTCCGCCACCACGCCCGGCTAATTTTTGTAATTTTAGTAGAGACGGGGTTTCACAATGTTGGCCAGGATGGTCTCCATCTCTTGTCCTCATGATCCACCTGCCTCGGCCTCCCAAAGTGCTGGGATTACAAGCGTGAGCCACCTCGCCCGGGCTTATATGTGTTACAACTTTCTATGATAAAAGTGGAGATGATTCACATGGGGTGAACCTGTTTTCATTCTAAGATTGAAAAACAAAAATCAAAAAACTCAGAATGAAGTTTGTTTTTCAATCACCTATTAAATGGAAAATGGTAATTTTCTGAAAAAGCATCTCATTATGGGGGACTTGGGGGAATGGAGAGATGTAGGGCAAAGGACCCAAAGCCGCAGATATGTGGGGTGAGAAGTCTAGAGATCCGAGGCCCAGCATGAGCCCTATAGTGGCAACATTGTATTAGATCCAGGAAATGTGCACAGAGTAGATTTTCCATGCTCCTATCACACAGGCCCTCTCCCCGCCACCCCACACACAGAGGGTAACTGTGGGAGGGGATGGATATGAGAATTTGCTTGATAATCATAACTATCTCACTGTGCATAAGTATATCAAAATATCATGTTGTACACTTTAAATATAATAAAAAGCATCTTATTACACAACATAAGTCACAGGGAATGAAAACTGTGGGAACCTAAAGTACCCCAGCCATTGTGACATTTCGGGGGAGCTGTACCCACAGAAGGAGAAGGTGTGCCTGTCTGAGCCCCTCACAGGCCCGCACCTGCTTCTGGAAACGCCACTGCTGATTCCCATCAGTCATGGTGTTTACAGCTCCAGGCAGGATCATCACTGGAGCTGACTTGCTAATTTCTGAAAAGCCAGTATTTCTTTTCTGGAGGATGTTCATATGCCAATCTCAGGATTTCCTGTGCATGAAGAAATGAGGACACAGTGTGGAAGCGTGCTTGCCTGAAGCTTTGTTTTGTTTTTTCATCCTGGCTCCAACCCCAGGCGGCCCTCCTCTCGTCGGGAGAGGAACACTGGCCGAGTCACAGCCAGTCGTGCTGACTGGATACAGGTGCGTAGGGAGGGCTCCAGGTGGGGACTGTCCCATGTGTAGGAGAGGAATCCAGGGACAGGGAGAGGCCGAGTGGGCAGCAGAGGGACAGGCCAGTCGGACGCAAAGCAGGAAGTGGAGCTTCCTCTTCCCATTGTCATCTGGATCCTCCCGCTCCGTGTGGGGATCCTCACAGTCACACCTCTTTGAGCCAGCTGGTGGCCAGCCTGCGCACAGGAGGGACCTCCTGGGGTCCCCAAGGGAAGCCACACACACAAGGCCCCAACTCAGCTGCTCTCCCAGACTCTCTCCCCACTTTCTTGGCGGGTGCAAAGGGATGGAAAAAAATCTGAATAACTAATCCTAAGTAGTACAAGTTATGCCATTTCCCCCAGAGAAACCTCTTTCCTCTAAACTCTGAAGGCACTTAGAGCCCATACCAGTTAGTGCTAAATTATTTTCCCTTTTGGCCCGTTTACTATTGGTTCTTCACTAATTTGGTCTCTCCAACTCAAGTCCAACTTCCTAGAGGGCAGAGGATGGCATGATTTTAGTACCATATCTCCCCACCACCCCTATATCTAGTACAGCTTAAATACATGAAGTATATAATTTAATTAAAACAGGCTGAAAATACATATATCATGACATCCTATCCCAAATATATAATGTTCGTCAATATGAGCAGGTATAATAGAGAACCTTGGCGTGGATAGGCTTGTTTTGAAAAGCAGCAAAACCTCAAGCAGAAGCTGCTACTAGCACATGTGGGCTGAGGAAGTCTCCCGGCTGCAGCCTGGCCTCTATGGCCAACCCTCTAGGAGCCATTTGCACTGGGTGGGATCAGGGTACATTGCTCAGAACATTGTGGGTGATGGCCCTGGGACCGAACGTGTCTCAGGAGAAATCCAATTCCTGATTCTACAGGTAAGTGCCTCCAGATGCCTGCATCACAGTTACCCAGGGCCTACCCACCTCAAGGCAGAGTCGGGTATCCAGATGACTAGAGGCAGCAAAGGACACGATTCTGGAGTTAGGGTTGGGGAATGGCCCCATTTTCCTTCTTTGGTAGAAGTCAACACTCCAGGACACCTGAATGGCACCAGAGGCTGCCACAAGGGCCATAGCAGTGACAGCTGAGACTAGTCCCTGGCAGAAGCCAAGAACTCTGCAGGATCAGAGAGGTGCCAGAGAACCTGACCATGGAAATGTTTTTGTCCTGCTTGTAGTAATAAACCGTCTTCCACCCTTGATACCAAAAGGAATAAGCAGCAATCTTGGGCTCAATGGCTCACACCTGTAATCCCAGTATTTCTGGGGCAGAGGTGAGCGGATCGCTTGAGCCCAGGAGTTGGAGGCCCGCCTGGGCAACATGGTGAAATCCCTTCTGTACCAAAAAAAACCACAAAAATTAGCTGTGCCTGTAGTCCCAGCTACTCAGGAGGCTGAGGTGGGAGAATGGCTTGAGCCCAGGAGGCGGAAGTTGCAGTGAGCTGTAATCACACTGCACTCCATCCTGGGCAACAGAGCAAGACCGTCTTAAGAAAAAAAAAAAAGCGGCAATCTTCTCCAAGGATCAAGGGAGGGTGCCATCAGTTAGTACTTTCTAAAGCTGTGTCACCATCTCTTTTTAGCCCACTTCCCCTCCCCGCTCCCCATCCCTCAGTCAAGTCCCTAGGATCTGAGTTTGCTTTTGGAGCTTGAACTGGCCTTGAGCTCAGAGACATCTCTCTGCGGACCCTGCTTCTCTATTCTACATCTGTCCCAATAGTTGGAGCAGGGGCTGGAACAGCTTAAGGTGAGCAGCAGCCACCTGTTCCCAAAAAACCCTTAGCTTGGATTATCAGCAGACAGTGGAACATCAGTTTCGTACACATTTTGTATTTCTCACCCCATCTGCAAACCTTTCCTTTGAAGAGTATTCCAAGAATGGAACCCAGAGCTCCCCAGAAGCACACTGTTGCTTGGGTTTGGACTAGAATTTAATGTTCCCTCCAACTCTAGAGAATCCATGATGTGTATCTTTACACCAGATGCCACTAGGAGTCTTCCTGTCCCTTATCATTTTAGTTAAGAAGTGACTCATTGCTGTCATCCTTGCTTCACAGAGGGAGGAACCCAGGCTTCAGATTCTGCCCTTTTGGAACGGAAGAAGGAGGGAGAGCGGGGAAAGACCTATGTGTGCAGCACTATGGAGACAGTTCACTATGTCGGGTACAACACATTCCCTTAGTCTCATTTGAAAGCCATGATGAACAGAGAGGTGTGGAAAATCTAAGATCACAAATATGCCATGAGAAAGTATCTTTGTCTCTACTGCTACTTTACAAAACCACGTCTCTAACTGCTAACACTTCAAATTCCCTCAAAATAAGCTTCTTTTCCCAATTGTCCCTCACCACCAACTATAGTCATGCTCTGAAATTATTATGGAAATTTAGCATCTGAAAGGAACAGGAAGTTATAATTAATTCCTAATTAGAATTGGGCACAAGCTTTTTTTTCTTATTTTTTTTTTAATTTTTTTATTGTGACAGAGTCTCGCTCTGTCGCCCAGGCTGGAGTGCAGTGGCGCGATCTCCACTCACTGAAAGCTCCACCGTCTCCCGGGTTCATGCCATTCTCCTGCCTCAGCCTCCCGAGCAGCTGGGACTACAGGCGCCCACCACCATGCCCGGCTAATTGTTTTGTATTTTTAGTAGAGATGGGGTTTCACCGTGTTAGCCAGGATGGTCTCGATCTCCTGACTTCGTGATCCGCCCGCCTCGGCCTCCCAAAGCGTTGGGATTACAGGCGTGAGCCACCGCGCCCGGCCGGGCACAAGCTTATTGTTTTTCTTCTACCTTTTCTAAATGTACCCAATGCTCTTCATGTTTTCTGCCAGATGTTCTAGTCACTGCATGATGGGATTGTTACTTTTGCTGCTTCTCTGGACTCCTCACTCTTAGTCATTTTAAATATGGTCAAAATGACAATCTTTCTTACCATATTTGATATATAACTTTCAAAAAGAATAAAACTTAGCACCCTCCTATTAGTCCTTATCTAAATGGAAACTTATTAGCAGAGCATCAAGGGCCCAATAAAGTGCCCCCTCTTTTGAAACTTATCTCTACTCCCTTTCATATATTTCAATCATGTCAATTTCTTATTGTTCTTCTAAATAGGTGCTGATTACTAAACTCTATTCGTGGGTTTTATTTTTTATGTTCCTCTCCATTAATTAATATTCTTCACTGACTTTAAGACTTCACGATTCATTCTTTTAAAAGAACGTGTTTGATTTCCTCCACTGTTAACTGCTAAATATCTCTCTGATATATTGTTTTCAGGCTATCTTTCTCATCTGGAGTAATTATGTTTCAAGTGTCAGGGGGAAAATACCTTTTCTATCCTGTGCAAAAACTCATGCTGGGCACTAAGAGCATGGAGCATGTCCCAGTTATCTATTGCTGCATAACAAACCAACCCAAACTTAGCAGTATAAAACAACCACTGCTTTAGTATGCACATCAACTTTCAGGGTCAGAAATTCTTTTCTCCTTCATGTATAGAGTCTCAGCTGGGAGTGACATAAATAGGTGGAGACAGACCTCTCCAGCCCAGTCCAGCCAACAGCCTCCGCTCCTGCGCACCCGCAGCCTGGGGCCCCAGGTTCCTGTGGTCTCACCGACCCTAATCCTCTCATCTCTCCTCCCCATTCCCTCTCCAAATTGTTTCAGAATTCCAAATTCTTATCTGGATCCGGCAAATTAATTCAGCTACTCTTCAGAGTCTCTCAGTTATTCCCAAATTCTCTCGGAAGCTTGAATTTACCTATCTAAATCCATTCTCAAAAACACATTGGCCTTTTCTAGCCGGGACATCTCCAACAGTAGTTGCTGTTAGAAACTGCAATTTCCCCTTCTCTGCATACACATTTTTATAAATTGATTTATTGGTAGGCAAATTACATTTTTAAAAAAAGGCATGTGTGGGTTTTCAGGGAAGCCTGGACAGGACGTGGGCGTGCCGGGAGCTCGCCGGAGCAGCTGGTCCGGCTCTGGGCGCCCAGCGGAACCAGGGCTGTACTCACCTGGATGCCGGACCCGCCCCCTAGAGACCCCGCCCCCTGGCGTTCGGCTACTAAAGGGAAGGGGATTCCCAGGGGGTCCTCAATCCTGGACTCTCCCGACCCCTAGCTGTCGGTCCCCCTCCCTGCGCGCGCGCCGGCGGGTTTCCTACCCTCCGAGGCGTCCGCTGGCCTGCGCCCTGGCGGGGACGTGGGCGGGGCGGGCGGCATTTAAGGCTGGTGCCACCTCCCCGGTGCAGCGGCTGGCGATCGGCCGCGGAGGTGCGTGCAGGGCCCGCGCCGCCGCCGGTATCTCCACCGCCAACACCTCAGCCACTGCCACTGCCACAGCCACACGAGGCCCCCCACCGTGCGCTCCGCCGCTGCGGTCCCGGATCCGCGCTCCACGCCCGCAGCCCGCGGCGCCACCAGCCCAGCATGCACCAGGTGCGTGCAGCCCCCGCGCCGGCCGAGGATGCGAGACGCTGGGCCAAGGCCCCGGGGACCGGAGCAGGCTGACGGGAAGCGAGGAAAAGGCGAAGAGGAGAAACGCCCCGTCCCGGGGCAAGGGGAGGCCGCCTTTCCTCTGAGCGCCCCCCGGCCTGGGCACCGCTTCTCTGACTCCCCGCCACGGCTCCGTGCGGCCGCCGGGGCTGGCTGGGGAAAGAAGCCAGTCCAGAGGAGCGAGAAGGGGCCAAGGGGTCCTAGGCCAGCTCCATGGCACCTGCGGGCTCCGACTCGGAGGATGGGGTGACATGGATTCGTTGCGGTCTGAAAAGACTTCCGGTTAGGGCCCCCTGATCAGGACTGAGGGTCGTAAGCTTAGTGGGTGCCTCCTCCCCAAGAAACAGGACGCACAGCTGTTGTGTCCCCTGGGAAGGACACCTCAGAGGAAACCTCGAGGTGCCTAAGGAACCTCGAGGTTCTAAGGAAACCTCACAGCTCCTTGGAGGCATCAGTCAGGAGTTGGGGGGGTAACTTCCCACCTGCTCCACCCAGAGAAGGGTCACCCTGAGGAGCTGCTGGCTGGCCTGTGCCCACCCCGCCTCCCCTCTACACGGACGGAGAGGAAGCCAAGGTCGGCGGGAGGTGGGGGAGAGACTCCACTGTCCGACTCCCTCCGGCCTCCCCAGAGGAGGGAAGGAAAGGGAGAAGGGGCTCCTGACTCCTGCAGGTCCTGACCCCGCAGAGGGGCGCTCAGCACCTCTTCGGAAACCCCATTTGGGGCCAATATTGCACCTGGGCTTCTCTTTCAGAAAACCCCAGAAATTTACTCCGTGGAGCTCAGCGGAACTAAGGACATCGTGAAAACAGACAAGGGGGATGGCAAGGAGAAGTATAGGGGTCTGAAGAACAACTGCCTGGAACTCAAAAAGAAAAATCACAAAGAGGAGTTTCAGAAAGAACTCCATCTGGTCAGTAGCCTTAAGCCACGGGGTCCTGCCGGCTATGGCCCTTCCCCGCAAGAGCTTGCCCCTAGAACCCACCTCTTACCACAGACATTCAGTCTGAGGGATTTGAAATCCCCTTGAGATTGTGTGTGGTGTGTGGTGTCTGCGTGGTGTGTCTGTGTGGTGTGTGTGTGTGGTGTATGTGTGGTGTGTGTGTATGTGTGGTGTGTCTGTGTAGTGTGTGGTGTGTGTGTGTATGTGTGGTGTGTGGTGTATGGTGTGTGGTGTGTGTGTATGGTGTGTGGTGTGTGTATATGGTGTGTGTAGTGTGTGGTGTGTGTATGTGTGTGGTGTGTGTGTATGGTGTGTGTGTATGGTGTGTGTATGTGTGGTGTGTGTGATGTGTGTGTGATGTGTGTGTGGTGTGTGTGTGTGGTGTGTATATGTGTGTGGTGTGTGTGTGGTGTGTGTATGTGTGTGGTGTGTGTATGTGTGTGGTATATATGTGTGTGGTGTGTGTGGTGTGTGTATGTGCATGGTATGTGTGGTGTGTGTGTAGCGTGTGGTGTGTGTGTAGTGTGTGGTGTGTATGTGTGGTGTGTGTATGTGCATGGTATGTGTGGTGTGTGTGTAGCGTGTGGTGTGTGTGTAGTGTGTGGTGTATATGTGTGGTGTGTGGTGTGTGTGTGGTGTGTGGTGTGTGTATGTGTGTGTGTGTGTTTTGAATGGTGTGATAGTATCCACCCAGAGGTCAGGGCCTCTGCAGGATTCCTGCATTCTGGTTGGAGGCAGTCCCTGTAGAACTCAGAAGGAAGAGCCTCTGATTCCAGGCCCCACAGGCATGGCCAGACCTCTCTCCCCGCAGCTGCTTCAGTGAGAGTTAAGTAACCACTTGCCAGTTTTCAATTGATTAGTAAAACTATTTGAGCTGGAACTTCTGAGGAGGAAAACCAAAGCCCCTAGGCCATGCTAGATTGCAGGTGTGAAACCTCATGGAAAAGCAGTTTCAGTGGTAAAAATGTGGAGCTTGGATTGGGAGGACCTCGGGCCCCATCAGAGTCCCACTTCTCCACTGAGCTGAAACTGGCAACAAATGACTGACCCTCACTGAAGGTCCATTTCCTTTATGTAAAATGGGAAATAAATAATTTGCTGGGGTCTATGAGGGGAAAAAATGAGATGAGGATTTTGTAATTCACGTGCTTTAGGGGAGTACAATATTATTATTATTAAGGAAGAGCTCTGGAGTTATTAAAACTAGCCTTTTTTTTTTTTTTGAGACAGAGTTTCGCTCTTGTTGCCCAGGCTGGAGTGCAATGGCGCTATCTAGGCTCACTGCAACCTCCACCTCCTGGGTTCAAGCGATTCTCTTGCCTCGGCCTCCCGAGTCACTGGGATTACAGGCGCCCGCCATCACACCCAGCTAATTTTTGTTGTTTTTAGTAGAGACGGGGTTTCCCCATGTTGGCCAGGCTGCTCTCGAACTCCTGACCTCAGATGATCCACCCGCCTCAGCTTCCCAAAGTGCTGGGATTACAGGCGTGAGCCACTGTGTCCAGCCCAAACTGGCCACTTTAATAATAAAACTGCCTTGGGTCTGAAATGTGACAGATTTTATCTTGGGAACACCGAAGGGGAAACTTCTACACGGAGCTTGAGATGGGCTGGATTGTCCCCACCGTCCTTGGCAGATCTTAAAGCTCTGTGACTCCTGAGGGGAGTCTCTTTTGTGCTAGAGAGCCATTTGTTAAGTATTCAGAAACTTGGCAGGCTGACTGACATCCTGTTAGCAGCTTCAAACTTGGTTCTAGTGAGAAATCAGCAAACTCTACAAATCCGAGCTTTGTATTGATCGTTCCTGGAGAGTTTGTTAAACATTTAACAGTATACCACTGGGCATTTGTCCGTATCTATCATGAGAGACATTTAAGAACGCTTCCCTGAAACTGGACTGACCTCAATTCAAATCCCAGTGTAACTGAAGTTCAGTTTCCTATTTTGAAAAACATAAGATTTTTTTTTCTACCTCTTAAGGGTTACTAGGAAGATTAAATGAGATAAAACAGGGAAAAGACAGCACAGCACCAGACGATAGATCGTTCTTATTATTTCCCATTATCTCTAGCATTTAAGATTGAAGACATATCTGTTTTTCCCTTGACATTACAAGGGTCCTGTAATTTTCAGCAGCATATTGAATGCTTTTGCCTCCCAACCTTTCTTGGCAAATTAGTGCCTAATGACAACTGAAGTATCCCGGCCTTTGAATGAAAGGGCCAGGCAGTGACCCGAGGGGTGGGTGGGGTGCTGCCCTGTGCTAGTCCAGTGCTGGCCAGCAGAGGGCACCCCAGATAACCACCACCACCTCGTCCCACCCCTCCCCCATGCTCTCATCCCCCAGCCCAGGAAGTCTGAGGTCCCATGCATGCAAACAATGGCTCGGATCATCCACTACTTGTATCTGCCCAAAACTTAGTGGGTTGTGCTGTGCTCTGTGCAGAACACAGCCTTAATCTTCTGAATCCCCAGCAATATCACACTCAATCAGTATTAGTAGAAGGGATGAAGGAGCAAAACAGAATCTGGCTGAGAAGAGGGCTAGAAGCAAGATAATAATGATAATAATGAATTCTGCTTTATTGGAAGGCCTAGTCTCTTACTGCAACATGGAACTATTTTTTGCATATACTTAAGAAAAGAGATGATGTGAGCACCAGTCAACAGTATCAATCTTTGTTTCAGACAATCAGGGTTTAAAAAATCCTGAGTGCTGGACTTTCTAGGGGGAGTGAGGAAGACTTACCCTAGGTTTTCTGCTACAGGAAGAGACTTCTTGTCCTTTAGCCCAGTGGTTCTCAAAGGGAGAGGAGAAGAGGATTCCCCCACCCCTCTCCCAGGGGAAAAATGGAAACATTTTTGGTTACCACAACTGAGGGGAGGATGTTAGTGGGTGGAGCCCACAACAAAGAATTATTCTCCCAGAATGGCAGCAGGGCCACGGGTGAGAAACCCTGCTGTAGTCTAATGATTCTGTAGCAGAATTCACAAGTGGCAGCCACAATGCTGTGGGTTTATTCAGCAGAACTTTTCCCTGCAGGGTTTCTCTGCCCAGTGAGCTCCCTGAGCGTCACAGCTTGAGTGAGGGAAGCTGCTTTTCCCTGCCAGAGCCCACACAGCGAAGGAGGAGGAGTTGTGCCAGCCCAGGAAGCGGTTCTAGTGTGGTTTTGCCATCAGCCCCAGCCAATCCCAGGGTTCAGGCCTGAGGGAAGCCTCCAGCTCACTGGCACCTGGAAGATGAGGGTGCCAGAACCTGTATGCCCTGGAGTTCAGATTGAAGCGAGGTGCATGGCTTTGTTCAGAAAAGCTGCAGGCAGCTTCTGGGTAGTAACAGCAAGTGCAGGATTGTGCCGACTCAGGGACAGTCACTCCTGAGGCAGTGCCATCCTTCGCTGGGCAGCTGCCTGGCACAGGGGTTCTTTCTCTCCTGTCCCCCACACTCCTCGATCCCCTCCCATCCTCAGGGCTGCTACTCCCAGCTTCCATGGCTGGTCAAAGCTTGGGGCTTGAGTCTTTTGGAATTATCTAATTCACTCTGTTCTTCCTTTCATGGACTTCAGGATGACCACAAACTCAGCAATAGGGAATTGGAAGAGAAATATGGCACAGACATCATTATGGTGAGTCGTGGGAACCAGGGATTTGGAAGAGAAGCCTCCCAACTCTACAGAGGGAAGGCTGTGTGTGGCGGGGGGCTGTGTGGAAGAGTAGCGGCACCTTTAGGAGGAGGGGCCCCTGCAGCGCCTTTGAGACTGCAGTTATTTGCATCTGGACACAGTTCAAGTCAACAGAAAAACCTACTGTGGGGCTCACACTGGCCTGGCAGTGAGAGGGACCAAGAGGGACAGATGACCCCTGGCCTCAAGGAGAAAGTGGCCGGGTAGGGGAGGCAAATGTGTATGGAAGTGTCCTGAGATTCACTCTATCCCCCTGGGATGGCTACAAGAAGTAGAAACGCTATGCTGGGACAAAGGTGGATTCTGATGGAAGGGGCCAGAGCCAGCTCTCGGGCTGCTGCCATGTTTGCGCTGGGACTCAAAATGCTTCGGATTTAAGCTGGTGGGGGACCCCAGGGCCAGTAAGCACAGAGCCTGCTTGGAGAGAATCTGGGCTTGCCGGAAGCTAGTATGTGTGGAGAGGGGACAGGTGCAGCAGGAATGAAGCCAGGAAGGTCATCTGGGTGAAGCTGTCAAAGTATTCACATTAAACTAATGAGTAGGAGCTGTCTTAGAGGCAGAAGGGACATG
This sequence comes from Homo sapiens, assembly GCF_000001405.40. NCBI lineage: Eukaryota > Metazoa > Chordata > Mammalia > Primates > Hominidae > Homo > Homo sapiens. Next base: position 24,686,001 of record NC_000013.11, read on the forward strand.
GTTTCCACACATGGAGGTGCTTTCATTGGTTTTCAAAAGGCAGTTCTCATAGAAGATTCTTTTTTTAAAGTGAGAAATGGAAGGGTCTAGAAGAATGGAACAACAGCCCAGGACTGTGAAATGAGGATCTGAAATAATGTCGAAAGACATTACAGGGGCCAGACGTGGTGGCTCAGGCCTGTAATCCCAGCACTTTGGGAGACTGAGGTGGGCAGATCACCTGAGGTCGGGAGTTTGAGACCAGCCTGACCAACATAGTGAAACCCCGTTTCTACTAAAAATACAAACAATTGGCAGGGCGTGGTGGCACATGCCTGTAATCTCAGCTACTCAGGAGGCTGAGGCAGGAGAATCTCTGAAACCCAGGAGGCAGAGGTTGCGGTGAGCCAAGATCATGCCATTGCACTCCAGCCTGGGCAACAAGAGCAAAACTCCATCTCAAAAAAAAAAAAAAAAAGGGCCGGGCGTGGTGGCTCACGCCTGTAATCCCAGCACTTTAGGAGGCCAAGACGGGCGGATCACGAGGTCAGGAGATCGAGACCATCCTGGCTAACACGGTGAAACCCCGTCTCTACTAAAAATACAAAAATTAGTCGGGCACGGTGGCGGGCGCCTGTAGTCCCAGCTACTCGGGAGGCTGAGGCAGGAGAATGGCGTGAACCTGGGAGGCGGAGCTTGCAGTGAGCGGAGATCGCGCCACTGCCCTCCAGCCTGGGCGACAGAGCGAGACTCTGTCGAAAGAAAAGAAGGAAAGAAAGAAAGAAGGAAGGAAGGAAGGAAAGAAAGAAAGAAATTGCAGAGAGACACAACCAGCAGGACTTGCGGGGATTTTTATTGAGCCCCTCATCTCGCTAGTCATGTCACAGCAGCAGGAGGAGGAGAGCCGGTCGGGTGATGGGCTGGGGTGGGGGCAGGGAGGTGAGAGCAGGGAAGGCAGGAGGGTGGAGGCGATGATGAACTTATTGTGAGTTATACCAGGAGAAGTCTCTCCGGAACACCCCTGAGGAAATGTTCCACAGTTATTCAGAAAGATGAGTCTGGGGTTCTGGAAAAGGAATTGGAGTGGAGGGAGATGGGATCGAGGTGGTGAGCCTGAATCTAGCCATTCAACAGATATTTGAATCACTACCACAGAAAAAGCATGAGACCCGGGAGAGAACACAAAAATGACCAAGACTGGCCTGTCATGGTGGCTTAGGTCTGTAATCATAGCACTTTGGGAGGCCAAGGTGGGCAGATCACTTGAGGTCAGGAGTTCGAAACCAGCCTGGCCAACGTGGTGAAACCCTGTCTCTACTAAAAATATTTTAAAAATTAGCCAAGTGTGGTGGCCGCTGCCTGTAATCCCAGCTATTTGGGAGGCTGAGGCAGGAGAATCGCTTGAACCCAGGAGGAGGAGGTTGCAGTGAGACGAGATCGCACCAGTGCACTCCAGCTTGGGCAACAGAGCGAGACTCTGTCTCAAAAAAAAAAGACCAAGACAGAGTCCTGCCCTTTAAGTAGCTTACAACATAATTAGGGAGAAGAGGTATCTACAGACTTGTCCACCAAAGATCGTCTGTGGGGGAAATTCCTGTGAACATGTAGGGTTTCAAAGGTGAGGGTGCCTCACGGATGGCAGGCCCCCCAGGGCAGGGGCTGCTCACATGGGCTCAGGGCTTGGGTAGGATTTATGCCTGTCAAGATGAATGAGAACTTAGGCTGGATGTGTAGAAAGGTGGAAAAGGAGCAGGCGTAAGGATGGAAACTAAAGCCACATGCTCTCTGTGCAGGATTCCAGAAGCTTCCCTATTTCCTGGGGAGTTACTGCATTGCCCTTAGCCCTGGTGAGCAGCTTCTTCATTCCAAGTCCTCCTTCATCAAATTAGTCCTCTCACCGGATAAACCTCTAAGAAACTAAAACCCCTTAGCAGAGCAGAGTGCAGTGGCTCTGGACCCAGTCACCACGTTGAACCTGGTCGCTACCATTGACAGGCCAGGTCCCTTCGACAGGTTACGTAATTTCTCTGTGCCTCAAATTCCACCTCTGCGAATGACGAGAGGGAGGAATAATGGCCCCTGCCTCAAGGGTTATTTTAAAGACTAAATGAGTGAATATACAGAGCACAGTGCCTGGCTGGTATTAAGCATTACATAGTCTTTCAAAAAAGCTGGGCAGCTGGAGAAGTGAGGCACGGTCTGCTTTTCTCGGGACCTTCTTTGGCCACGTTAATGCCTCACCCCAAGCTGCAAAAATATGCAGCCCAACCCCTGAGGGAGGAGGAATGTCTAATTCGTATTTGTTTTGGTTGTGCATGTGCTTTGTTTGGCTTTCCCAGGGTCTCTCCAGCACCAGAGCTGCCGAGCTCCTGGCCCGGGATGGGCCCAACTCCCTCACCCCTCCCAAGCAGACGCCTGAGATCGTCAAGTTCCTCAAGCAGATGGTGGGGGGGTTCTCTATCCTCCTGTGGGTGGGCGCCTTTCTCTGTTGGATTGCATATGGGATTCAGTACTCCAGCGACAAGTCTGCATCCCTGAACAACGTAAGGCTCTGGGGTGTCCCCTCCTGGTTTTGCTGGCAGAGCCATCCAGTGAGGCCTTGGGGGCACAGCTGGGGGCTGAATGCCACTGCCTAGGTGTGGGAAAGTCAGGCATTTTCCCAGCTGTAAAACAGAAATTCTATCTGGCTTTCTGATCTTCTAGAGGCAGTGTGGGCATGAAGAGGGATACACAAAACACCTTGAATTTTTAAGGGGGAGAAAATCTGCATCCATGTGAAGTAGTTTGGGGTTCTGTCTCCCCCAAGCTAACCTCTTCCTTTAACACGGAGAGCAGCTGTGCCTGCCGAGACATGAGTACCAAATCCACAAAACTGAATTGGCCAACGTGATGCCAAGAGACAGAAGCCAGAGGCAACAAGCTACATGTCATAGGATTGGATTGACATGAAATGTGCAGAACAGGCACATCCTTGGAAGCAGGAACCAGATCGGTGATGCCAGGGCATGGGACAGGAGCAGGGAGTGACGGCAGAGGGGCCGGAGGGATCTCCAGGCAGGATGGAGATGCTCTGAGGCTGCGGTGGAGGGTGGTGTCATGGCTCTGTAAACTTAAAAAAAAAAATCAATAAGTTGCGCACTTAACATGGGCGAATTCCATGGCCTGTAAATTATACCAGGGCGTAACTGCCAGCATTGCATCCTCCCGTGGAGAGCTCTAGCCCCAGGGCCCGGCTGCTTCCCACTGCTGGTTTCTCTGACTGACGCCCTCCTTCTCACCCAGGTGTACTTGGGCTGTGTGCTTGGTCTGGTGGTCATTTTAACGGGGATCTTTGCTTATTACCAAGAGGCAAAAAGCACCAACATCATGTCCAGCTTCAATAAGATGATCCCTCAGGTGAGTGGCAGCCACCTATCCTCTGGCCTCTGGTGACTCCCAGGTGAGGAAGCCTCAGCTGGGAGGGGCACAGGGCCCTGAGGGCTACGGGTTTCCACTTCCTTCCCTGTCGGAGCAATCGTGGGCGAATTAACCCATCTGTCAGAACCCCAGTTCCTCACAGGATTTTGATGGTCAAATGAGGCACCACCCAGGGCAGTGCTGGTTAGCCCAAGGCATCTTCTGTTCCTGCTCCTCAGTGTTTGTGGATAGTCCTTCTGGGTTCTGGAAGGGACCTGTGGAAGGTCAGGGAGTGTTCTTTCACTGGCAGCCAAGGAGACCAGCCTGCAATTGTTTATCTGTGACCATTTTTGCTCCTGAGCCCCAGAATGCATTTGGTGGGGAAGCCCAGTGCTCCCTTCTTCCCCAAAAACCCCTGTCAGGTGTCCACACTGTCTCTGGCCCAGAGAACTGTGGGCTGGAGAGATTCTGGGTGGAAAAGACGCCTCCTGCCAAGCTTGAAGCAGGAGATCACCTCGTTAAAATTTCCCTGACACTCGCAAGATTATCAGCCTCCCCAGCCCCACCTTCAGTGTTCTGCCCAGACGCCCAGCCAGGATTGCTCACCCTTAGTGGTCTCCTTTTCTAGGAGGCCCAGGGCTCTGGCTTGGCCAGATCTGGCCAACAGCGACTCTTCTGTTCCAAGAACTCTCCATAAGCTCAAGAAAAAGTAGTTCTTAGAGTCTTCAGGCCTCGGGTGAAGCAGTCTTCTGTTTCATTCTTGCTGTTCTGACAGCCTCATGCTCCAGCAGCAATGCTGTGTCCACAGGGCCAGGTGCAGGCTGCATAACAGCATGGACTCAACAGTGAGAGTGATCAGGAAGTTCCAAGGCCTCTGTCCTGGGGTTCGGTGCGGCACAGACTTGGGGGAGGGCCGGTGTCCTTCCAGGGTCTGAGGCATCTGTCATGGTTTTTTTCTGCAGCAAGCTCTCGTCATCCGAGATTCCGAGAAGAAGACCATCCCTTCAGAGCAGCTGGTGGTGGGGGACATTGTGGAGGTCAAAGGAGGAGACCAGATCCCTGCAGACATCAGGGTGCTGTCTTCTCAGGGGTGTCGGGTAAGCGGCAAGGGGTATCCACCCCAAGGACCATGTTCCAAACCTGCTGGCTCTGGGGTCTTTCCCAGCATCAGTATAAGAGGCAGGGAATGAGGTACCCAGCTGTGAACCACCTTCAACATTTCTTCTAGGTGGATAACTCATCTCTCACGGGGGAGTCTGAGCCCCAGCCCCGCTCCTCTGAGTTTACCCATGAAAACCCCCTGGAAACAAAGAACATCTGCTTCTATTCCACAACGTGTCTGGAAGGTAAAAGGCCTCTGGCTCTCAGCCCACATGTCCACCTGTGTCCTTTCTCCCTCCTGGGCTCTCAGGTCTGTCCTTTGCCACACCCCGTTACAAAGCTCATCCCAGAGGAAGCATGGAACTGAAGGGCCTAGAGGACGATGCTTGGCCTTGGGAATGTGGTGTGCCTATCGATTGTGCCAGCCCCCAGAGAGGGCTGCAAGCTGGCTGCACACCCCTCCTGGCTGAGGACCCCTGGAATAAAGCATCTACTTCCCCTGTAGGCACTGTCACCGGCATGGTTATCAACACGGGTGACCGCACCATCATTGGCCATATTGCCTCATTGGCCTCAGGAGTTGGAAATGAGAAGACGCCCATTGCCATTGAGATCGAGCACTTTGTTCACATTGTGGCAGGAGTGGCTGTCTCCATCGGCATCCTTTTCTTCATCATCGCTGTGTCCCTGAAGTATCAAGTCCTGGACTCCATCATCTTCCTCATTGGCATCATTGTGGCCAATGTGCCCGAGGGCCTCCTGGCCACTGTCACTGTGAGTCCATGCTGTTAGACAGCCTGCACCTGGCCCTGTGGACACAGCACTGGTGCTGGGGAGGCGCCCACACAAACTGCAATCTCCCCCAAGTCCAGAGCACCACGCCCTCCCCGCCAGCGACAACCCTGGAACATTCTGCATAGACTGTTCCTTACAGAGACAAAAAATTTGTCATATTTTCAATATTTGACTGCGTTTTCCTTGAAAACGTTATGCTTTCAATCTGCAATTCACACAGCTTACTCTGCCCCATAAGATCTAGATAAGACAGACTCCACCATTCACAGGTTTTCTAGAAGCTTGATGCCTTCCGCACATTTCTTTGGCAGTTTCTACAACTTAGGCATTTAGGCACATTGCCACACTCCACTTACCTCTCTTACGAAAAAAAAAAATTCCTCCCATTTTTCCTGCCGAGGACTCCAGCCCTTTCCTGGCCAACCCCAGACCCAGCTGTTTGTATGGGCCCATGTCATTCAGTCCCTAGAGAAGAGCCCCCTCCTCCTCAGTCTCTCCTGTGGGGGTCTCAAGGGGTAGGAGAGGAGGGGGTTTATGTTTCCAGTTTTGTGACTACATGATCATTGGCCTGCTATTGTCCTGACCAAAGAAAAGAGAAGAAGTTTTTGAAGTCCAGGTCTCCTCTGACTCCAGGAGATAGTAATTTGGGGAAATTGGAGCCAAAAGAACCCTTTGAGATCTAGGGGTTTAAAAGAATCTTTAAAATATGGAGCTTTTAAAATGAAACAACATAAAGGCTGCTGAATTCCCCAAAGCAACAAGTGTGTCCTTTGGGACAACTCTTTGGCATGCACTGGTCAGTCTCTCTTACACACTCCTGCTTAGGGATCACAGGAGGCGTCGTGATTGTACGTGAACACGAGCCACAGCAGCGTGTCCGTGTTTGCTGCCCGTGGGTCCCTTGTTTTCTTCAAGTCATGAAGGAACAAGAAAAGCATCTCATATTTAATCTTTAAAAAAGGATTGTGGCATAGAGGGCTCTTGGCGGCGTATAAGCCACCAGGTCAGCTTAGCTGCGCTGACAACCACACCTCTCCCCTAAAACTAGTCCAGCTCTCTCCTAAAATTCAATCACAGCTCACATTGGCTATTTCTGTATTATTGGACCTGAGTTCAAATGAGGATTTTTCCCAAAGCGTCCTTCCCTCTCCTGCTAGGTGACCCTGTCGCTGACAGCAAAACGGATGGCCAAGAAGAACTGCCTGGTGAAGAACCTGGAGGCTGTGGAGACCCTCGGCTCCACCTCCATCATCTGCTCGGACAAGACTGGGACACTGACCCAGAACAGGATGACAGTGGCCCATCTGTGGTTCGACAATCAGATCTTTGTGGCTGACACCAGTGAGGACCATTCAAGTAAGTCTTATGGAGAGCTCGGTCTGGCCAAAGCTGTGGACTCCATCCTGGGGCTGAGCTGAGCACACAGCAGGGTCTGCAGCCAGAGGATTGCTGGACAGTGACTCATGGACGGCCAGCCCAACCCACAGCAGCCACTGTTCTTTCTCTGTCTTCCAGACCAAGTCTTTGACCAAAGCTCTAGGACTTGGGCCTCCTTATCCAAGATAATAACATTGTGTAACCGAGCAGAGTTCAAGCCAGGACAGGAAAATGTCCCCATCATGAAGGTAATGCTTCTGCAGCACTTGGTCTTAAATCACAGCCAGTTTGTAGTCACTTGCTGAGGTCTGATTGGGTGCTTGATTTCATCTCTCCAGTTGCTTAAAGTTTGTTCAGTGCTTGCAAGAGCAAGTCAGACTCACAAGACATCCAGAAATTTTTCTTTATGCACACTAGCTTTGAGAATACAAAGATGCTTAAAAGGTTTCAGAATATTGCTTTAGCGTCTTCAGAAAATTCTGGAAATGAATGCACTTCTAAGTTACTTTCCTGACTTTTCTGCCAGCTAAGTGGATATAATCAAAGTTCCTTTTAATATACACACCATTCATGGAAATTTAAAGTGTGATTGAATAAAAATAAAAGGACTCCTGTTAACTAGAATATGGCTGCAGACAAAGCTCTAAGGGGTCCTGGAATATCGGAACATACAATAAACTCTCCCCCTCCCTCCCTCTCCTCCTTCCCTTCCTCCCTTTTCCTCTCCATCTCAATGAGTCACTGAATCCCTGTTCTCCTGGCTTTTCTATTTGCCATCTGTTTCCTTCCCTGACTCTTTTTCTTTCTTATTTTTTTGTTTGTTTGTTTGCTTTTCTCTCCGTCAGACAGCTCATGAATGCTCTTTTTGGCCAATTGCTTCTTTGTCGATATCTTCCAAATCTTTATGTCCAGCTCTAATTTCTTACCTCAACTCCAACCCGAATCTCTGGCTGGCTGTGTGCTTCCGCTAGGAAGTTGCACAAATCATGCTTGTTAACTTCCACCCGTACCCAGCCTGGCTGCACATCAGTGCCTTGCCGCAATTTTCTAATTGTCTATGATATAACCATTCTATTTGTCATTGGAACAGAATATTTGGAAGTCATCTTTGACTTTATCCTTTCCTTATATCCAGTAAGCCACCAAGTTCTATCATTCTTGCTTCAAAATATACATAACTTTAGTATTTGTCAGCAGTACCTTGCATCTAAATAGCCGATTACCGGCTGATTGGAATTAAACCTCTTTGATTCCGGTTTATCCCTCCTGGGGTCTTTCTCGAATGCCACTAATTTCCCTTAATGGTGCTTTTATAGTCACTTAACTTTGCTCAAAATCTCTCCGTACTTCCCTGTTTTCTGCTTCTCAAGTCTAGACCTCAGGCTACCTTTCAGGGCCCTCCAGGTCTTGCCACACCCTCCACATCCGCTTGTACCTTGAACACTCACGGACGAGCCTGCCCCTCATGCCCCTGCACCCGCATCCTGGTTTCTGGAAGGCTTTCTTCTCTGTGTATCGGTAACCCACCTATCTATCAAGATCTAGTTCGTAGCTGCTTTTTTCCACGAAATCTTCAGTCCTCGCAGAGGTCCAGCTTCTCCAAACATCCCTAATGCCAGTAGGTGGCACTGTTGTTTACACGCTTACCACGGTCTTGCGGCCCTCCCTGATCACGTGATAATGTCTCTCCAGCTAGGTGGTAATGGGATCAGGAGGGTGTGTTTTGGGTCCTATGCTGAGGGCATGTTGGTTCATTAAATATGTGCTGCAAATATTTTTCTTCTTTGATTCCCAGAAAGCTGTGATTGGAGATGCCTCAGAAACTGCTCTTTTAAAATTCTCAGAGGTCATTTTGGGTGATGTGATGGAAATTAGAAAAAGAAACCGCAAAGTAGCTGAAATCCCTTTTAACTCTACTAATAAATTTCAGGTGAGTTTTTCCTCACAACCGGTAATCTCTGTCATCGGCAGCATGACCTTTCTACTTGCATGCATCCTTTGCTTACCTCATATTTTGAAGGATACCTGGCTTCAAAGACAGTCGTCAGGGATACAGCACCCAGGCATCTGGTCCCCTAGGTCAAGCTCCCTTGCTGGCCTCCTTCCTAACCCTGAAGCAGGGCAGAGAAAGAAAGAAAGGCAAGGACTTCATCAGGGCCTGGCTGCTCCTATGAATGAGCCATCTCTGTCACAGGCACACACTCTCTCTCTCTCACACACACACACACACACACACACTCACACCACCACTATCAGGTACCTTCTGCCGTGAGGAGCAGCAGCCATACTCCAAAGCATAAATGCCAGGTGGGCAGCAGGGAGGCCGAACACCTGCTCCTCTCACCTCTAGTGCATCAGGCCCTCGACCTACGTGGCCTTGTTCCATGTTCGCATCCGGCCTGTGAGGTAGGACTGACGAATCCTGACTCAGAGGAGGAAGCAGGCCCTTAGAAAGTGTTGAGAGACCAGAGTCACACAGCACCCAGTGTTCCCAAGCCTGACACCAGGTCCACGATTCTTCCACCATCACACAGAGGGAGTGCGGCACAGTTCAGGCCATGGGAGCAAGCCCTGCCCTTTGGGGAGACCGGTGAGCAGCCCCTGGGGTGACAGCCCCGTCGTTTTCTGGGGCCAGCCCCTGTGCTGTGGGTGGGGGTCTCCTTTCCATCCCCTGCTCAGGTAGAAGACGGCCTTCCTTGCCTGGTTATCTCAGCAAGCAGGGCTGGCCGACAGTCAGCCATCACAGCCTCCCCATGTTAAGACAAATGACAGTTGGGAGCCCCAGGTCCCCATGCAGATGGGATTTTCCACAGAGCCCACACTGGATCTGGACTTGGGCTTTGCACAACAGTAAAGTATAGAAATGGAATAACCACAACTGTACGTGTGGAGATTTCTGGTGATTATCCACCTGTCTTAGTTCGGATGGAATTTAGGGTTAGGGAAGAACTCTTTTTTTTTTTTTTTTTTTTTTTTGAGAAGGAGTTTCACTCTTGTCACCCAGGCTGGAATGCAGTGGCACGATCTCGGCTCACTGCAACCTCCGCCTCCCAGGTATAAGCAATTCTCTTGCCTCAGCCTCCTGAGTAGCTGGGACTACAGGAATGCACCCCCTGCCCAGCTAATTTTTTTGTATTTTTAGTAGAGACAGGGTTTCACCTTGTTGGCTGGGCTGGCCTCGAACTCCTGACCTCCGGTGATCTATCCGCCTTGGCCTCCCAAAGTGCTGGGATTACAGGCGTGAGCCACCAAGCCCAGCCTAGAGAAGAACTCTTGTGTTGCAAATGTCTTCTTTGTGGATAGTGAGCCAACAGAGAATCACAGTTAGCTAAATAGACAACTAACCAGAAACATATGATGTAAAATACTCAAGCCAAGAAACCACATCTCTTACGTAAAACCAAAGTGAAAATAGAGTGCGCAACAGTCCTAAAAGACTGTTTTAGGATGAGTATTATTATACTAATAATACTAGTGATAATAGGAGCTATTCTGTGCTAATTTCCACAAGTATTAAATTATTCATTCGCACGACAACACTGTGGGGTGGCTAGAGGATGAGGAGGTTGAGGTGCCGCGCATCAGTGCACAGTGTGAAGATGGGGTTAGATGATGCCTCCATCAGCAGCAGGACTTGGAGCCCTGCTGAAGCTCCATCTCCCAAGGTAAAGGCATGCCCAGTTGCAAAAGGGAGAAAAAGCAGGTTCCATGAGGCCTCATGTACAAGTTGGAGGAGAAAGTGGCTACACAGAGTGGGACTAGAAAGGGGAGAGGGGGGCCGGGCGCGGTGGCTCACGCCTGTAATCCCAGCACTTTGGGAGGCCGAGGCGGGTGGATCATGAGGTCAGGAGATCGAGACCATCCTGGCTAACAAGGTGAAACCCCGTCTCTACTAAAAAAAAAAATACAAAAAATTAGCCGGGCGCGGTGGCGGGCGCCTGTAGTCCCAGCTACTCGGGAGGCTGAGGCAGGAGAATGGCGTGAACCCGGGAAGCGGAGCTTGCAGTGAGCCGAGATTGCGCCACTGCAGTCCGCAGTCCGGCCTGGGCGACAGAGCGAGACTCCGTCTCAAAAAAAAAAAAAAAAAAAAAAAAAAAAGAAAGGGGAGAGGGGCTGTGTGAGTTCCTGCTGAAGAGGTCGGAGGTGCTGTCTGGATGCTGTTAGGGTCATTTTATATCTACACATGAGCGGTGCTCAGCCTCACCAGGGCTTTAGATGTCATGGCCTTGGAAGGAGACGTCTCTGCGGGAAGGAAATAAAATGGAAAGCCTGTGTCTTATTGATTAGAATGGTGATGCCCCAAACACACTGGTCTGTTAAGACATTTGAAACAGTTTACGGCAAATTGGAAAATGTTTTATAAAGTTTTATATAAAGATGAATGTATTTAATTTAAAAGATTATCCTTTGTAGCCACCATGATTAAGGGCAGGGACTCTGGAGCCTGCTAGCCTGGGCTCAAATCCCAGCTCAGCCACCAGATAGCCACCTATTGCTCAGTGACCCTGAGTGAAGCATTGAACCTCTGTGCCTCAGTTTCCTCCTTTGTAAAAGGGAATAATAATAGTACCCATGGCCTTAAAGTTGTTTTGAGAATAAATAAGTCGATGTGGACAGCACTTAGAACAGTGCCTGGCACGTGGTACATACCATAAAAGTGTTTCATATTATCCCTATGTTTTAAATGTAAAAAGCCTTATCTTGGCCAGGTACAGTGGCTCACACCTGTAATCACAGCACTTTGGGAGATCGAAGAAGGCAGATTGCTTGAGCCCAGGAGTTCAAGACCAGCCTGGGCAATATACCAAGACCTTATCTCTACAAAAAAAACAAAAAACGAAATTAGCTGGGCATGGTGGCACATACCTGTAGTCCCAGCTACTTGGGAGGCTGAGGTGGGAGGATTGCTTGAGCCTGGGAGGTCGAGGCTGCAGTGAGCTGTGATCGTGCCACTGCACTCCAGCCTGGGGCACAGAGTGGGACCCCGTCTCAAAAAAAAAAAAAAAAAAATTTAAGAGAGAAAGAGAGAAAGAAAAAGAAAAGGCCTATATTTTAGAAAGTGATAGAGCTGGGAGGTTTTCTGTTTGGTTTGGTTTTTGTTGGTTGGTTGGTTTTCTCAATGTCTTTACTTGATCATTAAAAAAAGCAGCAGCAGCAGCTGGTAACCCTATTTGCCCTATACTTCTTTTTGTACTCATCTTTGATACCCAGAAGTCTAAGAAATACTGATTTGTAAAGAACTGTTTTACCCAAAATTGTAGCACTTTTCTTTGCAACTTATTTTCTCCCAAACACTCCAGCTTCCTGAGATTCCTCTTGAGTGCTTAGAAGAGTACCTGGCTTATCAGAAGGGCTAGATAAGAGTTAGTCCTTTTATTCTTGTATATCGATTTTTTTTGCATATCTTATTAGGATGGATCTAGAAGTAGAATTGCTGGGTCAAGAGCATTCCTATTAAAATGGAGACTCCTGTGACTCGGCTGTCTTCCTGAAACATTATACGTGGAAGTGTCCACTTCCTCACACCCCGCCATTTTCTATGACATCCAAGCAGGAAAACTGGGTGGACAATGAGGTGAGGAGGTGCAGAAATTCCTGTCGCCTCCTCCCCTCCTGAGCTCAGAATAGTTTGGGTCTGAAAGACGGCTGCTCCCCACAGGGAGGTAGAGGAGGTGAGATGCAGAGGCTCGCAGCCCCCTAACTCTCACGGGCACCCTGGGAGATCTTGTTCAAGGCACAAGATTTCACACGCTGACGGCCACAACTAGCCTGCCTAAAGCAGCCAGTTTTGCTTGAAAGATGAGCTCCACTTATCCAGAGTGGGTGCCCCACTCTGGGCTGGGGCCAAGTCTAGAGCTCTTCGTCTTACTTGGCCACAGAAAGAAAAAGGGCGGAACATGCTGAGGATGCCATTGTGCCTCTTCCTCCTTTACATTTAATGGACCAGTAGAGAAGAAGGAATGCGTTTCACCTTTCTGTAAGTAACACGCTCAGTTCATTCCTTCCCAGCTCTCCATCCACGAGATGGATGACCCCCACGGCAAGCGCTTCCTCATGGTGATGAAGGGGGCCCCTGAGCGCATCCTAGAGAAATGCAGCACCATCATGATCAACGGCGAGGAGCACCCACTGGACAAGAGCACTGCCAAGACCTTCCACACAGCCTACATGGAGCTGGGCGGGTTGGGCGAGCGTGTGCTGGGTGAGTGCGGCGGCAGGGCCCTGCCCATCACCTGGTGGGCACAGAGATGAGGCAGGCGCCTTGAGGACCTGTGACCTAGCCCAGTGGCCATGGCATCCACGTGAAGCATGTAAAGGAGAACATGATAAGCAGGATGGGAACAAGGAGAGGATGCTGTGTGACAGCACCAAGCAGGGTGGGATGGCCTCCAGAGAGGCAAGCTCAGGGAAGACTTTATGGAAGGAGTTAAATTTCAAACTGGGCCTTAAGTGACTGCATTTGAGGGGAGATAGGGGAAAGTATCCAGGGCCCAGGGAACAGCACAGGCCAATCACAGAGGCAGAACGGCGTGGGGCACATTGGGTGCTGCCAGCAGGTGAGATGGCACTGTCACAGAAACAGGGTTCAAGGGCTGGACTGGAGGTCATGAGATGGAGGTCTTGAACATCTGGGTGAGGAGCCAGGTTTCATCCTGCAGTCAGTAGAGAGCACTGAGGGCTGTGCCACTAGAGTGAGCTGGGCAGTCGCAGGGCTGGGGAAGACTTTATGGAAGGAGTTAAATTTCTTTAACTTCTTTAAATGTCTTTGGCGGCAGCAGGGAGAGGAGAGATGCACATCTCCATAGGAAGCAGCTGCCCTTGCTCAGGCAAAAGGGATGGGAATTTTTTCAGGGTGATGGGAATGGGAAGGAGAGATCAGGGCAAGAGACTTCATAGAGGTAGAGTTTGGTAAGATTTAGAACCTATCAGAGAAGGATAATGTTTAAAAATGATTAAGCTTCCCATTTAACGACTAGGAAGAGAGTGATGCCAGTGATGCAGACAAAGTGTCAGGAAGGAAGGAACCTTAGAAATGCAACAGGAGGAGGACCCAATGGGGGTGCCTGCGGTGTTGTCAAAGGGGACAGTGTGTCCTGTTGTCAGCACCAGGGCTGGCGGAATGGTGCCCCATCAGGACCACAGAATGACAAATTCAAGGAAACAGAAGTGTATGGTTGACGATCCGGCTCATTAAACACCATGGAAGTCCTCACCAATACAGATGCAGTCTGTGGAATGTGTGTTTCTAAAGGCTATTGGAGTTGGCAAATCAGATAAAGCATATAAATGAGATGGTGATGCTTTAGGCATCCAATAACCCACAGTACCGGGTATTCTACACGGGATCGATGCCCACTTGCGTTTGATTTCTCAAAGCCTGCTCCATTGACATTTGCAAAGCAGTGGGCCAGGCTGAAAATAAATTGGATGTGAAAGCTGATCACACAATCTTGGAGGTCCCACCAGACACAAGAGTCCCTTCCACCTCAGCCTATGAGAGGCTGATGCCTTCTGAGAAAAGGATGGCTCGGCCCCATTCCTGCTGGCCTTTCTCTTGGGCTTATCTTGATCTAGCACTGAACTTTGTGCCCCTCCGCTGAACCCCCTTGTTCCTTCACATGCTGTTTTCTCTGCTGAAAATGGCCTTCCCACCTCCACCCTCCCTTTTTTCCCTAGAAATCATCTTTGCCCCTCTCAAGCTTCACCTCACATGTGACCTCCTTGGGGAAGTCTCTCCTAATCCTCCAGGCAGCTGAAATGTGTCTCTGCCCTGAGATGTACCCTATGCTTGATCCCTTTAACTCTGTGCCCCGCTAAACTTCAGAAGTCGAGACTGTGTATTGCCCTAGAACTTGGCAATATAGCAAGATATATTTCTAGAACACAGAGCCTAATGAGCTCACAGTGAATTATATTTGGATGAAATATGTCTTTCCTAAAAAAATGCATTATGGAGTTGAAGAAATTAAACAATTCTGGCTTATTCTAATGTATTGGTAAAACAGCAGAGGACCAAGGTGTATGAGCATGTTCTCCTCTTATTTTTTTTCGTTTCCTATTCTAGTTTCACTGACTCACTAATTCATCTGTATTACAGGTTTCTGTCATCTCTACCTGCCAGCAGACGAGTTTCCAGAAACCTACTCATTTGACATAGACGCTATGAACTTTCCGACCTCCAACCTCTGTTTTGTGGGACTCTTGTCAATGATCGATCCCCCTCGGTCCACCGTGCCAGATGCAGTCACCAAATGCCGGAGTGCAGGGATCAAGGTGGGAGTTATTTTCCTGACTCAAGAAGTTCTTTCTTTATGTCGTGTTCCTTTCTAATAATGGTTTTCATAGCAGATGGTCAGTATTTAGGTGTCTTCAAGTAAATATCATAATTCCTATTTTATTTCTAGTTTCACTGTGCTAAGGTTACTGAAACTGTCCCACAAAAAGAAAATGATTGTGTCTATGTGGAATGAACCACATAAACAGTAAATGCAATGAGAAGAATCTCCTAGTGCCTTGAAGTGACCATATCTCGCCCTAGTCCATGGTAGATACTAAAAGGCTTTATTGGCTGGGCGCAGTGGCTCATGCCTGAAATCCCAGCACTTTGGGAAGCTGAGGCAGGCGGATCATCTGAGGTCAGGAGTTCCAGACCAGCCATGGCCAACATGGTGAAACCCCGTTTCTACTAAAAATACAAAAAAATTAGCCAGATGTGGTGGCACACACCTGTAATCCCAGCTACTCGGGAGGCTGAGGCAGGAGAATCTCTTGAATCCAGGAGGCAGAGGTTGCAGTGAGCCGAGATCACACCATTGCACTCCAGCTTGGGCAACAAGAGTGAAACTCTGTCTCAAAAAAAAAAAAAAAAAAAGAAAGAAAGAAAAGAAAAGAAAAAAAGAAAGAAAAAAGGCTTTATTACTCAGTCTTGAGGCTCAGCCCCCATAATCCATGTTCATCATTACTAGGTTAATATTAAGACTGTTGAAGTAACATGGGGCTACCCCCAAGTAGACACTCACCAGCCCTTTCACAAATAAAGTGGCATCAAAGGGGAAGGGCTTCCTTTCATGTCAGAGGAGGAAGCGTATGAAGCTTAGGAGCAAGGGTAGACCCAATGGGATTAGTGTTTCCTCCAAAGACAGTTGTCTCGTAGATCCAGAGCTGCCACTGTAATCACCAACCACGTTCTCCCAGGGCACTACAGAGTAGGTATTACTGAACCATCCCCACTTTGGCCAACCGAGTTCTTCATTACCCGTGGGCCTTCTCGTTGTCTTTGCTCTAGGTTATTATGGTTACTGGTGATCATCCCATCACAGCCAAAGCTATTGCCAAGAGTGTGGGGATCATTTCAGCCAACAGTGAAACAGTGGAAGACATTGCACATCGCCTCAACATTGCTGTGGAGCAAGTTAACAAACGGTAAGCACAGGAGCAGCATAGTAAAAATTCCAGTTTATACCCATGGGGCCCCACTGGCTCTAAAGAGCTGCACTACTTGGAACAAATCAGCTTTTTGCTCTCAGAGTTATGCTAGGCTTGTTTGAGCTATTATTTGCATATCCATGTATTCACTCTAATTTCACTGAGCAGCTAATATGTGCCAGGCACAGTATTGATACCATGAAATGACCCTTTATGTGTTCCTTGTTTGAAATTTCAAAATCCAGTGTGCCCTGGGCACAAAACCTATGTGCCCAATTTAGAATAAGAAAAACTGAAACAAAGGGTTTATGTGAAATTACTTGCCATAGATGCAGTTGCATAATTTGGAATCGTAAGAACCCTGTGGGTTGTTTCATGCACCCTCCTTGGTAAGCATCTTGGGTATTTATCCACCCGGTTTCATAACGTGTAGCTATGTAAACACACCCTTCTTTTTTATTTGGTAATAGATAGAATGGAAGCTTCCTAAGGAAAGTTTTTTTCCTTGTTTCTCCTAATTCTTTTAATCATGTTTATCCTTATTCTTTTAATCATGTTCATCCAACTGTACATTCACTCATGTATTTGTTCTTTCAACAAGTATTTACTGCGTGCCAACTATATACCAGGCAAGACCTGGAACTACAGTAGCAAACTGAACAATACTATCCACACCGTTGGGGAATCTTTCCATCGAGCCAAGGAGACACAAACAAAGCTAACAATGATGTGGCCAGTGTAATGAGGGAGCCACACAAGGCTAGGGAGCTGGGCATGCAGGAGAGTGGCCTGGACTGTGCCTGGTCTCCATGAGTCAAAGACTCCGAATTCTCAGGTTGAGAAGTAATGTTCATTAGCTGGGTTATGTTTTCACGCATGCGGGAGATGAGGGAAAGACCAATGCACCTCTTCAGTTTCCCCAAGCACTTAGGTCTTTTAGGGACACACAGCTGTCAGGTCATAACAAATTACCACGTTAGACAACCAACCAGGGTTCCCGCCTCTGGGCACAGCAGCAGTACCTGAAGTCTAAGAGTCTTGCAGTGCCCTTTAGTATACATAACATCCCTCTATGAAAACAACTTTGGGGCTTGTTTATTTGTTTGGTTTTGTAAGATAATCGGATTATACTTTTTTTCACTTTAGAATTTTAAACAAATTTTGTTTGTTTGTTTGTTTGTTTATTTAGACAGAGTCTCTCTCTGTCACCCACGCTGTAATGCAGTGGTGTGATCTCAGCTCACTGCAATCTCCACCTCCTGGGTTCAAGCGATTCTCCTGCCTCAGCCTCCTGAATAGCTGGGATTACAGGCGCCCGCCACCATGCCTGGCTAATTTTGTATTTTTAGTAGAGACGGGGCTTTGCCATGTTGGCCAGGCTGGTCTCAAACTCCTGACCTCAAGTGATCCACCCACCTTAGCCTCCCAAAGTGCTGGGCTTACAGGCGTGAGCCACCACACCTGGACTAAAAGAAATTTTTTTAAGAGTAGTCAAGTGCAGTAGTGAGAAGAGGGGAAAGAGTAGAAGTTTGATCTGTAACTGACTGTGAACAATCAGTTGAGCTAATTCACTACTACCTTCAGACCAGCCGAGTCTTCTTTTTTTAGATACAAGGTGTCCTGTCAGATCACCCAGGCTGGAGTGCAATGGTGTGATCATAGCTCACTGCAGCCTCGACCTCCTGGGTTCAAGGGATCCTCCCCTCTCAGCCTCCCAAGTAGCTGGGACTACAGGCTTGTGTCACTGCACCCAGCTTCATTTTAGCAGATTTTTTTTTTTTTGAGATGGAGTCTTTCTCTGTTGCCTAGGCTGGAGTGTGGAGTGCAGTGGTGAAATCTCATTGCAGCCTCCACCTCCTGGGTTCAAGGGATCCTCCCCTCTCAGCCTCCCAAGTAGCTGGGACTTTAATTTAAAATTTTAGCAGATTTTTTTTTTTTTGAGATGGAGTCTTTCTCTGTTGCCTAGGCTGGAGTGTGGAGTGCAGTGGTGAAATCTCATTGCAGCCTCCACCTCCTGGGTTCAAGCAATTCTCCTGCCTCAGCCTCCTGAGTAGCTGGGGTTACAGGCATGTGCCACCACACCCGGCTAGTTTTTGTACTTTTAGTAGAGACGGGGTTTCACGATGTTGGCCAGGCTGGTCTTTAACTCCTGACTGCAAGGGTTCTGCTCGCCTTGGCTTCCCAGAGTGTAGAGATTACAGGCGTAAGCCACTGCGCCTGGCCCATTTTAGCAATTTTTAATGAAAGTTGTATATAAGATACCTTATTCCTGCATCTTCTCAATTGCTTCTTTTTTATATTTGCCCTTCCTTCCCTACTTAGGAAGATTTGTTTGGCCTTCCATTCAAGGATCTTTTGTGGTCTTTGTCTAGTTTTAGCCTGGTGATGGCCATGTGCTGGTGACGTGCACACGACGGTCCTGCCCTTAGCCTCCTCCTGTGCTCCTGTTCAGTATAGGTGGCACATTTCTTCCTATAAACCTGGACTGCTTTGCCAATTTGCTGGCCCGTATAGTGTCTTTGTGCAACCTCAACTTCCTCATCCTTTCAGATGGGCATGGATGGAACTGTGCTTGTAGCAGACTCCAGAATGTGCTTCTGTCTCAGCTCTTTGGAACGAGAGAAAGACATAATCTTCCTACGAATGTGGGAAGGTGCATTGAAATGACTTTTATGATTCTTGCCTCAGTCAAAAGTCACAAAGGGACTGCACTTCCTCTTGGTCACTGCCACTCTGCTCATGGCCACAAAAGGGAAGAGTGGATTACACATTTGTATACAAATCACCACACTGAGTGAAGTGGATGCTTTTGTGAATGTTTTCAGTTATTCACTTCATCAGCTCTAGTTTCATGACCATATAAAAATTGCATCTTAGCAGGTGTAAGGGGAAAGGAAACACCCCTTCTTTCTTCTCTTACTTTCTTTTGTTTTGTTTTGTTTTGTTTTTTTGCCAGCGGTTAAGGAGACCTGTAGTTTGAGTCAAGTGCTAGAATTCCAGTATTTAGCACCAAGAGGTAAAACAGACCTAGAAAGCTCAAAACTTGCAAATTGTAAAGAAAAAGACCTGCAGCAGTTTGTACCTACATTGTTTAAGCTGAGATTTGAAGGCTGAAATGTAGTGTTAGCCACGAGAAGCTGAGGTGAGAGATGCCCATTCCTGGTCAGGGAGCGAGACCCGTGAAGGCCTTAGGGTACAGGGGATGGAGGATGTCAGAACTGAGAGCATCCAGCGGGCAGGAGGGAGAGCCCAAGGTGAGGCGAAGCTTGACAACGCAGGCCCCACCTGGGCTCGCTGGCTAAAGTTAGGGATTCCGGGGTCTGCTCCAAGCACGGTGGAAAGCCCCTGAAGAGTTTTAGCAGGGGACTGGCTCAGGCAGCTCTGCATAATCAATAGGCCCTAGAACCTTACTTTTATAGTCAGCAGGCAATAGCGCTGCTCAAAGACTTCAGTAAACTTCTGCCTACGTAGCACATTGCACAAAGATGACACTCTGTAAATCTGAAATACCCAACGGCAAGTAATTATTACCCCTTGTTTGGCCATAAAAGAATTCTAGGACCCAAAACATATGAACAGGCAGTTTGGGGGTTTTATTTTTATTTTTGTTTTTGAGACAGGGTCTCACTTTGTCACCCAGGCTTGAGTGTAGTGGCATGATCATGGCTCACTGCAGCCTCAACCCCCCAGGCTCAAGCAATCCTCCTGCCTCAGCCTGCTGAGTAGCTGGGACCACAGGCACATGCCACCATACCTGGCTAATTTTTTAAAATTTTTTGTAGAGACAGGGGCTCTCACTATGTTGCCCAGGCTGGTCTTGAACTCTTGGCCTCAAGTGATCCTCCTACTCAGCCTCCCACAGTGCTGGGATTACAGGCATGAGCCACTGCGTTTGGCCATGAATGGGCAGTTTTTTAACTTCCTTTTACTTCTGAAGTAAAGCGTTGCTCTAGGAAGTACCACTCTCACCTGTTCTAGTAGGGATAAGGCTACCTGGTTTTTTATTCCTATTGTTATATGGTACCAAGAAATGGTGTTATATTTTAGCCTCAGTTTGCCCTCTTGAAATGGAGACTAAAGTGTTCCCAGGACTCCTGTTACCTCACTAGAGCATTAGGTATCAAGGACACTGGGTTCCAGGTCAAGTCAGAGAGGCTTCAGCCAGCATCCTGCCTGGAACAGTGTTTCAACCTAAGATCTGCCCTTGGGCCTCACCCAGTTTCTTCTGGCCCTTCTAGGGATGCCAAGGCCGCTGTGGTGACTGGCATGGAGCTGAAGGACATGAGCTCAGAACAGCTGGATGAGATCTTAGCCAACTACCAGGAGATTGTCTTTGCCCGGACATCCCCCCAGCAGAAGCTGATCATTGTGGAGGGCTGTCAGAGGCAGGTGGGTGGACAGCAGTGTCCAGAGGACTGACAGGCCCATCACTGTCCATGGGCAAGTGCAGAGGTCTGGATCTCACATCAGGCTGTGGTGCCTTTGAAACTTCAAGAGAGAGTTCTTGGCTCATCCCCATCACCTGACCTCTCCAACCTCTCAGGTGGGCTGGCCCCTGTCCTCCTTTGAGACCCCCACCACATGTTCCCCGAAAGGCTCACCCCAGCTCTCTGCATTTTGTCATGAGAGCCCGGTGAAGCATTTGCCACTGTGGTAGTTGTGAGTAAAGAGAGATTTAAAATGCAAAGATTTAAAACAAAAAATGTGAAGACATAAGATACAAGACACCTGCGCATTAGGTTTTCCTCATTTGCACGTATCTTGTTTGGAGACCCTTGTTCCTGCTTCTAAGATTTCTCATCTTTATCTTTTCCCCTAAATGGGCCTTTCCGTTCAGCTATAATCATCCTCGCAACCTCAAGAGAAAGGGAAGTCTTGTTGCTCTTGCCAGGCCTGCAACCCACTGGGCCTGCTCACTCCCACTTTCTCCCTGGGTCCCCCGCCATAGGATGCTGTTGTTGCTGTGACCGGGGATGGAGTTAATGACTCTCCGGCTCTAAAGAAGGCAGACATTGGGATTGCCATGGGGATAGCAGGTTCTGATGCAGCCAAAAATGCAGCCGACATGGTCTTGCTGGACGACAACTTCGCATCCATCGTCACAGGGGTGGAGGAAGGTGAGTGAGTCTCAGGGGGTCTTCCCAAGGGCCAGGGTGGTCTGGGGGACTAGAAGTAAGTTCTGAAGGAGAAACCTCTCTGCCTAGGTCGCCTGATCTTTGACAACCTCAAGAAGACTATTGCTTATTCCCTGACCAAGAACATTGCCGAGCTGTGCCCCTTTCTGATCTACATCATTGTCGGGCTCCCCCTGCCCATTGGCACCATCACCATTCTGTTCATTGACTTGGGGACAGACATTGTAAGTGACACTGAAGGGAACAGGCTGTGATGCCTGCCCCAGGGGAGGTCAAGTTCAGGGTCGCTACCTTCAAGGGCCGGGGATGGACTAACTCAAGGCTTCTCAGCTTCCATGTGATGGGGCCTGTAGCTCTGCATTTCTCACAGGTTCTCAGGTGGTGCCCATTCTACCAGTCCACATGCCACACCTCAAAGCAAGGGACCAGAGGCATCTGCCAAATGTTTGGAAATTAAAAACACTCTATAGTGAGCTTTTTTTTCTTGAGACAGAGTTTCACTCCCATCACCTAGGCTAGAGTGCAGTGGTGCTATCTTGCCTCACTGCAACCTCCGCCTCCCAGGCTCAAGTGATTCTTCCACCTCAGCCTCCCAAGTAGTTGGGACTACAGGCTTGTGCCACCACACCTGGCTAATTTTTGTATTTTTAGTAGAGATGGGGTTTCCTGGCCTCAAGTGATCCACCTGCCTCGGCCTCCCAAAGTGCTGGGATTACAGGCATGAGTCACTGCACCTGAGCTATAGCAAGCTTTTCAAGACATGAGTCTTCATCCTCAAAAAAAAAAAAGAAATGCCATTGGTCAGTTTCAGCCTATGGGCTTCCCTTTTCTTTTGGGAAGATGAAGCTGTCACTCAGATTAATCACCCAAATAACCACTGGGGGCCCAGTGACTAAAGTGATAATCTCACAGCCACCTCTTGTTAAGTAAGAGAGTCTGACATGGAAGACCTTTACCTAAACACAGTAAGAAGTAGCAGTTATGAAGACTTTATAAAGCCTTGCCCTACAGTAATGTCACCTAAACCTTCCCCTTTTCCAGTATCCATTTAAAGAAAGCCCCGTCTAAGCTGCCCATGTGGCTGTGGCTTACGTGGGCAAGCAGGGAAAGCAACAGACAGCAAGCTGAATTCTTAGCAGGAAACTGGCCCTTCGAAGTGCCCCCTTCCCCTTCAAATTGCCCCCTTCCCCTCTCTTGTTTTCTACAACACCCAGGTAATCCCTAATTCCTAGAGAGACTGGAGATGTCTTTCCCTTTGAGGGGTATTGAGGTCCCCAAAGTTGATGGATCATTTTCCAAGCCCTTCACATTTGCCTGCTTTGCTCTGCTGCAGTGCTTCTCCAGGCCTGGTGCGGGCATCACCTGGGAACTTGTTAGACATGCACACTCTGGGCACTGGTGGACACCTGTAGCCTAGCTACTCAGGAGGCCAATGCAGGAGGATTACTTCAGCTCAGGAGTTTGAGTCCAGCCTGGTCAACACAGAGAGACCTAGTCTCTTAAAAAATAAAAATTAAGAACAAATAAAATAAAAATCTTATTCCAGATAACTGGGCTAGGAATGGAAATAGGTTGTACACCCATTGTCTTTTAAAAAAGAGAAAGAAAGAAAGAGAAAGAGAGAAAGAAAGAGAGAAAGAGAGAGAGGGAAAGAGAGAAAGAGAAAGAGAGAGAAAGAGAAAGAAAGAAAGGAAAGAAAGAAAGAAAGAAAGAAAGAAAGAAAGAAAGAAAGAAAGAAAGAAAGAAAGAAAGAAGGAAAGAGAAAGAGAAATGAATGCAAATTCTCTGGCCCCAGCCCAGTCCTCCTGAATTGGGAAGTCTGGAGGTGGGGCGCAATGATCTGTCTCTTAGCAGGTCCTCCCACCTGGAGGGAGAGGACGGCACAAGAAATTCTCCCTGTAGGGGAAGAGTGTTTTATAACCAGCATCCTTCAGAACTGCCAGCACAGGGTGATAAAAAGCAGCTGATTTCTAAAGGCACTATTCTTAAATTTCCATACAGACAACACGCCCTCTACTGCCTATAGCCTGGATGGGCCAGCTCCATGCCCCCCACCCCATCCAGCCAGTGCCCCACCCACCCCAGCCCCCCTCCCCTACTGTGGGTAGAGCAGAACATCCTGGGGTTAGACCTCACCAGCCTCTTCCCCTCTAGATCCCCTCCATTGCCTTGGCGTACGAGAAAGCTGAAAGTGACATCATGAACAGGAAGCCTCGCCACAAGAATAAGGACAGGCTGGTGAACCAGCCGCTCGCTGTGTACTCATACCTGCACATTGGTACGATGAGGGCGCGTCTTCCCCATCACACGAGGGCCTGCCCCGAGAATTCACTGGAGTGGGGGGCACAGCCAGAAAGTGTGGTTTTCCTGTGGGGCCTGGGTTGGGGAGGGAGGGGGAACCGAGAGTAGACAGGATGAGGCAGTTTCCTGAGGCCATCATAGAACCTGTGTCCTATCTCTCTTGTTCTTTCAGGCCTCATGCAAGCCCTGGGAGCTTTCCTTGTGTATTTCACCGTCTATGCACAAGAGGGCTTTCTGCCCCGCACTCTCATTAACCTGCGGGTAGAATGGGAGAAGGACTACGTGAATGACTTGAAAGACAGCTATGGGCAGGAATGGGTGAGTGGCGGGAGCCCTGCTGCAGAGTCCACCTGATTCTCTCCATGCTCATTGCCCTGCGCAGAATTACATAGAACCTCCATGTCCCTGAACAGCCTGGGAAAGCTTCAATTAATAGGGCTCAGGGCCCCCTTGCTGACACGTGTTTGGCCTTTGCCAGGTCTCATGGCACAGCCTCCTGTCTTGGGCTAGATGACAAGAGGTCCCTTTTTTTACCTTAGCTTTGCCATTGGTATAGAAGAGTGACCAGCCCAGCCACACCCACAGTGCGGCCAAATAAATTTACATCTTTCAGGCCGGGTGCAGTGGCTAATGCCTATAATCCCAGCACTTTGGGAGGCTGAGGAGGGAGAATCACTTGAGCCCAGGAGTTTGAGACCAGCCTGGCCAACACAGTGAGACCCTGCCTGTGTTAGAAATAATAGTAATGATAATTTTTTAAAAAATTAACATTTTTCTCTACTCAGCTGGTTCAAGAAAGAAAAATGTTTCTTTCCAAACACTAGAAGGTGGTCCATTCTCAGTCCGGGTGAGGTGTGGAAAGAACATGAAGCTTTAGAGAACTGCATTGGAATTTCCTAGAAGTTTTCCTTTAGGCCTCAAGGTCTCTTCCTTCTCTGCCCATTAACAGACAAGGTACCAGAGGGAATACCTAGAATGGACGGGCTACACGGCTTTCTTTGTTGGCATCCTAGTCCAGCAAATAGCAGATCTGATCATCAGGAAAACCCGGAGGAATTCCATCTTCCAGCAGGGTCTCTTCAGGTACTGCCTGTGCCCGGCCTCCTGGGGCAGCCCTGGGCCTGCCGTGCAAGGATGATGATGATTTGTTTTTCACAAGACAGAGTTCTGGCCACACTTGTAACCCCAGAGGCATTGATTTTTCTGGTGGCATGGTCTGCTGGGTGTATGATCATGAAGCCACAAGAATCCCAAGTCTGTCTGCTTTTGTGTGTCTTGCAGAAATAAAGTCATCTGGGTGGGGATCACCTCACAGATCATCATTGGTCTGATCCTCTCCTATGGCCTCGGAAGTGTCACAGCCTTGAGTTTCACCATGCTTAGGTGAGTTCACCCTCAACAGCATGGAGGAAAGAGCCAGCCTCTGCTTTGAGCTGTCGCAGCCTAAATAAACCTGAGGATTCCCAGGGTTCTTCCCCAAGTCTTTCAAAAGACGTCAAACTGATCCCATGCTCTGTGAGCCCAAAGCTTTGATCTGCATTTTCCAGAAGTGGAAATGGGTTTTCTAGACCTCACCAACCGGCCTTCATCCTCATCCAACAGGTTGCTTCAAAGGCAGACATTGCTTCTAGCAGTCACAGTGCAGGTTAAACAAGGAGCTTTCCACCTTTATTTTGTGGGACCTCGTGGATTTGTCGTTCTTTGCAGTAAAGCAAGACAAATGAACGAGAAGCCCCATTCCCATTGGGCAGGGTTGGGCTATCCCTGTGGATGAGTCAGGGTTCACTTTCCATCCCTTTGCTTCCAGGGCTCAGTACTGGTTTGTGGCTGTGCCGCACGCCATCCTGATCTGGGTGTATGATGAGGTGCGGAAGCTCTTCATCAGGCTCTACCCTGGAAGTGAGTAGCCTATGATTTTAGAGGCTCTGTTTACCCACTTCAACAGACTCTCCATTTCTGATGTACTTTTTTCTACCTCTACAGGCTGGTGGGATAAGAACATGTATTATTAAGACCACCTCCCTTCCTATGTCTCTCAGCAGCACGTTGGGGCACACTTGTTCATCTTCTGACCGTTTGCTGGGCTATTCCCCTGCAGTGCAGACATCGTCAAAATTCAGACAAGAGGAAATTTTCATGCAGAAAGCTGTATGCAGGATGCTCACTGATGTTTTGCACTTTAAAACTGAAATTCAACTCTTTATATAGGATTTTCTTTTCTATCTCCATCTCCTCATTAAAAAATACGTACATTTCGAGGTAATGGTATAGGGAAGAATGTGTTTATGTGTATTTGAAACTCCTTGATGTTAATAGTCTTGTGTAACCCAGGCATCTACTGGGGCCTGCCTTAAGCTCTAGCTAGGATTGCTCAGAACTCCTTTCCACACCCTATTAAAGGCCCCATGACCTCCCTAAGATTTCTGCAGATCCCCTGAGAAGGTATGTTTTCATGGTCTCCTTGCTCGAAAAAGGCCAACTCACCCGAGGGTCTGCAGGAGATGGAAGTGGCGGCAGGTTTACATCACAGCAGCACGCATGACCTCAGCTTTGACTCGTTTAACTCTGAGACGTCCTTCTTGAAGGCCCTTGCCACAGTTTCCCTGGCCACGCCACCCCATCCCACCTCTGGTCATCTCCCCAGCCCTTTATGCCCCGTCGCCCTCCACCCCTACATCAGCTCCTCCAAAACTGAGCTCCCAGTTCATTTTGCATATCCTAACTCAAAATGCTCAGCTAATCCAAGGGGACTTTCTTTACCAGGATTCAACCCTAGTAGAGAGCTGTTATGGTTTCAATAGTCATATTTATTTCTTGTAAAACAGTTGCCAGGTGCTCTCCAGCAATAACGTTTTGTCAGTCATGTTTCATGTTTTAACTTAGGTGTATTCATGTGTGACACTTCCATGTTGACAGGCCCGGAAAGGCCTCATTTTTAACTAAAAGATGTTTTATAAACCCAGGTTTAATTGTGGTGTTCTAATTGGTTCACATTTTTCTAGAATGAAGAGCATGGGACAAAAAAATAAGATATGATTTCCTATTTTCTTTTCGTTGCTCCTTCTGGTCATTTTACTTATCTGTGGAAGATCTGGAAATGTAGGATTTTTCTTTCAAACTCTTCCTCATGACCCCAGGGCTCCAGCCAGGGCCTCTGATGTGCCCTCGATTCTTGGTCGGACGCCTGTGGGAGGGCCCGTCTTTCTGCAGCAGCACTCGAGAGAAGGGTTCTACAGCCTTTCCATCAACTGCACACCTCGCACTAACTCATTTGACAGAACGTGAGAATTATGTTTGGTTAAGCTTTCCTCATCTAGTGGCCTGCCCCGTCACCTCTCTCCATTACAGTCTCACTCGGGGGCATCTGGGGCTGATGGCTCTAGGTTGGCATCTCCTGGACAGGAAAAGGCAGCCTTAGAGTCACCATGCTCTTGGGGTCACATGTAGGAGCAGGAAAGAGGGAAGGAGACTATCCTTGTAACTTTATGTATATAGATTCCAGTGCATATTGTGTGCAGCCATGTAAGCTAAAATAATGTTGCTGTCCTCAGGAGATTTGTAATCTGTGTTCAGCCACAATTATCATTGGACTAATCTATCAGTAGTTCCAGTGAACTGCAAACACTTCCCAGAGTGGTTTGGGCAGTGTGGTCATGGCTTTCTCGTTCCAGTCTCGACAAGGCAGCTAATGCTTTCTAGACTTCAGCTAAGAATAACTTGACCTTACTTAATCTTTCTTGACAGGCTGCCTGAGTGCTCATGGCTGCAATGCTTGGCAGCTCTTGGTCCTGCCAATGCCAGCAGGACAAGGCCATCAATTTAGCACAAAGCTGCAAGGTTTAACTTGGGGTTGGATTAGGGTTGAAAGGAGTTAACTTGGAATTAGAAGCCTCTTCATAGCAGGAACTATGTATGAAATAACGTTCCTATTTGTGCTTATTTACTCTTGCAAAAAGTTGACACTCAAATATTTATAAAATTAACAAATAACTAACTTAAGAAATCCCAGAA
Organism: Homo sapiens; assembly: GCF_000001405.40. Lineage (NCBI taxonomy): Eukaryota > Metazoa > Chordata > Mammalia > Primates > Hominidae > Homo > Homo sapiens. Next base: position 24,713,522 of record NC_000013.11, read on the forward strand.
AAGACACTAGCATTATTGAGTAGCTTTATTAAGTTGTAGACAGAAAAAGGCAATAAAATCCATTTCAGAGGGTGTTTTTGGAGGGACTATTTAATTGACCCTCTGAAGCCTAGATGTCTTTTATTATAGGAAAAAAAAATGTCAATTTAAATCTAATTGATGTGGTAGAGTATCTCAGAGACATAAACATGAGGCTGAATTCCTAGAGTCTTTGCTTTTTAAAACAATCTAATTTATTCTGATTATAAAATTGCAGCTCTAAATGAGCTATTTTCTTAAATAGAAAATTTAGAATAAATGAGATTAAAAAGTAAATTAAAATCACCCTGAATCTCACTATGTAGTCATATACCTAAATGAAAGAGTAATCATTTCTTTGGAGTTTTTCCACACATATATTTATTTTTAGGTAAAATTAAATAAAGTTTTCAATTCTGCCTTTTTTATTTAACATCAAAAACATGGTGTTAATGACTGCACAGTATTGTAGATTGAGAGTGCTTTCGCTAACTATATCTGCACGGTGAGATAGCTCATTAATTTCCTACTAGGCATCTTTCTCAAAAAGGCTGCATCTTATCCTCAATATTGTACCACACATCTCCATTTTATAGAAGATTCCTCAAATTGGAATCAAGGCATTCAGAGCATTCCTAAGGCTCTGGCCACACATTGCCTAATTTATCTTTAGATAAGCTGTATCAGTTTACACCCCCACCAGCAATAGAAAAAGAATATTTATCTTGCCTATCATTAAGATGTGAATGCTCAGTCAACCAAAGAGCTTTCCATAATTCGACAAAGATGTAGGAAGTGCTCCTGCATGGCTTGAGAACACAGCCCAGAACAAGATAGAGCATGGAGCCAGTACACCAGTAGAGGGGTGAAAGGAAAATACAAATTGTGATAAGGTCTTGAAAAGGCATAATGGGGCTTAGATAATCAGGTGGCAGGATTGAGGGCAGTCAGCTAAGTCCTTTTAAATAGGGTAGTCAGAAAAGTCCTTTTTGTTGTTGTTGTTGAGACGAAGTCTCACACTCTCGCCCAGGCTGGAGTGCAGTGGCACAATCTCAGCTCACTGCAACCTCCGCCTCCTGGATTCAAGTGATTCTCCAGCCTCGGCCTCCCCAGTAGCTGGGACTACAGGCACCCACCACCACGCTGGGCTAATTTTTGTATTTTTAGTAGAGATGGGGTTTCACCATGTTAGCCAGGCTGCTCTTGAACTCCTGACCTCAGGTGATCCATCTACCTCGGCCTCTCAAAGTGCTGAGATTATAGGCGTGAGCCACCATGCCCGGCCTAGCAAAGTCCTTTTTGAGGAGATGAATGCAAAGAAGCAGACAGAATGACAGGAAGAGGGAACAGCATGAGCAAAAGCTCTGAGAGGTCAGAGGGGCCTAGCAGGAACACACAGCCAGGGAAGACCTTGGAACGGGGAACTGGAGGGACAGGCAAGAATCTCACCCTAGAGGGGTTCAGAGACCAAATGAAGGAGGTTGCATTTAATTTCAAAACAAGCTATTAGGCCCAGTGCAGTGGCTCACACCTTTAATCTCAGCACTTTGGGAGGCTGAGGCAGGAGAATCACTTGAGACCAGGAGTTTGAGACCAGCCTGGGCAACGTAGGGAGACCCCATCTCTACAAAAACGAATAAACAAGCTATTGAAGACAATTAATAAAAGAGGTGACCTGATCCAGTTGACATGTTCAGATCACTTTGGCTTCTGTGTAGAGGATGGGAGGCAGACCAGGCTGTGGTAACTGGTGTGTGTACCTTCAATGGAATACACAGACTCAATGGAGGAGTTTCTTAAGGGGGGTTGCCTCTAGGTGACTCGAGACATAAATGTTCAACTCAGGCTCCTAGAAAGGCTCACAACCACCCTGACTGCCCACATCACAATCAAGATAGAGACAGGAGATGCTCAAGCAGGTGTCATCTCGCCAGGAGTCTAGAACAAGATATATGTCTCAATGTACACGGCTGCACTCCTTAAGAGCCTGGACAGGTGCATCTGACTCTACAAAGATCATGAGTTCTCCACATTTGTTCATTCTGCTATCATCATTCCACTGGTGGCATCTAATGTCTCTTAAAAAGACAGTGGCTGGCTGGGCGTGGTGACTCACGCCTGTAATCCCAACACTGGGAGGCCGAGGCGGTCGGATCACAAGGTCAGGAGATCGAGACCATCCCAGCTAACACAATGATACCCTGTAACTACTAAAAATACAAAAAATTAGCCGGGCGCGGTGGCGGACACCTGTAGTCCCAGCTACTCAGGAGGCTGAGGCAGGAGAATGGCATGAACCCAGGAGGCGGAGGTTGCAGTGAGCCGAGATCACGCCACTGCACTCCAGCCTGGGTGAAAGAGCAAGACTCCATCTGAAAAAAAAAAAAAAAAAAAAAAAAGACAGCGGCAATCACTGATATTTGTTAAGTATCTATTATGTTCTGGGTTCCTAACAGCATGATCTTATTAACGCTCACAACGGCCCCGTCAGCTGTGGCATCAGCCGTGCTTTACACTCAGGAAGTTAAGCCTAGAGGCCCAGTGACTTCCTGGCACTGTGACCTCTCCTGACCACTAAGAGGCTCCACTGTAGAATCTGGCAAGTGGTTTAGGGAGAGTTTGCCCTTCGATGGAATATAGATGCCTCTAGAGCATAGCCTGCAGGTGTTGAGTTCTGTCTTACAGCTCTGCAGGTTACTGATAACTGAGAGCAACAGAAAGTATTTCTATAGATATGCAAATGAATCCTACCCAGTGGGTGAAGATCTTTCCTCCTTGGAAAAGCCAGTTTTGCTCCCTTTGCACAATCAGCCAACATTCCTGATTCCAGATAAAAGCGTGCCTCTTTGCTCCTCTCAGTAGATTTTAACAACTGCCTAGTTTCCTATTTAAGTGGTGAGCTTTAAAAAAAAATCTTTAATATGTGTTCACTGTTATATCTGTATGAAAAAATTATCCTTACACCATGAACAGAGGAAGAAGAACACAATTCCCTCCTCATTTAGGGTCCTTCTCAGCCCCTCCGTGGAGCTAGGCACCCAGCCCGTCCGAGATCCTGAACCCCCGCACGCTCCAGGGCCATTCTGCTATTGGGCAGGGATGCCGTTTTTTTCTGCTTCAGACCAGTTCTCTCAGCAAGCTCCTTCTTCCCCGTCCCCATTCCTACTTTCCCACCCTCCCCTCTGACATACCAGAACCAAGCTTGGGGGATTTTATCTTCTTGGTCCAGAGGTTCTAAGATAAAGTTAACTGGAAATTTAAGGTAAAAGCCTGATTAATTTTAAAGGGATAGAAGCTGCCCTCCTCAGACTTGCTGTGCAGGTAGATAGAGATTCGGTGGAGTGAAGCACTTCAATGCAAGAGTTTATTTGTAGTTTGGGGGATTTCTTTTTTTCTAATTTTTTTTTTTTTTTTTACATTTTCTATTTACACAAAGGGATTTCTTCCACTCCACCCGCACCCGCCGCCTCTGCTTTCAATCTTTTTTCTTTTCTTTTCTTTTCTTTTTTTTTTTTTTTGAGACAGGGTCTCACTCAGTCATCCAGGCTGGGGTGCTAGAGTGAGTGCAATGGTGTGATCTCAGCTGCAACCTCTGCCTCCCGGGCTCAAGCCTCAGCCTCTTGAGTAGCTGGGACTACAGGTGCACTCCATCACGCCCAGCTAATTTTTGTATTTTTTGTAAAAAAGGGGGTTTGGCTATACTGCCCAGGCTGGTCTTGAACCCCTGGGCTCAAGTGATCCACCCACCTTGGCCTCCCAAAGTGCTGGGACTACAGGTGTGAACCACCACACCCAACCACTTTCGTTGTTTCAAATTTAGCACCTGCTAGGTACACAGCACAGTGCAGAACAATGCTGTGCTGGTCTGAGAGGACAAAATGACGCAATAGGGAAGACCAGGCATGTTTGCAAATAAACTGTCAATCGGGGCAGGATTTGGCCGAGGCCTTGAGAGGTATACAGTGCTGTGGGTTTCCAGGGAGACCATCTTTGGTGGGCAACAGTGGAGGGTGCCAGGAGGCAAGGCATCCAACTCAGCCTTGAGGAGTAGGGTTCCAATTGCAGAGGTGAAGCAGAGGAAAGGGCAGGGGCCAAAGATGTGCCCAGGTTGGTCACAGCCATGTCCCTGTGAGCCAGCTCCCTCCAGGACAAAGTCAATGTGGTGCAGAGACCCCATGACCTGGGTCTAGCATTCCACTTGGTATTCCTAGGGGGGCTGCAGTATCCATTGACCAAATCCCTACAGACAGAAATAAGATTGCCTGTGGGAGAAGAACTCTAATCAGCCCAGCAAGGGCTACATTAGAGATCTGCAGAAAGCCACCTTACACAGGAGCCAGGATGCTAAAGGCTGTCCATCAGAAAGGGGCTTATGTAGCCATAGAAAAAGATGTCCTTCCCAGCAACACGGATGCAGGTGAAACTATTACCTTAAGCAAATTAATGCAAAAACAGAAAATCAAATACTGCATGCTCTCACAAGTAGCAGCTAAACACTGGGTACCCACGAACACAAAGATGAGAGCAACAGACACTGGAGACTCCAAAAGGGGGGTGGAGGGAGGGAGGAAGGGAGGCAGGTATTGAACAACTACCTACTGAGCAGTATGTTTACCCCTTGGGGGACAGGATCATTAGAAACCCAAACTTCAGCACCACAAAATAGATCCAAGTAACAAACCTGCACATCTGAACCTAAAATAAAAATAAAAAATAAATTTAAAAAAAGAAGAAAAGGGCCCATCTGTAGCAGAGACCAAGAAAAGGGTCAGGCCCTGAGGCCCGTTGGTGTGTCCCCAAACCCTTGGCACGGGAGGGGCCTGGTCAGGCTGAGGCATGAGGATGGCATCCCAGGCAGGCCTGGGCTTAATTTGGGAACCGGGTGTCAGGACGCAAAGCCACATCTGCTGACTCTTAACTCCGCACTGGCCTGCCAACCTTCTGACTTGTGACCCAACCCGGGGAAGAGGCCGGCTGGGGGATGTGAAGACCCCTAGCCCTGGGCAATGTCACCGAGACTGTATGAATGCACCTAGTCGTGGTGGAATCAGCCTCTGTGAGCCATCAACGCCCCGGAGGCCACGGCCCCGGCAGACCCCGGCATGGGAAGGCAGGGCTGGTGCGGGCCTGCAGCGCGGCTGTGAGGGCACGAGGGCGCAGGGGGTGAGTCAGGACCACGTTCCCGGGCAGCGGAGGACACAAAGCGCCAGCTCCTGGGGGGCTTGTGAGGATTGAACAAGCGTGGACGCGTTGAGTGCCTTGGAAGAGTCCCGGGGCCCCCCAAGAGGCTCGGAAGGTGTTCGCAGCGTCCTCACATTGGCGCTCCCCGCCGCATCGCGCGCCTCTGACCCTGCACGCGGGCTTGGAGCCTGCCCCTAGGACCTCAGCAGCCTCTGCAACGGCCTCCGCATGCTGCTTGCTTGCTGGGAATGCTTCTGCCAACGTCCTCAGTTCTTCCCCCACCTTCCCAGACCTGCCCACCCTACTAACACCCCGGTACCCTCCCCCCACACTCCCTGCCCCCTCCACCTTCGCTTTTCAGCACAATTTTCTCAGCCTCTGACACCCCATATTTTCACGGCTTTCTTATTGCCACCTCCCGACCTACAAGCCCTGGACGCTAGCTCCAGGAGGATGGGACCTCGCCTCCTGGAGTCCCCACTGGAGCCACAGGAGTGCCTGGCACTCAGGATCGCTCAGTGAATGTTTGATGAAGGATCCTGGGGGAGTGGAACAGATTGTCAACAAGGGAACGAGTCAAGAAAAGAGGCTTAGAACCGTGGAAAGACCTGCACTCAGAAGGCAGGAGGAGCCCCGGGGTGATGGCCCGTGCCTGTAATCCCAGCAATTTGGGAGGCCAAGGCGGGAGGATTGCATGAGCTCAGGAGTTTGAGATGGACTCTGGCAACATCGCGAGATTCCATCTCTACAAAAAATTTAAAAATTAGCTGAGTGTGGTGGCCCACGCCTGTACTCCCAGCTACCTGGGAGACTGAGGCAGAGGGATTGCTTGAGCCCAGGAGTTCAAGGAGGCAGTGAGCTATGATTGTGCCACTGTACTCCAGCCTGAGTGACAGAGCAAGACTCTGTCTACAAAATAAGAAAAGAGGAAGAAGAAGCAGAAGGAGGAGGAGGGGGAGGAGGAGGAGGAAAAGAAAAAGAAAGAAAGAAGAAAGAAAGAAAGAAAGAAAGAAAGAAAGAAAGAAAGAAAGAAAGAAAGAAAGAAAGAAAACAGATGTATTCAACTGCTAGACTTAGGGATAGTGTCCTCTAGTTCTTTTATATTCTTCATGGAACTGAGTCTAGTTTTAGACAAATAAAAAGCTCTCAATACTCATCCAAAAAACAAATTAGCAAGCAAGCTGAGCTCAGGCTGGGGGCGGGTTATGTCCAACGGGTACATTAGTAAAAGGTCACTAATGGCCATTATAGTTTGTAGTTTGAGCTCAGAGAGAAGTGATCTCTGTCCCCTGCATTCTCAAACTTCATTGGCAAAGTAGGGTCCCCAGCTGCACCTGCTCCCCTGTCCTTGGGATCTGACTTCTTTCTTCACTGTGGCTACTCTCACTAGGTCCAGCGGCCCTTCTTCAGTCCTCGTGGTGCTTGGCCTCTCAGCAGCATTTTACGCCATGTCCTAGAAATTCCTCTCTCTATGGTTTCCCAGGTTCTGCACCCTCACTGGGTAGGCAGAGAGTGGGCCATGTTGATATGACATTGCCAAACACCTGTGACACTTCACTGGAAGTCAGAGTAGCATCAGGAAAAGCTAGCCCTGGAGTGAGACCACTTGGGTTTTGTCAGAGCCACCAACCAAGACTACCAGGAACACACCTGTGGTCAGAGTTAGGTTTAATTAACTTGTGCTTCAATGGAGAGAGTGCACCAAGAAAACCATGGGGTTCTGGGTAAGATGGCATTGTGAGGGACGTATGATAGGATTTGGTTTGTGCTGGGAGATCCTGAGGAGGGTCTCAGGAAGCAAGAGCCAGGGATGGATTGGGTGCCATTGGGAAGTGAGGGCAAACTTGGGGGTCGGGCGAAGGAGGACAGAGCTGTCATGTTTTCTCAGGGGAAACTTGCCTCCTCTAACCACCACCCATTGAACCTGCTTCTACAAAGGCAGGTCTAGCAAATTGCTTTAATCTTCAGACACTAAAACCCAATGCTGGGGCTATCTTAAGGATGGCTGCATCCCAGTATGTGTCCTGTTTGTCTCTAAAAAGCTGTATTTTACCACCAAAAATGGAAGATTTAGGGCAACAGGACAAATTTGTGTCATCTTTCCCTTGTGATTAGACTAGAGTCTCCAGAAGCTAGCAGTCATTCCATTTATATTATACATTAGTTCATCTAGCTCCTTCATAAGCAGTAATTGGCCTTTTCACATATTGCATTATTAGAGAGAAACCATTGTAGCCACTCTGTAGAAACAGAATAGACTCCACCCAAAATTTGGTTCAGATGCCAAGACTGTTGATGCCACACACACACACCAAGAAGGTGTTAAAAGGTTTACTACTCACATAATGAAACTTTCTCCCAAGGTGGTTCCCAAGCAACTCCAAAAATGGCTTGGCCAAGCGCGGTGGCTCACGCCTGTAATCCCAGCACTTTGGGAGGCTGAGGTGGGTGGATCACGAGGTCAGGAGATTGAGACCATCCTGGCTAACACAGTGAAACCCTGTCTCTACTAAAAAAATACAAAAAAATTAGCCAGGTGTGGTGGTGGGTGCCTGTAGTCCCAGCTACCCGGGAGGCTGAGGCAGGAGAATGGTGTGAACCCGGGAGGTGGAGCTTGCAGTGAGCCAAGATCTTGCCACTGCACTCCAGCCTGGGTGACAGAGCAAGACTCCATCTAAAAAAATGGCTTGAGAGAGCAGGGAGAGAAGACTGGCATGCAGTTTTTAAAGAGGTGTCTGAAAGAGAGAACATCCAGGCCTTCTGATCAGCTTGCCAAGATGTGGGGCAATTCACAGGTGAGGAGAATGAATCTCAGAAAGGGAAAGAAAGGAGTGATGCTTAAAAGCTATTAGCAGCAGACATCAAAAAAATGGAGTCAGGCTGGGCATGGTGGCTCTCACCTGTAATCCTAGCACTTTGGGAGGCTGAGGCAGGTAGATCACTGGAGGCCAGGAGTTCGAGACCAGCCTGGACAACATAGTGAAACCCCATCTCTAATAAAAATAGCAAAAAATTAGCCCGGCCTAGTGGCATGCGTGTGTAATCCCAGCTACTCAGGTGGCTAAGGCACAAGAATTGCTTGAACTTGAGAGGCGGAAGTTGCAGTAAGCCGAGATCACGCCACTGCACTCCAGCCTAGGCAATGGAGTCGGACTCTGTCTAAAAAAAGAAAAAAAAAAAATTGGGTCAGACTCTATTACACAGGGCATGTCTGAATTCAGTCTGCTCAGTGGGAGAAGAGAACAAGTGTAAAGAAACTATGGTACAGGTTACAGAGCCCCTGTGGCATGCCCAGAATCATGCTAGGCACTCACTGCAGGGCCTTCCATGGTGCTTATTATTTGCCAGACACTCTTCAAAGCACTTTGATACAGGTTAACTCATTGAATTCTCATAATAACCTTAAGAGGTGGGTACTATACAGTCAGCCCTCCGAATCCATGCATTAAACCAACTGGGGATTGAAAGTATTTGGAAAAAAATATGGATGGCCGGTGGCAGTGGCTCATGCCTGTAATCCCAGCACTTTGGGATGCCCAGACGGGCGGATCACTTGAGGTCAGGAGTTTGAGACCAGCCTAGCCAACATGGTGAAACCCTGTCTCTACTAAAACTCAAAAATTAGCTGGGCATGCTGGCAGGCACCTATAATGCCAGCTACTTGGGAGGCTGAGGCAGGAGAATCACTTGAACTCAGGAGGCGGAGGCTATGGTGAGCCGAGATAATGCCGCTGCACTCCAGCCTGCGACAGAGTGAGACTCCATCTCAGGAAAAAAAAAAAGGATGGTTTGCTTCTGTACTGAATATATAGACTATTTTTCCTTGTCATTATTGCTTAAACAATACAGTACAACAACAATTTACATAGCATTTACATTGTATGAGTTATGAGTAATCTAGAGGTTATTTAACATATATGGGAGGATGTGTGTAGGTTATATACAAATACACCATTTTACATCAGAGACTTAAGCATCAGTGGATTTTGGTATCCAAGGGGAATACTAGAACCAATTCCCCACGAATACTGAGGGACAACTATATTATCAACCTGTCTTGCAGATTAGAAAACTGCAATGCAGAGAGGCTAAGTTGCCCAGGCATGCAAAATTAGCTTTAAGCAGCAAAGTCAGGAATCAAGCCTGATCAGCCTGACTCCAAAGTCTGTGCTTTTAGTCATTGTGTGACACCATTTCTCATAAACAGCAGCTTAACTAATGCCTGGGAAATCCAAAAATATTTAGTTGAGTCTCTTCTACTTGAAGAGCTCGCATTCCCCAAGAATACTTTCCATAGTGAAAGTATTGCATTATTATATTGTATTATATTAATACAGCTATATATTAACATAAAAAATAAAACCTCAAAAGCATTTGAATGGTCTTACACAATTTTCAAAATTTCGTTTAGTTTTACAGCATCACTGGAAATTAAATGAGGTGGCAGGTTTATGACTACAACTCCATTTGTAAAATGCAGGAAAACCAAGGCTCCAAGCAGTCAGCCCTGGATCCCTCCATGGCCCCTCTTTGCTTCATCTGCAAGCTCTGGCGGGAAGTAGTGGTTCCACCCAAGAGCAGAGCTGGTGAAATTGTGGCTTGATGGCAGCCCGCTTCCCGTGGCTCCCTGTCCACTGTGGATGCTGCTGCAGCCTGGCACGTGCTTCGGGACGCAGAGTCCAGGGAGCAGGCTGCCACTGTCACCGTGGCTCTGGTCATCATTGCCAGTGTGTGCCACCTGCCACGGCCGCAGACTCTGTCCACACATTAGTAGCTCTGGGAACATGGGAGGTCAAATGTCAATTAAGAGCAACACGCATACTTCACACTCGTTCGCAACAGATGTTTGCAAAGCCCTTTCAAGTTGATCCTCATAACCAACCTTAGAAATGATCTGGGCAGTTCACAGGGGAAGAGAATGAGTTCCTGAGAGAACAATTTGCCTAAAGTCGCTCAGATAGTCAGTGACTGACTCACGCCTACCTGCCTCCCTTCATGACTCCAGTGCACACCTCACTTAAAGTCTTTAAAGGTGGAGAGACTAAACCAGAGGCTGAGCAAGCTGGGAATCAGGAGCTCCTGTTCTTGTTCCTGTGTTCACCAGATCCCTCCGTGGGGCAGGTGCTGGTGGGCACCATTATCATCCCCATCCTGGGCAGGTTGTCCAGGTGGGCACCATTATCATCCCCATTTTGCAGATGAGGAAACAGAGGCTCAGAGAGGACACAACTTGCCCCAAGGTCACATAGCTCATAGGTGTCCATATAGTCCAGTTTGCTGGACCTGAGCCTTCCTACTACACTGCCCCGCCCTGTGGTGGAGGCCCATTTCCCTTCTTCTCCTCCTCCTGAACAAGATCCTGGGTAGGAGAGTCTCCCAGCTATAATAGCTCTTTGTCAAAAGACAGAATTTGAATGAATTTGAAGATCTTAATTGGCTTTGTGATTCTAGAATCAGGCAACGCTCCATTCTGTAAAATAGGATAAGTGTTCCAATAAACTGAGCAGAAGGAGTTGGTTTTATAGACAAAAAAGGGTAGAAGAAAGCAGAAACAAACAAGAAAAGGAGTATTGATCCTTTCAAAGTTACTTTCCTTGTAAGGTGGAAACAGGAAAACAGAACAATAGAAAGGTAACTGATTAGTTAACATCAAGTTATTTCAGGTTACTTTTTTCTTTTTTTTTATTGAGACAGAGTCTTGCTCTGTTGCCCAGGCTGGAGTGCAGTGGCACAATCTCGGCTTCACAGCAGCCTCCACCTCCTGGGTTCAAGCAATTCTCCTGCCTCAGCCTCCCGAGTGGCTGGGACTACAGATGCCCGCCACCATGCCAGCTAATTTTTGTATTTTTAGTAGAGACGGGGTTTCACCATGTTGGCCAGGCTGGTCTTGAACTCCTGACCTCAGGTGATCCACCCACCTCGGCCTCCCAAAAGGCTGGGATTACAGGCGTGAGCCACTATGCCTGGCCTATTTCAGGTTACTTTTTGTTGTGCAGATTAAAGGCAGAGGGAACTTTATTATCATGTTGACTGAAACTGGCCTATTTGGGGATATTATCTCTATCTCCTGATTTCTCCAAGAGTCAGATGATTTGGTTTGGTGACATGGAACTTTAGTATGAGTGACTCCATCTTGGCTTCTGGTCTGGTGAGCTGGAGCCCAGTGCAGGATCTTAGTCCAAAATAATGACCTCATAATTTTTATAACATCCTTATCCTGGAGCTAAAAAAACAAAACTGCAGCTCTTGTATTCGTTGCTACCAACTGCTTCTTATAGCATGAAAGACAGAAAAAGCAGTTGGATTACATCATTCCCCTGTGTGATAAAGGACAATGTTTCATCACACCTGCCACGCTCTGCCAGCCCTGCCTTTGCCCACCTTCCCAGCATCACTGGGTATCACTCTCTTCCTTATCCACCAGCTTCCAGACCCACCACCAACTGGAAGAGGGTCAATATTACATTAAAGGGGAGCACATAGGGTGACATCGGATGGTGGCCGTCTTTAGGAACATGCAATTAGCCTCAAAAACAAGACTAACCCAGGTGAAACAGTTAAAGACCAGTAAAAGAGCATGCATAATTGTGTGCCAGGATGGAGGGTGCTGATAAGGACAGGGATCTGAAGAGCAGGTGGTGCTGGTGAGTGGGGAAGTCTGAAGGAGGCACTGGGGATTTGGAAGCAGCTTAAGGTGTCAGTACAGTGGTGAACTTCGACAATTAAAGTACTGTTTCACTAAAACAGGTAGGCTCATGTATGTGGAATAAGTATTTTCAGAAATACTTGTCAATTCAGATGGGAGTTTTACTTGCCTGTATGATGAAAGAAGAGGAAGTGGGGAGAAATAAGAAGAGAAGCTCTGAGAGGGGAAAGAAGGCTCAGAATTGCATTCCCCTTGTGAGCGTGCTGTGTCTCAGGGTGCCCACTCCACTGGGCTGCCATTCTTTTCTTCTTTTTCCTTTTCTTTTTTTTTGAGATGGAGTCTCTGTCGCCAGGCTGAAGTACAGTGGCACGATCTCGGCTCACTGAAACCTCCACCTCCTGGGTTGAAGCAATTCTCCTGCCTCAGCCTCCCCAGTAGCTGGGATTACAGGCACGTGCCACCACACTCGGCTAATTTTAAAAATATTTTTAGTAGAGACGGGGTTTCACCATGTCAGCCAGGATGATCTCGATCTCTTGACCTCATGATCTGGCTGCCATTCTTCCACAATCTCAAATTCCCCTTACCCCATTAGGCTTCAACAGGCCCTCATTTGTTTCTTCATCTTCTCTCTGAAGCCATTGTTGAAATGGATCCATCTGCATTGGAATCGTAACCAGGGTTGGTGAACTGCATGGAATGCACATCCAACTAGAGAATGAGAGAGTAGGAAGGCATGCAGGACAGAAAGTGGTAGCCAAAAACTGCTGTGATGAGCCCATGAGAGCTGAGACGGGACTTTGCTTCGGGATCTATTCAACTTCTTATTCTATTATGACGCTGGAAGGAGGGATGGAGAGTCTTCCCACCACAGAGGAGGCCAGATCAGAGTTTGGCCATGCAGGAGGAGCAGCTGCAGGTGTGTGGACCCCCACAACTCCACCCCAGCCAGGTGCCTGTGGTAGCTCCCAGGAAACGCCCTGGGGCCGGCACCCAGCAGCCAGTGGCGGGCACCATCAGTGACTAACATGGATCCATTCTGTGGCCATCTAAAACAACAGGCTGCATTTTGCTCTTAAAAGTCAGCCCCTCCCAGCTACTGGGGAGGCTGAAGCAGGAGGATCACTTGAACCCAGGAGCTGGAGGCCAGCCTGGGCAACATAGGGAGATTTAGACTCAAAAAAAAAAGAAAAAAAGAAAGAAAAGTCGATCCCAAACTTGCTTCCCTTGGCCAGCCTCACAATAGAGTAGACGCAGGGCATGGGCTAGGACTGGTGCCCTTCTGAGGTTTCCTAAGCATAATAACTTGCCTCAGTGCAAACAAACGCAATCCCTGGAAACATAGATATTGTTTCACAGTGTCTACAGCTTCATGTTTTTGGAAGGAGAAACCCTGATGCTCGCAGCAGTGAATGTATGCCAGGGAATGGAAGGAACTAGAGAAATGCACGTGAAACACCGAGGAGTCAGAAGATGCAGCCTCAACTCTGTAAGGCAAGGCAAGCTCTCTCTCAATGCAGGATGCAGTCCAGGCACATCCAGCACCAGGACAGCTGTAAAAGGACACTGGCCTGGGCTCCATCTCCAACCTCCTGAATCAGAACCTCCAGGGCTGGAACATCTGCAGCCTCTCCAAGAAAGAGATTTTTAAGCTGGAGGTGTCTGAGCTCTCTACCTGTCGCCCACATCCTGCTTGGTCAGGAGAGCAGTCCTCCACCCTGACAGGCAGATGGAGAAGGCCTCTGATGAATGGATGGAGGAAGGGTCAGTGAGGGCTAGTGTTGGAGTCCTGAAGGAGTGAGGGAGAGGACAGTGGGTGGGTCCTAATGCTCTGCCCCCCACGTAGGGAGGCTCACAGGGCACATGTCCTCAGGCTCTGCAGGTCACCTACCCAACTTTTAGTTATAATGTCCCAGAGCTTAATATGGGGCTATTTCTCAAGAAAAAATAGTAGCCCCTGTCTTGTCCCCTAACTCCTCATAGCAGCAAGTTTGAAGTTTGCTGATCTACAAAAGGTCCTCAAATCTGGCCTGAAGCAGCAATAGTATCTCTCCATTTATCCAAAAATTCATGTTTGTGTAGTCCTTCTCTGTTGTAATTCCCAAAGCAAGAGTTTTTAAGTGCAGGAGCATGTCTGAAAATCAGGACCCCCAGGGCTCTTGCTCAATCCCAAGAAGGTTAGAGTGGTTCTTAGCTTCAGCTGTCCCATCCTAAACGAGGAGGTGGGATTCTGGAATTTCTAAAAGTCATTCCTACTCCACTGCCCTATAATTTCTAAGAAAAAAGCCAGCCACTTCGTCATAGAGTTGGGTATTCCACCTCCTCTGAAACATGTATGGAGAACAGCTTGAACCTTTTCACTGCTCACCTCTGCTTTTAGTGACTAAGGATAGAAAGGTCAGAGGCAAAGTGGCAAAGGACTTGAAAACTACCTTCAAAAACTAACTGCAAAAACCAAACTACTAATATCGTTTGGTGGCTGGGCGCGGTGGCTCACGCCTGCAATCCCACCACTGTGGGAGGCCGAGGCGGGCGAATTGCCTGAGCTCAGGAGTTTGAAACCAGCCTGTGCAACACGGTGAAACCTCGTCTCTAATAAAATACAAAAAATTAGCTGGGCTTGGCAGAGTGCACCTGTAGTCCCGGATACTCAGGAGGCTGAGACAGGAGAACTGCTTGAACCTGGGAGGTGGAGTTTGCCGTGAGCCAAGATCGCGCCACTGCACTCCAGCCTGGCAACAGAGACTTTGTCTCAAAAAAAAAAAAAAAAAAAAAATGGTTTGGTGTGGGTCTGGCGCCCTCTGGTGTGTTTTGAGACTGTGTCATGCTGGCTGGTGCTAAGTTCTCCCTGCTGCCATCTGTGGTCTGACATGTGAGCACATGCTGTATATGCTGAGAGTGCTGTATTATAAATTATTATTATTATTGTTATTATTTTGAGACGGAGTTTCGTTCTTGTTGCCCAGGCTGGAGTGCAATGGCACGATCTTGGCTCACTGCAACCTCCACCTCCCGGGTTCAAGCGATTATCCCTTCTCAGCCTCCCGAGTGGCTGGGATTACAGGTGCCCGCCACCACACCCGACTAATTTTTTGTATATTTTTTTTTTAGTATAGATGGTGTTTCACCATGTTGGCCAGGTTTGTCTCAAACTCTAGACCTCAGGTGATCCACTCGCCTCGGCCTCCCAAATGCTGTGATCACAGGCATGAGCCACCACACCCAGACTATAAATTATTTTAATTACCACCTGATACTTTCAGTAAATCTAGAAGAAAAATGGTAAATGCAAGGTTTTATTAAAACAAAAACAGGCTCAAAGTTAAAATATACTTGAGCCTTTATTAAAAACCACAATAAAATGGCCAGGCGCGGTGGCTCACGCCTATAATCCCAGCACTTTGGGAGGCCGAGGTGGACGGATCACAAGATCAGGAGATCGAGACCATCCTGGCTAACATGGTGAAACCCCGTCTCTATTAAAAATACAAAAAAATTAGCCAGGCATGGTGGCGGGCGCCTGTAGTCCCAGCTACTCTGGAGGCTGAGGCAGGAGAATGGCGTGAACCTGGGAGGCAGAGGTGGCAGTGAGCCGAGATTGCGCCACTGCACTCCAGCCTGGGTGACAGAGCGAGACTCCATCTCAAAAAAAAAAAAAAAAAAAAACAACCCAATAAAATGCCATCATAGAATATCTATGCTTGTCTGTCTGTCTGTCTCTCTCTCTCCCTCCATGTTTTGAGATGGCACTACAGCAATGTGTAAAAGGTAAATCAAGGTTCATGACCCTGTCTGTATCAATTAGTGGGCTCTTGAGTTTTCTATTGCACCCAACAGCACCCCACTCCTGCAAAAATACTAACAACAACAAAGCTGAATTTTAAACAGGAAAAGAAGGCAACAAAGCTTATGGAAGAGAACAAATATGGAAGATATTTATGGAATAAACATGGAATGGAATACAAAACAAATTATGGAAAATAAATACAATGAATCAGAAAGGATTTCTCAAACCATACTTGAAAATCGTAAATCTTAATGAAAATACCATAGAAAAATAAAACATCTTTCGACAATAAGAGATATAAACAAAGTTAAAAAGCAAGTCATAGCCTGGAAGAGTATATTTGCAATGGGATCTAAAATAAATAAATAATAGCTACAAAACTGTAAGAGACAACCCAAAAGGCAAGTAATAATACAAAAGCCTAAATTACCAATAAACATGAAAAAGATGTTAGGTTCCTTAGTCATTAGAGAAATGCAAACTAAAGCCACAAGGAGCTCTCATAGTGCCTTCAATGAGTTAGCAAAAATAAGACAAAAAAAAAAAAACAAAAAAACAGCTGTCAAGTGTTTTTCTAAGTATTTTCATAAAAGATTCATATACTGCAGGTGGGAGTGAACAGGGAGGCTAAAAAGCAAAAAAGTTTTCTATCTTGTATACATTTGAGTGCAGAAAAAACCCAGAAAACTCCCCTGATAATCTAAGCACACCTGCCCTCGGGTGGGCTTAGGATTCAATATAATGATCTTCAAGTAGTCCAGGAAAATACAAGCCAAGAAATTATAGTAGCCCTAGACTCACAGTGCCTTGGAGCACCTTAACAAAACAAAAACAAAATCTGGAGAAATGTACCCTTAATACAGGCCTCACAGTATTCCCACAAGTCAACCCTTTCAAACATGAGTTTATAATCTAAAATTACAAAATACATTAAAGAGAAAATTAATTAACTGAAATATATATTTGAAAAAATTATTCAGAATGCAGCACAGAGAGAGAAAGAAATGGAAAATATAAAACAGAGGTTAACAGAAACAAAGTGTAGAGTGAGAAGGTCCAATTTACTGCCTAATAGCAGTTCTAGAAGAAAATGACAAGGAAGAGGTAAAATTTAAAGAGACAAATGACTAACAATTTCCCAGACCAATAAGACAAGAATGCTCAAATCCAAGAATTATAATCAATCCCAAGCAGGGTAAATGAATATCTACACCTTAATATTATAATGAATGTATATAATACCAAAGAAAAATAATAACTTACCTATATGGAAAGACAATTTGACTGTAAGAAAATTTCTCGATAGCAGTAATAGAAGTCAGAAATCAATAAAATTATATTTTCAAATTTAGAAAAACAAAAAAAAACCTGTCAGCCTAGACTTTTATATTACTAAACAATTACTCGAGAATGAGGGTGAGATAAAAATACATTTTTATCCAATTAAAAACTGACATCATTCACCAATAGCATACCCTCAGCTAAAGGCACTTCTTCAGAATGTCCTTGAAGAACAAAAATTACTGTAGAAAGAAGATATGAAACACAAGGAAGAATAAAGAATCGGCCAACACGTGAATAAATCTAGATTTATTAATAAAACTAGGTTATTTATTAAATTGGTTGGAAGGTACATGGGCACAGATACTTCTTTATTCTTTTTTGTGTGGCTAAAATATTTGATAGTATTTTTTTAAGTAGCACAGGGAAAAGAGTTCTAGGCAGAAGATTCTGAGGCTAGAAAGAGCTTGACCTACTTATACAACTGAAAGAGAGCTAGCATATCTGGAACAGGGTAAAGAGAAGTGGTACAAAATGAGGGTGGAAGGGAGTAGGCAAGAGACATGAATAGACACTTTCCAAAAGAAGACATGCATGTGGCTAACAAGTATATGAAAAAATGCTCAACATCACTAACCATTAGAGAAATGCAAATCAAAACCACAATGAGACACCATCTCACTCCAGACAGAATGACTATTATTAAATAGTCAAAAAATTGCAGATGCTGTTGAGGTTCTGGGAAAAAAGGGAACACTTGTGGGAATGTAAATTAGTTCAACTACTATTATTGGGGGAAGCTGCCCCCAATATTTCAACGTAGGTTCTTTCTATTTTCCGTAAGTGTCGGCCGGCTGAGAAATAAAGAGAGACAGTACAAAGAGAGGAATTTTACAGCTGGGCCACCAGGGGTGACATCACCTATCAGTAGGACCATGATGCCTGCCTGAGTCTCAGACCAGCAAGTTTTTATTAAGGGTTTCAAAAGGGGAGGGGGTGTAAGAACAGGGAGTAGGTACAAAGATCACATGCTTCAAAAGGCAAAAAGCAGAACTGCTAGTAAGGGTCTAACAAAGATCACATGCTTCTGAGGGAACAGGACAAAGGGCAAAAGCAGAACTACTGATAAGGGTCTATGTTCAGCAGTGCACATATTGTCTTGATAAACATCTTAAATAACAGAAAACAGGGTTCGAGAGCAGAGAAACAGTGTGACCACAAATTTACCAGGGCAGAGTTTTTCCCCACCCTAGTAAGCCTGAGGGTACTGCAGGAGACCAGGGCATATCTCAGTCCTTATCTCAACTGCATAAGACAGACATTCCCAGAGCAGCCATTTATAGACCTCCCGCGAGGAATGCATTCCTTTCCCAGGGTGTTAATATTAATATTCCTTGCTAGGAAAAGAATTTAGCAATATCTCTCCTATTTGCACGTCAGTTTATAGGCTCTCTGCAATAAGAAAAATATGGCTCTTTTTACCTGACCCCGCAGGCAGTCAGACCTTATGGTTGTCTTTCCTTGTTCCCTAAAAATCACTGTTATTCTGTTCTTTCTCAAGGTGCACTGATTTCCTATTGTTCAAACACACATGTTTTACAATCAATTTGTACAGTTAACAAAATTATCACAGTGGTCCTGAGGTGATGTACAACCTTAGTTTACAAAGATAACAGGATTAAGAGATTAAAATAAAGACAGGCATAAGAAATTATGAAAGTATTATTTGGGAACTGATAAATGTCCATGAAATCTTCACAATTTATGATCCTCTGCTGTGGCTCCAGCCGGTCCTGCCGTTTGGGGTCCATGACTTCCTGCAACACATTATGGAAGACAGTGTGGCAATTCCTCAAAGACCCAAAGACAGAAATACCATTCAACCCAGCAATCCCATTGGGTATCTACCCAAAGGAATATAAATCATTCTATTATGAGCACACATGCACATGTATGTTCAATCTAGTACTATTCACAATAGCAAAGACATAGAATCAACCTAAATGCCCATCAATGATAGAGTGGATAAAGAAAATGCAGTATATATACACCATGGAATACTATGCAGCCATAAAAAAAGAATGAGATCGTGTCCTTTCCAGGGACATGGATGGAGCTGGAAGCCATTATCCTTAGCAAACTAACATAGGAACAGAAAACCAAATACCGCATGTTCTTACTTATAAGTGGGAGCTAAATGATGAGAACACATGGACACATAGAGGGGAACAACATACACTCGGACCTAGTGGAGGGTGGAGGTGCATTGAGGGAGAGGGTTAGGCAAAATATTATATGTATTTTGTATAACAGACCCCCATGACATACATTTACCTACGTAACAAACCTGCACATGTACCCCTGAACTTAAAATAAAAGTAAAACAAACAAACAAACAAAATGTTCATCACTAGGAAAACAGATGAACAAACTGTAGAGCATTCATGCAACAGAAGACTCTTCAACCACAGAAAGGAACAAACTACTGAAGAACACACCATAGACGAATCTCCTAAACTTGCTACATGAGACAAGCTGGACACCAAATAATACATATTGTGTGATTTCAGGCAAAATGAACCTATGGTGAAAAAAGTCAGAATAAAAATAACCCCTGGGGAAAGAAAAATTTGCCTGGGAAGGAATATGAGAAAATTCCTGGGGATAATGGAATTATTCTATTCTTTTTTTGAGATGGAGTCTCGCTCTGTAGCCCGGGCTGGAGTACAGTGGCATGATCTCGGCTCACTGCAAGCTCTGCCTCCCGGGTTCACGCCATTCTCCTGCCTCAGCCTCCCGAGTAGCTGGGATTACAGGCGCCCGCCCCCACGCCCAGCTAATTTTTCGTATTTTTAGTAGAGACGTTGTTTCATCATGTTAGCCAGGATGGTCTCGATCTCCTGACCTCATGATCCACCCACCTTGGCCTCCCAAAGTGCTAGGATTACAGGCGTGAGCCCCCGCGCCCAGCCAAAATTATTCTATTCTTAGTGCAATGGCAAAATTTCAGCTCACTGCAACCTCTGTCTCCTGGGTTCAAGCAATTCTCCTGCCTCAGCCTCCTGAGTAGCTGAGATTATAGGCACCCGCCACTACAAGTGGCCAATTTTTGTATTTTTAGTAGAGACGGAATTTTGCCATGTTGGTCAGGCTGGTCTCGAACTCCGGACTTCAGGTGATCCACCCACTTTGGCCTCCCAAAGTGCTGAGGTTACAGGCATGAGCCACCGTGCCCTGCCTAATTATTCTATTCTTAAAATGGGTGAAGGTTATATGGGTGTATTTAATTGTCAAAAATATACAGTTAATTTTTGTGCCTATGAATATGTGTACATTTGAGCTCATTTTTTAAAAAAAAGAACTAAAAGAAATGATGGGATGGAAAATGGGTTGAAGTATAGATGAAATAAAAAAGGCACATGAATAGTAGTTTTTGAGGCTGGGTGACGGGTCTATTATACTATTTTGTCTACTTTGTGTTTAAAATTTTCTATAATAAAACACTGGTCTAAAAAGACAAGTTATCTACAATGTTCTTAAAATTTTGGTTATCTTTTCAGGGGAGGGCAAGAAAAAGTGATTTTCAGGCATGATAGAGGCTGATTCTATTCCTTGGTCACACAAGTTTATCCACTTTGTAATAACGCACTGAGCTTTACATGAATGCTTTGTGCATGCATTTCTGTATGCATGTTACAATATCAATAACAATTTTAAATATTACATTTAAACACAAAAATCCTAACAGCATCTCAGAACAATGGCAGCACTGTTGTTTGTTTTAAAACAGGATATGTTCACTCATGGCATTATCAGATGACTTTTAATATTTTGAGATATTTATTCATGTCCTAACCCTTGGTAAGTGGCATGGTTTTTATTTTTCATGATGCACTTTTTTTCAGCAAAGTCCTCCCCCAACCGTGCTGCTCACCAAGGCCCTGGCACCTAGCACAGTGCCCTGGGAAACTTGTAAATCTGGGTTAGATTTGGGACAAAACAGGAAGTAGAGGTCAGTTCCTTCCAAGAGAAGTAAATAGGTAATGCAAGGAAGATTGAAAGGCCGCAACTCAGCAGCAAATGTTTTTACATTCATTTGAGAAACACTTGCAAAGAGTTTACCAAAAAATGTTGGTTTAAAGCAGCAGTTTTGAGGACTGGCTGCACACTATGGAAAGCTGTTGTTTATTTATTTATTTATTTTTAAGATGAAATCTGGCTCTGTCACCATCACCCAGGCTGGAGTGCAGTGTCGTAATCATAGCTCACTACATCCTCCAACTCCTGGGCTCAAAGTATCCTCCACCTCAGCCACCAAAAGTGCTGAAATTAGAGGTGTGAACCACCACCCCTCTCCATTCCTGGGGAGCTTTTAACAATACTGATGTCCTGGTTTCACTCCAGGAATTCTGGGTTCATTGGTCTGTTGCAACTTGGGTTTAGGGGGATTTTTAAAAGCCCCCATGTGATCCTAATGTGCAGCCAGAGGTGAGAACTACTGGTTCATGGTGAGAGGTGCATTAGCTGTGCCTCATTTCCATGTGTGCTGTAGCAATTTGCCCCATGGCCATTGCTGCATTTGGATTTTTGGAAAAAAGCTTTGCTGTGTTAAAAATTAGAGAACAACTTCAAGATGTACTCAACTGTGTGGTTCAGTGGCAGCAGGAGGAAGTGTCTCCCAGCAGATCTATCTTTATGTCACTTGCGTTCTGAGTAAGAGGTTGTCTCTGGCACAGTAGTTTATGATGAAAATCATAAACAGGCGTGCTGAGGTGGGTGGATCACGAGGTCAAGAGTTCGAGACCAGCCTGGCCAACCTGGTGAAACCCCATCTCTACTAAGAATACAAAAATTAGCTGGGTGTGGTGGCATGTGCCTATAATGCCAGCTACTCAGGAGGCTGAGGCAGGAGAATTGCTTGAACCTGGGAGGTAGAGGTTGCAGTGATCCAAGATTGAGCCACTACACTCCAGCCTGGGCAACAGAGCAAGACTCTGTCTCAGAAAAAAAAAAAGAAAAGACAATCATAAATAGTCTACAAATACCAAAAAGAGATCAAAAGAATTTGCACATAATACTTTGGCCGGCTGCGATGGCTCATGCCTGTGATCCCAGCACTTTGGGAGGCCAAGACGGGCTGATCATGAGGTCAGGAGATCGAGACCACCCTGGCTAACATGGTGAAACCCCATCTCTACTAAAAATACAAAAAAATTAGCCAGGCGTGGTGGTGGGCACCTGTAGTCCCAGCTACTCATAGCTACTCAGGAGGCTGAGGCAGGAGAATGGCATGAACCTGGGAGGCGGAGGTTGCAGTGAGCTGAGATCGCGCCACTGCCCTCCAGCCTGGGCAACAGAGTGAGACTCCATCTCAAAAAAAAAAAAAGGATTTGCACACATGTGGAGTGCATTATCATGCTTTCAAATTTCTCCTATGATGAGGAATGAAAAATATAATATTGGGCCTTGATTTCCTAAATGGCCCTCCGCCATTTCCCCAAATTATTCCAACTTTTCCCAAGACACTTCAGAAACATTCTCTGGAGGGAAATATTGCAAATGGTGAAGAGTACTAGATGGATGAGAATCCCATGGGATTCTTGCTTAAACTGCAGAAGAGTCACCCTCCAGGACTTCAAAAATTTACGGAAGCTGCATGAGTAGTGTGGGCTATGGAAGTCATGGGCGTCGACGTCAGGCCGACTTGGTCCTGAGTCCCTGTCCAGCCTCTTAGTTGCTGTGGGGCTTTGGACAAGTTCCCTGACTTGAAACACTTATATAAACCTCACCTGCAAGAAAATGCATAGTGATACTGATTGCAAAAATGGCATCAATTCATCATCCTTCCCTGTATCCAGACCCTTTGCAGTGTGCTTGTACAGATGTTCTCATTAAGAAGCAGACTCTGTTTCCCAAACCTTGGATCTCAGCTGGCCTTATTTGCTGTGGCCAATAGAAGACTGCAAACATAACAGTGTGCCAGCTTGGGGCTTAGGCTCAAAAGTTCTTGAATGCTTTGTTTTTCTTTCAGAATTCTACCATTTCCATAAGAGCAAGTCTGTGCTAGCCTGTTGGAGGACGAGAAACCATGAGAAGCAAAGTGCCACAGTTGACAGCCAACTCACCCCCAGAAGCAGAGATGCCTAGTCAACCAAAAGTTAAGCACACATGTCCAAAGGGGCCCAGCTGGGTCCAGAAGAATGGCCCAGCTGAGCCCAGCCCAAATGGCTGAACAGCTCAATCATGAGTGAATAAGTTTTGGGTGATTTGTTATGCAGCAATAGCTAAATAATACATGCACCCAGTGCAGATAGGATGCTAGGATTCAAGGACAGGTTGATTACAAGTTACCTGCAAACAGAAGACACCCTACAGTTGCTGATTTTCTTTTCCTCTTATTTAAAGTTGGGCCTCTTGCTTGATGGCATCGAGTTACACAGAAATGCATGTAGACATGTCTGCATGTAATTGGTGCTTAAACTACGCAGTCCTCCACAGCATGTGAGGAAACAAATGTACACAGCCTGACCGTTAGGGTCAAGGCCAAATAGCAAAGTAAGTGTGCCTTTAATCTATTCCCTCCATATCTAAACTTCGTAGGTCAAGGCTGTGGACAGATCTGAAGACACTGGGTTTCCTCCTTTTGGGGGCCCCATCATCCTTTGTTCATTTTCTGATCTCTGGAAAGACGATGGGCAGCAGGTGGGCAGCAGGGAAACCTGTGGACACTTTGTTCTTGTAGCCCCTGCCCTCTAGAGGCACCATCTCTCACTCTTGGGCCTGAAGAGAGCTGTTGGGAGGGAGGAGGTGTCCCCTAACTTCTGGCAGAAAAGAGTGTTTCAGACCCGTCACCTCCCTCAGCTCAGGGCAGTCAGAGTCCTCCGAGCTGCGCTTCAGTGTGGTGGCCACTGGCCACGTGGGGCTGCTGGGCACCTGGAATAAGCTGCTTTGCACTGACGTGTGCTGGAAACTTAAAAATCCAGAGAGTTGCCAAAATTAGTACCAAAACTTATACACTTTATTAACAATTATATACTGGTCTCATATTAAAATGATCATATTTTGGCTATATTGGGTCAAATAAATTATTACAATCAATTTCACCTGTTTCTTTAATATGTGGCTATTAGAAAATTTAAAATACACATATGGTTCACATTTTATTTCTTAGAAGACTGTCTCCTTTTTGAAATCTCAGGCTGCCTGCTCAAAGGACCAGGGGCCAGGAAGATCATAAAAATCCAAAATTCTAAAATAATTGTCATTATGTTGTTTCTACTTGTGAATTTTATATATATATAAAATATATATATTATATATAAAATATATATATTATATATAAAATATATATATTATATATAATATATATATTATATATAATATATATATAATATATATAATATATATATAATATATAATATATATATTATATATATAGTATATATATAAAATATTTATAAAATATATATAAATATATATAATATATATATAAAATATATTTATAAAATATATATATAATATATATAAAATATATATATAAAATATATATAATATATATAATATATATAAAATATATCTATATAAAATATATATATATAATGTATCTATATAAAATATATATATAATATATCTATATAAAAATATATATAATGTATCTATATAAAATATATATATAATGTATATATATAAAATATATACATATAAAATGTATATATATAAAATATATATATATAACTTATAAATGAATATAATCTTATACACAAGGTTAAATGTAAATGTCCCCAGGGCAGGGCCAGGCCCAGTGCTGGGAGAAAGCCCTGTCTGAAAAACCTGCTGCCAGGGGCCTGTGGTTCTTGCTTCATCCAACCCAGTATCTGATGGCATCTCCTGTCTTCGGTCTCACCATGGCTTGCATGTGTGGGGCCTTCTCTCCATTTCTCCCAGGCCCCTTCTGTTCTCCCTGTTCCCTCCATCATGTCTCAGACTCTGGCCTTGGGACTAGAAGCCCCTTCCTAGACCTACCTCAGTTGTCATTTCCCCAAACCTTTCGCACAGGTTGAGGACTGGACTGCGGTCCTCTCTGCCCTGGGAGGCAGTGGGAGCTCAGCACCACCCACATCTCCTGCTCCCCTGACTCCCTCAGGAGAGATTTGTGGTCTTAGCTTGTCATCATCCTCTCTCCCCAGCTTCAGTGAGCAGGCCAGGGCTGCCTTGGGAATCAGGATGGCGACAGTGTTAGGGGGGCTCTCTGACCACGTCCGCATCACAGAGGAGTTAACTTGTTGTGACAGACAGGTACTAGGGCAGCTCTGCTGATGACCTAACCAAGGCCAAGGTTTGGGCAGAGCAACAAATGTTGGCAGCCTCCACCTACCAGGCTTTGTGCTGCTGTGCTTCTGAGTCAGTGGGGCAGGTTAGATAGGAGGAGATTGGGGCTGGCTGACTTCCCCCTAGCAAAGATTGGGGGAAAGAGTTGAAGTAGGCCGTGCGCGGTGGCTCAAGCCTGTAATCCCAGCACTTTGGGAGGCCAAGGCGGGCGGATCACGAGGTCAGGAGATCGAGACCATCCTGGCTAACACGGTGAAACCCCGTCTCTACTAAAAATACAAAAAATTAGCCGGGCGTGGTGGCGGGCACCTATAGTCCCAGCTACTTGGCAGGCTGAGGCAGGAGAATGGTGTGAACCTGGAAGGCAGAGCTTGCAGTGAGCCGAGATGGCACCACTGCACTCCAGCCTGGGCGACAGAGTGAGACTCTGTCTCAAAAAAAAAAAAAGAGTTGAAGCAACTTGCCCAAGGTCACACCATGACCAAGTTGCTTAGGGGAGCACTTGGATTTCCACCTCATGGCCGGCAAGCCAAAGCTGCCTGGTCTGGCCCGGAGGAAACGGGGACTGGTGTGTTGTTCTGAATCTCATGCTGAGAATGAGGGGCTGTGCAGAGTCTGTTGGAGAATTTCTGGGACAGCATCAGTGAAGCTCCTTCTCAACTGAGGGCCTCTATCTGGGGTGAACTGGGTCAGGGGAAGGCACAGCTGTTCATTTGGGGGAAACTGGGAGCATACTAGTGGGTAGGACATCAGCCTCATGTCCCTGGGAAGCTGGTGTAGATGGCTGGGGCTTCCATTACAGCAGTCCTGGATCTATTGAAGGAAGCCCTAATTAAGATCCTCAGCATGATCCCGCCTGAGCACCTAAAGTGAGGCTCCTGATCCCAGGACCCGGCTCTATAAAACTCTTCAGTCCGCTCAAGGATGAGACGATGAAAGCCACTGGGGGTGGGGCAAGGGTCAGTTACCTTCTTAGGAATAAAGCAGCTGGTAGGGGTTAAGAGAACAGGCAAGCATTTCTGAGTTCACAGGGGAGTGTCCAGTTCCTTCTGCCTAGGGGAAGGCTCCCTAGAGCTGAGGCCCAGAGGGGAAGAGAAGGGGGCTGGCAGATGTGGGGGGCTTCAGGGAGCTCCCCAACAGGATGCTGAAGCTCTCTGGGATGAGATCTGGGGAGAGTAACTAGAGGAGCTCTAGGTGATCCTCTGGCCCTGAAGACCTGCCTCTGGCCTGGGTGGGACAGGGAGGAGGCAAACAGAGGTGCCCACCTCTTTTGGGGCTTCCACAGGCTGCCTGCTTGCCTCATCCTCTTTTCTTGAAGCTCTGGGTTGCTGTGATGGGATGGAGTGATGTGCCTTTTGGGGCCCTACTTCCTGCTGGGGCTTCACCTGCTGAGGCCTGGGCTGGGGTGCGGCCTGGCCCTGGCATAGTCTCCCAAGTGGGTCCATGCCAAGCTGGGGAGGCACACAGGCCACCTGGGGTGGCGTAAGTGTCTTTTCTCGCTCCTGTCTGTTGTGTGGGCTTTCTGTGCTCCCAGGCCAGGACAAGGGTGTGCTTCATCTCTTCACCCTAATTTCTTTCATTAAGGCTGGGGAGGCACGTGTTCAAGCTGCATGTGTGCAGAGTGCTACGAGGGCAGCCCTGGCCTGTTCTCCAGAGAGGATCTCCTTTTTCCCTTTCCTTAAAGCTCAGATCCTCAGAGGTGGCCCTGGAACATGAGAGGAGGGGGTACTGGCCCAAGGCGTAGAGGTTTCTGCAGGTCCTATGACTGGGCTAGATCTGCCCCTGGGCAGGTCCTGAGGCCTGGAGGAGGAAGGGGGTTCTGCTGACATTTGGGTGCTGCAGCCTGGTCCCAGGGAGCAGGACCGCCTGGCCTGTGCTCAGTGGGGGTGGCACTCAAAGGCATGGGCTTGGCCATCGGACATATCTGAATGTTTCTTGACCTGGCTTGGCTGCCCCTCGCCTCTGTGACCTTGGGCAGCTGCTTCCCTGCCCTGTGGAGCCCATTTCCTTGGGTGAGATGGGGTGGTCGAGCCGATTTAGGGACCAGCTATGGGCTGGGCCTAGTGTGATATTGACTGTAGGGTAACCAGAATGGGGGCGGTTGTCAATACTCTTCTGGGTCACTGTCTGGCCGTCCTGTGCCGCTTCTCTCTCTGTAAGGTGAGGGTGTGTTTGGGGAGGGGTTGGGAGAGGGGTTCTGCCTAGGCCTGGCCCTTCTTCCCTATGATCGTTGTGTGAGGTCCAGAACCCTGCATGGAGCTATGTAGAAACACAGGTTCTGCCTGGGTCCCTGGGCCTGAAGGGGCGGGGACGGAGGGAGAGCCTGGCTCCTCTCACCCTGGTGAGGGTGGAAGCGGAGCCGTCCTGACTGGGCCCTGACCACATGGCAGAGGCCCTGGGGAGACACCCTGGCGAGCTGGGCATGCTCCTTCCCCCCAGCCACACAGCCCTCAGCCTCTTGCTGCCAGCTCTGTTCCCCCTGGAGAGACTTGATTCCATCCTGGCAGGGCAGGGGCTGTGAGGATGGAAAGGTAGAGCCTGCCAGCTTCTTAGTGGAGTTCAGAGGACTGGGGCACGGGGGCAGTTGTCCTCTGGGAGACGGGGTGGGGGTGTCTATCTCCCTCCCTCCCACCAGAATGAGTGACTCACGGGAAGGAGGTGCCTGCTGGGCCACCTACAGGGGGCAGCAGGAGCCAGAGGCCCCAGCCAGCCATTTAGCCCAGGAAGCAGACAAGGCACTCAGTGTCTGAGACTGGTGGACTGGGGTAGCGCCTCGTGGCCTTGGACTGGGTCTGCACCAGCTGTTGCCAGCAGCTGGCCAAAGCAGCTGCCCGTCCCCCTGGGGTGGGAGCTGAGGAGAGGACCCCCTTGCTGGGCCTGCCCCTGTCAGCCAATCTCCTAGGCCCTCGATCTTTGCAGGTCCATGTACCCCAAATGCTGGGCTCTCCTACCTTCCAGCATCCTTACCAGCAGCAGCCCCCTTTCTGAGGCTATAGGCAGGTGGGCCTGAGTGCAGGGAGCAGGTCCCCCTGGTATCCTGGAGCCACTGAGGCCTCCTGGCCCACAGCTGTCCTTTGGGCCAACCTAGAGTTAGATGCAAGTCACGGGGAGTGCACCCTTCCTGGGGCCACCCCAGCAGGCCTGGTCCCACTGAAACACAAAGTCAGCTCGAGCTCCAGCCCGGGGACCAACGACTGCATTAGGGCAAGGGTAGTGGCAGAGACTGGAATGATGGACACAGGCAGTGCCAGGCCTGGGCCAGAAAGCTGGCTACTTCGCTACCATGGCCATCCTGAGACTCCAGAGTCCAGGAGAGGGTGGCGCCAGGTGGGCAGTGGGAGCCTCGTGAACCAGTTGGCTACCCTCTTGCTGGGGAGGTCACTTGGCTTTCATCCAGAGATAGGAAGACGTTCAGGGTTCTTTGGAGGAAGAAGGAGGGGCAGGACAGGATGTCTCGGTGATAGGAGGTCCCTGGGGGACCAGCCATATTACTTTGAAATCTTACCCATGGGGGTGGAGGGTTCCCTGGGCTGGGGAGGAAGAACGGGGGCTACCTTTCCTTGTCTTCCCTCCCCTCCCCCATGCCTCCCATCCCAGACATGCCAAGGACAGGCTGCCCATCTAGGTCCAGATCTCTGGCTCCCGGCTTCTGGGATCTCAGCTCAAAACTGCTGCTGCACATTGGGCGGAAGCCCTTCCTGCTTCTCCCCTCACTCCGGTCTTGGCAGCCAGCATAGCTTTTCTCAGGGACCCAGTGGGGGAGGTTCCTCCCACCCGCCCTCCCTCTTGCTGCTTCTTGAAAGCTGATCCACTTCTGCCCCTCCTGCTCCTGTCTGCTCTGTTGTAAGAGTCAGGCAGGTTTTCACAACGTGATGGGGCTTGTCACTTGCTAGGGGATTGGGGTTGCCATGACATTTTCTCCAGCTTGGGCTTTGACATCTAGTACTACTGTAAGGATTTTGGCAGGGATGTGGTGGCCTCCATAGCACCCACCACCCACCTGAATGGCACGCACACATACAAGGTGGTGCATCTGGAGGGGCTGTGCACGCTGGGCACAGTGATGGTGAATAACTGTGGCTACCAGGTCATGGCCCAGTCCATCATCTTCCCGGCATCTTGGAGTGGAACCAGAAGCAGAGCTTCATCTATGGTTCCACTGACTTTGGCAAGAGGGTGGCGTCACAGCCACAGTACCTGGAGCTGCTGGGTCACTCAAGTTAGACCTCAAGATTCTGAGGCACTGTGTATTCAATTATTGAGATGAGGAGGTAGAGCTCTGCTTCTTGGTGGGTGTCACTGGCAAAACAGGCACCAGTATACCCTCCTCCTGCTGTGCATCTTCCCCTGACCACAGCTTCCTGCCCGTGCCCAGTACGCAGATGCTGTGCCAGCTTCCCCCATGCCCACCGGCAGGGGCTCTGCTGCCTGCACCAGGAGCAAGTGAGTGGCTTGGTAGAGCACTGGTGAGGAGCAGCCCTGGGAGGCTATAGCTAGAGCAGGCTACATCCTGCCAGAGAGCATGGCCACACTGGGTTGTCCTGGGGCTGGATCCTTGAAGAGAGAAGCTTTGGAAAGCGAAGAAGCCACACTCACTAGAGCCCCCTTCCCATCTCCCACCCACCCTGTGGTCAGTCTCCCAAATGCAGAGATCTACGTTGGTTGCAAACTAGAGAGCAGCCAAACCAGTGACCCAGCTGAGGCAGTACTGTTCCCTTAAGGAGCACGTGGAAATCTACTGGGTGGCTGTGAATATCACCATGTCAAGGGTGGGCAGGTGGGACACTGGGTGTTGGTGCCACTGGTGTTTCATGCTTAGGAGTTGGCCATGTCAAATGTCCCAAGCCAGAAATAACTCTTTCTCAAATGCCAGTGGCATTCCTGTCACTGTTGAGAGCCCCAGCCTGAATGGGGAGCCCCTCTCTGCCCCCTTCATACTATAGCTGTCTTCTTCCTGGCTGGGTAGATGTTGGGTTTTGCTGTGACCTGATGCTGTTGGGTGTGTGCACGCCCATGCAAGTGCACACTGGGCAGGATATGTCCCCATGCCTGCAGGTTGTGCAGCCCCACATTCCTCAGCCACAGCAGGCCAGGACGCTGCCAGGCCAGCAAAGCTTCCGAATCCCCCTCTACCATCTCCTGCTCCACCCTGTCTGGTGTACTCCAAGTGCCTCCTCTTCATGAAGCTGCTGCCCTGCAGCCTGATGCAGCAGAAAGCCAGCAGGCTGGAGCACCCTACCTCCCTGGAAAATAGCACTCTTCCTTCCTTGGAGTCTTAGCTTGAAGACCCTCTGGGACACAAGGCAGGAATTGAGAAGGGCAGAAGTGCTAGCAGCCGGGCCAAGGGGAAGGGGCTGGCTGAGAGCATTGCTGCAGAGGACAGCACAGGTGGGGTTGCTCTGGATGCCAGGGGAGAGCACCCAGCCTGTCCTGGCAGCTGGTCACTGTCAGTCATCGCTCATGACCCAGCCTCTGAGAGAGGCAGGGAGATGCCTCCACAGGGAGCTGTGGGGTGAGATTCACGCAGCCACTCCTCCAATGGTGGAGGTGGGCCACCTCCCAATGTGCCCTGTCCCCACAGTAGACCCTCGACACCAGGAAGTGATCCTCAACGTGTGCAAGGGAGTCAGCTCCATCAGCAGCCTGGCCTTCCACAGAAGGCCCTCCAACCTGGACATCTTATCAGGCAACTGGTGGGGGCTGGTTGGCACTGGAGCCCGGTGGGGTGAGACAGAGCCTCTTTGGGGGAGCATCTTTGGCCCTCGGTGCTGGTGTGCCTGTCCAGCCATGTGAGTGTGGCGCCTGCCAGCCCCAGACAGCATCTGTCTTACCACCCCCTGCCTCCCTTCTGCCTCATTCAAGCTTCTCTGCTCCTCTTCCAGGCAGGGGTTCACTTCCCTGAGTCCTGCCAAGATGACGTTTTGGAACCAGGAACAGCTGCTGAAAGATGTGGCTGCCTTTTTGCTCTCCTGCCAAACCTCTGGCTTGGTGAGGGAGGGGTCATGGGGTGCGTGGGGGCTTGCAAGTTTTATCACCCTAGTTGAAAACTTTTTTTCATCTCCTAGTGTAAGATAAAAACTTGGAAAGATGGGTCTCTTGAGATGTTGTTAATGGGGACCAAGGGTGGCCTAGGGAGCACGTAGGGAGCAGAACTCCTGCATGCTCTTCTGGAGAGGTGTGGTTTTTGGAACTTTTCTAGAGTGGGGGGAAAAAATAAGATCTCCATGGTCAGTGAAAGGGCAGTTCTTGGAGTCAGCTAGTGGTTCTGATTCCCCTTTTCCCACAGCAGTGGACTCGGGTGGGTGGGCTGAGAGGGCTTCCTGCTCTAGGAAGCAGAACAGGGCCCTCTCCCCTGCAAAGCGCCAGGGAGGCCCCCTCTAGTCCACAGGCGGGTGCTCCTGACTTTCCCAGCTTCGGCTTCGGGGACTCATATCTTACTCTCTCTTTTTCTCTCTCTCCACCTCCCTCCTCTCTCTCCTCTCTGGCTCTGCCCTGTGGCTGAAGGGCTCGCAGGATAAACTCAAGGGCAACCCTGGGGTGCACCCTGCCACCTTCTCGGCCCACACTGTACCGGCTCATTGTCCCTATGGCCAGTTCGAGTAAGGGGATCTCCAGGTGACCCGAGAAAGCCGCGTGCGAGAGCACAAGCACTCTCAAGGTCTGGCTCAAGGGGCACCGCAAGAACCCCTTCCCCACCAAAGGCGAGGAGAGAATGCTGGCCACCATCACCAAGATGACCCTCACGCCAGTCCCCACCAGCTTCACCAACGCCCACCGGCACCTCAAGTAGAGCACGGTGAAGTGGGGCGCGCACAGCAAGGACCAGGAGCACGGAGGCCTCTTCGACAGCGACACTGAGGGCGACCCCGAGAAGGCAGAGATTGACCTGGAGAGCATGCATCTCCATAAGACCAACACCCACGATGGCGACCAGAACAACGAGGGCGACGAAGACAGGACTGAGGAACATGCGCCCCTGCCGCCCTCACCCGGAACCAGGGCTCCCGGCTGGCAGCGCCAACGTGCTCAACCCCAAGGCTCGCTCTTGGGTCTGGCCAAGGAGGTCCCAGAGCCTGGCTGCAGGCGCCGGTTAGCCCCAGCGCTGCAGCGGGCGGCCTGCAGGGTGAGCCACGCGGGGAAGTCCAAGATCTGGTGGCTGCCTAGGGCAGCCTCGCGCCCGCAGGGCCCGCCCACCGCTTTGCTTACGCCGCTGCCCGTGGGCCACCCCGGCGCGCAGGGTCCCCAGCCCGCGCCTCCGCCACAGCCGGCTTTCCCGCGCAGCCACGGACTGCACTGCCGCCACGCCGGCAAGGGCTCCAGCTGGACGGAGGGGGCCTTCCTCGCTCCGGGATCCCTGTCCCACTGTGTGGCTTCCCGAGGCCTCCCCTTCCTGCGCCACCACCACCGCAGCCGCCCGTCGCGGTGGTCAGGGGCGCTCCGCGGAGACCGAGACCAGGCCCCGGCCCGCAGCTCCGCGCGTTCCCAGGCGCAGCTCCTGATGCCAAGTTCACTTGGACCCCGGCTGAGATTAGAGAGGCCTGGCGAGGTGTGGGGGTGCGCAGGGAGAATGGGCTGTGGTCGCCATGGTGCGTGTTGGTCTTGTGGAGATGGATGCTCCTCCGGGTCAATCTCTGCCTTCTCGGGGTCGCCCTCAGTGTCGCTGCTGAAAAGGCCTCCGTCCTCCTGGTCCTTGCTGTGCGCTCCCCACGTCACCGCGTTCTCCTTGAGGGGCCGGCGGGCGTTGGCGAAGGTGGTGGGGACTGTCGTGAGGATCATCATGGGCAGGGAAGGGCGCGCGGCAGTGGCCTCGAGCCCTGGGTCTTCTCCTTCCTGAATTTGCAAAGCCAGGCGAAGGCCCTCGTGCTCTCCCAGAGAGCTGCGCTCCACCCGCGGGCCTGCCTGCGCGTGGGGAGAGCGGGGAGGCGGGGACAGGAGACCTGAGCCCCTGGGCGCCCCTACCACGTGTCCCCCGTCCCAACACTGGACCTCTTCAGATTCCTTGCCGAGAGGGGCCTCGTCCCAAGGCTGGATGCGCCGCGCAGCGGTGAAAGCCGCCCTCGCAGCCCGCAGGCGACCAGTGGGTGCTGTTGGCTTTCGCCCCGGGGAGGGAACGGGCTTGGGGGCACTGGCGGCGGCGGAGCGCGGCGGGGAAGCTGTGGGGGTCGTGCGATGGTTATGGAGAGTGCTCCATCCGCCAGGCCTGGGCTCTGGGCGAGCTGAGGAGACCGGAGTTTTTCCCCAGGAGGGAGCCGCGCAGGCCGGCGACCTCTTCCCAAGGCTCTACTGCTGGACCGCGCCCGCGGCGCCGCTCCCGCCCCCCTTCAGCGCACTCTGCGCCTCTCGCTGGGTATGGCCAGCTCGCAGTGCGCGTTTATGCTGCGGTAAACGCATTGAAGGAACGCACAGCTTATCTAATAGGGTTTTGAAATAATTTTCGGTATGCCAGCTGGGGTGTGGTTTGCCCAATTCTGATCCTGTTTCCAGAGAACACAGCTGCTTAGACAATCTGTTATCTTCGCGTCCTGTCTTCCTTTTGACGCCAGAACATCCTAGGGATCAGGGGCCTCTCCCATGCCCTGGAACCATCCTCTCACGGTGCTGCTCTTCACTGGTGCCAATAACAGAGCTCCCGCAGGCAGGCCTGGATCAGTGGGGACTGGGGCCCTGAAGTGAGATGGAGCAAGACAGAGCGGCCCTTGGGAGAGGGGCATGGGGCGGCCCTGTGCTTTAGACTCGGCACCCTATGGCTTGAGGAGGTGACACTGTGTCGACGTGCGTTTGAAGGGAGGACGGCTGAAGGTACATGCAGTCTCCCGGACGTCACAAACTCCGCGGACGCGGGTCACACCCGCGCGCACGCGCAGCAGGGGTCTTAGCCACACAGGCGCACGGCGGGGCACGGCGGGGCACGGGCCCTGCTGCAAACGGGCGCGCTCCCTTCTGGGCAAGCAGGTGCGAGGCGCGCGCCATGGAACAGCCCTTAGCTGAGTTTCGGTTTGCGCGCAAACGGCCGGCCTGGCCGCCCAACGCAGCATTTCCAGCCAGGGCGCACAAACCTCGGGAGAGAAGGTGGAAGCCGCAGGGGCTCTAAAGGCAGCCCCAGGTTGGCTAAAGCGGTTCCTGGTACGGACACCAAGGCCCCCGTGCTCGGGCCCTACCCAGCCTGGTTCAGGTGAGAGGAGGCAAGCCTCGGCCCGGTACCGGCGTCGGAACCACAGTCGGGCCTGGCCCTGCTGCCGGGGCGGGGCTGCTGGACTTCCCTCCCGCTCCGGGCTGGACCTGACATCTGTCTCTCGCATCCGCACTGATCCGAGCTTTAACATTTTCTTTCCAGCCCGCGAACCACGCAGCTCCGGACTCCAGGCAGGAAGCGAGGGTCAGGGTCCTGGAAGAAAGCACTCTGTCCTTGAATTATTCACCCCTAATTGAGTTATCGTGACACCCTGTGGCTTTGGGAAACCTCTCCACAACCAAGTGGAGCCACAGCCCTCTGCTAATGAGGGTAGAAGGTCGAATTAGATACACATCAAAAGTGGCAGTAATTAAGCCTTCATTTGATTTACACCTGGGGCACATGCGGCTCATAGCCCAGATAGCCTGTGACTTAGAAATGGGTTTGAATAGAAAATCTACAAAAGTATGTTAGCTGTAACTGCCGGTGGTGGCAGAAGCTTGTTCAAGTTCAATAGTGAATGTTCAAGACAAAAACAACAAAAAGGATTTAGTGTAACCTTTTCACACGTAATTTATTTTGGTAATCTCTTATTTTGCAGATTTAATCTGCATCCTTTTGTGTTTTCATTTTGTTTTAACCAACGAGTAAAATGGTAAGGTGACTTGCAGTGAGACTGAAATGTCTATGTGGAGATACAGGATAAAACATATCCAGGGATAAGTGTTTTGCAACAAGCTGTGCCAAGGGTTTATTCCTCATAAGTGTAATAAGAACTAAAAGGTTTTTGTTGTTGGTGGTGGTTTTTTTTGTTTTTTGTTTTTTTTTTGAGACAGGGTCTCACTCTGTCACCCAGGCTGGAGTGCAACGAACGGCGTGATCTTGGCTCACTGCAACCTCCGCCTCCCGGGTCCAAGCGATTCTCCTGCCTCAGCCTCCTGAGTAGCTGGGATTACAGGCATGTGCCACCATGCCCGGCTAATTTTTTTGTACTTTTTTAGTAGAAACAGGGTTTCACCATGTTGGCCAGCCTGGTGGTGAACTCCTGACCTCAAATGATCCACCCACCTTGGCCTCCCAAAGTGCTGGGATTACAGGCGTGAGTCACTGCGCCCAGCCAAGATTCCTTTTAAAATTAAAATGTACTGGAAGAGAAGTGTACCTTGCTCACCTTAAAATTATTTCCCTTAAGTTCATCTATTTTTGCACAACATTTGATTTGAGGGAATTTTTAAAAATTACTGAACCTATTGTTACTCAATTTTGATTTGATATTCTCAGCAATATACAGGATTCCAGCTGACTTGCAGAAAGATGAAGAGTGCAGCAGCACAGTTCAAACATTAGAACTTTCTTTTTTCTTTCTTTCTTTCTTTTTTTTTTTTTTTGAGACAGAGTCTCACTCTGTTGTCCAGGCTGGAGTGCTGTGGTGCTATCTCAGCTCACTGCAACCTCCCCTCCCGGGTTCAAGCAATTCTCCTTCCTCAGCCTCCCAAGTAGCTGGGACCACTGGTGTGCAACACCACATCCAGCTGGCCTAGAACTTTCTGAGTAAAACAATTGCTTAAGATTTTAGAATCAATTTCCCTTATTCTTTTTCTCTCTGCAGTTAAAAAACAATGTCTAACCCATGCAATGAGCTTTTGACTATATGCCTCATTTCAAAAGGAATATGAGATCATTGAGTTGGACCCAGAGAAACTGAACTCAGAGAAAACTTCCATTATTGAGAACCCAAAAGCTAATGGCCAGACAAAAGGATGAGAAGAAATGCTGGACCTCCAGTTTGTTATTAATTGCTCTTTTTTGTTTTGTTTTGTTTCGTTTTTTATTGAGATGGAGTCTGTCTCTTTCGCCCAGGCTGCAGTGCAGTGGTGCAATGTCGGCTCACTGCAACCTCTGCTGTCCAGGTTCAAACGATTCTTGTGCCTCAGGCTCCCAAGTAGCTAGGACTACAGGCATGCGACACCACACCCAGCTAATTTTTTTGTATTTTTAGTAGAGACGGAGTTTCGCCGTGTTGGTCAGGCTGATCTCAAACTCCTTACCTCAAGTGATCCACCTACCTTGGCCTCCCGAAGTGCTGGGATTACAGGCGTGAGTCACCATGCATGGCCAATTGCTCTGTTTTTCACAAGGGACTCTGCCTTAAGCTCATTTTCATTGACTTATCATTTCTGGGTTTGCTCTGGTGTGAAAATTCTCATTAAATTTTTTTCTTCAGATTATCGCTACTTCAGAAAAAATAAAAACTACATAATTTATAATTCATGTCACAAAATTTTGATGGCACACTGTGGCCTGTCAGAGATTTCTTTAACATTCCTTTTTGTTTGTTTGGTTTTGGCTTTTGGTTTTTTATTAAAACAGCTTTACTGAAACATGATTTATACACTATAGAATTTATCTGTTTTAACATACAGTTCAAAGATTATTAGTAAATTTACTGAGTCATGCAACCATCACTACAGTCCAACTTTAGAACATTTTCATCACTCCAAGAAGATGCCTCATGCCCATTAGCAGTCACTACACATTTCCACCCCAGCCCTATGCAAACATTGATCTACTTTCTGTCTCTATACATTTGTCTGTTCCAGATGTTTCATGTAAATGGAATTATACAGTATGGTAAACATCTTTTTCATCTACTTATTTTTATATTCAACTAGGTTTAACATGTAACCATAACCAAATATTTAAATTTTCTCTCCAGGAGCTTGAAAATATTTATTTTTCTTGATACTTACTTCGCCTTCTGATTTCTGTTTTTTATACTGAAACAGTCTTTTAAATGATGGCATTCATTGATTAATTCTTTATTTTTCTCTTCTAGCAGACCTTCTTTTTCACTCTCGAAACAGCAGCCTTGGATATTAATTACTATTTGTTCATTATCCCCTTTCTTATGAGCACCATCTAGTTGCTGTTCAAGCTACAGATTTTCATGTTGTAGTTGAGATATCCACTCGTCTACATAGTCTTGCTTTCCTTTATCTGATGCTGTGTTTGGCTTAGGTCCTTTGGCACACTTTTTTTTGAGGCAAAAGATAACAATAAGTTACTGAACAACTTTCTAAAGCTGGAATTAAATTCAATACCCTAAAAAGTAAACTCCATGAGACAAGAAGTTCTCTCAGAGAATTTTGTATTGTTCAGATGGCCAAATTAAGTCATCAAGGCCATCCTTAAATGTGTTCGCTTTTTGACCTTTTTCTTTTGACGCTTTCTTCGCAGGCCTGTCATACTCGTCTTTCTCTTTCCTGGGAAATTGCTGATGGTAAGTTTTCGCACCTTGATTTTGTTGCATTGATCCATCATCATCGTCAGCAGATG
The DNA here is from genome assembly GCF_000001405.40 of Homo sapiens. Lineage (NCBI taxonomy): Eukaryota > Metazoa > Chordata > Mammalia > Primates > Hominidae > Homo > Homo sapiens. Next base: position 24,751,271 of record NC_000013.11, read on the forward strand.
TACTATTATATAGGTTTTCTGATACTTGTATATATATATATATATTTTTTTTTACTTTTGTGCTTCTTCCTCCTTCAACCTGTGGTTATTTATTTTCACTTTTCTCAGGCCTTTCTTGTTCTTCCTTTGAAGTCACTTCTAAGTCTTGTTCTGCTCTGGATGTTTATACGTCCTTTCTTTTTACTGCATTCTTCACAACAGACTCTTCCATTTCGGTGGTAGGCTTCAAGGAAAGATGTTTTACAGGAGACACTTCTACTTTTACCATATTTTTTTTCTTTTTTATATGAAGGTTCAAGTAAAGACTCTGAAGCAGTCTCAGGGATATACTGCTTGGTAGTAAAAGTCAAGTCTTCATCATCTAGTTTACGGCATGAATCAACACACAGTTGTTTGAAAATGCTGAATGCAGATTTGTCAGAACTCCCTGAATCTTCTGCACTTGCTCCTCCTTCTCTCAAACTTGCATTCTTTGATGCTTCTGGATTGTCATTTTGAAGACCATTTTCAAGTATCTTTTTTTTTATGTTGCAAAATTTGTTGTTGAATGCTAGTCAAAACACCACAAATAGCATAATTGTTTGCTGTCTGTCCATACATATCTTGAATAAAGACAGTAATATTTTGTTGAAGAATGCCAACTATACCTAACGAGCCATAATGTACAGCAGGCGTGAAGGCTGTTCCTCTCAACCTATCAACAGCATGTGCATTTGCTTGTTTCTTCACTAAAAATTCCAGCATTTGCTGTCTTTTGCAAACTGCAGCAAGTAAAAGTGGTGTGTTTCCATCATTGTTCAGCACTTCAATATCCGTATCATGGGAAAATAGTTTTTCTACCAGGAATGTACTCTCATTATAGGACAGCATAGTGGAGAGCAGTGTTGCTGTAGACATCCACGTTCCAGCAGAACGATGCCACAAATCTCTTCCTGGCAATGTACAGCCTCCTCAAAGGCATCCCATTTTGTTTATCACCAATGTCAATGTGGCATTTTCAGTTCACCAGGAGAGTCCCCACTTCCACATGGCCATTGGCACAGGCCAAACGTACAGCAGCCCTGTCCATCCACAGCTGAAGGGATAGAGAAACTGCCATACAGATACACACAGAGTATGCTTCAGCCATAAAGCTTTGGGAAATCCTGTCATTCGCAGCCACATGGAGAAACCCAGAGGACATTAGGTCCAAGAAAATGAGCCTGGTGGAGCAAGTCCCACACTGCGTGACCTCAGGCATGTGGACTCCAAAAAGCTTTATCTCCTGCCCATCCACAGATGAAGGGATCAAGAAACTCTGATATATATACACAAAGGAATGTTCTTTGGCCATCAAGATAATTAAAGGATGTCATTTGGAGGAACATAGATGGCCCGCCGAGGCTGCGGCTGCCTCATCCTGCACTGTGGATGGAAGCCGCTGATCTGACAGGAAGTGGAGCTCAGGTGGTAATGCTCGCTCTTGCTGTGCTGCCAGGTTCTTAACAGGCCAGGGATGATACTGGTCCAGGGGTGGGGGAGCCCTGCTCCAGATGACAGCCAGAGTAGTCTTAAATGTAAGTTGGATTGTTTGTTCCCTGCTTAGACCTTTAGCCATTTCCCATTACCAGAATCTTCGGCGTGGCCTGCGTGGCCCTACTTGATCTGGCTTCTGTCCTCCCACCCTCCCTCGTTAGCCCCCATCATCTCATGCTACTCCCCCTCGCCCAGGCCACTGCCCAGATATATTCTTCTCCTTGGGCAAGAAGTTCTGTGCATGCAGGTCAAATCTGAAAGGGACATTTCTTTCTTTAATGAGTGTCAGGGATGGGGGATGTGGCTGATGATATAAGGGGCCCTCCAATCAGACTTTCTAATCTAACTGAAAAGATAATTACAATGTTGATGCTAAAAAAGAAGGTTCTGGCAAAATAGAACTTCTGAAGCATCATAAATCAGATGACTAATATTTGTGATCCCTTTTTAAATTTTCATGTGAAGAAGAATAGGGGATGTAACTGAAGAAATGAACTAAAAGTTCTTCTATGTATTGATAACCTAAGTGTGGGATGCTGTTTGGCTCTGGAAACACGTGGCCTCCTGATACTTAATAAACAATCTAGCATCACACATGACCTGTATTAAAAGAGACACTTCAGTGCTGAATAGTTTGGTGCTCAAAGGGCAGGAGAGCCAGTTAGTGCTTGGGGAGGCAGAGGGGGAACCTTACCTGATGGCCAGGGACGTTGGGACTGACTCAGTCCATGAACTGTGCTTACCTGGAAGAAAGGCAAGGAGTTGAGGAAGAGAGAGGAGATGGAGGCAATTCTAGGCCTGAGATGGGTCTGAGAATATCTGTGGGTAATAAGACCAATTAAGCTAGAGTAGAAGGGTCATTTGTGGAGCAAAAGGTTGTGGATTGTGTTGTACATGGAATTTCTTAGGCCACTGTGGCTCTTAGCAGATAGTGAAATCAATATAGAGGATCTTGTCCCCCATTAAAAATGTTTTGTTTTGTTTTGTTTTTTTGAGACAGTCTTGCTCTGTTGCACATGCTGGAGTACAGTGGAGTACAGATTCTTTTAAAAAATACAAGTTAAAGATTGTGATAGAAATATGAAAACTGGCCGGGCGTGGTGGCTCATGCCTGTAATCCCAGCTCTTTGGGAGCCCGAGGCAGGGGGCTCACCTGAGGTCAGGAGTTCAAGACCAGCCTGGCCAACATGGTAAAACCCCCGACTCTACTAAAAATACAAAAGTTAGCCAGGTGTCGTGATGGGTGCCTGTAATCCCAGCTACTTGGGAGGCTGAGGCAGGAGAATCACTTGAACCCGGGAGGCGGAAGTTGCAGTGAGCCGAGATCGCACCATTGCACTCCAGCCTGGGCGACAGAGCCAGACTGTCTCAAAAATAAAATTAAAAAAAAAATAAAATAAAATAAATAGAAAAAAAGGAAAAAGAAATTATTAAAACTGTCTTAGTTTTGATTCTTGGTTTAATCCAGTTCAAACTGGTCTAAGTCAAACTAAAGGAATTTATAATAAGGACACAAGAGTTTTGTTTTTGCTTTTGTCTTTTTCACAGACTCCAGGAGTAGACATACAGGCCAGGTCTCACATGTAAAGCATCAGAACACCTTTAGAAAGGCAAGCAGCACCTCTCTGTTTCTTGCCTCTGCATCTCTCTGTGCTTCTGTTTCATTTTCTTTCAGGACCTTCTGCTTTGCACAAAGGTGGTATGCAATCAGAAGACGTCTGAGGAGACAAGTATGCATCTCCCACCACAACATTATATGATGCTTGGAGTAAAAACAGTCCTCCCTGTTCCTACCCACGAATGTATTATTCAATAAAGATTGCTGCCAGGCATGGTGGCTCATACCTGTAGTCCCGCACTTTGGGAGGCTGAGGCTGGGCAGATCGCTTGAGACCAGGGTTTGAGACTAGCCTGGACAACATGGTGAGCCACCATCTCTGCAGAAATAAAATAAAATAAAATTAGCCAGGTGTAGTGGCCTGTGCCTATAGCCTCAGCTACTTGGGAGGCTGAGGCAGGAGAATAGCTTGAGCCCTGGAAGTCCAGGCAACAGTAAGCCATGATGGTGGCACTGCACTCCAAACTGGGTGACAGAGTAAGACCCTGTCTTAAAAAAAAAAAAAAAAGATTGCATTATTCAATCTTTTTTCCCATATATAATTTATATAGTTACATAATTACATTCTAGTTTTTGCACATGCCGAGAACTACATATAATTTAGTAGTATGCTGTTTTCACTTATATATCACATATATTTTCCTATATAGGTATATAATATCTATATTTGTCCTTTTCCATTTGACTGCTGTGTTTCTTAAATTGATATACTGTGATCTAAGCCAGTTACAGATTGGTATGGATTTAAATTACTTCCTATTTTCTGTTTTATTAACAATAAACACTGTTATGATATAGTTTTCATTTTTGTTTGTTTGGTTTTTGATCATTTCCTGTGGAAGTATTCTCAAAGCTGAAATTACTGAATTAGTGGGAACAAACATGGCTGTCTTTTTAAATGTTTTGTCAGCTTACTCTCCAAAAGGATTACACCAAGAGGTATTGCCACTAGCAGTAGTTAAGAGTTTGTCTCACCATGATTACAAATTTTTCAAAATTGGTAGCTTATTCACACTGATTGGAACATATGAATTGTTCAATATTTTATAATATGTATATGGGAAAACCCTTATATAGATTAATCAAGAACATATAAGTATGTAATAAATTCCATACTGGATTACATCGATGATCCTTCTGGCTCTGCATCTTGAAACCTAGTTAAGCTCTTTTATGTTAAATTCACCCGGATAGAGTTTTGGAAAATACTTGCTTTTTATTTCTGAAAGTTTTTGCAAAGGATTAGGTTTGGTTTTATGAAAAGTTTCGTCTCTGAAATTATCTGCCTAGACTTTGGACAAGGTGTTCTATTAATTGTCAAATACAATTGAATTGAATCACATTTTTCTTTCTAGGTTACTTTATAAGGTGTTCCTACAGGTCATAAAAAAATTGCCCACAAGGAGCCAAATTACTTTATTCATGGATCTAATATTGCTTTATAGTATTGCTATATAGGTTTAGATAATTATGTTGTTTCACCTTCAGTAGTCATATTTTAGTTATAGGTAAAGTCATTCCTAGTTAAAATAGTATGTAAAGCAAACACATTTGAAATCACCAGTATTCGACATGTTTTGCTATTACTTACAAGTAACAATTTACATTATTTTAATGTTGTAAATAGTTGTGGAATTTAGTCATTTTCTGTATATTGAATTAATTACTGGCATTAAATAAGTATCTTCTCTCTTTAGTAGCTTAACTCATTTCCTGAATGTACCCATTTGATATCATACTTTTGATTGGTAAAGTCACATGTAAATATCTTTTTTACTTTTTATAAAATAATGTCATAAAAATATGGAAGATTTTCTGGCAGACATTATTAGCTAACTGATGACATTTTCAGTAAGTGCCAAAAAGTAATATATGAATATATAAAACATCAAATATTTAGCATAAACTTTATAAATAGCAGAAATGATTAGTAGAAGAAATTACTCACATATTGTCTGCTAAAATAAATATTAAAATTTGACTACATGAAAAAATATAGTTTCTTGAGCTGATCAAATAAATTGATCATAATTCTTCCTCGTTTTGTTTTCTGTGTCTGTGGAAGTCATAGCGAATCCCGAAAATGTATAGCTTGAATTCTGTTGGGTTTTTTTTTTCTTTATTACTTAGTTTACATACATTTTTGTCCTCCTTTGAACTTACTTTCTCCAGACTTGGGTATGTCATGGGCATAAATCAAACCACTCAGATCCACTTCTGGAGGTTGATGTTGGTTTTAAAGCAGGTCCTTGTGGCATCCGTTCCCTTTCCATTGCTAGTCAGTACAGAGCTTACCTTTTATCAACCAGATAAAAGGTTCTGATGCAAATAATTTGACAACCCATTAGCTAGAAAACTATTTCCTGATAACTTAAAATCGACCGAAGCCTTCCCCCATATGTAACACTGTTCTGCCATTCCCTTCATTTTTGCAGTCCTCCTTTGTATAGCCTTGGAAAACAGATCAGCGAGGTAGCAGTGAAAGACATCATGATACCAAATAGAAACAAGGACTTGGAAGACACATTGGACCTCTTAATTTCCAGGCCACTTGATAGTAGATACAGTTCCTTACAAAAGAACATGGCTTCATCTTGGGAAAAGAGGGTGCTGGAGGTGAGGGAAGATGAATTAGCCACCAAGACAGTTCACCTTGCAATTCAATCATTTAGGTCTAACTGGAGAATGATTGCTGCCATGTTCCAGAACAAGAATGAAAGCCTCGTTTCACAATGAAAAGGTGAATTTATATCTTCTGTGTTAGATTCTAGGAAAAAAGGAAGTAAAAGAGATACAGAACAGTCCTTTCATCCCTCCCCATCTGCACTTTATTCTTCCTAACTACAAATCCCATGCTGAAATTCTACTGTACTTGATAAGCATACAATCATATTCAGGGCTCTGCCAGGACAATATTCTTTTTTTTTTTTTTTTCCTTGAGGTGGAGTTTCACTCTGTCACCCAGGCTGGAGTACAGTGGCGTGTTCTTGGCTCACTGCAACCTCCGCCTCCTGGGTTGAAGTGAGTCTCCTGCCTCAGCCTCCTGAGTAGGTGGGACTACAGGTGTGTGCCACCATGCCTGGCTAATTTTTGTATTTTTAATAGAGACGGGGTTTCACCATGTTAGCCAGGCTGGTCTCGAATTCCTGACCTCAGGCAATCTGCCGGCCTCAGCCTCCCAAAGTGCTGAGATTACAGGCATGAGCCACTGTGCCTGGCCGACAATATTCTTAAGTATAAAGAACATATAATAGTTGGAAAAATCTATGAGCAGAAATATTTTAGGGGATATTTTGTTATATATTCAGTATTTCTATAAATGTTTTCAAAATATACAAAATTTTGAATGACATAATGCTTTCTGTATTTCCTCTTCTCCACTTGGGCAGTTCTGTGAACACAAAACATCCCCTCCTGCTCTGATGTTTCACTTTTTATATGGTTTTGATTGGTGTCCCCACCCAAATCTCATGTCAAATTGTAATCCCCAATGTTGGAGGTGGGGTCTGGTGCAGGTGATTGGATCATGGGGGTGGATCCTTCATGAATGGTTTAGCACCGCCTCTTTGGTGCTGTCTCCTGATAGTGTTCTCATGAGATCTTCCTCCTGCTCCCACCATGTAAGACACGCCAGCTTCCCCTCACTTTCCACCATGATTGTAAGTTGCCTGAGGCCTCCCTGGAAGAATCCACTATGCTTTCTGTAAAGCCTGCAGAACCATGAGCCAATTAAACCTCTTTTATTTGTAAATTACCCAGTTTCAGGTATTTCTTTATAGCAGTGTGAGAATGGATTAATAAAACTTTCCAGGAAGATCATTTCATTCCCCATTCTTTGTCCCTTTCCATCTGCCCTTTATTCTTTATTGATTCCCCTGGTCTCTGACCACCCACCTCAAATTTTTACCTTATTTATTTTATAATCAATTGTTCCATGCGTTATCATGCTAAATATAAACCCTTTTTATGATGATAGACATCATGACTAATAACTTCTGTAATAGTGATGAGGATATCTGAAAAACATATATTTAAAAAATAGATACACCATAGATATGACATCTATGACTGGTATAAGAAGAAGGTTCTAATTGGAAGCTGATACAGAAGGAGATCAGCTTGTCTCAGAGCACTTAATAACCTGAATCTCACCCAATACAAAGCACAAAGGCTGAAGACGTGATAGCCCTTTTAAAGTGAGCTACCAGGGATTAACCACTAAATTTTAGTACCATTGCATATGGTATTTGTATATTGTATCTCTGAGTTCTGTGAGCCAAAGAAGAAAAGGTTGATTTTTGGAGCAAGCATCTTTACCATGACTAGGCAAAATAAAAAAGAAATAGAAGTCAGAGTTGATAGATGTCCACTATCAAAAACAACTTACCTTCGGCTGGGCGCGGTGGCTCACGCTTGTAATCCTAGCACTTCGGGAGGCCAAGGTGGGCGGATCACAAGGTCAGGAGATCCAAGACCATCCTGGCCAACATCGTGAAACCCCGTCTCTATTAAAATACAAAAAATTAGCCGGGCGTGGTGGTGTGTGCCTGTAGTCCCAGCTACTTACTCGGGAGGCTGAGCCAGGGGAATCACTTGAACCTGGGCAGCAGAAGTTGCAGTGAACTGAGATCGTGCCACTGCACTCCAGCCTGGCGACAGAGCAAGACTGTGTCTCCAAAAAAAAAAAAAAAAAAAAAAAACAACACTTACATTCTAAATTAGAATTGAGTGGCTGAGTAGCTCTGGAATAAAAGAGATCTGGATTGCCCATGAATGTGAGGACACATGACATACACCTCTGGAGTTATGGAGACAGAAGAGGTCAAGACTGTAACTTCTGAGTGAATACTTCTCATGGGGAAAAGTAAGCTGGGAGAAAAGCTAATATTACATTGTTGGTAGCATAACCCACAAACACAATTTAAAAATTCCTTTGGGACATAAAATATGTTAATGTAGCATATGGAACCAAGATGTAATAACTGTAGTAGTTCCTTCTGGACCAAAATAAATTGCTAACCACATACATAATTTATTTTCAGAACCCTCAAGGTATTATGCCTCCAGCATGCACATTCTAAATTAGTTAAACAGAGGAATCAAGAAATGGTCAAAATAAGGGTGAGGGAAGCAAGAGTTTCTAAAGCTATCACAAGATGTTGTAGTTGTCATCTCTAGAAATTTAAACAGCAGGGTAAACTTTCTCAGAAAGATGTATCATAGGACTATCTCTAGTCAAAAATGGTTGCAGAATGGGCAGAAATCTCAGAAGCCTACCAAAAAGGTAATTTAAGCAAAGAAAGAAAAAAAGGAAGGGAGTGAAGGAATGAGAGAGGGAGAGATAAGAATTTCCTACCACCAAGTTAAAAAGAAAACAATAACAAAACTTTAGGAGACTGTAAAGTCATTGTGTCTCAGACCCAAGATTGGTTTCTATAAGAATAAATGTAGTCGCAGCCAGGCACGGTGGCTCACGCCTGTAATCCCAGCACTTTGGGAGGATGAGGCGGGTGGATAACCTGAGGTCAGGAGTTCGAGACCAGCCTGGCCAACATGGTGAAACCCCTTCTCTACTAAAAATACAAAAAATTAGCCAGGCGTGGGGAGCGCGCCTGTAATCCCAGCTATTTGGGAGGCTGAGGCAGGAGAATTGCTTGAACCCGGGAGGCAGAGGTTGCAGCGAGCTGAGATCACGCCACTGCACGCCAGCCTGGGTGACAGAGCAAGACTCCATCTCAAAAAATATATATATAGTCTTAGTTTTACACAGAGATGCATACACATATACACAAGATGTAGTGATTGAGACTCTTAAAGAGTAAAACAAAATGTATGTTAACTGGATATCTGAGAAAAATGATTATGATAAAAAGGGCCTAGTCACATTATCCAACGGGGAAAATAAACTTGAAAGAATGTGAATATAAATACAAGTAATACAAGTTTTCCAGAAAGAAATGTTAACAGAGAATGAATACCTTTTAAAAGTCATTCCAATGCTGGGAAAACTAGATATCCACATGCAGAAGAATGAAATTAGATCATTATCTCACATTATATGCAAAAATCAACTCAAAATAGATTAGAGATTTAAAAGACCTGAAACTGTAAAACTGCTAGAAGAAAATAGTGGGAAAGCTCTACGTCACTGGTCTGGAGAATGATTTTTTTGGATATGACAACAAAAGCACAGGCAACAAAAGCAAAAATAGACAAACAGGATTACATCGAACTATTAACAGAAAACTCTGCATAGCAAAGGAAACAGTCAGCAAAGTAAAGAGCCTATGGAATGGGAGAAAATATTTGCAAACTATACATCTGGTAAGGGGTTAATATCCAAAATACATAAGGAACATAAACAACTCAGTAGGAAGAAAACAACTCAAACAGAAAGTGAGCAAAGGACCTAAATAGACATTTCTCAAAAGATGACATACAAATGGCTAATAGGTATATGAAAGCATGCTCAATGTCACTAATCATCAGGGAAATGCAAATTAAAACCACAATGAGAAATTACAGACGGTATTAGAATGGAGATTATTTAAAAAAAAAGACAAAAGATAACAACTGTTGGCAAGGATATGGAGAAAAGGGAACCCTTATACAGTTAGTGGGAATGTAAATTAGTACAGCCATTATGGGAAACAGTATAAATTATTTGTTGTGTATATTTTCGAGAAGGTAACTGAATGGGTTAACTTAGTTAAATGTTGAAATACGTCTATTCAATAGATTAATTTGGTTTTAGAATATTAAAATTCTGGCTTGGTGTTATTCTATTAATCCCACTCTTATGGTGGGAATAAATATGTTATATGTTTCTATTCAATAATTTGGTTTTAGAATATTAATATTTTGGCTTGGTGTTATTCTATTAATCCCACTCTTATGTTGGGAATAAATATGTTATATGCTTAACAACAACAAAGAAACCTAACTTTGACCATGGATTTGATTTCAGGTGCACAGGGCTAAGGGCAGCCTGCAGGTTAGCTCTGTGACTGCATAGTTCTACATTCTTTCTCTGATCTGCTGCTGCTATTTGATCTCTGAATTTCTCTTTAGTTTTGGTGAAACTTTCTAAAAGACATTCACTGTGGGTCAGATGCAATTTATAAAAATTGTGTATTCAAGAAGGGAGCCCTGTTTATCTCATTTCTCAGCTGTTTAGGAGATGATTTTAGAGCACTAGAAAGGCACTGGTAGAGAGGCAGGCAGAGGGCAAACCTCCAAGGCCATTAAGGTTTTGTTGTAATTCATAGGAAGCCATTAAAGGGTTCCAAACAAAGGATTTAAACAACCTAAATTGAATGTTAAGAAGACATTTCTGGCTGCTCTATTTGAGGGTTCTTGGTAAGTGCTAAGAAATGAACAAATGTGGTATAATCATCTATCAGTGTATTTCTCACTGGCCCTGATTTATCCAAGATTAATTCAATTTCTGGGATTACCAAAGGCATCTCTGATGAAACTCAAGACCCACATTAAATATCCACATTATGGCCCACGATGAACACCTATGCAATGAGATTGTCATTATTCAAATTACAGTACAGCTATCCTAGAGGAAAAAGAGGCTTGCTACATGCTAGAATAGCATTAAGTGTGGAGAGAAATGTGAAGGTTTAAAGGAGAAAGTGCTTCTAAAGCTGATCCAGGAAGGATAAGGAGAATATGGGCCGGACGCGGTGGCTCACGCCTGTAATCCTAGCACTTTGGGAGGCCTAAGGCGGGCAGACTGCCTGAGCTCAGGAGTTTGAGAGCAGCCTGTGCAACACAGTGAAACCCAGTCAATACTAAAATACAAAAAATCAGCTGGGCGTGGTGGCATGCGCCTGTAGTCCCAGTTACTGGGGAGGCTGAGACAGGAGAATTGCTTGAACCCGGAGACCAAGGTTGCAGTGAGCTGAGATCTCGCCATTGCACTCCAGCCTGGGCGACAGAGCAAGACTCCATTTCTAAAAAAAAAAAAAAAAAAAAAAAAGAGAATATGAATTGATGAAGAGTGAACAGTAGGTATTCCAGATGAGGGGAATAGGGAATAATACTCACAAAACTGTAGAAGAGTCAACATGTTACATGAGAATATTGGCTTGATTAGTACTCAGTTCCATCATGGATTAGTAGTGGAAACTATTGGATGAGTAGTAGAATGAGGGTAATTTAGGGAAGCAGTACTTTTCTCTCGAAGACAACAAATTACAAAGATTTTTGAGCCGAAGTGAGCCTTTCAAGAGAATACTTACTTCACAGTTTCTAGTTACCCACACACAGTGTAGAGAGAAAAGAAAATGAGGAATATGGGCAGGCTTTATTCTTAGCAGCAAAAGGCAACCGTGCCACCTCCAGGTGTTTTGTTTGAAATACACCTGCCACCTTTCTACTAGATTACTTCATTCCTTGCTCACAAAACGTCTCATGCACTCTACTGCTTAAAGAGTAAAGTCCAAACTCCTCAGCCTTACACTCGAGATTCTCCGAAATTCTTCCCTGACACACCTCTCCAAAGAAGCTTACTTTAAGGAAACTCATACTCTGGCTAAATGGTCTTTAAATTCTCAAGAAGTCACTGTGTCTTCCATCTACCTTCCCTCACATCTACCTTCCCTCGCTGATGTGTTCTTTATTCTTGGAATCCCTTAGTTCTTGTTTACTCCTGTAAGTACTACCTAGGTTGTAAGGTCTAGTGCAAACCCTATATCCTCTACGAAGAGTTTTCATACCACCGTAGACCATATTGACTTCATTTCTTCATTGCTTTTTGTGAACTATGCTTGGACAAGTTGCTTCAACTCTTTTTTTTTTTTTTTTGAGACGCAGTCTCGCTCTGTCGCCCAGACTGGAGTGCAGTGGTATGATCTCGGCTCACTGCAAGCTCCGCCTCCCAGGTTCACGCCATTCTCCTGCCTCAGCCTCCCAAGTAGCTGGAACTACAGGCGCCCACCGCCACGTCCGGCTAATTTTTTTTTTTTTTTTTTTTTGTATTTTTAGTAGAGACAGGGTTTCACCATGTTAGCCAGGATGGTCTCGATCTCCTGACCTCGTGATCTGCCCGCCCTGGCCTCCCAAAGTGCTGGCATTACAGGCGTGAGCCACCGCGCCGGGCCCAGAAGGCTAATTCTTACTGTCTCTAACACAGGTCCGGTACATAACACTTATTTTGGCGGAAGTTACTGGGTTTTTTTAAGGAGTTATGTATCTCTCAAGCAGAAACCTGCTAGTTCATAAATTCTTAGCATCCCCAACCACTCTTGGCACGCTGCCTTGTATATTATTAGGCTCAACAGCAGTTAGTAATGATGAACACTCCTTAATTCGAAAGCGTTCACTGAATCTACCCCAACGATAGCTTCTCATTAGCTTCTCCACTCCAGCTGCTATTGGCCAAGCCCTGGATGCCCGAAGCACACAGGTTTAGGGCTTCTGGCCCTGACACGTAATAGGGAAAGGGGATTGTTTCAATCCAAATGATTATCTATAAAGTCACTCACAATGTAAGTAATAATATGCGAAATTTTAATTTGTGATGACTAAAAGCACTAAAGTGGTGACTCTTTGGGTAGAACGTAAAAACGAACGGTCCTCAACGGCCACAAGGCGCCCCTTCTAGGAGTGGTACCTCCCAGGATAACGGAAAACAGCCCCAGCCCCATCAGGAGCGAGCTTGGGGGCGGGCTTTAATCTCCCGGCCCACTGTTTGGCTATCTGCAGGGGCTGGCCTCCAATGATTGGTCGCTGCCGCGAGGGCCGCCGGGACTCGCACTCGGCGGTTGTTCCAGAAGAAAGAGACAGCGATGGCGGCAGAGGCTTCGAAGACTGGGCCTTCTAGGTCTTCCTACCAGCGAATGGGGAGGAAGAGTCAGCCCTGGGGTGCCGCTGAAATCCAGTGCACCAGGTGTGGAAGGAGGGTATCCAGATCATCCGGTGAGGAGCCCAAGGGCCCACCTAGCGGGGAGGCAGCCTGGAGGGAGCGCTGGGGGCCAGGTGAGCTGGTGGGCGCGTGAGGCTTGGTCAGCTGCATCCAATCCTGGTGTCACCAGAAACTGCGTCACAGGCCTCCCGCGAGCTGCACCCGACCTCTAAGAGGGCAGTGCTTGGGTTGGTTAAGGGCAGCACCTGCGCCTGTCACGGCTTTCTCCAATTACCCATCCAGGCCTCACCGACCCTCCAGCCGGGAGGATGGGGGCCCGGGTGGCTTTAATCTACTCCTCACAAGGCAGGTTAGCGGGTGCATGCAAAAGTAGACATAAAATGTAGCCCATTGTTTTGTCATCAAGAAGGAACGAAACTTGATTTTCTCCTGTAGTTTTTGTTGTAGGAGTAACAAGTAGACCATTGTGAAATGGTTTTGGATTTTGTTGTTGTTGTTAGCATTTTGTTGTTTCTGTGGGGGTTTTTTTGTTTGTTTTTTACATTATGGCTCACACTGGCCTAAAACACTGTTTGGAAAATGATAGTTTCTTTTGTGCACCTTGTGGGGTGTGTGTGTGTGTGTGTGTGTGTGTGTGTGTGTGTTGGTCTTTATACGTGAGGGGAAAAATACACTGCACTATTATTGGTCTGTTCACCTACAATCTACTCAAGTGATCACAGGTTCAAGTTATTTATTATTATTTTTTTCTTTGAGTTGGAGTCTCGCTCTGTAGCCCAGGCTGGAGTGCAGTGGCGCGATCTCGGCTCACTGCAAGCTCCGCCTCCCAGGTTCACGCCATTCTCCTGTCTCAGCCTCTGGAGTAGCTGGGACTACAGGCGCCCGCCACCACGCCCGGCTAATTTTTTGTATATTTAGTAGAGACAGGGTTTCACCGTGTTAGCCAGGATGGTCTCGATCTCCTGACCTCGTGATCCGCCCGTCTTGGCCTCCCAAAGTGCTGGGATTACAGGCGTGAGCCACCGCGCCCGGCCGGTTCAAGTTATTTTAATGTAACTTAAAATACCTTAGTGTGCTCTTAATACAGCTGAGTTGTTGAATCTCAATTCCTGGAGCTACTGAAAATTCGTATTACCTGGCGTAACTGTTTAATGTTTATACTTTCAAAGTTAAGGTCATTCGATCAGTTTTCTCAGTCTTGGCAAGATGGACTCTGTGAGATGTGAGCCTCTGCAGAAAAAGTTGTGATTTCAGTGGAGAACCAAGTTTCTCCTACTTGGGGTTTAGATCACTGCTACCGTTACGTAGAAAATTTCCATTTTTGAATGAAATTAAAATTACGGAATAAAGTTCTAGAACACAACCTTTTAAAATGAGTACTTCTTCCATACATTAGTATTATAATGCTTAGAAAAACTAAACTGGAGAAGTAGTGGTTATGTATATAGAATCCTGAAAGTGCTTTTTAAGCTGTAATTCACCACAAGTTATTTTGAGTTATTCAGTATCAGAAATTTTATAATAGTTAAGTGTTTTTATTTCTTTGGCAATATTATCCCTGGAAGTTAAATAGGGTTTTAAAATTTAGCATGGTTGTAAGCAAGTTTCAGGTATTTCAGTTGGATAGGAAACTTGTAAAGTTTTTAAAAAATACAATTAATGCAAGGCCGGGCACAGTGGCTCACGCCTATAGTCCCAGCACTTTGGGAGGCCGAGGTGGGCGGATCACTTGAGGTCGGGAGATCAAGACCAGCCTAGGCAACATGGTGAAATCCCATCTCTACTAAAAATACAAAAAAATTAGCTAGGCGTGCTGACGCACACCTGTAATCTCAGCTACTCCGGAGGCCGAGGCAGGAGAATAGCATGAACTCAGGAGGCAGAGTTGGCAGTGAACCGAGATCGTGGTCCGTCTCAGAATGAGTGAATGAATGGATGAATAAATAAATAAATAAAATTAATGCGATTATAATTCAGCAAGAACTCTATAATTATTTTGCTAGTAAAAGATGACTGATTTTTATCTAGTTTTTTTCCCTTTTCAGTTTTCTTGCAAAACTTTAAAAATGACAACCTTTTGAAATTATATAGCTAAAACAAATGTTATTTATTATAAACTTCAAATTCTTAGAGCATTTAATCATGATGTTAGGTTTTCAATCAAGTTACGATATTTCCTTTCATAAATGCTAAGTTTGTGAAAATGTGAGTTGTAGATATGTGATAATAGTAGCATCTGGCTTCTGGCCTTGCCAGTGTCTTAAATAATTCTAACAGCACGGTCTTGCCAGTGTCTCATTTTGGCCCTTCCTGACCTCTTCACAGGATGGGAAATATAAAGTAGTAGAGGGCAGTATGATCAATCAGAAAGAATGTTAGACTTGGAAACAGAGCTAGATAGGAGTCTGGATTATACCATTTAGTTAACCAAATCTCCAAAATGCTATTTCATCTCCAGCCCACTTAACTGTGATATTTACAAATAACAAATAAAATGTGTCAGAGCACTTTGTGTAAGATATGGCAGATTCAAAGTATTCTAGGTACAAAATAGCCATCTGAATTAATGCAAATGCTATTACATAGCTCTTCTTGGTTTTTCTTCTTGATTTTTCTCCCTCCTGACCTGAATAGTTGGTTACTCCTGATTTATATTCAATAAGTCAACCATTTCAAACTGTAGTAGGTATCTTTTCCTGTACAGTAGGATCCTCTTTGAATTTCCCTTGTATCAGTATTGCCCATTCAACATTAACACACTGTGGGCAGTTTAATCACAATAGAATTTCTTCAGTAAAATTAGCCGGGTGTGTTGGGACACACCTATAGTCCCAGCTACTTGGGAGGCTGAGGTAGGAGGATCACTTGAGCCCAAGAGGTGGAGGCTGCAGTGAGCTGGTGCCACTACACTCCAGCTTGGGCAACAGAGCAAGACCCTGTCTCAATAATCATCATCATCATCAAAATAATAATTAAGAATTTCATCAATAGGTCACCATTGTGAACTTCAATGTGGACATGCTTTTTGTGAACTATGCTTGTTAATGACTGAAGAATGCACCACAATTATATGCCCTGATTGTGAGGTAAGTGTTATAATTTTTCAGATGAAACATATCACAACCTAATGTTAATGGTAAAAATACTACAGTAGTAAAACGTACTTCTAGTTAGAAACTAAAAAGTTGGCCGGGCGTGGTGGCTGACGCCTGTAATCCCAGCACTTTTGGAGGCTGAGGCGGGCAGATCACGAGATCAAGAGATCAAGACCACCTTGGCCAACATGGGGAAACCCCGTCTCTACTAAAAATACAAAAATTTGCTGGACCTAGTGGTGCACACCTGTAGTCCCAGCTGCTCGGTAGCCTGAAGCAGGAGAATCGCTTGAACCTGGGAGGTGGAGGCTGCAGTGAGCCAAGATTGCACCACTGCACTCCAGTCTGGCGACAGAGCAAGACTCCATCTCAAAAAAAAAAAAAAAACCCTAAAATCTTGCATTTTTGCTGCTGAATCTTTAAGCAAAGAAACCTAACAAAAGATAAAACTTTTTCTATCCATTTTATAATTGTGTAAAGTGATCAGGAAAAATAAAAGGCGCTAAAGTCATACACTTATCGGCCTACATATTTTGATTCTTTGGTGACTTCTGTGGAAAATTATGTCTTTTGTTTATTTTAATGGTGTATATTCCTTTAAAAACCCTAGCCCCTGTTTTACCCACCAATCCATGCAACCACATTTTGAACTCCCCCCCTGCCCCTCAACCTTTGTGTGTCATCAAATGTACATTTGGGAGATGCCATTCTACAACAAGGTAGAGAAGCAAAACTACTGCCTAAAATTTTTACTTCAGAAGCCATTAAGACTGAAATCTTTCCATAAGAATGAGAACAAATTAAGGATGTAAAATAAAATTTACTTGATATCCTATTCATTTAATACAAATATAAGTGTAGTTCAGCTTATATAATATTGTTCCTGGAAAGTTGACTCAAGCTGTAAATTCCTTTTTTTTTTTTTTTGAGACGGAGTCTCACTGTGTCCCCCAGGCTGGAGTGCAGTGACTCAATCTCAGCTCACTGCAACCTCCGCCTCCCAGGTCCAAGTGATTTTCCTGCCTCAGCCTCCCAAGTAGCTGGGACTGTAGGTCTGTGCCACCACGCCCGACTAATTTTTTGTATTTTTAATAGAGAGGGGGTTTCACCATATTAGCCAGGATGGTCTCGATCTCCTCACCTCGTGATCCGCCCACCTCGGCCTCCCAAAGTGCTGGGATTACAGGCATGAGCCACCGCGCCTGGCCAAGCTGTAAATTCTTGATGTTTTACTGGATAAATCAGATGATAAGGCTTTGTATCATTTGTTTTCTGTGGAAGTGTGGCAAACCCTATGGAGGCATGAGATCTAGAATGCAGTTCTCATTCTGTCAGTCTAGCCTGGGTTTCCTCATTTGTGAGATGGATATAATACCTGCTTTGTCTTATCTCCTAGGATTGCTAAGAATCAAATCTGAATTATGTAACAGTTCTCCGTAAGCTTCCAGACTACTAAAATAACCCTTCATTATTTAGGTTTGAATGAACTGCCTTGCAAGTTAAATATGGTTAAAAAAAACCCAAACCATATATTGTAATTAATGAAAGTTTAAATTATAACAAAAAATTACATATTAGTAGCTGCCTATTTTGTGGGAAATTCCTAACCTCTTCCCTTTTTTTTTTTTTTTTTTGACATGGAGCTCCTTAGACGTGGCTGGCTATGTGGGTAAGACGAAGTGAGCCCTCCTCATGTGGTTGTGGTAGTAGATCCCTGATGGATTCAGTCTTGTGGGTGAAGATTAAGTGAAGGGAAAGGAAAGGAGCAGGCAGCTGGAACTGTCTGTGTCCATATCCGTCCTGTTCTAATATTAAAAAAAAAAAAGACTTGGCAAATGATTTCACATTTAATGTTCTTAAATCATTATACTTGTACTATTTTTGGGATTTTGGATAATGTGTAGGAGTGTTTATAATGTGTTTACAAATACTAATTTTGATTTTAAGGTTGTGATAAATCTATTTTGTATCATTGACTAGTTTTGCTCTAACTTTTAGAGATAAGTGACCTGTCCCATCCTCCGTTCCTATTCCCCCATCCCCACACCCACCTACTGTTAGCCGAGGTAATTGACAAGTGACTATATTCACATTCTTCAGACGCACTGGTGAGCTGGGCCCTATTAAAGGAAGTCATTCAAGAAACCTTCCTGAAATTGTTATCACTCTTTTTAAACTTTAGATTTGTATTATTACCTAATATTTATTTGGAATAAGATATACAGAGAATGGAAGAATCTAGTTTAAATTTAGTGAAGTCTGAATTTATGGAATATTTGAGGAATGTAGTTTATTACATTTCAACAAGGTATCTACTCTAAAAAGTAAGATTTAGATTCCTGTATTCACGTTAGACTTATAATTTATCTTTAACTTCAGAGGCCTAGGTAATGCTGTTTACTTCAAATGTAAGCCTAAAATCCATTCAAGATTAATAGGTATCCTTTTGTTCTTATTTCTGAGTTTGGGTGAATGTGCATTTATTTGACAGTCTTTATTTTTGATAGTTGAATGGTTTTTGATAACATCCCTGCTCTGCTATTGATTGATGTTAATGGTTAATCTTTCTGTAATTTTGCACAGCAAAATGACAGATTTTATTCAACGATAGGATTATACCTAGGTGCTATATTAGAAATACTGGCATTTTATTAACTTTTGGACCTGAGTCTAAAATACATTGGGCCATGAAGAAAGGATAAATCATCCAATCAATAGATAATTCATATATACTAAAATCCCATGATTGGAAATATTAATATATAAAAATTAGAAATGTAAACTAGACAGAAATACAGATAATTGTATAATCTTGGATAGGAAAGCATTGATAAGCATATCAAATAGAAATCAGAAACTACAGAATAAATGCTTGTTAAATTTGACCACAGTTTTTCATTTACAAGCAACAAAAGCAGGCAAAACACCATCATAAATAAAATTTAAATGACAAGCTATAGGGGGTAAAAGAAAACCTTTATTATATATGTTACAAGTTAAGAGTCTTTCTGCAGTTTTTACTTAAAATCTTTTAAATTAGTTGTATTTAATACTTTCTTAAACTATCTGGAAGAAATGTCCTGCATCAAATCTGCTGATAATAGCATTAACCTCTTATGAAATGCTAAGCCAAAGTGTGATGAACTAGGAGGTATATAGAAATAAAGTTTTTAAACCCCAATTTTGGGGAAAAGGGACTTAAAATACCATTCAGCTCAGTGAGATTTGTTAAAAGTAACCTAACTAAACTAATAATACATGGCTACAAGTACATGGTTTTAAGTACATAATACTTGAAACCTTGAAAGAACATTCTCTTCCCCACCAAAGATGTATATTTCACAAAAATGGGAGACTATAACAATTAGTAATCTGCTTTGTTTCTTTTAGCAACCTTCATCTATTCTCATGAAAATAAGCACTATAATTTTCTTAACTAATTTCTTTATTGATAAACATTTAGTTTTAAAATTTTTTTCACTATAATTGTGTACAATTCCTCAACCTCACCTCCATCAGTAGGTTCTGTAATTTCTAACTCCAAAAGAAATTCATATTTTGAGCTTGTTATATTTGTTTTAGTGTTTTGGCAATTTGATGTAAAAAATGGCTGTTTCCTTGTTGTAAATTGTAATTCCCTCATGATCAGTGAAGTTGAGCAACTTTTCATATGTTTGACTTATCAGTGCCTCTTCTGTGTGGATCTTTAACAGCTCTTTTCAGATCCTTTGGATCTTTTCCTTTTGAATTGTCTTTTTCCTAACTTGTTGTTTGTTGTTGTTTGCTTTTTCTGGAGACAGGGTCTTGCTCTGTTCCCCCAGACTGGAGTGCAGTGATGTGATCACAGCTCACTGCAACCTCAGCCTCTCCAGCTGAAGCAATCCTCCTACCTCATCCAGTCCAGTAGTAGCTGGGACTAAAGGGGAGTACCACTGCACACAGATAATCTTTTTTTTTTTTTTTTTTTTTTTTTTTGGAAGAGGTGAATCCTTGCTATGTGGCTAGGCTAGGTCCTTGCTATGTTGCCCAGGCTGGTCACGCCTTAGCCTTCCAAAGTGCTGAGATTACAGGTGTTAGCCACTGTATCCAGCCTGTCTTTTTTCCTAAGTTGTAAGAGTACTTTATGTGATAGCAATATTAACATTTCATCCTGTGTAACTGTTTTCTCCCAGCCTCTCACTTTTGATTTTATTGCATTTAGCCATTCAGAAGTGTTTCTTAACTAGTCATTTTTACCCCTGCTTCATGAATTCTAGGTAGGGCTTTTTTTTTTTTTTCTGACTAGGCAGACCTTCCTAACTCAAAGTTATATATATATATCTTCAATACTTACGTTTTTTTAAAGAAGTATATGTTGGCTGAGCTCACGCCTGTAATCCCAGCACTTTGGGAGGCTGAGGTGGGTGGATCACATGAGGTCGGGAGTCGAGACCAGTCTGACCAACATGGAGAAACCCAATCTCTACTAAAAATACCAAATTAGCCAGGCATGGTGGCGCATGCCTGTAATCCCAGATACTCGGGAGGCTGAGGCAGAAGAATCACTTGAACCCAGGAGGCGGAGGTTGCAGTGAGCCGAGATCGCACTATTGCACTCCAGCCTGGGCAACAAGAGCGAAACTCCATCTGAAGACAAAAAAGTGGGGGCGGTATATGTTTAATTATTTTATGTGTTATGTGATGTAAGGTGCAGGTATACCTTTATTCTTAAGAATGATTGGCTGATTTTGTCATACCTTTTATTGAGTAATCCTTCCATTTAATTGAAATCCCACTTGTATTCTATATTAAGTTCTCATAGAGAGTTGGGTCTGTTTCAAGGCTTTGTTCTACTGATTTATTATGCTAGCACATAGTGTTTTAATTATTACAGTAGTGTTATAATAGTCTTATTAATTGGTGGAATAAATTTATGCTGAATTCGATGTTAAAGTTTTTGCAGTTCTTATACAATATATTTTTCCATACGTATTTTAGAATTGTATTAATTTCATATTAGATGATGTTAGGACATTCAGTCTTTCTCTCCAGGAACCTGGTTTGAGTCTCCATTTTTTTTTTTTTTTTTTTTTGTTCTTGTTTTATGACCTCTAGCCAGGTGCGATTTTTTAAAAAGTTTTCTTTACTTACAGCTTATAGTTTTCTTGTTAAATTTTCCTAAATAACTTCAATCAGCAGGAAAAGAAACAGATAACTCCATTAAAAAGTGGGCAAAGGACATGAACAGACACTTCTTTTTTTTTTTTTCTTTTGAGACAAGAGTTTCGCTCTGTCACCCAGGCTAGAGTGCAGTGGCGCCATCTCAGCTCACTGCAAGCTCCTCCTCCCAGGTTCACGCCATTCTCCTGCCTCAGCCTCTCGAGCAGCTGGGACTACAGGCGTCCACCACCACGCCCAGCTAATTTTTTGTATTTTTAGTAGAGACGGGGTTTCACCATGTTAGGCAGGATGGTCTTGATCTCCTGACCTCATGATCCGCCCGCCTCAGCCTCCCAAAAGTGCTGGGATTACAGGCGTGAGCCACCGCCCCTGGTCGTGAACAGACACTTCTTAAAAGACATACAACCAGCCAATAAACATGAAAAAATGCTCACATCACTTACCAGAGAAATGCAAATCAAAACCCACAATGAGATACCATCTCACATCAGAATGTCTATTATTAAAAAGTCAAAAACTAACAGATGTTGTCAAGGTTGTGGAGAAAAGAGAATGCTTATAGACTGTTGGTGGAAATGCAAATTAGGCCCTGTGGAAAGCAGTTTGGCGATTTCTGAAAGAACTAATAATAGAACAACCATTTGACTCAGCACTTCCATTACTGGGTATATACCCAAAGGAAAATAAATTATTCTGCCAAAAAGATACCTGTACTCATATGGTTATCACAGTATCATTCACAATAGCAAATACATGGAATCAACCTATGCGTCCCATCATTGGTGGGTTGAATAAAGAAAATGTTGTACGTATACACCACAGAATACTATGCAGCCATTAAAAAGAATGAAATAATGTTGTTTGCAGCAACATGGATGCAGCTGAAGGCCATTATCCTAAGCAAATTAATGCAGAAACAGAAAACCAAGTACCACATTTTCACTTCAAGTGGGAGCTAAACATTGGCCACACGTGGACATAAACGTGGAAACAGTAGACACTGGGGACTGCTAGAGAGAGGAGGGGAGGCAAGGGCAGAAGAACTTTCTGTTGGGTTCTGTGCTCACTGTTTGGGTCATGGGATCAACAGAAGCCCAGACCTCAGCATCATGCCCTACACCCTTGCCACAAACCTGTACACGTACCCCTTGAATCTAAAATTTTAAAGAAAAAGATAATTTCAGTTTCACA
Organism: Homo sapiens; assembly: GCF_000001405.40. Lineage (NCBI taxonomy): Eukaryota > Metazoa > Chordata > Mammalia > Primates > Hominidae > Homo > Homo sapiens. The sequence continues at coordinate 24,773,727 of NC_000013.11, forward strand.
TCCTGGCTTATCCTTTAATTGACTGAGTGAAGTTAGAGGACATACTTCAGCTTTACTTCAGTTTCCTTTTCTTTCTTTTTTGTATTGTATTGTGAGGTTTCAATGAGATAGTTTGCCAAGTTTGTAGGACCTAGGCACCCAGAGAATGATGTTGCATTTCCTTCTGCCTTCTTCATTTTTCTTTCAGGTATCAGTTCATGATCTGAGTGGCTTTTAAAATATGTGGAAAAAAATCAGAGACCGCAGGGCCTCAAATAAATGAACATAAGAAAACTGTTCTCAGAAAAAAGTCAACCATCAACTATCCAACTTTCTTCTATTTCTAACTGCATTTTACTTGAACACTGTCTCGAGCAGGGATTTTTCTTCATCTAGTGTCTGTGGGCCACAGTGGACTTTAGGAATTCTATTGAACCACATGATTTTAAAAAGTTTTAAATTAAATATTTTAGAGTTTTGAACATATGTTACTATTTTTTTTTTCACTTTTTTTGAAATAGAGTCTGGCTCTTTCACCCAGGCTGGAGTGCAGTGATGCAATCTTGGCTCACTGCAACCTCCACGCTCTGCCTCGCCAGGTTCAAGCAATTCTCCTGCCTCAGCCTCCCTAGTAGCTGGGATTACAGGCGCCTGCCACCATGCCTGGCTAATTTTTGTATTTTTAGTAGAGATGGGGTTTTGCCATGTTGGCCAGGCTGGTGTTGAACTCCTGACCTCAGGTGATCCACTCGCCTTGGCCTCCCAAAGTGCTAGGATTACGGGCGTGAGCCCTCATTCCTGGCCTAACATTTTTAAAGTAAAATTGAAAGTATTGCTAGTATTTCCTTTACAGTTATGGTAGAATGAAGTGTTTTGGTTAATTAACTAAAAATTAATTAATAGTTGCCAAATTCGTGATTGCTTCCAAAAATTAAAGTGGGTCAAAAACTCATATAAGCACGGTTTTCTCCTTGATTTACAGGGGATTTCAGGATCTTTAAGGTTATCATTAACTTTATGAATAGCACACTTAAATAGTTGTTTAGGTTCTGGATAGGCATAATTTATTGGGTGACTTTGTTTTTTTAAACCTTATTTTGTCCTAAGGTTGCTACAGCTGTAAATACTAGACAACGCTACTACCCAATGGCTGGATATATTAAGGAAGACTCCATAATGGAAAAACTGCAGCCTAAGACGTATGTTCCATGTGTACTTATTTGAGTATTTAAAGTCAATGTGTTACTGAAATAGTTTTAGAATTATTGATAAAATGTCATCCTTAAGTCTGCATTTCTAACCTACTGTTTATGGAATGCTCTTTAAGTTCATACTTCATCTTAGCTGTCAGTGGAATGGAGACTTCAGCTCTTTAAAGAAGCAGCGTTTGTTTGTCCTTATTTAAAGAAAGAAAAAATGTTAAGGATTACCACATCAAGAAAGGCTGAGAGTACACTGGCTAAAGTTACTCGTGCTGGATGGAAGGAAGTTATAGAGAAAAAAAGTAACTTAGTTCTCTCTTGATTCTTTTTAAAAATTTTTAAAATTCTAAGTTTTTTTAAAGACAGGGTCTCACTCTGTCACCCAGGCTTGAGTGCAGTGGTTTTGATCATGGCTCACTGCCGCCTCAGACTCCTGGTCTCAAGCTAGCCTCTCACCTCAGCCTTTGGAGTATCTAGGACTACAGGCATGCACCACCATGCACAGCTAATTTTTAAATTTTTTTGTAGGCATGGAGTCTCATTGTGTTGCCCAAGCTGGTCTCAAACTCCTGGCTTTAAGTGATCCTTCTGCCTCAGCCTCTCAAAGTGCTGGAATTACAGCCGTGAGCCACTGCACCCAGCTTCTCTTGATTCTTAAAAGTAGTGCAAGTATAGTACAATGGAAGACTTTGTGAAGAGTTGGTTTGAGAAGTGATTTATAAAAGGAAAAATAATACCTTTGGGGTTCTTTTATTCATTTTTCCATTGTTGTATAAGACTTTATACATGTATGCATTAATAGATTCTCTTTTTGAATTAGTAATATCTTTTTAAATACACCCAGCCAGAGATGAGTATCTATGTTACTGACTATTTCACTTAATTACTAATGCTTCTGTATGTCTTTTCCTGCTAGTCTGTAAGCCCCTTTAAGGGAATGGACCACATTTTATTCCCCTTTATATCTCTGGTTTGGGACACAGAGTAAACATGTAATGTTTATTACAGTACATGTTTGATTTTTGCAGCTTTTTAAGTGTTAAAGGATCTTCTGATCAATTTCCTGGAACTGTACTCAGATGGTAATTTGTATATAACTAAACTTTCTAAGCATATTTAATATGGTAAGTAGACTATGCAAGAAATAAAAAATAGGATTCTTTCAAGGAAAAATCTCATGTGGAACTTTCCAATTTTGTTAATGGCACCAAGTATTTATAAATCACTCTAGTTCCTTCTATTACATTCATTTTACCTCCTGCAGATTCTGACTTCTATAGTATCTCCTATGTCCATAACCTATCTTCATTTCTACTGCCTTATTTAATTCTCATGTTATTTTGTGTAGCTCCTTGTCAGACTCTTCCTTAATGCTATAGTTGTTCATTAAGTATTCAATTAAAACTCAAAATTATTCAGTGTAGAATTCCTGGCACTTCACATTACCACCGTAGCTTCTCTTTGCAGACCTAAATGAGTACTTATAAAAAAACAAAAGAATGGTTTTAGCCATTTGCTTGGGTAGTAAAACCACTTAGCTAAAGTCTGACAGCTGGTTATTCACAGAACCAGAATGTAAACCTAGGTTTATTGAATACCAGTACTGCTCCCAACTCCTATACCACTGGTCACTTCCTCCATGAGATATGTGTAGAGTTATTAGGATAGATCTTTTAGAATCATTCTGGCTCATCGTGAGTCCCCATGGAGTAGCCATTTTTATCAAATTTAGGGCTCCCAAATTTGAACACCTACACGAATTAAGCAGTTAACTTACTGGGTGAGGTCGACTGAGTTTAAACAATGAGTGGTGAGGTTTGCGGTAGATGACGAGGGCTCACCCCCTCTGAAGGAGGCAGTTCCTACTCAGCTGTAGCCAGTTATTAGTATGTATTAAGACAAACCCAATGTTGCCACATCTTTTTTTTCTCAAGACAAACTCGAGATCTGTACTTGTGTGTGAAATTTTCTGACACATGATGCCAGTCAAACCAGGATGTACTCTTATCTATATATGTATAATGTCTGTTAGAGTTGCAAAGTGAAATTTTACTTTCAGAGGTATATGAATCCATCCTAACCAGAAAGTACCCAAATTTGTTCCAAATAACCATTTTAAAAATTAAATTTATGTCAATTATATCTATTTTAGAAACTGCTATTCTCTAAGGTACAGTTTGGTTTTAAAATGGTTGTATATTTTTAAATTATAGTAATCCTTGACTCATTTACTGATTTGTCTTTAATATTTTGAAACAGGAATTCAGTAATGGAATCCTCAGGGCTAATGCACTCATGTTTTTAAGAACATGAATATTCACTTTTCAAAGAATAGAATGTTTAAAAATTATTTGGTGTAGTATTTTTTCTCTGTAACATTTAAACATCATATTTTCCCCATAAGCTGTAAGCTGATGATTAACTCAGCAAACACTAGTTACTGTGTGCTAGCCAATATGGTGATACAAAGATAAAAATAGCTGGGCATGATGGCTCATGCCTTTAATTCCAGCACTTTGGGTGGCTGAGGTGGGAGGATCACTTGAGTCCAGGAGTTCGAGACCAGCCTGGGCAACACAGTGAGACCCCATCTCTAAAACAGATAATAAATAAAACTCTGGCTTCTATAGACTAGAGAATGCAACTAACTTTTTCTTTGCAATTAACTTGCTTAGTTAAATTCATTACCTTTTTTTAATTCTCCAGACTTGTTAAGTACCTTCTTTTTAATAGCTGGCATTTGTATATATAAACACTTACTTAATTGGTGAGCTTATCACATTTCATTGATTATCAACATCTGTACCAAAAAATACCACGTAAGGACCAGTAATTAAGAAATTAAAACACAATATATAAGCCATTATTTTTGGAATTTTTTAAAATTAAAATTTGTATGAAAGCATATTTCCTCATGGTTTCTCTCTTCCCACTTATGGTTAATTGGTAATTCACTGTACATGTTCTTATAAGTCATTATATGAATTATTTTTTATGGTAAAATCTGAATAGAAGATTAAAACCATTACATTGATTGATGAGGTAATATTGGTATTTAAAATAATGTACGTGGGCCAGGCACAGTGGCTCACACCTATAATCCCAGCACTTTGGGGGGCCGAGGTGGGTAGATCACTTGAGCTTAGGATTTTGAGACCAGCCTGGACAGCATTTTGAAATCTCATCTCTACAAAAAATACAAAAATTAGCCGAGTGTGGTGGCACATGCCTATGGTCCCAGCTACTTGGGAGACTGAGGTGGGATGATCGCTGGAGCCTGGGAAGTCGAGGCTGCCATGAGCCATGATGGTGCCACTGCACTCTGGCCTGGGTGACAGAGAAAGATCCTGTCACAAAAAATAAAATAATATACTTGATACTTTTCAGGATAAAGAATTGTTCTCAGGACTTTAAGAAGACTGCTGATCAGCTAACTACTGGTTTAGAACGTTCAGCCTCCACAGACAAGACTCTTTTGAACTCATCAGCTGTAATGTTGGTATGAAACATATTGGTCATGAAGTACGATGAAGGCAAACGTTTGACTTTGTCTCTAGTAGCTCAACTTTCTTCTCCTATAATTATAGATTCTTTTGGAAGTTTATACGTAACAAGTTAACCCACCCTCTTACTTGAATCTCTTTTGTTCTATGCTTAGACAGTTCTCTTTTCTTCCAAGGCAGCCTGTTCTACCTTTGACTGACTCTGTTTCAAAGTTCTTGATATTTACCTGTGTGTAGCTTCTTCCCTTTGAAACTAGTTATTGAATCCAGGTTCTGTGAAACATGTAAAGCATGAGTTTTTAAATTTTAAATGTGATTTTTCACTTATTTTAATGGCAACCAAAAGGCCTAATTATGTTTGTTGTTGTTAATGTTATTGCTGAAGATAGAGTTTTACCTTTTATCTACTCCTGATAACTTTAAATAATGTATTAAGATTAGAAATAGAACAAACTCCAAAATGATATTAAGTTTTTGTGTTAAGATCATTAATGGAGGCCACGTGCAGTGGCTCCTGCCTATAATCCCAGCACTTTGGGAGACCAAGATGGGTAGATCACTTGAGGCCAGGAATTCAAGACCAGCCTGGCCAACATGGCGAAACCCCATCTCTACTAAAAGTACAAAAATTAGCTGGGTGTGGTGCTGTGGTCGTGCACACCTGTAATTCCAGTTACTCGCAAGGCTGAGGCATGAGAATCTCTTAAACCTGGGAGGCAGAAGTTGCAGTGAGCAGAGATAGCATCACTGCACTCCAGCCTGTGCAACAGTGAGACTCTGTCTCAAAAAAAAAATAAAAAGAAAAAAAAATCATTAATGGGCTGGGGAAGGGGAGAAAGCACTTAATCTTGCTGACTTTTCCTTCAAGTGTAAATCTTAATGGAGTCAAATTATAATCTTTTTTTCCTTAAGAACTGTTTATAATTTTTATATGTATACATGTATTGCCATGATAAATTGTTCAAGGTAGTTTTAAGTTGAAAAGGTAATTACAGGGCATTATCCCATTTAAAAAAATATCTTTATGAAAAAAATCTGGAATGGTCTAACTAAAGCTCTAAAATATGAATGGTTTTTATCTCCAGGTTAGCAGGATTGAATGTTATTTTTGTTGCTTGTTTTCACTTTTCTGTAGTGAGTCTATGTTGCTTTTGTAACCAAAACGGTAGCCTGAATTTTTTGCAACTATAATATATATATGTCTAGGCATCTGTTTTTTAGTTTTATATTTGTATGTGATTTCCCTCCCTTCTTAGGACACTAATACTGCAGAAGAAATTGATGAAGCATTGAATACAGCACACCATAGTTTCGAACAGTTAAGCATTGCTGGAAAAGTAAGCACTTTGCAGGATTAAATTCTATCATGAAGTGAAGCATGTCCTCTTTAAGTGTGTACATTTGGAGATGTTACCACTGAGGTTAGAGCTTAGCACTGAGTTATTAAGCATGATAATCTAAAAAAGAATGGAAAACTTTTCCCATAGCCTGCCAAGATTGGTCTTGTAACATTGTTGTGCTAGGAACTTAATAAAATTCCAGCTTTAATAAGGAACCATGACTTCTCCTTGCTATGAGCTGAATTTTGTCTCAGAAGCATTGCAGATTATCTTTTCAACATTTGCTGATTGTTTGGCTGTATCCCCCTTAGTGAGTCTCTTTCTCTCTTCCTACTCCACCTTCCAAAAGAGACTCTCTCATTTGGTGACACAAAACAAGTTCTTCAGCACCTAGCAACAAAATTTACAATTAAGGAGTTCAAAAGGTTATAGCTGATTATGTTGTGGCTGCTTTTTTGCATAGAAGGACATGACATTTTTGATTGGCTAAGGGTCACTATCAAAAGTCATTTCTCAAGAGGAATGAGAAATACGATAAAAGTAATAGAAGAGTTATGAGAGAAAAAAACAACATTGAGAGAAAAGGGGAAAAAATAATGTCACCTGTGATAAGCAATACTTAGTACCAGATATAGTGGAGAAGAGCAAATCAGTGGTAAATTAACTGGAGGTTAGGACTTCAGTATCTGAATTTGGGATAGTGGGGACACAATCCAACTAAAAACAGAGTGTTCTCTAGCCCTCAGTATTCATGTCCTTCTCCATGCAAGATACATTCACCCCATCCTGACACCCCCAAAAGTTTAACCCATTCCAGCATCAATTGTAAATATAAAAATCTCACCTTCTGGGCAGGCTCACTTGGTCATGCCTGTGATCCCAGCACTTTGGGAGGCCAGGGCAGGTGGATCACTTGAGGTCAGGAGTTCAAAACCAGCCTTGTCAACATGGCTAAACCCCATCTCTATTAAAAATTCAAAAGTTAGCCGGGCATGGTGGCACCCACCTGTAGTTCCAGTTGCTGGGGAGGCTGAGGCATGAGAATCGCTTGAACCCGGGAGACGGAGGTTGCAGTGAGCCAAGATCGTGCCACTGTACTTCAGCCTGGTTGATGGAGTAAAACTCCGTTTCCAAAAAAAAAAATTAAAAATTAATAAAAATTAAAATCTCACCTTCTAAGTTAGGTATGGGTGAAGACTCGATATACGATTCATCCTAGGGCAAAATTCATTTCCACTATGAGCCTGTGAAACGAGACAAGAACTTAGTTGCTTCTAAAATACATTGGTGAAACAGGAATAAGATAGACATTCCACATTCCCATTCTAAATTGGAAGAATCAGAAGGAAAGAAGGGGTCATGGATCTAAGCAACAATACTTAAAACTTCAAAAATACTAAGATTGTGTAATACTTAACATTTTAATTCAAGTATGGTTTCTACGGTTTTTTTTTTAATCCACGGGGTCCTATCAAAGAGAAATTCAGCTACTTAAAATGACTTGTTTCCTGTAATGATGAAAAGAAAAAAATTTAGTACACTCATCAGTGGATTTTTTTTAGGTCTTGTTGCCACATTATCAGTAGAAAATGCCAGTAAGGCCAGGTGTGGTGGCTCACACCTGTAATCCCAGTGCTTTGGGAGGCCAAGGCAGGAGGATCACTTGAGGCTAGGAGTTTGAGACCAGCCGGGGCAACATAATGAGACTTTGTTCCTCCCCACCACCAAAAAAAAAATTAGTTGGACATGGGGCTACGTGCCTGTGGTCATTGCTACTCAGGAGGCCAAGGCAGGAGGATCCCTTGAGCCCAGGAGTTCAAGGTTACAGTGAGCTATGCTCAGCCTACTGCACTCCAGCCTGGGTAACCAAGTGAGACCTGGTCTCAGTAAAACAAACAAAAAGATATGGTCTTGCTCACAAATAGTAAAACTTAATGTTGAACCTTGTGACTTATTCTATTTATATTATTATCTCTTTACCTCTTGTGTTATTTTGAAGAGTCTAGAAAGTACCTTTTACTTTCAAAATTCTACAACTTCTACAAAATAAAAATTCCCAAATTAAGTTTTTGTCTTGTTTTTTTTTTTTCCAGGCACTTGAACACATGCAGAAGCAAACGATAGAGGAAAGAGAAAGAGTTATAGAAGTTGTGGAGAAACAGTTTGACCAACTTTTGGCTTTTTTTGATTCCAGGTTAGTAACTTAAAAATATGGACTCAATGAAACTGAAGTTTCTAACACTAACTTGTCATTGTATTCCTTTGTTTAGAATGGTAATGGGTAACTTTTAAACAAGTTTGTAATGGGTAACTTTCAAACAAGTTTGGAAGTTGGTAGTCCCTACAGACTGATCTTTAGAACTGCAAAATGAAAAATAATGTGTAAGCTTTTAAAAATTTTGCCTATTTACCTTCTGGTGCTGAAGCTAATGGTGGTTTGTTTGAGACAGGGTCTTGCTCTGTTGCCCAGGCTGGGGTGCAATGGTGTGATAATAGCTCACTGCAGCCTCAAACTCCTGGGCTTAAGTGATCCTGCCACCTCAGCCTTCAAAGTAGCTGGAACTACAAGCCCACACCACTACATCCAGCTAATTTTGTGTTTTTTTTTTGTTGTTGTTGTTTTGTTTTCCGAGACAAGGGTCTCACTACATTGTCCATGCTTTTCCCAAACTCCTGGCCTCAAGAAATCATCCTGCCTCAGCCTCCTAAAGTGCTGGGATTACAGGTGTACATAACGGTGCCCAGCTGAAGCTGTTAACTGTTAAAGTAAACAAGCTTGAGCCAGGTGTGGTGGCTTACACCTGTAGGATTACATGGTGATCATCCTGTCTAAGCTCACTTTGGGAGGCTGAGATGGGGGGGGGATCTTTGAGCTCAGGAGTTTGAGACCAGTCTGGGCAACACAGCGAGACTCCATCTGTACAAAACAAAAAAAAATCAACCAGGCATTGTGTGCATTTCTGTAGTCCCAGCTGCATGGGAAGCTGAGGTGGGAGGATTGCTTGAGCCCAATTGTTGCTATTGGGTTATAGCAATTCTTTGTATATTTTGAATATGAAATTTTTGTCTATATGACTTACAATATTTTCTCCCATTTGTAAGTTGTCTTTTCACTCTCTCGATAATGTCCTTTGATCCACAAAAGTTTTTAATTTTATGAAGTCCAGTTTATTGTTTCTTTTGTTTCTTGTGCTTTTGGTGTCATATTCAAGATATCACTGCCAAATCTAACATCATGATGCCTTTTCCCTGTGTTTTCTTTTAAGAGTTTTATAGTTCTCACATTTAGATCTTTGATCCATCTTTAGTTAATTTTTGTGTATGGCATAAGGTAAGGATCCAACTTCATCCTTTTGAGTTGGATATCCAGTTTTCCCAGCACTATTTGTTGAAAAGATTGTCCTTTCCCCCACTGAATGTTCTTGGCACCCTTGTCAAAAATGAGCTCACCATATATGTGAAGGATTATTTCTGGGATTTCTGTTTTATTCCGTTGTTCTGTATGTCTTTCCTTATGCTAGTACCATGCTGTTTTGACTACTGTTGTTTTGTAGTAAGTTTTAAAATCAGAATGTGTGAGTCCTACAACTTTGTTCCTTTTCAAGATTGTTTCTCAGGGTCTCTTAAGATTTCATAGGACTTTTAAGATGGACTTTTCAATTTTCACAAAACAATGTCATTGAGATTTTGTTAGGGATTGCATTGAATTGTAGATCACTTTGTGCAGTATTGACATATTAATGATATTAAGTGTTCCAATCTATGCACATGGGATGTCTTCTCATTTATTTGTGTCTTAATTTCTTTCAGCAATTTCATATACAAGTCTTTCACCTCCTTTGTTTATTCTTAAGTATTTTCTTTCTTTTGATGCTATTGTAAAAGGGATTATTTCCTTAATTTTCTTTTGGGATTATTCATTGTTACTGTGTAGAAACACACCTTATTTTTATATTGATTTTTGTGTCCTACTTTTTTGCTGAATGCATTTATTAGCTTTAGTATTATTTTATGGCATCTTTAGGGTTTTCTGCATGTATGATCATGTCATCTGCAAATAAAATATTTTACTTCCTACAAAAAGATGATTTTACTTCTTCCTTTCCAATTCGAAAACCTTATTTCTTGTCTAATTGCTTTGGCTAGAACTTTCATTACTGTGTTGCACAGAAGTAGCAAAAGCAGGTACGTCTTGTGCCTAATGTTATAAGAAAAGCTTTCAGTCTTCACCATTGAATATCATGTTCACTATGGGTTTTTCCATATAGGGTCTTTATTATAGTGAGGTAGTCATCTTCTAGTTTGAGTGGTTTTATCATGAAATTGTGTTGAATTATGTCAGGTCCTTTTTCTGCATCAATTGAGAAACCACTTGGGCTTTTTGCTTTTTTCTTTTAATGTGGTATGTTACATCAATCACATGTTAATGTTTGTATGTTGAACTATCCTTGCTTTCCAGGAATAAATCCCACTTGGTCATGGTGTATAATTCTCTTACTATGCTGTTGAATTTGGTTTGCTAGTTTGTCTGAGGACTTTCTATCAATAGTTATAAATGATACTGCTCTACAGTTTTCTTTATGTGGTTTTGGGTAGTTTTGGCCTCATAGAGTGAGTTAGGGAACGTTTCTGCCCTTCAAGTATTTTGGAAGAGTTTGAGGAGGATTGGTGTTGATTATTACATGTTTGGTTCAATTTACCAGTAAAGCTGTCTGGTCTAAGGCTAAACTTTGTTGGGAGGTTTTTTGATTACTCATTCTATCTCCTTAGTCATGTCTGTACAGATTTTTTAATACTTTTATGAGTCAGTTGTGATAGGTTATGTGTTCCTGGAAATTTGTCTGTTTCACCTAGTTATATAATTTGTGTACAGTTGTTCATAATAGCCTTTTAATCCTTTTTATTTGTGTAAAATTGATAGTAATGTACCCAGTTTATTTCTGATTATAGTAATTTGATTCTTTTTCCTTTTTTTTGATGGATTCTCGCTCTGTCACCCAGGCTGGAGTGCAGTGGCGCGACCTCGGCTCACCAGAACCTCTGTATCCCGGGTTCAAGTGATTCTCCTGCCTCAGCCTCCTGAGTAGCTGGGACTACAGGCACCTGCCACCCGCCCAGCTAATTTTTTTTGTATTTTTAGTAGAGATGGGGTTTCACTGTGTTAGCCAGGATGGTCTCGATCTCCTGACCTTGTGATCCATCTGCCTCGGCCTCCCAAAGTGCTGGGATTACAGGTGTGAGCCATCACGCCTGGCCTGATTCTCTTTTCTTAGTGTGACTATAGGTTTAATTCTAATCTTGAAGTCAAACTTTTGCTTTCATTTTTCTTTGTTGTGTATTTATCTCTTCTCTTCTCCTTTATTTCCTTCCTTCTGCTTTGAGTTTAGTTTGGTCTTTTTCTAGTTACTTATGGTATATCGTTAGGTTGTTCATTTGCGAGCTCCTTTTTAAATGTGAGTATTTACAGCTATAAATTTCCCTCAGCATTGCTTTCATTGCATCCCATAAATTTTGTGTTCTTGCTTCATTTGCCCCAGATAATTTCCTAATTTCCCTTGTGATTTATTCTTTGACCCATTGGGATTTAGGAGCATATTGTTTTATTTTTACATGTTTATGAATCTTCCGGGGTTTTTTTCCTGTTATTTCTAGGTCATTCCATTGTAGTCAGAAAAGATACCTTGTAGGATTTCAATCTTTAAGTTTATTAAGACTTACTAATAAATGTTAATGAACATTAAACATTAGTCAGCATGGTCTTAACATATGTTCTGTCTCAAAATGTTACATGCACACTTGAGAAAAATGTTTATCCTCATGTTGTTGGGTATAGTGTTCTAAATATGTCTGTTGGGTCCAATCAGTCTATAGTGTTGTCCAAGTAATTTATTGCTTTATTGATTCTACACTGGTTGTTTTATCCATTATTGGAAGGGAGATATTGAAGTCTCTAATGATTATTGTAGACATGTCTATTTTTCCCTTTAATTCTGCAAATGTTTGCTTTATATGTTTTGGGGTTCTAATATTGGTGCATATATGCTTATAATTGTTACATTAAAGTCTATTTTGCCTAAAATTTGTGGAGCCACCCCAGCTTTTTAAATTATCGGCATGTATTATCTTTTTCCATCCTTTCATTTTCAACCTCTATATGTCTTTAGACCTAAAGTGAAATTTTTGTGGCAGCATATAGTTGGGTCATATTTTTTATCCATTCTTCAGATTTGTGCCTTTGGATTAGAGAGTTTAATTTATTTACACTTAAAATACTGATAAGGAAGTATTTTTGCCATTTGGTTTGTTTTCTGTATGTTTTATGGCTTATTTGTTGTTGCTTATTTCCTCCATTACTGCCTTTCTTTGTGTTTACTTGATTTTTTTCTTTTGTAGTCACAAATTTTGATTCCTTTCTCATTTCTTTTTGTGCATAGTCTGTAAATAGTTTTTATGGTTACCCATAAGGATTACATATAACATCCTGAAGTTATAACAATCTGTTTTGAGTAGTAGACAGCTTAACTTTAGTTGCATATAAAACCTCTACTGCTTTACAAATCTGCCCCCCTTTATTTTTTCGATGTCACAAATTACATTCCTCTATATTGTATACCTGTTAAGATAGATTGATATTTTACGTATTTGTCCTTTAAATTCTGTAGAAAATAAAAAGTAGAATTATAAATTAAAATTACACTAATATTGGTTTTTATGTTTGCCCATGTATTTACCTTTACCAGAGATATTTTTATCATTGTATGGCTTTGAGTTACTGCATAGCCTTCTTTCACATTAACGTGAAGCACTTTCATTAGCATTTCTTATAGGGAAAGTCTACTGGTAATGAACTCCCTCAGCTTTTGTTTATCTGGGGATATTTTAATTTCTCCTTCACTTTTGAAGAATACTTTGACAGCTTTTTTTCTTTTGGTGCTGTAAATATACATTGTCTTCGGGCCTCCAAGGTTTCTGCTGAGAAATTTGCAGATAATATTATTGAGGATCCCTTGTACTTGACAAATTGCATTTTTCTTGCAGCTTTCAGGATTCTCTGTGTCCTTCAGCAGTTGGAGTTCCTTGAGCTCTTAGATTTATAGATTCATGTCTCATCAAATTTTGGAAGGTTTTTTGCCATTATTTCTTCAAATAATTTCTGTCTCTTTGTCTCTCTCTTCTCCTGTGATTCCTATAATGCATACATTAGTCTGCTTGATAGTGACTCACAAGTACCTTAGACTCTGTTTACTTCTCTTCATTGTTGTTTTTATTTTTTTCAGGCTTCATTATTTTAATTGTCCTATATTCAAGTTGGCTCGTTCTTTCCTTCTGCCTGTCCAAATCTGCAGTAGAACCTTTGGTGGATTTTTTAAAATTACAATTACTGTATTTTTCAATACAATCTATGGAATTTCTGTTTGGTTATTTTATATAATTTCTCTATGTTGATATTATCATTTTGTCCCCTAGATCATTTTTCTGATTATTCTCTAGTTCTTTGTCCATATTTTTCTTGAGCTGTTTAAGCATATTTAAGACAGTTGTTTTAAGCCTATTGAGTCCAACGCCTGTGCTTCTTTGAGAACTGTTTTTACCATTCTGTTTTCTTCCTTTGAATGGGTCATGTTTTTCTGTTCCTTGGTGTGCCTTGTGGTATTTTTGTTGAAATTGGGCATTTGAGAAAATAGCTGCCTTCCCTTGTCTTTGCAGACTGGCTCTTGATGTAACAGTCCTTCACTGAGTGGTTGTGTGTGCCCTGAGCCTTGAGATCAGCCTGAGGTCAGGCTTAAGATCTTCTCAGATGTTTTCTGAGCATGCATCTTGCCTGGGCCTCAGTGTGGCTTTTTCAATTCCCCTGTATATATAACTGCTTTTATATGCCTTAATGTCCTAAAGAGTCTGAGCTCAGATTCTCCTCCAGGCCTTAGATGGTCTATTGTATGTCTCTACTTATAATCTCCTGCCTTCCACAAAATTTGCTTTTCTCTAATTATGTATACATAGCTTTTAACTATAATACATTTCAGTTCAATTTAATGCCTCATTTACCATGTTATATGTTAATTTTATCAACAAGTGAAAGTACCCTTTCAGATACAGTTCAGTTACTGTTTGCCTCATTTAACCATATTATGTAAAATTCATCAACTACTGAACTTACTCTTCAAGATACTATAGATCGACTTTTTCTATAAATATTTATGAAATACTGCAAAATAACTTTGGAATCTTAAATGAAGGAAAAAGAACCTGTGTGAAGAATTTGCAAGAACTACTGATGATTATCTATCAAATTTAATAAAGGCTAAAAGCTACATTGAAGAGAAAAAAAATAATTTGAATGCAGCTATGAACATAGCAAGAGCATTACAATTATCGCCTTCTCTAAGAACATACTGTGACCTGAATCAGGTAATTTAATAGTTCACAATGTGAGTTATTTCTGTGGTAGCTTATTTTACATGCTTTGGAATATATTTAAGACAAGAATTTGTTTTTCAGATTATCCTAACCTATATTATTATTTAGAATTCTAAATTGATGACAATATAGGTTAGGATAGTCTAAGTTATAATAAAATAATGTATGAAATCTAAGACAAACATTGTAAAATTTATATGACCTTTTGTTTTTTTTGACCAGTTAGGGAAATGGTGCAATTAAGTCTTTGTAACACTTGATCTGAGAGCAAGTAAGGTGACATTGAGGTGAAAGTTTAGGTTTCTAGGACACCCGATTAAAAAAATGAGGACAAATAAGGGTAGCAAACTGAATAGGACTCTATTTTGTTCACATAAACAATTTAGGTGTGGCTGTCAACTCTTAACGTTAAAATTTAATTCAAAATCCTAGTCAAGTTTTTCTCTTCCAATTCCATTCCAAATTGTGCAAGTCAAGAGACAGCTTCAGCCATCTCCTATCATCTAATCATGTGCCTGAGGGGTAGAATTGGGCAAAAAAACAAAAGTTTCTTATACTTTGACAGGACAAGATTAATCACAGATCTTTGCTGACTTCTGCCTCACTCCCTAAGGGTATAGGTTTTGCTTTAGTCATCTTTGAATCTTCAGGATCTCACTTCCCGTGGATAATCAGGTGTATAGAAGAGAAGCCATTAGTTTACCTGCCTCCAAAGTCTCTAACGTTAAATGAAAGGACAATTTGCCATGACCCTACTTGGCTAGGTGTCCCAGGCTTTAGTTCTAAAACAATAATAGTTGTTTCCTGTGTATTACACGTGCAACACTAGGTGATGAAAAAAATGATAAAATTTGGTCTTTATCCTAGTTAATCTAGCTAAGAAAATAGGGCAGAAAGGGAGAAAACTCTTGAAGATAGCAGCACAGTTGCAAAATGAATCTGATCGAGTTTTCTCTGATCATGTAGCTCTATCCTATTTCTTAGTGTCTATTGTTACCTTTTATACATATCTCCAAAAGTCATAAACACTTATTTGTATCCCTTTGAGTGCCCCAAATTGAGCCTGAATGCAATAATTAATGAAATACCTAAAAGATACAGTTTTCTTTCTAAAATCTTACTGTTCAGCAATATTTGTGACAAGATTCACACATGAATGATTTTTTTTTTAAATTCTAGATTATCCGGACTTTGCAGTTAACTTCAGATAGTGAATTAGCACAAGTTAGTTCTCCACAACTAAGGAACCCTCCCAGGTAAGTAAGTCATAGTTCAGGAGACCATAACAAGTATAAAGATGTGCTGGAACTTAAATGTATTAAAATAGCAAGTAATAATAAATTGAAATTTTGGGTCACAAATGTTTACTAAGTTAGTAACCAAATTAAGATAAGTGTAATTTGTGCTAACTTAGAAAGTTATTTAAATGTTTCCTTTTCAATTCATTAATGTCAGCAATTGATTTTTGTCTAGAGAACATGATACATTTGTATTAGAACATTTATGTATATGTTAATGTTTTATTATAGGTTGAGTGTGAATTGCAGTGAGATCATCTGTATGTTCAACAATATGGGAAAGATTGAATTTAGGGACTCAACAAAGTAAGTATTTATAAGCATGGTAACATGCCATTAGTGTCTGACAGTACTTACATTATCTAAGAGACAGAAGAATTGATGTTTAGTGTAATTCAAAAGCTGAAAAATAAAGGGCAAAATAGTTTCTATAGTTAAATTCTACATATAATGTTTTTTAAAAGGCCTAGAAGGGATCAGTATTCAGCAATATACATGTCGAAGTTATCTTTGAGATTGATTCAGTCAGCAAGCATTGAACACTGCTAGGCACTAACACCCTAGATATTGAGATAAATGTCCGAGAAATTACAATAAGTAGAGGAAGAAGGACATGCAAACAATAAAATGCATAATTGCTAGGGTAATGTATGCAGAATTTACTTGAGGTGCCAAGCAAGGGAATGATCAGTTCTTACTGGGGTAACAGGACTTGGAAAGATATTTTCTTTTCCCTTATCTATTAAAATTAAGTAGCAAGTAGAAAGGAGGAGAAAAAGGAAGTATGCATCTTATAGGCAGTGAATATATGGGCAGTGAAATAGCATGCTAGGTTCAGGGAATGGTGTATATAATTCCATTCTCTATGTCCCCAAGGATACATAGATGCTAAGTCTTAAAGACTTTGTATGCTGTCTGATGATGTTTGAACCTTATGATCCATGCTGTCCAGTATAGTAGCCACTAATCACATGTAGCTATTTAAATTTAAACATAAATTAATTAAAACTAAATAGAATTAAAATCCAGTTCCTCAGTTCCATTAGCCCACATTTCAAGTTCTCAGTAGCCACATGTCGTTAGTGACTACCTGTCTTATTCTATTTGTGCTGCTATAACAAAGTTTAAAAAGAACAGATGTTGTTTATTCTTCTGTAACTCATAAAGAACAGGTGTTTATTTGCTTGCAGTTCTGGCGGCTGAGAAGCCCAAGATCATAATGCTGGCAGATTTGGTTTCTGGTGAGGGCCCTGATCTCTGCTTTAAGATAGCACTTTGAATGCTGTGTCCTCACATGGCAGAAAGCATGGAAGAGCATAAAAGGGACAAATAACTATCTTCACAAGGTGGAAGAGCAGAAGAGCAAAAAAGGGCATAAGCTAGTTCCCTCCAGACTTGTTGTAAGGCACAAATCCATTCATGAGGGCAGAGCCCTCATTGCTTGATCATTAATTTCCCCAAAGGCCCCACCTCTTAATGTCACCACAATGGGAATTAAGTTTCAACATGAATTTTGAAACATTTAGACCAAAGCACTGCTATATTAGACAATGTGGCATATTTCTATTATCACCAAAAGTTCTGTTGTACAGTATAGTTCTAGGGAGTAGAAAGCCACTAAAAGGTTTTAAGCATGAAAGTAAAAATTATTAGATTACATTTTTTAGGGATAATTTTGATGGCCATTTGGGGGATTATTTGGCGTAAGAGGATGACAGTGAAGGCTGAAGGATCACTTAGGCCATCATATCAGTAGACTCAGCAACTCATGAGAACTAAAACTTAACTAATAGCACTGGATAGGGACTGAGAATAGATATGACAAATGCAAAATAGGGAAAATTAATAAAACTCAGTAATGCTTGAACGTGAGGCATGAGGAAAAGGGAAGCATCATCAATGGTTTGTTACGCTTTGGTGACTAAGTCGATGGATTGTGGTATTCATCAAGATTAGGAATACAGGAAGCAAAGTAAGTTGGGAGGGGGAAGATAGTATGTTGAGTACTTACTGTTTACCAGCTTTCTGGAGAGAAATGTGTACAGCTTAATTGGATATGAATGCTGAAACTTAAGAGATCTTGGTCTTGATTCTGGGTTTAGGAGTAATCAGAATATAGATGTAGAAACCACCAAAAGAGAAATAAGTTCTTTCATTGTAGGTGGATTGTCTCCAATGGAAATGGTCCCCTGAGAAAAGCAACGCATTTGTTACCTTAGGGAACAAATTAGTCTGGCTCACAGTATTACCATTTCAGAAGCACATAGGATGATGTATACTCTAAGCCAGGTAAATTCATATAAACCAAGGTCACAAAACTGATGTGTAGTCAAAATGCCAGTTTGTTAACTTAATGGATAAATATAATTGTGAACAGGGACTAGAACTGAGGAGCTAACTTGTCAGAAGTTACTTTTTTGGTAATCTTTTTTGAATAAAGGGAATAAAATTAATCAGATAGGTTAACAGAATTAGGCTAAGATAGCTGATTAGATTCCTCTCCATCAGAGGGAAGACCTTGCCAGAGGAAGTGGAATACCAGTCCTTCGGCTCAGTCATCTTTCTCCATGCTTGGGAGAGCCCTGCCCCATATTTACTGCTGTGACTTGACTTTATGCTTACATGGATAATCAACAACCTTTGCAATCAATATGTTCTTTTTGACATTTTCACAACTTGAATATGGTTACTATCCGCATTTCTAAGACACTAAAAACTATTCTGCCTCTTTAAGCATCTGTACTGATCTTCTACTTTAAATTTAACTCTGAGAGCTGCCTTTTAAATTTTTTCCTAGTTTTTAGGGAAAGTATTAGTATAACCTGCATGTACTGATTACAAATGGTAGTTAAACCATGGGTTTGCACAGTAAGAGCAGGTATTCAAACAGGTCAAGGACAATACCCTGGAAGGATACTAAAATTTAAAGCAGAGAAAGGGTAATCTGTAAAAAAAAAACTTGAGAAGGAGCAGACAGAAGTTGAAGGAGAACAGAAGTGGTGTTGTATAAGTCAAAGCAGAGGTTTATGACACCGGAGCTGATTAATAATGTTGCATGTCTCAGGTCTAATAAGAATTGTTATGAAAAGAGACATTTAGATTGCAAGGTCGTGTACATATATATGACTCTCAGTTGTTTGGACTTCAACATATATCAATTTTACTTAGTTAAATGTATGTCCTCTGTTGGAAGAGGCAGATAAACATGCATCATTGCTAAATCCAGTTGGCTTTGTTGATCGTTATTTCCACAGTGGCTTCTTAAACACTGATCTGTGAAGAAGCTAAATCCATCATGGAATAACTAAAATATAAACTTCATGAAACCCAATCTTATCTCATTGTAAAATTTCTATACTTGTAGATTTGATAGCCTAAAAACTGTCTGGATATGTGGAGAAAATAGAAAAATATGGAGTAGAATGGATAAATAACTGGCAGTGGGTCAGTGGCTATTGAATAATCATGCCCAAAAGATTCAGATTAATGTCCATGGTGGGAGTTTCTAGTGACTTATTCATGGTTGTACCATATACCTCTGTATTCATAGCTTATATCTCTGTATTTTTAAACAGATGTTATCCCCAAGAAAATGAAATTAGACAGAATGTTCAAAAGAAATATAATAACAAAAAGGAACTTTCTTGTTACGATACATACCCACCGCTAGAAAAGAAAAAGGTTGACATGTCTGTCCTAACCAGTGAAGCACCACCACCTCCTTTGCAACCTGAGACAAATGATGTACATTTAGAAGCAAAAAACTTCCAGCCACAGAAAGACGTTGCAACAGCATCCCCTAAAACCATTGCTGTGTTACCTCAGATGGGATCTAGCCCTGATGTGATAATTGAAGAAATTATTGAAGACAACGTGGAAAGTAAGTTAAAATGTAAAAGCAGAGGGGAAAGATCTTGTATCTGTAATTAGACACAGTTGGTACCTTTTTCGTCCATGCATTTAACAGAAATATAATTGCTGTTATAATCTTATTCCTCATTATGAGTTAAAACCTGTTCATTCCATGCCCCTACTCTCACATTTTCCAGAGTTAGGATAATTTTTATTTTTAATGCAGTAATATAGCTAACCTCTGAGGTATAAATTAATATCTGGTTTAATTAGGGTATTTTGAGATTTTTTAGTGTTCTCACATATAAGCCTTGTATAAAAGATATAAATAGAGAGATGTGATTTGTGGACATAGTTTTATTACTTTCTTTGAATTAAGAACATCTCTTCAATCTTTGTTGTGAGATTTAATATAAACTATCATGATTACAATGTTATCTATTTTATGACATTTAAATGTATCACAGTTGTATTTGATTAGATTTTCAATGTCAGTATTCTTTCCATTAACATGGAGTGAGATACTACACTATGTAGTTTTATACTAATAGTCTCCTTTAAGACCATTTTTCAAGATCAGCTTTTATTTTCCCCTACCCGTTGTCTATTTTATTGGTTGACTCTCCAGAATTGCATTTTAGAAAAGGACACACTTCTTTCCACTGTATTATCATTGATGTCTCAATTACTTAAGATACCTGTAATAACTTTATTCATTGATACAAGGGATGTTGCCATTCCAGTGTTTTGCCAATTTCAGTACAGCTTTTTAAAAACTAGCATGTCATTGTTAACATAGTTAGTACAAGTTGTCTTTATTTCTTATTTTGATGAAGCATGCGGCACAGATGATCTTGGGGAGACACCTAGATATCCAAAAAAGCCTCTTCAGAAAAACTCATCTGTTCCTTTTGGATCAAAAGCAGATACTGTAACAACTGTCTGAGCTTGATGTAGTGGAGTTTACTGTATGTGTAGTAAGTAGCTCTTACCTAGTGTGAGGTAGTAAGTAAAGTGAATTTCACTGATAACTAAAACATATTACTTTCTAATGTTAAAAGTTTTAATTCCGGGGCCAGACACCATGGCTCACACCTGTAATCCCAGCACTTTGTGAGGCCGAGGCACATGGATGATTTGAGCTCAGGAGTTCGAAACCAGCCTGGGCAACATGGTGAAACCCTGTCTCTACAAAAAGTACAAAAACATAAGTGAGTGTGGTGGTGCACAACTGTGGTCTCAGCTATTCAGGAGGCTGAGGTGGGAGGATCACTTGAGCCTGGGAGGCGGAGGTAGCAATGAGCTGAGATCCCACCACTGCACTCCACCCTGGGTAACAGTGAGACCTCATCTCAAATAAATGAATGAATGAGTGTTTTGACTCTGGCAGAAATATTCCCCCCAATAAAAAAAATATTTTTTGAGACAGAGTCTTACTGTGTTGCCCAGGCTGGAATGCAGTGGCGCGATCCTGGCTCACTGCAACCTCCTCAGGCTCAAATGATTCTTGTGCCTCAGCCTCCGGAGTAGCTGGGATTATAGGCACATGCCACAATCCTCAGCTAATTTTTGTATTTTTAGTAGAGATGAGGTTTCACCATGTCAGCTAGGCTGATCTCAAAACTCCTGTCCTCAAGCGATCCTCCCTCCTTGGCCTCCCAAAGTGCCGGGATTATAGGCGTGAGCCATCGTGCGCAGCCAGGAATATTTCCAAAATTTATACTTCTCTCAGATGTCACCCCAGTTGTATGTGTTTATCTTTTTACCCCACCCTAAATATGGGCATTATTCTTTATATTTTCTATTGGATAGTTAAAATGACCCATTTGTTCAGTTTCTGTCATCTATCTATACTTGACTATATTCATTTCCACTCCTCCTAGTCTTTGTTTTTTAAACAATTTTACCATGTAAACATTTACCTCATTCAGAAATTAAATATATATTAAAATATTATGTGAAACTTCCCCCCATCCTATTCCCATTCTATTCAGTGTCTCCATCTCTTCCACATTTTCTTTATGCATTTATAAATAAACACACACAAATTATTTTTCCAAACTTCTCTCTCCCTCTCTCTCTCTATGTGTGTGTGGCGGGGGTGTCTTTTTTTTTTTTTTTACACAAAACGTAGCATACCACTGTTTTGTTTTTGCATTCCTTCCTTAACATTGTACTTTGGAGATCTTTTCATATTAGTGAAGACACTTGGCTTAAGAAAATTTTCTGACTGTCTTTACCTCTACTCACCCCACCAAAAAGCACACGCATTCCCCTAAATGCTGCTCAGTACTTTGGCTTTGCCTAGACATTTTTTCACATCTGATTTATAAGACTAACCTGATTTATAAGACTTGGGAGTCAGAGTGGCTATGAGCTGTATTGGTTCTATAGGTAGAGTATAGATGGAACTGGCTTTTGTAGGTTATCCTAGAAACCTAATCATTATCAGTAGGGGTTCTGAGTTCCAAATATGTTCATAAAGAAACTGAACTTTTGTAATACAGTAGAGTTACAGCATATACGTTGACTTTAGAATCTTAACTATCACATAGACTATGATTTCATTTATTTAGCGTATTTTGCAAGTATTATGAAGTATTTGCAGTTCAGGTTACTAAAGAATTCATTGTTGAAAGTGATCCATTTGTTTTATCAATCATTTAGGGCTTGCACTACTTCCTGGGGCCGACGTGCGATATTCCCAGAGTTCACAATGCCATAAGACACTCTTTTAGAGGCTATTATGGTTGTTCAGCTTTCATGAATTATTTTCTAACTCATGGTTTATTAATGTGACTTAAACATTTTTATCCAGGTTCTGCAGAGCTAGTTTTTGTAAGCCATGTAATAGATCCTTGCCATTTCTACATTCGGAAGTATTCACAAATAAAAGACGCCAAAGTACTGGAGAAGAAGGTGAATGAATTTTGCAATAGGAGTTCACACCTTGATCCTTCAGACATTTTGGAACTAGGTAATGAAATATTAGTCCAAGTTAAAATATCAAATTTATTTAAATAATATAATAACTTGGCCAACCCACATAAGACTTGTTATAATATAGATTTTTGCTCTAAGTTCATTTGTAGTAAGCATAAAAGTTTTAGGATTATTTAACATAAATTATTTAGGCAAATTAGCTAAGGATTAAGATGGAATGTTGGCACATTTTTTAGAGTGAGATATGTACAGAAACTCCATTATGTAGTAGGGCGAATTTCTTTTAAAACTACAAGACCCATGACAGATTATATAGCCTGTCCCCTTGTCTCCATGAAGAACTGTGCCTGTAAGATGATTCTTGTGTAACTCCAGTCTCTTGCTCGCCATGTGTGAGTGTTGGGGCTAGCATTGAGCACCTGAGATTCAGGAGGCCTGTGGCACCCATTCCCAGCGCCCTACAGAGGATAATTGTAAATTCAGTCAGTCTTTTAATTGTGAGGATATGTGAATTTGCCATGCTTCGGGCTTTTGTTACGAGTATTTTTCTTATAACGTTGACTGAATTTGATTGTACCTTGTAATATGAGGAAGCTATGATTCATTTGTATTAATAGAGTATTTTTCTCATTATGTTAGTAGCAATCAATACCTATATATAACTAATACAGAAAGTGTTTATCTGTCTAGTCTTGATTGTCATTTAAAAGTATGATTAACTCTCAGCTCATCTGTGTAACTTTTCAGAATATCAGAAGAGTAGGATCATCATATACTTTGACAAAAATGAATAGTAATTCTAAAACTTAAAAAATAACATTTATGCTATGTGAGCTGGGAACATTAGGTTGTTAGTATCTAAGAGGAGGGAAGTGTAGTACTGAATTCAGTTTTTGTGGTTGCAAATAATGTGTCTAAAATGTAATACATTCCAAAAATAGCTTATTTTCAGAAAATGTTCTAAGACAGCCAGAAAGTTGTGCTTTAAGTTGTTAATGATAATTATGTTGGCAAAGTAAATACAGCTGATTAAAACACTCATTTATATTTTGAGAAATTAGTGATAAGGGAAGACATGTGAATTGTTGATTTAGCAGAGGAGAGTATCCTCTTGTTCCCTTTTCCTGCCTCTGTACTTCATCATGAAGAACAGTAAATGGCTTCAGCAGACTTTTATCCATTGAAAGAAAGAATAGTTTTATAGAATATATACAGCAGGTCTTCAAATAACATTATCTCATTATAATTTTGATGAGAAAAAAATCAATTCCTGGTTTGGGCAAATGTCTGTGTTGAGTTTGCACATTCTCCCCGTGTCTGTGTGGGTTTTTTCAGGTACTCTGGTTTCCTCGCACATCCTAAAGATGCACACGTTAGGTTAATTGGTGTGTCTACATTGTCCCAGTCTGAGTGGCAGGGAGAGAGAGAGAGAGAGAGACAAAGAGTGTGTGTGTGTGTGTGTGTGTGTGTGTGTGTGTGTGTGTTTACCCTGCAATGGAATGGTGTTCTGACCAGGATTGTTTCCTGCCTTGTGCCCTGAGCTGCCTGGATGGGCTTCAGCCACCCTCGACTCTAGAATAAGCGGGTTGGAGAATGAATAAATAAATATATATTATCATAAAATTCATAAAGTATTTGATAACTATACAAATACATGACAATAAATGATGCAGTACAAAAGCGCTCTGTGAATCCACCTTATTTATGATTGTTTTTGAACTGTGGTGCCAGGAGGTACTCCTTACAATTCTCACTTTGCAAGCTGTAATTCTTTGAGTTAACCCACTACCACTATGACTGCCGTCACTCACTGATTCACCAAAAATTGAGTAAATATCTTACTTGTTCATCTTTCTTAAATGTACATTTAGCTCACACTTGTTTCAGTATTTAATATTAGAAGTGTTTGGGGTCTTTATAAGTTTGATGATGTTTTTGTGACCAGAAATACACGTAGAAACTTAACTCTTGTTTATATCAATTAGCCTATGTGGTAAGATTGGTTTTGTTACGCCATTTTGCTTAAAGTCACAGTTTCTAAGAATGTATCAATGACATTAAGTGGGGATTTACTATATTTTAAAACTAAGAATGTTGGTACAGTAGTGTAGCAAAATAAGAGAAGGGTCACTGACAAACTGAAGATCAAACGTTTTGGTAGGACTTAAAAGGCTGCCTATAATGTGCTTTTCAACTATCCTGTTGTTATTAGCATATACAGAGGAGATTACACAGCATCTCTCTGTATATAATCAGTGATCAGAATTTACCAGATTCATTTCCAAAATATGTAGTTTAAATGGGCTCTAAGACTACCTGAGTTCTCCTGCTACTTCTTCTAAGTAGCCATGTGAGTTGGGCTAGATTAGGTTTTCTACCTAGTTTTCCTCACCTATGATAGGAACAGTACCTTCGTAGGGTTGTTGTGGGGAGTAAGTGAATTCAAACAAAACACAGAACATTTCTGAGCTCATAGTAAGCATTCACCTGTGGGCCTTTTTTTTTGTTTGTTTGATCTTCTTTTTTCCTGGTTGTTAATTTGTAATCCAACTGGTCCCTACAAAGGTCTTCCTCTACAGCTAAGTCTTTAGTTCATCTTCCCTCTTCTCTGAAAACCACTGGGTGCCAATAATTTTGGCATTTCACAGGCTACCTTTCATTGTTTTACTCTCACTCCCCTTTACAAAGAGAAGATAATTGTTTCTTCTCTCATTACAAACTTTAATATGTGTATGTCAGTGTACATGTGTACATCACAAAGACAGATGGTCTTGCTTGTAAGTACAGTGTAATTATGGTAATTAATTTGCCTGTCTCTCTTCCTTTCTTGAGCTTCTTGATGGCAAGACAGTCTCATTCATCTTTGTTCTTATTGCTCATAAGCTGGTTGTCATTAAGTGACTGCTAACTTAGTATTCTTTAGGTGTTTATCTCCCTATTTAGCTTGTTTCTGTATAACAAACTATCATAATATGCTGTATTATATCTTTCTTATAGCACTTGAACACAGTGCTATATCATCATTAAATAAACGAATTAAGACTTTTTCGTGGTAGAACTAACGTGTCTGTAAACTTATGAAGTGGCTTTTATTGATAAATGTTTATAACGATTTGTTTCCCTCATTATTTAGGTGCAAGAATATTTGTCAGCAGTATTAAAAATGGAATGTGGTGTCGAGGAACTATCACAGAATTAATTCCAATAGAGGGTAGAAATACCAGAAAACCTTGTAGTCCAACCAGATTATTTGTCCATGAAGTTGCACTAATACAAATATTCATGGTAGATTTTGGAAATTCTGAAGTCCTGATTGTCACTGGGTATGATATTTTATAATATGTATCCTTGGCCTGCTTAGAAACATTTTGGAGGGAGGTGGAGTTAAAGAATAAAGGAAATTAGAGGTAGAGAGGAGTAATTTGTCATTCTTAACTTCCAAGACATACGTTTTATTATTTTGCTCTACTGTTGTCTTGATAAGTAAAACTTTATCATTTACCAGTATTACTAGATGGAGAGCTTAGAAAAGGAACTCCAAACTTAAGTACTCTTCTTATGTCACTTTAAAGCAGGGAATAATACACAAACTAATTCTTTTAAATGTTACAGTTAGCAACAGATGATTGAGTTAAATTTTTAATCAGACTTCTGTAATTTCATTAATGTTTTTCAAAGTGTCATACTGTCTAACTCACTGTAGGTATTTTAAATGGTTTTCTCTGTCTTCTAGGAAAATAATACAAACTGATATGTTTCTGTAGTAAGGACCAGTATTAACCATAGCATGATCACTTAATGGTTATAGCTTTATGAATAAGTAGATTTATATGGGGGGAAGTGTCATTATCTCCTTTAAGTTCAAACTGCATGAGTATGTGAAAGTGCAAATGTAGCTGAGATTTCTTTCTGTGGAGGAAAACTGTCTCTGCTTATAAAAGCTAAACTAAGTCTATATAGTAAGAAAGTATTAATTTGGACTATAACTTTCTAAAAGGTGTAACTTAAGAAAAATTATACTTAGAAATGCATACCTTCTGTGGGGGAAAACAAATTTAAGTTTGAAGCATTATTTTCAATAAATATTACTTGAATTTCTCCTAGAGTTGTTGATACCCATGTGAGACCAGAACACTCTGCTAAGCAACATATTGCACTAAATGATTTATGTCTGGTTCTAAGGAAATCTGAACCATATACTGAAGGGCTGCTAAAAGACATCCAGCCATTAGCACAACCATGCTCATTGAAAGACATTGTTC
Organism: Homo sapiens; assembly: GCF_000001405.40. Taxonomy (NCBI): domain Eukaryota; kingdom Metazoa; phylum Chordata; class Mammalia; order Primates; family Hominidae; genus Homo; species Homo sapiens. Next base: position 24,800,524 of record NC_000013.11, read on the forward strand.
CACAGAATTCAGTAAGTGAGACTTTAATTATTTTTTCCTTCAGAGGTTATTACAATTTTAGCTATGTATTGCCAGTTAGATTGCTAAGTATAGGCTCAGGGAACCAGTAATCTTGATAAATACATAGTGCATATTAAACTGTTAGTTCTAATAGAAAAGGAAATGAACTTCGGCTTCCACAATTGAAAACATTTTTAATGGGAAATGGAGTTGAATAAGCATATATTAACATAATGATTGGTTAAGTATCTGAGTAAAGCAGTAATTTTGGAGTCAACTATACAGAGAAATAAGTTTATGATGTGTGTGTTTCTCTACAGTATTTTCTTATTTCCATTGCCCTTTATTATTCTATTTAATGGCCATATTGCATTCTGCGTTTTGTATTATTTATGAAAATCTATTCTCCAGCAAGATTGTAAACTCTTAAGAGACAGAAATTGTAACAATACATGTTAAGCAGTTGTATTCTTACAAGGTCTATGAGAGCAGAGGAGTCTGTCTTTGCTCATCGTTGTATTCCCAGCATTTAGCAGATCACATGCCACATAGAAGGCATTCAACACATACTTGAAATAACAAATAAGTTAATTTAAAAAAAAGGAAACACAAAAATAGCAGCACTGGTGTTTTCTTTAAAATGATGAGTGTTTTGTTTTTAATTTTCTCTTTTTTAACTTTTCACATTTTTACACTGAGTAGATTTTACATTTATAATCATAAAAACTTCAGAAAGCTATTCTCTTTTTTTGTTTTTAAGGAATTTCTGGTTTTGATCCTGAAATTTACTTTCAATATGTTACGTAAATGTTCAAAGATCAACATAAAAAGTTTTTTGGCTGGTTTTGGTGGCCCAAGGCTGTAATTCCAGCACTTTGGGAGGCCGAGATGGGAGGACCGCTTCGGCTCAGGAGTTTGAGACCAGCCTGGGCAACATGGTGAGACCCTGTCTACCAAAAATACAAAAATTAGCCAGGTGTGGTAGTGCACCATGAAGGCTGAGGTGGAAGGATCTCTTGAGCTTGGGAGGCGGAGATTGCATGAGCTGAGATTATGCCACTGCACACCAGTCTGGGTGACAGAGTAAGACCCTGTCTCAAAAGAAAAAATTGTTTGCCCAGTGGGTGGATTTTTTTTTAAATCACTTAAGTAGCATAAATCTTATGCATTGCTAGTAATGGAAGCTAGATTAACTGATGATTGTAAATTTTTAGATTTTATTTTAGGCATACCTATACTTTCAGAATTACCTTTTGAATTTTCATCTAAGTGGAAAATTGAATACTTATTTCTTTCATTTTGAGATCTTTCTTTATAACCTTCATATTAATATTCAAAAGTGAAACTAAATTCTAAAGTAAAACCTTGAGAATATATTTATAAAGTGAAGGTATATGCACGTTGTACATTCATAAAGACTGCCCCTAAGTTTGTGGCCCTGGCTGTTTCTATTTTTCTTTCTTTTCTTTCTTCTTTTTTTTGAGATGGAGTCTTGTTCTGTCGCCCAGGCTGGAGTGCAGTGGCATGATCTCGGCTCACTGCAACCTCTGCCTCCCGGGTTCAAGCAGTCCCCTGCCTCAGCCTCCCGAGTAGCTGGGATTAAAGGCACCTGCCACCACGCCCCGCTAATTTTTGTATTTTTTGTAGAGACAGGGTTTCACCATCTTGGCCAGGCTGGTCTTGAACTCCTGACCTTGTGAGTCACCACGCCCGGCTGCCCTGGCTGTTTCCTAATGTCTGCGGTTGGTTCAGTTTGTTCGCAGTTGCGTCTGTGGTTGGTACAAACCTAAATCCAGAACATTGTAACATTAGCGATACTTACAATTAATTACTATGGAATTTTACTTTCTTGCACAGAATGAAGGCTGGGAAGAGGAAGCTAAAGTGGAATTTTTGAAAATGGTAAATAACAAGGCTGTTTCAATGAAAGTTTTTAGAGAAGAAGATGGTGTGCTTATTGTAGATCTGCAAAAACCACCACCGAATAAAATAAGCAGTGATATGCCTGTGTCTCTTAGAGATGCGCTAGTTTTTATGGAACTAGCAAAGTAAGTAACTTATTAAAACTTAAATATTCTTTGAGATTATAGCTATAAATGAGAGTAGCAGATTTTGCCTTTAAAAACCATGTCTGTAAAGTAAACCTTAACATACCTGAAGAAGTGAAAAATATTGCTCTTAGACTTTTCTGAGTACAGTTGTTGTCTGTGAAAACTGGATTCAGATAATTGGATTTAAGAAAATAGGCTGGGCAGGGCGTCTCACAACTGTAATTCTAGCACTGTGGGAGGCCGAGGAGGGAGGATTCCTTGGGGTCATGAGTTTGAGACCAGGCTGGGCAACATAGCTAGACCTCGTCTCTACAACGAAATACAAAAAGAAATTAACCAGGCGTGGTGGCATGCATCTGTAGTTCCAGCTTCTCAGGTCAGGAGCTGAGGTGGGAGGTTTGCTTGAGCCCAGGAGTTCGAGCTATGCTCTTGCCACTGTACTCCAGGTTGGGTGACAGAGTGAGACACCCTGTCTGTAAAGAAAAACGAAAATTAGAAAAATTAGAGAAATTAAGGTAGCTCAAAATATAAAGTATGTATAAATACCTAACATCTTTTGGACTCTTGATAACTATTAGCAGCTGTATGAGGATTTCAATAATTATAGTTTAACTGTTCCTAAATTTTCCTCAATTTTGTAGCCTTTGGAATGAGTTCATGATCACTACCCTATATTCAATGTATGAATCTAGAATAGATGTTTAAAGTTTCTTTGTCCATCATTTCTTTTTTGTTTGTTTGAGACAGAGTCTTCATCCCATCACCCAGGCTAGAGTGCAGTAGCACAGCCTCAGCTCATTGAAACCTCTGCCTCCCCAGGTTCTGGTGATTCTCATGTCTCAGCCTTCCCAGTAGCTGGAATTGCAGGCACACGCCACCACTCCCGGCTAATTTTTGTATTTTTAGCAGAGACAGGGTTTCACCTTGTTGGCCAGGCTGGTCTTGAACTCCTGCCCACCTTGGCCTTCCAAAGTGCTGGGATTACAGGCGTGAGCCACAGTGCCTAGGCTGTCCATCATTTCTGATGACTTAAGTAACCATAGAGGTAGTCAAAGATTCTAATTTTTACCTTGGGTGATTGGGAATGGAACCCAAGCAGGTTCCATTCTAGAAAAATACAAGTAGTCTTGGATCTGGAAGGAGCCACAGAGACCCTTCAGCTGACACAGACCACAGATATCAATGTAACACAAAAAATAGAAGCAGCTTTGAATCTAAGTACGACATGAAAGCCTAGCTCTAAAGTTTTGAGACTTGATATCTTATTTAACCTGGTTTGATAATTGAAGACAATACCAAGAAATGTTAGAAGAAAGAAATTGGAAGATGAGCGCTTTTGGTAAATAAGTCAGTACATGTACAAGTCCTTCCTTTAGATCAAGTCACTGAGAGAAAAGAGACTAAGAAAATGGCTTGGCCAGGTATGGTGGCTTACACTTGTATCCCAGCACTTTGGGAGGCCAAGGCAGTAGGGTCGCCTGAGCCCAGGAGTTCAGGGTCAACCTGGGCAATGTAGGGAGACCCTGTCTCTACAAAAATTAGCCAGGTGTGATGGCATGCCCCTGTGGTCCCAGCTACTTGGGAGGCTGAGGTGGGAGGATTGCTTGAGCCCAGAAGGGTAGAGGCTGCAGTGAGCCATGATAGCACCACTGCACTCCAGCCTGGGTGACAGGGTGAGACCCTGCTTACGCTTTTCATTATGCTTTTAATTAGGTTTAAGTCACAATCACTAAGAAGTCACTTTGAAAAAAATACTACTTTACACTATCATCCACCTATTTTGCCTAAAGAAATGACAGATGTTTCAGTAACGGTTTGTCATATAAATAGTCCTGGAGATTTCTATCTTCAGTTGGTAAGTATATAATGTGTTTTTGAAATGAAGTTTTTAAAAAAATTTTAATTAGACATGTATAACAAGAATGAGTATCTACCGTCAATTTTAGTCAGAGCAAACGTACCACTGTTAACCTTCTATACGTTTAAATTTCTTAGTAGTTGCAACTTCAAACAAGTTTATATGATTTATCACAAATTGAAAGAACAATGAAGGATAATTAATGTATAAATGTTTCTTGCTACCTTCTGAAATCTGGAGACTAGGAAAGCATATAGAGTTAGCAAATAGAAATATAATGATAAAATAAATTTTTTTCTAACCTGTACCTCTGAAAATTTACCGATTATTATTAGGTGTTTTCTGAATTTGAACACCAAAATAGACACAGATTAAAGGCATTTCGTATTGAACTTTGGATGTGTGACTGATGTGTTTAGATAGTAACAATAATAGTTCATCCTTATTGATTTCTGGGTGCTTTATATGATTTAACTCATCATAAGGCCCTTAAGACTTTAAGGGAATTAACTCATTAATCTTTGCAACAATCCTGTGAGAAAGACACTGTTGTCTCCATTTGAATGTGGAGACCCTAACCACAGAGATGAAGCATCTTGCCCAAGATCACACAGCTCTGAAAGGGTAGAACCAGGATTGACCAAGCTTCAGAACTTGTCGTCTCAAGCACTGCATCACACTGTAGTGGCTCCTCAAATGAGTTGTGGAAGCTCCTTATCTAAGTTAGGATTTGCGTTTATTTCTTTTGTTGATTTTTTACAGCGTCTTTTATGGTAAAATATACATAATATAATTTTATAGTTTTTAATAATTGTTCAGTGTACCATTCAGTGCCATTAAGGCCATTAAGTGTTGTGCATCCATTTCCAGAGCTTTTTATTTATCTCAAACAAAAGCCCTGTACCTATTAAACAATCACATACCATTTCTTCTCCCCTAGTCCCTGATAAACTTCTGTTCTACTTTCTGTCTCTATGAAATTGCCTATTCTAGGTACCTCTTAAGTGAAATCATATACAATGTTTCCTTTTGTATCTGGCTTCTTTCACTTCAACTTAATGTTTTCAAGGTTCCTATTATGTAGGATGTATCAGAATTTCATTCCTTTATATGGCTGAATAATATTCCATGTATGGATATACTACATTTTGTTTATCCATTCATCTATTGATGGCCATTTGGATTGTTTCCACCTTTTGGCCTATGTGAATAATGCTGCTATGGACACTGGCATGAAAGTATCCATTTGGGTCTCTGCTTTCAGTTCCTCTGGTATGTATAATACCTAGGAATGATTGCTGGATTATATGGTAATTTTATGTTTAACTTTTTGGGGGAACTGCCGAACTGTTTTCTACAGCAGCTGCAGTTTTACATTCTTACCAGCAATCCACAAGGTTCCAATTTCTCCACACCCTCATGAACACTTGGTTTTTTTTTTCTTTTTTAAATAACATTCTTTTTTTTATTATTATACTTTAAGTTCTGGGATACATGTGCAGAACATGCAGGTTTGTTACATAGGTATACATGTGCCATGGTGGTTTGCTGCACCCATCCCCATCATCTACATTAGGTATTTCTCCTAATGCTATCCCTCCTCTTGTCCCCACCCCACAACAGGCCCCAGTGTGTGATATTCCCCTCCCTGTGTCTGTGTGTTCTCATTGTTTAACTCCCACTTATGACTGAGAACATGCAGTGTTTGGTTTTCTGTTCCTGTGTTAGTTTGCTGAGAATGTCCCTGCAAAGGATGTGACTCATTCTTTTTTATGTCTGCATAGTATTCCATGGTGTATATGTGCCATATTTTCTTTATCCAGTCTATCATTGATGGGCATTTGGGTTGGTTCCAACTCTTTGCTATTGTGAATAGTGCTGCAATAAACATACGTGTGTAAGTGTCTTTATAGTAGAATGATTTCTAATCCTTTGGGTATATACCCAGTAATGGGATTGCTGGGTCAAATGGATTTCTGGTTCTAGATCCTTGAGGAATTGCCACACCGGTTGAACTAATTTACACTCCCACCAACAATGTAAAAGCATTCCTATTTCTCCACATCCTCTCCAGCATCTGATCGCCTTTCTGACTGGTGTGAGATGGTATCTCATTGTGGTTTTGATTTGCATTTCTCTAATGACCAGTGATGATGAGCATGTTTTTCATATGTTTGTTGGTCACAGCAATGTCTTCTTTTGAATAATAGCGTTCTTTTTTTATTATTATTATACTTTAAGTTTTAGGGTACATGTGCACAATGTGCAGGTTAGTTACATATGTATACATGTGCCATGCTGGTGCGCTGCACCCACTAACTCGTCATCTAGCATTAGGTATATCTCCCAATGCTATCCCTCCCCCCTCCCCCCACCCCAAAACAGTCCCCAGAGTGTGATGTTCCCCTTCCTGTGTCCATGTGTTCTCATTGTTCAATTCCCACCTATGAGTAAGAATATGCGGTGTTTGGTTTTTTGTTCTTGCGATAGTTTACTGAGAATGATGATTTCCAGTTTCATCCATGTCCCTACAAAGGACATGAACTCATCATTTTTTATGGCTGCATAGTATTCCATGGTGTATGTGTGCCACATTTTCTTAATCCAGTCTATCATTGTTGGACATTTGGCTTGGTTCCAAGTCTTTGCTATCATGAATAATGCCACAATAAACATACGTGTGCATGTGTCTTTATAGCAGCATGATTTATAGTCCTTTGGGTATATATCCAGTAATGGGATGGCTGGGTCAAATGGTATTTCTAGTTCTAGATCCCTGAGGAATCGCCACACTGACTTCCATAATGGTTGAACTAGTTTACAGTCCCACCAACAGTGTAAAAGTGTTCCTATTTCTCCACATCCTCTCCAGCACCTGTTGTTTCCTGACTTTTTAATGATTGCCATTCTAACTGGTGTGAGATGGTATCTCATTGTGGTTTTGATTTGCATTTCTCTGATGGCCAGTGATGGTGAGCATTTTTTCATGTGTCTTTTGGCTGCATAAATGTCTTCTTTTGAGAAGTGTCTGTTCATAGCCTTCGCCCACTTTTTGATGGGGTTGTTTTTTTCTTGTAAATTTGTTTGAGTTCATTGTAGTTTTTGGATACTAGCCCTTTGTCAGATGAGTAGGTTGCGAAAATTTTCTCCCATTTTGTAGGTTGTCTGTTCATTCTGATGGTAGTTTCTTTTGCTGTGCAGAAGCTCTTTAGTTTAATTAGATCCCATTTGTCAATTTTGTCTTTTGTTGCCATTGCTTTTGGTGTTTTAGACATGAAGTCCTTGCCCATGCCTATGTCCTGAATGTTAATGCCTAGGTTTTCTTCTAGGGTTTTTATGGTTTTAGGTCTAACGTTTAAGTCTTTAATCCATCTTGAATTGATTTTTGTGTAAGGTGTAAGGAAGGGATCCAGTTTCAGCTTTCTACATATGGCTAGCCAGTTTTCCCAGCACCATTTATTAAATAGGGAATCCTTTCCCCATTGCTTGTTTTTCTCAGGTTTGTCAAAGATCAGATATTTGTAGATATGCGGCGTTATTTCTGAGGGCTCTGTTCTGTTCCATTGATCTATATCTCTGTTTTGGTACCAGTACCATGCTGTTTTGGTTACTGTAGCCTTGTAGTATAGTTTGAAGTCAGGTAGTGTGATGCCTCCAGCTTTGTTCTTTTGGCTTAGGATTGACTTGGCAATGCAGGCTCTTTTTTGGTTCCATATGAACTTTAAAGTAGTTTTTTCCAATTCTGTGAAGAAAGTCATTGGTAGCTTGATGGGGATGGCATTGAATCTGTAAATTACCTTGGGCAGTGTGGCCATTTTCAGGATATTGATTCTTCCTGCCCATGAGCATGGAATGTTCTTCCATTTGTTTGTATCCTCTTTTATTTCCTTGAGCAGTGGTTTGTAGTTCTCCTTAGAGGTCCTTCACATCCCTTGTAAGTTGGATTCCTAGGTATTTTATTCTCTTTGAAGCAATTGTGAATGGGAGTTCACTCATGATTTGGCTCTCTGTTTGTCTGTTGTTGGTGTATAAGAATGCTTGTGATTTTTGTACATTGATTTTGTATCCTGAGACTTTGCTGAAGTTGCATATCAGCTTAAGGAGATTTTGGGCTGAGACAATGGGATTTTCTAGATATACAATCATGTCGTCTGCAAACAGGGACAATTTGACTTCCTCTTTTCCTAATTGAATACCCTTTATTTCCTTCTCCTGCCTAATTGCCCTGGCCAGAACTTCCAACACTATGTTGAATAGGAGTGGTGAGAGAGGGCATCCCTGTCTTGTGCCAGTTTTCAAAGGGAATGCTTCCAGTTTTTGCCCATTCAGTATGATATTGGCTGTGGGTTTGTCATAGATAGCTCTTATTATTTTGAGATACGTCCCATCAATACCTAATTTATTGAGAGTTTTTAGCATGAAGGGTTGTTGAATTTTGTCAAAGGCCTTTTCTGCATCTATTGAGATAATCATGTGGTTTTTGTCTTTGGTTCTGTTTATATGCTGGATTACATTTATTGATTTGCATATATTGAACCAGCCTTGCATCCCAGGGATGAAGCCCACTTAATCATGGTGGGTAAGCTTTTTGATGTGCTGCTGGATTCGGTTTGCCAGTATTTTATTGAGGATTTTTGCATCAATGTTCATCAAGGATATCGGTCTAAAATTCTCTTTTTTGGTTGTGTCTCTGCCCGGCTTTGGTATCAGGATGATGCTGGCCTCATAAAATGAGTTAGGGAGGATTCCCTCTTTTTCTATTGATTGGAATAGTTTCAGAAGGAATGGTACCAGTTCCTCCTTGTACCTCTGGTAGAATTCGGCTGTGAATCCATCTGGTCCTGGACTCTTTTTGGTTGGTAAGCTATTGATTATTGCCACAATTTCAGCTCCTGTTATTGGTCTATTCAGAGATTCAACTTCTTCCTGGTTTAGTCTTGGGAGAGTGTGTCGAGGAATTTATCCATTTCTTCTAGATTTTCTAGTTTATTTGCATAGAGGTGTTTGTAGTATTCTCTGATGGTAGTTTGTATTTCTGTGGGATCGGTGGTGATATCCCCTTTATCATTTTTATTGCGTCTATTTGATTCTTCTCTCTTTTTTTCTTTGTTAGTCTTGCTAGCGGTCTATCAATTTTGTTGATCCTTTCAAAAAACCAGCTCCTGGATTCATTAATTTTTTGAAGGGTTTTTTGTGTCTCTATTTCCTTCAGTTCTGCTCTGATTTTAGTTATTTCTTGCCTTCTGCTAGCTTTCGAATGTGTTTGCTCTTGCTTTTCTAGTTGTTTAAATTGTGATGTTAGGGTGTCAATTTTGGATCTTTCCTGCTATCTCTTGTGGGCATTTAGTGCTATAAATTTCCCTCTACACACTGCTTTGAATGTGTCCCAGAGATTCTGGTATGTTGTGTCTTTGTTCTCGTTGGTTTCAAAGAACATATTTATTTCTGCCTTCATTTCGTTATGTACCCAGTAGTCATTCAGGAGCAGGTTGTTCAGTTTCCATGTAGTTGAGCGGTTTTGAGTGAGATTCTTAATCCTGAGTTCTAGTTTGATTGCACTGTCATCTGAGAGATAGTTTGTTATAATTTCTGTTCTTTTACATTTGCTGAGGAGAGCTTTACTTCCAAGTATGTGGTCAATTTTGGAATAGGTGTGGTGTGGTGCTGAAAAAAATGTATATTCTGTTGATTTGGGGTGGAGAGTTCTGTAGATGTCTATTAGATCCGCTTGGTGCAGAGCTGAGTTCAATTCCTGGGTATCCTTGTTGACTTTCTGTCTCGTTGATCTGTCTAATGTTGACAGTGGGGTGTTAAAGTCTCCCACTATTAATGTGTGGGAGTCTAAGTCTCTTTGTAGGTCACTCAGGACTTGCTTTATGAATCTGGGTGCTCCTGTATTGGGTGCATATATATTTAGGATAGTTAGCTCCTCTTGTTGAATTGATCCCTTTACCATTATGTAATGGCCTTCTTTGTCTCTTTTGATCTTTGTTGGTTTAAAGTCTGTTTTATCAGAGACTAGGATTGCAACCCCTGCCTTTTTTTGTTTTCCATTTGCTTGGTAGATCTTCCTCCATCCTTTTATTTTGAGCCTATGTGTGTCTCTGCACATGAGATGAGTTTCCTGAATACAGCACACTGATGGGTCTTGACTCTTTATCCAGTTTGCCAGTCTGTGTCTTTTAATTGGAGCACTTAGTCCATTTACATTTAAAGTTAATATTGTTATGTGTGAATTTGATCCTGTCATTATGATGTTAGCTGGTTATTTTGCTCGTTAGTTGATGCAGTTTCTTCCTAGTCTCGATGGTCTTTACATTTTGGCATGATTTTGCAGCAGCTGGTACCGGTTGTTCCTTTCCATGTTTAGCGCTTCCTTCAGGAGCTCTTTTAGGGCAGGCCTGGTGGTGACAAAATCTCTCAGCATTTGCTTGTCTGGAAAGTATTTTATTTCTCCTTCACTTATGAAGCTTAGTTTGGCTGGATATGAAATTCTGGGTTGAAAATTCTTTTCTTTAAGAATGTTGAATATTGGCCCCCACTCTCTTCTGGCTTGTAGAGTTTCTGCCGAGAGATCCACTGTTAGTCTGAGGGGCTTCCCTTTGAGGGTAACCCGACCTTTCTCTCTGGCTGCTCTTAACATTTTTTCCTTCATTTCCACTTTGGTGAATCTGACAATTATGTGTCTTGGAGTTGCTCTTCTCGAGGAGTATCTTTGTGGCGTTCTCTGTATTTCCTGAATCTGAATGTTGGCCTGCCTTGCTAGATTGGGGAAGTTCTCCTGGATAATATCCTGCAGAGTGTTTTCCAACTTGGTTCCATTCTCCCCGTCACTTTCAGGTACACCAATCAGACATAGATTTGGTCTTTTCACATAGTCCCATATTTCTTGGAGGCTTTGTTCATTTCTTTTTATTCTTTTTTCTCTAAACTTCCCTTCTCGCTTCATTTCATTCATTTCATCTTCCATCGCTGATACCCTTTCTTCCAGTTGATCGCATCGGCTGCTGAGGCTTCTGTATTCTTCACGTAGTTCTTGAGCCTTGGTTTTCAGCTCCATCAGCTCCTTTAAGCACTTCTCTGTATTGGTTATTCTAGTTATACATTCTTCTAAATTTTTTTCAAAGTTTTCAACTTCTTTGCCTTTGGTTTGAATGTCCTCCCGTAGCTCGGAGTAATTTGATCGTCTGAAGCCTTCTTCTCTCAGGTCGTCAAAGTCATTCTCCGTCCCGCTTTGTTCTGTTGCTGGTGAGGAACTCTACTCCTTTGGAGGAGGAGAGGCGCTCTGCTTTTTAGAGTTTCCAGTTTTTCTGCTCTGTTTTTTCCCCATCTTTGTGGTTTTATCTACTTTTGGTCTTTGATGATGGTGATGTACAGATGGGTTTTTGGTGTGGATGTCCTTTCTGTTTGTTAGTTTTCCTTCATACAGACAGGACCCTCAGCTGCAGGTCTGTTGGAGTACCCGGCCGTGTGAGGTGTCAGTCTACCCCTGCTGGGGGGTGCCTCCCAGTTAGGCTGCTCGGGGGTCAGGGGTCAGGGACCCACTTGAGGAGGCAGTCTGCCCATTCTCAGATCTCCAGCTGCGTGCTGGGAGAACCACTGCTCTCTTCAAAGCTGTCAGACAGGGACGTTTAAGTCTGCAGAGGTTACTGCTGTCTTTTTGTTTGTCTGTGCCCTGCCCCCAGAGGTGGAGCCTATAGAGGCAGGCACGTCTCCTTGAGCTGTGGTGGGCTCCACCCAGTTCGAGCTTCCTGGCTGCTTTGTTTACCTAAGCAAGCCTGGGCAATGGCGGGCGCCCCTCCCCCAGCCTCGCTGCCGCCTTGCAGTTTGATCTCAGACTGCTGTGCTAGCAGTCAGCGAGACTCCGTGGGCGTAGGACACTCTGAGCCATGTGCGGGATATAATCTCCTGGCGCGCCATTTTTTAAGCCGGTCGGAAAAGTGCAGTATTCGGGTGGGAGTGACCCAATTTTCCAGGTGCCGTCTGTCACCCCTTTCTTTGACTAGGAAAGGGAACTCCCTGACCCCTTGCGCTTCCCGAGTGAGGCAATGCCTCGCCCTGCTTCGGCTCACGCATGGTGCATGCACCCACTGACCTGCGCCCACTGTCTGGCACTCCCTAGTGAGATGAACCCGGTACCTCAGATGGAAATGCAGAAATCACCTGTCTTCTGCGTTGTTGACACTGGGAGCTGTAGACCGGAGCTGTTCCTATTCAGCCATCTTGGCTCCTCCCCTCCCCGCCCCACCCCCTTTTTTTTTTTTTTTGAGACGCAGTCTCGCTCTGTCGCCCAGGCTGGAGTGTAGTGGCAGGATCTTGGCTCACTGCAAGCTCTGCCTCCTGGGTTCACGCCATTCTCATGCCTCAGCCTCCCAAGTAGCTGGGACTACGGGTGCCTGCCACCACGCCTGGCTAATTTTTTGTATTTTTTAGCAGGGACAGGGTTTCACTGTGTTAGCCAGGATGGTCTTGATCTCCTGACTTTGTGATCCACCCGCCTCGACCTCCCTAAGTGCTGGGATTACAGGCGTGAGCCACCGCGCCCGGCCAATAGCATTCTTAATAAGTGTGAAATGGTATCACTTTGTGATTTTGATCTGCATTTCCCTAATGGCCAGTGATACTGAACATCTTTACATGTCCTTATTTATTGGCCATTTGTATATCTTTGAAGAAATAGCCATTCCAGTCATCCATTTATTTTTTTAAATGTTTAAAACTTTTTATTTGTTTTTTATTTTTTAAACACAGGGCTTCACTCTGTTGCCCAGGCTAGAATGCAGTGGCATGATTGTAAGCTCACTGCAGCCTCAATCTCCTAGGCTCAAGGGATCCTCTAGCCTCAGCCTCCCATATTGCTAGTACTACAGGCACATACCACCACACCTGTCTAATTATTATTTTGTAGACACAGGGTCTTGCTAGGTAATCCAGGCTGGCCTTGAACTCCTGGGCTAGAGTGATCCTCCCACCTTGGCCTCCCAAAGTGCTGGTATTACAAGCATGATTCACCATGCCCAAACCTTTGTCCATTTTTGTAATTGGGTTGTTTATTTTGTTGTTGGATTGTAGGAGTTTTCATGTATTCTAGATACTAAATTCTTATGAGATATATGACTTACAAATGCAGTTGATCGTTGAACAAGTGGTAGTGGTGGATACCAACCCCCGTGTAGTCAAATATTTGCGTGTAACTACTTTTTTTTTTCTTTTCTTGAGACAAGGTCCAGCACTGTTGCTTAGGCTGGAGTGCAGTGGCAAGATCATAGCTTACTGCAGCCTGGAACTCCTGGACTGAAGTGGTTTCCTGTCTCAGCCTCCCAAGTAGCTAGAACTGCAGGCATGCAGCACAGCTCGCTAATTTTTTTTTTTTTTTTTTTTTTTTTTTTTTTTTTTTTTTTTTTTTTTTTTTAGAGACAGGTTCTTGCTGTGTTGCCCAGGTTGGTTTTGAACTCCTGGTCCCAAACAGTCCTCCTGCCTCAGCCTCCCAAAGTGCTGAAATTACAGGCATGAGCCTCGACACTCAGTCTGCGTTTATCTTTTGATTTCCACAAAACTTAACTACTAATAGCCTACTGTTGATTAGAAGCCTTAATAATATATAAACAGCTAACATATATTTTGTATATGTATTCAATACTGCATTCTTAAAGTAAGCTAGAGAAAAAGTGTTATTAAAAATCATAAAGAGAAAATATATTTACTATTCATTAACTGAACGTGGATCATTATACAAGTCTTCATGCCCATCACCTTCATGTTGAATAGGCTGAGGAAGAGCAGAAGTTGGTCTTGCTGTCTCAGGTCTGGCAGAGGTGGAAAAAAATTTGCACATAATTGGAACTGCGTAGTTCAAAGGCGTGTTCCAAGGCTGGCTGTATTTTCTCCCATTTTGTGGGTTGTCTTTTCACTTTCTTGATAGTGTCCTTTGTTCCACAAAAGTTTTTAATTTTATGAAGGCCAATTTAATTATTGTTTCTTTTGTTGCTTGTGCTTTTGGTGTCATATCCAAGATAACATTATCAAATCTGACATCATGATGCTTCTTCCCTATGCTTTCTTCTAAGAGTTTTATAGGTTTAGATCTTTGATTCATTTTGAGTTAATTTTGTACAAAGTATAAGGTAAGGGCCCAGCTTCATTATTTTGAATTGGATATTCAGTTTTTCCAGCACTATTTGTTGAAAACACTGTCTTTTCCCCCATTGAATGGTCTTGGCACCCTTGTTAAAAGTGAAAGTTTATTTCTGGACTTTCTATTTTGTTCCATTTGTCTGTGTATCTGTCCTTATGTCAGTACCACACTGTTTTGATTACTGTAGTTGTGTTGTAACTTTTGAAATCAAAACGTGTGAGTCTTCCAACTTTGTTCTTTTTCAAGATTGTTTTGGTTATTCAGTGTCTCTTAAGATTCCATGTGACTTTTAGGATGGGTTTTTCTGTTTCCCCAAGAAATATAGTATGATATTGAGTATGATATTATCATTTGCTAATGTATTGAAACTCAACTGATTTTTACATGTGAATTTTGTGTCTAGCAGCTTTGCTGAATTAATTTGTTTTAACAAGTGAGAGAGAGAGAAGGTGTGTGTATGTAATTTGGGGGCATTTTCTCATGTATAAGATCATGTCATCTATGAACAGAGAAATGTCATTGGGATTTTAACAGGGATTACATTGAATTGTAAATCACTTTGGATAGCATTGACATCTTAACAATTTTAAGTCATCTTATCCATGAACACCGGATTTTTTTCATTTAGTTAGATCTTATTTAATATCTTTCAACAGTTTTGTGTGGTTTTCAGCATAACAATTTTTGGCCCATTTGCTCAAGTTTATTCTTAATTCTTTTAGATGTTGTTGTAAACGGAATTGCTTTTTTAAATTTCCTCTTCAATTTGCTCATTTACTAATGTATTAAAACACAACTGATTTTTACATGTGAATTTTGTGTCTAGCAACTTTGCTGAATTAATTTGGTAGCCCTAACGGGGTGTGTGTGTGTGTGTGTGTGTGTGTGTGTGTGTGTGTGTGTGTGTATAATTTGGGGGGATTTTCTTACATAGAAGATCATGTCATCCATGAACAGAGATATTTATACTTTTTCCTTTCTGATTTGGATGCCTTTTGTCTTTTTACCTAATGCCTCTGGCTAGGATTTCCAATATCATGTTGAATACAAGATGAAGAAGCAGGCTTCCTTGTCTTATTCCTGTCTTAAGGGAAAAGCGTTTGTCTTTGACCATTGAGTATGATATTATCTGTGAGTTTTTCCCAAATGACCTTTACCATGTTGAGTAAGTTTCCTTCTGTCTCTTGTTTATTGAGTGTTTTTGTCAAGAAAGGGTGTTCAATTTTTCAAATTCTTTTTTGCAACAATTGAGATGATCATGTTTTGGTCTTTTCTCCTTCATCCTGTCAATGTGGTGTATTACATTGATTTTGGATTTTGTTTTGTTTCCTTGTTGGTTTGTTTGGAGACAGGGTCTCCCTCAGTTGCCCAGGCTGGAATGCAGTAGCATGATCTCAGCTCACGGCAACATTTGCCTCCCAGACTCAAGCAGTCCTCCCGCCTCAGCCTTCTGAGTTGCTGGGACCAAAGGTGCACACCACCACACCAGGCTAATTTTTACAATTTTTTTATTTTAGAAATGAGGTCTCACTATGTTACACAGGCTGGTCTCAAACTCCTGAGCTGAAGTGATCCTTTCACCTTACCCTCCCAAAGTGCTGGGAGTACAGCCGTGGGCCACTGCGCCTGCTGCATTGATTTTCATATGTCATTATCCTTGCATTTTAAAAATAAATCCCACTAGATAAAGGTGTATAATCTTTTTATCATAAATTTGTTTAACATCATTGTTGCCTTGGCATCCATTTTTAGGCCTAACATAAGTTGTTTAAAACTGAGTTATACCACCTCATCTTTGGCCTAGTTAAAACTTTCCCTCCCCATGTGGCTGTTTGCAGTGTGGGTCACTTGTTCTACATCTCACTGACCCAACATATCCCATAGCTGCTTACCACAATAAAACCAGAATCAACACCAGAGTCATGCAAATAATTTCCCCCCTTTACACATATTTTCTTTAAATTAGCCAGTTCACAACCCCTGCTGGAAAGCCTTAAGAGGTAATGCCTGTGGACCTTAATAAAGGCAGAGTTCCACAGATTCACTCTTATCTGTGATTAACAAAATGCTGCTTTTATTTCATGTGTTTTGTTTTGCTGCCTCTGTGTCTCACCTGACTGACATACACATACCTAACTTTCCTCCCAGTCAGCACTCCTGGAGAGTGGCTATCTTGGCAGGAATAAACTGGACACAGGTCGGACAAGAACCACGAGGGCATCTGCTAGTATAAACAAGTTTCCTGTGAGACATACACTTGGCCACAGGTCAGGCAAGAAGGCATTGTCCCATTCACCAAGATAAAGAAGTATCCTCTTTTGATTTACTGTAAACATCAGTGACCACCTCCTCTAGAGCCTTGTCGGGGCAGAGCTAGAGTTCCTGGCCACTCTCCAGAGAGAGACCCGAAGACCAAGTTAGAAGAAAACAAAATCTTTTAATATGCTGAATTTGGTTTATTAGTATTTCATTGAGGATATTTGCATCAGTATTGCAAGGGATATTGATCTGTAATTTTCTTATAGTGTCTTCATATAGCTTTGTTATCAGGGTAATGCAGCCTCTTAGAGTTAGTATTCCTCCATCTTTTTGTTTTTTGGAAGAATTTGAGATGGAATGGTGTTAATTCTTCTTTAAATGTTTGGTAGAATTCAGCAGTGAATCTATCTGGTCCAGGGCTTTTCATGTGTAGGAGGTTTTTGAATCCTGTTTGAACCTCTTTACTAGTTATAAGTCTACTCGGATTTTCTGATTCATGAGTCAGTCTTGGAAGGTTGTGTGTTTCTAGGAATTTGTCCATTTCATGTAGGTTATCCAGTTTGTTGGCATACAATTGTCTTCAATAATCTCTTACAATTTTTTACTTCTTGGCCGGGCATGGTGGCTCACACCTGTTATCTCAGTACTTTGGAAGGCCGAGCCAGGTGGATCACTTGAGGTCAGGAGTTTGAGACCAGCCTGGCCAACATGTCAAAACCCCATCTGTACTAAAAATACAAAAATTAGCCAGCTGTGGTGGTGGGCACCTGTAGTCCCAGCTACTCGGGAGGCTGAGGCAGGAGAATTGCTTGAACCCAGGAGGCAGAAGTTGCAGTGAGCTGAGAGTGTGCCACTGCATTCCAGCCTGGGTGACAGCAAGACTTCATCTCAAAAAAAAAAAAAATTTTTTTTTTCTTAAAATTGGTAGTATTGTCTGCACTTTTATTTCTGATTTTATTAACTTCAGACTTCTCTTTCTTTTCTAGTTATTCTAGCTAAAGATTTGTCAATTTTGCTGATCTTTTCAAATAATCAACTTTTGGCTTTATTGATGTTCTGTTTCTTTATCCTGTCTCATTTATTTTTGCTCTAATCTTTATTATTTCTTCTGCTACTTTTGGGTAATTTTCTCTTTTTCTGTTGTCTTATGGTATATAGTTAGGTTCTTAATTTGCAATATTTTAAAATTGTGTATATAGCTATAAATTTCCCTCTTAGCACTGTTTTATTGCATCTCATGAGTTTGGTATGTTTTGTTTTCATATTCCTTTGTCTTGAAGCATTTTCTAATTTCTCTTAGGATTTCTTCTTTGACCTGTTGGTAGTTTGTGGTGTTTAGTTTCTACATATTTGAATTTTGCAGTTTTTCTCGTTTTTGATTTCCAGTTTCCTTTCATTGTCATAGAGACAAATACATTTTATGATTTCAATTTTTTGAAATGTATTAAGACATTTTGCAGCCTAACATATGGTCTATTCTGAGAATGTTCTAAGTGGCCTTGTAGGAAAAAAAAAGAAAAGGTATATTTTACTATTGGCTAGAGTGTTTTGTGTATGTCTGTTAGGACCTGTTGGTTTACAGTGTTATTCAAGTCTTCTGTTTCCTTATTGATACTCTGTCTGGATGTTTTATGCACTATTGAAAGTGGAATATTAAAGCCTTCTATTTTTATTATTGAACTGTCTATTTTTTCCTTCAATTCTGTCAATGTTTGCTTCATATATTTGGGTCTTTGATGTGTACTGCATAATTGCTTATAATTGTTATATCTTACTGGTGAATTGGCCTTTTTATCAATTTATAATGTCCTTTCTCTCTTGTAAGAATTTTTTATTTAAAGTCTGTTTTGCCTGATACCACCAGTAAAGCCATCTCAGATCTCTCTTGATTACTATTTGCATGGAGTATTTTCTTCCATCCTTTGACTTTCAACCTGTGTATAGCATAAGGTATAAAGTGTATCTCTTGTGGACAGCATATAGTTGGATCATGTTTTTTTTTAATTAATTCTGCCAATCTTTGTCTTTTAATTGGAGAGTTTAATACATTTACATTTAAAGTAATTACTGATAAGGAAAGACTTCTGCCATTTGCTGTTTTCTGTATCTTATCACACTTTTATTCCTTCTTTCCTCCATTAGAGCCCTCTTTTGTGTTTAGTTGCTTTTTTCTTTTTAGTATGATGTATTTTTTAAAATCTCTTTTGTAATTGTGTTAAAAAACACACAGAATTTATTATCTTAACCATTTTTTAGTGTAACTTCAGTAGTGTTAACCATATTCGTATTACCATGCAATAGATTTCTAGAACATTTTCATCTTGCAAACTGAAACTATACTCGTTAAACAACAGCACATTTCTCCCTGCTTCCAACCTCTGGCCAGCACAATATTACTTCTGCATTTTTATGAATTTTACTATGTTAGATACCTTGTATAAGTGGTCTCAGACAGAATTTGTCTTTCTGTGACTGGCTTATTTTACTTATAATAATGTCCTAAAGATTCATCCATGTTGTAAGCATTGATAGGATTTCCTATTTTAAGGCTGAATAATACTTCTTTGTATGTATATACTGCATTTTAAAAATCCCTTCATTTGTCAGTGGACATTTGGATTGTCTGCTGTAATGAACATGGAAATGCAAATATTATAGTATCAGGTTTTGCTTCCCTTCTTGTTTCCTTTTTGTGTTTATCTTGTAGATTATTTTTTATCATTACCATGGAGATTACATATAACATCCTAAAGTTATAACAATCCAATATGAGTTAATACCAACATAATTTTAACTTCACAAAAAACTACTTCTCTGCAGCTCTCTTTTTCCAGTATTTTTGATGTCACAAATTAATCTCTATACTGTGTGCTCAATAACATAGATTTGTAATTATTTATGCATTTGTCTTTTAAATCCTGTAGAAAATAAAAAAGTAGAATTATAAACCAAAATTGCAATAATACTGACTTTCCCATTTACCCATGTATTTACCTTCACCAGAGATCTTAATATCCTCATGTGACTTTGAGGTACTGTCTAGTGTCCTCTCATTGCAACCTGAAGGACTTCCATTAGCATTTCTTACAGGGCAGATCTAGTGGTAATAGAGTCCCTCAGCCCTTGTTTACCTAGGACTGTCTTAATTTTTCTCACGTTTTTGAAGGTTAGTTTTGCCAAATGTATAATTTTCAGTTGACAGGTTGTGTTTTTCTTTAGTACATCATATATATCTCTGTCTTCCCATTTCCTTCTGGCTTCCAAAATTTCTTTCTTGTCTCTTTTTTCTTTTTTCTTTTTTTTTTTTTTTTTTGAGACAAGAGTCTTGCTCTCTTGCCCAGGCTGGAGGCAGTGGCACGATCTCTGCTCACTGCAGTCTCTGCCTCCTGGGTTCAAGCGATTGTCCTGCCCCAGCCTCCCTAGTAGCTGGGATTTCAGGTGTGCACCACGATGCCTGGCTAATTTTTATATTTTTAGTAGAGATGGGGTTTCACCATGTTGGCCAGGCTGGTCTAGAACTCCTGACCTCAGATGATCTGCCTGCCTTGGCCTCCCAAAGTGCTGGGATTACAGGCATGAGCCACCGCACCTGGCCTTTTTGTTTTGTTTTGTTTTGTTTTTATTTTTGAGATGGAGTTTTGCTCTGTCACCCAGGTTGGAGTACAGTGGTGCGATCTTGGCTCACGGCAACCTCTGCCTCCCGGGTTCAAGCAATTCTTCTGCGTCAGCCTCTTGAGTAGCTGGGACTACAGGTGCCCACCACCACGCCCGGCTAATTTTTGTATTTTTAGTAGAGATAGCTTTTGGCTATGTTGGCCAGGCTGATCTCAAGCTCCTGACCTCAAGTGATCACCCCCCTTGGCCTCCCCAAAGTGCTGGGATTACAGTCGTAGGCCACCACGCCCAGCCTGGCCTCCAAGATTTCTAATATGAGAAACTGACTTATAATCTTCTTGAGTCTCTTTGTATATGACATGTTGCATCTCTTTTGCTGCTTCCCAGATTTTCTCTTTGGCTTTGCCTTTTTAGAGTTTGATTATGTGTCTTGGTGTATGATTCTTTGGGTTTATCCTATTTGGAGTCTAATAGTGTCTTAGTTCCCTGGAGCTGGTGTAACAAATTACTGTTAATTGGGCAGCTTAAACAACAGAATTTATTGTCAACAGTTTTGGAGTCTAGAAGTATGAGATCAGTTTGTCAGAAGAGTTGATTTCTTCTGAGGGGTTTGAGGGAAAATCCATTTCACCTCTCTGCTTTAGATTTTGGTGGCTTGCTGGCAATCTTTTGTGCACCTTTGCCTTTGCTGCATCACCCTGATCTCTCCCTTCATCTTCACATGGAGTTCTCCTTGTATATTTGTCTGTACCCAAATTTTGCCGTTTTTATAAAGACATTGATCATACTGAATTAGGGCCCATCCTAATGACCTCATTTTAACATGATTATAAAGAACCTGTATCGAAATTAGGTCATATTTGAGATACTGGAGATTATAGCTCTCCAACATATCTTTGGGGGAAGATACAAATCAACTCCTAACATTAGACTTCTTGGATTTGTAGGTTCATGTCTTTCTTTAAATTGGGGACTTCTACCATTTTTAAAAATAATTTTTTGCCTCTTTGTCTCTCTCTTCCTTCTATGACTTTCATAATGTCTCTGTTGGTTCACTTGAGCCCCTTAGGCTCTGTTTACTTCTCTCCATTCTTTTTTCTTTCTGCTTCTCAGACTCGATATTTAAATTTTCCTATCTTCAAGTTCACTGATTATTTTTCTTCTTTCCACTCAATGCTGCTTTTGAACCCCTCTATTGAATTTTTTCTCCTTAGTTATTATACTTTTGAGCTCCAGAATTTCCTTTTTATAATTTGTATCACTTGCTGATATTCCCATTTTATTCATACATCATTTTCCGAATTTTCTTTAGTTCTTTGTTTTCCCTTAACCCTTTTAACATATTTAAGACAGTTGAGTATTTTTGATTTGCATTTTTTTTCTGGTTGCACATGTCTGCATAATTATTAAAATAATTTCAGAAAATAATGAAGCCGTTTCTTTGTCATCTCGCACGAAGAAAGTTAAGGACACGGACACACATGAGGAGTTTAGGAGTGGCGGTTTAATATGCAGAAGAAAGAGAAAGGAGAACAGCTCTGTCTCTAGTGAGAGAAAGGGGCTTCTGAAAGGGAAAGACTGGCTGGAGGTGGATGTGCCGGATTTTGTAGGCAGGTTTAAGGAGGTGGTGTCTGATTACATAGGGCCCACAGATTGGTTCAGTCAGGTTTGATGTTTACATAGCACGCCAGAAAGGCTGGCCACCCCACCCTAATCTTATTATGCAAATGGGCTTTCTACTTGACTGGCACCATCCTGTGTGCTTCTTACTGTACATGTGGCTGGCAAGGCGAGAAGGGAGGATGGAGCCGCCATTTTGAACAGGATTGGCGCAACTGCCGGCATCTGTGTCTGCAGCTCAATTTTATAGGCTACTCTTTGTTAGAAAATGATTTGGGGGCTGCTTTTCACTGAAAAGGAAAACCTTGCCGAGGACTCCTTCCTGTATTCTCACTCTCTGCCTAAGTAATTTCTTTTTTTTGTTTTTGTTTTTTTTTTGAGATGGAGTCTCACTGTGTGCCCCTGGCTAGAGTGCAGTGGCATGATCTTGGCTGACTGCAACGTGCACCTCCCAGGTTCAAGCAATTCTTCTGGCTCAGCCTCCCAAGTAGCTGGGATTACTTGCATGCACCACCACACCTGACTAATGTTGTATTTTTAGTAGAGATGGGGTTTCGCCATGTTGGCCTGGCTGGTCTCGAACTTCTGACCTCAGGTGATCCACCCGCTTGGCCTCCCAAAGTGCTGGGATTTTAGGCATCAGCCACTGCACCCAGTCTCAGTAATTTCTTTTTAACTCCTGTGTCAATATGAAACGAAACCTAAAGGGTCGTGAATATAAAATGAAATGACAGAGGTCCCTGATGCTGTGACACAGAAACTTCTGATATCAGTCAGTACCTGCAAGCCCTATTCAGTCCCTTTTCAGGATTACTGCTTACTTCTGGTTTTCAGTGAGGTCAGGAATTCTTGACACTTTGTGTCATATCTTTACAGTTAGTTTCATACTTTCGTATGTTTTCATGTTAATGTCCTTTCATTTCAACTTTAAGAACTCATAGAATTTCTTGTAAGGCAGGTATAGTGGTGATGAACTCCCATAGCTCTTGTTTGGGATTAAGAGAGTTGTGTTCTTTTTTTAAAAGAAAAAAAAACGGAGTCTGGCTCTGTCACCCACACTGGAGTGCAATGGCATGATGTCAGCTCCCTGCAACCTCCACCTCCCAGGTTCAAGCAATTCTCCTGCCTCAGCCTCCTGAATAGCTGGGATTACAGGCGCCTGCCACCACACCTGAGTAATTTTTGTATTTTTAGTAAAGACAGAGTCTCACCATGTTGGCCAGGCTGGTCTTGAACTCCTGACCTCATGATCTGCCCGCCTCAGCTTCCCAAAGTGCTGGGATTACAGGTGTGAGCCACCACGCCCGGCCAAGAGAGTTGTTTTAAAAGCTGTAGTAGTTCATTTGTTTTGGTACTTTTCCAAACTGTTTCAAAGACCATTCCTTGTCATGTATGATCACTGAAGTCTGTTGTTTCTTTGGCTTGTACTCAGCTAATGATTGACAGAGTTCCTTGAATGTCAGGAGCTGAAACAAAGAAGAGACAGAGAAAGAGGAAGGCGCCATCTTTCCTAGACTTTGTGGACTAGCTCTTTGGTGGGCACTTCTTCACCATTTAGAGAGGCTGAGCCTAGGAATCAGCCTGAGGTCATAGTTAAAGTCTTTTTATTTCTTTTCTGGGCATGCATCTTGTCAGGGCAGACATGTGGCTTTGTAAACTCTACCATATATATGACTGCTTTTGAATGTCCTAATTTCGTAAAGATTCTCACCCCAGATTCTCCTCCTGGCCTTAGATGGTCTATTGTATGTTTCTACTCATAAACTCTTCCTTCCAAGCATCTGTGCTTGGTACTCCCCTTTGCCACGTTTACAAGTGGTCCCTGCAGTTCTTCCTGCCTGTGTTCCAAGTTATATGAAACAAAAACTAGCTCTTTGCATCAGTCTTGCAGGTATCTCCCGGACTTAGGATACATATACACAGTAATTTGCATATAAGTTCTGGTCTGTTCCCTCTGGTTCAGGGGAGGGAACTGAGAACTGGACTGCCACTGCTTAAGACCAAGACCATTGTCATTCTGGGAAGAGGGTAGGGTGAGGCAAGTAAAAATACCACAAAACTTTCCTACCATTTAGAAAATTGCTTTTACTTCATTAGGCTTCTTGGTTACTGTAAACTTTGGATTGCTTTGTAGAGATCTGATCTAATAAAGTTGGTTGAGACACTTTCTCATTTTTTCAATGTTTCTGTATTGGAAGAAGAACTTAAAGCTTCCTAATCTATTTTGTTGGCGTCATTCCTCTGCTGAATTTTTAAATGTTCACTCTGGCTTACCTGTTAATGGAAGAATTTGCATAATATCTACTTAGAAAGGTAAGTTAAAAGTAGTTTTAAAGTAATTTAAATGAAATAACAAGATAAGGATTCAGAAAATTTTCACTTGCATCATTATACTCACAAGAAAAAAATTCATTTTTTCCATTGAAATAGATTTCAAAATATTTTTTAACATTAAGAATTGGTATTTGGAGAAATAAACTTATAATCCTTGATTTTTTTGGTAGTATAGGAAACTTTAGAAACTTTTTTGATTATAATAGATAGCACCATTTAATAAGAGAAAAGTCTGTATTACTAAAGAATGCAATCATTCCACAAACCTTACTGAATCATTGATTTAAGGAAGAATTATCAATTCACATTAAGATGGATGGTTGATAAGATACTGGATATTCATATAATGCCAAAGTAGCACCACATAAATTCTTAAGACTTCGTTATTACAAGGGCATAAACAGAACTATACACATTGAGAGGGGTCAGGATCATCACTGCAATCGATAAATGAATCTTAGCATATTAGTAGTCATTAAGTATTAGGCCTTGATGTGTTGCAACTTGAGTATGAAAAAGCCACCTATGACACAGTCTAGCCAAAAAGATTTGCCTTGGATCCATCAAACCCTTAGGAGTAACTTTCAGCCTTTGGAAAATTCAGCAGATAGACCTTACTCTATGGAAGAATAAGCTAAATAGCAGCATGAGGATATAACCACATAAATCCATAAGGTATGGGGCATTCTGCAGAAAAATAAGCTGGCTGTCTTCAACAAGACATGTTCATTAAAAGCAGAGGACTGTACTAGATTATAAAAGTGTTATGGAGATAACAATCAGAAGCAGTATATAATCTTGGTTTGTAATGGGTTTGGATCAGTTAAGGAAAACTAAATGTGAGCTAGAAATACTAGTAGGAACAGTTACTGAAATAGAACAAGTGAGAAATGATAGAAAAATGTAAGTGATTGTATGTGTGGTAAAGTCTAGTTTTGGTAAAAACATATACAGTGAGTGTGTGTATGTATGGAAAAATATCTTGAAGAATATATACACTAAGTTGTCTAGCAGAATGTGACTTTATTTTTATGTCTATACTAATTTTCTATACTGGTTCTGCAATAAAATTTTGTAAAATAAATTACGTAACACAATTGATAGATTTACATTCAATTCAAGTTTTAATGTTTCATAATTTCAATGACAGTGCTTGTAATTCATTCAACACTTACATTTTAAGTTTCTGTGAAATGACAGTGCTTTATCCCTTTATTTACTAGATAGAGGGCCTGGATATTTTATTTCTATTAAAGACAATCGAGGAATTCTATAAAAGTGAAGATGGAGAAAATCTGGAAATCCTCTGTCCAGTTCAAGATCAAGCCTGTGTAGCTAAATTTGAAGATGGAATTTGGTACCGAGCAAAAGTTATCGGTAGGAGAATGCATGCTGTTTCTACAGGGAGATGTCATACTTCAAAACTAATATCATTTGAGTTGGTACCAATTCAATCTTGGAAGTAATGTTATTTGATCTTATCATTTGCTCTGCCATCTGTCTTTAGAAAAGCTAGTGATAATGTTGAAAGGTGAATCTATCTTCTGATATTTTGTTTGACTTGACTAGAACTTAACCATTGGGAATCTTGCTGGAAAAGTTGTATAGATAGAACAAAGCAACAGAAATTAATTATTCAAAAACCGGTGAACTCTAGTTTGATGTTGACTGTTTGTCTGTCCCATGCTATTTTGATTGTCAAGGTACAAATTAAAGGTGAGTCCTTTGTGTCCTCTCTGCTTCCCTTCAATTTTAATATATTCTTCTTTCCTGGGAATTATTGACTGAACTGCTAGTTTTCTCGATATATTTTTTCTACTTTTTCTACATCCTCCTTAAGTAATTGATTCAACTTATGAAATAATGGGAAGAATAAAAAGTGGGATTGAAGACAGAAGATTTATGAAAATGGAGGTATTAGCAACAAAAATAATAAAGTTTATTATTCCCCAGCATTGACTAAGACAGAACATTACAGACTAAGCTTTTGTGGGTTATGAAATTAGATATACCATAGGCAGTTTAACCCATTGTGTTGTTTCTTTTATATGCTTTCTAGTTTGTAGATATGTCCTTTTTTAATTGAAAGAGTAAAAAGCCAGTGTGGTGGCTCATGCCTGTAAATCCCAGTACTTTGGGAGGCTGAGGTGGGTGGATCGCTTGAGGCCAAGAGTTCGAGACCAGCCTGGCCAACATGACAAAACCCTGTCTCTACTAAAAATAAAAAGTTAGCAAGGCATGGTGGTGTGTGCCTGTAAGCCCAGCTATTCAGGAGGCTGAGGCACGAGAATCACTTGGTCCTGGGAGGTGGAGGTTGCAGTGAGCTGGGATTGCGCCACTGCACTCCAGCCTGGGCGACAGAGCAAGACTGTCTGAAAAAAAAGGCCGGGTGCGGTGGCTCACGCCTGTAATCCCAGCACTTTGGGAGGCCAAGGCAGGCAGATCACCTGAGGTCGGGAGTTCGAGACCAGCCTGACCAACATGGAGAAACGCTGTCTCTACTAAAAATAAAAAATTAGCTGGGCATGGTGGTGCATGCCTGTAGTCCTAGTTACTCAGGAGGCTGAGGCAGGAGAATCACTTGAACCTGGGAGGCGGAGGTTGCGGTGAGCTGAGATTGTGCCATTGTACTCCAGCCTGGGCAACAAGAGCAAAACTCTGTTTCAAGAAAAAAAAAAGAGAAGTCACCACGCCCGGCTAATTTTTTTGTATTTTTAGTAGAGATGGGATTTCGCCATGTTGGTCAGGCTGGTCTCAGACTCCTGACCTCGAGTGATCTGCCTGCCTCAGCCTTCCAAAGATGTTGGGATTACAGGCATGAGCCACTGTGCCGGGCAATTTTTTTTACTTTAGTTTGATACTGTTTAAAATGTTTTTTCCATTATTAAGGTAATCTAAGATCTTTACAAATTATTCCTAATATATAATCAGTTCTGTTTGTATCAAAACTATTCTTGCAACCTGAGTTTTCTATCCTTCATTTGTCACCACTGATTTTAATTTTGTTAATGGTTAGTGACTTGAACTAACTACAGATTTTCAAATGTGGTTCTTATGAATGTCTTAGTCTGTTTTGTGCTGCTGTAATAAAATACTATAGACTGGGTAGTTTATAAACAATAGAGTGAAACCCCGTCTCTACTAAAAATACAAAAAATTAGCCGGGCGTAGTGGCGGGCGCCTGTAGTCCCAGCTACTTGGGAGGCTGAGGCAGGAGAATGGCGTGAACCCGGGAGGCGGAGCTTGCAGTGAGCCGAGATCCCGCCACTGCACTCCAGCCTGGGCGACAGAGCGAGACTCCGTCTCAAAAAAAAAAAAAAAACAAAAAAAAAAAAACAATAGAAATTTACTTCTCGGTTCTAGAGTCTAAAAAAGTCCAAGATCAAGGCACTGTCTTATTGAGGGCTTAGTCTCTGTTTCCAAGATGGTGCCTTGTTGCTGCATCCTCCAGAGGGGAGAGACACTGTATCCTCTGATGCCAGAAGTATGAAAAAGGAAGGCAAACTCCCTTCACCAAGCCCTTTTATAAGGGCACCTAATCACATTTATGAGGGCAGAACCCTCATGACTCAATCACCTCCCAAGTACTGCTGCATTAGGGATTAAGTTTCAACATGAATTTTGAGACAAAAACATTCCAGTGATTGCAATGAAGATACCACTGTATAGTTTCGTAAATATCTTTGGAGCAAACAAAAGCATTTTCATGACACTAAGGACTTTGCAATTGCTTTTCAAATTAGGATTATTGGCTTGAAAATGTTATCTATTTGGTGAACAATAAGGCCTCTGAAATCTTTGAGTAGTAACATTTGGGGAAGATGGAGTGTGCATGGTGCTCATTCTACTTCTTCATTTCTATTAGCACCACTTTTGGGGTGCTAATAGAAATGTATGTGTGATTTGTCTGGCCCATTTTCCTGTATCTTCTGTGGTCCTGTTGAACTCCCTCTTGAAGATGATACTTGGTTTGGTGAATAGTAGCTCTTTTGTTTTTTATCTGCCTAATTTAAAAGTTAATGCTAAAAGACACACTCCACTTCCCTCCTTGAAGGCAATTACTTTTCATTCTTTCAGCTGTTTCGTTGTTTACTTGTGTTCCTTCTTCTAATATGTAATACTTCAGTTGACACTTCAGTTTTAGATATTACCTGTTATTCTGTCAGACAAATTTTGGATCTCCATAGCCCTTTTGTCCTCCTTTTTCTCTTTTCTATAGTTGTATCACAATTTTTCATTAAATTCATACTCTGTGTAAATAAAGCCATAAAGTATACTTTTTAAAATTCTATTGTGAGTTCATAATTATGTTCACTTTTCACTTTATTTTCTTTTAATTTGTGAGTGTATTTTTAATAGTTCAAAACCATTTTCCATATGATAAATGTTAGTTTGATTTTTTTTTTTTTTAAGCATGAAAACATCCTTTTTGAGATGGTCTTACTCTGTTATCCAGGCTGGAGTGCAGTGGAACATGATCATGGTTCACTGCGACCTCTGCTTCCTGGGCTTAAGCAGTCCTCCCACCTCAGCCCCCAGATTAGCCGGGGCTATAGGCACTTGCCACCACGCCTGGCTAATTTATATATTTTTTTTGTAGAGGTGGGGTCAAACTCCTGGGCTCAAGTGATCCTCCTGCCTCTGCCTCCCAAAGCACTGAGATTACAGGTGTGAGCCATCACATGTGGCCAAAAACATCCTTTATCTTCTCCAATTGGGCTGCTTACCCCCTAGGCCTTACTACACATTTTTTATTCTGGAAATGTATTTCAGTTGGCTATACACTTCATTGTCCTCCAGTATTGGATCCCTTGTTTTCTGGATGCCATGTTTACCTCTTGAGTTTAATTCCCTTTTTCGCATGGAGCCATCTTCCCATAGTTTCTCCAGAGAACATAAATGGGGAAATTTGAGACCTTCCATGTCTGACTCTGTTCTCATGTGATAATTTAGATAAAACAATAACATTCTTTAAATTACTTTCCATATCCATCTATTTGTTTAAAACTACATTTCCATTCAGAGACTTTAGGAAGAGTAAGAATCTAATGGCATTGGCAGAATTGAGAACATCCTTCTAGCAAGGGGATTCCAGTGGAAGTTGGGAGAGGTTCCCCCATCTTTTGGCTTTATAATAACACTTATCTTCTCAATTATCATGGATATCTCCTACCATAGGGCCTATGTTTGAAGTGTCATCTTGAATGAGTGCTAGTGCTGTGCCACTTGCTTCTACTTCTCCCAAGGAGCAGAGAATACTGGATTTTTTTGCATATTGAAATGACAGATACTGTATTAGTCTTTAAGTTTGAAAACTATGTATTTTGAGTATTTTCAAAAAGGTTAGTGTGTGATACGTCTTTTTTAAAAACTTCTCTGTGTTTGAAACTTCCAGAGATTTCTTTAAAGTATAGAGAATAGACTGGTACAGAGGTCTCTCTCTACTTGTTTTTTTGCAATATGCCCCAAGTACAATATTTTTTCAAAATTTCACAGATACTGTTATATGAATGAATCTTTGTTGAATCTTTTGCCTTGTTTTATCACCTATGTTGACTCACAGTAAACATGTATTAAGTGCTTACTTTGTACCTTGTGCTTTTTAAATAGGCGAATCCTCCAAAAACATCTCATGAAGTTAGATTATATTGGTATACCCGTTTTACAGATGAAGTAATGAGGCTTAGAGAGAAAAAGTAACTTGCTCAGGGTAATATCTTAGAGATATTAATTAGCTTGCTTTAGGTCACATAGAATTTTAGTGACGGAGCTAGTGTTCAAAACTGGTCAGTCTGACTCAAAGCCTGATTCTTAACTTTTAAGTCATACCACCTGCCATATAATTTTGTTATCCTGATTTTGGCTATCCTTTGAATATTTAAAGCATACTAGTTTTTCATTCTTATAAGTCTGCACTATGGATGATTTCGGGGTTCACATATTTGAAATATTTTTTACATTTTAAAAAGTATTAAGTTTGTATATTGAAGCTAAAAGTATTCTAATCTAGTTGGCCATAAACCAATCTAAATTTTTCTAGATAATTCTGTTTCCAAGTTTGTAATTTCTAATTTCATAATTTTTCAAGGATTGCCTGGACATCAGGAAGTTGAAGTTAAATATGTGGACTTTGGTAATACTGCAAAAATAACAATCAAAGACGTGCGTAAAATAAAGGATGAGTTTCTGAATGCCCCAGAGAAGGTAATTTATTTATTATGAATTCTAGGGCTAGAATATCAGCACAAATATGGAAGTATTTTTAGAAGCTATTGTCATCATAGAAATGTTAGTGTCCCTTTTTGTCTAGTTGCTGATACAGGGACTATAGATAAATGTTGCTGTGGTTACTATTGAGGAAATAATATGTATATCATGGCAAATAAGCGTATTAAACATTAATCAGGTATAGTTGTGTCTTAAGTACTTGTTGGCAGCTTTTAATATATCATTTTGAGATCATATATTGTGGTAAGAGTCACGTTCATGATATATCAAGTTAAAAATGCTTATCTCAGAAGTACTTCTACTGTGATCATATTTATACTTAAGTATATATGTGTGTACAATAGAGAAACCTGGGAGAATATGTAAAAAACTGAACCTTGTTTATCTCTGGGGAGGAGTAGTATTCTGAAAGAAGGGTAAGAAGGAGCCTTGTTTTCTAATTTATATACTGTTGTTTGAGTTGTTTTTAAGCCATGTTTTTCATTTTAGGAAGTGTGTAGTATTATAGAAAAAAATTTTAAAATACAAATGAGCAGGTTGGGCGCAGTGGCTCATGCCTGTAATCCCAGAACTTTGGGAGGCCGAGGCGGGGGGATCATGAGGTCAGGAGTTTGAGACCAGCCTGGCTAACATGATGAAACCCCATCTCTACTAAAAAGATACAAAAAATTAGCTGGGCGTGGTGGTGTGTGCCTGTAATCCCAGTTACTCAGGAGGCTGAGGCAGGAGAATTGCTTGAACCCGGGAGGCGGAGGTTGCGGTGAACCAAGATCATGCCATTGCCCTCTAGCCTGGGTGACAGGGCAAGACTCGGTCTCAAAGAAAAAAAACAAATGAGCAAAAGGGAGAATCACTCAGAATCATTGTTCAATATTTTTGATATCTGTACTTCCAGATACATCTTCTGTGCTTTCAGCAGTTATAGAATCAGACTATAAATCATCCTGTAACCTGCTTTTTACAAGTAATTAATGTATCATAAGTGTCTGTAATGAATGCTTGTTATTCCAGTATGTGAATGTACAACAGTTCATTCAGCCAAATACTGTGCTGATTTCAATGATTTGTGTTTATAAAGTACTTTTACAGACACCTTCACACATTATTTGATTATTTCTAATATGTATGAAATTCAAACATAAAGATTAGTTTTGTACACACTTAATAAAACTTGAATTCTAAAGTAGGTAGAAATTAAATTTTTTTCTTAATGGTGGAATTTTGTCTGACACAGGCAATTAAATGTAAGTTGGCCTATATTGAACCATATAAAAGGACAATGCAGTGGTCCAAAGAAGCTAAAGAAAAATTTGAAGAAAAGGCTCAAGATAAATTTATGACATGTTCAGTTATCAGTAAGTTCCATTTTTACTTGTTATGTAATCACATATAATTTTAAATAATAATATGAATAACATTTGTCAAATTTTAGAATAAATTCAGTGTGCCATCAGTAGTGGTGGTGAGAGATAAGATTTGTTGAGAATTAGGTACAATGGAATTATATCTTTTATGGACTCTAAAGTCATCAGGACAAAAATCACCATAAAAGATCAAGTCACCCTTGACATGGCCCCTTGAAAGCCCTAAAGCCAGGAATTAGCTTCTTTTATTTGTTTGCATTTTTGCTAGGGCTCTGTCCTTGTCCTTAACATAGTGGATGCTAACGTTTAATTTCCAGGAAAGTGAGGGGAGGTGGGACATGATTGGTAAACAGCTTTTCCTTGCTGTTTTTTGTCTCACTGGCTTAAACAAATTCAACTGTGGGTTCTCAGCATAATTTGAAAAAAGTTATTCCTTTTTTAGAGCAATTGGGACCAAAATAGAGTCTGACCACTAGCCCACGATTTTGTAACATAACAAGTTCTGAAAATCAAAAGTTCAGCAGCAAAATTGGTTCTGAATTGGCATGAGGCTGTATATAGTTTTTATCTCGTTTATAGTGAATATTCATATTTTACTTCAAGATAATGTTTGTGGGCTGCTGCCCCAGACTCTGCTGGGGTATTAGATACATATACACGATAGGTGCTGAGTAGCTTTTCTCAATTAGACGAATTTTGAATTCTGAAACATGCCTGGCCCCAAGGGTTTTAGATAGGGGGATTGGGAATCTGGTTTGGTTTTTTTGTTTTTTGAGACAGGGTTTCATTCTGTCACCCAAGCTGGAGTACAATGGTGTGAACAATGGCTCACTGCAGCCTCAACCTCCAGGGCTCAAGTGATCTTCCTGCCTTAGCCTACCATGTAGCTTGGACCACAGGCATATGCCACCATGGCCAGCTAATTTTTAAATTTTTTTTGTAGAGATGGGATCTTACTTTGTTGCTCAGGCCAGTCTCGAACTCTTGGGCTCAAGCGATCCTCCCTCCTCGGCCTCCCAAAGTTCTGGGATTACAGGTGTGAGCCACTTTGCCTGACTGGGAATCTGTTTTTCATCTGATATTTTGATCAGTTCCAAAGTTGTAACACATACTGGCTGGGCTGGGCTTAATGAATAGTAGTGCAGGATACATGAGACCATGTTTACTTAGCATAGATGTATAGGACTTTCAGGGGTAGTTTTTACTGTGTCCATGCCTTTCCTTTATCGTAAGACTATTGGACTATTCACTGTGAGGAAACTGGAGCCTAGAAATGAATTGCTCAAAGTCATAAGCTAGAAATGATAGTATATCTCTGATAATTTATTTACTTCAGAACAAGAAATTGTTCTAAAGAAATAGTGTCATTTAAGAGGAATGTGATTATACAGACTGTATCCTTAGGCTATAGAAGTTTTCTATCTAGCTTCTCTGAAATGAACAAATGAATTAAAGACCTCTTGGTCCTTGAACAGTCTCCACTGATTTTGAGCCAACTTTAACCTGTATAACTGTTTTCCAGCCTTCCTTTAGGAATCATGTTTCGTGGGGTTTTTGCCCCCTCCTAGAATAATTTCCCATGGACAGTCAATCAAGATTTCTTGGGTTTCTTTCTTGATTCCTCTTCTTTCTTTCTCACATAATTATTTAATACCAGTGACATCTAAACACTAGCTGTGGCATAGTTATTAACTTAGATTATTTTATTTAAAGAGTGCCAGAAGGCCTTGCCCAACCAAAACTGTCTTTTCCCATTCACCTGCACAGCAGTAAAATTGTGAGTTCAAGACCTTTATAATAAAGTGAACTACCACAGCTGAGAACAGGAACCTGCCATTAATACGTGCTGTGTTACCTTAGAAAGCAAGGAACATTTATATTTGATTAAGAGGAGAGCAGGGAAGATGATAAAGGTACAGAACACAGAGAAAGTTGACCCTATTGGAATAAAGAACTTTTTGCATAAGAAGTGTAAAACCAAAGAACTAAAGTTAACACAAGAGATGGAAAAGCAGGGGAGATCAAAGTTTATTGAGGCTCAGTGTTGC
This sequence comes from Homo sapiens, assembly GCF_000001405.40. NCBI lineage: Eukaryota > Metazoa > Chordata > Mammalia > Primates > Hominidae > Homo > Homo sapiens. The sequence continues at coordinate 24,834,036 of NC_000013.11, forward strand.
TTAGCCTTTTGTGTCTAGATAATTTATCTGGAACATTGAAAAGTAGCCAGGAATTTTTTTTTTCAACTCCTGGTAAAAAAGCTTTTTAGGCCAGGTGTGGTGGCTGATGCCTGTAATCCCAGTATTTTGGGAGGTCAGAGGCGGGTGGATCACCTGAGGTCAGGAGTTTGAGACCAGCCTGGCCAACATGGTGAAACCCCATCTCTACTAAAAATAAAAAAATATATATATTATCTGGGTATGGTGGCACGCACCTGTTACTCCCAGCTACTTGGAGGCTGAGGCAGGAGAATCACTTGAACCTTGGAGGCAGAAGTTGCAGTGAGCCGAGATTGTGCCACTGCACTCCAGCCTGGGTGAGAGAGCGAGACTTCATCTCAAATTAACAACAACAACAAGAACAACAAAAAAGCAACAAACCCTCTGCAGGAAGCGGACTGCTCCTGGAGGACCCGGGAGAGCCCCCAAAACTGAGTACCCCAACTGCAGAAGTGGGAAAGGGAGACCCTCCTCTCCTGAAAACACACTTCCACTGGAGAAGCTGAAGGTCTGTTTGTGGGAGAAGTTTCCAACTTTACCTGGAGCTGAGTCAATTTAGAGATCCCAGCGAAATATAGGGGTAGAAGAAGCAGCAGAAAGGCCCTGGGAGCTCACTGGGCCCCCAAGCAGCCCATTCCTGCCTGGTGCCACAGGGATTCAGTGGGAGAGGAGCAGGATGTAAAACTCCACAGGGAGAAGGAAATCTCTAGCTGAACTTGGTAACAATTTGAACAGGGTGAGAAGCCTCCTGGCCAGAACTCAGGGGAGGGTACAAATCTGGTGTGCAGACTCCACAGGCAGGGGAAGAACCAAGCCCTTTTCTTTCCCAGCTGGGAGGCAGATAGCCTGGGGCAGGTTTTCAAATCCATATTGCTCTCCACCTGGACACAGACTTGGGGCTGATGGGGGGAACACAGTGGGAATGAGACTGGCCCTTTGGTTTGCGTGGGCGCTGGGTGAGGCCTGTGACTGCCATCATTCCCCCACTTCCCTGACAACCTGCATGACTCAGCAGAGGCAGCCATAATTCTCCTAGGCACACAACTCCAGTGATCTGGGAATATCACCCCCATCCCCCACAGCAGCCTCAGCAAGACCCACCCAAGGAGAGTCTGAGCTTAAACACACCTAACCCTGCCCCCACCTGATGGTCCTTCCCTACCCCCCCTGGTAGCTGAAGAGAAAGGGCATATTATCTTGTGAGTTCTACGGCCCCGCCCATCGCCGGTTCCTCCTCGTACTACCACAGCTGATGCTCTCTGGAAATTACCACCTCTGGCAGGAGGCCAACTGGCACAAAAATAGAGCATTAAACCACCAAAGCTAAGAACCTTCACAGCCCATTTCACCCCATCGCCACCTCGATGGGAACAGGCACTGCTATCCACTGCTGAGAGACCCATAGGTGGTTCACATCACAGGACTCTGTGCAGACAACCCCCAGTACCAGCGCAGAACCAGGTAGACTCTCTGGGTGGCTAGACCCAGAAAGAGACAACAATCACTGTAGTTCAGCTCACAGGAAGCCACATCCATAGGAAAAGGGGAAGAGTACTGCATCAGGGGAACACCCCATGAGACAAAAAAATCTGAACGACAGTCTTCAGCCCTAGACCTTCCCTCTGACAGAGCCTATCCAAATGAGAAATAACCAGAAAACCAACCCTGGTAATACGACAAAACAAGGCTCTTCAATACCCCCCCAAAATCACACTAGTTCACCAGCAGTGGATCCAAACCAAGAAGTAGTCCTGGATTTACCTGAAAAATAATTCAGAAGATTAGTTATTAAGCTAATCAGGGAGAAAGGCGAAGCCCAATGCAAGGAAATCCAAAAAACAATATAAGAAGTGAAGGGAGAAATATTCAAGGAAATAGCTTAAAACAATCAAAAATTGAGGAAACTTTGGACACACTTTTAGAAATGCGAAATGTTCTGGAAAGCCTCAGCAATGGAATTGAACAAGTAGAAGAAAGAAATTCAGAGCTCGAAAACAAGGTCTTCGAATTAACCTAATCCAACAAAGACAAGGAAAAAAGAAAATATGAACAAAGCCTCCAAGAAGTCTGGGATTACGTTAAACGACCAAACCATAGACTTCTCTTCTTCCTCAGGAAAACATATTTGGGGAAATAATTGAGGAAAACTTCCCCAGCCTTGCTAGAGACCTGGACATCCAAATACAAGAAGCACAAAGCTTGGAAAATGTATTTGGGGGAATAATCAAGGAAAACTCCCCAGGCCTTGCTAGAGACCTAGATATCCAAATACAGGAAGCACAAAGAAGACCTGGGAAATTCATCGCAAAAAGATCTTTGCCCAGACACATTGTCATCAGGTTATCAAAGTTAAGACGAAAGGATCTTAAGAGCTGTGAGACAGAAGCACCAGGTAACCTATAAAGGAAAACCTATCAGATTACCAGCAGATTTATCAGCAGAAACCCTACAAGCTGGAAGGGATTGGGGGCCTATCTTCAGCCTCCTCAAACAAAACAATTTATCAACCAAGAATTTTCTGTCCAGTGAAACTAAGCATCATATATGAAGGAAAGATACAGTCTTTTTCAGACAAACAAAGGCTGAGAGAATTCGCCATTACCAAGCCACCACTACAAGAACTACTAAAATTTTGGAGCTCTAAATCTTGAAACAAATCCTGGAAATACATCAAAACAGAATCTCTTCAGAGCATAAATCACACCAGACCTGTAAAACAAAAATACAAGTTAAAAAGCAAAAACAAAACCAAAGTGCACAGGCAACAAAGAGCACCATGAATGCAATGGTACCTCACGTTTCAATATTAACATTGAATGTAAATTGCCTAAATGCTCACTTAAAAGATACAGAACCTCAGAATGGGTAAGAACTCACCAACCAACCATCTCCTGCCTTCAGGAGACTCACATAACACATAAGGACTCACATAAACTTGAACTAAAGGGGTGGAAAAAGGCATTTCATGCAGATGGACACCAAAAACGAGCAAGGGTAGTTATTCTTATATCAGACAAAACAAACTTAAAGCAACAGCAGTTAAAAGAGAGAGAGAGGAACGTTATATAACGGTAGACGGCCTTGTCCAACAGGAAAGTATCACAGTCTTAAACATATGTGCACCTAACACTAGAGCTCCCAAATTTATAAAACAATTACTAATAGACCTGAGAAATAAGATAGACAGCAACACAATAATAGTAGGGGACTTCAATATTCCACTGACATTACTAGACAGGTCATCAAGACAGTCAACAAAGAAACTGGATTTAAACTATACCTTGGAACAAATGGACTTAACAGATATATACAGAACATTTCATCCAACAACCGTAGAATACCCATTCTATTCAACAGCGTATGGAAATTTCTAAGACCATATGACCTCAATAAATTTAAGAAAATTGAAATTATATCAAGCACTCTCTCAGACCACAGTGAAATAAAACTGGAAATCAACTTCAAAAGGAACCTTCAAAACCATGCAAATACATGGAAATTAACCTGCTCCTGAATGAGCATTGGGTCAAAAACAAAATCAAGATGGAAATTAAAAATTTCTTCAAACTGAACGACATAATGACACAACCTATCAAAACCTCTGGCACACTGCAAAGGCGGGTGCTAAGAAAAGTTCCTAGCCCTACATGCCCACATCAAAAAGACTGAAACAGCATAAACTGACACTCTAAGGTCACATCTCAAGGACTAGAGAAACAAGAACAAGCCAAACCCAAACCTGGTGAAATAACCAAGATGAGAGCAGAACTAAATGAAATTGAAACAAACAAAAAATACAAAAGATAAATGAAAGAAAAAGCTGGTTCTTTGAAAAGGTAAATAAAATTGATAGGCCATTAGCACGATTTAGCACGATTAACCAAGAAAATGAGAGAAAATCCAAATAACCTCGCTAAGAAATGAAACAGGAGATATTACAGCTGACACCACTGAAGTACAAAAGATCATTCAAGGCTGCTATGAACACTTCTATGCACATAAACTAGAAAACCTAGAAGAGATTGGATAAATTCTGGAAAAATACAACCCTCCTAGCTTAAATCAGGAAGAATTAGATATCCTGAACAGACCAATAACAAGCAGCAAAATTGAAATGGTAATTTAAAAATTACCAACAAAAAAAAGGACCAGACGGATTCACAGCAGAATTCTGCCAGACAATCGAAGAATTGGTACTAATCCTTTTGACACTATTCCACAAGGTAGAGAAAGAAGGAACCCTCCCTAATTCATTCTATGAAGCCAGCATCACCCTAATACCAAAGCCAGGAAAGACACAACCAAAAAAGAAAACTATAGACTGATATCCTTCATGAACATAGATGTTAAAATCCTTAACAAAATACTAGCTAACCGAATCCAACAACATATCAAAAAAGTAATCCATGATCAAGTGAGTTTCATACCAGGGATGCAGGGATGGATGTAATATATGCAAGTCAATAAATGTGATACACCACATAAACAGAATAAAAAATCACATGATCTCAATAGATGCAGAAAAAGCATTCAACAAAATCCAGCATCCCTTTATGCTTAAAACTCCCAGGAATTTGGCATACAAGGGACATACCTTAATGTAATAAAAGCCATCTATGACAAACCCACAGCCAACGTAATTCTGAATGGGGAAAAGTTGAAAGCATTCCCTCTGAGAAGTGGAACAAGACAAGGATGCCCACTCTTAACCACTCTTCTTCAACATAGTAGTGGAAGTCCTAGCCAGAGCAGTCAAGCAAGAGAAGGAAAGAAAGGGCATCCAAATCAGTAAAGAAAAAGTTAAACTGTCACTGTTTGCTGATGATATGATTGTTTAACTTGAAAACCCTAAGGACTCCTCCAGAAGGCTCCTAGAACTGATAAAATAATTCAGCGAAGTTTCCGGATACAAGATTAATGTACACAAATCAGTAGCTCTTCTGTACACCAACAGCGACCAAGTGGAGAATCAAATCAAGAACTCAACCCCTTTTACAATAGCTGCAAAAAAATAAAATACTTAGGAATATAACTAACCAAGAAGTCAAAAGACCTCTAGAAGGAAAACTACAAAACACTGCTGAAAGAAATCATAGAGGACATGAACAAATGGAAACACATCCCATGGATGTGTAGAATCAATATTGGATGGGTAGAATCCATCTGATTCTATCATATTGCAATGGTACCCATATTGATGGGTAGAATGAATATTGTGAAAATGACCATACTGCCAAAAGCAATCTACAAATTAAGTGCAATCCCCATCAAAATACCACCATCATTCTTCAGAGAATTAGAAAAAACAATTCTAAAATTCATATAGAACCAAAAAAGAGGCCACATAGCCAAAGCAAGACTAAGCAAAAAGAACAAATTTGGAGGCATTACAATACCTGATTTCAAACTATACTATAAGGCCAGTCACCAAAACAGTGTGGTACTGGTACAAAAATAGGCACATAGACTAATGAAACAGAATAGAGAACCCAGAAATAAACCCAAATACTTACAGCCACTGATCTTTGACAAGGCAAACAAAAACATAAAGTGGGGAAAGGACACCCTTTTCAACAAATGGTGCTGGGATAATTGGTTAGCCACAGGTAAGAGAATGAAACTGGATCCGCATCTCTTACCTTATACAAAAATCAACTCAAGACTGATTAAAGACTGAAATCTAACAGTGTAAACTATAAAAATTCTAGAAGATACCGTTGGAAAAACCTTTCTAGACATTGGCTTAGGCAAGGATTTCATGACCAAGAACCCAAAAGCAAATGCAGTAAAAACAAACATAAATAGCTGGGACCTAATTGAACTAAAGAGCTTTTGCATGGCAAAAGGAACAGTCAGCAGAGTAAACAGACAACCCACAGAGTGGGAGAAAATCTTCACAATCTGTACATCTGACAAAGGACTAATACCCAGAATCTACAATGACCTCAAACAAATCAGTAAGAAAAAAAAATACCAAAAAGTGGGCTAAGGACATGGATAGACAGTTCTCAAAAAAAGATATACAAATGGCCAACAAAGGTATGAAAAAATGCTCAACATCACTAATCATCAGGGAAATGCAAATCAAAACTACAATGCGATGCCACCTCCTCACTCCTGCAGAAATGGCCATAGTCAAAAAATCAAAAAACAATAGATGCATGCGTGGGGTGAACAGGGAACACTTCTACACTGCTGGCAGGATTGTAAACTAGTACAGTTACTATGGAAAACAGTGTGGAGATTCCTTAAAGAACTAAAAGTAGAACTACCATTTGATCCAGCCTTCCCACTGCTAGATATCTACCCAGAGGAAAAGAAGTCATTATTCGAAAAAGACACTTGCACACGCATGTTTATAGCAGCACAATTCACAATTGCAAAATCGTGGAACCAACCCAAATGCCCATCAATCAATGAGTGGATAAAGAAACTGTGATTTATACATATATATATGTGTGTGTGTGTGAATATGAATGATGGACTACTACACAGCCATAAAAGGAATGAATTAACAGCATTTGCAGTGACTTGGATGAGATTGGAGACTATTATTCTGAGTGAAATAACTCAGGAATGGAAAACCAATCATCGTATGTTCTCACTGATATGTGGGAGCTAAGCTATGAGGACGCAAAGGAATGGACTTTAGGAACTTGGGGGTAAAGTAGGAGGGGGGCGAAGGATAAAAGACTACAAATACGGTGCAGTATATACTGTTTGGGTGATGGGTGCACCAAAATCTCACAAGTCACCGCTAAAGAACTTACTCGTTTAACCAAATACCACGTGTACCCCTATAACTTAATGGAAAAAAATTTTTTAAAAACTTTTAAATGTATACTGTTATAACTCTTATAACTTGGTTAATATAGAATGTTGCTGTTGGTAATGGTTAGCTTTTTATTTAGAATCATTCTGACTAGCAGCTACCGGCTGGAAAGGTGTAGGCATATACAGATCTCAGTGCATTTTTTAGAGATGTTTTCTAAAGAAATTTGTCTACCATATTTCAGATACTTATTGACCAATTTCCCTGTGCAAAGTACCATAAATAAGTAAATAGACACATGAGACACAAGCCTTACTTACACTCAGTTAACTCCCAGTCTAGTTTAAGAAATAGATCTGATAAACAGAATTAAAAGTTAGATGGTTTGTCCTAAAAAACATGGGGACAGAAAAAAGTTCTAGTTAATTGAGGGTTCTAGATTGAGTTTTTGTTGTTTTAAACTTTGTGCCATTTTTATAAAAGCTTAAACCTTTGCAGATGATCACTGGCCTGAGTTAACTTTCATTCACCTTGGTCCTCCTGGAACTTGGTTGAGTTCCATAAAACAATTAAGAATACAACAAAACACTTCTTCAATGAATGTATTTTTCTGAATCTAAAAGCTTTGAGCTGATTTCTTTATATAATGGCACACAGTAACCTAAAATAAAATGTTCACTAATTTGTATATGTTACAGACAACACTGACCATTTATATCTGCAAAATGCTACTCTAACTCCTAGCAACTATGACATTATTCTACAAGAAATGTCATGTGTGCAAATGAAAGAAATTAAGTTTCCAATTTTTAAAAAAATTGCCTCATTTAGGCTGGGTGCGGTGGCTCAGGCCTGTAATCCCAGCACTTTGGAAGGCCAAGGTGGGCAGATCATTTGAGGTCAGGAGTTCAAGACCAGCCTGGCCAACATGGTGAAACCCCGTCTCTACTAAAAATACAAAAAAAATTAGCCGGGCGTGGTGGCGCGACAGTGTCTGTAGTCCCAGCTACTCGGGAGGCTCAGGCAGGAGAATCACTTGAACCCAGGAGGCAGAGGTTGCAGTGAGCTGAGATCGTGCCACTGCACTCCAGCCTGGGCGACAGAGTGAGACTCTGTCTCCAAAAAAAAAAATTGCCTCATTTACTATATTTTGTGACATATTTCTTTCCCCAAACTTTCTTAATGGTTTTACAGAAATTCTGGAAGATAATGTGCTCTTAGTTGAGCTTTTCGATTCTCTTGGTGCTCCTGAAATGACTACTACTAGTATTAATGACCAGCTAGTTAAAGAGGGCCTAGCATCTTATGAAATAGGGTAAGTAGATATGTAAACTTTCATTGTTAGTTCATGTTCTTATGTAACATTGTAATCACAAGAAGGGAAACTGGCATATCATTCCCCATTGGAGATGAGCTTAGACTGTAGACCTGAGAATTTTCCCTGTCCTGGACCAGAAAAAATAGAAAATAACTGGAGTCATTAATGAGGACTAGAGTGACTTTTCCCTCCATTACTAAGGAACCCAGAAACCAAGAGAAAGGCTCCTTGAGAGTGCTTCTAAGGAAAGGAGACTGCCGTCTTATTTCTGCTTAGGAAGCCCCTTGTGCCTGATTGAGAAAGGAATTGGGAAGAGAAATGGCAGGATGGAGAATAAGCATAGTGGTAGAGTAGCTTACATTTCCATTTGTAGAAATGTTGATTTTCCTGGATTCAAGTGGATACTTTGAATGATAACCAGGCTTGAGCCATTGTGCTAATACTCACCCAGGACAGGCTAGTGGTTAGGGTGACCCCAGAAGCAGAAGAATAGAGTGGTGGCAAGGACAGGTGGGAGGGTTTTGAGGTCAAGACAAAGAATTCTTGCACAACAGGGACTTGTGCAGTGGGAGTGGCCCTGGAGGAGGCTGAGATGGGCGGATCACTTGAGAGGAGTTTGAGACCAGCCTGTCCAATATGTTGTAACCCCATCTCTACTAAAAATAAAAAAATTAGCTGGGCGTGGTGGCGTGCGTGCCTATAGTCCCAGCTACTCGGGAGGCTGAGGCAGAAGAATCACTTGAACCCAGGAGGCGGAGGTTGCAGTGAGCTGAGATTGTGTCACTGCACTCCAGAGTGTCTGACAGAGCAAGACTCTGTCTAAAAAAAAAAAAAGAAAAAAGAAAGCCAGTATTCAGATAGCACCCACATGTGATGCCTGTCAGCATAAGCCAAAGAAGTAGTGACACCCCATAGAGGCCTGCAGTGACTCATACTAGTATTAATGATCTGTGGACATGCTTTCCTGCTCACTCCCATGCTGGAGGAGCTAGAATCAGGAGCTTTTCCACTATAGGTCTCAAATGAGAGCGGAAAAGAAATGAGAATAAACATTCAAATTAATGTTGAACTGGGCCGGGCACAGTGGCTCACGCCTGTAATCCCAGCACTTTGGGAGGCTCAGGCAGGCGGATCATGAGGTCAGGAGTTTGAGACCATCCTGGCCAACAAGGTGAAACCCCATCTCTACTAAAAATACAAAAAATTAGTGGGGCATGGTGGCAGGTGCCTATAATCCCAGCTACTTGGGAGGCTGAGGCAGGAGAATTGCTTGAACCTGGGAGGCGCAAGCTGCAGTGAGCCAAGATCACATCACTGCACTTCAGCCTGGGTGACAGAGCGAGACTCCATTTAAAAAAAAAAAATTTTTTTTGGATTGAATCTTCTCCTTTCTTTTTAAAGTGAGGGTTATTGAAGTATAACTTATATACAGTAAAAAGTCACCTGTTTTAGGTCCACAGTTAAATGAATTTTGACAAAATAGTCATATAAGTATCATCACAGTCAAGATACAGACCTGAGCAAATGCAAACAAATATTTTGCATACAGTTCTTTTCATTAACTTTTGTTGTTTTTCAGATACATCCTCAAAGATAATTCTCAAAAGCATATTGAAGTTTGGGATCCTTCTCCAGAAGAAATTATTTCAAATGAAGTACACAACTTAAATCCTGTGTCTGCAAAATCTCTACCTAATGAGAATTTTCAGTCACTTTATAATAAGGAATTGCCTGTGCATATCTGTAATGTAATATCTCCTGAGAAGATTTATGTTCAGTGGTTGTTAACTGAAAACTTACTTAATAGGTATAATATATATATATAATATATAAGGAAAATATTGCATATGATTTTATCCTTTATTCTGTTTCAAAGATCTAGAAGTCATAAATGTAGATTTTACTAGCAAAATTATTTTAACTAAGTAGTCTCAGCTAGTTAGAAGTATGAAAATAGGAAATCTGTTGGCTGTTTTCACTGCATTAGAATTTATTCATTCTACAAATACCTATTGAGCACCTACTATATGATAACCAGTATTATAAGTGTTAGGGATACCCTGGTATAAAACATAGACAAATCTTTGTTACCATGTAGCTTAAACTCTAGTAGAGGGAGAGAGAGTGAACATATAAAATTTTTAGTGTGGTAGATGGTGATAAGGGAAATAGAAAAAACTAAAGCATTTAGGGAGGAAGGCACTTTTAGGATGGTCAAAGAAGACCTCAGAGACAGTGACTTTTGAAACAGGCCCCAAAGAAGGAAGGAGGGAGGTAAGCCATATAAGTGTCTGAGGGAAGTTTATCTCAGGCAGAAGGAAGAGCTAGTTCAAAAACCTGAGGAAGAAATACACTTGTACATTCAAGGAAGAACAAGGTGCCCAGCTTGGCTGGAGCGGAATGAGCAAGCGGAGATTGTAGGAAACATGTAGCCAGAGAATTATATAAGAAAAGGTTTGGAAAGTTAAATATTTTTTATCTCTATAGTTTAGAAGAAAAGATGATAGCTGCTTATGAAAACTCAAAATGGGAACCTGTTAAATGGGAAAATGATATGCACTGTGCTGTTAAGATCCAAGATAAAAATCAGTGGCGAAGAGGCCAGATCATCAGAATGGTTACAGACACATTGGTAGAGGTAAATTACAGAGTTAAAAGTGTAATTGTGAAGGTGAATGAATGCATTTTGTATTTTTTTCCCTGGAGTTAAAACAGTTTTCATTGAGTTTTTCAGTTTGCCAAAAAAATATTTCGAAATGTTGTTTGTCTGTAGACTTAAAGTTATTATTTTCTTAGGTCTTGCTGTATGATGTGGGTGTTGAACTAGTAGTGAATGTTGACTGTTTAAGAAAACTTGAAGAAAATCTAAAGACAATGGGAAGACTCTCTTTGGAATGTTCTCTGGTTGACATAAGGTAGTTTTTAGCTGAGTAATTTTCTCATTATTTTAAATATTTTTAAATGCGTTCTCGTCAGTTTTAATTTTGCTAAGATATTCTGAAATTTTCCTAAAATCTAGTTAATTTTGGACTTCAAGAGGGAAAGAGAGAAGTTTGGAGCACGTAAATTTAGTGGCATTAAGAAATAGAGATAGGTGAGTATGAAAGTGCCTAGATAGAATTCAAACCGTTGAATATTAAAAATTTTACTTTGAGGAACAACAAACACAGAAATAAATTGTGTAAGTTTAGAATTGCATAGAAAGCTAAAAATATGTAAATTACCAAAAAGTGAATTTGTGGAGGATTCTGGGAAAATGACAGAACAGTTTTAGTCTACTGGAATCCCACTATAAAAACAGCAACTTGGATAGTAAAACTAAAGACTACACAGCCAATATCTACAACAAAATCAGATGACAAGTTACTTCTGTGAGCCCTCAAATATTAGCAGGTGGGGTACACCATGAACCAGGACCTTTACAGTATCAACATTTGTGTGGCAGGATTTGGAGGGAAGGCAGACTAGGATTCCAACAGCTTTGAGAATAGGAATCGGCAACGGTATTTCACTGGCGCATGCAGGCTAATCTGAGAATAGCAGCCAAAACTAAGGGATAAGGCAGGATGCAGTTCTTATATGAATGCAAGAAAGAGATCTGTAAATGTGCCAAACTCCCACAATACTGGAGCGTTTTTAGCCGTATAACCTCTTGAAAGTAAACTGAAACTCCTTTCCATAACCCCACACTGAGAAGAAATTGCTGGGAATAGACTTCAATTTGAGCAAGACAGGCAGTGGAGCAAAGGAAAGAAAAGATCCAGATGAAAGGAGGGGAAAGGGCCAGGTGAGGTGGCTCACACCTGTAATCCCAGCACTTTGGGACACTAAGGCAGGAACATCACTTGAGGCCAGGAGTTCAAGCCTGCAGTGAGCTATGATTGTGCTACTGCACTCCAGCCTGACACAGTGATTTTTTAACCTAAATACAGAATTTTGCAGTTTTTCCTGCCAAATTTGTTCTAATTGGTTTTGAAACTCAGATATTTGATTTTGTTATTCCATGTCTAGGCTGCCCCATCTAATGCTGTATTATCTGTAGACTTGAAAGCATACCTCTGTCAGAGTTGTAGTCTACAGTTTATGAGCTAAATCGAACTAATATGCACTTGGCCTGCAGAATGTTTTTTGAACTATGGCATATTAACTCTTTAAAAAACTAGTAAATTCCACATAAAAATTTGAGTTTCTTTTATTGGCAAAAATTGGATATCTAGCCTCTAAGCCAAAAATAACTGGCCCTCCCCCAGAGGTTCAGAACAGTTGTTAACTTTTGTTAAATAAACCCTAGCTGCTATTCACCATAGAATACCAGATAAAATTGTACATATAGGAAACAGCTCTATCATTAAGTCTACTGGCAGATCGTTTGTTATTGCTTTGATATGCTACCACAGTTATCCAAATCACTTGGGGTAGCTTGTAGTTCTAGACCAGGGTATCCAAACTTTTGGTTTCTCTGGGCCACATTGGAAGAAGAATTATTGTCTTGGGCCACACATAAAATACACTGACAGTAATAATAGCTGATGAGCTAAAAAAAATTGAAAAAAATCTCATAATGTTCTAAGAAAGTTTATGAATTTGTGTTGGGCTACATTCAAAGCTGTCCTGGGCCGTGTGCAGGTTGGATAAGCTTGTTTTAGATTGTCTCAAATTTGATCACTGACTTGAAGCCAATTGCATGTTATTTGGCTAAAAGACATATACACATGCACACACTTAGGTATACATATATGTGTAGGCTTTTCAGACATGGATTATAAATAGGAATATTAGAAATATGTTTACCAATAAAGCTAAAAGATTCGAAAGACCCTTTCAGCATTATTATAAAAACTTTAATGAACCTGTGTGTGATTTTTTTTTTTAAGAAATAAACCATACTGGTTTATCTAGCTTATTTGTATCTCATCTGCAAGGATCTCATGAGAGAACTCCAGATACACTATACAATATACCTTAACATTTATTGTCTACTAGGACAGGCATTGTATGATGTGCTTTACGTGTGTTAGTTTAGTTCTCACAATAATACCGACATGGAACTATTATTATCTTCATATTACAATTGAAGAAACTTCATGATGAGAAATTAAGTACCTTACCCAAAGTTATCTATATAAATCTAACATTGGTTTGATTTATCTGTTTTGGGAACCTGATCTTTTTATTTATTTATTTATTTTTTTTTTTTTTGAGACAGAGTCTCCCTCTGTTGCCCAGGCTGGAGTGCAGTGGCGTCATCTCAGCTCACCGCAACCTTTGCCTCCCAGATTCAAGCGATTCTCCCACCTCAGCCTCCCGAGTAGCTGGAATTACAGGCGTGCACCACCATGCCCGGCTAAGTTTTGTATTTTTAGTAGAGATGAGGTTTCACCATGTTGGCTAGGCTGGTCTCAAATTCCTGACCTCAAGTGATGTGTCTGCCTCGGCCTCCCAAGGTGCTGGGATTATGGCGTGAGTCACCACGCCTGGCCTAAAAATTGATATTATAATAGGATAGCTTCTTTTTTTAAAATTTGTTTTATTCCCTAAAGATCCTTGTTCTGATAGGATACCTTCTTCTTAATGACCCATTTCTCTAATCTTACAGGCACCTCTTCCTATTGTCTGTGATCACTGATGGTGACAATGGGACACTAAATCTTTTCAGTGCCCTGGAATGGAAGTCTCAGCTCACATACTATATAAATCCTATGTTAGTTTTCACTTTGACATTAAATAGTTCAATCAGAATAATTGAACAGAATTATATCAGTCCCTTAATTGTACCTAACAGTACAGAGAATGTGTTTGTGTACATACTTTAAATGGTATCTTATGGACTGGAATGGAATACCATTATCATTTTAAAAGCCTAATAATAGCTAACCTTTAAGAACTTCTGGAACCTGCATTAATTGTCTTAAAGACACTATTTCACTTAATCCTAACAACAAACCTTAAAGATATAAATACTATTTATAGGTAAGGAAATTGAATATTTAAGAGGTTAAGTATTTTATTATCTGGATAAAATATCTGCTGACTGTTGAGTTAGGATTATAAACACAGTCTGAACCCAGAACCGGGACTCTAACCACTCTGTTTTACTGTCATTTTAAGAAATCCCTTTTAATAGATTGTTCTTAGGTTGATTAAATATATATTACACTCAGTTTACCCTTTTACCATTCTTAAGTGTACAGTTCTATGACATTAAGAACATTCATGGCCGGACGCGGTGGCCCACGCCTGTAAACCCAGCACTTTGGGAGGCTGAGGCAGGCAGATCACTTGAGGTCAGGAGTTTAAGACCAGCCTGGCCAACATGGTGAAACTTCGTCTCTACTAAAAATACAAAAATTAGCCAGGTGTGGTGGCAGGCACCTGTCATCCCAGCTACTTGGGAGGCTGAGGTAGGGAGAATTGCTTGAACCTAGGAGGCAGAAGTTGCAGTGAGCCAAGATTGCGCCACTGCACTCCAGCCTGGGTGACACAGTGAGACTCTGTCTCAAAAAAATAAATAAAAAAATCACATTGTTGTATAGCATTTACCACCATTTCATCTCAAGAACTTTTTCATCTTCCCTAACTGAAATTCTATATTCATACATTTTTTAAATGTTAAATTAATATTTATATCCATAATAAATCAATGGATAACCTTGATGTTACATTGACTTATATTTATATACCATCGTAATAAATAAACCATAACTGGTTCCAAGAGTTCCTAACAATTTAAGCTTCTTAGCACATAAGAACTCTCTCTGGGCTTTACAATAAGTAGTATAGCACATTTACGAAATCCTGTTTGGCCAAGTTATGTGCCCAGTTGATTTGGTTAGTTCACCCATATAAGCCATGTTACTGTGAAAAGATTGACCAGGCGAAGCTGAGTGTGGTGGCATACACCTTTAGCACCAGCTACTCAGGAGACCAAGATGGGAGGATCCGTTGAGCCCATGAGTTCAAGTCCAGCCTGGGCAACATAATGAGGCCCTGTCTCTTAAAAAAATTGACCAGAATTAATTGTTTACTCAGTTAATGGGCTAGCTCAATGAAACTCTGGAACTAGAAACCATATTTAGAGAGCCTATAGAGCCTGCATTATGTTATCTGTAATCTCTTCTGTGTTACCAATTCTTTATTCTTGGAGATAGATTTGCTGATTAGAGACATCTAAGGCAAGCTTGTCCAACCCACAGCCCACAGGCCACATGCAGCCCAGGATGGCTTTGAATGCAACCCAACACAAATTTGTAAACTTTCTTAAACATTATGAAATTTTTTTGAGTTTTTTGTTTTGTTTTGTTTTTAGCTCATCAGCTACATTAGTGTATTTTATGTGTGGCCCAAAATAATTCTTCCAGTGTGGCCCAGGGAAGCCAAAAGATTGGACACCTCTGCAGTCACTCAGTTTCAACTCTGCAAACTAAAATGGATGATGAAATTGGATACTCTGCATTTCATTTATCTGTCAGATATTTATTGAGCATTTTTTCAAACTATGCATTACTGTCTGACAGTATTTGCTGAAAGCTTAGGCTATGGTACTGCTAAATTTTAGTCATTTAAAACTGTATTACCACATCTATCAGATAATGTAAAAAATTTTGTTGAATCAGTAATTAAAATTTCTGGTATTTCTATTATTTATGGGTAGCAATTCAAGTTAGATTTGAAATCCAAAGAACTTCCAAAGATGGGCAGTGGAATCATCATTACAAAGAGACTTTTTTTCTTTCTATTAAATATTTCTGGAATGGCTTCTATGTGACAGGGCACTATACTAGTCATCAGGGAATATGATGATGCACATAACACATCATCATTCCTGTTCTCTTGGAGTTTACAGTCTAGTTGACATACATGAAATGTATATAATGACTTAAAAAGTATTTAAAATATACCTGTTTTTTACAGCTCCTCAATGTAGCTGCAGAAAAGATACACATAAATAAGTTAATATGTAATATGGGCCCTCAGTAAAATAGAGGGATGAAAAAAAGATAGGAAAATGAGGGAAAAAATTGTAAAAATAATACGAATCCATGTTTAAATTGTTTTTTTTACTACATATAGTTGGTTCAAACTATGAGTGTATCTGTGTGTAAATATAGTGTTTTTTGTATATTTCAATATTGTATGCTATTTTTATAAAACAAGTTGCCACTGTTTTCTGTTGTAGACCAGCTGGTGGGAGTGACAAGTGGACAGCAACAGCTTGTGACTGTCTTTCATTGTACCTGACTGGAGCTGTAGCAACTATAATCTTACAGGTGGATAGTGAGGTAACAAGTTACAAGAGATATGTGCTGATGATCTCATTAATGTTTCCATCGATTCCATTTATTTTCTTTCTTGTAGAGAAAATAGCAGCCAACTATTTGGATTTTGTTACAAATTTTGTCGGTTTTATTTCAAAGTATAAGAGGCATATATCTTTTCAGACCACTTCAAAAATATTCTTTGCTTTCTTTTTTCTAATTTAAATGTTTTATTACATTGAGTAGAATTTTGTAATTCATTTTATTACTATTTATGTGCTTTCTCCAGTTTTATACCTTTTTCCATATGAAGCAGAATATATGTTTTGTAGTTCTTTTGCTTTTTGTAGGAGAAAAAAGGCACACCTTGGAAAATATATTTTGATTCTCTAATTTACGAGAATGCAAAAGAATAAAGAAACTTGTTAACTGATGTTGTATTCCTCACTTCCCAACTCCCCATTCTGTGACTGGAAAAAAAGTTTCCAGTTTGATTTTTTTTCTTTAATTTCACCTTGACATTGAGGTTTTCCTGATGCATTTCACAAAATAACTCTCTGTTCCACTCTCTTCCATGCTGTTTGCTTTTTTTAAGATGGAGTTTTGCTCTTGTGGCCCAGGCTGGAGTGCAGTGGCGCGATCTCGGCTCACCGCAATCTCCGACTCCCAGGTTCAAGAGCTTCTCCTGTCTCAGCCTCCCGAGTAGCTGGGACTACAGGCATGCGCCACCACGCCTGGCTAATTTTGTATTTTCAGTAAAGACGGGGTTTCCCCATGTTGGTCAGGCTGGTCTCAAACTCCCGACCTCAAGTGATCCGCCCACTTCTGCCTCTCAAAGTGCTGGGATTACAGGCGTGAGCCACTGCACTCGGCCCAGTGCTATTTTTGGATGTGTTTAGATATCAAAATAACTTGACTCAGCTGGGAATATTTCTTGCTTAGAGAAATGTAGAAGAACTGCCTGTGAAATGCACATTGTTTATATGAAGATTTCATTTTGGTGTTTCATATTTACTCTGCTCTTAAATCACTACAGGAAAACAACACAACATGGCCATTACCTGTGAAAATTTTCTGCAGAGATGAAAAAGGAGAGCGTGTTGATGTTTCTAAATATTTGATTAAAAAGGGTTTGGCTTTGAGAGAAAGGAGGTATAGACTTTTTTAAAAAATTTTGACATCAGTTTGTGATGGATGCCTCAGTTGCGTGTGCAAATCTTATGTGTGCTTTCAAGTCTGAATTGCATCTTGTTTGCTCTTAAAGATTTATAAGCTGACCCTGAGGAGCCAGCTCAGAAATAGATTCCTTCAGAATTGCTCATTTCATTTTTCAGGCATGTCAGTTCTTGCACACTTAAGCCTGTTTACTGACATACTTGCTTTTGTAATTTCCCCTCTCCTTTGACATTTACACTGTAAACCAAAGAAAAAGAGAACAATGTAGTGGATACCAGATCTGAGCCCTTTGGTATCCTTTACTTAGACATAAATGTTTAGGCTTTATTTTAGAAATTCTGGTAGGTATATACCTACTAGATGTATTTATATGAAATGTAAATGTATTTATATGAAACAGGATGAGTAGCAAATAAATAATTGAACAGTATTTACGTTTAAAGATCCTTTCGGGTTCTATGTTTGGAGTTTAAGCACCTTTGGTCCAGGGACAGGATCAGGATATGGTTGTGGCTCTAGCTTAATCTTTTCTCTCTCTCTCTTTTTTTTTTTTTTTTTTCTGAGACGGAGTCTGGCTCTGTCACCCAGGCTGGAGTGCAGTGGCGCAATCTCGGCTCACTGCAAGCTCCACCTCCCAGGTTCACGCCATTCTCCTGCCTCAGCCTCCTGAGTAGCTGGGACTACAGGTGGCCGCCACCTCGCCTGGCTAATTTTTTGTATTTTTAGTAGAGACGGGGTTTCACCGTGTTAGCCAGGATGGCCTCGATCTCCTGACCTCGTGATCTGCCCGCCTTGGCCTCCCAAAGTGCTGGGATTACAGGTGTGAGCCACCACGCTCGGCCTCTTTTCTCTCTCTTTCTAGAGATTTAGAGGTATGTTGGAATTGGAGACACAAGTCCCAATTAGCCACTTTGTACCATATATGGCCAGATCTCCGTAGATGTGTTTGCCTTAACTTATATCTTACCTTCTTTAGAACAGGGATCCCAGTCCTGATGAAATGGAAAGAGAATTAGAAGTCAGAAAGAAAGTGGGACATGAGGCTAGATATGGGAGATGTGGCCTGGATTGCCCGGGCTTTGGCATACAGCTAATTGCTTTGCCTTTAGGCTAAGGCAATTCCTTGATAGAAGAAATGTTAGAATGGAAAATGCTAGGCAAGTTAATACTACTGACATTGTCTGCTACCAGTTGTAATGTTCTTTACTGCTTTTACAGACTAAAACTACTAGCTATCTTAAGGCGGCGGTGGGTTGGGGGACTAGCAGGGTATTTGAGGAATTATGTGGCTTTTTCATAAATGCTTTATTTCCATTGATTGATTGATTGATTGATTGAGACAGAGTCTCATTCTGTTGCCCAGGCTTGAGTGCAGTGCTGTGATCTCAGCTCACTGCAATCTCTGGCTCCTGGGTTCAAGCGATTCTCGCACCTCAGCCTCCCAAGTAGCTGGGATTATAGGCATGCGCCACCATGCCTGGCTAATTTTTCTATTTGTAGTAGAGACAGGGTTTCATCATGTTGGCCAGGCTGATCTCGAACTCCTGACCTCAGGTGATCTTCCTGCCTCAGTCTCCCAAAGTGCTGGGATTATAGGCGTGAGCCACCATGCCCGGCCCTTATTTCCTTTTAAAAGTACAGGAGATGAGAAGAAAAAGAAACTTGCTATAATTCCGCTAAAACACAATCAATATTAATATTTCCTCCTAAGATTTTATTTTTTTATACAGTAGGGATACCTATTTTTTTTAATTGGAAGGGAATAATATAAAGTAGAAAAACTGAGTAAATATAGCATATTACCACTTAGGTAATATATGAATATGGTATATTCATATATACGGATAGTACCTTATTGTTTTTTAAGAGACTCATGTTTTCTTTGTATTTTTGGATGCTAATAGCTTGCCAGATGTCTGTTCTATGTGTGGACTAAATTGAAATCATCTTAAAGGTGTTGTATCTTCTAGTAACATTGAATTCATTGTACAATGCTTGAGATATACATATGAAATTTTAAGAGAGCATAGTCTGTAAATATAGAAATTTAAAACATTTACTTAAATTTTTATTGCTTTTTCTCATCAGTCTCATAATTTAAAGTAGTTTTAATTTTAACTGATGCTAATTTTTATGTAACAAATTAGAGCAAATATTTTCTTTCAATTTCATGTATATCTGAATGATTCTTTTTATGTTGTTTTACCCAGAATTTTATATTTGCTTATGTTTAGATGTGTTCTTTTTTGGATGTTACAGAATTAATAACTTAGATAACAGCCATTCATTATCTGAGAAGTCTCTGGAAGTCCCCCTGGAACAGGAAGATTCAGTAGTTACTAACTGTATTAAAACTAACTTTGACCCTGACAAGAAAACTGCTGACATAATCAGTGAACAGAAAGTGTCTGAATTTCAGGAGAAAATTCTAGAACCAAGAACCACTAGAGGGTATAAGCCACCAGCTATTCCTAACATGAACGTATTTGAGGCAACAGTCAGCTGTGTTGGTGATGATGGAACTATATTTGTAGTACCTAAACTATCAGGTGAGACCTTCTATGTTATGTAGGCTCTAGTTCTCTAGTACGAACGACAGGGATTGAAATACTTTGGGCAACCTCTTTGAACGTTATTTTCACAAGGTTGTTAGGAGGATTAAATGATTTCACACAATGCATGCAAAGTGCTTTTAATAATGCCTAACATAAAAATCATTTAATGCAGTTTTTCATTATTCTAACATAGCAGTGTTATATAATTATATTATGTGAGTGCTATTCTCAGTATAAGAAGAAAGGAATTTGGAATTTCCATTTCCACTACTATGGCAGATGAACAACCCTCCCAAATAAGTCAGATCAGATGCCAATTTTTTTTTTTAATGAACACTTACTGAGTTGGCATTAAAGTAAAGAACATACCAAGCTCCAAAACAAACTGAAATCACACACTGGGAGGTAAGCATGTGCCAAAGAAGGCAATCACTCTAGAGTTGCTTCATAACTATAGAACCTTGAGCAACTGTGATAACTACATGAAGTTAAAGAAAAAGGAAATAAAGGTCCAGGCCCCTTTACTCAAAGTGGGAAATCTAATAGGAATTCCTCATGTGAAGATGGGATCCCAAAGGATGACTCCCACAATGGGTCAATGTGCTGATCACATTAAAAATCACTAAAAGTAGAGTTCAAATGAATTTTTTGAAGTTACTATAAAATGTTATTTATGTGAAAGAGTATAAAATGTATTATTTAAATAACAACATTAAGATGAGTAGCCACATACACATTGCCCATGATAAGAAGCAGCATCGCCAGAACCTAAGCAGACTTGTGTTGCCCCACTTGATCACGTCTCCTGTTTTGCCACCCCAGATACAGCCACTTTTCTGAATTAGCTAATTATCATTTCCTGTGTGCGTCACTAAACAAATTTTTTAGGTTTTCCATCTTTCAAACTTTATGTAACCAGAACCATAATGTACATATTCTTTTGTGACTTTTCATCAAACTGTTCGAGATTTGTCCACCTTGGCGCATTTCACTATATTTCATTCATTTTTTAAATGAATTAATAGCATTTCCATGAATGATTATGTCTCGGTATCTGTTCTATTGATAGACACATGTGTTTCTAGATTTTCTGTGATTACAAAAAATCCTACTATGAACATTCTTGTACCTGTCTCTTGTTACACAAGCAGAATTTTTCTAGGGCACATAATCTAGTGAACAGAATTGGTAATCATTGGCCAGGCACGGTGGCTCATGCCTGTCATCCCAGCACTTTGGGAGACCGAGGTGGGTGGATCACAAGGTCAGGAGTTTGAGACCAGCCTGGCCAACATGGTGAAACCCCATCTCTACTAAAAATACAAAAATTAGCTGGACATGGTGGCACGAACCTGTAATCCCAGCTACTCAGGAGGCTGAGGCAGGAGAATCATTTGAACCCGGGAGGCAGAGGTTGCAGTGAGCCCAGATCGTGCCACTGCTTTCCAGCCTGGACAATAGAGTGAGTGAGACTCCATTAAAAAAAAAAAAAATTGGTGGATAATTTCTAGGTAATGTCAAATTGTTTTTCAAAGTTGTTTATAACAGTTTACACTCATCACTACCAGTGCATGAAGAGTCTTGTTACCCCACATCCTTGCTAACACTTAATAAGGTCAGATTAAGTTCTACCTATCCTAGTGGATGTGAAATTGTCTCTCACTATGGCTTTAGTTAGCATTTCCTTGACTTCTTATGGCGTAAACATCATTTCTTCTATTTGAGTCGTTTGTATTTCTGTGTTTTTGGAATGCCTATCCATGTCTTCGCTCACTTTCCATTAAGTCATTGCTTTCTGATTCATAGTTCTTAATATATCCTGAACACTTATCCCTTCTTGGTTTTATGTGTTCCAGGTATCTTCTCTTAGTTTCTTACTTGTCTTTTCAGTGTCTTTTGGGAGTTTCTGGATGAACAGAAGGTCTTAATGTAATTTTATCAATCTTCTTTGTTTTTTGGTTTTGTATCTCGTTTTAAATCCTTTCTTGGGCCAGGCGCAGTGGCTCATGCCTGTAATCCCAGCACTTTTGAGAGGCCTAGGTGGGTGGATCACAAAGTCAGGAGTTTCAGACCAGCCTGGCCAATGTGGTGAAACCCCATCTCTACTAAAAATACAAAAATTAGCTGGGCGTGGTGGCAGGCATCTGTAATCCCAGCTACTCAGGAGGCTGAGGCAGAAGAATCGTTTGAACCTGGGAGGCAGAGGTTGCCGTGAGCCAAGATTGCGCCACTGCACTCCAGCCTGGGTGACAGAGCAAGAATCCGTCTCAAAAAAAAAAAAAAAAAAATCCTTTCTTACTCTGATGTCAGAAAGCTATTTCATTATATGATCTTGTAAAAAAATGTTTATAGTTTTGTTTTTTACATAAAGTCTTTAAGCTATCCCAGAATTGATTTTTCAGTAGGTAAGAAGAAGAGATCCAATTTTTTTTATAGGTTTAGTTAGTAGTCCTAGCTCATCGGCTTATACTCCACACATTCCCCACTGATCTGCAATGCTAACTTTGTCAAAGATTAAGGTTCCATATATGCACGAGTTGTTTCTGAACTTTCTGTTCTGTGTTAGTGCTATTTATCCCTACACCAATACCAGTTTTTTTCCTGAAGATAGCCTATACTACTTTTAGTGTGTATACAAGTTACTTTGTTGTGTATCCTATAACGCTTGAAATCCATTGGATTTCTTGTTTTTCTTTAGGTGTATCTTGGCTTCTTAAATTGTGTGTTTTATTCACTGTACCCTATTGTTTCTGTGGGAGACACTGTGTTCAAAGTGTTGCAAGGTCACAAAGCAAAGGCAAAGTTAGGCTAGAGATGAGGAAAGGTGACTTTTTTGAGAAACGCTCCAAACCCCATGGCTTTGGAAATATAGATAGATATGGACAGGGAGAAAATACTGGTAGACCTTTTTAGAGTTAGGAACTTTAGGGAGGTAGACATAGATCAGACAAAGGGGTTCAGCCTGGCTGGAAGAATAGAAGTAATGAAGTTTGGTAAGAATAAGGGAAATTAGGTATATGATGAAGTAGTTGGGTTTTTAGCATCATGATATATGAGGGCTGCCACTCAGGATTTTACTCTTTCCTCCATGATTTCAATATTTTTGTGCATCTGTAAACCTTGGGATCCTTGAGAATATAAAAATCCTGGAGTCCCATTTTTTTTGTACACCTAAGAGTGACAATGACACGTGGTTGGCAGAATTTAGAACTTAGGCCACCAGTGATTATGTAGACATCCTCAGTACTCTCCCAGCATGGAAGAGAAGCAATATGAACCCGGTTTCTATAGGCTGCTAAAATGACTCTTAGATCAGGACTAGCATAAATTAACCTGCTTTCCACCACTGTGTCTCCCTTATTTTCCTCACCTTGGCACTAAGATGCTGGGGGTGTGGGTGGAGCGTTTCCAAGTTTGTAAGACCTGTCACTTACACAAGTTTGGAGGCTCTCTATGAAAAAAGAATACAGGCTGGGTGCGGTGGCTTACGCCTGTAATCTCAGCACTTCAGGTCAAGGCAGGAAGATTGCTTAAGCCCAGGAGTTTGCGACCAGGCTGGGCAACATGGTGAGACCCCATCGCTACAAAACATGCAAAGATTAGTTGGCCATGGTGGTGCATGCCTGGGTCTCAGCTACTCAGGAAACTGAGGCAGGAGGATTGCTTGAGCCCAGGAGGTCAAGGCTGTAGTGAGCTGCGTTCATGCCACTGCTCCAGCCTGGGCAACAGAGTAAGACCCTGTCTCATTTTCTAAAACTAAAATAAATACAGAAGTTTATATTTCTTGAGAATGAGAAAAGAAATCACAACAAATAACTGGAGCTTTAGGAACTTTTGAGAATATTCAGGTCCCTCATGAGATCTTTAGGCTTATGTGCAAATGCTGCAAATGCTTCCTGACTGTAACCTGGGCCCATCAGAATAGTCGATAACTCTAGCACTCATAGGGCTTAGTGTCATTGGCTCCTAATTAGTACCTATGGATAAGGGTATGGTAGCTATGAATTTACTGAAATTTTTCTCTCATTTGTTGATCTCCTAAATATATTTTTTAATTTGAAAGACAATAAAATCGGTACAATTGGCCGTTCTAGAAAAAATAACGTTTGAGACCTGTAGTAATAATACTTAACCCAGAAACTTTGCTTGACATGTATAAATAGTCATTGTTCAAACTAGTAGCCTGTTATCTGCCAGGCAGTGTGCTGGATGCTTTACATTTAATCCTCCTGCAGCACTTGATGATACTGACAGGTACTGTTATTCCCAGAAGATGCTGTTTCACCCAGAATAGGTGGTGGTATTATGGAAGGATAAACTGAGGCTTATTGGAGGTAAGGGAACTACCCAAGATCACACAACTAAAGCAGTAAGATGGGAATGGTAACTGACTCCAGAGCTTACCTTCTATGGTATCAGTTATGGATATATATATATATATATGTTTACTGTGGAACTAATGGGCCAATTAGCAATAAAAGCAAAATTGAAATTTTAATTTATATTGCCATCATCATACTGTATCTAAGCAACAAGTAGTATATAACCTGTGTCCTATTTTACTTAGGGCTGTCAAACTGACCCTATTTTGAATTGGTAGTACTTTCATATTAAGCTAGCTGGTATGTGTTTAGAGCTCCTTATGATGTTTGTACTCTCAAAATATAATCAAAGATCATAATATTGTTTATATGCTATTACTAGTATGTTTTAAAACACACACAGATTTTTACAAAAGTTCTGTTTGGGGGACTGGTTTTTAATTATACTACTGAAGAAATGAAGTTATTAAATTGACAAATGATAGGGAATTTTCCTTAATGCTTTCTATCTTTAATACTTTTTTTCAGAATTTGAGCTAATAAAAATGACAAATGAAATTCAAAGTAATTTAAAATGCCTTGGTCTTTTGGAGCCTTATTTCTGGAAAAAAGGAGAAGCATGTGCAGTAAGAGGATCCGATACTCTGTGGTATCGTGGCAAGGTGATGGAGGTTGTAGGTGGCGCTGTCAGAGTGAGTCTGATATTCTTTTGTGACAATTCTAAAGCTAAATGCTATAGCATTAAATAGTCTTGTGCATTTGAACACGAGAAAGTTGGATTAAAACATCTTTTGATGAAAATTGTGTAGGAAGATCAGTTATATTGTACTTTTATTTGTAATAATTTTTCGTTTTATTTGCAAATATATTTAGTAACCTGAATAAGCAAAAAATAGGGAGGGATTTGATCATTGGTTAATGGATAGACCTCTTAGTTGTAATTGGTAGCCCTGTTTCCACACATAGTGTTAAGTAAAACAATATGTTTTCCAGTATGTTAAATATCTCGCTAGCAAATTTGTTTATGGCCCTGTTAGTTTTTCAGGATAACGACTAATTTACCTTTCCAGAATAATGAGGTAACTAACACTCAGGTTTCAGTCAAAATCTTCAAAAATAGCTACATCCTTTGAAATATATATATATATAAAATATAGATGAAAATACCTCTAATACATTGTATTTACTAAGTAAAGGAATGAAATTGATGAAGTACTTCATCATATATTCAGCACTTGAAAACTTTAATTAGGGGTGAGGGGAGAAAAACTTAAGTGAAAAAGTCTTTTTTCCACCTGGACAGGAGTTTATTTTCTGTTTGATGATGATAACTAATGATTACATAGCACTTCAGGTTTTTTAGCTTCCTTCACATATATGCATTTATATTTTATAGTTTGTTTACAGTTATCCTAGACATAGATTATTATTCCCATTTTACTAATAAGAAAATTGAAATTTAGGTTCAGTGACCTGCCAGGGTCACTGGGTAGTAATGCTAGAGTTAATATCCAAGCATCTGATTCCTAAACTTCTGATTCTAAGTCTTACACTTTTTCTATTGAACTACAAATTTTTAATGGTTTTCATAGAAGTAAAATAGTTTCAAATTTGGGGTGAGTACTTAAACATCTGGATAGTTATAGGGGTTATCTGAGCAACTTGAATGTATGTGCAAAGTGACATACATTCGAGTTGCTCAGATAACCCCTGACCTTTTTTTCTTTACAAAGGTAAAATGAAATTCAGTGTTCATCAAGTTATCATACTTCATGAACTTTACATTTGTAGAATCAAAATAAATAAGATGGTGAACTTTTATAAAAATTCTCATGCTGTCCAAATATCTGTTTATTTTAACTTACTTAAAAGAACTTTGATAGTTTAATCATCACCTTTTATTTTTTTCATGTGGTCACTTTACATTTTTAGTATACACAATGGATTTTTCATTTCTTAATCTGATATCTTTCAAAGTTTATCCTGTGATTCACATTAAGAAATAAATGTCTCGTGAAACCATATCCTAATTATCTGTGAGGTATTCAGACATTTTTTGTTTAATTCTATTTTATTTTTTAATGGTAATTGCCAAGCAAATCCAATTAAACAGTGATATGTTCATTTCATTATGTTGGGACAGAAGAAATAATTTATTGGCATTCCTTATCCTTAAGACAATTTAGAAATTGAATTATCAAAATTAAAGCATTTCAAAAAGGGATTGCTCTTGAGGAATTTGTAAATCCAATAAAACCCAGTTTTTTTTCAAAAAAAAGTCTGATGGGTTAAGTGTAAGAAAACCTTTTTACAATGAGGTTTGATACACTATTGGATGAGGGAATAAATACAGTATTACTTTTTTTCCTGGAAATTTTTGAAATCCAGATTTTAAACTTTTCAGATGTCTTTTTTTTTTTTTTGAAACAAGTTCTTCCTCTGTCACCAGGCTTGGAGTGCAGTGGCACAGTCACAGCTCATTGCAGCCTTGACCTCCCGGGCTTAGGCAGTCCTCCCACCTCAGCATCCTGAGTAGCCGGGACTACAGGCGCATACCACCACAGACAGCTAATTTTTTTTATTTTTGTTAGAGATGGGGTCTTGCCGTGTTCCCAAGGCTGGTCTCAAACTCCTGGGCTCAAACAATCCACCCACCTCTGCCTCCCAGAGTGCTGGGATTATAGGCATGAGCCATCAAGCCCGGCCTGTCTTTTTTTCTAATAACAGGAAATTCCTTTTGTCCCCTAGCTTTTAATAATAAATTTTAACTATAAATTGTATTTGTCGTGTTTCAGGTACAATATTTAGATCATGGATTCACTGAAAAGATTCCGCAGTGCCATCTTTACCCTATTTTGCTGTATCCTGATATACCCCAGTTTTGTATTCCTTGTCAGCTCCATAATACCACACCTGTGAGTACATAATAATTTGTGGAATGATTAATTTTAAATATTAGTTTTTATTAATAATTTTTTAGAAATATTTAGAATGTAAAATGAAATTTCAGTTGCAACAAAAAAGTAATAAAACACCAACAAATAAGTTACTAAGACAGCTAAACAGCCTTTATGAAGACAGTTACAAAATTATACTCAAGGCTGTAAAACATCTGAATAAATGAAGAGACATGTTCATAAGTAGGAAGGTATAAGATTGCAAAAGTTTTATTTCTTTATCAAATGAAATTACAACAAACTTGAAGCTGGAGATCAGATAAAAGAGTGTCTTATTCTGTATTGCTGCATAACAAATTAAGCTGAGACTTAGTGGTCTAAAACAACAATAAACTTTCATTATCTCATGCAGTTTCTATGGTTCAGGGATTAGGAGTGGCTTAGCTGGTTTGTTTTGACAAGGGGTCTGTATTAGTCCATTTTCACACTGCTATAAAGATACTACCTAAGACTGGGTAATTTATGAAGAAAAGAGGGTTAATTGACTCACAGTTCTCCATGGTTGAAGAGGCATTAGGAAACTTACAGTTGTGGTGGACGGCGAAAGAGAAGCACATACCTTCTTCACAAGGTTGCAGGAGAAAAAGAGATTGAAGGGGAAACGGCCACTTTCAAAACCATCAGTTCTTGTGAGAACTCACAATCAGCATGGGGGAAACTGCCCCATGATCCAGTCACCTCCCACCAGGTTCCTCTCTCGACACATGGGGATTACAATTCAAGATAAGATTTGGGTGGGGACACAGCCAAACCATATCATGGTCCCTTGTGATACTGCCGTCAAGATGTCCACCATAAGTGTAGTCACCTGAAGGATCAACTGGGGACAGAGGGTCCACTTCAGATGGCTGACTCACATTGCTTTGGCAGGAAGCCTCACTTCTCACCATGTGAACCTCTCAACGCATAAAGACGCAACAACCGCTATTCCTTAATGAATACATATTGTAGGCCTTGTACAAGCACTGCATTGGCATATTGGTCTTTTTTAAAAAGTCTTAAATGTAATGTTTTGTTTTTAAATGTAGGGTGTGTGTGTGTGTGTGTTTTCTCACCTCTGGCTGAACAGGTTTATATTTTTAAAGCATAAAATGAGTACTCAAATTATTCATTTTTAAAGATTATTTTTATCATGTACCTATGATATTCTCTGAGAACTGCTTGTGTATTTTGTACTACTATCTGATATTATTTGTTTATGGCTACTTTTGTGTATCTTAATTTGCTTCCTGCTCTGATTTTATGAAAGCATAAAAGAATCTGAGTTTATTAATCTCAAATAGGTTGGGAATGTCTGGCAACCAGATGCAATAGAAGTTCTTCAACAACTGCTTTCAAAGAGACAGGTGGACATTCACATTATGGTAATTTAAAGTATATATAGTTGTTATAAATTACTTGCCATAAAATATTATAATTAACATAATTTGAGGGATATTTTTGATGATAAGCAATGGTATATACCTTCTTATGTGAATTGCTTGTTAGCATAAAAGAAACTACCAGTTTGGTTCCTGCGCCTGCTTTAAATAAGCCTGCTTTTGAACAAGTTCCTGAGAACTTTCATAACCATTAAAGTCACTAATTTGAAAGATTCTTTATTAACAGCTTGTTTTGTTACAGGGAGCAGTATTAAATTGTTGGACATGTTTATAATTATATGTAGCAGTTTCCAAGATGGTGCTGAACACTCAGCACTGTCTCGGGTCCAGGTAATTCTGGGAGTCTATCATGATCTGTGTCCTCAAAGCCCTTATCTGGTTAGTGAAACAAGGCAAAAACCTAAAACATTTGCACTACAAAGTAACATGCCAAGAGCTAAGTGACTGGTAAAAAGAGTAAATGTAATAGGAATTTAGAGATGGTGAGAATTGAGGTAGCCCTTGTAATGTTCTCCTGACTGGGGAAATGAAATGCACAAAGGTACAGAGAGACATTTTAGGGAAATGGTGTAACTGTTTGACTTGAACAGTGGAGGTTTGGTGAAGAGTAGTGGTAGTGAATAGCATTCAGGAGAGGTAGGGGCCGGTTGGTGGGGTTGGTAGGGAGAGCCTCAGTGGAGGTTTCTGAGCAGTGAGGTAATAAGATCAACCTGCAGCTGCTATGTTTGCAGGGCCTGAATGGGAAGATATATGGTAAGGAAAGTATTTCTGTATTAAAGGATGATGATAGAGTGATAAAAACCTAAAGGAGGCACACACTCACTTACATAAGAAAGTGGCTTTTGTTAGTACTAAGAGTCCCTCCCTAGTTACTTAGTCTCCATGGCAAGTCACTGAAATATGGTAGAGATTGAAATTTTTAGTTTGTCTAGACAGCTTTCACTGCTTCTTCGCTTAATTGACACAGAAGAATAGCTTGTGGTATAGCAAAGGCTGCCAGGTGTCTCAGAGACCACGAATGTGCATGCCACACAACCCAGCCGACAGCAGGCCTTGCCCAGACTCACTCCTCTCCCTTGTACGCAAAGGGAGATGCTGACAGAGGGCCTCTTAGGTGCTAGCCTCTGCTCTAGGCCTGGACACACAGCTGGGGGCTGAGCAGTAGGAAATCCCTGCCTTTCTAGAGCTTCCATTTCAGTGGTGGGAAAGAGAAAATAAACTATGAGGAGTATTAGATTAGATAAGAGAGAGGCTGATAGGAATGGCATGGCCAGGGAGGAGGTTCCACTTTAAACATGCATCTGGGAAGACGTCGCTGCAAAGGTAACATTTGAGTCAACACCTTAAAATGGTTAGAGGACAGACCACACGGGTGCAGGGAGATGAGTGCTGAGGCAGGAGCAGGGCTAGGAGGGAGGGGACTGCATTGGCAGAAGAGGGAATGGTAAGAAGAGATAGGACAAGATCTGCTGGGAGGCAGCAACAGTAATTCAGTGAGGAGCAGTAAAACAGTGAGGAGCAGTGAGTTTGGACAAAGGTGGGATCAGTGGAAATGAAGAGAATTGCTGTAGGTCAGCTTATCAGTTAGGGACACATTCAGCACCCAATAACTGTAAGTGAACTTTATTCAGAGTTTTAAAGTTACCATGATTCCTGCTTTTAGACTGTTTCGAGTCCCACCAATTTTGGATTTTTAAATGAAACTTTATTTCTTCACCTCTGAACGTAACCTTTTCTTTCTCTTTGTACGTAGTGTAATTTATTAGTATCATCTAAAGGTGATGTATTTGGGAATTGGAATTATATATAACTAGTTATTTTGTGGTAAATAACTAGAAAACTCTATGAACTTGAAAGTGTATATTACATAAACCAAAGTAGTAGAATTACTCCCTTATAGCGCGTCAAAATACCAGGAAGAAAATTCTATGAAATGAGTCACTAGCCAAACTGTCTAGTTAATACTATGATTGTCAGAAGCTAAATTTGATATTTGCTGACTATAAAAATGTCATCAAGTGGAGTTTATTTTTATGATTATCTTTATTGAACTTTAAATAGGAGT
The DNA here is from genome assembly GCF_000001405.40 of Homo sapiens. Taxonomy (NCBI): domain Eukaryota; kingdom Metazoa; phylum Chordata; class Mammalia; order Primates; family Hominidae; genus Homo; species Homo sapiens. The sequence goes on from NC_000013.11 coordinate 24,864,877, forward strand.
TACCTAAAAATCCATGGGAGAAATTGTCTATTCACCTCTATTTTGATGGAATGTCACTTTCTTATTTTATGGCATACTATAAATACTGTACTTCTGAACATACTGAGGAGATGTTGAAAGAAGTAAGTGCACTATTTTTCTATAAAAATCTAAAGTGTAGAAAAGTCTAGTTAAAATGTCACATTTTGTCTTACACTGTGTCTTAAATATGATTCTACATATCTGATCTATTAAGAGAGTCTAGAGGACTTACACATTTTTGCTGAGAAAGATGAATAGGCTGTGTCATGCATTATAAATGTCCTGTAAAAGACTTTAATTACATTAAGATTCAATTAATGTTTCTGTACCTTCAAACCTAGTGCGATGCCCATGCTATTCAGTGTTGTTTGAATTAGAGATGCACATTCTAAAATCTTTATAGAATTCAGTACCAGCAGAGGGCTCTTGCTCCAGATAAAATATTTTTTCCTTTTACTTGACACAAAAGCCGTGTATTACAAAATTTCTCTCATTTGCCTTCTCACAGGAAACCCAGAGTCACATTTTGAGCTTAGCTTCCATAAGTGGCTCATTCCTTGCCTGGTGCTTCTGTGGTTTAGTACTTTAAAAAATATAGCCTGTTACAAGATATGGTTTCACATTTCAAGCTGCTATAAATCTTTTATAGGAGTAGATTATGCATCATTATATTTTATATCACAAGATATTTTTATTTCTAGAGTTGCAGTCTACTTGTTAGACTCTTTAATATTCATTTTGGTGGTAGTACACAACCAAACATTGTTCTATGGATAAAGAAAACTACTTTCTTCTCTCAAATAGAAATCGTGCTATAACTTTGTTCCTGTAATCCTCACTGCCAGCTTTTTCTTTAAAGCAGAGGTGTGGTTGTTGTGGGTGAGTGGGGGTGTGTGTGTGTGTAAAAGAAGTTACGTCTGTTATTAAACACGTTTTATAAAGATTACTTAGTCTTTCTGTTCTAGTTGTACTATTCACTGTGAACATTTTAAAGGGAAAGGTAAGAACTCCCACTCTTATAATAAATGAATTAGCTTTGACATGTGTTAACATGTATTTGAGGTTTCTTATTGTTGAAAACTTATGGTGAGATTATTCAGAACATTAGATTTTCCTGTAATTGATCTGAAATAAATAAATGAATACCAACAAGGAAATGCACCCAGTTTTTGTGGGGATGAAATATGGAAAGTACCTTAAAACAATATAGCTAAAGGTGATTTTACTCAATACCATATTATTTCAGAAACCAAGATCAGATCATGATAAAAAGTATGAAGAGGAACAATGGGAAATAAGGTTTGAGGTAAGTAACAATCCAAGTATTTTGGAAACTTTGGACACTTCATTAATAAAAAGGATCTGATACAGGACAGAAAGCTCTCTTTTATAACAGTTTTATTATTTATATATCATAGAATTTACCTATTGAATATACAGTTCAGTGTTGTTTAATATCGTTCACTGTTTTGTAACCATCACCACTATTTCCAGAACATTTCATCACCCCCAAAAGAAGCCCTGTACCAGCAGCAGTCATTCTGCATTCTTCCTTCCCTAGCTTCATGACAGCCACTTCTGTCCCTATGGATTTGCTTATCCTGTGCATGTCATATAAATGGAATCATACACTATGTGGTCCTTTGTCGCTGGCTTTTCACTTAGCATAACATTTTCAAGGTTCATACATGTTGTATATATATCAGTGCTTCACTTCTTTTTGTTGCTGAATAAAATTCCATTGTATGGATGTATTTTGTTTACCCATTCATCTGTTGATAGACACATGGGTTGTTTCCACCTTATGGTGGTTGCGAGTAATGCTGCTGTCTGATCAGGTACAAGTTTTTATGTAGACATGTTTTCCCTTCTTTAGGGTATACACCTAGTAGTGGAATTACTGAGTCTGTGGTAACTATGTTTAACATTCTAAAGATCTCCAAGACTGTTTCCCAAAGTGGCAGCATCATTTTACATGTATGTCAGTAGTGTGTGTGCAAGGACCCCATTTTTTCCATCTCCTCACCAGATTACTACTTGTATTCTGTTTTTCTAGCCATTTTAGGATAGGCATGAAGTGGCATATCACTGTAGACTTGATATGCTTGTCCTGGTGATTAGTATTGTTGAGCATCTTTTCATGTGCCTATTGGATATATATATATATTTTGAGAAATCCCTTCAAATCTATTTGAGTTATTTATCTTTTTATTGTTGAGCTATAACAGTTCTTTATGCATGCAAGTACCTTATCAAATATATGATTGCAAATATTTTCTTTTATTCTGTGGGTTGTCTTTTCACATTAATGGATTTGAGAGTGTCTCGCTATATTGCCCAGGCTGGTCTTGAACTCCGGGGCTCAAGCAGCCCTCTTGCCTTTTTGCAGAGTAGCTGGAACTAAAGGCATGGACCACCACATCCAGCTTTCTTTTCACTTTTTTGATAGTGTCCTTTTAAGTACCAAAGTTTTTAATTTTGATGAAGTCCAATTTATCTGTTTTTTTTCTTTTGTCACTTGGACTTTTTGGTGTAGGAAGAGTTTTAGTACATAAACCTTTGTAATTTATGAAAATAACATAACCTTATTGTAAATTGCCTGTTACTTAAGTTCAACAAATTTCAACAGTGGCTGATCACTTTTTGCTGAATTTTCCTAGGTTCAAACTTTTTTTTTGTCTACCAGTTTGAAATGTTAAATAGTAATAAATTAACCTACAAATTTGAATATGATGGTTTTACTTAAGATAATTACCATATTCTTGAAGAATAAGAACTTTTTATAAAGATATTGCTTGTATTTGCAGAAAAACATGCACCACATTTTTATACACATTTGCTTTTAACAATTGCTGGGTGCCGTGATCTTCCTGGGAATCATGTAACTGTAGTATTCCTTTGCTTTCATATGGCTTAAGAGAAAGCACACCTTTTTGATGATTTTAACTTAAATTTTCTTTTAGCATTTCATGCATTATTTTAGTTTTTATTAGAAGTACTTATTCTTAAATACAGCAAAAATGTATAAAAGGAAAAAGGATCTGTTCCTCATTCTGCACCTCAAACACCCCAGCCCTCATTAGTGGCAGTTACTATTGACTATTCTTCTAGAATTGTATGTATATGTGTAGATAATATGCACATCAATAAACATTCATGCATTTTTTTGCACAAAATACTTTTTGAAATTAGAGGACAAAAGAATACTAAAGATCTTTGATTATCATCACATTTTGGTCCTACTGTAACAAAATCATTTTATGGTATTCAGTATTTAAGAGAGCTTGCTGGGGCCGGGCGCGGTGGCTCACGCCTCTAATCCCAGCACTTTGGGAGGCCGAGGCGGGCGGATCACGAGGTCAGGAGATCGAGACCATCCCGGCTAAAACGGTGAAACCCCGTCTCTACTAAAAATACAAAAAATTAGCCGGGCGTAGTGGCGGGCGCCTGTAGTCCCAGCTACTTGGGAGGCTGAGGCAGGAGAATGGCGTGAACCCGGGAGGCGGAGCTTGCAGTGAGCCGAGATCCCGCCACTGCACTCCAGCCTGGGCGACAGAGCGAGACTCCGTCTCAAAAAAAAAAAAAAAAAAAAAAAACTTGCTTTCTGCTAATTGAAAGGTAAATTGGCACCATCATGAATTTTTATAATGTAATAGATTTTTGTCCTTATTCTGAAATTTGAATTTTTCTGTGGTGTTTTAGGAATTGCTTTCGGCTGAAACAGACACTCCTCTTTTACCACCATATTTGTCTTCATCTCTGCCTTCCCCAGGAGAACTCTATGCTGTTCAAGTTAAGCACGTTGTCTCACCTAATGAAGTATGTGATCTAAATGATTAGTTGGTGATTAAAAATGTAACAAGCTGTCTTGGTCTTAAACACTATAAGTGACTCTTCACTTCTCTATTTTCCTGATTTCAAATGTTGCAAATTCGTGAACTCTAGTTTGCCCCACCCTATAATATCCTCTTCAGATATTTGTCAATGTTTAAGGCAAGTGTTTTTTAAGGACCTACTGGGTTCCTGGTGTTGTGCTGCTTTATTCAATGTTATGCTTACATCTGATATTTAGATTTTTAAGGTGGAACCGTTTCTACCTATGAAATCTTAAACATCTCGCTTCCCTTCCTCTTCCTGCACTGAACTCTTCCACTTAACCACCTGGCTGACACCGTGTTCCACTTACTATGTTTGTCTGCCTCCCCTTAGGGTATAGCTCCATGTTGTTCATTGAGGTATCCCCAGAACCTAGAATAGTGCCTGTTAAATACTAGGCACCCGGTGAATATTGATTGAATGTGTGAATAAAGGCACTAAAAGTTCAATTACATGTCCTTGGCTAACAAAGAGAGGAAGAAATAAGTAGCTTCAGCAGCTCCTTCAGCCTTTTACACAGTAAGCCATTCTCTCACAGGCAGGGGAAGGATTTGCTTTCTAATTTCATCAGAGAGCAGAGTAAGTAGCATGTTATGCTCTATATAGTTGCTAAACAACTATTGCTGGTTTTGGTAATTTTGCTTATTTATTGCTGTATCACAATTTACCCCTAAACTTAGCAGCTTAATACAAACACACATGAGGGTCAGGAATCTGGGAGCTGCTGAGTTAAGCACTCTAGCTCAGGCTCTCAGGAGGTTGCAATCATGATGTTGGCAGGGGCTGCAGAAACCACTTTCGAAAAGACTCACTCACATGGCACCACCTGGAAGGCTGTGTTTCCTGCCCGTGGCCTCTCCAGTTGTCTGCTTGCAGCATGGCTATGGCTTCCTGGCGCATGAAATCCCTGGCAGAGTTCTACCAAGACAGAAGCTACATGTCCTTGTAAGCCAGTCTCAGGAGTCACACACTGTCACTGCAGTTGTGGTTTTTTGTTTGTTTGTTTTTTGAGATAGGGGTCACGTTTTGTCATCCAGGCTGGAGAGTGCAGTGACATAAACATAGCTCACTGAAGCCTTAACTTCCCAGGCTCAACCATTCCTCCTGCCTCAGGCTCCCGAGCAGCTGGGCCCACAGGCATGTACTACCATGCCCAGCTAATTTTTTTTTTTTTTTTTTTTTTTTTGAGACGGAGTCTCGCTCTGTCGCCCAGGCTGGAGTGCAGTGGTGCAATCTCAGCTCACTGCAAGCTCCACTTCCCGGGTTCACACCATTCTCCCACCTCAGCCTCCAGAGTAGCTGGGACTACAGGCGGCTGCCACCACACGCGGCTAATTTTTGTTTTTGTATTTTTACTAGAGACGAGGTTTCACCGTGTTAGCCAGGATGGTCTCGATCTCCTGACCTTGTGAGTCACCCTGCCGCGGCCTCCAAAAGTGCTGGGATTACAGGTGTGAGCCACCGCGCCCGGCCTAATTTTTTTGATTTTTAGTAGAGATGAGGTCTAACTGTGTTGCTCAGGCTGGTCTTGAACTCATGAACTCAAGCGATCCTCCCACCTCAGCCTTCCAAAGTGCTGGGATTATAGGCATGAGCCTCCATGCCCAGCCTAATCATGTTCTCTTGATCACAAGATAAGTGTGGTAGGATGTGGGAAGGAATAGGAGGTGAATATCAGGAGGTGTAGGGGTCTCTGGGAGCATCGCTGGAGGCTGTCTGCTACAGTAATTTTGTCCACATACGTGAATTCTTGACATTCCAGAATCTGAAAGTTTTCCTTTCATTCTCCCCACTTAGGTGTATATTTGCCTTGATTCTATAGAAACTTCTAACCAGTCTAACCAGCATAGTGACACAGATGATAGTGGAGTCAGCGGGGAATCAGAATCCGAGAGCCTTGATGAAGCACTGCAGAGGGTTAATAAGAAGGTAGAGGCGCTTCCTCCTCTGACGGATTTTAGAACAGGTATACTTACTATATTTGAATGAAACAGGATACTTAATAAAACTTGGATTTTGTTTCAATGGGCTGATGACCTTGGGCTATCTCTAATGCTGATATTTTCCTCATATTCACTTTACATGCATGATTTCCTGTAATCCTCAAGATACCCAGAAGATGACTTCTTTCTCATTTTCTAGATAAGGAAGGTGAACTAAGAGACGCTAAGTAAACTCCCTTGGAGAACACTTTCACGTTCCACAAATAAGACAGCGTTGGAAAATTGCATAAAGATTATTTTCTAAGTTTGAGGTTATCAGTAGCTGAAATTGCAAGAGTTGTCATTCAGACCTTAATGGTCATCATTTAAATTACAAGCCACCTACAATTATAATCTTGAGGTGGAGGCTCAAAGTATGACCTGTTCTGTCAAGACAGGTCAGATTTCTACTCTTTTATCTTTTCAGTCCATTCTTCCCATCTTTATTAAATATGTGTGATTCTCCTCTGAGGAAAATGTATCTAGTTATTGCGGTATGTAATGCATAGAGATGTATTTATTCTTGATATTTTAGCAAAGGAAAAACACACATCAGCTTAATGTCTTACCTGTAGTCAGTGTTTTGTTTGTTTGTTTTTTGAGACAGAGTCTCGTTTTGTCGCCCAAGCTGGAGTGCAGTGACGTGATCTCGGCTCACTGCAACCTCCTGCTCCCAGGTTTAAGCGATTCTCCTGCCTCAGCCTCCCAAGTAGTTGGGATTACAGGTGCGTGCCACCACACCCAGCCAATTTTTGTATTTTTAGTAGAGATGGGGTTTCCCCATGTTAGCCAGGCTGGTGTCAAGCTCCTGACCTCAAGTGAACCGCCCACCTTGACCAAAATGCTGGGCTTATAGGCATGAGCCAACTTGCCCAGCCTTTTTTTTTTTTTTTTTGGAGATGAGTCTTGCTCTGTTGCCCAGGCTGGAGTGCAGTGGTGCAATCTCGTCTCACTGCAACCTCTGTCCCCTGGGTTCAAGCAGTTCTCTTGCCTCAGCATCCCGAATAGCTGTGATTATAGGCACGCGCCACCACGCCCAGCTAATTTTTGTATTTTTAGTAGAGACAGGGTTTCACTATCTTGGCCGGTCTGGTCTCGAATTCCTGACCTCGTGATCCACCCGCCTTGGCCTCCTGAAGTGCTGGGATTACAGGCGTGAGCCACCGTGCCCGGCCCAGATGAGATTCTTGTTTTATTGATGACTTTTTTTTTTTTTTTTTTTTTTTTTTGAAGACGGAGTTTCACTCTTGTTGCCCAGGCTGGAGTGCAATGGTGCAATCTTGGCTCACTGCAACCTTTGCCTCCCGGGTTCAAACGATTCTTCTGCCTCAGCCTCCCAAGTAGACAGGCATGCATCACCTCGCCTGTCTAATTTTGTATTTTTAGTAGAGACGGGATTTCTCCATGTTGGTCGGGCTGGTCTCGAACTCCTGACCTCAGATGATCTGCCCACCTCGGCCTCCCAAAGTGCTGGGATTACAGACGTGAGCCTCCGTGCCTAGCCCTGATGAGTTTATATATGCAAGAAATTGTCTATAACTCTTTAATTAAAATCGCTTGAAATAAAAATCTTTATTCATTAGTCAAGTATTTTAATGCCACTTGCCCACAAGTAGAATTCTCTGTGAAATTACACAGAAAGCATATGACATAAGGAAGTAGAACAAGATGGGAAACTGAGGCGCATGCCATCACTCTGAAATCTAAGGATGTACGAAGGGAAGTATATACCGTACTAATTTTTCCACCGTTTAACTCAAGCCTAGCACTCATTGGTACACTTTTTTTTTACTGAGTATTTGCTTGTATCAGGTACCGTGTTAGGAATACAAACATCAGTTCTGCACTCAAGAACAGGTGCTCTAAGCAGAGAAGAGACATGTAAACCAAGTAGAGTATGAAAAGAATAGCTCTTCTTAAAGGAGTGTGTGTAATGCCGTAGGATCACAGGGAAAACAGTGATCAGTTACTAGGGCTTTGTTGGTCATGTTGGAGCTGGGCTTTGAAAGAAGAATGATAACTGCTCAAGGTGATGAATACCCTAAAAACTGTCAGAATGTGTTCCCGATGTTTATGATAAACATCATAAAAAGAAGGGCTCAGGAAAACTTTAGATGAAGGGGGACAGCCATGAACTAAATAGAGGGATCAAAGTTTTAAGTAATCCTGTTTAGGTGACTCATTGAGGAAATGTGGTAGAAGTTGTTTGGGAGAACAGACAACTGAAGAAGCCTGTACATTGTAATAAGGACTTGATATTACAGGCAGTTAAGGTGTACCATTAAAGAATTTTAAATAAGAGCAATGTAATTGAATTTTTAAAAATTCAATTCTGGTAGTCCCATAGCAAATGAAAGGACAGAATGGAAGGCAGGAACAGCAAATATTTACATCCTTTGCCAAAGATGATGGCCCACGCTAGAAGAGACTAGGGGAGTATCAGAAGTTGGGGCAGTGGCAATATGAGCTAATAAGTCTTAGGAATACAAGAACTAGCAACTCTGGGAATGGGAGAAATGCCTTTCTTTGAAGCTTAATCCTTAGGAATTAGTGAACAAAGGCTTATAAAATATGAACAGAAAAAGAGAAGCCAACATAAGACCAACTGTTCAATATTTAATTCTGGATTGTGAGCCTATATTTGTTACATTTTCTTCTTTGTACTTTTCTGTATTAAACATTTTTTGATACATAATTGTGTATGTTTATGGGGTACATGTGATATTACCTGCATAGAATGTGTAATTATCAAGACAGTATTTAGGGTATTCATCACCTCGAGCAGTTATTTCTATGTGTTGGAAACATTTCAAGACTTCTAGTTAATCTGAAATATACAATCCATTGTTGTTAACTAGGCACCCTACTCTGCTCTCAAATATTAGAACTTATTCCTTCCAACTATATGTTTGTACCTATCAACCAACCTCTCTTCATCCCCCCACCCCAAACACATGTATATTTGCCTTTCATGGCCTCATGTAACTGAACCATTAATCTCCTTGTTATCTTCATGAGATCCACTTCTTTAGCTCTCATATGAGTGAGAACATGCGATATTTGTCTTTCTGTGCTTGTCTTATCTTAGTTAATATAATGATCCATCCATGTTGCTGCAAATAACAGGATTCCATTCTTTTTTATGGCCAAATAGTATTCCATTGTGTATATAATCACCACATTTTCTTTATCCATTCATCTGTTGATGGACACCTGGGTTGATTCCGTATCTTGGCTATTGTGAATAGTGCTGCAACAAACATGGGGTACAAGTAGCCCTTTGATATGCTGATTTCCTTTGGATTAAAAAAATTTAATGAAAGACAATATGATTTTTTCCCTTTTTCTGTCTTTCCAGAAATGCCTTGCCTTGCAGAATATGATGATGGCTTATGGTATAGAGCGAAGATTGTTGCCATTAAAGAATTTAATCCTTTATCTATCTTAGTACAATTTGTTGATTATGGATCAACTGCAAAGCTGACATTAAACAGGTTAAAAATAAATGTCGGGGTGTTGAATTAGATTTCTTTTTTTTTAAATAGTTTTCTTATTGAGAATATTTTTGCCTCTTTTAAAAGAAAAGGGTTATTCTAAGGCTGTTTATAAATTAGGAATTTTTTTCGTGTTAAAGTATACATAAAATTTACCATTGTAGCTTTTTTTTTTTTTTTAGATGAGTCTTGCTCTGTTGCCCAGGCTGGAGTGCAGTGGCGCAATCTTGGCTCACTGCAACCTCCGCCTCCCAGGTTCAAGTGATTCTCCTGCCTCAGCCTCCCTAGTAGTTGGAATTACAGGTGCCCGCCACCATCCCGGCTAATTTTTTTTGTATTTTTAGTAGAGATGGGGTTTCGCCATGTTGGCCAGGCTAGTCTCAAACTCCTGACCTCAGGTGATCCCCCCGCCTCAGCCTCCCAAAGTGCTGGGATTACAGGTGTCAGCCACCACACCTGGCCCATTTTAGTTATTTTTAGGTATAGTAACTAATTGGCATTAAATACATTCACAAGGTTATACAACTATCACCACTTTGCATTTGCAGAACAATTTTGTTATTCCAAACAGAAACCCTGCACCTGTTAAGTAATAGGATCACAGTCCATTCTCACCCAGTCCCTAGTAACCCATAGTCTACTGTCTCTGAACTTGCCTGTTCTGGGTACCTCATATAAGTAAATTCATACAGTATTTGTCCTTTTGTGTCTGGCTTATTTCAATAGCATAATTTTTAAAGATTCATTCATGTTGTAGCATGTGTCAGAATTTGCTCTTAAGGCTGAATAATATTCCTTATATATATGAGGGGTCTTCAAAAAGTTCATGGAAAATGCATACTATGAAAAAAACTGCATGGATTTCAAAATTTTTTCACCAAAATAAATTTGTACTAACTTGTTCTAACATGTCTGAACAGGATCTAGTTTGAGGCACTAAAAAGGATAAGTGCAACGTGAATTCTGCTCAAATTGAAACAACAACAAACATTAAATTTATGGTGAAGCTTGGGTGGAGGAATGGTGATATCATTTTTGCTTTATAAAATGTTTATGGAAATAATGCCCCAAAGAAAGCAGTTTACAAATGGATAGCTTGTTTTATGAAGGGATAAGATGATGTTGAAGATGAAGCCCATAGCAGTAGTCCTTCCCCATCAATTTGTGAGGAAAAAAAAATTAATCTTGTTCATGCCCTAATTGAAGAGGACTGACAACAGCAGAAATAATAGCCACCACCAAAGACATTTCAGTTGGTTCAGCTTATACAATGCTGACTGAAAGAGCTGAGCAAACTCTCCACTCAATGGGTGCCAAACCTGTTGGACCCAGATCAGCTGCAGATAGGAGCACAGCTTTCAATGGAAACTGTAGACAAGCAAGATCAAGACCCTGAAGCATTTCTTCAAAGAACTGTAATTGCAGAGGAAGCATGACTTTCCCAGTGTGATCCTAAAGGCAGAGCATAGTGAAAGCAAGAGGCGGAAGTGGTCCAGTCAAAAGTGGACCAGCCAAGAGCAAAGGTCACGGCAACAATTTTTTTACGATGCTCAAGGCATTTTGCTTGCCGGCTTTCTGGAAAGCCAAAGAATGACAACATCTTCTTCTTTTGAGTGTTTGAGAAAGTTAGCGGAAGCTTTAGCAGGAAAACGCCTGGGAAAGCTTCACCAGAGAGTCCTTCACCACCACAGTGCTCCTGCTCATTCCTCTCATCAAACAAGAGCAATTTTGCAAGAGTTTTACCTAAATCATTAGGCATCCACTTTACAGTTCTGATTTGGCCCTTTCTAACTTGTTTTTTGTTTCCTAATCTTACAAAGTATTTAAAGGGCGCCCATTTTTGTCCAGTTAATAATGTAAGAAAGATCACATTGACATGGTTATATTCCCAGGACCCTCAGTTCTTAAGGGATGGAATAAAGGGTTGTTACCATAGCTTACAAATGTGTCATGATCTTGATGGAACTTATGTTGAGAAATAAAGTTTACATTTTTTATTTTCATCTTAATTTCATTTTTCCATGAACTTTTTGAAGCCCCCTCATACAGTATATACTACATCTTATTTATCCCTTCCCTGGAAGGTGGAACTTGGGTTGCTCCCCGCTTTTGGGTCTTGTGAATAATGCTTCTGCGAACACGGGTATACATTTATCTCTTTGAGTACCTTCTTTCAATTATTTTGGGTATATACCCAGAAATGGAACTGCTGGATCATATGGTCTATGCTTAATTTTTGAGGAACCTCCATGCTGTTTCCCATAGTGGCTGCGCCATTTTACATTCTCACTAAGAGTGCGCAAAGGTTCCAATTCCTGCATATCCTCACCAGCACTTGTAATTTTGTTGTGTTATAATAGCCATTCTAGTAGGTGTGAGGTGGAGTCTCACTTTGGATTTGACTTGCATTTCCCTAATGATTAGTGACGTGGAACATCCTGTCATGTGCTTGTTGGTCATTTGTAGATCTTTAGAGTAATGTCCGTGTTTATGTGTATTTTCTCCCATTCTGTAGGTTGCCTTTTTGTTCCGTTGTGTCCTTTGATACACAGAAGTTAATTTTTTTAGGAAGTCCATTTTATCTGATTTTTCTCATTTTATCTGATTTTTCTCATGCTTTTGGTGTCGTATCCAAAAAAATCACTGCAAAATCCAATGTTATGAAGCGTTTCCCCTATGTTTTCTTCTAAGAATTGGATAGTTTCAGCCGGAAGAGAATTTTAATGTAAGAATTTCTTTTGTGACAGACTGTGCCAAATTCCTTCTCATCTTATGCGGTATCCAGCTCGAGCCATAAAGGTTCTCTTGGCAGGGTTTAAACCTCCCTTAAGGGATCTAGGGGAGACAAGAATACCATATTGTCCCAAATGGAGCATGGAGGCACTGTGGGCTATGATAGACTGTCTTCAAGGAAAACAACTCTATGCTGTGTCCATGGTAAGTGTCTCAAGTAGCCAAAATTATTGTAAAGCTATTTCTGTGTCGATACTTTGTAAAGTGTTTGTTTCTATGCAGCGTCTACATGCGAGAGTATACTAAAGCATATACAGCTATATAGGATATAGTTTATATGTATAGCTTTATATATACATATAAAGCTTAATTTTGAGGCTTGTTAAAATGTCTTAGTTTATATTTAACAAACTGCTTACCCCTGTGGTGATATAAAATATCATTTATGTAATTAATAAAATGCTCAAGATGAGTATCCCATAATTAACTTATAATGGGGAAACAAATATGCAAACAAGTATGAGGTTGAATGAAATAAGTACTATAACAGAGCTATAGCTAACTTTGTGGGTGGGGGAAGCGTAAGAAGAAATGATTATTTGCATCTGGAGAGGACAGGAAAGGGTGTTTGAGCTGCTACTTAGAAGCCACTCAAGTATTTAATTGAATAAGTAAAACAGGAATGTGGCATTTCACCTGCATCCTAAAAGAAGAGTGGGAAAGAAAGAATGGTAGTTCTGCTCATTATAGAAAGGCTTGAATTATGCTAATTGTACTAATCTCATAATTGTACTACTTATTTGATGTAGTAGAACCTGTGTCAAAAGGTCAACTAAAAAACTCCAGACTGCATTTAATGTAAATGTTTTCTTCTTAGGCTCAGCATGTCACAGTAGCCCACAGGCAGAATCTGGCCTGTACCTTGTTTTATTTAGCACACAGTGTTTTAAAGTTGGAAATTTTACCCAAAAAGTCTGTATTTCTGGCCCTGATTAGATATTCTAAAAACTAGGAATCCTGGGTCTCCCCATCCCTCTGAAATGGCAGTCAGCTGAAAGTGTAGCCACAGCCCCTTAGATAGGAACATGTGATGTTCAGTTCACCTAGTCCTCACTGCTGGTGTGCAGCTCAGCCTGCTTCCCTCCTTTGTGATTCCTGCCTGGTGCCATGATTTGGGGATTCCTGACACACTGGCTATGACAAAAATGAGCTCATAATCAGTCAGCATGGTTCCTGGAAAGTGCTTTTTGAAAACCTGTGTATATATGCTATTGCATGTGCAGAGTGGTATGAATAGCTCATACAGGGTTTCTCTCAACCCAGTGAAAAAAGGGCAAGTATTTCTTATAGATAGGTATTTTTTCACTTCTCTAATATTCAGAATTTTGTCAGTATATAAGGATAAGCAGAACCATAGGATATATGAGAGGATTTATTACGGGAATTGGCTCACACAGTCAAAGGTGAAGTCCTATGATAGCTGTCTGCAAGCTGGAGAACCAGAGAAGCTGGTAGCGTGGCTCAGTCTGGAGGCCTCAGAACTAGGGAAGCTGACAATGCAGCTGCTAGTCCAAGGCCAAAGAGCCCCTGGGAGGTCACTGGTGCAAGTTCTACAGTCCAAAAACCAAAGAATCTGGAGGCTGATGTCTGAGGGCAAGAGGAGAAAAGGTGTCCCCCACTTAGGAAGGAAAGGAGAGCAGAGAACCCCCTTTCTGCCTGTCTCCCAGCCAGCTGGATGTCCCCTGCCCACATAGAGAGTGGGTCTTCCTCTCTGTCCACTGATTTAGCATCAGTCTCCTCTGAAAACACCCTCACAGACACACCTAGAAATGCTTCACCAGCCATTGAGGCATCCCTCAATCCAGCCAAGTTAACAACTAATATTAACCATCACAGTCAGTTTATGCATAAAGGTATAATGCTTTGTGTGGAATGCAAATGAACTGTAACAAGGGATGGTGGTGACAAAGCCCACTGGCTTCATTTAGGAAGACCTTGTGAGAAGGAATTTAAAGAGAGCAGAAGAATGGAAAGAATGGGATTTTGCAGGAAACCACTACAGATGCCTTTTGGAAGCATAGAGCATAAATTATCAATAGGCCCCTGAGAACACCTTTTCACACCCGTGTGAATGGCCAGATATGAGAGGGAAAAGGCAGCAAAGACATTACTGTTTTCTTGACAACTGTATCTTTTAATTTTAGGCTCCAGCACCAGAACAGATAGTGACATTATATGACGATGAACAGCATCCAGTTCATATGCCGTTGGTAGAAATGGGGCTTGCAGATAAAGATGAATAAGTGCCTAAGTGTAAGTTCTCATTCTCTTCATAGCATAAGGCATGGGACTAGTGGAGATGAATGCTAGATTGATCAGAAAAGCACCCGTGGATTTTCCTTGATTTCTCAAAGGAATGACAGCAACGCTCCACCAGATTTCTTCATAGGCCCTTCTCACCTATTCAGCACTAGTATCAAAGAGGTCCCCTATCTGTAAGGATGCCTGGATGGGCTGTCATGACTCTGACAGTACCAGGGTACATAGGGAGAGCAGGAGAGAGTGGCCACTGTAAATAATTTTAAGCACATAAATATCTGCTAAGCACATAGAACTACTGAGCAGTCACCATCCTCATACCACGTACTTACATGGGTAGCCAGCTAACTTTTTATCTTGTCCATAAGAAATGATTCAGCTAGATTGAACATTTACATTAAGCAAAGGTTTAAAATAACACATTTTATTTTTCAGGTATACAGTGAGAGCATCTATAGAAGCCTAGAAGAATTCTGTTATGTTTAGACTATGTCTTATCTTTAGACTATTTCAGGCTTAATTTTCCTAACTTGTTCAGCACTAGTGCTTTACCTCTCATTTTTAATTGAACTGTTAGGAATTGTGTGGGGAAAAAAAGTAAATAAATGTTCGCTTCCAAACATTTGCTTGTTTCATTTTACCACAATTTCAAAATGAAATAGCTAAGACACATGAAAAAAAATTTAGTTCATTTTATACCTAATGATTCAACTTAAGACATTAGTACAAAAAGGCTTCTCCCAAACACATTCCCCCTGCCTTCTGTAGAAGTGTATTAGTCTCTTCTTATACTGCTATAAAGAACTGCCTGCGACTGGTTAATTTAGAAAGGAAAGAGGTTTAATTGACTCAGTTCCACATGGCTGGGGAGGCCTCAGGAAACCTACAAACATGGGGGAAGGGGAAGCAAGTCACCTTCTTCACAAGGTGGCAGGAGGGAGAAATGCAAAGGGGGGAAACGCCCCTTATAAAACCATCAGATCTTGTGAGAACTCACTAGCATGAGAACAGCCTGGGGAAACCACCCCCGTGATCTGATCACCTCCCACGAGGTCCCTCCTCCAACACATTGGGATTACAATTCGAGATTTTGGGTGGGAACACAGCCAAAGCATATTAAGAGGTGAACACTACTGTTATGATTTGGTGTTTATCATTCATATAAATGTCTTTATAGTTTTACTACATATGAATGCATCCATAAATGACATGGTATTTTTTAATGTATCTGCTGTCACACAATTTTTATTTTCTATTTTATTTGCTCTTTAATCCATGTTGGTATGTATAACTCTATTCACTTTTACTGCTATATCTGTGTACATAATTTATCCTGATATTCCATTACCAGTTTTTTTCTCATAAATGTTCCTCTTTAGGAGCCTTGTATACATGAGCGGCTTTCTAGTACATATACATAGTGATGGAATTTGCTGGGCCATGGGGTTGCTTTTTGACTTTTACAATTATTTCACAACTACTTTTTTGCTTTCTAAACAGTAATTCTACCAATTTATCCCACCACCAGTTGTCTGAGTTCCTTGCCAGCACTTGGTGTCGCCAGACTTTTGCCAGACTGTGATATTAGTAAGAAAAGGTATCTCATCAGTGCATATCTCATTGAATATGCATTCACTGGTTTATTAGCTAGTGACCATTCCGTCACTTGTTTATTGCTTGTTCAAATAGTTTGTCCATTTTTCTATTGAGTTATTTGCAATTTTCTTACTGATTTGTAGAAACAATGTATTCTAGTCATCCTTGATCAGTTGTTTGTCTTCTAATTTGGGGCTTGCCTTTCCCCTGTTTTGTAATATCATCATTTGACAGAAATGTTCGTTCATTTATCAACATTTTTTTTTTTTTCCTTTGAGACAGAGTCCCACTCAGGCTGGAGTGCAGTGGCATGGTCTCAGCTCACTGCAACCTCTGCCTCCTGAGTTCAAGCGATTGTCCTACCTCCCAAGTAGCTGGGATTACAGGCATGCACCACCACACCTGGCTAACTTTTGTATTTTTAGTAGAGACGGGGTTTCATCATGTTGGCCAGGCTGGTCTCGAACTCCTGACCTCAAGTGATCTGCCAACTTTGGCCTCCCAAAGTGCTGGGATTACAGGTGTGAGCCACCATGCCTGGCCTATCAACCTTTTCCTTTAAGGTTTGTGTTTTTTGTCTCATTTAAAAATCCTTACCTCTCCTGAGATATCTCTAGAATATATCATCTATGTATCTGTAGATATCTATATATAGGTATATTCTAGAGATATCTCAGGAGAGGTAAGGATATATAGATATATCTATCTAGATTACATAGCTATCTATAATCTAGAGATATATCTAGATAGATATATCTAGATAACCTATATATATCTATCTAGATTATAGATATCTATATAGATTATCTAGGTATACAGATATATCTATCTAGATTATCTAGATCACTTGAGGTCAGGAGTTTGAGACCAGCCTGGCCAACATGGTGAAACCCCGTCTCTATATATCTAGATATCTATCTATATAGATACATCTATATAGATATATAGATACATCTATATAGATATATAGATACATCTATATAGATATATAGATACATCTATATAGATATATAGATACATCTATATAGATATATAGATACATCTATATAGATATATAGATACATCTAGATATATAGATACATCTAGATATATAGATACATCTATATAGATATATAGATACATCTATATAGATATATAGATACATCTATATAGATATATAGATACATCTATATAGATATATAGATACATCTATATATATAGATACATCTATATAGATATATAGATACATCTATATAGATAGATACATCTATATAGATAGATACATCTATATAGATAGATACATCTATATAGATATATAGATACATCTATATAGATAGATATAGATACATCTATATAGATAGATATATAGATACATCTATATATAGATACATCTGTACTTATATTCTTCAAAAAGTTTTATTTTTCATATTCAGTTAAGTCACCTGGAATTGATAGATTTCATTAACAAAACCTGATTCATAGTATATGTGACAGGTAAGGTCTATCTAGACCAATCTGTAATTATTTATTATATAAATTTACAAGTAAGTAAGTAAGTGACTTGCCCATCCTTCAGGGACATCTTGCTTCCATGAGGCTACAGTAATCTCACTGTGGTAACATCAGGGTAGCTGTGGTCCATGGGTTAACACTGGCTAGTCATCGTTCATGCCCCCCTCCACTCTCAAGTATCCCATTTTGAGACATTACATTACAAAGTCAGCCTTGTTATAACTGCTTTCTCTTCACCATGATTACTACCTGTTGTGTGTGACCTATTTATATTCATCCACTGTTGTAACTTCCCATTCTGTTATAATAATTAATGATCCTCTGTAGAAGATCAAATGGTCTAATTTTGGTACTAACTGAACATAGTAATATTTTGGCTACAGAGACACGTGTTTACTCCTTGAGTACACCTTCTGTACAAGTCCAGTGCTCTACGGCTGATGTGTCTGTGGGACATCTAGGTGATGTACTTCCTGTACTTCTTGGTTTTTTTTTATAGCCATTTCTAACCAATAAACACACCCACTTACTGTAAAAACCTGTACACAATTTCTAAACAGTCAAAATGCTTTCCTTAGTCTATTGAAAGACAGGGTAGTGAATTATAAATGAGAGCTATCATTGCATTTCAAAGAATATAAAAATGAAGATGCCACAGGGTAAACTTTTATTTTAGAATCTAATCTTTTCCCCACACATACACAATAAATTAAACAGAATCCACAGTAAATGTACATTTTTTAACATAAAAAGTCAGTTACTGTTACTTCATGATCACATGAGGATCGTCACAGCTCCGTGTCCATTAGCACATTACCCTCCTTGTCCTTAACTCTTATCCGACCGGATCTGTACTTCGTTTCTTGATGACCGTTTGCATATACGGTTTTAACAGTGCCATCTGGGTATTCCCGTCTCTTGAACTGGGCAGTATGTAGTTCTCTTTGGCCATTATTAAACTCTATGAGTTTGTTGCCATCACTGTAAAATTTAAAAAAAATATGATTTCTTAAAAAAAAAATAATAGAAAATAAACAACAGAAAAACTACTGAAAAGTAGCCTTTTGAGTCTGGCAGCTACTTCTGGAGACATCCCTTGGTTATCCCTATACAATTGTAACTTTCTACAGTGTTTCTGCTTCATGGTGATAGTTCCAATTATCAGATTAGCATTGTTTTAATCATTCATATTTTCATCACAAAATGCTTAGTAACTTTTTTCAACTTGTGTTCTTCCTTTTGGTTGTTATATTAAAAGGGACCCTTCTTTCACTAATTTAAAAACCATCTGAGTGTTTGTTTGCTCTGTATCAGGTGGGGAAGAGAGTTAGTTATTCCTGGGAAGGGGCATGATCAGACTTAAAAATCTGTTTTGAAAGAATGGAACAAAAAAGGAGAATGTGAAAAATAATTCACATCAAGTTGACTGACATGCCTGTGGGACATTCATTCAAACTGAACCCCCTAATATGGGTGTCACATATCATCAGAAACGCAAGGCTGGGGCACCTTCTGAGCACAGATGAACAGGTGTCACACTGAGTGGTTTTTCTGTGAACATAATGTTGCCATACCGTTGTACTCTGACAATTGTACCATCTGGGAAAATGCTTTCTTCTTGTCCATCAGGAAATAAGTTTTTAACAGTCTGGTCAGGAAACGTGATTTCTTTTCTTCCATCTG
Source organism: Homo sapiens (assembly GCF_000001405.40). Lineage (NCBI taxonomy): Eukaryota > Metazoa > Chordata > Mammalia > Primates > Hominidae > Homo > Homo sapiens. The sequence continues at coordinate 24,884,072 of NC_000013.11, forward strand.
GGTAATGTTTTTCTGTTTAAAAAGTTGTTACAGTAAATATTTTTTGAAGGAAGGGAAGAATTTAATGAGAGGGTGGAGCAAGTTTGTACCTATTTGTCCACTTGAGAAATGTAAGACTTCCAGTCCCTCCGGGTATGTCGTGTGAGTGGTCTGGGCAGCTGCATAGTAGTAGATCTGTAAAGACACACAGTCAGTCTGCCTTTTCTCCAGAGATGGTTAAACTATGGAGGAGAACACCTCTGGAAACATACCACTCTTTGGTCTGGCATGACCTGCTTCACGTCACCATTAAAGAAAGTGACAGTGATGGTCTTCCCATCTGCACTCACTTCCTTTCGAGTTCCATTGGGAAACAGTATAACACGGCACCCATTCTTATAAACCTTTTCCACCTAAAAAACCAACACAAGATTATCACCTAAGATTTTCTCCTGACGAAAGTATGGCTAATTCTCCTCCCAACTGCCTACTTTGAAATTTTTTGTAATAAAATGTAAAACATTCCCTCAAAAGATCCTTTATTTCGTGAGGAGTAGCAAACTCGTGATTTTCTAATTTTCTCATTCCTTTTCCATGTATTAGCTGGAATTTACCTAAAAAAGAAAACCTTCCCTTATCAACAATTTGTTACCCTAAAGTAGACTTTGTACAGGAAAGTCTAACTACTGCTTTGCCTGTTGTTCTTTGTCCTTCTCTCATTCCTCAAGGATAGCACTCCAACCCTATAATTTCAATAGAAATGGACCAGATTAGGTATTCGAAAAGTAAATTTTCCATAAACCTGAGGAAAAAATTCCCTCATCACCTCTAACCTGTATATATCCCTTTCTTCCTCATTCCCTTTAGCTGGAACCCCCAGGCAGTTTTCCCACTAAGAAACTTTCCTAAGCATAAGAATAAAACTGTGCTAGCTGGAGATGAGGAGAGAGGTCCCTGACTCAGGATCAGTATAAGAAAGGCTGCAAGAAAGGAAGACCTAGAATGAACAGAAGCTTTTAAGAAGTGCCAAGGATTACAAAGGCTTTGGAGTAAGAACAAAGATCATACAGAGATTGTATGCCGCCTTTTGCTGAATCTCTGAACGAGAAATGGCAACTAAAGGCATCTTGTCCAAAGAGCCCTTATTTTAGATTCTATGTGTTTCAACTATTTTAACCCATGTTTATTTTTTATAGAATTCATTATTTCAAAAACATTTTTTAACCTTTCCATCAGGATGACTGATTTCTCCCTGTATGTCTTGGTCTTCCTCCTCCTCTTTATATTCAGGATCTGGGAAGTTCAGTGGTTCAAGTGGCTCCCTGGGAGAGGCAGCCTGTAAGCACAACACATTTCAAGCAGCTAAAACCTACTCTTACTTCCAAAGCCAGATTCTGATATAGGGTTCTAGGACTAGTGTTTACAAAATATAACATTTATAATGTTAAGTAAAAACTCTTTTTTACACGTGGTTTAGAAACGTTAAGTCTATTAACAAATTGATTTCAAGCCTAAGTAATGTATGTTTGAAGAATATATAAAAACAGAGATTTACTTGTCCCTTATCCAAATTGCCTAAATCACGAGGAGGTGCAGACTTGGATCTTCGAGGTGGATTGCCTATTAGAATAAAATTGTCAAGAGTTAGATTTAATATTTAATTGAAAATTTTATTAGTATGATCACACATTTCCTTAGTTCATATCCTGTGAACTGCTGTCCTTTATCCATTAGTTAAGGATGTCTTAATATTTTTCTTTACTAATTTGTAGTTCTCCGACACAGGTACTTAAGTCCTAGATGTCCAAGAAAGACAGTATCTTGTCTCAGAGTTTACAATCCTGGGGAAGAGACAGGTGATGAAACAGCCTGACAGACCCAAATGTATTTCAGAGACAATCACAAGGTGTAAGGTGCAGATAAAAGAGGCATCTAAGACCTGTGGAATTTGGCTTCACCAAATAACTGGGTATTTAGTTAAAACATAAATGCCCTTGTGGCTATGGTATAAACTTTTTGTAATATGTCCAGCACACCAATCACATACTGTACCAGCAACATATACATTACAAAATAAACACGCCCCCACCAACAACAAAGTGAGGTGAATCTCTCTCTAAAAATACACTGAAGTGCCAGTATTTTCATCCTATGTGCCAATGGATCATATTGTAAACACTCAACTTGGAAGGGTCTCGAGCAAGTGCCAGAATCTGACCTCCATGTTAAAAAGTGTAACAGAGCTGGATGTTACGGGAGAATGGCCTGAAGGAGGAGAGCGGAGGCAGGTGGTCAGCCAACAAGCTGCTGGGCGTGTGAGGCGGCTGTGCTGTGCCTGTGAGACAGGAATGGTTCCATTACACCATGGGAAATCACTGATTTATAGGTCCCAAACTGCCACACATCAGCAATTTCATATGATTCAATGTAACTAATAGATCCAGAAAATAACATCAGAGGGATCAGTCTAGGGACTACTGGGAGTGGATGGTGAAGGATAACAGAAAAAGTACTGGGAGTACACAGGGGTTTAGGCTTGAGCAAAGGGGCAGATGGCAGACAAGGCTCTGGGGATAGCAGGAGTGCTCTGTTTGGGATGACACAAGAATGTCATGCTTCACCCCCACAGGTTATGTGTGCAAACTAAACTATAACTAAAGCTGTGTGACATCATTTCTCATAACCACCTTTAGAGAAAAGACTAGAATATTATTCCCATTTTATGGCAAGAAAACCAAGGCTAAGTGGTTAAATAACCTACTAAGGTTGTCAACTAATAAAAGGCAGAACCAGGATTCAAACCCACTATATATCAAGTTTAATTCTTCCCAGGCTGATTATGAACTAACATTAACTTGAACCCCCAAAGTATCTACCAACTGGGCAGGATAACGAGAGGTGACCGTGGGCATAGACAGGCTCCAGGTGCAAGCACACTGTCTAGAGGACTGTGTGAACCCACCTTAAAAATACCTACAACAGGAAAACTGGGGACAGTGGAAGCTAGGGAATACACAGTGCTGGAATAGCTGGGTAGATACTAGGGGAGGGATGTTTATGACCCCAAGATAGGGAAAGAATTAAGAAGCACTGCCCAAAGGGAAAAACTGAAATTGAACTACTTTAAGAATTTAGGTTCATCAAAAGATACTATAAAGAGCAAAAAGACAAGCCATGAACTAGGAGAAGATACTGATTTGCAATTTATGTAGATTATAAGTATACCACTTATACCAGGGGGCCCCAAACCCCACGGTATACTGGTCTGTGGCCTGTAGGAACTGGGCCACACAGCAGGAGATGAGCAGCGGGTGGGCGAGCCAGCGAAGCTTCATCTGTATTTACAGCAGCTCCCCATCACTCGCATTACCACCTGAGCTCCACCTCCTGTCAGATCAGCAGTGGCATTAGATTCTCATAGGAGCAAGAACCCTATTGTGAACTGCATATGCGAGGGATCCAGGTTGCACGCTCCTTAGAGTATCTAATGCCTGATGATCTGTCACTGTCTCCCATCACCCCCAGATGGGACCATCTAATTGCAGGAAAACAAGCTCAGGGCTCCCCCTGATTCTACATTATGGTGAGTTGTATAATTATTTCATTATACATTACAATGTAATAATATTAGAATTAAAGTGCACAATAAATTTAATGTGGTGCTGAATCATCCCAAAGCCATGCCCCTTACCCCAGTCCATGGAAAAATTGTCTTCCACAAAATTGGTCCCTGATGCCAAAAAGGTTGGGGACTGCTAAGGTATACTACCAAAGTGAGCACATGCTGTTGGAAAAATGGCACCAACAGACTTGCTCAGTGCAGAGTTGCTGCAAGTCTTCTGTCTCCAAAAACCACAGTTTGTGTGAGGCGCAGTAAAGCAGAGCATGAGAAAATGAGAGTGCCATCAAGAAAAGCCACGGGCTCCACAGAGGGCAGTTCCGGGCTGCCACTCATCTATGTCTTTACGTAGGTGGTGGTAACCCGAGTATTTGCTTTCTAATTGTCAAACTGCATATATCTTTACTAAATTTATTTCACAAAAATAATTTTTTAAAATTCCAGATTAAAAACTCAAGATGTGAATGCAAAAGCGCATAGAAGAAAATGGTGTACTTGTGGCCTGAGGATTGAGAAGAATTAAAGTCATGAAAACCAAAAACTATTTTAAAAGACTAGTAAATTCAACATTACAAGGAAAAACATACATTAAAAAAAACACAAACTGAAAAGCCAAACCCAGATTGGGAGAAAATATTAGCAGTGCTTGTAACTGACAAAGGATTACTATGCGGAATATTTTATAAGGAGAAACACACACACACACATCCAAAATTTTAAATGGACAAAGGAAATGAACAGGCAGTTCACAAAAGGGGAACCTCAAATGCTGACTAAATGTAAGAAAACATGCTCACAGGGCCTTACCAGCTCACGGAATCAACCACCATTTTACATCAACTGGCCAAAATGTTAAAGTCTGGCCAGATCAAGTGTTTGCAAGTATGAAGAGCATACTCTGCTGACAGTAAAAAAAACTGGTACAACCATGTTGCAGAGCAAAGGGAAAACCTCCAGCTGACATGGCCTGGCATCTTACTCTTCATATATATCCTAGAGAAGCCACAGGATCAAGACACGCTCTGCAGCCCTATTCATTATCATGCAAACCTAATTGCCCATCACCAGGAATGCTGAACTGTGGAAGTATACAATGCAATCTACATAGCTATTAAAATCAATCAACTGGAGGTTTTATGTGTTAAGATTGGTAAGTCATACAGTATTGAAAGAAAAAAATTGCAGAAGGACACACAGAATATGAAACAATACTACAGGGTGAGTGTCCCTTATCAGAAATGCTTGGGAGCAGTATTGCAGATCTCCATTTTTTTTTCAAGTTTTGGAATATTTGCAAATACTTATTGGTTGAGCATCCTTAATCCACATTCAAAATGCTCCAATGAATGTTTCCTTTGAGCATCATGCTTGCCCTCAAAAAGTTTCAGATTTGGGATGCTCGACCAGTATAACAATTTATGAACGCAACAAGGTAAAATAATTTAAAACCGAAGCATGGACCATTATCAGGGTAGAAATTAACTGGCGGAATAAGATGATGCACAGGAGCTTCAATTACATTTATTAATTCAAATTCATTCAAATGTTCAAAAACATTTATTAAGAAATGTTTTATTAAGTTGGGTATAAATTGTTTATTCCTTACATTCTGAAATGTTTTATAAAAAGATCATGCAGCCTCTTACCTTGCATTGGAAGATAATTTTTCTTGTATTTTTCTACCTGGGTTCCTGAAGAAATCTGACTGTTTTGAAATCGAACAGATGTGTTCTATAGTATAAGAGATAATTTTTTATTTAAAATGAGTGTTAGTCTATTAATACACTAAGTGAAACTAATAAAACTCAGCTAGTGCTAAGAATGCTGTGGGTTTTGTTTATTCATATTGTTTTCATTTATACAACAGGCCAAAGCAAACAAGCTGTTATCTAGGAATCACTGCGCGTGTGCACACACACGCACGCGCGCCCCTTTTGACAAACATTCATTCAAGTTAGGACACAGTAGGCAAGGTTACCTGAACCATCTCCTCTGACCATTACAGAGCAGAGGAGGAGCACACAGGCCCTTCAGCTCATGGTGTTCGAGAACAAAGCCTCTCCTGGGTGCTCCCCACTCCCACTCCCACTGGGACAGTCCAGCTGAGCCCAGTTCTCCGAGACCACCACTGAGCACTCCCCATGAGGATGAGGTGGGGTGAGTCCTCTCTGCACCCCACCTCCATTTCTGGCCAAATCAAGCCCCAATACTACTTGCCCCAGCCCCCGCCATGTCCGTCCCTGCCAGGAGGTGATGCTTCCAGTGCCATCCTTCTTGGTGTCCTACCTCAGCTCCACACCCCAATGGTCAACCCTAGAACTTGTCATTATCAATACTATCAACATCTGCAATTATCAATAACCACAAAATTATTAATTTCAAAGCATTCTACTTACAAAGATCCAGAAGGTAGGGCATTCTACAAAGCAATCAGCCTGGTCTCTTCAAAAGTTAATGCAATTTAATAAAATGCTAAAGCATTTAGGGGTGAATTGCCATGATTCCTACAAGTACCTTCAAATGGTTCAGTGAAACATAGACATAACTATGGCAAAATGTTCCTAGTGGTTGAATCCAAGTGGATATCCAGGTGTTAATTGTACTATTCTTTCACCTATTCTCTATTTTGGGAAGCTTTCATACTAAAAAGGTTGGGAGCGGCGGGGAGAAGAATGCTACTTTCTCATTACGCTCCTGTCTTTGCAGCTTATTCTGTTAATTCCCCACCCCTGACCACGCTCACAGCTGACATGGCCCTACGGGTCCTCGACCCCCAGTGCTTGCCATGTCCTGAAAGCCTCTGGGCCCACGCTGTCCTCATGCAGCTAAAATATGCTATGCAGCAGGCACTCTTGTCACACACACTGTCAGCTTCCCTCCCTCTGCTCACTTGGTGGCATTCACTTGGATGACCACAAGCTGAATAAGAAAAAAATATGTGCAATTCTTATTTTAAATTTTCAGTCTCTGACCCAGGTTGGCCCAGGTACAGCCACGAATCACTCTATTCCCCCAGCCTCTGCTTTTGTTCACAGAGATGACCTCTGGCTTTCTGCATCTCCTCCCCTCCTGCTGCCTCTGCCCTCACAGGAGCCTGGGCTATGCCTGCACCTCCCGCCTCTGGGCACAAAGGCCATCGCCTGGCCACAGCCTGCCCTCCATTCGCTGCCTGGACCCAGCTCCTCTCACTTCACCAAGTATGGTGCTTCTGCAATTCTTCCACTTCCTCCTGCGTCAATATTTTCCTCTCCACTGAGTCAGTCCAACCAATATACAAACACCTGTTAATTTTACCGTCTTAAAAAAAAAATTCCCCTATGGCCACTACCCTCATGTCCTTAATTTACTGCAAAACTATTAAACAAAGCTGTTATCCGCTCCCAGCCGATCAGGCTTTCCTCTTCAACACTCCAGAGAAACAGTCCTTCTCAAGGCCCACAGTTCCTTCTCCCTGGTAAACTCCATGGCCGATTTCAGTCCTCCTCTGAGTCACTGCCACACCTGACACAGGTGGTCACTCTCCTCCTTGCAGCCTTTTCTTCACTTGCTCTCAGGACACCACACGGACTCCTGGCCTCCTGCTCTCTAGCTGCTCATCTGCTCCTCCCTGCCTACTCACAGCCCTGCTGGCCTCTCCCTGCCCAGTGCTGTATCACACATTGAGACGATCCCAGGTGTGTGTCCCCAACTGGAGCCTGTGCTGTCGTGTGCAGCTGCCTAGTCGGATCTCCTGTGTGTCTCGTAGGCATTTCAACTTCCCCTGTCCAAGCCTGAGTTCCTGGTGGCCATGTGCTCCCTTCTTGCGGTTGCTCCTAGTCAGTGGGACCTTCATGAGACCAAAACACAAAACTAAGCACAGTTGAGGCCATTCCTGACTCCTTCCTTGCTGTCACCACCAATCACACACACAGCTCAACAACAAACACAGTCTGCTTCTCTCCACCCGCCACTGCCACCCAGTCCCCCCAAGCCCTACTGCATTCCTGGTGTTGCCCATGCTCCCTTCCACCTGTTCCCGGTCTACAGCAGTCGGAGCTAAAATAAGAGGCCCGGCCACCCTTCATTCAGAGCCCTCCAGACTCCCACTCACTCAAAAAATGCCCATGTGCATGCTGCCATCTGTTAGGAATCCCATCCACCACCCACTGTCCCAGCCCACCCCGAGGGCTGGCCCACCGCTCCTCGCCCACTAATCCGATTGCCCCGTCTCAGGCCCACTCAGGTGCTGCTGCAGCCTGGGGCTCCTCTGCAGGCTCAGGCGGCCACCCAGGCCACTCCTTACATGCGCTTCCCAGACCGTCCCACCCAGACGGCGACGCCACTCCACAGCCCTGCTTCTCCGAAGGTCTCGTCACCATCTCACACACCACACGTTTTATTATTTGGCTTATTACAGTCTTTCTTCCACCACTGGAATGTAAGCTTCATAAGGGCAAGGAATTTTGTCTGTTTATTGCTGTACCCCAAGCACCTAATGCAGTGCCTGGCACACCCTGGTTGTTCACAGAGATGAATGAAAGACCAATTACTTGATTAAAAAGTGTCATATGCGTGCCACTCTTGGCCAAAATCTCCCTGGTCTGTTTTAACAGAGATGATCTGCCTACTGTGGCAAACCTCCTCCATAGGAATTAGAGAAATGAGTCTGCAAAGTACCCGTTTACAGCAATGCTTGAAAAATCATTTTAGTTGTGGTAAAATAGATATCACATAAAATTCACCGTCTTCAGCATGTTTAGGTGCACACTTCAGTGGCATTAAGGATATCTGCGGTGTAGTGCAACCATCGCCCTCCATCCAGCTCCAGGACACTTTTCATCTTACAAGATGGAAACTGTCCACATTCACAGTCACTCCCCACTGCCCCCCCAGCCCCTGGCAGCTCCCATTCTACTTTCTGACTCTATGAATTTGAATGCTCAGATATTGAAGCTCCCCCTGGCCTGACACAACCCACCCGCCTCCCTGCCTACCGCAAGCTTGTCCTTCTTCTCCACCTCGAGGCTGCTCTCTATGGCTTCTGCTCTCTTCCAGGCATCCAGTCGGAATCTTTCCATCACTTTTATTTCTTCCCGGAGGTCTGTGTTCTCTCTGACTAACATTTGTATCTGGCTTCTGAGACGGCTGTGTGTACTTGACCATTTGGTTTCCTTTCTTTTCAAATCTTCCCGTAAATCTGCTATTTGCTGTTTTAAAGTCTCTCAAAAAAAAAAAACAAAAAGAAAAAACCATTACTACATTACCAGAATTAAAACAATAGAAGAATAGAGACCCAGCAATGAAACAGAATAGCCAGCAAGAAAGGGAAGGCTTAGTCAACAGACGACATTTAAGACGAATGTCGTGGTTTTCAGCGGCGGGAGGAGGGGATCAGAGTCTCACCGCAGACCATCAGCAAAACTAATTCCAGAAGCCAGGAGAAAGGAAGGCAGACAGCACATGGGAGCTGACAGCAGAAAACTGCCAAGAGGTAGGAAAGACCTCACCTGAGCTATTAACTGAAAGGGATCCAGGGGGGAGATCCCAAAAAGAAGAAATGCAATAGGAACTCATGAATAACTGAAGGAAGACTAGAGCTAAAGAATAAAAGATTCCAAAGTCAAAACTACCTGCCCTGAAAACTATCTGAAATTCATGAGAAGAAATAAATTTCCAGAAAAATGAGTTGTTTTAGAAAGACTAAAATAAGGGAAGAATATGCTGGAAATGTCTAGAAGCAATTCGAGATCACGTGCAGCTGCAAGTGATAGCGACTGACCTAGAGTCGAGGAAGGAGCAGGGCACCGAAGCCCATCAGTGGTGAGGCAGCAGGTGCGGCCCGGCCCATGCCCCTGCACCTCAGTAATCCCTGCGGCAGCCACACGGCAGCCTGGTGAGGATGGAGAGGACATCTGGGCCCCACCACAGAGGGTGTGGACTTTGGATTGGGTGACATCAAGGTTCACATCCGAGTTTTCTGACTTGAATGCTTAAAACAAGGTAAGATCCACAACCTCCATGAATATCAGGTTTCCCATTTGTGAGACGGATTATGACCAATAAAAGAAAAATTTCTGGTAAGCACTTTTATCATGCAGGAATATGGATTTAATATGAAAATGGTAAAATACAAGTCTAAATGGGTTCAGAATTCAAGAGCAATTAATATTTACAAAATATCTGTTATCAGGCACTGTCACAGGCCCTTATTATACTAAGAACAAAGCTCCATCTCATGAGGCTCACTCTGCCGGGGACAGTGGGAGGGTGATGGGAGAGTGGCTGGGGCAGGTGAGGGGGTGACGGGAGAGTGGCCAGGGCAGGTAAGGTGGCGGGGCTGTGTGGGGAGGCAGGATGACACGTGCTGGGTGTCACTGAACAGAGCTGGGGGAGGCAGCGCGTGTGGGAAGCAACAGGAGGGTGCCTGGCACAGTGCCAGCACTACAAGGGACCAGCGCAGATGACAAGTAAATGGCAGGAGGACTGGCCAGGGACAGGAAGGGGAAAAAAGGCCCAGTCACATAGGGACTGAGGTTCTTGGAGGAAGGAAAGCAGAGGCATATGGAGGTGTCTGAGCGAAGGGGATCCGTTGTCACGTGGAGCGACGCCACAGGGACGGGGTAAGAGCGGAGGCCAAGCCGCCAGCAAGTCATTAACCCAGAGGTGGCAACTGGAATCTGAGTGGACTTTCTGTCAGAACAGCAAGGAATGGAAGAGCAAGAGAAGCCTCGAGAATGATTCGAGGCCTCTGGCCCAAGCACAGGGGAAGACGGCACCAGGATGGACACTGGCAGACGGCCGCGATGAGGCCTGGGGGTTCACAGTGGCTCCACAGGGGCCGTGTCAGTGCCATAGAATGACCGGAGGCCGCGCTGCAGGGCGTGTGGCGAAAACAGCTGGTGAGATTTGGAGATCCAGGCACAGTGAATATGGGCAAGGCTTTTAAGGAGTTTTGCTGCAAAGGAAAAAACAGATAGGGCTGTGGGGTTGAGTGAGTTTTGTTTAAAGAAATGCCAGCCAGCGGTAAGGATGGGAAGGCTGGGGGCAGAACGCGCGGAGGAGACAGAAGGCGGAGGCGGAGGGTGGGCTCCGTGGGCGGGACACGGGGATGGAGTGGGTGGAGGATGACACGCCCTCGGGGTGCAAAGGGAGGGAGAGGCCGCAGCCAGCCAGCAGAGACCCTGGGGATGGGGGAGAGGAAGAGAGGGGAGCCCCTAGGCTGGGGGACTGGTGAGGGTCCAGACCCAGACAGACGGGAGAGGAGCCGGGAGGGGAAACTGGCAGGAGGAAACGACCTGCGGGGTGAAGCCAGCAGGCCTGGCTGGCGGGTGGGATCCGCGGCTGGGGCGCAGACTTCCAGCGCAGCGCGAAAGCTCAGAGGCAAGGCCTCCACGTCCCGCGGGCAAGGCTCAGGCAGAGGCGGCTGCCAGGTCCCGGTGAGCACGGCTGAGAGCCAGCGCCGTGAAAACGGGAAGAAAGCGCAGAAGCCAGGGCAGGGAAGGCCGAGGGGACTCCGCACCTGCGGAAGGCGCAGCCGGCTCTGTCAACCTCCACAGGCTCTACGCTCAGAGCAGCCCCGGAGGAGCCCGGCTCCTTGCAGCGCAGTAGATGCCAGACCCCGAGCAGGTTTAAAAAAGAAAGCCAAGGCCGGGTGTGGTGGCTCACGCCTGTAATCCCAGCACTTTGGGAGGCTGAGACGGGCGGATCACAAGGTCAGGAGATCAAGACCATCCTGGCTAACACGGTGAAACCCCGTCTCTACTAAAAATACAAAAAAAAATTAGCCGGGCGTGGTGGCGGGTGCCTGTAGTCCCAGCTACTGGGGAGGCTGAGGCAGGAGAATGGCGTGAAGCCGGGAGGGGCCGGCCACTGCACTCCAGCCTGGGTGACAGCGTGAGACTCCGTCAAGAAAGAAAAGAAAGAAAAGAAAAGAAAAAAAGGAAGGAAAGAAAGGAAATAAAGAAAGAAAGCCAAAACCAAACAGTCTTAAATAACCCGTTGTTCCAGAAAGCAGTGCTCTCAAAACGCCAAGGGCAGCACTAAATGGCAAGGGAGCCATGGACTTAAAGGGGCTCCCCCACTGGTCAAGTTGGGACCACTTAAATATCAAAATGGAAATTTTATAATTAATTAGAGTAACCTGAGTGTGTGAAAAGCTATGACTCAGTAATGATTAATATAAATTCCAGGAGGGCAGAAATTGCTAACTCATCAATTCCTCAATGATTACAAGTGTCTAGTACATAAGGGGTTCTCAATAAATTTGCTGAATGAATACCCAAAATAAAATAGTTAATATTTTTCAACATAACTGTAATGTAAAGGAAGGTTAAATATGCCCTCTCCTTAATTTTTTGATGATTTAATAGAGTATCAATAAACATAGGTTTGTTTTCTATTAAGTATATATCTGTTTTTAAAGTATATTTTTGCACAGAAGTAAAAAGAAAGGTAAATACGGGGAACTATGAATAAGCCAAATGGTGTAAGGAAGAAAAGGAACTGCACCAAAACCAGCAAGAAATAATGAATACCCAGGGTTACACATGATAACCAAGTACGAACAGGGTCCAAACTTCAATCAACACCAGAAGTCATATAAACGAACAAAGGCGAGAGTTCAAGAATGAGTTCCTGAAGAGGGACGGCAACTCACCAGCCCAGCCCCTTGCCACCCAACAAGCCCCTTGAATGGGCACAGCCCAGAGCTGCCAGCAGTGAGGATGTGCCCAGTCCTGCATGGTGCAGTGTGGCAGCCACCAGCCAGCCACAGGTGGCTACTACTAAGTCCTGGAAATGTAGCTAATGGGAATGAGAAACTGAATTTTCAATTTACCTCTAATTAATTTAAATGGAAATAGCCACACAGGGATAAGAGCTAGCAGCCTGGACTGCAGAGCCTGAGAATCAGAGGACACATCTTGTGAGGGAAAGGCATCAAGTTGCAAGAAAAGAAAACCCACGTTATTCATCTAACAAAGTACAACAACAAAAAGAAGTGTGTTTGCTCTGGTTTGAATCCTTGGAAGAAGTAGTCAGGATCAGAGCTATGAGAAAGAGAAGGAAAAAAAGCAATCAATCTCACAACCTTGTGTGGTCTAAGGAGGTTATTTATTTTTTCCCTTTGGATCTGGTAAGATTTTCATAACACAGCAAGGTTATCTCTAATCCTAGGAGATCCAGAAAGAAAAATGAAATGACAAACCCATCATGTATTTTAGGCTATGGTTTTTAATTTAGTGAAGTTTTCTGATAGCAGAATTTGTTATAACTACTGGTTCAAGTATATGTCTTGTTCACTAAAAACAGCCATACTAAATTTGTAACTATAACTCAGATTGTTTAAAAGAAATTCAATTAAGTTTAAAATCAATTTTAAACCTCTTACCTATCAGGTAGAGAACAAAAAACACTCTAAGAATTGCTAGTAGAACTAAAAATTAATTAGCCAGCCATGGTGGTGGGCACCTATAATCCCAGCTACTTGGGGAGCTGAGGCAGGAGAATCGCTTGAATCTGGGAGACGGAGGTTGCAGTGAGCTGAAATTGAGCCCCTGCACTCCAGTCTGGGCCACAGAGTGTGTCAAAAAATAAAAATAAAAAACTGAACTAAAATTTGGCATGATGTTTATGGAGGGATAATCTGGCAATTTGTATCAATGTACATACCTTTAACCTCAAAATTCACTTGTAGGAATCCATCCTAGAGATATACTCCAGGACATAAGCTACATGAGGACAGGGATTGATTTGTTTTGTTCACTGCTGCATTGCCAGTATATGCCTGCTACACAGCAGGTACTCAGTAGCCATGTGCTGAATGAATAAGTGGGAGAATGATTGTGAGAGGTCACATATGCGCAGTTATTCAGTACAGCCCTTCTTGGATTCTTGTAAACAGAAAAAGAACAGAAATACATAGTGCTTAGGTGAGTAAATTATGGCACATATTACAATTCTATACAATAATAAAACAAAGAACAAAGATGTTCTGTTAAGATACATAATGATTTCAGTAAACTATCATTAATGTTTAAAAAAACATCATGAATGTATATATGTACTTTCTAAGAATTTCTCTGGGAAAATATGAGATTGATAACACTGGCTGCCTCGAGAGGTGAATTAGAATGCAAACAAATCAACTGTAAAAAGATACCAAACGACTGGAAAATCTGAATATGGACTAAGTATTATTTGATACTAAGGAATTACTGTAAATTTTGTTAGGTGTGACAAAGGTATGATAATTGTCCCCCGCCCCGTGGACGGAGTCTCACTCTGTCACCCAGGCTGGAGTGCAGTAGCATGATCTTGGCTTACTGCAACCTCCTCCTCCCGGGTTCAAGTGGTTCTCCTGCCTCAGCCTCCCATGTACCTGGGACTACAGGCACACCACGACACCCGGCTAATTTTTTTGTATTTTTCGTAGAGATGGAGATTTGCCATGTTGGCCAGGCTGGTCTCGAACTCCTGACCTCAAGCCATCTGCCTGCCTTGGCTTCCCAAAGTGTTGGGATTACATGAGTGAGCCACCACCCCCAGCCAATAGTCTTATTTTTTAAAGGTGTCTTTCTCAGAGAAACATACTGACTATGTATAGGTGAAATGAGGAGATGTCTGGGATTTCACTTTTTAAATTCCAGATTAAAAAGCAAAAAAAGAGTACAGCGGGGAGAGAGATGAAATTAGACAAAATGATCACTGGTAAAATATGGGAATTCATTCTGTTCTTGCTACTTTTATGTATTTTTGAAACTTTCTATAATAAAAAATTATTTTCAAAAAACAACTGAATAGGTGGCCGGAGCAAGGGTTGGGGAGGAATTTCACCACCCATCTTTTTGTAACTTTTGAATGATAATATATTTATATTACCTTTTGAAATAAAAGTTTTAATATTGTCAACATCTAACATATTAGATTTAATAAACTAAGCATTAACCAAAACATAATGGTACGTTTCTTCCCACAAAAATAAAGAAGGAGAATTAAAGACCCTGAACACCATGCTATTCAATAACTCAAGCTGTACGTGTGCAGGTGAGATTGCTCAAGGATGGCTGCATGAGACAGGAAGAAAGCAAAGGATGGAACTCAAAAATGCTAGTAATTAAAATACAGACAGTGGAAGGTGCATTTTATACTAGAAGCAATGGATAGCCATTTTAAATTTCTCTTTTGATAAGTCTCAACTTTGATGAAGTCCAATATATCCATTTTTTCTTTTATAGTTAGTTGTGTCTTCTCTTAGTAATCTTCGTATATGCCAATGTCGTAAATAAATTCACCTATTTTTTTCTAGAAGGTTTATAGTTTTAGCATGTCCACTTCTAACTATGAAATGAACAAGACTGATAATCTGGCCTATCAGTTTATAAGTTTTAGAATTAAACACCTGGTTATTTACAGCCATAAATTATGATAAATGAACAGAACTAACAATATTTGGTGGGTGGTAGGTCAAAAAGATTAACACAACATAATGCTGGTGAATTTCCAACTCCAGGCTTGTTAATTCATCCATGACATTATCGTGGTCTTTTCTAGGAAGACTTTACTAGTAAGAAAAGAACTGAAATCTTCTACTCTTTAAAAGTCAGACTACCAAAGATATTCCTGATACACTGTCTCAGACAGATTATTTGCTGAATGAATGAATAATGGATTGATACACAGTTTTGCTTTGACATAAGAAATAACTCTGAGATGCTTACAAGATTGTCACCTTTACTAACTTACATGAATATAACATAAAGAACTAGCATACCTGTATTTCTTCACGTTCCTTTTTATCTGGAAAAGTTCTTGCAGCTGTAGTATACTTTTCAAAAACTTTACGTTCCTTTTGTAGCTTCCTCATCTCCTCCTTTTTAAACTCTTCTATTCGAGCTAATTCTTTTGCTTTCTGTTGTTCGAAGTCTGCAATTTCTTTCCTAAAATGACCAAACTATGTTATCACCTAAGGAGACCATCTCAGTGCAGTGATGTGCAGAACCTGCTGACAGGCTAGTAACTGCTAGTCCTAGTGAATTCATCTTCAATCCATAGGCCTGAAATAACAGCCAATCCACTCACTAAAGCATTCATCCAATAAGCATTCATTGGGTGCCTACGATGAATCAGGCATTCGACGAAGTAGTGGGGAAACCACAGTGAAAAAAACAAACATTCTAGCTGGGCACAGTGGCTCAAGTCTATAATCCCAACACTGGGAGGCTGAGGCAGGCTTGAGCCCAGGAATTCAAGGTTATAATGAGCTGTGATCGCACCACTGTATTTCAGCCTGGGCGACACAGACAGACTCTGTCTCAAAAAAAAAAAAATGTATTCCCATGCAGCTTCTTACATTCTATTGGAAGACAGACGATAATAAAGATAAATAAGTACATGGAATATTAGAAGCATTAAAGAGAAATAAAGCAAGGAAGAAGTTTAGAAAATATCAGAGTGGGAGGGTGAAACTGTGTTGTATGTGAGGGCTTATCTTGCTGAGATAACATGAAGGAAACCTGAAGAAAATGAGAGAGCCAGTCACAAGGGTGTCCACACACAGCAGTACAGGCAGAAGGAGCAGCAAGTGCCAAGGCCCTGAGGCAAGAATGTGCCTGAGGTGTTCAAAGAACAGCCAGGAGGCCAGTGTGACTAAAACACAGTGAGCAAAGGATGGGTAGCAGGAGAAGGTGTCAAAAAAGGAGGAGACAGGCCAGGCACGGTGGCTCACTCCTGTAATTCCAGCACTTTGGGAGGCCGAGGCGGGCAGATCAGGCCAGGAGCTGGACCTGAGGTCAGGAGTTTGAGACCAGCCTGACCAACATGGAGAAATCCCGTCTTTACTGAAAATACAAAATTAGCCAGGCATGGTGGCGAATGCCTGTAATCCCAGCTACTCGGGAGGCTGAGGCAAGAGAATCACCTGGGAGGTAGAGGTTGCAGTGAGCCGAGATCGCACCATTGCACACCAGCCTGGGCAACAAGAGTGAAACTCCATCTCAAAAAAAAAGAGGAAGGAGGCCTTGATCAGATGAACCGTCCAAACGCAGGCTGGCTCTGGATGTGTGTGAAGAGCACAGACGCGGGCAGCAGAGAGACCTGCTAGGAAGTGAATTTAATAACCAGAGAAAGCCAATGGGGTCCTGGTGGAGAGTGGCAGCTCTGAGGCAGTGAAGCAGTCGGGTTAGAAATGGACTGAGAGAGCAAGAGAAGACTCAAGCATGACTCCAAGATTTTCCACTGGGCAAATGGAAGAGCAGACTCATGTGCTGAGACAGGGAAGAAGAAGAGAAGAGTAAGTTCAGGAGGGAACGTCAGGAGCTCACTTTTTCTAAATGATCAATTTAAACACTCATCAGCTCTCCAGGTAGAGAGAACAACGAGGCAGTGGGATAGGAGATGTGGGCGAGAGAACTGGATCTGGGGCGTAACAGCATTTAAAGCCTTGAGACCGGACAAGTCTCTCCCTGCCTCACTGGAGGGAGAGCAGACAGAAAAGGTAAAAGACATTCTTACTGACTATTCAAAATGTCGACCGTGTGCACACAATCATATAGTCAAAGCAAACACTGGGGGAGGAATACTTGTGGCACATTTGAGAAAGTTAAATATCCTGATAAATGAGCAAAGATCACAAAGAAAGTTACAAAATAAACACAAATGACCACTAAATATAAAAGCATGCTCAACTTTATCAATAATTAAATAAATACAAACTTTAGCAGGTGAAAGATGGCATAATTATCAGGTTGGCAAGATTTGAAAGACTGCTAACGCTCAACTCCAGTGATGGGGAAAGGGGTGAGAAGAAGCCTCAGATGCTGACTGGGGCAATGGACATTCTTAAAATTTATCACAAGGAAGTAGATTTTTAAATAAAAAGTGTCTTATACATATGACGATATTCCCTGCAGAATAATTTCTAATGTGGAAAATTCTAAACAAGCTAAATTTCCATTAACTGATTAGTCACAGTGGCATTCATATAATACAGTCATTTCAAGGATACAGAAGACTAGGGCGTGCTAATAGGTAAGATGTCTATTATGTTGTTGAAATGAAAAGCAAGGCTGGACATCGTAGCTCATGCCTGTAAGCCCAGAACTTTGGGAGGCCAAGGCAGGGGGATCACTTGAGCCCAGGAGTTCAAGACCAGCCTGGGGAACATGGCAAAACCCCGTATCTACCAAAAATACAAAAATTAGCTGGGCGTGGTGGTGCGTGCCTGTAGTCCCCGCTACGCAGGAGGCTGAGGTGGAGGATGGTTTGAGCCCAGGAGGCAGAGGTTGCAGTGAGCCAAGATTGTACCATTGTACTCCAGTCTGGGTGATAAAGCCAGACCCTGTCTCAAAAAAATAAAAATAAAATAAAAAGCAGATTAAAGAGCCCATACAGTAGAGCCCAGGGCTCTACTGAACCACACTGCCTAGGCTGGCACTGAGGCTCTCTGTCACTGACTAAGGAGGTAAACTTAAAAAACTTGCTTCTCAGTGCATCAGTTTCCTCATCTGTCAATTGGGAAGGATAACACAATGTCTAAATTCGAGGACTGAATTTTGCTTAGAACAAAGCAAAACCGAAATAGGGAAAATGCTAAAAAAAAACAAAAAACAACAACAAAAAAACAAAAACCCAGCCATTATCTTATGACTTAAATGTTCTTTAAAAGAAAAAGATGTCCGTTTTGAAATAATGAAGCAGAGACGTTTTAAAAGTGATCTTGGGTGGAGAACGGATTGGAATAAGTTCCACATTTTACCCATAACTACTATGATAAGCATACATTTACAGTATGTATCAGCTGAAAAACAAAGATGTTTCCATTAAAAAGTAACAAATTTTCAGAATTTGATTTTTAAGCATACTGCAGATTATAGTATAGTAACCGAATTTCCTTTTTAAGTGGATTAATAGCTGTCTATAAACCTTTATCTGGAACTTAGGGGCCAGATGTGCTTTAGAATTCATATTTTTCAGGTTTTAGAAAAGAAATACGGAAGAGATGTTAAGGAAGATGGTGGAGTAGGAAGCTCCAACAATCAGTCCCTCCACCAAAGCAGCTATTGAACTAGCAGCACCTGTCAGAATCAACCACTTCGGAACTCTGGACACTAACGAAAGACTTGCAGCATCCTGGGGAGTGCTAAAGAACAAAGAGGCTGGGAAATTTGGGTGAATTTCAGCATTTGCATAGCAGCTACCATCCCCTAGATCCCATCCCGCAGCAGGCAGCCATGGGAACTACAGTTGTATGAATTTCTCCTCAAACATTAAAATAACAAATACCAAAAAACAAAGAAATACGGTGTGTATGTGACATATAATATCCCCAACAAGACCCAGAGCAACACCTGGAATAAAAAGTACTAGTATGTTCCTGCAACAGAACTTAGTACTATTCACAAGTACAATTAAAAAATATGTCTACGTAAAATTTATATAGAGAGAAATAATAAATATAACATATATAAATAGCCTCATGTAAGTTCAGTTCAAGTTTTGCTAACCAATAAAGTCAGGTAAGATCATGACCTAGGGTAGGAGACGATATGTCATACTATCGACTGCTGTAGGTGGAGTTGTGTCCTCTAAAACAATATGTTGAAGTCCCAATCCCTGTGAATAGTGCCTTTGCAGATACAATTAAGATGCCAGTTAAGATGACGTTATACTGGAGTAGGGTGGGCCCTTAAACCAATATGACCCTATCCTTAAAAGAGGCACCAAGACAAACACACACAGAGGAGAATGCCATGTGAAGACACACACAGAGGGAAGATGGCCATGTGACCACAGAGGCAGAGACTGGAGTGATGTAGCTGCAATCCAAGAAATACCAACGTGTGCCTGAAACCACCAGAAGCTGGAGGAGCCAGCATGGCCCGCCTTGCTGATGCCCGGACTTTGGACTTACAGCCTCCAGAATCACAAGAAAATACATTTCTATTGTTTAAAGCCACCCAGTTGCTGGTACTTTGTTACAGCAGCCCAGAGAAACCAATACACTAACTAGCCAAAGTACCACTTGAAGGTACCATAGCTCCAAACTGTTTTTCAAATTTTAATTTATGATCTCTCCACTAAGAAAAATTCCCCTTTGTACACATCATTGACTACCCTGGGTCATTTTATTCAGTAAAAAAAACTTATATGATACAGATTTCACCTCCTTTTCAATTATATTTGTTTGACTGATTTAAATTGTTTCAGACTGTTTATAGATGGTCTTAAAGGTATAACTGAGTCACTGCATATTTTTTCCCAACTTACAGACCCAAACGTACCTGAGTTTTTCCAAGGCACTTTCTCGTTCAATGCGAAGTTTAGCTAAAGATGCGTTCTCAGCTTTAAACTTTTCTATTTCTGTTTCCAATTCAATAATTTTCTCTCTCAAAACCTGGGATCGAGCATTGTCACCTATGAAATAGGCCATAAATACTGAACTTCAAAAAAGGCATTACTGCAGCAAAAACACTAGCTAGCTAGTAACACTAAGAGCCAAGAATATGGCAAACATCTGTGCTATTAAAATGCATTAGAAACAATGCTTCAAACATGAAAAGGAAAAAAAATTAAACCTAACTTTCCTGAGGAAATCAGTGGGAATTTATGGAAGAATTAATCTACCTCAAAAGAGTATCGACCTGACAAGGAATCAACATGATACATAAAAAGAAATCATTCAAATCAATTTTTCAAAGACGAATATATATAAATAGCTTAAGAATAAGTAATCCACAAGAGATCTGAAGAGCTAATCAACACCAAAATCAAAGTTTACCCCTACTATTAATCAAATAAATGCAAATTGTTTTCCCTTTATCAAATTTGCTATTTAAAATGTAAAATAGCCAGTGCTTCTGTCCTTCAAGCATTTTTATCAATTAGTACTTTTTTAGAAACTAAATGTGATCCACAAGGCTAAAGAAATGAGCTAAGTTATACAACTCTGTCATATTAAAACTACATAGAAAAAATGACTGGAATGAAATATCCCAAAATGGCATAGCAGTTACTTTTGGGTAGTTAAGTTGTAAATATTTTTGCTTCTATGCTTTTTAAGCTTCCAAACTTTGTACAAAAAAATTACTTTTAAAATCAGAATTTTTGAAAATTAACGTTATAATTTCTATTTTAATTTCTATTTTAAAGCACCTATGCTCTGCTAGTTTATAATATAATATAATGGAAAGGAATCTTTCAGGGTGAGTTTAAAAAGTCCGTTACATCAACAGAAATACTACACATCCGTTAAATGGAATGAGGTAGGTGTGTACATGCGTTAGAACAATCTTCAAAATTTATCATAAGCAAGGTGCAGGACAGTATACAAAAAGAGTCTTTTCATTTGTATAGAAAGGTAATTATATACAAACTGACACATATGCTTTTATATGCACGGACTCTTTAGAATACACAAACGAAATGGTAATACTGGTACCTCTAGGAAGGGGTACTTGAACCAGGTCTGGGGAAGAAAGGAAACGTAGAAGCTTTGATGTTATCTCACTTTATTAAAAACTAATTAATTTTAAAGCCTCATATAGACCCATAAAATAAATCAAATTTTTACAAATCACCCATTAATTTGACTTAATTCTATTGAGCAATAAGGAAAGTTAGGATTTTAAGCATTCTGACAGCATACTGATTAATGTTAAATTTCTAACATTCTGATACATATTTTATAATGCTCTGACTCACCAGGTGGTTGGTCTTGACTTATGTTTAACTTGAGTTCATTTCCCAAGTGTGAATCTGACTTTGGTTTTGGTTTCAAAGAAGGAAAGAATTTCATCATCAGCTCCGATGTAGGAGGACTTCTGCTCCTCCTGGACTTGCTCAAGTCTTCTCCCCTCTTGACTGGTGCAATCTTCCTTTTTATTGTTTTGTCCAGGATACCTATTTCATTATTAGGGTAGCATGTCTGCGGCGTCCCATAAGTGGATTCATTCCCAAGAACAACATCATGGTTACACAAATTCTCTTCAAGGTCAGTCCAAGTTCTTTCATCATCAAAGTCCATTTTACTCAGACTTAGGGATGAGGATCTCGAGGGCTCAGACACTTTATGTTTTATGCTTTCCATGATAGACTCATCGCTACTGTAATCTTTATCAGACAAATCCAGATCAACATCTCTCCTTTTATCTTCTTGGGTCCTGGTGTCCTTAAAAGGCCCCTTATCATCACAGACTTGTGGGCTATCCTCTCTGCTGCTGATGCCCCTCTCTCTATCCTCAGTCGATGGTTTTATGGTAACATCAAGCTGTTCCTCAGAGTCAGTGCTACTGTCACTATTTGGAACACCTTCATCGTCACGTGCATTCCATTCAGTCTGATTTTCAGAAGTGCTCTTTTGGACGGCTTTCCTGATTTTACAAGGCTGTTCCCTCAATTCATCAGCTGAGGACAATGAATGAAGTTGTTTGGGTGCGACTTCACACTCACTCTCCTTCTCACGTGCAGTGTGGTCCAAATCCTCACTGCGGTTACAATGACTAATGGGATCTGCCGGATTTGTCTTCTGTGGCACAGCTTTGACAGGGGTGGAAGACATCCGGTGACCTTTGCAGATCTGTTGATCCCTTTCTAAGATTTTCAGTACAAATGAGGAATTACTAGAAAATGATATTTCATCAGCAGCTTGTTCTAAAAACAAAAATTCATCTAATTCCAAATTTTCCTTTTCCTTTTCTCGTTCCCAAGTCTCTAACTTTTTCTGAAGAGAAACGTCAAGAGAAGATTCAGACTCTTTCATGGTCTCCCTTATGGGGCTCTTAGCAGCCAGCCGGCTGGCCGGCCCTGTTGAAAGAGGAAGTCTGTCTTTACCTTGTGTCTTATTCCACCCTGTGCAGCCAGTATCGCAAGGTTTTGGACACTCAGTTACATTTTCTTTATTATTAGATGTGACTTTGTTTTCAAATTTGATCTGGTCTCTAAACTGCCCATCACATTTCTTCCCCGTCTGTATTTTCAATCCTGACGGAGAAAGACTTTTCCTGTTACTACACTTCAGCATTTTCGGCTTCTGACTGAGGGTGACAGAACCACTCTTGGTTCTAGCTTTACTGTCCTTTTTAAGGATAGGGTTGTCTGCACACAGCTCTTTATTTTTAAGAGCGGTTTTCCGCTGGAGTTGCTGTCTATCCATTTTAAACAGCGGCTGGTCCTCGGAAGTGCTCTGGTTAGTCACTAGTTTACTTTCTTTGCCTTTTTGAAACTTAGATTTGGCATTAGTAAATCTAGCTAAACCTTCTCCTCGTTTTAAAAATGGTTGTTTTGGTTTTGCTTTGATTGGCAATGGTCCTTCTGCTTCCTAAAATAAAAGAATAATATTTGAATTAATTTTGGTATATCCAAGTGATCTCAAAGTTATTTTTAAGGCAAATTATAGATAAATCTCTAAAGCCTTAGAATGATTTAATCAGAAGAGCACAATTGCTGACCTTCAGCTGTTTTTGCTTCAGTTCTTGCTCTTCCAACTGAATTTGTTCTTCTAAGTAATCTTCAAAGGTCTGTTTCCTTTCTCCAATAGCAGCTTTAATGGGCCTAATTAGAAACAGAAAGTTATTTAACATGCAAATCATAATGTGTGAATATTTTACACTTAGTGTGCCTGGTATAGAAACCCTTGACAACATGGAGAACTAACTTTTCCCAAAATCAGTGCCTCCCTTTGAGAACCTAACAAAAGCCACAATCCCTCTCCACACCTTAAAATAAAGAAACATACAACACTCTTCACATGACTTTGGAGTCCTAAGAACCCTTCTGAAGTCCATCTATCGACCACAGATTAACACATGGAGTAACATATTCATCAAATAACTTTAAAATGTATTTCAAAAATAGATCACTAAATATGCATTTTTTTAATTAAGAAAGGCCCTTAATGTGAGAACAATAATCAGAAAAGTCATTTTGTCCATATTATATTAAAAATTTTGAAATAAATTTTTAAAATAATCAACTTACTTAAAATATAAAATACTTAATCTTTGCCATATTTTAAAATTCTGTAACTAAACTGATAATGCAATTATAATTGATAAGTGACACCAAATGGGAGATGTCAATACTTAATTTTTCCCTTCTCCAAAAATAGGATTTAACTATTTGAGAGAAAATTGATTTTATCCAGATGTTTCTCTTAAGTGAAAAAGCTTCGAGAATACAATGTCAAGGCAGCTTGACATATCTCCTCAACCTCTTTTGTTGTTGACAGTACATAATAGGTTGTATCTTTAACCTTAAAAGCATAGTCAAGCAAAAACCAGAAAAATATAGATCTTTCAAACAAAGAAAGTGTTCAATAATAAAGGCTAGCTATTGTACTAAATAGTCACATTTCTCACTTTCAACACGAACAATACCTTTCTTCAATATTAGCCACTTCTGAGGAATCATCATGTTTTTGTAAGTTCTTATCATTTGCTTCCTGAATCTGTTCTGTCACTTTCTCCCAACATAAGATACTTTCTCCTGAGATAAAAATTAAGAACAATTTAGCTCAAGAAAAGCATATTAATGTCTTAAAACATGAGAATTCTACAAGTTACTATGCTAAAACATTTTTTTAATTAAAAGTAATGTATATCACAGATTTTACAACACTCAAGGAATTCTTTAATATAATTAAGAGAAACTACAAAACTCCAATTAAGACACTTGAGGCCGGGTGTGGTGGCTCACACCTGTAATCCCAGCACTTTGGGAGGCCAAGGCGGGAGAATCACTTGAGGCCAGGAATTCGAGCCCAGCCTGGCCAACGTGGCGAAACCCCGTCTCTACAAAAAAAAAAAAAAAAAAAAAAAAAAAAATTAGCCAGGCGTGGTGGCACATGCCTGTAATCCCAGCTACCTGGGAGGCTGAGAGCAAGCAGAGGTTGCAGTAAGCCAAGATGGTGCCACTGGACTCCAACCTAAGTGACAGAGGAAGACCCTGTCTCAAAAATAAAATAAAATAAAATAAAGACACTTGACATTCTTCAAAAGGTTAATGTCATGAGGAAAAAAGTGTGGGGTTTTCTAGAGATTAAAAAGGCTAAAGAGTTGTAAGAATCAAACGTAATACATGAACTTGACTGGATATGCATTAATTTGATTGGATCCTTTAAAAAAAAAGCACCTTTAAAAGATATTTTGGGATAACTGGGGGAATCCCAAAATGGACTTGAATATTAAGGAATTATCATTAATTTCTTTAGATACAATAATAGCACTGTGGTTATACAGATGAATGTCCTAATTTTTGCTTGATGCATACTGAAATATTTGGAATGAAGTAACAAGATACCTGCATATTATTTTCAGTGAAATGGTTCAGCAAATTATACACATATAGAAGTAAAGATAAGGATATACATGTAAAAGATATATATACACATACATACACTGACAAAGTAAATACAGCAAAATATTAACTGCTCAATCTAGGTGGTGGGTATATCAGTAATAACTGCAGTGGTCTTTCAACTTTTCTAGATGTTTGAAATTTTCCAAAATAAAAGGCTATGGAAACATGTTGTATAAAAAAGAAGAAAAACATATTTGAGCTTTCCACACCGATGAATTAACTCTAAATTAGGAACAAGGCATTATGGTTGGGTGCAGTAGCTCAGATCTGCAATCCCAGTACTTTGGGAGGCCAAGGCAGGCAGATCACTTGAGGCCAGGAGTTTGAGACTAGCCTGGCCAACATGTTGAAACCCCATCTCTACTAAAAATACACAAAATTATCTGGGCATGGTGGCACATACCTGTAATCCCAGCTACTTGGGAGGCTGAGACACAAGAATCACTTGAACCCGAGAGGCAGAGGTTGCAGTGAGCTGAGATTGTGCCACTGCTCTCCAGCCTGGGTGACAGAGCGAGACTGTCTCAAAAAAAAAAAACACGCCACAGGGGACAAAAAAAAATAACCATACAGAAAGAGCTGGCAGGGTAGCACGTGCCTATAGTCCCAGCTACCTGAGAGGCTGATGGGGGAAGATTACTTGTGCCCAGGAGATTGAGTCCAGCCTGAGCAACACGGCAACACTCCATCTCTGAAAAAATAATTTTTAAAGAAAAAACATGGAAAGGCTTCATCTTAGGACAACTTAGTAACACTATAAGCACAGAAGAGAGAAACATAAGTAGCTCACCTGTAGGATGGTTACGGTTTTCTTCTTTTAAATTATTTTTTTCCACAGGTGCTTCTTGATACTGTGCCTCAGAAAATAAATTAGGAGACGCACGTTTTGAAGTTAAGACAAAATCTCCATGAGCAGTTCTACAGAAGTTGCTTTGCTCATGGGATAAAATGTTGGACGGGTATGTTTCTTCCTGGGTTGGGTCCGGGTAGACATATGATGGGAAGCAGCATGTGGCTCTCTCTCCAGTGGTGGTATTTCCTGGAGACCTGTGCTTCTGGCTCTGATCATCAGGCAGTAAACTCAAACCTTACAATTAAGAAATGCAACAAAGCTGATGACTTCCTTCAACATTTTCTCTTTTATCCCCAGTAGTGACCCCCACCCCACAAAGACTTCTCCACAGTGACAACAGTATTTTTTCCCTTTATTAGGAAATGGTGTTTAACAAAACCATTGATTGTTTGAGACAGTCTCGCTCTGTCGCCAAGGCTGAAGTGCAGTGGTGCGATCTCAGCTCACTGCAACCTCCACCTCTTGGGTTCAAGTGATTCTCGTGCCTCAGCCTCCTGAGTAGCTGGGATTACAGGCGTGTGCCACCACGCCCAGCTAATTTTTTATATTTTTAGAACAGATAGGGTTTCACCATGTTGGCCAGGCTGGTCTTGAACTCCGGACCTCAGGTGATCTGCCGGCCTTGGCCTCCCAAAGTACTGGGATTACAGGTGTGAGCCACTATGTCTAGCCTGTTTAAATTTCTAATGCAGTAAGTTATTGGTAAATACAGCCCATATAACAAAAGTTCTTTGGGGCTCTCAAATATTTAAGAATCCTAAGGGATCCTGAGACCAAAATATTTGAAAACTACTGCTCCAAAGCAAACTGCTCCATGACTGCATGAGGCTAGTTCTTATGTAAATAACTTTGAAATCAGCTTCCCTGTCATTCTGTCATAGTGCGGTTCTACCTTTAAAAGTATCACAGCTGTTATTTAAGTGATCTTGATTATTCTTTGTATGTATTCCATAAAGAAACCCTAAGCCATTCAACTATTTTAAGGCACACAAATGTTTTCTATATTCTCTAAGATAAACATCCAAATTCCCTAAACCATTGTTTATGTGCTACAATTTCTCATGACCACACCCCACCTGACCCCTGCACCCAGCCTCACTCACTTGCCAAGTCTTTTTTTCCTTGTATTCTCAATGCCCAGCATAATCTCTGAGCAGAACAGGTGCTTTCCTGGGTCAGTAAAGTATATTTCTTAAAAGAAGCAAACACATGGCTCCAACCTCAGTTTTTTTCAAACTATGGGACACAATCTATAATAATTTTATTATCGGATGTAGCATTTTTTAAAATGATATAGAACTAGAATAAACAAGACAGAAAATGTCCTCACTACATGCCAGGAACACCAATAAGGACTGATGACATGAAATTGCTTTGTCATTATGAGTCACGATTTTAAACATTTTTACTACTACAGAGTGTGGTCAAGAAACTTTCAAACCACTGCTCCAGGTCACATTTCCAGTTTTCTTTCCTGATTGGCACGTGACGCTTTCCGTTAACTGATGGGTCACACAACAGAATACTGTCATCTCCTACCACAGAAAATATCTTTGGTATGGTTCTTCAGCTGAACAGAGTGGCTCCTACATGTATTTACCTTCATGACACCCAACAGTTTTCATTCATCAGGCAGGGGTTGGATACCAGCAGCAGCTCTAGGCCAAATCTGACTTTTCTTCTATTGGACCTTTTTTGGGGGGACAGGGTCTCACTCTGTTGCCCGGCTGGAATGCAGTGGTGCCATTATAGCTCACTGCTGCAGCCTCAAATTCCTGGGCTCAAGCAATCCTCCCACCTCAGTCTCCAGAGTAGCTAGGACTGCAGGCATGGACCACCACACCCAGCTCATTTTTTTTTTTTTTTTAATGAATAAACATCAATGCCTTAAAGCAGGGCATGCGCACACCAGAATGCGGCAGCTCCTTCTTGTTCCAGTTGTATTACAACTCTACCATTTCACATTTATCGGGCTAGCCTTTAAAGAAACTGGAGTTCACAACACATGATACAGGAACGATAGAAATAACGTGTCAAACAACTACAGGTAAGAAATGTGCATTATACTGAGGCCCTGTGTAGGCAAAGCATACCTGGAAGTGTGCACTGCCCAGACACCATGGTGAGCAGCTTCTCTTGTTCTTCCATGAGTCTCTGTAGTTGCTCCAACTGTTGCCTCTTCAATTGTTCCTGCTTCTTCTGTTGTACTTCTTTCAGCTTTTTAAATACAAAATTAACTTTATTAAATCAACTTTACAATTCTTCATGGACACCTCGTTCCCTTAATTCCTCCCATCTCCCTCCTCCTATCTTTCCTGGTAAGAAGTTTTAGACAGGGACCCCTAGGTAACTAAATCAGCCACCGAAAATCTAAAACTCATATCCTTACGAAGGAAATCTTATCAACTATCTCAACTAAGAAACCGAAACAGTCATATAAATCCTTTGATTGTTAAAATAGGATGGGCATCAGTACATCATCCAATTTTTTCCCCTAATACTTGATCAACCATTTCTTACTTTTCGCCAAATGAGGTAACAACTTAAAGTTATTATAAGTGCTAATTAAACACACTTAAATGTTTCACATTAGACAAAGGGCAAAATCTGGTATTCTGAGGATTTCAGAGTGAAGGGGAAAAAACAAGAAGACCTAGAACAAATGACTTTATTACATAAACAGAAACCTGCAATGACATAAATTCACAGTAGGCCAAATCCTATTGTACCTGTTCAAGTTTTTTAAAAAGTGGGTCTTTATAAGCCCCTTCTTTGAATTCACTCGCAAGATCTGGGATGAAGTCATTTTTGTTTTCTTCCTGGTGTCCAGGAGCACTGTGACATGCCGCTACCTGTGGTCCCTTTTTAATGCAAGGAAAGGCTGTATGGGTTTCAGATTTATCTGACTGTGGTTTGTAAGGGTTGTTTGACTCCAACTTCTGTTCTTCAAGAAGTGAATCTTCTTCATTTATAAAGCTGAAGCTATCAGAAAAATGTGTGCCTTTAATAGGAAAGCTGGTAGAAATGTCCACAGCTGCTCGCTTCTCTTTGTCTGCTTCCAAAATAGGAAATCCACGATTTAATATGACCCCAGCCCGAGAAGGATTGGTCATCCACTGGGTTAGGAAGTTCTGCCCACTGTTTAACTCTGAAGAGGTTGGCATCAGGAACATCTTAGTCCAATGACACTATTATATTTAAACAATGCAAAGGCTAGAAGAGCTATTGATTTCCAACACCTGTAGACAAAAATAGCCAACAAAATGTATTAGGTAAAGCCATTAGATGTCCTACCAAAAATGAGCCCAAACCTCAACCCAGCATAAAAATGTCCTCAATATTTCATATACAAAAGACCTTAACTAGCAAAGCAATTGGGCATTGAGCTACATTTTTCTAAGTCTTAAAAATAACCAAATTGAGTAGATCAAAAACGTAAGATCCTTCTTGACTTAACCATTCAATTACTAATGATTTTATACAAGTGCTAGATTAGCTGAACTAAACAATGGAAGATAAAATACCTTTTAAGTTATTCACTTAAAAAAAAAAAGCCACTATCAGATATTACCCACACTAAGCACTTTCTTGCTTCTGGCCCTAGTTTAACATTGCTTCTTTGCCCAGTTGGTGAACCTGTTTTCTCCCTAGTTCTAGCACAAAAGTCAACACCAGCACTCCTGGCTTTACCTGGCAGTTTCACCTGTCCCTTCCTCTCTCGTCTCCCTACTAACACCTCACCCACCAGATAGCCCCTCATCTGTATTCCTAGAGGTAAAATAGTGACATCACTCTTCTAGCACTCATCTCATTATTAGTGGCATTTTGCTTTCATGTTCATTACTAATCCGTGAAGTTCCTTGAAGATATCTATATATTCACTACTGCCAAGCACCATGTCTGGCAGGTAGGAGAAATGTAATTCTTATGGCATAAGCCAATGAAAATTACATTGGCTCATGCCATAACTCTGTATGAATTATCAGACTTTAAAATTAACCAAATTCCTACTGTAACTTTGCACTGTGTGATAGATATACTTAAACAGGACATAACAGAGAAGATAAGCCTTGCCTCTGTCTGTGTCTGATTTTACTCAACTAACATTTATTGGGTTCTTACTCTGTGCCAGATATTGTTTTTGCCCCTGGGTACATAGCAGTTCATAAATCACAGTCTAGTGGGGAAGACACACACACACACGCACACACACATTATACAGTATGTTAAATAGCAATAAGTGCAAAGGGGAAAAATAAAAGCCACGTGGGAAAAGGAGGTTGTAACTTTAGACAAGGTGGACAGCATCCTCATTTAGAAGGTAAAATTAAGGACCAAGGGATGGAGAAGGTACAAGTTGTGCAGCTATCAGGGGCAGGGTAAGTAAAGACCCAGCCACCCAGCCTTCCTAACCTTCATCTGCAAGACACTCCCACTGACATCCCATTCCTCCAGAAACCCCCAGTTCTCAAACCCCATCACCATTACCTACCTATTTAAACCTATTATATCACTCACCACAGGAAGCCCTGAGATCCAGAGCCAGGCTTCACTTCTTACACAGTAATCCCTACACCTTATTCTGTTCCATCTCCCAAACATCCGAGCCCCAAAACACTAACAGTCCATCATCAGCAAAATCCCCATTATCCTCAACCTCTTCTCTGAGGACTCCCTCACCTTCCTGAGAACATCTGTTTGTATGGAGCCCATACTCCAGTATCACTGAGCCTGGAGACAAAACATATATTCTTATTCTTTTGCTCCTTCCAGACTACACACTCCTTTTCTAGACCATAAAAAGCAATTTTACTTGGGAGTTCTGAGGTGGCAGGATTGCTTGAGCCCAGGAGGTCGAGGCTGCTGTAAGCCGTGATTGTGTCACTGAACTCCAGCCTGGGCAACAGAACAAAACCCTGTCTCAAAAAATAAATAAATAAGTCGGGTGTGGTAACTCACGCCATAATCCCAGCATTTTGGGAGGCCAAGGCAGCCAGATCACTTGAAGTTAGGAGTTCGAGACCAGCCTGGCCAAGATGGTGAAACCCCGTTTCTAATAAAAATATAAAAAAATTAGCCAGGCGTCAGGGTGCACGCCTGTAATCCCAGCTACTCAGGAGGCTGAGGCGGGAGAATCGCCTGAACCTGGGAGGCAAAGGCTGCAGTGAGCCAAGATCACACCACTGCACTCCAGCCTAGGCAACTGAGTGAGACTCTCTCTCAAAAAATAATTAATTAATTAATTAATAATAAATTAATAAAAAGCAATTCTGACTCTCATATGACCAAACTATACAATCTACTGCCCCTCCTTTATTGTCTACCAACCTCCAGAGATCAATAGGATCTTCTCCCTCATTTCTTAAAATTTCCTGGCTGAGCACCTGGAAGAACAGATTTGCCATTCACTGAAATGCGGAAGATGGAGGATTGAAACAGGTTTTGGGGAATCAGAGACCAAGAGTTGAATTCAGGACATTTTAAGATGCCTATGAAATATGCACATAGAGACACTGGGTCAGCAGCTGGGTGCACTAGAATGGAACTCACCGAAGAGGCCAAGGCTGTGAAGCATAAATTTGGACATCCTCAGCATAAAGATGGTATTTAAAGCCTTGACACTGGATGAGATCAATGAGGGATTGAGGGTAGTCAAAAAGAGAGGAGGCGGCTGGGCGCAGTGGCTCACGCCTGTAATCCCAGCACTTTGGGAGGCCGAGGCGGGTGGATCACCTAAGGTCAGGAGTTCGAGACCAGTCTGGCCAACATGGTGAAACCCCATCTCTACTAAAAATACAAAAAATTAGCTAGGTGTGGTGGCGGGAGCCTGTAATCCCAGCTACTCAGGAGACAGGAGAATTGCTTGAACCCAGGAGGCGGGGGTTGCAGTGAGCCGAGATAGCGTTATTGCACTCCAGCCTGGGCAACAAGTGCAAGACTCCATCTCGAAAACAACAACAACAACAACAACAAAAACAGATAAGAGGCAAAAAGTGTAGCGTCCTTGAGGCTAAGTGATGAAAGTGTTTCGAGGAGGAAAGAGCT
The DNA here is from genome assembly GCF_000001405.40 of Homo sapiens. Taxonomy (NCBI): domain Eukaryota; kingdom Metazoa; phylum Chordata; class Mammalia; order Primates; family Hominidae; genus Homo; species Homo sapiens. The sequence continues at coordinate 24,915,898 of NC_000013.11, forward strand.
ATGTTAAATGCTGTGAAACAGATGAAGGGTAAGGAGAACTGAGAACTGACCTCTGAATTTGGCAAAGCAAAGGTCATGAGAACTTCAATGAGAGTAGCTGAGGGCAGGGACAGCAAAACCTTGAGTGGAGAGGATGCATGACAGAATAAGAAATTGAAGGCAGTAGGCACAGCTAACACCAGGAGTTCTGTTATAAAGGGAAGGAATTACATAGAAAAGCAAGGTGAAGAGGAGTATTTTTTACAATAGGAGAAATAAAAGCATGTTTGTGCAGGCTGATGAGGATGGAGAAAGGGGAGAATTGCTACAGTCATGTTCTTGAGGAGATGGGAAGAGTCTAGTACTGAAGTGGAATAACATCTCACACTACTTTCCAGACACAATTCTAGACTTTATCAATATAATACAGCAAAATATATATATAATCAAAGGAAAATGAAAAAGGGCAATGTGGAGGCAAACACGTATGTCATTTCATACTCGGTGTCTAAAAAACATAAACATATAAAAAATATAAACAGAAAAAGAAATACAGATGCCAAAACATTAAAACATGCGCATTCTCACTCCACTGAAGAGATGGAAATGAAAACAGTAACATTACCATTTTTTTCCCACCCTGGGTTGGCAAAAACTAAAAACTAGTAATACCCAGTAGGAAAAACAGAAACTCTTTTTTGCTTTTGTTTGTTTTTCACCATTCAACTTGAAGAAACTCTTTTGTGAAGTACTTACTGAGCAAATAAACTGGTACAACATTTTGAAGGACAATATGACAACATTCAGCCAACTGTAAATGCAGAGGAACTTTGACTCAACAATTTCACATCTAGGCATTTTGTCCCACAGTTATACTGGCATAAACTCACATTTGCAATAAACTGAAAGTAAATGTCCATTAACAGGAGATCAGCTAATCATGGTAATCATATTATGCAACTGTTAAAAAGAACAAGTAAGCTCTTTACTGATATGGAAGTAGTGAATATATCCAAGATATGTTGCTAGTTACAAAGACCAAGTGCACAGTAGTGTGTATTATCAGAAATAAAGACAAAAAAATACATTTACGGCCCGGTGCGGTAGCTCACGCCTATAATCCCAGCACTTTGGGAGACCAAGACGGGAGGATCACGAGGTCAGGAGATCGAGACCATCCTGGCTAACACAGTGAAACCCCGTCTCTACTAAAAATACAAAAAATTAGCCGGGGGTGGTGGCGGGCACCTGTAGTCCCAGCTACTCGGGGAGGCTGAGGCAGAAGGATGGCGTGAACCTGGGAGGCAGCAGATCTTGCAGTGAGCCGAGATCGCGCCACTGCACTCCTGCCTGGGGGACAGAGCCACTCTGTCTCAAAAATAAATAAATAAATTACAATTACATGGACCTATGCATTTAGTATGGCAACCATATAGTCACATGGCTACTGAGCACTTGAAATGTGGCTAATGTGACTGAAGAACTGAATTTTCCACTTTAATTAAAGTTAATTAAATTTAAAAAGTGAATAAGTACAAAATATTTTTCTCTTAAACACTTTTATTCTCTCGGTAGGACTGCATTTCACTTTAACCACTGCATGGCATAAGATGCTGCTGTACTGAAGCCCATGTCAGTGTGCATCACCCCCCAGATTGCAAAGAAACATGTCTGCAATCTCATCAGTGTCAATGGACTGATTCTGTTTGAATAATTTTTTTCAACACATGGATATAACACTGTTATGTGTCTATCTGAATAGTTTATGAAAACAGTACAAGTTACAGTGATCTATTTAAATTGTAATTGGTAATTATCTTGGTCCATTTTCTGCTGCTATAAAGAATACCAGAGAAGAGACTAGGTAATTTATAAAGAAATTTATTTCTCACAGTTCTGGAGCTGGGAAAAACAAGAGCATGGCATTGGCAACTGGCAAGTGTTGTCCCATGGGGGAAGAGTAGAAAGGCAAAACAGCCTGTGAGAGAGAGGCTCTCTTTTATAACAAAGCCACCCCTGAAATCAGTAACCCACTTCTGAGATAACAGCATTAATCCATTCATTAGGGTGGAGCCCTCATGACCTAATCACCTCTTAAATTTCTCACCGCTCAACACTGTTGCATTGGGAATTAAGTTTCCAACAGGAGTTTTGGAGCGGACAGTCAAGCCATAGCAGGAATTAAGTTGAAATGTTTAGTATTTTAATTATGGCATATTTTTCTAGTTTGAAAAAGATGTATGAACAATTTTTAAAATTTAAAACAAAGCTACACTATGGAAGACTCAAGTGGAGATGCAGAAGCTAGTACTATGACCAGAACAGTGAAGGAAAAAAGACTGGAAGGAGGCACCTCACAAGTTTCACATCAAATGGCAACCACAATTTGCTGTGGCAAAGCGAACAGAAAAAGTTTTAAAAAATTTTAAGATAACTAATATTGAGACATTTTCAGCAAAAACACAGCAATTTTTTATAAGTTTATTCTCAATAATAAAAAAACAAATTGATATGCAGTTGACCCTTGAACAACACAGTAAGGGTTAGGGGGACCAACTCCCCATGCAACCGAAAATCTAAGTGTAACTTTGACTTCTCCAAAACTTAACTGCTAATAGCCTACTGTTGACTGGAGGCCTTATCAATAACAGTTAACACATATTTTGTATGTTATGTGTATTATATATGGTATTTTTACAATAGTGTAAGCTAGAGAAGAAAAGTTAAGAAAATAATAAAAAATATACATATTTACTATTGGTTAAGTGGAAATGAATCATCATAAAGGTATTCAGACTTCATTTATGTTTTGTGTCTAAAAAACATAAACATATGAAAGATATGCAGGGAGACCTTTATGATGATCCACTTCCACTTAATGGATAGTAAAGGTCTTTGTGTCACTAGTCCTCACATTGGACTAGGCTTAGGAAGAGAAAGGGTTGGTTTTGCTGTCTCGAGGGTGACAGAAGTGGAAGAAAATCCAAGCATAAGCGAACCCACAAAGTTGAAACTCATGTTGTTCGAGAGTCAACTGTAATTAGTCACCTGTGTCAGAACTAAATAGCCAACAAAAAAAAAGTTTTATGATTTTGAACAGAATCTGACCTTTTAACTTTGGCCAGTTATAAAAAAGCCTGGAAAGAAGGAGGGTGAGGGGAGAGAAAGAGATAGAAATGAAAAGAAAAAAGAAAATTATTTTCAGATGAAGAGGAGGTAAATAGGTTATCTGAGTTGAGGAAATTTTGTTAGAACACTGTGAGATTTAAAAAGATATTTTAATTAAAAGGTTAAAGATATTTTCTAAAAAGTGAAAAATTTTCAACGAAGTGACCAAACAATTGTCCATAGACCCTTCTATTACCATCCAGGTTCAAAGCCATAAAAAATTACAAGCACTTGTCTTTAGCTTTATCTGAGTAATGCAATGAGAGACTGACCAATCACCAATTTAGGTGTGTTTTATCTCACAGATTATCTAAATTTACAAAGAGATGATATCAATTCAAAGCCTGATACTGAACCTGTGACATGGATATTTTTTAATCTTTTTTTTTTTCCTTGAGACAGGGTCTCACTGTCACCCAGGCTGGAGTGCAGTGGCATGATCACGGCTCAGTGGAGCCTCTACCACCCAGGCCCCAGTGATCCTCCCACCTCAAGCCTCCGGAGTAGCCAGGACCATAGGCATATACCACAACACCCAGCTCATCTTTTAATTTTTTGTAAAGAGTGGTCCCCCTGTGTTGCCCATGCTGGTCTCAAACTCCTGGGCTCAAGCCATTCTCCCACCTTGGCTTCCCAAAGTGCTGGGATTACAGGCGTGAGCCCCTGCGCCCAGTATTTTATGTCTGACAGAAGAATTTTAGCTAGATATGAAAACATTACTTTTTTTCTTTTTTTCTGAGACAGGGTCTCACAATGTCACCCAGGCTGAAGTGCATTGGCACAATCACGGCTCACGGCAGCTTCAACCTCCAGTGCTTAGGTGATCCTCCCATCTCAGCCTCCAGAGTAGCTGGGCCTACAGGTATGTGTCACCATGCCCAGCTTATTTTTTATTTTTTAATTTTTTTGTAGAAACAGGGTGTCCCTATGTTGCCCAGGCTGATCTTGAACTCCTAGGCTCAAGCCATCCTCCTGCTTCGGCCTCCCAAAGTGCTGGTATTACAGGTGTGAGTCACTGCGCCCAGCCTAAAAATCAGTTTCTATCATGACAGATGGTGTCATTCTATAAGGCAAAAAATCTGAATTTAATGGGATTTTACAACAAGAGACTGCTGTTTCCCTCGCTGATTCATTCCCCTGTATAATACACATTGAAAATTCTTGTGTTTGGTTTTCTGAAGCATAATCCACGAATAGTATCATGAATATAGTTGTTACAATTGTTCAGTATGTACAAATGCTATCAACTGCCAGTTTATAGAACTGTTAAAAGACATAGAAGACAGTGAACATAATGATACTGTGTTTTTGCCATCGCTCCCTGGTTGAGTTGTAGAAGAGTTGTATAAAGGCTTACTGTACCATTAATTGCAACTGAAGATTTTCTTGGAACAAGATGATTGCCTGCCAACCATTTAATAACCAAAAACAAAAATGCCAATGTGATGTACATTTTCTCACTGTATCACACTTTGAGAACCACAGCTATTCAGGCATTTAAAAAAACAAAAATTGCTGCCACAGGCAGTAACAAAAATAAATAATGATGTGTGAACATCAGACAAATATGATTCCTTTTTTTTTTTTTTTTTTTGAGATGGAGTCTCACTCTGTTGCCCAGGCTAGAGTGCAGTGGTGTGATCTTGGCTCACTGCAACCTCAGCCTCCCGGGTTCAAGCGATTCACCCACCTCAGCCTCCAGAGTAGCTGGGACTACAAGCATGCACCACCATACCTGGCTTTTTTTTTTTTTTGTATTTTTAGTAGAGACGGGGTTTCACTATGTTAGTCAGGTTGTTCTCAAACTCCTGACCTCAAGTGATCCACCTGGCTTAGCCTCCCAAAATGCTGGGATTACAGGCATGAGCCACCGCACCTGGCCCATGTTTCCATGTATATGAAGCTGAAGAACAGGCAAAATAAACCCATAGTTATAAATGGCATATTGGTCGTTATCCAGGAAAATGGGAGTTGTCCTGTCTGTGTGAAAGTTGATCATACAAATTGAGTCATTCTTATAGCCAACTAAACAATCAAGAAGTCAAGAGGGAAAGGCACTCAGGACACACAACTTTGCTCCAAGAATGGAATTCTCTATAAGTCAGTATGCTGAAACTGCCGGTTGTAACCCGAGACCAATTTGATCTATAGATGCTGAGGTAACTTGCTGCAATTGTAGGACTAATTTTGCCCTCCACCATGGCCCACTCGGTAGGACCTGCTGCCTCCCCAGAACCTTAGGAGAACCAATGAACTTTCTCGAAGAGCGACAGATATAACAATTCTCTTTTTTATAAAACCTCCAGCTTTCTCTTTGTTCTTTGGACATACTGAAGACCACCTGGTCTGTACGCCTGGAACCGCCATTCTTTCTTCCCAAATAAAACGTTAAACTTAAGAGATTCATCTCCAAATTTTTGACTTCAACAACTGGGAAGGTTAATACAGGGGGTGGATACACTTAGGCTGTACACTTAAGATTAGCGCACTTTACTGGATATCTGTTATTCCTGAATAATTTGTAAAAACTTTTTCTAAGCAAATTGTTTTTCAGTAGGAAACCAATCTAAAAAAGTAATGACTTTTTTTTTTTCAAAATCAACCACGTAACTTTGCTTAATTTCAATGACCTTAGCAGAAAATCTTTCGAAATCCAAATTCAGAAGGGAGACAAACTACAAGGTCATTTCATAATATGGAAAACTAGAAAAATTCCCTACTAGACTGACAAGTGCAAGCAGTCTTGGGATGCAGCAGCCAGACTTTTGCATCTCCTCCTCCAACTCCCCACCAAACACACCTTCTATACCTTCAATTTCATGACCGCGATTCTAAAAATATATTTAATGTCAGCATGAAGTATAAAAAAAGCGTCACCAGAACCTGCTACTTATTATTGATACTGAGGTCTTGGTAAAGGGAGCATTGATAATATATATGCCGAGATAGGATTAGTATGTGGACTCAGACTTTACAGATATCAAAATCTGAAGGACACGGGTGCACGTGTATGTCAAACTCATCAAATGGAATGCATTTAAACATGTGCCATTTTTATTGTATAGCAATTATACCTCAATAAAACTTTTAAAAAATGTAACAAACTGACAGCCTTGAAATCTCCAGAAAGTGCTATGTAAACATTCTTTAAAGCAGTATTGAAAAAAAGATAAATTCTCTGCACGGTGAGGGAGGAGAGTGGATACAAACAGCAAATTCAAAGCCACTCTTAGACCGTGAGAAGTAACTAGTTGGTCTGGGAAGTGATTTAGCAGTCCCCTAAAATACAACACGTTCTTGAAAGCCATGAATCCACACGAAGCTTCAAGAGAGAAGCCCTTGACAAAGCTGGGGCAAGACCGGCCCTTAGGACAGCCAGCAACGCTACTTCACCACCCTGCTCCAGCGGACTGCGGCTGCCGCGCTGCCCACAGGAACTCAAGTTCCGCCACAGCCAGGTCAGAGAGACAGACACCCCAGAGAGGCCGGCTTCCCCAGCTCTGCGAAGAACAAAGCAGCGCGAATGAACGAAGCCACTGAACTGCCGTGGGCCTCAGCGCGCCCGTGGGCCTGAGCGCGTCCCGGCGCCCCGCTCCCTCCTCGCCCCGCCGAGCCAACCCCGAGGTCCGAGCAGAGTCCTGCCCGCCCACCGCCGTCCATCTCCGGCGCAGGGCGGCGGACAAAGAGCTCCTCCGCTCTTTTCGCCCACAAATTACCGCTCCGTGAAGCCTGGGCAGCTCAGCAGCACGAACCGACACCTCAATCTCCGCAGCATTTACAAATGGGCCGCCACAATCGCCGCCTCTGTCGGAGCCCCGCCCCCGTCCCGAGGTCCTGTGGGAAGTGAGGATCTCACCCGCGCGTCTGCGCTAAAGCGCAGGCACCGCTGAGCCCAGTGAAACTACAACTCCCAGTGACGCCACAGCGACGGGCGTTGCCCGGCGGGGGATGGACTGCGCGCCGCCTTCCGACCAGCAGCGGGCCAGTGGTCGACGTAGGCGGGCGGCGTGGCGGGGCGGAAAACCGTTTCCGGGAGAGACCTTCCGTGGTGGACGTCGCCCCAGGCTCCCACACTTAGAAAACTAAAGGGAACGCCTAACGGAGCGATGGATCTCCGTGTTCCCAGCAAAGCAGGGAGCACGGAGAGTCAAAGCTAACATAGAGCCCAACCGACGCTTAAAGGAGGTGTTTTGGGTTTTGTTTTTTTTTTTTCTATTTGCGTACGGTCTATTTTGTCGTTTTTTTGGTTTGGTTTGGTTTTTTTCTTTGTTTTCCGCTTTGGCTGAGGTGACTTAGTAAAGGAGAAAAAGGGCAGTCCGCTACACCATTTCGTAAGACGAAAATAACCCTATGAGAATTCACTCCAAAAATAGGCATCTTTCATCTCTCCTCAAATGGCTAATCGGTGGTTTGGCAGAGTGTGTCCATTAGATTCTGAAACTAGTTTGAATACTGACAGTGCAGAATTCAAGAAATTTTTTTGTTTTGTTTCGTTTTAACTGCCACGGCCCTTTAATCTAGGAAGTTACAGCACCGTGAGTTACCACAGTACTACATACCTGGCTTCCATGTCTGATTAAACAGCAGGCCAAGTAAAATGTTTAAAGAAATCAAATGAAGTGCCATTTATAACCGTTATAACTGAAACAAACGACTGCTAAAGACAAAACTATTTCACAGAAATTTGGTCCTCCAAAATTTGTTTTGCTTTCTACTTCAAAAAGAGTCTACTTCTCTAAATCAAGATTTCGGTTTTGCTTCTTTTTTCAATTTTTCTTTTCTTTTTTTAATTTTTATTTTTTGAGATGGAGTCTCGCTCTGTTGCCCAGGCTGGAGTACAATGGCGCGATCTCCGCTCACTGCAAGCTCTGCCTGCCGGGTTCACGCCATTCTCCTGCCTCAGCCTCCCGAGTAGCTGGGATTACAGGCGCCCGCCACCACGCCTGGCTAATTTTTTTATTTTTATTTTTAGTAGAGAAGGGGTTTCACCGTGTTAGCCAGGATGGTCTTGATCTTCTGACCTCGTGATCCGCCCGCCTCGGCCTCCCAAAGTGCTGGAATTACAGGCGTGAGCCACCGCGCCCGGCCCAATTTTTCTTTTTAATTTTCACTGTGGGTGAGGAAGCTAAAGCCCGAGACTTCCGAGATCACACAGCTACTTAAGATGCCAGACAAGGACCCAAACAATCTTCCTTTTCATTTATGATAGCCCTTTGGCTTGAAAGCATGCCCAAAAGTCTCATCATTCTTCCTAAAATGTGTATCTTTAAGGATAGTCGCAATATCCTCTATTTTTGTGCCTATATTTTATTCGTATGTTTTTATTTTAATATAGTATGTAGTGCCACATTGTTTGTTGATTGAATAAATAAATGAATCTTTTACCACACTCAAGTCTTAACTGGCTGTTAAATTAAGGTTATAATGTGTAAGTTTTCACCTGTAGCCCATGTAATTCTCAAAACTGCCCACTAAGCTTCAAGGGTTCAAATCCATTACAAGGTGGAAAGGCTAGTGGGGAGGAACTTCCATCTTCTACTCTGCCAGACAATAAAATGTTCTACCTTATCAGTGGTTCCTATCCTTGTTGCATCTTCAGATGGTGCTGTAGAGAAAAATTAGACTAACGGTTGTGGCACAGGGGTTTTAATGCCAGATTACCCGTTCTGATACAATTCTTTATGCCATCATAGGAGTCAAGAGGGCACTCCTATGTCATGGTTAAGAGTCCAGGATTTATCAGGCAGACCTGGGATCAAATCCTAGCTTGATAACTTACAAACAGCTTTGTAGTCTTCAGCACTCAACTTTTCTGAAACCAGTCTTCTCATCTGCAAAACAGGGGTGGATAATAATGAGACCTTCATAGGACTGTCAAGAAGATTACATTAAAAGAAAGACTATGTATGAAAAAGTAGCAAAAAACCTCCACATAGTAAAAAGTCAATGAACAGGAGGTGTTTTCATCTTTATAAAGAATTTAACTGTTGGTGAACTCTTGTCTACCAAAGCCTAGCTCTGTGGGTCTTGTCAAATGCTGTGCCAGACACAGAATAATACTTATTGTATTCCCAAATTATTTGGAAATAATTCTTTTTCATTATTTATTTTTTTGGAGACAGGGGTCTCACTCTGTTGCCCAGGCTGGTCTCTAACTCGTAGGCTCAAGCAGTCCTCTCACCTTGGCCTCTGAAAGTGCTGGAATTACAGGCATGAGCCACTGTGCTTGGCTGGTAATAATTCTTTTAATCAAAGTTGATCTGAGTGACAAAGAGTTGACAGCTTTTCATTGCTGGTCTGATGGTAGCAAGTGTCCACTCTATCCAGAGAGGACATGTCAGGTGCAGTGGCTCACACCTGTAATCCCAGCACTTTGGGAGACTGAAGCGGATAATTTGAGCCTAGACGTTTGAACGTTAGCCAGGTATGATGGTGTGCACCTGTAGCCCTACATACTTGGGAGGCTGAGGCAGGAGGATCACTTCAGCCCAGGAGTTGAAGGTTATGATCACACCACGAGACTACAGCCAGGGCAACAGAGTGAAACCGCCAACTCTTAAAAAGAAAAAAAGTGGGGGAGGACATCAGGGCTAGCCTGGCCAAGGAATGATTCCTATAGATCAGTCAGAGTGGTGGGAGAAACTATAGGGAAAGGAGCAGACCTTCTGAAAAGTCGGAAGCCTCTGCATAGCCTCCAGGGAGAATAAGCTGAAGGCAGCTGTTTTCTGACCCTGAGGCAGAGGGCAAGGAGTAGGTACCAGGAAGCATAGGGGAATTTATCGTAAATAGGCTTGTTTACTTACATTGACCAGGAGCTGACCTTTGATCATCCACATGCGTGACCCGTTCCCTGAAAGGGGAACAATAATGTTAATTACCCACAGATTGTTTTTGCTCCAGGCTTTCAGCATTATGTCTATACTGAATAAAAGCAAGCAGCTCCAGCTGTTTGCCTGCTCACTCTTTGGCCGCTAGTGCCAAGCAGTCCCCTAGCTGCTCTTACACTGCATATCTGCGTCTGAGTACTCGTTTCATCCATCGTCCAGCCAGGGTCTGTGGGACAGACCCAGCAACTGGTGCCCTGTGTGAGGAATGCTGCAACAGATCACGATGGAACCCCCAAAAATGAGGTGAAGAGACTGTGCGGGAAGTAAGTAATTGGTGCCCACTCAGGATTTCCAAGTTTGAGGGAATTTTCAACCTAGGGTTTCATCATGGGACAACAGTTATCAGCTCAACAGCAACACTATATGTAAGTATTGAAACAGCTGCTTAAAGCTAGCAGAGCCTGGGTCTCGGAGGCTCAGTTAAGGGGCCTAATGCAAACTGTTGTTTTCAATAACCCATGGTTCCCAGAAGAAGGCACGTTAGACCAAGAACTCTGGGAGCAAGTGAGGGGAAATCTTAAATAACATCATGCACAAGGGAAACGGGTCCCAGTAACATCTTTAACGTTATGGGCCTTAATCAGGGCTGCTTTGGCCCCACTCTACACAAAAGAGCCTAAAAAGGAAAGGGAAGAGGAACCATCCACCTACCTGACCGCCTCCTCCTCCCTCAGCCCCACTGTTACTAGGTAAAGGTGCCACAGAGGAGACAGAGTTTCCCTGAGCCCCCTCCTCCAATAAATTGGAAAAAAAGACAAGGGATACACTACAGTTACGGGACCCTGTCTTAGGCAAGTGGCATTAGAAGGGGAGCTCTTGGCCTGCCCTGTGATGCAAGATCAACACGGCAATCAGGTATATGAGCCCATCACTTTCAACACCTATAAAGAGATAAGAAAAAGCATTAGAGAAAACAGAGCTGCTAGCCCATCTACAAAAGGATTAATTGAGGCCATAGCAGACAACTTCCTTATGATCCCATGGGACAGGTCAGTGCTAGCTCAAACAACTTTAGAGGCCAGTCAATACCTCCTCTGGATGGCAGAATATGATGAGTTGTGTGAATGACAAACCAACCAGAATCAATTGGCTGGGTAAAACATATGGGTCACTCAGAAACAGAAAATTGTCGGCACTGGAGAAGTGCACACAGCCAAGCAGAGTGCACGCCCTCTAAAGTCACGATTTGGAGGGAAGAAAAGCAACTATACAACCTCTAATCATGCCCATCCCTGTTCATCTTTGGGAATGGGACCTTATTAGCCCAATGGGGGGGTCACTATGCAGAGCCCTTTCTAATAGTGGCCACTGTTGTAAGTCCTCCCCTACCCCTGACATGGCTGTCTCAAGATCCAATTTGGGTAGAACGGTGACCTTTAAAGGGAGAGAAATTACAACAAACCCATGAATTAATTGAGGAACAATTAAAAGCCAGCCATATAGAACCAGCAGACAGCCCTTGGAATTCACCCATTTTTTGTCATTCCCATAAAGTCTGGTAAATGGAGAGTTCTGCATGACTTACAGGCTATCAATGCTAATTTGCAACCTATGGGGCCCCTTCCACAGGGGCTCCCTTCCCCCCGCAGTGATTCCTCGAGTTTTGAGTCATTATTGACTTAAAAGACTGCTTTCATACTATTCTCCTTGCAAAACAGGACAGAGAAAAATTTACGTTTACAATACCAGCTATCAATAATGAAGGCCCAGCTCCCTGATTTCACTGGAAAGTACTTCCCCAAGGAATGCTGAACAGTCCTACCATGTGTCAGTATCGTGTAAATAAGGCTTTGCTCCCCAGTAGAAAAGAATTTCCTAATTGCAAGATAATCCATTATATGGATGACATCTTACTGGCAGCCCCAACGGAGCCAATACTTTTGAATTTATATGCCTCTGTCAAAAAGAATACACAGTTAACAGGCTTAATCATAGCACCTGAAAAGGTACAGATGTCCTCTCCTTGGAAATATCTTGGATATATACTAACATCCCAGTCAGTAAGACCTCAGAAGGTTAAATCGAATACTAACAACAGGCTTGTTTACTTATGTTGACCAGGAGCTGACCGTTGATCATTCACACACGTGACCCCTTCCCTGAAGGGGGAACAATAATGTTAATTACCTGCAGATTGTGTTTTCTCCAGGCTTTCAGCATTATGTCTGTACTGAATAAAAACAGGCAGCTCCAGCTGTTCAAGACTACTCACTCTTCAGCCACTAGTGCCCAGCAGTCCTCTAGCTGCTCTTAAACACTGCATACCTGTGTCTGAGTACTCCTTTCATCTGTTGCTCAGCCAGAGTCTGCAGGACAGACCTGGCAGATCCCCAAGCCCAGGTGATCCGGGCTAGAAAGGGGAACTCCAGCAGGTTGGGGAGATGCATGTGTCTGGCCTCTAGACAAACCCAAGAAAAACCACACCCTCCTTTACCTGCAGGAAGAGTGAAGGAGTTCTTCACCAAGGCCTGAAACAGATTTCTAGAATTACTTCAGTAAAGAAGTTTCTTATTTTTGAGACGGAGTTTCACTCTTGTTGCCCAGGCTGGTGTCCAGTGGCGTGATCTTGGCTCACTGCAGCCTCCACCTCCCGAGTTCAAGTGATTCTCCTGCCTCAGCCTCCTGAGTAGCTAGGACTACAGGCACACACCACTATGCCTGGCTAATTTTGTATTTTTAGTAGAGATAGGATTTCTCCATGTTGGTCAGGCTGGTCTCGAATTCCTGACCTCAGGTGATCTGCCCACCTCGGCCTCCCAAAGTGCTGGGATTACATGCGTGAGCCACCACACCTGGCCAGTAAAGAAGATTCTAACAACAATGTTGGGTGCAAAGAGACTTTTTTTAATCTTGGCATTTTGATATAGTTAAATCTATTGCTGGTGTATTGGACTTACAACAAAAGATCCTGGAAACCTAATGGGTCTGTACAACAAAGGGATGATCACATCCACTATATTCTAGAATGCCTGACCAATGATGTTGAATAGACTGTAAAGGATTTCTAGCTTGAATCTTTGATGTGATAACTGCAGAGCAATACCATAATAGTTTTCACACCTGTATTTTTGCTTTCTTTAAAAATAACAACAATTACATAGTAGTTTGATGGTTTTTCAAGCATTCTGTAGGTTTTTATTACACATTTTTTTTAGATGGGGTGACTCTATCACCTGGGCTGGAGGGCAGTGGCATAATCACAACTCACTGTAGCCTCAACCTCCAGGGCTCAAGTGTTCCTCCTGCCTCAGCCTCCCAGGAAGCTGGGACCACAGGCATGTGCCACCACATCCAGCTAATTTTTGTTTTTTGTAGAGATGGGGTTTTGCCATGTTGCCTAGGCTGTTCTTGAACTCCTGAGCTCAAGCAATCCACCTGCCTCAGCTTCCCAAAGTGTTGGGATTACAGGAATGAGTTACTGCGCCTGTCATCTCCATCATTTCTACAGGATAGTTTTGACAGATACAGAATTCATGGTTGCCAGTTTGTTTGTTTTCTTTCAGCACTTTATATCATCCCACTGCCTTCTGGCCTCCATGGTAATAAATTGGCTGTTAATCTTATGGAAGGTCCTTTGTATGTACTGATAATTTCTCTCAAGCTGCTTTTAAGCTTCTCTGTCTTTGGCTTTCAACAGTTTGATTATAATATAATGCTATTGTGAACTCTTTGAGTTTATCATACTTGAAGTTCATTGAGCTTATTAGAAGTGTTACATTATGTCTTTTATCAAATTGGGACTTTGGGGCCACTGTTTCTTCAGTCACTCTTCCTGCCCTTTTTACCCTCTTATTTCTTTCTGGGACTCCCATCATGCATATGCTGGTACACTTGATGGTGTCCACAAATCTTTTGGACTTTGTTCTTCATTCTTTTACTTTCTGCTCCTTAGACTTAATAATTTCAATTGTTTTCAAGTTTGCTCATTCCTTCTTTAACCTGCTCAAATCTGTTGAGCGTCACTTGTGAATTTTTTTTTTTTTTTTTTTTTTTTAATGAGACAAGGTGTTGCTCTGTTACCCAGGCTAGAGTGCAGGAGTGCAATCATAGCTCACTACAGCTGTGAACTCCTGGGCTCAAGTGATCCTCCTGCCTTAGCCTCCTGAGTAGCTACAGCCACAGACATGCACCACCATGCCCAGTTAATTTTTTAATTTTTTTGTAAAGATGGGGTCTCGCTATGTTGCCAAGGCAAACTCTTAGCCTCAAGTGATCCTCCCGCCTTGGCCTCCCAAGATGGTAGGTTTACAGGCATGAGCCATCATGCTTCATGCTATTGTACTTTTTAACTATACAATTTTTTTGGTTCTTTTCAGTTCCATAATTTCTGTTTGGTTCCTTTTATAATTTCTATCTATTAATAATCTTTATTTTTTTAAATAATTTCAAATTTTATTTTAGATTCAGAGGGTACATGTGCAGGTTTGTTACCTAGGTATAATTTGTGTTGCTGAGGTTTGGGGTATGACTGATCCCCTCACCCAGATACTGAGCATTGTACCAATAGTTTTTTCAACCCTTGCCCTTTTCCCTCCCTCCCTGTCTAGTAGTCCCCAGTGTCTATTGTTGCCATCTTTATGGTCCATGAGTACCCAGAGTTTAGCTCCCATTTACAAATTTGAACATGCAGTATTTGGTTTTTCTGTTCCTTTATTAATTCGCTTAGAACAATGGCCTCCAGTTGCATCCATGTTGCTGCAAAGGACATGATTTCATTCTTTTTATGGCTTCATAGTATCCCATGGTGCATATGTACCACATTTTCTTTATCCAATCCATTGTTGATGGGCACCTGAGTTGATTCCATGTCTTTGCTATTGTGAATAGTGCTGTGATGAACATACTAGTGCATGTGTCTTTTTGGTAGAATGAGTTCTTTTCTTTTGGATGTGTACCCAGTAATGGGATAGCTGGGTCGAATGGCAGTTCTGTTTTCAGCTCTTTGAGAAATCTCCAAACTGCTTTCCACAGTGGTTGAGCTAATTTACATCCCCACCAACAGTGTATAAGCATTTCCTTTTCTCTGCACCCTTGCCAGCATATGTTGTTCCTTGACTTTTTAATAATAACTGTTCTGATGGTATCTCATTGCAGTTTTGATTTGCACTTCTCTGATGATTAGTGATGTTGAGCTTTTTTCATGTTTGTTGACCATTTGATTATTCTTTTGCATATTCCCTATTTGTTTTTGAGACCTTGTTCTCCTGGTTGTTTCTTTCCGATCTTTTTCTATGTTTCTTTTCACTTTTTGTTCATGTTTAAGACAGGTCATTTAAAGTATTTCTCTTATAATTCCTGTATCTGCACTTCCTCGGCTCAGGGACAGTTTCTGTTCATTTACTTTTTCCTTTGATTTGGCCATTTTTTCATGTTTCTTTTTTTTTTTTTTGCATGCCTCATAATTTTTTGTTGAAGATTGGACATTTTGAGCATTATAATGTGGTAACTCTGGAAACCAGAGTCTCTCTCCTCCCCCAAAATCTCTTGTTGTTTCTTAGACAACACTATAGAGTAGGTTGTAATTATGAAACTTGGTAAATTACGGTGTCCCCAATCCCCTTGGTAATAAATTGTGGAGTCAGGATTCAAAGCCATACCTTTTCCACTGTATTCTCTACTCTATCCTTTCTATTCTCATTTTATTCAGTACCCTAAAAATCTGGATCTTCCCCATTGCTTTATTCCCATTTCAGTGAATCTCAGATCTGTATCTCCAGCCCTCGCCTCTCTTGAGTGGCAGATAAATGTATTTCTAACTAGTTACAAAAATATATTTCTAACTAGTTACAAACACTATCACGAATTTCAAACTCAGGAAGTCTTAAAGTAAATTTATTATCTCACTCTCCTGTTTCCACGAACTTTCCCGAAATTTTCTTCTTTCCCGCCCTTGCGAATCCCTTGCATTTCTCAGTTAAAGGACAGCACCATCCACCCACCTCTCCCAAAGCCGAGCTTTGGATTTATCCTCATTGGCTAAATCCCTCCTGAAACATGAAACTGAAACAAAGCCCTGAACCCCCTCAGGCTGAAAAGACAAACCCCGCCTGAGGCCGGGTCCCGCTCCCCACCTGGAGGGACCCAATTCTGGGCGCCTTCTGGCGACGGTCCCTGCTAGGGACGCTGCGCTCTCCGAGTGCGAGTTTTCGCCAAACTGATAAAGCACGCAGAACCGCAATCCCCAAACTAACACTGAACCCGGACCCGCGATCCCCAAACTGACAAGGGACCCGGAACAGCGACCCCCAAACCGACACGGGACTCGGGAACCGCTATCTCCAAAGGGCAGCTTTCTTTGAGGGAGGCTGTTAGACGTGACTCCTTGTTTCTAAAAATGGACAAATACCAGCCTGGGCAACATGACAAAAACCCATTTCTAGTAAAAATAGAAAAAAATTAGCCAGGCATGGTGGTGGGCGCCTGTAATCCCAGCTACGCTGGAGGCTGAGGCAGGAGAATCACTTGAACCGGGAGGCGGAGGTTGCAACCAGCTGAGATCACACCACTGTACTCCAGCCTGGGTGTCAGAGTGAGACTCCATCTCCCTCCCAAAAACACCCAAATGCAGAATATATATGTGTATATACACATATACATATTCCATTTAAACATAGTTGTATATTTTTATTACCAATTGTTCGGTTTTTCTCCAGAATGTCTTAACAGAAACCCACATAATGAGTCTTTTTGAATGCATAGAATTATATACAAAAACCCATGTTTCACTATCACATAATGTTAATTTTTAATTTAGAAATAAATGCTTCTATGTTCTTGAGTCACACAATCTGTAACTAAAATCTGTCATGTTTTTATTAAGATGTATATTATAAGCCTGTACAAAGGGATTTTGGGTGTTGTAATATCAGCCACAAAAGCTAGAAATCATTCTTAAACCAACACACATGTTGCAAGCTATGATATTCAATTTTTACAATGTGTTCAATTTACAACATGATTACAATGTTTCTTAAGGTAATGCCTAATTTTTCCAGTTTGTATGTATAACAATTCTAAATTCACTGTCATATTGACTTAAGAGAGGGTCCTTAAAAACTTTGTTTCCTACAGGATGGTGATGGGAATCTTTGCAAATTGTATCTTCTGTTTGAAAGTGAAGTACTTACCTCGGCAGCAGAAGAAAAAGCTACAAACTGACATTAAGGAAAATGGCGGAAAGTTTTCCTTTTCATTAAATCCTCAGGTATTTCCAAATGTCATAAACTACAGTGTGATAAAACATCGCGCATTCAGGGAACAACAGGGTCATGGTTAGAAGAGGAAACAGAGATTAGCAGCAGGAGAGAGTGAGCTACTGGAAGCTCATCAGGAGAGACTGTGACTTGGCCGGTTGGGAGGCTGGGCCCCCAGAGGCAGAGGAGGACCAGCCCTGTTCTCTCCCTGTTCCCTGAACCGCAGGACAATTCCACATGTCCAGTGAGGCAGGATATTACTAGAGCACAGCCAAATATGAAAATAGAATTTCAGACCAGTCAAATCTATTCTTGAAGGAAAAAAGTCATAGTGCACAGGATTTGCAAAAAGCGCACTGTCGTCACTCACCAGTGTGTCAACGCTGGGGTGATATACTGGTAAGCCAGGTTCCTGGGGGCAAAAAGAAAGATATGTAGTGCAGACTCATCTTCGCAGTGTAGCTTGTGCTGTTTGTTTTGTTCATTTAAAGACTGCAGGAAGCTACATTCCATCTTTTGAATTGAACTTGTAGGCCTGGCAGTTCAGATAACAGGATTTCACAACTGGATGAAATCTTGGAAACAGTTAAGTCTAACCTCTTCTTCTTTTTTTTTTTTTAGATGGAGTCTCACTCTGTTGCCCAGGCTGGAGTGCAGTGGTGCGATCTCAGCTCACTGCAACTTCCGCCTCCTGAGTTCAAGCAATTCTCCTGCCTCAGCCTCCTGAGTGGCTGGGATTATAGGTGCCTGCCACCACGCCTGGCTAATTTTTGTACTTTTAGTAGAGACAGGATTTTTGCCATGTTGGCCAGGCTGGTCTTAAACTCCTGACCTCATGTCATCCGCCTGTCTCGGCCTCCCAAAGGGCCGGGAATACAGGCATGAACCACCGTGCCTGGCCCCCTCCTCTTTTTTTAAACCACCTCGTTGTAAGAAGTAAAAATAGAAATCCAAAGGCTCTAGGTTCCAGGCTGGCCTGCCCCTGTCCTCTCCTGTTCCCTCTGTTGATGAATTGATGGGCTGACTCAGCCTGCCCCTCCCTGGACCTCAGCCCTGGGACTTGGCCATAGTGAGCCTCATCTGTGAAGCGTGTTCAACTCCAGCTGAATACCAGAAATGCAATGTCCCTGTTTACTTCCAATTCAGGTAGAATTGTATATACTTCCCTTATACAGCTTCCCACACTGAGCTGTCTCACCATCTCTGTGGACAGATGAGTAATTCGTGCCCGCTCTCCCTTCTCAGTTTGTCTTCTGTGTGGAGAACTGCCAACATGGTCTCTCCTTTTTAGAAACTCACATACTGTAAGTGCAACCTTTTGGAAGTCAGTGTACATAAACATGTGAAATGTGCATCCCAGCTACTGTAGATAATGAGGCAGCTCTACATGTAATCACGAGGAAAAATCGCCAAGATAAATTCAGTGGACAAACCAGCACGGAAGAGGCTGAGGAGCACGCTGCCATATGTCTACACATAGTGTAGCTCTAGCAGAATTCGTGAGGAGCAAGTGACAGCAGGTGCCTCTGCAGAAAGGAACTGGGGACAACAGTGGGGAAGAAGTTAACATGTCATTATTTTATTTTTTAGATATTCTACAATGTGAATTTACTATTTATTAAAAACTAAATAAAATTGTAAGCTGGGGATAGTGGCTCATGCCTGTAAACCAGCACTTTGGGAGGCTGAGGTGGAAGACTCACTTGAGGCCAGGAGTTCAAGACCAGCCTGGTCAACATAGCAAGAACCCATATCTACAAAAAAACCCCAAAATTTTTAAAAATTATGAATTAAAATAAATAATGAATAACCTTTGAACCTCCCTTTCCACTACTAAGAAAATAATTGAACAAGTGCACAAGGATGTGTACATGAGGATAGTCATCACAGCGTTGTTTATAATAATGAAAATTTAGAAATAACCTCTAGGGTTAATCAATTATAGTGCATTCGTAGCCATATCCTTTAAAAACAGTTGATTTTTTAAATGTTTATGTAACTAGAAACTGTTATTTATAGAAGTCTTAGAAATTTGAGAAAGATTATCACAAACTACCTTAAGACTTTTTAAGGATGAAAATTATAGATACAAATAACTTATTTAAATGTTGTTTTTCCTGAGGCATAATGGATTGACTTTTTTTCCTTAGTGCACACATGTAATTAAATATTTTTCATTTCCTGTTTATTGCATATTTGAAACTTTGTTCTATATTTTCTATTTCAGGATGTACGTAACATTGATGCGAGAGCACATTATATGGGGGTGTAGGCACAAGATTTTCTTGCTAGTGGAATGTGAACCAAAAAGTGTAGAGGCCACTGGGCTAAAGGAGGCCGGCTCAATCAGTGAAAATATTCAAAGCCAGTTTTGTTGTTTTCAGCAGTTAGTAACTATCAGTAGATGAATATTTACTAGGAAACATTGGTCTTTTAACCACTTTGGGCATGCTTCTTATTTAGTATGTTCATTCTATCATGACATTCAGTGAACATTTATTGAGTGCCTACTGTGCACTAGGGACTAGTAAGCATGTTAAGTTTGTAAGCTTTGTTAATTTCCACCACAAACCCATAGGACCTCGTTATTCTCATAATTGAGGAAACTGAGATTCCCAGTGTTGAATGAAAGCCACACAGTATCACATGGCCAATATCATGTGATTGCAGAGTCAGGACTCAAACCCAGCTCTTAACCACCACGCTATACTGACGGCCCTTTCCCAGTTCACAGGGAAAAATCAGGAACAGGGAGAGAATTTTCAAAATATTAAGTTTCCCCATAGAATTTTCTGAAGAACTTTGGTGTATGTTGCCACTTGTTCACTAACAAGTTCTAGCAGATGACAGAACAATGAGGAAGTAGCTAATTAATATTAATGAACAACCTCAGAATTTTTCTGAGTGTTGAATAGACTTGAATATTCAACAGTCTCAAATATTTGACACCATTTAGTGGACACAGACTTGACTCGATATGCTTATTCTACCAAGTTGTTCCTGGTTTACGTGACACAACTGAATGTATGCCAGTTTCATGGGGGACTCTCAGATATTCTGAAGGTACCTAATCAAGTCAGTATAGTGGGAAGGAGAGAGAAACAGAAGCCTCATTTGTGAAATAGTACTTGAGTTTGTGCGTGAAGAATGGATAGGATTTAGACTGAGAAGCGTGGAAAGGGGACAACCATAAACAACTGTAGAGAGGCTGGAACGTGAGCTGTGCTGCAGGCAGCAGGGATGCCTGGAGGCACGTGGAAGCCAGGAGGTGGCGGGCACAGGGCACTTGACAATGCAGTGCATAAGCTCGAGGTGAGACGGGCAGAAGAACTTCCGTAAGATGCCAAGGAAAACTGCTTTTATTAAATATCTTAATTTTTGGCAGAATCATTTTGTCTGATATAATGTGATGGGTTTAGTACCACATTACATTTCACATGTTATATTCTGAAATCTGAAACTTTTTTTTTTTAATCTAGGAATATTCCCTGGGCTTTTGAGGCAATAAAGCAAGCAAGTGAATGGGTAAGAAGAACTGAAGGACAGTACCCATCTATCTGCCCACGGCTTGAACTGGGGAACGACTGGGACTCTGCCACCAAGCAGTTGCTGGGACTCCAGCCCATAAGCACTGTGTCCCCTCTTCATAGAGTCCTCCATTACAGTCAAGGCTAAGTCAAATGAAACTGAATTTTAAACTTTTTGCATGCTTCTATGTAGAAAATAATCAAATGATAATAGATACTTATAATGAAACTTCATTAAGGTTTTATTCAGTGTAGCAATTAGTGTCTTCAAAAATAAAGTAAGTGGAAGCAGAATTACTTTAATCAACTAACAAGCAATAATAAAATGAAACAAAATATTTGTTTTCTGTGTCTCATTTTTTTGTTGTATTTTTTATATTTTTTATATTTTGAGACAAACTTTTGCTCTTGTTGCCCAGACTGGAGTGCAATGACATGATCTCACCTCACTGCAATCTCCGCCTCCTGGGTGCAAGCAATTCTCCTCCCTCAGCCTCCCGAGTAGCTGGGATTACAGGCGCCTGCCACCATGCCCTGCTAATTTTTTTGTATTTTTAGTAGAGATGGGATTTTACCAGGTTGCCCAGGCTGTTCTTGAACTCCTGACCTCAGGTGATCCACCCGCCTCAGCCTCCCAAATTGCTGGGATTACAGGCATGAACCACTGCACCTGGCCTGTTGTTGTTGTTTTAGAGATGGTCTCAATCTGTCTCCCAGGCTGGAGTGTGGTGGTGCGATCATACCTCACTGCAGCCTCAAACTCCTGGGCTCAAGGGATAGTCCCGCCTCAGCCTCCCAATTAATTGAGACTACAGGCATGTGCCACCACACCCAGCTAATTTTGGGGTATACTTTTTGTAGAGATGGGGTCTTGCTATGCTGCCTAGGCTGGTCTTGAGTTCCTGGCCTCAAGTGATCCTCTCACCTCAGCCTCTGAATGTGTTGGGATTACGGGTGTGAGCCTCTGCACCCAGCCGGTGTTTCAGAGCTTTATGGTGATGAGGCATGCTTCTGGATAGTCCTGGGAGCCTGTGTCCTTCTCACATTCAGGAGTCCAGTGGAAAGCTGGCTCAGCTGGACTGAGCAAGCTGAGAAGAAACATGGTCTTTTGTAGGGGATCTGTCAGGGTTGTGGGAGAAATTATAAAAATTAAGATGTAGGAAATAGACACAAAACTTCTTGGAAGGCTGGGAGGTTTGCGTAGCTTCAGTAAAAGTTTTGGCTGAAGACAGCTGAACTCTCTTAAAAGCTTAGGGCATAGATACATAGGAATGTAGAGGATTTTATCTAAATAGCTTGTTTACTCATGTGGTCCTAAGACCTTTGATCATTTGCAGGTGCATGACTGCTCTCTACTCCGGAGGTCAGCGATGTTAATTACCCTCTAGTCGTATTTACTTGAGACCTTTGTCATTAAATCTGTACTGAATAAATGCCTGGAGCCCCAGCCTGTCAGGGCTGTGGCTGCTGACTCTTTACAGCACCCTCCTTGGTGTCTGGGAGCTGCCGGTCCCCTAGCCTGCTGTTTCATGGGATACCTGTGTCTGAGTGCATTTCTTCACCCGTCATGTGGCCAGGGTCTGCAGGTTGGACCTGGCAAGTTACTGACACAGTTTGAAAATTATACAGGATTGGTTGTTGAGTTGGATATTTTAGTCAACATTTATTAAGCCCATGCCTCAGCAGTAGTTGACTTTTGTCTAAAGGGAAAGAAAGAAATTCTAGTTTTCCCAAACATCTAAGGCTCCAAACAAAACATACTGAATCAAGATTTCCAGAAGAAAGTCCTGACAACTTGGATATTTAATAGGTGCTCCAGGTTATCAAGCACATTAGAATACAATGGCCCAGGTGCTGTATCTCAAAGTGTGAGTCTGTGAACTGGCATTGTCTGCCTCACTCGAGAACTCATCAAGACAGGCAGAATCTCTGGTCCTGTTTGAGACTATTGAATCAGAAGCTGCATTTTTATTTAGCAAGGCCCCCAGGCGACTCCTGTGCACGATTATAGTTGAA
The DNA here is from genome assembly GCF_000001405.40 of Homo sapiens. NCBI lineage: Eukaryota > Metazoa > Chordata > Mammalia > Primates > Hominidae > Homo > Homo sapiens. The sequence continues at coordinate 24,938,668 of NC_000013.11, forward strand.
GGGCTAGTGGACTGTGGTGACAGGAACATATTTGGTGCTTGTGCAGGGCCTTGTTCTAAGAACCCATGATGCTTGTGCACAGTGGAGCATCCCATCAGTCCAATTGTTGGGAGAAAAGCTGAGGCAACACTTGCTATCTGACATAATATAAAGAGTCTTGGAACATGTCCTGGGTCCAGAGTTTAAAACCTCTTGTGGCCTGTGCAACACCAGCCTCTGTGCTTAAGGGTGGAAGGCTGCCCCGCTGCACTACAACCTAAGCCCAGGGCATAAAACCCCTCATGGCTTGGATGGAATCCACGACTCAGGACATAAAACCCCTCGTGGCCTCTGGAATGTGCCCAGACTTGCTGGCTCCTTGCTTCTTGCTCTCCCAGGATCATAAATTGATTGTATCTTGAGTTATAAGGACATATTCAACATTATCTCGAGTAGCAGAACATGTTCCATATGCTTCAAAGGAAATGCTAAACCGACACAGCTATAAATTAAACACTTGATGCGACCACTTCCTTTTGACCAGCACATCCTCACCCCCTGCTTCTTTGTTTTATCACCAATAAATAGTGTGGGCTCCCAGAGCTCAGGGCCTTCACAGCCCTGAGTGCCCTGGACCCACTTTATGTACTATTGTCTTGTCTCATTCCTTTGACTCTGCCGGACTTTGTAGCCCCCATGGCATGGTGTTGGGGCTATTTGTGACTGCCTTTGTTTTATAATATTTTTATTATTCACCTTGTACAGATGAAGACTCCCAGCTGTAGAGGCAAAGGGGCCAAACTGCAGGTAGAGCAGGCATTCCCCAAGGTGTTTGTGATCCCGGGGTACAGCTCCCACCCTTGGCTGCCTGGATGCTTCTTTCCAGACCAACTGTATCTCAAAGACATCCCCTTAGGCACCCAGCACAGGCTGCTGTCTCAATTTAGAACTGAGCCTGTTCAGTTGATGGCTCAGCACAGGCCTCTAAAAAAGCAAGCCTGATGTGGGTTAGTACATCTGTGGTTGGCTTACTTATTTGGTGTTCATTTTTTCAGTTTTCAGAAAGGTCACTTGAAGTGCTGCTGGTGGCTGTAGCATTGATACACAGTGGAGGTTTTTGATCTGTGAGCTTTTTAGGGGACAATTGCTAAGCCGCACTGATACCTTGAGCCCATTTCCTTTGGAACAACGTAGAGCCCAGTTCATGGCTCCCAGAAGTTTAGGTTCAGTAATTTGGCTGCAGGCCTAGACAATGGGAGGCTGCAGACTTGGACTAATGGTGAACTCTTGCCTCCCCCCAGGGATATGTGGTGCCTGTCATAAGCTCCAGAGAGCTGCCTTCCATGAGACCAGCAGAAGAGTGGGTTCCACTATCCAGGCTGCCATTGACCTCATGGTGGCGGCTGCAGGTACAGTCCTGTGTCTCATAACCATGCTTCTGTTGGTGATGGATGGTTTATCTGATAGTGGTCCCATGAGATTATACCATCTTTTACTATACCTTTTCTGTGTTTATATACATTTAGATACACAAATACCACTGTGTTACAGTTGCCTACAGTATCCAGTACAGTAACATGCTGTACAGGTGTGTAGACTTCAGCAACAGGCCATACCGTACAGCCTAGGTGTGGAGTAGGCTATGCCATCTAGGGTCGGGTGTGTGTGTTCTATGATAGCACAGTGATGAAATTGTGTAATGACACATTTTTCAGAACATGTCCCAGTCATTAAGAAATGCCTACGTATAATCCCAGAGAAAACCCAGTCTTCTCTATTACTCAAGTACCTTCTAAATGAGATCAAATGAAAGTGGTATGAAAACATTACCTTTCTCCCTCCAGAAGCGATGGGCATTACCTTTGGGATGAATCCATTTGATGGAAGTGAAGTATTGTTCAGAGTGTGGCAGAAGATAGAGGAGTGTCCATTATTGCTAACACCTTGTGAGTCAGGGTGAGAGGAGGAATGTGCCCAGTACAGCTGGAAAACAGCTCAGAGGTGAAGCCCCTTGTCCACTGTCACCTGGCTGGGATAGGCAGGTGACGTGGTTCTTCACTTCAAGCCTGGCAGTCTTCAGAGCCCTTGTAGTGCAAAAATAACACCGTAGCATCTCCCAGGAAACACCACTTACTGTCCCTGCCAGTGTTGGGAAAGAAAGGAGGACACTCTTTAGAAGTGTCTTTTACAATGAGACTGATAATGGACTGTGTCTCAGAGCCATGAAAGGAAAGGAGAAGTTGTAGGATTTCCTGGGAATGTCAGCTAACTTGAGCCTAGGGGCCTGAGCCCAAGGGCAGACTGAGGCTCCCCCGGCACAGGGAGGTGCTGCCTGTGACAAGGGGGTAGTGCTGGCACAGTGCAGGCTACTCCCTAGAAAGATCAGCTTGAACATGCAGGAAGAGCAGGACCCTTGGGCTGAGGCACAGGTAGAATGGGAAGTTCATGGTAGTAATTTAGTTCTCCAGAGGCCAGAAGTAGGAGGAGAGGTTGGAAGGCTGATTGCCCAAAGGGAAACCCTGGACTACCCTGGCGTCCCACAGGACTCTCATAGTACTTGCGGCTCCCTGCAGTGGGGAGGCCAGAAGGAGTGTTGCCCAATGCTGTCCTCATCCAGTCCACCCCCACCCACCACCAACGGGTGGGTATGGTCATGAGTGTGGTCACCTCATCAGTCATTTGCTCAGCTGTGAAAAAGAAATTGTTCAGAGAAGAGCAAAGTGTTTTTCCATGAGCCAAAGGTCGGCCAAGGTATGCTAATGAGGAGGACTGGAGACAGCGCATCACAGACACTGATAAGGAGCACTGGGCAAGGGCACTTCTCCCAGGGCAGAGCCCACAAGGAGCGTCCTGGCACCAGATGCTCAGGGAACTGAAGGCTGGCAGGGGCCTGCCCAGTAGTCTCTCGCCCACCGCATGCCTTTAGGCTACAGCCTCCCAGGCCCCGGGCCCCCTCCCCTCCCCCGTGCCACACTGGGGAAGATGCTGACCCTGAGAATGGTGCAACCATCTGCCTGCCCCTGGCCACCTCTCACCAGCACGTGAATGCTCTTGGGCTCAGTTCTGTATCTGCAGTAGGAGGGTGTTTATCCACGTGACAGAGTCTCACCATTTGACATTTTATGTCTTTCAGTCTGTCAAAGATCTAGAACATATTGTGATAGAATTAAAAAGTTTACTTTTGGCTGGGCAAGGTTGCTCAAGCCTGTAATCTCAGCACTTTGGAAGGCCGAGGCAGGTGGACCACTTGAGGTCAGGAGTTCAAGACCAGCCTGGCCAATATGGTGAAACCTCGTCTCTACTAAAAATACAAAAATTAGCCAGATGTGGTGGTACATGCCTGTAATCCCAGTTACTCGGGAGGCTGAGGCAGGAGAATTGCTCGAACGCAGAAGGCAGAGGTTGAAGTGAGCAAAGATTGTGCCACTACACTCCAGCCTGGGTGACAGAGTGAGAATCCACCTAAAAAAAAAAAAAAAAAAAAAAAAAAGAGTTTACCTTTTCCTATTTATGCGCATACAGGTATTTGGGTACCACGTTTGTAATTTACAGTTAGTTTGAAAGATAGAAATTGAAACAGTATGGTTGGGAGCCTGGTATGTAAGCCGTTTGCTGGTGGGCGTGTGTGTATTGGGCCCTTGTATGTACGATCTCTGTGATCCCATCATTACTGTTCATTTCTTCCAGGAGAGGAATGACACACTTCTCCCTTTAATTGCCAAATTATCTCCAATTCTGAATCAGTGGAATATAATTTAATATGATTTTACTATGATTAATTCAGGGTCATTCTCTCCCAGGTGCTGCTGGGCTAGGATAAAATGAGATCTGAATTACATTAAAATAATTAAGTATTCCAAGAGAAGAGGTGACAGAATGGTTTAAGTGGCTGCGTAGTTTAGATAACCTAGATGCAGATAAGCTGAATAAAGCATTTAATCCAGCACATTCGTATTTTAACTTGATCATCAGCAATGGGAGTTTGAAACCCGATTGCAGCTGCATGTCCCACACAACTGAATTTTGTTCCTTGCGCACAGCAGTGTTTTCTGGAGGTGCCTGGAGGTCTGAAGGTGTCCCCTTTTATAGGCAGGAATTCCACCAGGATGGGTATAGCTTGTTTTTTTAAAAGGCTTGGGACTGGATACGATTGCCCAAGAAGACAGAAAAATTAGCAAACTTTATTCCAGTAAGAAAGTTTGGGATGTACTGCTTCAGTCCCTGTCCTAAGGAAATTATCAAGCCTGGAGGGTGGGGTGCTATCAACTGCCTGCCAACATGTTACCTTCTGACATCCAGAAGCTTCCCTGTGCCAGATGGAGCCACCAATGTGGGGAGGAGAGCACAAAGAGCAGAGAATCCACAGAAACCATACCTGCAGGGAGCAAACACCATCACACTCCACTTAATGCAAATGCATTTACCTATTCTTACCATCTCCCTCAGCATGTTGAATCTATTCTGGGGTTAGACAAGCTCCCAGACTTATCTGCTATGTTTAATAAAAACAATTTTGGCTTTTAATGGTAAAGGAAGAATCGGGGCTATTAAAATACTTAAGAGTGAGAAAGTTGAAAAAAGATGTAGATTGCGTTTGGCCTGTCTTCCCCCCACCGTAAAGGGTTGCCACTCAGCTGGAGGCCTGCTGGTTCGTGTGGGCCAGCCCTCCACACCTCAGTGACCAAATGAAATACAACCCTCACTAGAGCTTCTTGTACTTGGCAAGACCCAGGGGTAGACCTGGGCTACCAAACAAAACCTTGTGTTCTTAGAGCCTGGGAACAACAGCTTTGACAGTTTCCACAAAGAACTCTTCCGCAGCATTAGCATTTTTATTTTCACCTACCTGCAGCCATTACTACATTGAACTCTGGGAATGTCACGTCAGCTGTTCTTGAGATAAAATACCATTTGCTATTTTTTTTTCTCTAGGCCCTGTCCCTTTGATGTTAAGTGGTGGAGGGAGTTGGCGGGATTTGCCTCTGGCTTGCGGTATATCCAGTGGATTGTATCAAATAAAGAATTCAAGTTCTTTCCATGTCTGGAAAACAGGCAGGATTTATCAGAACCTTTATAAATGTTGTGAAAAATGAAGGTGAGTAAACACCTGTTTTTCCAGCATCTAGTATACATCTTAAAATCTGAGATATGAACTTCTCTGTTTTGATTGTAAAAAGAAAGAGAACAGTAACACAGAAACTTTGTGTCCCAAATAGAGCACAGATACCTTGTCTATTACTCATAGTAATCCTCCCTTAAATTTGTATAACGTGAAGTTTTACAAAGTACTTATACCTCCCTTATCTAATTCAATCTTCATGACCACCCTGGGCAGTACTAATACTATAAACCAGTCTCCAACCTCAAGGTTGGTGCTCTTGCCACTGCCCAGGTGAAGCTGCAAAGCTGTGGCCACCTCTGTCTCCATGGTTGCCTCTGTCTGGCTGTCTCAGGCCTCAACTCTGCCCCATCCATATACTAAGAGTTAACCAAGCATGGAATTGGGGTATGTTACCTGAGCATCAGTCAGTTTCACCAGGAGACCTGATACTTGTTCTTGTTTCTGTTGGTCTATTTAGGGAAAGCTGGGAACGCATCCATCCATGACTTGTTGGTTTTTAGCACTCTTGCCTGGATTTGCATGTGTAAATATACCTGTGCTATGCAGCTGCGTGGGTGTCCCCAAAGGAGGGATTGTTACAGTCTTTGATTGCCCTTTTGTCTTCTAGGAATAATGGCCTTATATTCTGGACTGAAACCTACTATGATTCGAGCATTCCCTGACAATGGAGCACTCTTTTTGGCCTACGAATATAGCAGGAATTTGATGATGAGCCAGTTGGAAGCATACTGAAGTGTCTTGGAGGGCCTGAGCCAAGCACAGGTGTTTGAGGACTACAGTTCATTTCAGGGTTTCTTGTAGTACAAGACCAGCGTGAAGTCATTCTGATTTCTTGGGAATTTTGCCTTTCTGTCTTCTCTTATACCCTATATCTTAACTTGTTTGGAAGAACCTCTATTTTACATCATGTCATTTCTGCCCATAATTGTACTGAAATAGAGAAGTCACTGCTCTTTCCCTTGGTAAAATAGAGAGTGGTCAGTAGCCTTATGCACCTAATTCAAAAGACTGAGTACAGTTCTGTCAGGGCTTTTACATAAACCTCTACTTGCACATTCAATTTGGACAGTTATGTGTTGAGGGAAATACAGTTTGGTTCCATGTTTATTTCAAATATTACCAGAAAAACCCAGAGGTGATCATTTCTCATAAAGATGCTTATAAATGGTTGCTTAACCCATTCTAGATGTAGGATCTACTTAATATGTGTACTATTCTAAGTGGTTGATTTTTTTTTTTTTAATATGGAGTCTCACTCTCTTGTCCAGTCTGGAGTGCAGTGGCGCAGTCTTGGCTCACTGCAACCTCTGCCTCCCGGGTTCAAGAAATTCTCCTGCCTCAGCCTCCCAAGTAAGTGGGATTACAGGGTTGCACTACCACACCTGGCTAATTTTTGTATTTTTAGTACAGACAGCATTTCACCATGTTGGTCAGGCTGGCCTCGAACTCCTGACCTCATGATCCACCCGCCTCAGCCTCCCAAAGTGCTGGGATTACAGGCATGAGCCACTGCACCTGGCCAAATAAAACATATTTTTAACTAATAAAAACTAAGGACAAAGAAGGGCATTCCTTATAGAATGATAAAGGGCACAATTCAACCAGAAGACTTAGCCTAAATATGTACACACCCAACACTGGAGCACCCAAATTCATAAAACAAGTTTTTCTTGGCCTACAAAAAGATTTAGACGCACAATAACAGCAGGAGACTTCAACAACCCACTGACAGCAATAGACAGATCATTGAGGCAGAAAACTAACAAACTCCGTACTTGCACTTGACAGTTGACCAATTGGACCTGATAGACATCTACAGAACACTTTGTCCAACAAACACAGAAGATACATTCTCATGTGCACAGAGAACATATTCTAAGATCAACCACGTGATTGGCCAGAAAGCAAACCTCAATAAATTCAAAAAGTTTGAAATCATACCAAGCACACACTCTGACCACAGTGAGACAAAAATAGAAATCAGTATCAAGAAGATCTCTCAAAACTACATAAGTACATGGAAATTACATAATTTGCTCCTGAATAACTCCTGGGTGAAAATCTAAATTAAGGCAGAAATAAAAAAATTCTTTGCAATTAATGAAAATGGGGACACAACATACCAGAATCTCTGGGATGAAGCTAAAGCAGTGTTAAGAGGAAAGTTTATAGCACTAAATGCCTTCATCAAGAAGTTAGAAATATCTCAAATTAACATTCCTACTTTGCACTTAAGAGAACTAGAAAAAAGAATAAACTAACTCCAAAGCTGGCAGAAGAGAAATAACTAAAATTAAAGAAGCACTGAATGAAGTGCTTTTTGAAGTGCTGTTTTTTTTTAGACTAGATGCAAAAATCCACACAAAAGATCAATGAAACCAATAATTAGTTTTTCAAAAAATAAACAAGATGGATAGACTGACAGCTGAACAAAGAAAAAAAGAGAAGAAGCAAATAAGTACAATCATAAATGACAAAGATGACATTACAAACAATCCCACAGAAATACAAAAGATCCTCAGAGAATACTACAAACAACTCTAGGCACACAAATTAGATAATCTAGAGGAAATGGATAAATTCTTGGAAACATATAATCTCCCAAGATTGAATTAGAAAGAGATTGAAACCTTAAATAGACAAATACCGAGTTCCAAAATCAAATCATTAATATAAAATCTACCAACAAGGAAAAGCCCTGGACCAGATGAAGCAACAGCTGAATTCTACCAGATGTACAAAGAACTGGTACTAGTTCTATTGAAACTATTCCAAAGAACTGAGGATGAGGGGCTCCTCCCTAACTCAGTCTATGAAGCCAGCATCAGCCTAATACCAAAATCTGGCATAGAAACACACAAAAAGAAAACTTCAGGCCAATTACTCTGATTAACATAGACACAGAAATTCTTAACCAAATACTAGGAAACAGAATCCAGCAGCACATCAGTAAGTTAATACACCACAATCAAGAAGGCTTCAGTCCAGGGATGCAAGGCTGGTTCAACATATGCAAATCAATAAATGTGATTCACCACATAAACAGAACTAAAAGCAAAAACCATATCATCATCTCAATAGATGCAGAAACAGATTTTGATAAAATCCAACATCCCTTCACATTAAAAACCTCAACAGACTAGGCATCAAGGGAACATACCTCAAAATAATAAGAGCCATCTATGACAAATTCACAGCCACCAACCTACTGAATGGGCAAAAGTTGGAAACAATTCCCATGAGAAATGGAGGAAGACAATGATGCCCACTCTCACCACTCCTATTCAACATAGCACTGGAAGTCCTACCTAGAGAACTCAGACAGGAGAAAGGAAGAATAGGCATCCAAATAGGAAAAGAAGGAGTCAAACTACCTCTCTTTGCTGATGATATGATTCTATACCCAGAAAACCAAAGACTCTGCCAAAAGGCTACTAGAACTGATAAACAACTTTAGCAAAGTTTCAGGATAAGAAACCAATGTATAAAAATCAACATCATTTCTATACACCAATAATGTCCAGGCTGAGAGTTAAATCAAGAACAGAATCCCATTTATGGTAGCGACAAAGAAAATGAAATAACTAGGAATACAGCTAACAAAGGATGTGAAAGATCCCTACAAGAACTACAAAACACTGCAGAAGGAAATCAGAGATAACACAATTAAATGGAAAAGCATTCCATGCTCATGGATTGGAAGAATCAGTATCATTCAAATGACCATACTGCCCAAAACAATTGACAGATTCAGTGCTATTTCTATCAAACTACCAATGTCATTCTTCACAGAATTAGAAAAAAGTATTCTAAAATTCATATGAAACCAAAAGAGGGCCTCAATAGCCTAAGCAAATCTAAGCAAAAGGGCAAAGCCAGAGGCTTCAAACTATAAGGCTATAGTATCCAAAACAGCATGGTACTGGCACAAAAGCAGACATATAGGCCCATGGAACAGAATAGAAAACCCAGAATAAAGCCTTACACTTACAGTCATCTGATATTGCAAGGCTGACAAAAACAAGCAATAGGGGAAGGACTCCCTATTCAATAAATGGTGTTGCGGTACTGGTTAGCAATATGCAGAATAATGATACTCGACTCATACCTTTCATCATATACAATAATTAACTGGAGATAGATTAAAGATTTAAATGTAAGACCTCAAGTGATAAAAATCCTAGAAGAAAACCTCAGAAATACCCTTCTTGACATTGGCCTTGGGAAAGAATTTTTAACTAAGTCCCCAAAAGCAATTGCAATAACAACAAAGATTGACAAGTGGGACCTAATAAAGCTAAAGTGCTTTGGCACAGCAAGAGAAATGATCGACAGAGCAAACAGATAACCCACAGAACAGGAGGAAACATTTGCAAACTATGCATTCAACAAAGGTCTAATATCCAGAATCTATAAGGAACTTACACAAATCCACATGCAGAAACCAAATAGCCCCATTAAAAATGTGGAAAGAACATGACACATACTTCTCAAAAGAAGACATACAAGTGACCAATGAGCATCTGGAAAAATGCTTCACTTCACGAATTGTCAGAGAAGTGCAAATCAAAACCATAATGAGATACCCTCTCACACTAGTCAGAATGGCTATTAATAAAAAGTCAAAAACAACAGATGCTGGCAAGGCTGCAGAGAAAAGGGAACGTTTATACATCGTTGGTGGGAGTGTAAATTAGTTCAGTCACTGTGGAAAGCAGTCTGGAGATTTCTCAAAGAACTTAAAACGAGCTACCATCTGACCCAGCAACCCCATTATTGGATATATACCCAATGGAAAAAAGACCATTCTACCAAAAGACACACACACTGATATGTTCATTGCTGTGCTATTCACAATAGTAAAGATATGGAATCAACCTAGGTGCCCATCAGTGGTGGATTGGATAAAGAAAATGTGGTACATATACACGATGGAATTCTACACAGCCATAAAAATGAATGAAATCATGTCTTTTGCAGCAACATAGATGGAGCTGGAGGTCATTATCCTAAGCAAATTAATGCAGGAACAGAAAACCAAATACCACATATTCTCACTTATGAGAGCTAAAAAACAGGTACCCTTGGACATAAGGATGGGAACAATAGACAACTGTGGACTACTAGAGGGGGATGGAGGGAGAGGGGTGCAGGTTGAAAAACTACCTATTGGGTACTATGCTCACTACCGGGGTGCAATATACTGATGTAACAAACTTGCACACATACCCCCTATATTTAAAATTAAAGCTAAAATTTTAAGACATGAGTATCACTCTGATCTAAGTTTCTTGAGTTATTCAAAGAATCATTCATTTTGCATTCTAAGAAAGCAACACCCAAAGAGGCCGTAAATGAGTTTTCTTTGAATAAGCGAAAGCAGAATAGTGTGACAACTCATAATTTCCAGAAATTTTGGTGGGTCTTGGAGGTCTGGGGAAGAGAAACCTTCATGGTAATCTCCTTATTTCAAAAAGGGACATTCTTAAAATAAAAAAGGGGGTTTCCTTCCTTCCTGTATTTCTAGTACTGAAAAAGACAGATCTTAATCTTCACTAAGCCAGCTAAGTATTTTCCTCCCTATTCACCTAAAGCCAGGACATAATCTGCCCTCTGTAGATTATTGCTGTGTGAATTTTAAAGGAAACAGTGTAACCTATGTTGTGCCTACACATTTCTGTCATATGAATGGCAGGGCGTAATATTAACATGAAAGGAATTTGAAAGCACGATCTATGATCTTTTCCTCAAAGCGGGAGCCAGGTCAGGGGGAGTAAAGGAGAAAGGCCTTAGCTGGGCTGCTGCATGGGCAGTCGGAACGTTTTTGGAATATTTAGAGGAGAAAAAATCACCTGCAGCGAGGTGGCTCACCAGCCTAGTGGGGCTCTTGGCTCCTGGCAGGTTGCTGCCTTCCGTGCCCACCATGGCTCAGGGCTCTACTCTCATCTGTGCCATTCTGGTACCCACAGCCCTTAGAGCAAGTATTTTTCTATTTCCACTCAAAAATTAAAAAGCTCTATGGCAAACTCCCGACATCGAGCTGCTGATGTGGGTGGCCCGAGCGGTTAGTGTGTTGGTTAGAAAGTTGCTATGCCGGACAGGATTGCCCTGGACTCTCAAACTGTATTTTCATGGACCGCTTCTTTTTTTAGTCCTTTCTGTAGAGTGCCAGGTTTTTCAGGAATGAGTATACCGTGTTTTAGCAGTGACACTTGTCTTATTAGTTGCTACCTTTCGTTTCCTGATGAACTCATCTTGGTCTAGATTGTTGAGGGCCTTGACAATAAAAGGAAAATCATTCAAATAAGAATAATTTCAATAAGGCCAAGATAGAATGTTTTCAAGGACAATCATGGCCTGAAGATACAGTGGCAATAAAGGTATTTTGAATAAAGTAACACCCACGGACTGGGCGTGGTGGCTCATGCCTTAATACCAGCACTTTGGGAGACTGAGGCAGGCAGATTGCTTGAGTTCAGGAATTTGAGCTCAGCCTGGGCAACAACGGCAAAACCTTGTCTCTACTAAAAATACAAAAAATTAGCCGGGTGTGCTGGCATGCGCCTATAGTCCCAGCTACTCGGGAGGCTGAGGTGGGAGAATCAACTGAGCCTGGGAGGTTGAGGCTGCAGTGAACCAAGATCACACCACTGCACTCCAGTCTTGACAACCAGAGTGAGATGCTGTCTCAAGAAATAAAAAATACAAATAAAAAATTTGTTAAAAAAAAAGTAGCACCCAGCACCAAAGAGGAAATAATGATTTCCTGTAGACATAAGGCTAACCAGTGTTTATAATGAAAAGATAACCTCCCTTCAGAGTCCTCCCAAGCTTAGGTGAATTGTGAGCAGGAGTAGTGAATTTCAAAATAATACACCTAGATTACTCTAAGAACAAATATTTCTTTTGACTTCACTTACAATTTTAAACAAAAGCAGAAGTTACCAAAGATTACTTATCTTCATATTTACCACAATCTTCTTACCCCAACCCCCATGTCTGTGTGTGATTAAAGGAAGCTTGTCAAGTAAGCTACCTAGTTAGTGCTCAGAATGAGAGACTGTGTGTTGGGAGTTGGGGGACTGCTTGTGTGAAACACTTCTCTCTTCTGGATTTAAAACTTAGTCTTTGTTGCCAGTCTGTTAACAGACAGTTTGTAAATGAAGTGGAAGAAAAAATATAAATTAGCTTTCTAATAAATCTGAAATTACAAATGTGAACCAAAGCAGGGAATAAATACTTGACCAAAAATATGTAAGTAAGTGGGGGTTGGGGAATTACAATTTTTAAATATCTCAAGTTTTTGCTATGAAAGTTCTATTTCAAAGTTCTTCAAAATGATGTCTGATGTTCCTGCATACTGTGTTCCAAATTTATGTAAATACAAGATGGAAATTGTGAAGTATGTGCCTTCAAAAAAGAAAAAAAAAACACTGACATTTTATCTATATATATTTAGTAGACTTATGAAGAACATATATAAACATATATAAATATATCATCAAGGAAGATTTAGGATATATGAATATGTGGCAAGGTTGGAAAGAACATAATTCTTTCCCAGAAGGGGAAGGGGGAGCTGTACTTAATCGGATCCAGCTACAACATCACTGGAAGTCATTTCTTACCAAAAAGTATCTCCACGGCAAATTCTGGTGGATAAATTTTCCAAGCTTTTTGTTTATGTGGATTATCCAATTCATTTCTTGGTAGATAAAGCCTAAGAATAGAAAAAAAATTATTACATTTTATATTGGGGCTCACCGAAAAGCCACGCAGTTGGGTACCCACGTTAGAGCTGGAAGAAACAAAAAAAAGAAACTCACCATGAATAGAACCCCAGCTCCTTTTTTGTGTCTCGGTTGGCTCCTTCCACCTTTTTGGTGAGACTTAAAAATACTTTAATCTTCAGCAACACATCAGTAACACATGCTGACTCTCTTAGCATTGCTTTATATGGCATTAATGACTTCCAAGTTTAATAAAATATCTAAATTTCTCTCTGTGACAGAAATCAGTCAGGATAGACATGAATGAAAACCCAGGAATAAAATACTATATCTCTTTCAATTTATGTGTGAAGTTGCAATTTTTTGAATTTTTACAATCAGACCTTGGAAATGACCTTGAGCAGTAGGACATAACTCCCACATGCTGAGCGTTCCAATAATGGAACACTAGGCATAAATTGGTTAACCCATTTATGCCTAGTGTTCTAAATGATACAAGTTAGCATTTTTGGCTAAACAACAATCTTATAACTAACAAAAACAGCTTTACCAAGTTGTATGTAAATGTAAATGTTACAGAAATCTTTAGAAATTTATATAAAAGTAAGAATAAAAGTGATCTAGCTTATCACTTCTCCAAAATGAACATAGTGTTTTAAAGGAAAAAGACTGTATCCTTTAGCAAGAACCACTTTCGAGGAGCAGCATCAAGTGAAGTTACATCCAGGTCTCACTTTTTGAGGGACTTTGCTCATGTTAGAAGAAAAAGCTTATTGTTTGTATGCATCCAAAAAAAAAAAAACTTGTAAAAATTTCCGTCAAATCCAAAGTTCACTCTATCAAAATCCATTAAATGTTTTGCATTGCAAGTGTGTAGACCAGAGGTTTAATTTCCTGTTGCCTTGCTGGACTTAAGGAGTTATTCGATCCAGTTCACATTTGAAGAAAAGATTAGGACTGGATGTAACAATAACTATCAATTCATGCCACATATAATCATAGCCACTTCTTCAATTCTGACCTAAATCATTTAAAAAATATTTTGTCCTTTTGTATTGAAGAGTATGGTTGATACCAAAAAAAAATCCCAATTTTTCACCATCACAAAACAAATGCTACTTATAGTGGAGAACTTCTAGACTGAGAAATGAGTTTCCAAATATGGTAGAAGGTTTTTTTGGAACAATAATCTCCAAACCCAATTAATAATTTTTCAGAAAGGTTTCCCAATTCAGTTATTAGAAAGCCACATTTGAATGGCTATTTAAATAGACTATTACTTAATGATATTTTTTAGCTGTATTCCTTAATACTGTGTCTTGTAACTTCTCCTAGATATAAGTGTGTCAGTCAGCTTTTCATCTAGCTGAAGCCTCCCTAGGTCCTGCCTTACTTTAGCACAAAATTTGGTGGTGGTTCGTCATTGGTAAATCAGCACCTACTGACAGGGACCTGACATACTGAAGGTGCTGAGCAGACTCATATTGAACTTCTCCAAGAGGAATTTACTACCACACTTAAGATCTGATTGTAATACTTTTGAACTCATAACACAGTTCTATGGCATGGACCTTGAGGATACTGCAACAGTGGGTCTCAAGAACAAAGGTATTTTTAAAATAACCAGAGTAAGAGGAGTAAGGCAATGAACAATGGTGGCTCAAGGATTTTTTGCTTTCTATAAATTAAGTTTATGACAACCAGCAAAAGACTTGCCATTATGCCTTGTATATAGACATTGAAGATTAGGCTGTTTCTATGGGTTTATATTATATTCATACCTGTTATTTTGAATAAAAGATGTGTTGAACCAGAAGAAAAATGAACAATTGTCACAGTACTTAGGAAGGTTCTAAAAAAAATTTCAAAGTAAAACTGATACCAAGAACTAATCATTCCAAAGAAATTAAAGTTCCTTCCTTTATTCCTTTTTATATTTATCAAACAATTATAACCATTAAATATGTAGCACTCTGCAATCTATAACAATACACTCAAGACACAAAGGAGGAAGCTTTAAGAAAATGCTATTGCATTCTCTTACTGTTTCTATCAAAATTTTCAAGGAATAGTATTTTTTCCATGATAGGTATTTAATTTAAATGCTGCTATTTGAATCTGGTTTAGATAGTGCCAAACAGACTCTACTAAGGACCTATGCCTATATATACCCAACTAGATTGTAGTGAATTCTTATAATTTTTTTGTTGCCTCAGCATCCCTTTTAAATATAAACTGGACTTTCTGATGTCAGGACTTTTCTGATATCAGAAGCGGGGTTCAGTCACCCTCAGCAGTTTCCAGTTCACCTCCTCCCAGTTTCTCCATGTGACTGATCCTGATATCTGCCTTATACAATCTTCTCCTGGTGACCCCTTCATTATGGGACAGCTAGATATAACCTACTTGACTCACCCAACAGACCCCCATACTCTGCAGGGACCACGTGGATATATTAGTGACCACCTCTCAGCCACAGCAGAGACTCATGGCTGCTTGCGTTAAACCAAATTAGACCTCCCTGCAGGAAACCTACTCAGGTCGCACCTTACATCCCAATAAAGGCTTCCACTCTCAGGTCCCTCCCTGTCTCTCGCTATTGCTCCCACCCATCAGTCAAGCACAGGTCTCCTGGATGGCTCCCTCTTCCAGTTGCCCCTGCGAAGTGTGCTGCCCTCTTCTCTCTGGAATTAATAAAAAACTGCTTTGGTTATTTCTTGTGTTGTATTGTGCTGCCTTCTCTGTGTTTCACCCAACTGAGTCGCCCAAACCTAACTCTCTTTCCAGTCAGTGCTCCCAGCTACTAAGGAGGCTGAGGTGGGAGGATTGCTTGAGCCCAGGAGGTTGAAGCTACAGTTAGCTATGATCATGCCACTGCACTCCAGCCTGGGTGACAGAGTGAGACCCTGTCTCAACTTCTTAATTTTTTAAAAAAGATGCAAAACAAAATGTAATCATTGCTATGCAGTAAAACGTACCTTTGGGTTTTTTTTTTTTTAGCATCTTGGCTTTTACTTTTTTTGTGTTTATTTTGTATTTTTTGTATTTGAGAATACATGTAAATTTAGAAAAATTTAGAAAATTTACAATTTAGAAAAAAACAAATGAACAAAAATTATTCAAATTACATATTTTCTTTCAAAAAATTTGTTATAGATCTAATTTATTGTTTTCTTCCCCCTCCCCCTCCCTTGTTTGGAATTGTAGTAAAGCAAATCTTAAATAAAATCATTAGACCAGACAAGAACAATGGCAGAGGCTATTTTGTGATTACTCACTGAAGAGAAAAATTGCACTTTCACATCATCATACAGAGGTGGACTGTCATATACATTAGTTAATACACCGGCTGTTTCAATGTCATGCAGTATCTGTGAATGAACACATGGAATTGAGAACTACAAACCTAGATAACGATAACAAAAGGTCCTTTTCACTTATCATGACTTCCTATATTTATCAAGTACTTTTGGTCTCACAGCCCAATCACTACATGCATAAATAATTATTAATAATCTTTTCTAGTTGCAATACTATTGTGTGTGTGTGTGTGTGTGTGTTTTCGTTTGTTTTTTGTTTTTTGAGACAGAGTCTCACTGTCACCCAGGCTGGAGTGCAGTGGCGTGATCTCGGCTCACGGCAACCTCTGTCTCCCAGGTTCAAGTGATTCTTGTGCCTCAGCCTCCCGAGTAGCTGGGACTATAGGCACATGCCATCATACCCAGCTAATTTTTGAATTTTTAGTAGAGATGGGGTTTCACTATATTAGCCAGGCTGGTCTCAAACTCCTGGCTTCAAGTGATCTGCCTGCCTGGGCCTCCCAAAGTGCTGGATTACAGGCATGAGCCACTGCACCCGGCCTGTTGTTTATGTCTTTTAAAGGCCAACATGTTTGAGTGTTATCATGAACCACTTTTCTTTTTTTTTTTTTTTTTTTGAGACAGAGTCTCACTCTGTCACCAGGCTGGAGTGCAGTGGCATGATCTCGGCTCACTACAACTTCCGCCTCCTGGGTTCAATTGATTCTCCAGCCTCCGCCTCCCAAGTAGCTGGGACTACAGGCATGTGCCACCACACCCAACTAATTTTTGTATTTTTAGTAGAGACAGGGTTTCACCATGTTGGCCAGGATGGTCTCGATCTCTTGACCTCGTGATCCACCTGCCTCGGCCTCCCAAAGTGCTGGGATTACAGGCATGAGCCACTGTGCCTGGTCATGAGGCACTTTTCAAAAGTATTGAATTTTCTATTAGACTTTAATCAATTAAATATTATCATTTAATGTGTGTCATTTGATTTTCATGTGTTAGGGCCTTTTTTGAGAATATATTAAGAAGCTCAATTTTAAAGCTAGCATTGACATTCAAAAAGCAATGCGTAACTCATCATGGTTTTTTATTTTCTAAATTTAAAAATAACAACGGGGGTCTGTAACACTTGGGGGTTGGGCCTGCATGCCCCTCCCAAGGGAGAGGGAGGGTGGGGTCCCCCTGCTCATCATGTTTTATCAGAACTCTTGTGTTTGTCAATGGGATCTTTGAACTTGACCAATGCAGGCTGCTGGATGGAGTGACCAAAGATAGCTCAAGATACTATTTCTTTGACTCACTCTCATATAAATAAAGGCACCCACAGTAAGAAAGGTCTATGCTAGGCCCTGTGGAAAACACAAAAGGAGGTGCAGACTCAGTTGGCCCCTTTTGGGAGCTGTACACATAAGAAACAATAGTAGAATGGTACATAACTTAATCTGTATGATAAAGACTGGGTGTGCTGTTATGCACTATTAGGGGCTAGTTAACAGAAGGTACAGAATGCAAAAATTTCATTAAGGAGGTAGAAATTGAATTGGGCATGAAGCAGTTTAGATAAACGAAGAAGAGCTCTGAAAATAGACTCTAGTCCAAACGGAGGGAAAAAGACCAGCAATAATGCAAAGTAGAAATTAGAAAAATGGGCCAGGAATGGTGGCTCATGCCTGTAATCCTAGCACTTTGTGAGGCTGAGGTGGGCAGATCACCTGAGGTCGGGAGTTTGAGACCAGCCTTGAAGGGGTGGCCTGCCCCTCCACACCTGTGGGTGTTTCTCCTTGGGTGGGATGAGAGACTGAGAAAAGAAAGAGACATAGAGACAAAGTATAGAGAAAGAAAAGTGGGCCCAGGGGACCAGCGCTCAGCAAAGGGAGGACTCACGCTGGCACCAGTTTCTGAGTTCCCTCAGTATTTATTGATCATTATCTCTACCATCTCAGAGAGGGGGATGTGGCAGGACAATAGGGTAATAGTGGGGAGAGGGTCAGCAGGAAAACATGTGAACAAATGTCTCTGTATCATAAACAAGGTTAAGAAAAAGGTGTTGTGCTTTGATGTGCACATACACAAACATCTTGGTGCATTAAAGAGCAGTATTGCCACCAGCATGTCTCACCTCCAGCCCTAAGGCAGTTTTCTCCTATCTCAGTAGATGGAATATACGATCGGGTTTTACACTGAGACATTCCATTGCCCAGGGAGGAGCAGGAGACAGATGCCTTCCTCTTATCTCAACTGCAAAGAGGCCTTCCTCTTTCACTAATCCTCCTCAGCACAGACCATTTATGGGTGTCGGGCTGCAGGACGATCAGATCTTTCCCTTCCCAGGAAGCCATATTTCAGACTATCACCTGGGGAGAAACCTTGGACAATACCTGGCTTTCCTAGGCAGAGGTTCCTGCAGCCTTCCTCAGTGTTTTGTGTCCCTGGGTACTTGAGATTAGGGAGTGGTGATGACTTTTAACAAGTATGCTGCCTTCAAGCATTTGTTTAACAAAGCACATCCTGCATAGCCCTAAATCCATTAAACCTTGAGTCAACACAGCACATGTTTCTGCCAGCACAGCATCTCAAGGCAGAAGAATTTTTCTTAGTACAGAACAAAATGGAGTCTCTTATGTCTACTTCTTTCTATGTAGAAACAGTAACAGTCTGATCTCTCTTTCTTTTGCCCACAAGCCTGACCAACACGGAGAAACCCCATCTCCACTAAAAATACAAAATTAGCCAGGCGTGGTAGTGTATGCCTGTAATCCCAGCTACTTGGGAGGCTGAGGCAGGAGAATCGCTTGCACCCAGGAGGCAGAGGTTGTGGTGAGCCGAGATTGTGCCAATGCACTCCAGCCTGGGCAACAAGAGCAAAACTCTGTCTCAAAAAACAAAAAGAAAAGAAAAAAAATTGGAAAAACAACAACAAACAATATCAGGCAGTGTGGCTCATGTTTATAATCCCAGCACATTGCGAGGCTGAGGTGGACAGGTTGCTTGAGCCCAGGAGTCTGAGACCAGCCTGGGCAACATAGCAAGTCCCAGCCTCTTCAAAACATAAAAAAAAATTGGGGGATTGCTTGAGCTCAAGAGGTTGAGGCTACAGTGAGCCATGATCATGCCACTGCGCTACAGCCTGGGTGACAGAATAAGACCCTGGCTCAAGAAAAAAAAAAAAAAAGTAAAGGAAGAAAGGAAGGAAAGAAAGAAATAAGTTATTTGGTTAGTTATAACCAAATAACTAAATTAGAGTTGTGTTCCAAGAGCCAAAAGGGATGACCCAGTTTATTTGGAATGAAGTCTGCTGGTCAAGCTACTGATGGAAAAAAGCTCAGGTATTACATTAGGGCTATTATATCTTCAGAGCTCGAGCCAAAGAAATAAGAAAGAAGTTGTTGAAAAATATGGTGGGGCATTTCCTATGTGAAAAAGAGGCCTGATAATTATCACATATAACACTTATTTAGTGATTTATAGTTCACAAAGAAACTTTATATATATTATCTAATTGAATTCCCATTACACTTGGATGTGATATTTATTTTACAGATAAAGATGTTGAGCCAAAGGTGTTAACTGGCTCTGACCACGGGCACACAGTGTGTCTTCTGCTCTAGCTACAATTTTTCACAATGAGAGGAATATTTCAGGATGCATATTTCAGGATTCTATACATTGCATTATAGAAGGAGAAAGAAAGGGTAAGGAGACCACTGCAGAAATCTACGCTGAGCAAAGGAGATTCTGGACAATTAGTGGCAGTGAGAACAGAAAGGAAGGAGAACGTAGAAAACTGTCAAAGGCATAATCAACAGAGATGGATGACTAACTGGATTTAGGGGGCCGAGGCAAAGAGAATCAGAGCCCAAGGCGTGAGTGGAAGAATGCTGGTGCCATTTGCAGAAGCAGAGAGAAAGCTCCTTGATAATTCAGACTGGCGAATGCATTTGAGTTGGAGTGGAAACTGTTCATGTTGTAGCTCCTGCATCTAAAACTCAGTGGGTGCTCATAAATAGCTGTTCAGTAAATGAACAAATAATGGTTGAAGTAAGGGGAATGGGTCATCCTTTAAGAATAAAGCATTTGCTAAGAACAGAAAGCCAAGGGTCAGGCCTGGGTGAATGTCCTCAGTTGGGAGAGGCCAAAAAAGCCGGGGGCAGAGTGGGGAGGGGGTGGCAGGGAATAGGGTTAGTAATAGGAGAATTTGAGACAAAGGCCTGGGTAGGAATTCTAAAAGTTTATGGTTATTAGACCATGAAGGATGCTTTCTTACTGTTTCAGAAAAGGTATATAGTTTTAGGCATTTCTTCATTGTAGCAAAACATTGACTACCAGGTCCCTTTTGCTTTGGATAAAGAGGTTCCTCCCCAGTTCATTCACCCTTGCATTGTTTCTCACAGGGTCATCCCACAGAACGTCTGACTTAGAATCACTTGGGACATTGCTAAGTCTATAGATTCCTGGGCCCCAATCCAGATTTCCCGAATCATACTTTGGGGGTACAACCTAGGAATGTAAATCTTTACAAGCTCCTCAGTGGTTTTCATGCACACTAAACTTTTAGAATCAGTGTTATATAATAAAAGATCAAATGACTGAGAAGAAGAGAATATGTTTAAAAATGACCAGATATGTAAATTAAAATCCTTAATACATTCCTGGGAACATGCTCAGTGTTTGTGGAAGTGTGAAAGGCAAAGCAACACTGACCAGAAATAAATTCTGGAAAGCACCCTGAAGAAACTGTTTTGAACAAACAGGTTAATTTATCTCTGGTTTGCATCCAAACCCAGTGACACCAAGTTGGATGGTAACCAGAAAGCGTTATGGAATCTCTTTAGGTGAGTGATAGTTTAGGGAGGTGAACATTGCTGGTTTGACATTCAACCTTAAAAAGAACATCAGAGTTTTTCAGTTCACATGTTTTCTCTTACTGAACAATTTCCTAATGAAGTACTGGAAAAGACAACCTTTTTCTCCATTACTATTTGGAATTTTAGATCACATACATCGCCTGTTCCAACACCTAAATGAAATTAAAAAGTTAGGTTGGTTAGCGTGAACATCAATATGTCTCACCAATTAACATCATGGATTAAAAAGAGAAAAAATTATCCAAGCTAACAATGTATCAATAGTTACTTATTTGGTCTTGCATGGATTTTGTCTTTGAAAGACAAGGCTTCAAGCCTAGTTCTGTCTCTTAAAGCAGATTTTATAAGACTAGAGAAGAGAAAAAATATATATATATAGTTCGGCTTCAAAGACTTAGAATCCCATCACTTTATCTTTCCAGAAAAAATATTTAGGGAAGGTAGGCCGGGCATGGTGGCTCACGCCTAGCACTTTGGGAGGCTGAGGTGGGTGGAGGATTACTTGAGGTCAGGAATCCTAAACCAGCCTGGCCAAGATGGTGAAACCACATCTCTACTAAAAATACAAAAATCAGCCAGACGTGGTGGCACATGCTTGTAATCCTAGCTACTCAGGAGGCTGAGACAGGAGAATTGCTTGAACCCGGGAGGTGGAAGTTGCAGTGAGCCGAGATCACACTACTGCACTCCAGCCTGGGTGACAGAACAAGACTCTGTCTCCAAAAAAAAAAAAAAAAAAAAAGAAAGAAAAAGACAATTCTGGGAAGGTGACTTGCAACCTTTCTTGCTAATATGTTGCTTTCTTCAGACTTCTAATCATAATGATTCTTAATAATAAATACTGGAGTTTAACTACTTTGGCCCTACTTTAAGGCCAGTTCCTGATGCAATCTCTATAAAAATATAGGATAGTTTTATCCAAAAATTCCCGTGGTGTTCAGTATATATTTATAGACAAAGGCTCTTTTGTTCCTTTTTTTCAATTCAAATGACCCACTTCCCTCAGCATTTCCTCAAAGACTTGGTTTCTCAGCCAATTAATTGTTTTATTGCTTTCCTCTCAACTCTACATTAATTTTAATTCAAATATGTACAAAGCTAAAGGTAGAAAATTAAAACAAATATTTTAATAAACTAGTGTATTAATTATCTTTGATTGCTCATCTCATATGCTGTTTGTTTTCTTTTCATTTAGTTTTGTTTTCACTAACACCATGATATTCATTTGTCATTAGAAATCACAGTTTCTTGCCTCAGTTCCCTCTTTCCCATTCCAGGTGCAGAACTTCTTTCTATTGATGTCTACCAGAAATCAGTGAAATGTAGAACTAAACTCAGAAGGCTAAAAATACTAGGCTGTCTGTGTGGACACCAGCATCCTGGCCCCATGGCACCTATAGCACCCAGCACTGGCACCATCTCAGGTCCACAAGCTGGCTGCTAGAAGAGGTTTGCTTTAGGGGTTCCGAAGCATCACCTCCCTGCTACCTCTCTGGCAGTGGGAGTGGTGAGGCCCCATTCCTTCCACACAGACACATCCTGCTTTCCCGCCTCCCCTGAGTGTAAGCTGGGAGTGAGAGGGTTACAGATGGAGGAGAGAGGGGAAAGGGAGAGCCCAGGGTGATGAGAAAAAAATATGCCTCTAAAAGAAGGTGAGAAAATGATACGATACGGAGACACCTCCACCAAGGCAAACTCTGAACTAGAGGTGGTTCTGAGAAATAAGCAGGCTTGAGGGCACATGGGTCCTCCTCCTCCCTCATCAGAGGCTCCCTCTGCCCGGAAAAGTCCACCTGGGTTGAGACCGGAGGAGCAATGAGAACAGGAGAGATGGGAAGGGGATGAAGTCCCCCAAGTTGGTGATGGAAAAGAAAAAGTGAAGAACATCTAAGGGCTGGCAATCAATGGGCAATTGCAGGAGGAGCGGCATAAATAAGGAGGAGTTCCTGTGTGACAATATGTAAAAAGACAGGTATGAGTTAGGCTCATCTGTATATATAACTATGAGCAAAACTCTCCCAGAGTGGGGACATTGGCCCTCCTGCCCAATTCTTCAATTACACATAAAGCACTTAACCACGAATTGAATAAATAATGAATCTTTTTATAAAGAGTATCCGTCTTGGAGGGAGATTCCAGTTGTACAGATGTTTCACTTGTGCAAAATATCCAACATATCTATTGTGAAAAGCAACAGAAATCTTCCTTTAAGTGGAGATGAAGTCTAAAGTCAGCATTCCTTTTTTTTTTTTTTTTGCATAAAGCTTGTTAATGGAGGTAAGTAATTAAGAAAACATTTACTGGATGCCATTATATAACTGGACATTTTTAGGGATGCTGCCCCACAACTATCTACCTTGAGGGAAAAATACTGAATTCAGTGCAATGGGGAAGTAACAAGGATGGAGCCAGGCCCTGTTTATAGGCTGCTTATGGTTGAGAGGGCAACTAATCAGAAGCACAACAAAACAGTTACAGCATCATCAGTGTCCGGATAGAAGCTTAGTTGTGACTGAGTTAGAGGAAGGCTTGTGGTTTGG
Organism: Homo sapiens; assembly: GCF_000001405.40. Classification (NCBI taxonomy): domain Eukaryota; kingdom Metazoa; phylum Chordata; class Mammalia; order Primates; family Hominidae; genus Homo; species Homo sapiens. The sequence continues at coordinate 24,962,212 of NC_000013.11, forward strand.
TGAAGAGCAGCTTCCTGGGCATGAGAGAATGGTATAAGTGAAAACTCCAGAGGAATACCTCCATACCTCAGTAGCAGGTTTCCCATCATTCTTCTCTTGTTCCTGATGCTAGAATTCTTCACTTTGCATTTCCTCAATTCTGTTTTCTCAAGGAAGCCCTGGAATTCTCTCAGCCTTGTCCTTTCCCTGGGGCAAGCTGTTCACAACGGTTCTCCCCTGAATCTTTCTTCAAGGTATTGAAGAGCTCTGGTACTCAATCAACTGGTTCAGAATTCAAAAGTTGGCCATCATGGTGGCTCCCGCCTGTAATCCCAGCACTTCGGGAGGCCGAGGTGGGCAGATCACCTGGCGTCAGGAGTTTGAGACCAGCCTTGCCAACAGGGTGAAACCTTGTCTCTACTAAAAGTACAAAAATAGGCCATGCGTGGTGATGGGCACCTATAATCCCAGCCACTTGGGAGGCTGAGGCAGGAGAATCACTTGAACCCAAGAGGTCGAGGTTGCAGTGAGCTGAGATTGCACCACTGCATTCTAGTCTGGGCGACAGAGCGAGACTCTGTCTCAAAAATTAAAAACAAAACAAAACAAAACAAAACAAAACTCATAGGTTCACAGACTGTTCCTTACCCATTGGGAAATGCTCATTAAAGTAACTAACTGCCATACTTCCCTTTAGAAAGGGCCAGTCATGAGATAGGCTCATGAAAGTCCTCCACTTAGGAGTAGATGTAGTCAGTAGAATGGCCCACAATGCAGGATCAGAATGTGATGGTGTCTGAGAATCACCACCAGACACAGAGGGCACTCTGTCCTGAGGTCTTGCCAACACAGCTCTCAAACGTGCAGCTGAATCCCTTTGTTGCTTTTTTAGTGAATCAGAAGAGATTCAGTTGCAGCTTTGGTGTGCTAGTTCTGGACTAAAGTTAGGGAAACTATGCACGACTGCAGAAGAAATGGGGATGAGGAGATGTGTGGGGGAGAGTTGTTGAAGGAGCTCCACCTAGCATCCCCTTAGCTTCTGCCACTAGATTCTCCACCTTTCCCTAAGGGCTGTAAACCACCAGGGCCCTCAAGCTGCTTGTGCTCCCACGCTTCCTTCTCCTACAACTTAAAACAACATGGACTTGTAGTAGAAATTAATACAACCAACACATAGGAGGCACTCACTACAAACAACAAGATATTATGAGAAAAGGGTGGAAAGATGGGTAAGCCATGGGCTTTGCCTTTAAAGGGGATACAGAAGTCACCACTTCAAATAACTAGAGAATGATGCAAAGTGACATAGTCCCTAAAAGAAACACAAAGGGCTCTAAGAATTGAAAAAGCAAGAGACTACTTCAGGCTGAGAAGGGAAAGGGACTCTAGGAAAAGGGGCATGAGCAACGGCATGAGGGTATCAAGTGTCCATAGGCTGGGAAAGAGCACACAGTCTAAATGTGTTGGAGTATGGGATGTGTGCATGCACATAGTGGAAGAGAAGGTTGGAAAAGTCAAACTGTGGCTCTTGAGTGCCAGGTTGAAACGTTTAGTTTATTGCCATTGGCAGTGGGGACATAGTATGGATTTTGAGCATGGAAATGGCATGATTAGGGCTGCACTTCAGTAAATTCACTTATCACTTTTAGCTTAGGGTCTATGAATATCTTTGTTTTGTTTTGTTTTGTTTTGGGCTTGGGTGTGGGAGAAAAGTATCAGTGGATAAGGCTGAGTTCTTCTGGCCCAAACTAAAGGTTTAGGGCCAGTAGTTAGAGTGTTCTTCTAACGGGGCCAAGAGTACTTACTCAGCTCCCACCACTTAAAGAAAAACTCATTTACAGCCACATCCAAATCCATTTCGGAATTCCCAACCCACTCTCACTTCAGTTTCAGGGGCAATATAGAAAAGGCAATATAAATGAGAAGCTGTGCACAAAAAGGGCTTCAGAGACTGACATCTAGATTTCAGTCCTTGGTTCAAAAGTTACTTTCTATGAACCTCAATTTTCTAATTTATAAGATGAGAATCATAGTAGTGCCTACTCATAGAGTTACTGAGAATATTAAATGAGATAGTGAATATAGAACTCTTAGAATAGTTCAGCAAAGTCTAGAATGTTGTAAATGCTATAGGATAAACATCCTGGTTTCTGCAATAAACAAATTACAAGTAATAAAAAATGGTGAGAAATCTATAAACTCAGATTCTTAAAAGAGACTTAGGAGACACAGCAACCAAATGAAATGTGTGGACTTTGTTTGAATTCTGATTAAACAAACTAAATTTTCAAAGATTTTAAGACAATTTTGGAAACAAACATGGAGTACAAATTTGATATGAAGGATTTTTAAGGTATAATATTTTTAGATATGATAAAAAGTGTTAAGGTTTTTTGTTGTTGTTTTAAGAGTACTTAAATGTCATAAAATGCTGTGGGATAAAATGATCTGATGACTGAAATTTCCTTTAAAATAACTCAGATTTAGGGAAAGCAAGAGTGGAGAGTGGGGTTGAGGGGTGTGAGTGGAGTGGGAAAGAACGGATGAAATGTGGCTGGCTGCCGGCTGAAATGACTGTTGCAGCAATGTGACGACTATATGTGGATATATTGTATGATTCTCTGGACTTTTGTATATGATTAAAATTCTCTATAACAAAATGTTTCTAAAAGAAAAAACAGAGTAACAGTGTATATTTCATATAGGTGTTATGGGTATTAAATGATATATGTAAAAGTGCAATACTGTCTGGGATACAGAAGGGGTTTTGAAAAGTTTATTTCTCCTTTTATTTTCTCTTTTAAAATACACCTCCCCCACAACACACAGAAAAGACACACACACACACACACACACACACACACACACACACACCAGGAGTCATCCAAAAACAGTCTTTGTAATGTTCTGCAAGGGTTGAATTGCCCTAGTAAGGGTTTGTGAAAGACTTGGATCTTTTTTACATTGAAATCAAAGGCTGGTGATTTTAGATACACTTCAGGGTCCTGGAGCCTTGGGTACTGGACCTTCCTACTTTGGGAAAATAATCAACTCCTGAGCTCCATAAACAATAACCAGTATAGAATAGAAAGCAGGATTCTCTGAGGAGAAGCCAGAGTCCCCAGCATGTGGGCAGCACCTAAAGCGTGACCCTCAGACTCAGGGAGGGACCAAGGCCTGTTGCAGGGCACCCAACTGCTGCTGCCTGATCACCAAAGGAGAAGAGTCTAAAGTGAAACCAAATAACAGGTGGCAATCTTAACCCACTCCCCTAAAAAAAAAACTCCCATTTTTAAAAAGAAAACTTACCTGAGAAGGAGTTTCTAGTCCCTGAAATTTACTGCTGTGGGTTTTATCTGTTTGCCTTTCTCCAAAATAATACAGGCTTTCCTGCAAAAAAGGGTACAATCCAACCATGGTTCATCTGCACTCTTTCCTTTCCTATATTAGGTACCCTTAGGGTTTCTACGCCTACCTTCTTTCCTAAAGTCAGTGATTTTGTTTGTTTGTTTGTTTGTTTTTTGGTAGAGTCTTGCTCTGTAACCCAGACTGGAGTACAGTGGCAGGATCTAAGCTCACTGCAACCTCTGCCTCCTGGGTTCAAGTGATTCTACTGCCTCAGCCTTCTGAGTAGCTGAGACTACAGGTGTGTACCACCATGCCCAGCTAATTTTTTGTATTTTTAGTAGAGATAGGGGTTTCACCATGTTGGCCAGGCTGCTCTCAAACTCCTGACGTCAAGAGATCCACCTGCCTCAGCCTCCCAAAGTGCTGGGATTACAGGCGTGAGCCACCCGTGCCCGGCCGAGTGATCTTTGGGCAGAAGCTACCGAAAATAACAAAATTAGGACTTCTCTCATTCAAGGATTCATACATTCATAAAATTTTAGAGCTGGAAAGACCTTAGAAAGCATCTGGTCCAACCCTTCTTTCCATATTACAAATGACAACACTGAAACCAAAAGAAAACCAAGCAACCTGCCAAGGAGATGCTGCAGCCAGTTAGAAGCAGCACAGGTCTGGAATACAGGTCCCTGGATCTCAGTCTAGGGCTCCGGATCAATGGCTGTCAATGACTTTCAAACCTTTTGTTTTTTAAGCTGCAATCCACATTAATAAACCTAGGAGACACACACACACACACACACACACACACACACACACACACACACACACCCCCCAATATTTAAACCTTTTGATATTTTCTATTCTGCTCTATTCCATTTTATTTTTAAAAGATGTCAGTTACAACCCAGTAACTTTATTTTACAACTCACTGATAAATCATGATCCATAGCTTGAAAAACACCATCCTAGAACACCCATTTTCAAAATCTTTGTATCTCAAATTAGAGAAAGCAAAGGTGGTGGAATGGGAGTGCTGGGCATTGTGCACAACCACCACCTCTTCCCTAGACTGCAGGCCAAACAACTCGAGCAGAGCTGCTGGAAATGGTAGCATCTCAGCAAGAAAATGGCAGAAAGAAAAATGATTGAGAACTCTGCTTTAAGTGGAAACAGCCCACCTTGTCTTATCAGAAATTTCTAGAGGTCACAGACTCCACATGTATTGACTAAGCAAAGATATTTACATTCAGGAGAGGCTTTGTTTTGAGTTGTGAAATGTTGCTTTTTATCTACCTAAGAGTTGTGAGGATGGGCAAGGCTCTTTGGAGAATTTATCTAATTAAGCTTGATACTATTCTCACGAGGAAGGAAGAAGTCATGGTACTGGCAGGAGTAAGAGCAGAGCCAGGTGAAGTGAGGGAAGTATCTTGATTACTGAATTTTTTTTCTGTGTAACATGGCTTTACTCCCCTCACCTTAATCCTGCCCCATCAGGTCTTGTCTTTATTTAAAATGTTGATATTGTATACAGCATAGATATTTTGCATTAATTTTTATTAAAATATTGCGTTAAAATTATTTATTTTAATTATTACAATTTTTAGCATTCCCTTAAATGTTGCACCTCATTGACCTCACTCTAGTCCTGGCCCAAAGAGATTCTGCAGTCAGCTACTAACTAGTGCACATTAAACAAGAAAGTATCAAAAACAGACTTTCTAAAAACTGCTTCTCTAATTACAGTTTTACTAAGCACCATGAATCAAATAATCATCTTAACGTCCTACCAGCGATGTTTCAGAACTAGCAAACTCAATCATCATAAGACAAATTTTGTAGAACATCTTTCATACCTCTGCAGTTAAAAATATTTTGGAGGCAATAAGGCAGGCACAAACCATAGTTCCGGTTCTTCCTAGAAAAGAAAAGTATTTCAAGGAACATACGTGGTATAAAAATACACTCAGAAATATTCAAGGAGTGCATTTTAAGTTGATTTTTCTTTTTTTTGAGACAGGGTCTTGTGTCACGCAGGCTGGAGTGCAGTGGCACAATCTTGGCTCATTGCAACCTCTGCCTCACAGGTGAAAAATACGCAAATTACATTTACAGTAAAAATATCTCTCACCATCTCTCCATAAAAGGACACGATGAGGTTTTTACTAAATCTGTAAGAAAGCAACAATTATGTCTTTTATAATTTTTTTGGATAATAGTAAAAAAGAAAAATTCCCAACTCATTGAGTACATTAATATAACTGATTCCAAAATTGCACAAATACAGTAGGATATTTTTACACCAGTCTCACATATAAATGTAGATTTTAAAATATACATATATTTTCAAAGTGAATTCAGCAACGTAGAAACACCATGTATCAACACCAAGTGCCATTTCTCTTAAGGATGCAAGGATTTTTTTCCAAGATGGCAGATTACAGGCTTTTAGCATGCCTCAGTCATTTGGAAATAGCAAGCAAGTACATAAAGACCAACTCTGTGAGCTTTAATTCAAGAAAGAAAATGGCAATTCCCCAGAATGATGAAGGACATCCCAGATCCTGGGGAGGACATTGCAGGCAAGCAGCCCTCAGGACAGCATTTGACTGATAAAAGTGAGTGAAGCCTCAGTATGTGAGAGAGGCAGACAGCATCCCTCTGTCTCACCTTTCCACTGGAGATCCACGCAACCCGGGCAGAGGAAGAGATTGTTTCTCCCAAACCTTGACGATCATTTGAGGAAAGACTTGGAGACTTTGTGGGGGAAAGACACAGGGAAACGCTGCCGGCATTGTCCCAAACCTGGACTGGGAGCAGGACAACACTGGGGGAATCTTCCCTATCTGGCTCCACCCATCTTGTGCCCCCAATCCCCCTACCCCTAGGGCTGAGGGAGCTCAGATTAATGTGTACTCAGGAAATCAGCCCATTCCTGGGGCAGCAGAGAGCTCCTCCCAATAAACAAGGATCAAGTACACAGCCAGCAGCACTGGCAACAGCCAGCTCTTACCCATGGCGCCATCTACTGGCTTGTAGGTCAAACCACACACCCAATATAAAACCTGCTGGCAGAAGTGCATAGGGCTACAGAAGCAAAGCCAAAAGACCCTACCCAGCATGCTCTACAGCCACACCCCCTAGAGAGGAGGGAAAGGGAAAGAAGAAAAAAAATAACAATAATATTATAGAAAAGGAAAGAAAAAGAAAAAATCCTACCCAAACAAAAATAATTACACAAATTAGAAGTGCTAGCATCTCCAGATGAGAGGGACCCACGCAAGAATTCTGGCACCATGAGAAATCTGAATGTAGTGACACTACCAAAGGATCACACTAGCTCTCTGGCAATGCTTCGTGCCAAAATGAAAACTCAGAGATGACAATAAACATTTCAAAGCTTGGGTTGCAAGGAAGCTCAATGAGATTCAAGGTTGAAATCAACAAAAAGAAACTTCTACATCAATCCAGGAAATGAAGGAAGAGATAAACATCTTAATAAGAAATCAATCAGAACTTCTAGAATTAAAAAAACTCACTTAAGGAACTTCAAAATACAACTGAAAGCTTTATCAATAGACTGGACAAAGTAGAAAACATAATTTCAGAGCTTGAAGACTGGTCTTTTGAACTAATCCAGTCAGACAAAGATAAAGAAAAAAGATTTTTTAAAAGTGAAGAAAGTCAGAAATATGAGATTATGTAAAGTGATCAAACCTACGAATTACTGGCATGCCCTAGAGAGAAACAGAAAAAGAAAACAGCCTGGAAAACATATTTGATGGAATAATTCAAGAAAATTTATTGAATCTTGCTAGATAGACATCTAAGTACAATAAAGCCAGACAGCACCTGTGAGATACTATAAAAAATGAACATTACCAAGGCATATACTCACCAGACTGTCCAAGGTCACTGTCAAAGAAAAAGCCCTAAAGGCACTGGAGAAAAAGGCCAGATCACATACAAAGGTAGCCCCATCAGGATAACAGCAGACTTCTCAGCAGAAACCTTAGAAGCCAGGAGAGATTGAGGGATCTATTTTCAGAATTGTTAAAGAAAATAAATTATAATCAACAGATTCATATCCTGCCAAACTAAGCTTCATGAGTGAAGGAGAAATAAAAACATTTTTCTTTTTTTTTTTTTTAAATTTATTTTTTATTTATTTTTTTTTATTGATCATTCTTGGGTGTTTCTCGCAGAGGGGGATTTGGCAGGGTCATAGGACAATAGTGGAGGGAAGGTCAGCAGATAAACAAGTGAACAAAGGTCTCTGGTTTTCCTAGGCAGAGTGTGTGTGTCCCTGGGTACTTGAGATTAGGGAATGGTGATGACTCTTAACGAGTATGCTGCCTTCAAGCATCTGTTTAACAAAGCACATCTTGCACCGCCCTTAATCCATTTAACCCTGAGTGGACACAGCACATGTTTCAGAGAGCACAGGGTTGGGGGTAAGGTCACAGATCAACAGGATCCAAAGGCAGAAGAATTTTTCTTAGTACAGAACAAAATGAAAAGTCTCCCATGTCTACTTCTTTCTACACAGACACAGCAACCATCCGATTTCTCAATCTTTTCCCCACCTTTCCCCCTTTTCTATTCCACAAAACCGCCACTGTCATCATGGCCCGTTCTCAATGAGCTGTTGGGTACACCTCCCAGACGGGGTGGTGGCCGGGCAGAGGGGCTCCTCACTTTCCAGTAGGGGTGGCCGGGCAGAGGCGCCCCTCACCTCCCGGACGGGGCGGCTGGCCGGGCAGGGGGCTGACCCCCCCCTACCTCCCTCCCGGACGGGGCGGCTGGCCGGGCGGGGGGCTGACCCCCCCACCTCCCTCCCGGACGGGGCGTCTCGCCTGGCGGGGGGCTGACCCCCCCACCTCCCTTCCGGACGGGGTGGCTGCCGGGCGGAGACGCTCCTCACTTCCCAGACGGGGTGGCAGCCGGGCGGAGGGGCTCCTCACTTCTCAGATGGGGCGGCTGCCGGGCGGAGGGTCTCCTCACTTCTCAGACGGGGCAGCGGGGCAGAGGCGCTCCCCACATCTCAGACGATGGGCGGCCGGGCAGAGACGCTCCTCACTTCCTAGATGGGATGGCGGCCGGGAAGAGGCGCTCCTCACTTCCTAGATGGGATGGCGGCCGGGCAGAGACGCTCCTCACTTTCCAGACTGGGCAGCCAGGCAGAGGGGCTCCTCACATCCCAGACAATGGGTGGCCAGGCAGAGACGCACCTCACTTCCCAGACGGGGTAGCGGCCGGGCAGAGGCTGCAATCTCGGCACTTTGGGGGGCCAAGGCAGGCGGCTGGGAGGTGGAGGTTGTAGCCGAGATCACGCCACTGCACTCCAGCCTGGGCACCATTGAGCACTGAGTTAACGAGACTCCATCTGCAATCCCAGCACCTCGGGAGGCCGAGGCTGGCGGATCACTCGCGGTTAGGAGCTGGAGACCAGCCCGGCCAACACAGCGAAACCCCGTCTCCACCAAAAAAATACGAAAACCCGTCAGGCGTGGCGGCGCGCGCCTGCAATCGCAGGCACTGGGCAGGCTGAGGCAGGAGAATCAGGCAGGGAGGTTGCAGTGAGCCGAGATGGCAGCAGCACAGTCCAGCTTCGGCTCGGCATGAGAGGGAGACCGTGGAAAGAGAGGGAGAGGGAGAGGGAGACCGTGGAAAGAGAGGGAGAGGGAGAGGGAGCATAAAAACATTTTTCTAGAGAAGCAAATGCCAAGAGAGTTCATTACCACTAGACCAGTCTTACAAGAGATGCCTAAGGGAGTTCTAAACATGGAAATGAAAGAATGATACCTGCTATCATAAAAACACACTTAAGTACACAGCTCACAGACCCTATAAAACAACCATACAATAGAAAGTACAAAAAAACCAGCTAACAATTTCATGATAGGGTGAAAAGCTCACATGTCAATAGTAACCTTGAATGTAAACACACCACTTAAAAGTCACAGAGTGGGCTGGGTGCGGTGGCTATTCCTGTAATCCCAGCACTTTGGGAGGCCAAAGCAGGCAGATCACAAGGTCAGGAGATCGAGACCATCCTGGCCAATGTGGTGAAACCCTGTCTCTACTAAAAATATAAAAATTAGCCAGGCGTGATGGCACATGCCTATAATCCCAGCTACTCAGGAGGCTGAGGCAGGAGAATCACTTGAACCTGGGAGTCAGAGGTTGCAGTGAGCCAATATCATGCCACTGCACTCTAGCCTGATGACAGAGTGAGATTCTGAAATAAATAAATAAATAAATAAATAAATAAATAAATAAAGTCACAGAGTGGCAAGTTGGATTAAAAAAACAAAACCCATCTGTCTGCTGTCTTCAAGAGACCCATCTCACATGTAACAACACCAATAGGTTCAAAGTAAAGGGTTGAAGAAAGATCTGTCACACAAACAAAACACAAAAAAGAGCAGGGGTCACTATTCCTAAAACAGATAAAACAAGCTTTAAACCAACAATAGTAAAAAAGGACAAAGAAGAGCATTACATAATGATACGGAGTTCAATTCAACAAGAAGCCTTAACTATCCTAAATATATATGCACCCAACATTGGCTCACCCAGGTTAATAAAACAGATACTTCTAGACCTATGAAAAGACTTAGCCACACAATAGTCAGGGGACTTCAACACCCCACTGATAACATTACACAGATCATAAAGACGGAAAACTAACAAAGAAATTCTGGACTTAAATTCAACACTTGATCAATTGGACCTAATAGAAACCTAAAGAACTCCCAGCATTTTGGGAAGCTGAGGTGGGTGGGCGGATCACGAGGTCAGGAGTTTGAGACCAGCCTGGCCAATATGGTGAAAACCCATTGCTACTAAAAATACAAAAATTAGCCTGGTGTGGTGGCAGGTGCCTGTAATCCTAGCTACTCGGGAGGCTGAGGCAGAAGAATTGCTTGAACCCAGGAGGCAGAGGTTGCAATGAGCCGAGATCATGCCACTGCACTCCAGCCTGGACAACAGAGTAAGACTCAATCTCGAAAAAAAAAACACCTACGAACCAAGAAGGCCCAGATCAGATGTATTCACAGCTGAATTCTATCAACTATACAAAGAAGAACTGGTACCAGTTCTACTGAAACTATTCTAAAAAATTGAGGAGGGACTCTTCCCTAATTCATTCCATGAATCCTGCATCACCCTGAAACCAAAACCTGGCAAAGACACAATAAAAAAAAGAAAACTAAAAGGTAATCTCAATGATGAAGACAGCCACAAAAATCCTTAACAAAATACTGGCGAACCAAATCCAACAGCACATCAAAAAGTTCATGATCAAGTAAGCTTCATTCCAAGGATACAAGGTTCAGCATATGCAAACCAATAAATGTGATTCACCACACAAACAGAATTAAACAGAAACCACATGATCATCTCAACAGATGCAGAAAAAAAAGCTTTTGATAAAATCCAACATCTTTCTTGATAAAAAAAAAACACTCAAGAAACGAGGAATCAAAGGAACATACTTCAAAATAGAGCCATGGGCCAGGTGCAGTGGCTCACATCTGTAATCCCAGCACTTTGGGAGGCCAAGGCAGGCAGATCACTTGAGGTCAGGGGTTCAAGACCAGCCTGGCCAACATAGTGAAACTCCGTCTTTACTAAAAATACAAAAATTAGCCAGGCGTGGCGGCACATACCTGTAATCCCAGTGACTCAGAAGGCTGAGGCAGGAGAATTGCTTGAACCCAGGAGGCGGAGGTTGCAGTGACCGAGATTGCACCACTGCATTCCAGCGTGGGTGACAGAGCAAGACTCCATCTCAAAAAACAAACAAACAAACAAACAAAAAAAACAGGCTGGGCGCGGTGGCTCATTCCTGTAATCCCAGCACTTTAGGAGGCTGAGGTGGGTAGATCACCTGAGGTCAGGAGTTCGAGAGCAGCCTGGCCAACTTGGTGAAACCCCATCTCTACTAAAAATACAAAAATTAGCTGGGCGTTGTGGCAGGCGCTTGTAATCCCAGCTACTTGGGAGGATGAGGCAGGAGAATCACTTGAACCTGGGAGGTGGAGGTTGCAGTGAGCCAAGATTGCACCACTGGACTCCAGCCTGGGCAAGAAGAGTGAAACTCCATCTCAAAAAAAAAAAAAAAAAAAGAAATCATTTCCTTTGCAGCATCATGGATGCAGCTGGAAGTCATTATCCTGAGCAAATTAATGCAGGAACAAAAAACCAAATACCATATGTTCTCACTCATAAGTGAAAGCTAAACAATGGGTGCTCATGGACATCAAGGTGGCAATAATGGACCCTGGGGAGTTCTAGAGGGGGCACAGCAGAAAAGGGCACAGGATGAAAAACTAACTATTGGGTCCTGTGCTCAGTACCTGGGTGATGCGATCACTCACACCCCAAACCTCAGCATCACACAATATTACCAATAAACCTGCATATGTACTTCCAAATCTAAAAGTTAAATTATACCAAAAATCTAAGCTCAAAAAGAAAAAAGTCTTTTGCCCATTAAAAAACAAATAATAGAAAATACAAGAATCATCCTATATCAGAAATCTATGTTAATGCAATTTATCATATTCATTGATTAAAGAAGACATACCTTACAATTATCTCAATTAATGTAGGAAAAAGCATTCACTAACATTCAGCCTGCACCTGTGACTTTAAAAATTAACAACAACTAGGAAACTTCCTTAACTCAACAAAGAGAATCTACCAAAATACCTACCAGGAACATCATATTAATGACATAATATTGACAGCGTTTTCTTTAAAGCCTGGCATTAAACAAAAATGCCCTCTCTTCACTGCTTCCATTTAACACTATACTGCAGAGCCTAACCAGTGTAGAAAGTCAGTGTAGTAAGTAAATCTATAGAATAACTCCTTAATCTAATGAGAGAGTTTAGGAAGATTTCTAGATGCAGGCTCAACATAAACAAAAATTAATAGCTAAATCAAGGATGCAGGTTGAAATCTTTACAGTAATTAATAAAAACATAGAAAAGGAGTATATGACTTCCAAGGTAATGACAGAGGGTGAGAAGGAAAGAATTATATTATTAAAATTCAATCGAACGAAAACAGAATGTCAGTAGGAAAATAGAAGAGTTAAATAAAATAGATGTACATAGAACGCTGTTCTCAACAATGCATAATACATGTTCTTTTCAAATGTACACAAAACATTTGACAATATTGACCAAATTCTGGGCCATAAAGCAAATCTAAACAAATTTCAAAGAACTAAAAAAGAAAAAAATACATAGTATGTTCTGTGTCCACAACACAATATAATCAGAAATAAAAAATTTAAAGATAAATACAAAATTCTCATATGTTTGGAAATAAGGAAGTATACCTCTACATAACTCATGGGTCAAAAAAAAAACAAGCACAAAGTTGGAACATAGTTTGAACTAAGTAAAATAAAAACACTACAAATAAAAATTTATGGGATGAAGCTAAAGCAATTCTTAGAGGAAAACTTGTAGCCTTAAATGGTAAATAGAAAAGAGTGGTCGACACTCTAAGAATTATCCATGTCAAGAAGTCAGGAAAAGAACAAATTAACCCAAGGAGTACAGAAGAAAATACTAAATATCATAGTAATTGATGAAATAAAAAATAGAGACCACCAATAAGGCCAAAAATTTGGTACTTTTAAAGGACTAGTAAAACTGATAAATCCCTGGTGAGACTAATGAAAAGAAAAAAAGGGGAGAAGGCACCAAGAAAGCAATGTCAGGAATAAAAAAGGGAACACCTCTGTAGACATTAAAATGGTAAAATGATATTGTGAACAATATGATGTCAAGACATTTGCAAAGTCAGATTAAATGGACAAATACTGGGAAAACTATAATCTACCAAAATGGGCAAAAGAAATAAAATTATAAAAACATTCTATATATAGAATTGAGTCATAATTTAAAGACTTCTCTCCAGAGAAAGCTCTAGGCCAATGTGCCTTCACTGGTGAATTTCACTTTACACTTAAGAAGGAAAAAAATCAGCATGCATAAATTTACCCAGAGAAGAAAAACAGAGAAAATGAAATCTAACTCATTTTACGAAGCCAAGATTTGAAAAAACTATCAGAAAGGAAAATTATAACCAATCGCCCAGATGACATGAATTTGAAAATCCTAAACAAAATATTAACAAACAGAATCTGGCAATTTAATAATAAAATAATTTAATAAGTATTTAACAAAATAATACAGCACAACTAAATTACGTTTATTCCAGAAATATGTTGGTTTACCACTTACTCAATGTAATTAACCACATTTATGTATAGGATAAAGTAGAAAAATTATCATTTCAAAATTCAGAAAAATCTTTAAGAATTCAACATCCATTCATGATTTTTTAAAAAAAAAACTCTTAGCAAGCTAAAGAATTTCTTTTTTCTTTCTTTTTTTTTTTTTTTTTTTGTTTTGTTTTTTGAGACAGAGTCTCACTCTGTCATCCAGGCTGGAGAGCAGTGGTGTGATCTTGGCTCACTGCAACCTCTGCCTCCTGGGTTCAAGTGATTCTCGTGCCTCAGCCAGAGTAGCTGGCATTACAGGCATGTGCCACCACACCTGGCAAATTTTTGTATTTTTTAGTAGAGACAGGGTTTCACTATGTTGCCTAGGCTGGTCTTAAACTCCTGGCCTCAAGTGATATGCCCCCACTGGGCCTCCCAAAGTGCTGGGATTACAGGTGTAAGCCATGGCACCCAGCCAAGGAATTTCTTAATCAATAAATGGTAGCTAATACACACACACACACACACACACACACACACACACACACACACACAGAGAATCGTAAAGCAATTGGAGAGATGTTGAATGCTTTTCCTTTGAGAATGGAACTGTATGTTGATGGCTGCTATTGCCATTTCTAATTCTACACTGTACTGAAGGTTCTAGCCAGTGCTAGGGGAGAGAAATGACTGAAATGGAAAAAATACAATTTATTATTTTCATATGATGTAATCATGTACCATAAAATCCAAAAGAATCTATAGATAAATTAGTAGAACTAATAAGTGAGTTTAGGCTGGGCATGGTGGCTCAGGCCTGCAGTCCTAGCACTTTGGGAGGCGGAGGCTGAGGCTGGCAGATCACTTGAGGCAGGAGTTTGAGAGCAACCTGGGCAACATAGCAAAACCCCATCTCTACAAAAAAATCAAAAAATTAGCTGGGCATGGTGGCATCTGCCTGCAGTGCTAGCTACTCAAGAGGCTGATATAGGTGGATCACCTGAGCTCAGGGAGGTTGAGGCTGTACTGAGCCGTGATCATGCCACTGCACTCCAGCCTGGGTGACAGAATGAGACCCTACCTCAAAAAAAAAAAAAAGTGAGTTTATGAAAGTTGCTAATTGCAAGATTAATGAATAAAATGAACTGCATTTAAAACAATAAAAAACATTTAGAAAATAAACATTTTTAAAGGGATATCATTTAAATAACCACAAAAACATCTAAGAATGAATCTCACCAAAAATATGCAAGCTTTCTATACAGAAAATGAGAAAGCATTGTAAAGAGAAATTGAAGAGGACCTAACTAAATGAGAGAATGCCTCTCTTCATGGGTTGGATGAGTCAATATTGTAAAGATTCAATTCTCCCCAGTCTATAAATTCAATGCAATTCCAAACAAATTTCTATCCAGTGTGTGTAATTTGACTAGTTGATTCCCAAATTTATATGGAAATATAGATGACCTAAAATACCCAAACAATTGTGAACAAAAAGAAAAAGATGATGAGGACGTATTAGAAAGCTATAGTAAGATAGTTGTGCTATTGGCACACAGATGAAAAATCAATGAACAGAATAGAAAGGTCAGAAACAGATTCATGTTCTTCAGGGTAGTAAAGAAATGAAAATCTTCTGAACCAGTGTGCTGGAATAACTGGATAGCCATACATGGAAAAAGATGAAACCTGATGCCTTCCTTACACCACACACATAAATCAATTTTAAAAGGAATGGACCTTCTAGAAGAAAATACAGTAGTAAAGTGTCCTTTAAACTCAAGGAAAATTGTCTTAATCGGGACACAAAAACACAAACTTTATAAAGGGAAAGCATGATACCTATGATGGTAAGACAACTAAGAACTTCTGTTAACCAAAAGATACTCCTGAGAGAGAGAAACGGCAAATCACAGAGCAGAAAAGCTTTCTTGAATACATTTATGACCAATAACAGAATTGAAATCAGAATACATAAAGAACTCCTACAATCAGGAGAAAAAAGATGAATAATCCAGGAGAAAAATGGTTAAGAAAATTAAAAAGTTACTTTACAAAAAAGGATATCCAAATACTTAATAATCTTAAGAAAACTTCCTCAATCTTATTCGTAATTATGGAAATGCAAATGATCACCACCATAAGATGCCATCACACAAACACCCAAAGGCTAAAAATAAAAATACCCAGAATTGCAAGTATTGGGGAAGATATGGAATGCTTGAAGTGTACAATACCAGTGCAGTAAAAATTGGTACAACTGTTTTAGAAAACAGGTGACATTATCAAGTAAAGTTCAAGATTCATTACCCTAAGAACAATTTTAGTCTGAGGTATTAACTCAACAAAAATGTGGCCATATATGCATCAAGAAACGTGTATTTTTAAAAGCAGTATTATTGGGCTAGGTGCGGTGGCTCATGACTGTAATCCCAGCACTTTGGGAGGCAGAGGCAGGCACATCACTTGAGGTCAGGAGTTTGAGACCAGCATGGACATCATGGCAAAATCCCATCGCTATTAAAAATACAAAATTAGCTGGGTGTGGTGGTGGACGCCTGTAATCCCAGCTACTCTGGAGGCTCAGGCATGAGAATTGCTTGAACCCAGGAAGTGGAGGTTGCAATGAACTGAGATCATGCCACTGCACTCCAGCCTGGGTGACAGAGTGAGACCTTATCTCGAAACAAAAAACAAAAAACATAATTTATCACAATAAAAATTGGAAACAACCCAAATGTAATAGAAAAAAAGAGATTCCATTTTCAGTCACAATTTGTGTAGGAATGAATTTTTGAAAAGATGTGCAAAGACATAATGAAAAAAAGTGTAAAATATTATTAAAGAATGAACAAGATGATTCACATGTACAACTCAATATCGCAAAGTTGTCAGTTCTCTCAAGTTAATCTATAAATTCAATGTAGTTCCAATAAAAATCCTAAAAGTGTTTTATTATGGCACTTCACAAAATGATTTTAAAATTGAATGTAATAATTAAGTTCCAAGAAGAGCAAGACAATTCTGTCTTTATCAAAGCATATTATAAAGCTACAATAATTACAAAAGTGTGGTAGAGAGAACTTAGGAACAGTTTTGAATATTTATAGAAACTTGGTATATTACTGAGAGGGATTACAAATTAATGGAGAACAAAATAGCATGCATTTGATGGTGTTAAGACAATTGGCTATCTATATGAAAAAAACACTTCCCCAAACTTCCAACTAGATTAAAGACCCAAATATTAAAAATGGAACTTGAATATTTTTGAAGAAATGTGGAATATCTTTACTACATCAGTATAGTGGTGAATTTCATAAACATGACAGAAAAGCATGAAATACATGCACACACATAGATAAACAAATTTTACTATATTCAGTATTACAAACTTCTCTCCGGGCATGATGGCTCATGCCTGTAATCCCAGCACTTTGGGAAGCTGAGGTGGGTGGATCACTTGAGTCCAGGAGTTCGAGACCAGTCTGGGCAACACAGTGAGACCCTGTCTCTATAAAAAATACAAAAATTAGCCAGACATGGTGATGCTCACCTGTAGTCCCACTTACTCAGAGGGGCTGAGATGGGAGGATCGCTTGAGCCCTGGGAGGTTCAGGCTGCAATGAGCCCAGATCGTGCACTGCACTCCAGCCTGAGTGACAGAGCGAGATCATGTCTCAAAACAAAACAAAAATTTACAAACTTTTGTATAACAAAATAAATCACAATCAAATTTAAAAGGCAACATGTGGGGAGAATATAATTGCAATACTAAGAAAAATTGGCATTCAGATTCTTTAAAGAACTCCTGTAAATCAATATAAAACATTTTTACTATCATGATACTACTGGTAACCTGCAGGCAGCAACCAACCAGAAGAGAGCAAGACTAATATGAATGAACACATAAAAAAAAGGCTGCTTTGGTACATACCAGCTGAATATTGGCCCTCTAAACAACCTTTAACAAAATCAACAAAATACTATGTGAACACAGAATAATGTAAACCCCCTCTCAGCAAAAAAGAAAAAAGTCAAATTTGAAATGAATGTTTTCCTTCAAGCAAGGAATTAGCCTTAGTTAATAGAAAACTGATGCTAACTCTTTAATAATAACATTTTAGGTTGGGCAATGTGAAATGGCTGTTTTTAAAGCAAAAGATGGTTAAAAGCTGGCAATTTCAAATGATTCAACCTCTATATTCTTAACTATGGTATTGTAAATTGCCAGTTTATACACAATATTCCAACCTGTAGAGCTAAACACAGAACCTGTATATTAACTAATATACAGCTAAACACAGAACCTGTATATTAACTAATATACAGCTAAACACAGAACCTGTATATTAACTAACGGGCTTGAAACTAGTCAATAAGACTAAAACTTGATTTTACTGAATTATATAAGTCAGTTTACAGTGTTACGTTTTCCTGGAATTTGATATAAAAATTGATTTAGAGCCCACTAAAAATGTAATTATTTATGTTTGTCAAAATTTGTGAAATATGCTAAGATGATTATTTAAAGCCTAAACCTGAATGAGAGAAAACCTAATTGAACTTAAATTGGGTGGATTTACAAATGACTTTTTTTCCCCATTTTAACCCCACCAATGTCAACTTCTTCGTATCATTACACTATAAAAATTCCAGTATAATTTTTGAAATAGCATCTCTGTTGGCTCCCTTACTCTAAAAGGTTCTCACAAAGTTTAAGAACAACCTTAAATTTTACCGGAACAAAAACAGACATATAGACCAATGGAACAGAATAGAAAGCCCTGAAAAAATCCATGCATTTATAGTCAGCTGATGTTCGACAAAGGTGCCAAGAATCCAAGATGGGGAAAGGACAGTCTCTTCAATAAACGATACTGGGGAAACTGAATATCCACTTTCAGAAGAATGAAATTGCAACCTATCTCACCCAATATACAAAAATCAACTCAAAGTAAATGCTTAACTGTGAAACCTGAAATTGGAAAACTGCTAGAAGAAAACACAGGTGAAAATCTTCTTGACATTGGTCTAGGCCAAGATATTTTTGGATATGACTGAAAAGCATAGGCAACAAAAGAAAAAGTAGACAAATGATACTGTATCAAACTAAAATGCTTTTGCACAGCAAAGGAAACATTTATGGAGTAAAGAGACAACCTACAGAATGGGAGAAAATATCTACGAAGCATACATTCGATAATAGGCTAACAGTTTTTTTTTTAAAAAAGGAACCCAGACAACACAATAGCAAGAGAACAAGTTACTTCTCTAGAAAATGGGCCAAGAACCTGAAAAGATATTTCCCAACGGAAGACACACAAATGGCCAAGAAGTATATGAGAAAATGCTAAACATCATTAATCATCAGGGAAAAGCAAATAAAAACCACAAAGAGATATCCTCACACCTGTTAGGATAGTCATTAACAAAAAGACAAAAGAAGAGTTGGTGAGGATGAAGAGAAAAGGGATCCCCCTTGTACACTGTTGGTGTGAATGTAAATTAGTAGTTATTGTGGAAAACAGCACTGAGATTCCTCAAAAAACCAAAAATAGAACTATCATATGATTTGGAGAGTCCACTTCTGGGTATATATCCAAAGGAAATGAAAACTGCACTCCCGTGTTCACTGCAGCATTATTCATAATACCCAAGCTATGGAGTCAATCTAAATGTCATCAGTGGATGAATGGATAAAGAATATGTGCTATCTATAAATAAAGGCATACAATTCAGCCTTAGAGGATATCCTGTCACGTGATAATATGGATGAACCTGGAGAACATTATGCTAAGTGAAATAAGCCAGGCATAGAAAGACAAATACTGCATGACTCACTTATTTGTGGAATCTAAAAAAGTCAAATTCATAGAAGCAGAGAGTAGAATGGTGGTTACCGGGGACTGGGGGGACTGTGGAGATGTTGGTTTTTACTTTATTATTTTTATTTTTTTAGATTGAGTTTTGTTCTTGTTGCTCAGCTCTAGGAATCTAATACAGTGCCCAAGACAGAGGGACCATGCCCCCCTCCCAGATGACTCCCCCTGTGCCTACCTGTGACAGTGACCATAGCTAGTAAACTGGGGGCTCACGGTGTGTTTAGGCTGAGGGGGGGCCTTCAAGTTTAGTGTCCCCAGGAGATGCTCAGCCTTCATGTGACCTGGATGCCCCCGAGTGTTTCGGCAACCCCTGGAGAGGCACACTGTCGGACAGCTGAGCTGAGAGCCTGTGAGCTGTCCCATAATCCATGGCCGAGACTCAGAGGGGTGTCCCAGCCTGCTGCCTCCCAATTCAGGCTAAGTCAGCTGAGGAGGGCCTGTCCATGTGCAGAGGGTCCAGACCACATGCTCTGCCAGCCCATGACCTCGGCACTGGAGGACAGAAGGGCAGTGACAGCTGGGACGAGAGGAAGAGCAGATCTCAAATGCTCCCAGGCACTTGGCACTCGCAGGTAAAAATGTCTTCTGGATTCCCCAAGAATTTGCTACTCAGTGGGGAGGAGGAGGAGCAAGGAAGTGGCCACCGTTGGCTGCCTGTGCCCAGCAGGTCCACATTCCCTGCTCTGATGAGGCAGCTGCACGTGGTTCTGCGAGGGATTTCGCAGTTCCCCCTTAGCCAGTCACAGGTCATCGGGACCCAGGCAAAGGAAATCCTGATGGTCCCAAGGGAAGCCTGGATAAGAGTAACATCTTCAATGACTTCCTCTCTCATTTCCCCACCCTGCAAAGCACTGGCCTTGGGCAGTGCAAGGGCACTTCCTCTTTGCCTCTTTCCCTTCCTTCCTCTTATCCTTCCTCTCACTCCTTCCCTCCCCTGCTCCCTCCGCCCATGCACCTGTCTCCTGCCCAGCCCACCTGGAGAAGGCTGCTCTGGGATTAATTCAGACCTAGATGATGGGAGTGAAGCCGCACCCCTGTCAGAGGGAAGCACTTTGGGCCCAGCCACCTGTTCGCCCCGTTTGATGAAGGAAACAATGCCTGGCAAAGCACCGCTCCCTGGCCAGGGCAGCAGGCCAACCTGCTGTCACTGTGCCTTAATCACCCCCATGCCCAGGCAGCACCGTCTGCAGGATCTTTTAATAGGACACGGACAATGAGCTCACAGAGCTTCTCTGTCCCCTACAGACAGGCACCACAGAACCTTGGAAGAGAGAAAGTTAAACAAGCCCAGCCTCCCTGCCTCATGCCTTGGGGCTGACTGGCTCTAACGTGGTTCGGCTGTGCTGTTCCATCCTGGGACAGAGCACCCCGCTGCCTGGCCTTTTCCATGCCTGCACCCCCAGCAGGCTCTATCTAGGGTTTGCTGGGGACTCACTCCAGGCCAGGAGAGGGCCTGTGAGCTCTGGCAGTTTGTGCCATGTGTGGGCAACAGACCTGAGAAACGCTGTTTAATAGGGTTGCCTCGAGCACATTTTCAAGACGAACACAAGAAGACTAGCAAAGTAGTGAAGAGTTTGGACTTTGGAGTCGGGAAGTTCAAGTTCAAATACAGTGTCCCGAGCACCTGCTAAGCTCCCTGAGCCACACCTGCAGGTTGGGACACTGGGCTGATGTAAGAATTAAATGGCACAGTGTGTGCAAAAACTGGTAGCATCAGGCCCAAGAAGTCAACAATGAAAGGAAGACGGAAGGGATTGTGAGGTCTGGGAAGTGTCTGGAAAAATGTCGCATTGCAGAAGGCCTGTGGTGTTAGGATATGCGTATTGGATTTTGTCCAGGCTCCTGGCTCCCAATGCCTACATTGCTTGTTAGAATGCTGGGGTGCTTTAGGACTCAGGAAACAGAATCTCTCTCTCTGAACTTCTGTTTTTCTTTCACCTGCCCACAGTGGGATGCTAATCTATTTGTGGATCAAAAAACCCTCATTCCACAGAAGGTCCCCATACCCTAGGAGAAGGAATGCTGCTTAGAGAGGCCAAGAAAAGTCTGAGCAGGCCGGCCTTGCTGGGTTTAGGTCATCCGCTTTCTGTCCAGTCACATTTCCGCATGGTTGTCAAGCATGCCCTTGCATTGGAGCCTCCATAAAAACCCACGAGGACAGGCTCTGAGAGCTTCCAGATACCTGAACCCATGGAGGTTCCTGGAGGGTGGCGCACCCAGGGAGGGCACTGAAGCTCCCGGCACCTTCCCCCATACCTCGTCCTGTGCATCTCTTTATCTGCATCCTTTGCGACATTCTTTAAAATAAACTGGTAAACATGTTTCCCTGAGTTCTGTGAGTCGCTCCAGCAAATTAATCAAACACAAAGTGGGAGTTGTAGGAATCCCAACTTGAAGCCAATGGGTCAGAAGCTCTGGAGGCCTGGCCCTGTGACTGGTGTCTGAGGGCTGAGGGGCACCCTTGGAGACTGAGCCCTCCCCCTGTGGGATCTGACGCTATCTCTGGATAGATATTAAATAGACCCATTAAACAGTAAATCTCAGGTCTGATGCCCACACAAGGCATGAACTGCAAGAGTTCACAGACCATTGTCTTTGACTGATGAATGCCTGTTTGTGGGTTCATCAGTCAAAGACATTGGTATTCATGACATGCAAGACTGCCCTCCAGAGCTGGCACTTCATGGAGCTGTTTACTCACTGCTGGGCACCATTCCTTTGAACGTTATTAGGCTCTTTACAAACGTTAATTATGTCCATAGCTCATGGTTAGGTAGACGGTAAATGTTCTTTTAGGTGATGAGCGTATTCAGCACCCAGAGAGGTGGAGGGGTGGGTTCAAAATCACACAGAAGCCCACTGGGGCTGACTGTATTTGTCGTCAGGACCAATATGTATCACCAGGAGTTAAAATGTCACTTTGTCACTCTTTCAAGCTAAATGTCAAGAAAGCAATTAGGGATGACCCAAAGGCTTGGAGGTCGGGAACAGCCTAGCCATCTGGGAGGCCGTATGTGGCTCCCTGCTGCTGGTACAGGCTTTAGGAAGGATGGTGAGAGGTGTGCTGGGAGGGCAGGTGTCACAGCTGCTTCATGACACCTTACCTTACTAGCTTACCTTACACCAAGTAAGGTGTGATGTGACCACACCACTGTTAGCAAAGACAAAACAAAGATATCGGGGTTCTGTGATGCCGGCCAGGGAAGCATATGGTGAATGCTCAGGAGCCCAGCCTGAGGCTCAGAGGCCGGCTGGGGACCTTGTGGGAGACAGCCTGGGGACAGAGAGATGTTGATCCAGAGGACAGAACTCCAGAGACAGAAAGGGCCTGGCAATGGCCTGGTGGGACATGGGTGAGGGCAGAGGTCAGGGGTGAAGGAAAGTGGCCGTCTGCAAGCCAGAAGATACAGCAGGAGAAGGGATCTGGAGAGAGAGTCTGGGGTGTGTGCAGGACCTCCCATCTCTGGTCACTGCTGTGTCCTGCGGGCAGCTCAGCTTCTGGCTTCCCTGGGAAACCGCCCCACAGCCATCTAGAAAAAATGAATTATCTCCCCTCTTCATCGCTGCCTCCCTTCATAGGTGGGTTAGAATTACAAGACACCACAGCCGCAAGGAAGCTTAGCAATGGTAAGTCTGCCCCTCTGTGGCAGAGAAGGGGACACCCATGGTCACTTGCACAAGATTTGAGCTGTCAGCGGCAGAATCAAGACTCTCAGACCCAGAGCCCCAGGAGACAGACAAGGACATGTTCTCAAGGCTTTGATGACTTTCTTATCACCAAGATACTCATGTCTGATTTATCTCCCTGTGGACCCCATGTTTTAAAAGATGGCCGGGCACGGTGGCTCACACTTGTAATCCCAGCACTTTGGGAGGCCGAGGCGGGCAGATCACAAGGTCAGGAGATCGAGACCATCCTGGCTAAACAGTGAAACCCCATCTCTACTAAAAATACAAAAAAATTAGCCAGGCGTGGTGGTGGGCGCCTGTAGTCCCAGCTACTCGGGAGGCTGAGGCAGGAGAATGGCGTGAACCTGGGAGGCGGAGTTTGCAGTGAGCCGAGATTGCGCCACTGCACTCCAGCCTGGGCGACAGAGCGAGACTCTATCTCAAAAAAAAAAAAAAAAAAAAAAAGAAGAAGAGTTTCATTCACCAAACACTGCATTTATCAAGTAATAACATATTCATTTTCCCGTTTTTAAAATTAATCAAAGATATACATAACTGCCAGCCAGAGTCTCTGATCAGCAGGCAATAACCCTTATTATCACCATGAGTTGATTTAATTTCTGCCAAAAGCAAAGAAACTTGGCATTTTAGATAGCCTGAACAGCTTCATTGTGTGAAAGTGGAGGTTTTCCATTACACTTAGTGAAATATTCAAAATAGCTCCCAGACCCTGGTTAATAATTCATGGCGCCCTTGGCCTCCAGGGACCCCTGTTGGGAACCACCACACCGTATTATTTATGCAGGAGTTAAGATGCAAAGGGAATCTCACTGTCCTAGAGTCTCAGCAGCAAACTGGTAAGGGATTTGTAGCCTGGATCCAGCCAGGAGCTTTGGACAAACCACTCAGTCATCCTGAGCCTCAGGTTTCCCATCAGTAAGGTGAGAATAAGATATCAGTCAGGGTTCCTAGTTGCAAACAACAGAAATAAACTCTGTTTATATGAAGGAGAAAATAATGTATTAAAAGGATACTGGGAAAAATAGCTTGGCAGCTCCTCCTCAAGTTAAACATAGAATCACTACATGACCCAGCAATTCCATTCCTAGGTCTATACTTGAAAGAATGGAAAGTAGATCTCCAAACAAAAACTAGTACATGAATATTCATAGCAGCTCTATTCACAATCGCCAAAACCTGGACACAACCCACTGTCCGTCAACAAATGAATGGGTAAACAAAATATAATATATCCAAGCAATGGGATATTGTTTGGCCGTAGAAAGGACTGAAGCTCTGATACACGCTACAACATGCCTTGAAAACATTCAAAGAGAAAATCAGACCACATAATGTATGATTCCATTCATATCAAACATCCAGAAAAAGCAAATCCATGGAGACAGAATGCACTAGTGGTTGCAAGGGACCGTGTGGGGAAGGGGGGAGTGAAAGCGGCTGCTTCTTGGGTACGGGGTTTCCATTTGGGTGATGAAGTTCTAGAACTAGATAGTGGTGATGACTGCACAACATTGGAAAAGTATTTAATGCCACTGGATTGTACACGTGATGTCTGGCAAGTCGCAGAGTGGCTGGGTGTGTGGGAACCATGCCCGTGACCGGTCCTCGGGGATGCTGCTGCTGCAGTCGCTGAGGGTCCTAGTTGCTGGGCGCTACACCTGCACGGCTGACCCAGGGTCTCCATGGCCTGTCACTGTGCCAGCTGCCCGAGAGAGGTCCTTGGGGGTCCCTGGGACTCTGGGCAAATGCCTCTGATTGGCTGCCTCACATCCCACCTTACACTGCAAGGAAGGCTAAGGAAGCAAGTCCCTGGCATTTTTATCTTCTGCTGTGGGAGTCAGTCCCTGCCTCCCACTGAGACACAGGAGGGGGAATTCTCCCAAACACAGGAAGATGGCAGAGAGGCACTTCAGGACCACCAGCGTGCACAGAGTTAATGCCTGCTTCAAAGACAGAAGAGAACCTGTCTGAGGAGTGTGGTGCATGGGGGATGTGCAGGAAATGCTAAGACAGGGGCAGATCATGAAGTCAATATTGCTCTCTAAAGGGTTCTTCGTGGGTGGCAACTTTCCCTCCCCTCTTCAACCTCCTCTGAACGCCCCCAACTTCTGCCACCATACAAAAACTCATTATTCAGAGACAATTGCTCTCTCACCTTTCCTATCTAGATGTTTCTAAACTTTGAACAAGATGATAATCGCAGCTGGTTATTTGTCTAGCAGACACTAATCCTTGCCTCTGGGCTCTGTGATGTGCTTTGCAGTTTAGCACAAGGACCTTGCTGCCGTACACTTAATAACCCAGTAATGGTGAGATGGTGCTCAGGAGGGGGCTGGAGCTGTGGGGACCTGGTCTGCCCTCTGCGCTAGGTGACAAAGCACCTGTCTCCTGTCTGCTGTTTGGCCATGATCCCCACGGTACCATTCACAGCCCCTCCCAGCTGGGTGTCAGGGTGGGGCGCTATGGAACGTCTTGCCTCTTATCTCCTATACCGACAATTCCAGAAGTAAATAGAAGCAAAATAGGATGCAAGTTAGGTTTTCTTTTTTTCTTTTTTTTTAAAGGGTAGATTTTGATATAATTTTAAAATTTCACAGAAGTTGCAAATACAGTACCTATATTGTACTATATACTGTTTATCCAGATTCAACCATTGTTTAACATTTTATGCCATTTGCTTTTTCACTCCTCTCTCTTCCTCCTCCTCCCTTCTCTCTCCCTGTCCCTCCCCCTACAGACTGTGCTATTTTACCTCTGAATGCTCAAAAACAAAGACCATCTTGTACATGACCACAGTGTAATTATCAAAATCCGGAGACTTAACACTGATACAATATTATTACCTTAATCCTCAGCCCATAATCAAAGCTCATCAATTGCCCAATAATGCCCACTATAGCTTTTTGGAGATTTTCAAGATGTCGATTTCTAGTTTAATTTCACTGTGGTCAGAAAACGTGCTCCCCGAAATGTCAACCTTTTGAGATTTACTACATCTTATTTTCTGGTTCCCCCCTTGTCCTCCTCAGCACTCCAGCTGGCTCCTTCTGGAAGTTTCCCTGGACTCTCTCCCACTCAGGCACAGCTGAGAGGTCAGTTGAAGACCTGGGGGAATTTATACACAGGTTTTAGGGCTCCCCTCCCTTGCTCCTTTCTTTTTTTTTTTTTAAGTCTTTTCATTTTTATCATTCAAAAAAGTTTCGTTTTTTTAATTTAGCTTTCTGTCTCTGTGCTTGTGCCTTCAACACTTTCACAACGATTTTCTGCTCCTCGATAAGGAAAGCACGCTTGATCCCGTCACGAACACATTTAGTACGCATGGAACCACTACAGGCCCTGCGGACATGTTTCTTTGTTTTGGACAATCTCCTAAGAACTTTAGGTCTTACAGCACGAACCCCTCAAAGTCTGCCTGGGCACACGCTACATGCAGATTTTGGTGCTTTCCCAACCTTCTTGGTATAAAAGTACACAACTCCGTTATCAGGGGTTCGGAGCAGCCTAGTTTTGTTAGAGGCTGTATTGTAGGAAAGCCTACGATAGTAGGTCAAACGCTGGACCATTCTGAGTGCCTGCAGACAACGTTCCCGGAAGCGCTCCCTTGCTCGTTTTTTTTTTTTTTTTTGGCGGGGGATGGAGTCTCTCTCTGTCGCCCAGGCTGGAGTGCAGTGGCGCAGTCTCGGCTCGCTGCAACCTCCGCCTCCCGGGTTCACGCCATTCTCCCGTCTCAGCTTCTGAGTAGCTGGGACTACAGGCGCCGGCCACCACGCCCGGCTAATTTTATTTTTGTATTTTTAGAACAGACGGGTTTTCACCGTGTTAGCCGTGTTAGCCAGGATGGTCTCGATCTCCTGACCTCACGATCCCTGGCCTCGGCCTGGCAAAGTGCTGGGATTACAGGCGTGAGCCACCGCGCCCCACCCTTGCTCCTTTCAACCTGGCGTTTTCCCCCCGCTCATTTTCCAGCCATTTAGGAATCCCGCCTCCATCCGCTGAGCCCTCAAGGCAGTGAGAGAGACTACTTTCCACATCAGCCGCAGCGGAAAACCTGAAAACGCTCATCCCTTACAGATGGACACTCTTCCAGTTTCTGCCTGTTCTTATCCACTTTCCGATAGTTCTTTAAGAAACTTAAAATAGTTTCTTAACTGTTTGAAGAACTATTTAAAGAAGAACTATTTATTAAATAGTTTCTTAACTATTTGAAGAACTATTTAACTGAAGAACTATTTGCCTTCAAATAGTTCTTTAAGAAAACTTTTTTTTTGTCCAGATTTTGTACATCAACACACACACACACACACGCGCACAGACACATATAATTAGGAATGCATCTTGTTTATGTCTCATTCTATAATATGTTACTATCACTCAAAATAGTACAACTCGACCCTAATACGACAACTTTTAATTCTGGTTGGATTCACCAGATTCAATTGTTTATTTATCTGATTTCATTATTTCATGATCTCTCCTTAACATTTCATGAAAAGGTCTTTTGGGGACTTAATGTAAGTGACAACAGAATTCAGTGTGATGAAACCAACCATATATGAAATGAACCAGATGCCATATGCTTAAACCTGTGAATATGTCAACCAGCAATTCACTGGCGCATAAATGTGCAAATGAGGAAACGTTGTTCAAACGCTTCAGCTTGTATTTTACAAAACAGTGTTTAAATATTTGACATAGTTTAATAATATTTTAGAAAAATGGCCTACCTAGTCTGGATGATGTATGCGTTTGCTGGGGTTACTATAAGGAAGTTACACACACTGAGGGCATAAACAGCAGAAGGTTATTGCTGCGTAGTCCTGGAGCCCGGAAGTCCAGGATCAAAGTGACAGGTTTGGATTCTCCTGCAGCCTCTCTCCTTGGCTTGCAGACTTCCCTCTCTACATGTCTGTATCCTAATTGCCTCTTTTTTTAATGTTTATTTTAAGTTCCTGGGTACAAATGCAGGTTTGTCACATAGGTAAACTTGTATCATGGGGGTTTGTTGTACAGATTATTTCATCATCCAGGTATATTAAGCCTAGTGCCCATTCATTATTTTTCCTGATCCTCTCCCTCCTCCTACCCTCCACTCTCTGATAGGCCCCAGTGTGCGTTATTCCCCTCTATGTATCCATGTGTTCTCATCATTTAGCTCCCACTTACAAGTGAGAATATCTGGTATCTGGTTTTCTGTTACGGTGTTAGTTAGCTTAGGATAATGGCCTCCAGCTCCATCCATGTTCCTGCAAAGGACATGATCTTGTTCTTGATTTCTTTCCCTTAATAATACATATTTAATGTTATTCAATGCCTCCTTTTCATGGCATTATAGCTTATTTCCTTTTAGTGCTGATTAATATTCCATCATCTGAATATACCGCAGTTTATTCACCTTCCAAGTTTTGGCAATTATGAATGAAGCTGCTCCAAACATCTGTGTGCAGATGGACTTTTGTATGGACATAAGTTTCCAATTCTTTGGGTAAATACCAAGTACCATAATTGGTGGATTGTATGGTATGAATATATTCAGTTGTATAAGAAGCCACCAGACTGTCTTTGAAAGTGCTTGTTCCATATTGCATACCCACCAGAAATGAGAGTTCCTGTTGCTGTTCCTGTTGGTGTTCATAGTGGAGACAGTGGATTTTAGCCATCTTAATAGATATATAATAGGATCTCATTGTTGCTTTAATTTTCTATTTCCTTTTGTTTTGTTTTGTTTTGAGATAGAGTCTCACTCTGTTGCCTGGGCTGGAGTGCAGTGGTGCAATCTACAACCTCCGCCTCCTGGATTCAAGTGATTCTCATGTCTCAGCCTCCGCAGTAGCTGGGATTACAGGCGTGTGCCACCAGGCCCGGCTAATTTTTGTATTTTTAGTAGAGACGGGGTTTCACCATGTTGGTCATGCTGGTCTCAAACTCCTGACCTCAAGTGATCCGCCTGCCTCAGCCTCCCAAAGTGCTGGGATTACAGGCATGAGCCACCACGCCCAGCCTATCTTATTTTAAATATATGAACAGTCTCCAAAACGTGAGTACAGTTTTTTACTTTCCCTTTGCAACTTGATTTTTTCCAATAAACTCCTCTGAGATCTATTCCAATGAACTAAAGCCAGGCTGATTGATTTATTCCCAGGGTGAAGAGAATAACTCCCCAATCACCTAAGTCACCCTCCAACAATGTCCTCATGAACAGCTCTCTTGATCTAAATGTCCCACGTAAGTAATGCACTGTAAAGTGGCCCATGCCATTGAAACCCCATCTACTCATGAGAAGAATCAGTAATTAAAAGGTCATTCTACTGGAGGATATCACACTATGTGAAATAAGCAAGACACAAAAGGACAAATATGCATGATTCCATGTATGGGAGAAAGCTATGGTAGTCAAATTCACAGAGACAGAAAGTAGATAGGTGGTTGCCAGGGGTTGGGAGGAGAGAGGAATGGAGAGTTGGTGTTTAGTGGGTACAAAGTATCAGTCTTGCAAGATGAAAAACACTCCAGAGACGGATGTTGGGGATAGTTTCACACAACGTGAATGTACTTAATGCCACTGAACTGTACATTTAAAAATAGTTAAGATGGGAAATGTTGTTATGTATATCTTACACAAATATAAAAAAATGAAAACTACCTGAATTATTATCTTTTTTATTTAAGTAAGGTAGTTCTCATAGAGAAGGAGAGCTCAATTAGATTTGACAAATGTCTGTGCTTGGCCTAAAGTAAGTGCAATTTGGAAAGTCATTCCTGAACTCTCATTCCTAAATCATAAAATTCTTAAATGTAAAATCCTGATGTTTCAACATCCTCTAGCAGATTCCCAATATAACATTTTAAAGGTAAAAGTGGTGTTTGACTCCAAATAATTTTTACCAAAAGAAAATTTACATACACTTTTTTGGTATAGAGTTAATATAACCCATTTAGGTATGAAAACTCTTTAAGGTTATTTCATTTTCCCTATTCCCCCTCCTTTAATAAGCAATACATCTAAAAAGTGCCTCAATAGAAGGCTCAGAAGCCCTATGTGAGCTGAGTTAGGCCATGTGAATGCTGAATGCTGTACTGGGAAAGAGAAAAGTCAAACAAAAAGGTAGTAACAATAAAAGAACACCTGGTATTTGTCGGAAATAAGACTTCCTTGCTCCCGCTCTTTTTTGTGACAGGTGTTCACTGAAAGTTGTAGAATTTTAACATTCTAAGTTATCTTATTGTTGTTTTTTTGGTATTACTGAGATTTAGGCCTCTTTGGATGGATCACTATGTCTCTCTTGCACACAAACACAAACACATACGCACACTGCTCCTGCAGCCTGCCCTACACCCACTACTTCACTTTTCCCAAATCCCTAGAGACATTTAGGAAGAAACAGCTGCACGGTAACAGAAGGTGAAAAATGAACCAGGACAAGAACACATCAGGCAGAGCATGAATCTTAGGGATTTAGGTTACATCTCTCCCATCCTCATTCCCAACTGTGACCTTGATTTCTACTTCCCTGAGAAACTGGAACAAGAAATGACCTCTTCTGTGCTCTCACCACACCTCTCCTTCCAGCAATACGCACCCACACGCTCTGCCTTCCCACAGCTTTACTGTTCACACCTGTCTAAAGCCCATCTTATTTGCACCATCGAATACACCCACTCTTGCTTACTCAAGAACACCACTCCAGCAATTCTCTCCTATTCCCTACATCATCCATTTTCCACTCTCTGCAGGATCATTCACACCAGCACACACAACAGGCTGTCCTAAAAAGCGGAACTTTCCCTTGACCACAGATTTCACTTAATGTCATTACATTCCCTTGCAGTAGGAGTTCTTGATAAAAGCATCTGTGCCCACTGCCTCCAGTTCCTCTTCTCCCATCCTCTCTTAAATCCACTACATTCAGGCTTTCACTCTCACCATTCAATTGACGTTGGTCACCCACGACCTTCATGTTGCTAAAATCTACTGGTCCCTTCTTGTTCCTCATCCCAGTTGATCTACCAGCAGCAGGTGGCATTGTAGGTGGCTTCCTCCCCTTGGGACATTTCTTTACCTGGTTTCCAGGGTACCACACTCTGAGTTTCCTGCTACCTCATAGGTCACTCTTTTTTTATTTTGGCTGACTTCCTCCTTTTCTCCCCAATCTCTTAATATTTGAATGTCCCACGGATCTGTTCAAATTTTTTTTCTTTTCTCTGTCTATACTCCACTGATAATCTCATCTAGTCTCATGGTTTTAAATATCAACTCTATGTTGATAACCCCCAAATGTATATGTGCAGCCCACCCACACTTCCTTCTCAAATCCCAAATTCAAACTTCTAACTACCCATTCAGTAACCCCATTTTGTTATCTAATAGATATTTTAGACTTCACATGTCCAAAATCAAACTCCAGGTTTTCTCTTCCACCAAGCCTGTGCCATCCATAGCCAATCAGAGTGGAAAGACCTTGATGAATACTTGAGATATTCCGCAGAGACCCCGCAAGGGCCATACCTTGAAAGCAGGACAAAACTAGCACTAAAGCAAGAACTATTCCAGACTTTTAATATTATTTTAACAAAGTTTATCTTAAATGTTAAAGAAAAAACAAGCCTCTAAAGCATCAAAGGGCTCCATAACTAATTTAACTGCCTTCAAAAAAAACCAAAAAATTTAATGGAAGAAAATAAAATCCAGACACTTAAGAATGTAATAATCACAATGTCCAACATCCAGTCAAAAATGCTGTTCAAAGCAGGAAACTATGATCCATAATCAGGATAAAAGTAAGTCAGTGGAAGCAGACCCAGAAATGACAGGG
Organism: Homo sapiens; assembly: GCF_000001405.40. NCBI lineage: Eukaryota > Metazoa > Chordata > Mammalia > Primates > Hominidae > Homo > Homo sapiens. The sequence goes on from NC_000013.11 coordinate 24,994,173, forward strand.
ATTGATGGAATTAGCATGCAAGAACTTTAAAACAGCAATTGTAAATATGTTTAAGGTATTAAAGATAATATGATAGGGAGAGAAATGGAAACCATAATAAAAGAAACAAAACTTGTAGAGCTGAATCATACAATATATAAAATGAAAACTTCACTGAATAAGCTTAGCAGTAGATTACACACTGCAGAATAAAAAATAAAAACTTGAAGACATAGCAATGGAAACTATCCAAACTAAAGCACAAAGAAAAGGCTGAACAAAAAAATAAAGAGAGCCTCAGTTACCTATGAGGCAATATCAAGCAGTCTTACATGCATTATAAGTTGCTTTGGAATTGCGAATAGAGAAAGGAACAGAAAAAGTGGTTGAATAAAGGCAGAACATTTTCCAAACATCAAGATTCAAGAAGCACAACCAACCCAAAGCAGGCTAAACACACACACACCCAAAATACATCATAATCAATTTACTGAATTTCAAGAATAAAACAAAAAAAATTAAAATCAGCCAAAGGTGAAAAACATGTTATAAAGTTATCAAAGGGAAACCAAATAGAGGATGACCATGACTTCTCAGAAAAGCCAAAGGCAATTTGCTGAAAGAAATTCTAAATTCTGTAGCTAGTAAAACTGTCCTCCAAAATGAAGGGGAAAGAGAAGGTTATTTTCAGAGAAAATAGAGATTTTATCATTAACAAACTTGAACCAAAAGAAATAGTAAAGGAAATTGTTGAGGCAGAAGGAGTATAAGAGATGGATAGTCTGACCTACACAAAGGAATAAAGAACTCCAGAAATAGTAATTCTGGTACAAATATAAAATCATTTTATTTTCTCATTTGAATAAATATCTTATTTCTATTTAAAGCAAAACTAACAAAAATTTGTGAAGTTTATAATATGTGGAAGTAAAAATATATGTTAACAGCACAAAGGAAGGGAGGAAGAAAATTAAAGTAGACCTCCTTCTAAACATTTGAGCCAGTCTCTCTCTCTCTTCTCCTCTCTCATCTAGGCCTCCCCTCTTCCTATAGCATGACCATAAGTAGCATCTCAGGAAAAACTCTAATCCAATATTTTTCTCAACCTTAGTTGTAGTTAGGAGGACCTATTTACACATGCTTCCAAGCCATTATCATGATAGCTCTACTAGTCAGAAAAGCCTTCAAGTTAAGCCTAGGAAATAACTGTTTACATCCCACATAATATGGCAAGATCACTGTCCTCTAGGGGGAGCTCTTAGCTAGCAAACGGCCGGTAAAGCAAAGAAGTACATAGTCACTCTCCCCAAACACGAGCGCTCAGTTAGCTGAGCTAATAGCTCTTACAAGAGCACTTAAATTAAGCAAGGGAAACGTAGATAACATCTATACTGACTCCAAGTATGCTTTCCTGATTTTCCATGCTCATGCTGCCATTTAAAAGGAAAGGCATTTTCTTACCACTAATGGAGTTTTTTATAAAATATCACCAGGAAATTAGCAGATTATTAACCTCAGTTTTTCTACCATGAGAGATAGCAGGTAAGTATTGTAGGGAACATCAAAAGGGAACGGATGAGGTAGCTGAAGGAAATAGATTAGCTGATCAGGCAGCTAAGTCAAAGGCAAGGAAGCCTCAAGGCACTAATACACTTCAAGCCTTTCTAGTCTAGGAGGGCTCCATAAAAGAAATTAAACCTCAGTATTCTGCTGCAGAAATAGAATAGGGCACTTCTCAAGCGCATACTTTTCAGCCCTCAGATGCCTACAGTCAGGATGGCAAACTCTATTTGCCAGCCTCCAGCCAATGAAAGTCCTTAAAATCCTTCGCCAAGCTTTTCACTTGGGAAAGGATACAACTTATCAATGTGCTCAGAGATTGTTTTCAGGCAGAGAACCTCTAAATTGGTTAAGAATGTAACCTCTCGGCCGGGCGCGGTGGCTCACGCCTGTAATCCCAGCACTTTGGGAGGCCGAGGTGGGCGGATCAGGAGGTCAGGAACTCGAGACCATCCTGGCTGACACGGTGAAACCCCGTCTCTACTAAAAAATACAAAAAATTAGCCGGGCATGGTGGCGGGCGCCTGCAGTCCCAGCTACTCAGGAGGCTGAGGCAGGAGAATGGCGTGAACCCGGGAGGCGGAGCTTGCAGTGAGCCGAGATGGCGCCACTGCACTCCAGCCTGGGCGACAGAGCAAGACTCCATCTCAAAAAAAAAAAAAAAAAAAAAAAAGAATGTAACCTCTCTAGCTCATTTCCAACAGGAATTAACACAGCTAGGAGAAGCCCAACTCCAGGAAATAAAACCACCTTTATATAATCCAGGAATTTAGGCATTAGTGAAAACTCTCATCTCTTTCCTTCCCTAAGCCAAGCTGGGAAGGGCCCTACACTGTTCTTCTTTCAACCCTCTGGGCAGTAAAAGTTACAAGAATCAACTCCTGGATACATCACACTCAAGCCAAAGCCTGAAGAGCCAAGGGAGCAACCCCTGACAGCCCAGAGGAAGAAATAGAAGATATTACACTAAAAATCATAAAAGGTAAGTAACTGAGTGAGGGCTCCTCATCTTAGCCCAACCTTTACATCAACAGATGCTTTTTGTCATTTCTGCCCTTTCCTCTCAAAATTTGCCCCCAAATATTAGAACTTCTTTTTAATGCATATTTGCAGGGAAATTTTGATTATACATGGGATTCCATTTGTAACCTTGTAAATCCTCGAAGGGAAATGTTATATCTTGGCAAGTAAAGTTTTAAACGAAAATTATTTACTACCCCACTCTTGTGGAAATTGTTAGAGTCATGCCACTATTTGCAATTGGACTATACAGTGTGGAATTCTGGTTGTAAAATTCTAATTGCTGTAATATTTTGGCTGATTATCATCCTTATAACAGGATTAATAATTGCAGGAGAAATTTAGTCAAGGTTGTTTTGATTACAGCAGGAGTAATAGTTACAGATAAGAAGTAAGCATAAAAGTTTTGCTATCATTAAGTTTAATAGGACTTTTTACTAAAGGTTGGTAATATAATGCACTGTAAGTTATTTTAAAAAGGTTATAAAGAAAGAAATTTTATATAAGAAAGGATTTTGTTTTGTAAATACTTGTCCTTGAAGGAAATGGCTGGTTGTTTAAATGAAGGATGTTTAAGACAAGTCATAAAGTTTAAGTATGTTGTAAGAGGGTCTGTGAAAGTCATGAAAAAATTTAATAAAGAAAAGGAATTGTCAAGATTAATGCTAAAGTTATTTTAGCCACCCAATGTATTTCTCCCAATCATATTGAAAGTTATAAAAATGGCCTAAGGCAAGTTCTTCTCTAATGGCAAGTCAAGAGGGAAATGGATGTATTTTTCAAGGAAAATGTTACTTTTATATTAACGTTTCTGGTAATGTACAGCGACATCTAGTGCAGACAAATCGGTATTGCAATCCATTGGTGTAACTAACAGGTACCAAACTCTATTGTCAGTTAAGGTCTATAGGACCCCCACTAACGGTGGTAATCTTAATGCTCATATTCTAACCCTATATTTTAAATCTTCTTGTAAAATGTATCTCTTTTCGCCTAGAAGCAATCAAACTCCAAATGGTGCTGCGAGCAGAGCCAAACATGGACACGCCGTTCTTCCAAGAACCATTAGATCAACCTCAGGAGAAGGCCCAGCTGCTGTTCCTCCACATGACGCCCCTTTTCAGTGGGAAGTAGCCAAAAGAATCATCGTTCAACACCCCCTAACAGTAGTTAGGTTTGCTTATCTTGGGGGAAATAATACAGGAGTTATTAAGAAATAATTTTTAGGCAGATAGAGATGGTAAACGAAGTTCTTGGTAAGGCTTTTTCTTTTAATAAAAGCAACCCCCAAACCATTTCTTTTCTAACAGAAAAACGACTTGAAGGGCCAAGCTGGCAAGCTTTGATATGCAAATGCAGGCCATTAGAAACAGTCCACCTAATATGGCGATTCCCACCTTTTTCCTCTTGTCACGATGTGTGCCAAGTGTCATGGCCAACTCCAGATAACACCATGTGTTCAGAACATCATGGCGACCCACATTTGCATATTAAAGGACTAAGGTGGGAGGGCCAGGTTCTTTGTGGGCTACGTAAACGACGCACCTGGTCAAACCAATCCCCTGGGCCCTGTGCAAACCGGACACCGCCTCCTCCAACATCCCAATATAAGCAACCACTTTTCCGCTGCACACGGGGTTTCTCTTTGTTTGAATTCCCCCCTCCCTGTCTCTGTATGGGTGATCTGTTCTCTTCTTCCTTCCTTCTTTCTTGCCTAACCAGCTCTCTGCTCCTTAAAACCACTCCACGTGTGTCTGTGTCATTTTCTCTAAATCAGCGTGAGACCAAGGACCCTGGTGTTCTTCTAATCATCGGAGCCATATCATTTTATGTCCCTTTTTTTGGTTTAAGCCAATTATGACGGTTCTCTTTCTGCATCTGTGATTAGCTTAGAAGTGGGCATGTGACTTCTTTCTGGCCAATGAGATTAGAGGGGAGTTCTGCAGAAAAGCCTGTAGAAGAGATTGATTTCCTATTAAGGAGACCAGGAGCGGTGGCCTCCTTCTTTTGGATGTTTCTGTACCTGGATGTGATACCTGGAACCGCTGTAGCAACACGTGAGCACAAGAGGAGCCAGCCTGGGTGGAGGCAAGGCCAACGCTCAGGACGGTGAAACAGAGCGATGGGAAAAGCTGGGTCCCTGCAGTGAAACCTTTGAGCGGCTGTCTCAATCAGCAGTTGGGCCACCCTTAATAATAAGTTGTCTTATTATTTAAGCCACTTAAGTCAGGGGCTTCTGTTTATTGCAGCTGAAGTCATCCCAATTTACCTAACATAAATTACTTTAAAAATAGTACCAGATTACCATATTTGAAATACTGGCATTTATCATTTTCAAACCTTTAAAACTTTTGCCCTCATAAACCTTAAACATTAGAGCATGCAAAAAGCAAACATACAAACAGAAAACCACCTAAACTTTGAGGGAGAAGTAATTTCACCATCAATGTTAGGCAGTTCTTTAAGTCAGTTCTTATTTTGAAAGATCACAGGTTGATCTACACTGGCGCTATAAAAAACATCAGTGCGTTTTTACAATTTATTTCTAGTTTTTACCCAAGACCTAATTCTAACATGAACACATAAGCCATTGGTAATATGAACCGGATAATACGTAGTTACTCTAGTTCACATCACATGTTTAAACACTTCTGGAGAACTCCAGATCACGTGATAAATGGCTGTCAGTGGCAAAGTAGTTTCCTCTCTTAGACAAAGGGGCAGGAGCTGGTAATACTCTCAAAAGGTGGCTAAGATGCACTTGAAATGTGTCCGGAGCATCATAAAATTGCATGACAAGAATAGAGAAGAAAAGCCTGGAAGAGAATACAGAACCCTCATGGGCCCACCATGCTAGTGTACCCAGCACAAGAATTATCTGCAGCTTAAGAAGGTGTCCCATGCACTGGTGGCCATGATCATTATTGGCAACTCCTCCAGTATGTGAGTTGTGTTTTCGTATTAACAAAGACAACAAGAAACCTAACCAACATTATCACCCCTCTATAAGTTCAGAGAAGAATAGCTTGGCAGTAGAGAAATATGCTTGGGAAATGCTGTGAAACGACGTGTATGAAGTGAACCAAGCAGAAGCCAAGAAATGACAGAATACGTTGAAAAGAGAGTCGCCCCCATCACTGCTTAGTAAAATCCTTGTCTTATCGCAACAACATGCAGTGCAGCAGCCTCCTGGGGTCTGAGCACGTTGCAGCAGGAGCTTCCTTTCTACTGTTTCAGGTTTTGTCAAGTAAGAAAGACTGAGAAGCTTGTGCAACATCCACATGGAGATGTAAGGGGAGCAGCTGAGCGCACAAATGGAGAGCCAGAGAAGGGACTGCAGGCAGAGCTCTCAGTCATTGGTCTACAGGAGGCTGCATGAGCTGGCTCAGGAGAGTTGAGAGAAAGAAGAGAAGGAAACCAAGGCCTGAATCTCCAGGGGTCTTAGGATACTTGCTATTTGTATGATAACACAACCCCAATATTAACCCCCAAGTCTTCAGTTAATGTCTAAAACACATTGCCACCTTAATAGTGTTTGGGAAATCTGGGGAAAATGCCTGGGTTCTATTCTGGGTTCAGCACACACAGAATGACTCTGAGTGAAAAGGGAACGTCTGCAGGGTCACCAAGAGCAACTCACTGAAATCTCTAAAAGGGGCTGAGCTCCCAGCAAGATGTGTGGGGAGTGGGAGAACGGGAGGGAGTTAAGTTAATGTGATTTTTTTTTTTTTTTTTTTAGATAGAGTTTTGCTCTGTGGCCCAGGCTGGAGTGCAGTGATGTGATCTCGGCTCACTGCAACCTCCACCTCCGGGTTCAAGCAATTTTCCTGCCTCAGCCTCCAGATTTCCTGGGAATACAGGTCCGCACCATGTCTAGCTAATTTTTTTGTACTTTTAGCAGAGACGGGTTTTCATCATGTTGGCCAGGGTGGTCTTGAACTCCTGAGCTTAAGTAATCCACTCACCTCAACTTTCCAAAGGGCTGGGATTACAGGTGTGAGGTGAGCCACTGTGCCTGGCCAGTTAATGTGAATTTAATGTCAGCACATAGAGTGCCTTCAGCTGACATGTGGCTCACTTGGGCAATTTTCAGTCTTGTCAGGTGTATGATATGATTCGTCAATACTTTAATCTGCATGTGTATTGTAATAAATGTTTCCTGTGCAGACACTCTGCCACACATTTTGCTGGACCCTGGGGTGACAGCAGGAAACAAAAATCTGTTGGCCGGGAGTAGTGGCTCACACCTGTAATCCCAGCACTTTGGGAAGCCGAGGCAGGCAGATCACGAGGTCAGGAGATCGAGACCATCCTGGCTAACAAGGTGAAACCCCATCTCCACTAAAAATACAAAAAATTAACTGGCATGGTGGTGGGCGCCTGTAGTCCCAACTACTTGGGAGGCTGAGGCAGGAGAATGGCGTGAACCCCGGAGGCAGAGCTTGCAATGAGCCAAGATTGCGCCACTGCACTCCAGCCTGGGTGACAAAGCGAGACTCCGTCAAAAAAAAAAAAAAAAAAAAAAAGTCTGTTGTCTGAGCTCATATAGTTTACGGTCAGGTCAGAGAATAGATACATACTTTGTTTTTACAGAGTCTTGTCAATTCCCAGAAAAATTCCCTGTCCCCAGCCAGGAGGCTCGAGAAAAGATTTCCTAACACAAAAACTAACCCAACTATGGACCACCCTAGGTAAATCATTTGGGAAAACTTCCTGCTCCAAAACTCCCTGCCAAAGTGTCTTTTCTGCTTAGGAAGACTTTTATTTTTTAAGGCTCCCTCTTGGGATAGAACTTTCTGGAGGTAACATGTCTGCAATCTCTTGCCAGCCTGCAGTTCTCAAGGCTATTTGCTCAGGCTTTCTGTTTGCTGTTTGTTTGGTTTTCCCAAGAAATAGGACACTAGATGGAACCCATGGTCTGTCATTTTCCTCTCAATACAGGCCAGCCACCGGCCGCATGTGGCTTTGGGTGTTTCCTCCACTCTGCTGACTTCTGCACATGCTCCACTGCTGATCCCCAGCTTAGGCAAAATAAAATGCAATCTTCACTGGGAAATATGCGATTACACACCAACTGCAAGATCAGGCTTTTCCTGAATGTGGTTTTTTACCCCTCATGTCAGTATTTTTTTTCATGAACTATTTTTCAGATGAGGCGTCACTATGTTGCCCAGGCTGTTTCGAACCCTGGACTTTAGAGACATTCTGCCTCAGCCTCTTGCCAACTGAGTAGCCGGGACTATAGGTGTGTGCACTGCATCTGGCCAGGTCAGGATTTGTCAAGTTATCCTAAAGATGACGTTTATGGAACTATGCCCAGAAATACCAGCCACATCTAATACTTAGAAAAATAAAAACAAAAATTTAGATACCCCTGAATAAGTCGCTTCAAGGATTTTACTTCTGCAGAACCAAGAAAGCCACCTGCCCGTAAGGCTTCTTGGAGTTTTCACATTGAGGAATCATTTCTACGCGGGTGGGAGCCAGGACCACTCCAGGTCCCAGAAAAGAGAACTCGCTATATGGTTTTTGTTTGTTTGTTTGTTTTAATATCCAGGGTGGTCCTGAAATTTGCATGAGGAGTCAGCCTTGATTTTTGGGGAGCCACCCGGTTACAGTTCACGGCCACCCACACTTGTAACTCTGGGCTTTTTAGGGTGGAGTGAGGCCTCGGGAAGCTCTTCAGCAGACTCAAAGGAAAACCAGCTTCTGGACGTAGCCAGGGGGAGTGTGCTGCCCTCTCCCGATGACACACCGTGTTCCTGGGTTCATTCAGTGGGTATAGCCGAAGATTGTTTTACCAGGCATAGTTCACATTCTTTTAATTCTTGGGAGAAAGTAAGGCGTGACTGTCGTGTTCGTCTGCTGCATCTCAAAAGGGCAGAGACGCTGTGTTTTGAAAATATTATCCCTGGACCGTGAAAGCACGAAGCACGGGAAGCTGTGGACTTAAACCTGCTTCCATTCTTCCCACTTCTTCCATTCTTCCCACTTCACTTAAGTCAAACCAGGGGTGTTAGTCAATAAAAAGTGTTTCTGGCCAAGCACGGTGGCTCCAGCCTGTAATTCCAGCACTTTGGGAGGCCGAGGTGGATGGATCACCTGAGGTCAGGAGTTCGAGACCAGCCTGACCAAAATGCATCTCTACTAAAAATACAAAAAATTAGCTAAGCATGGTGGCATATGCCTGTAATCCCAGCTACTCAGGAGGCTGAGGCAGGAGAATTGCTTGAACCTGGGAGGCAGAGGTTGTGGTGAGCTGAGATGGTGCCATTGCACTCCAGCCTGGGCAACAAGAACAAAACTCTGCCTAAAAAAAAAAAAATAGTGTTTCTTCTTCCTTTGAATACAATTGAATTATCTTGTGATTTTTATTAGTAAGATAAGTTTTGTTAGCTGTTATGCCTTATGATGTTTTTGAGCAGCCACACTAATTGTGCTCTGAAAAGCACTGCCTTTGTGATTATAATAATTCAGTGTAGGAAAGAATGAACAGGTGGCTTTCTGCTGGAAATACTTTTTTTGTTTGTTTGTTTGAGGCGGAGTCTTGCTCTGTGGCCCAGCTGGAATGCAGTGGCATGATCTCAGCTCACTGCAGCCTCCACCTCCCAGGTTCAAGCAATTCTCCTGCCTCAGCCTCCTGAGTAGCTGGGACTACAGGTGCCCACCACCACACCTGGCTAATTTTTGTATTTTTAGTAGAGATGGAGTTTTACTATATTGGCCAGGCTACTCTCGAACTCCTGACCTCAGGTGATCTGCCTGCTTCGGCCTCCCAAAGGGCTAGAATTACAGGCATGGGCCACTGCGCCCGGCCCAGGAATACTTTTTCATTGAGGGGAAGAGGGAGTGGGTGGAGACTGACAATAAGGTACTCTTGAGGAAATATGGTAGAAGGGTGGATAAATATCAGCACATGAGGAGTTGCTTCACAAAAATATCCAACCTACTGACAAAAGAGTTGTGGAGTATTTCATGATACAATAGTGGTCGTTGTTCTGGGTCTGTGAGACCTCCTTGCGTCATTTTACCTTGGTCACTTCAAATCCTATAAACAAACATTTACTGAGATCTCATGTGCAGCGGGCACGGTGCTGGGGGTTTGGTCTCAAGGCTAAGGAGGTGGAGGAGATTGGGCTTCCAAGGAACAGGTGAATAAATAGATTCATTGAGTTGTGGTGGTTCTATTTCCTCTTCCCACCAAAACCACATGCGGGAAACATAGTTCCTCAAAGTCTGTGGTGTGGGTTTTAAGTTTTTTCGTGTTCTTAGATCTAAAAGAATCTTAGGCCGGGCACAGTGGCTCATGCCTGTAATCCTAGCACTTTGGGAGGCCGAGGCGGGCGGATCACGAGGTCAGGAGATCGAAAGTATCCTTGCTAACACGGTGAAACCCCGTCTCTACTAAAAATACAAAAAACAAAAACAAAAACAAAAACAAAAATAGCCGGGCGTGGTGATGGGCGCCTGTAGTCCCAGCTACTCAGGAGGCTGAGGCAGGAGAATGGCGTGAACTCGGGAGGCGGAGCTTGCAGTGAGCCGAGATCGCGCCACTGCACTCCAGCCTGGGCCACAGAGCGAGACTCCGTCGCAAAAAAAAAAGAAAAAGAAAAAGAAAAAAAAGAATTTTGAACATCAAATTTTAGAAGCTGCTAGTACAACTGGAAGAGCAGATATAGGTAAACCATTTTCTTCACTAGTTTGACCACATTATTTGATTGCTTCTCTAAAATGGGATTTCTTTTCTTTTCTTAATGGCCTCTCGTTTGTTTACTGAGAGATGCTTACTCTACTGTGTGTCTTACATCTAAACTAGATGGAGCAACACTGAATTCCGGGTCCAGTCAGGTTCTTCTTCCTCCCATGGTCCAGTGTACACAAGGGCTTCCCGCCAAGTGCCCACCTCTGGTTCTCCTCCTGTCCTCACGGTTTTCCTCTTTGGCTATGGTCTCTGCTCAGCACTGGTCTTCTCTTTCCCACACTCTACTGCAGTGTATACACACGCAGCCTTGGTCCCTGTCCTCTCAGTAATTATTTCAGAAGACCTCCCGCGTTTATTCACGGGTAGCAGGCACCTCATCACGTCCTCGAGCTCCTCTTGGCATCCTTAATTAGCCCCCACATTGCAGCCAGAGTGAATTCCATGCACACAGCCATCAGCAAGCACCAGGCCTCTGCCTACCGCGCTTAAATATTTATTGTTATAATAATAAAAAAGGAGGAGGAAGCTTTCGTAAATAAGGATGATGAATTAAAATTCACTGTGATGTAAATTGTTCTGGGTTAAAGGAAAAATCGACAGGATTTTCTCTAAAATGATTGAAAAATCTCTGGATGCTGCAGGTCAGGCCAGTAGACAGCAGGGGGCATGAGAGACATTTCTCCCGTTCTCAGTCCTGTCCCCGAGCTTGTGAAGGCAGCGCACACTTGCTTCCAATGCGATCCTTGCAGCTTTTCCACCCATGATATCTGTATTTGTTTTTTCAAATTTTATGTATTTTTCTATCACGAACTTTGATTTTTTCCCCCTGCACTGTGTAAGAATTTATGCATTAGCTGAAAATAAAACATCTGGGCCAAAAGAATAGTAGTTTTCTGTTCCTCATAACTTGCTCCCAAAACAGTGGCTGAGCACCAGATGGCAGCATCCTTCTGTTTCAGAATATTAGGGTAGCATTAAACATTTTTTAAACACATATACCTCACAACTAAAAACATTGTTTCTGTTTTTTTCTTTAATAATATTGGAAATTTCAAAAGAAGTCTTTTGTTGATTTGTTTGTTGCATTCTGCAAATAGTCACTGATCTTATAACAGTGAATTTTATCCTGCAGGAATTCTGGCCTATTTTGGTTGGGGAAGTGTCAGATGTGGTTTGGGAGGATGACAGTTTATGATGTAATTAATTGAGATACAAATGAAAATATTCAGTTTGCTTCTCCTGTATTCTCTGTCTGGTCTGTCTGCCCTCCATCCAACATGTCCAGGCCATCTGCAAACTCCCAATGGAGTTATCTTCTAGAGTTTGACCTTGGCAGACGATGCTAGCAACAGCTGAATGCTCTTCCCAGCTCCATTCCACAGCCGCTCTCCAGGTGTGGCCTGCCAGTCAGGAGGACTTCTCAGTCCTTCGTGTTTTCAGACTGGTCTGTCTTTGCAGAGTCCCCTCCTCCTGCTTTAAACCCCCTCTCCCTCTTCTTCACCTAGCTTGGGAGTCTCCTCTTCAGGGGGGTTTCTTCACTGCCCCCTCCTCTATGCCCAGGTTGAGCAAGATTCACCAAAGCACTCACTACATCTTATTTAATTAATCATTTATCACATTTGTCTCCATCCTATAGACTAAGTATCTTTTTACTTTTATATTCTGTGTTAGTCTACCACAAAGTAAGTGCTCAATAAATGTTTGCAGGGTAAATAAAGTTATGGGTAATTTGATCCAGCAATCCCACTTCTAGGCATATATACCCCCCAAAAGCTAGTAAGTATATCAAAGATATATATGCATTCCCATGTTTATTACAGCCCTATTTGCCATAGCCAACATGTGGAATCAACGTAAGTATCCATCAATGAATGAATGGATAAAGAAAATGTTATATATATTCACAATGGAATACTAGTCAGCCATGAAAAGAATGAAATCATGTGATTTTCAGCAGCATGCATGGAGCGGGAGATCATTGTGTGAAGTGAAATAAACCAGGCACACACAAACATTGCATGTTCTCACTTGTATTTGGGAGCTAAAGACGTTGATCTCATAGAGAAGAGGTTAGAGTGATGGTTACCAGGGGCTGGGAAGGGTAGGGGGAGAGGAGGGATAAAGCGAGGTTGGTTAATGGGTTCAAACATACAGTTAGAAGAAATAAGATCTAGTGTTTGTCAGTACAGTAGGATGATTGTACTTATCAATATTGCATATTTCAAGATAGCTAGAAGAGAAGATTTGGAATGTTCTTAACACAAAGAAATGACAAATAGGCCGGGCGCGGTGGCTCACGCCTGTAATCCCAGCACTTTGGGAGCCTGGGGTGGGCAGATCACGAGGTCAGGAGTTCGAGATCAGCCAGGCCAACATAGTGAAACCCCGTCTCTACTAAAAATACAAAAATGAGCTGGGTCTGGTGGCATGCACTTGTAGTCCCAGCTACTCAGGAGGCTGAAGCAGGAGAATTGCTTGAACCCGGGAGGCAGAGGTTGCAGTGAGCCAAGATCGCACCACAGCACTCCAGCCTGGGTGACAGAGCAAGACTGTGTCTCAAAAAAACAAAAACAAAACAGAAAAAAAAAACAAAGAAATGATAAAGTTTCGAGGTGATGGATACCCCAGTTGCCCTGATTTGCTCTACACATTGTATGTATGTATCAAAACATCACATGTATCCCATAAATATGTATATTAAGTATCAATAAAAAATACAACTTATGGCAACATTAATGGAATGATCCATGGCTAAACTTTTCTGCAGGCTTAGTGTCCTCAGGCAATGAATGATTGGCAGGTTTTTTTTTTTGTAACATCTTAAGCTGATTTTTTTTTTTTACTATTATACTTTAAGTTCTAGGGTACATGTGCACAACATGCAGGTTTGTTACACAGGTATACATGTGCCATGTTGGCTTACTGCACCCATCGACTCATCATTTACATTAGGTATTCCTCCTAATGCTATCCTGCCCTCCACCTCCCAACAGGCCGTAGTGAGTGATGTTCCCCACCCTGTGTCCTTGTGTTCTCATTGTTCAATTCCCACTTATGAATGAGAACATACAGTGTTTGGTTTTCTGTCCTTGTGATAGTTTACTGAGAATGATGGTTTCCAGCTTCATCCATGTCCCTGCAAAAGACATGAACTCATCCTTTTTTATGGCTGCATAGTATTCCTTGGTGTATACCTGCCACATTTTCTTAATCCAGTCTATCACTGATGGACATTTAGGTTGGTTCCAAGTATTTGCTATTGTGAATAGTGCCGCAATAAACATACATGTGCATGTGTCTTTATAGTATCATGATTTATAATCCTTTGAGTATATACCCAGTAATGCGATGGCTGGGTCAAATGGTATTTCTAGTTCTAGATCCTTGAGGAATCACCACACTTCTTCCAAAATGGTTGAACTAATTTACACTCCCACCAACAGTGTAAAAGCATTCCTCTTTCTTCACATCCTCTCCAGCATCTGTTGTTTCCTGACTTTTTAATGATCACCATTCTAACTGGCGTGAGATGGTATCTCATTGTGGTTTTCATTTGCATTTCTCTGATGATGAGCATTTTTTCATCATCATTTTTTCAGTGATGAGCATTTTTTCATGTGTCTGTTGGCTGCATAAATATCTTCTTTTGAGAGGTGTCTGTTCATATCCTTTGCCCACTTTTTGATTGGGTCATTTGATTTTTTTCTTGTAAATTTGTTTAAGTTATTGGTAGATTCTGGATATTAGCCCTTTGTCAGATGGGTAGATTGCAAAACTTTTCTCCCATTCTGTAGGTTGCCTGTTCACTCTGATGATAGTTTCTTTTGCTGTGCAGAAGCTCTTTAGTTTAATTAGATCCCATTTGTCTATTTTAGCTTTTCTTGCCATTGCTTTTGGTGTTTTAGTCATGAAGTCTTTGCCCATGCCTGTGTCCTGAATCGCATTGCCTAGGTTTTCTTCTAGGGTTTTTATGGTTTTAGGTCTTACATTTAAGTCTTTAATCCATCTTGAGTTAATTTTTGTATAAGGTTTAAGGAAGGGATCCAGTTTCAGCTTCCTCATATGGCTAGCCAGTTTTCCCAGCACCATTTATTAAATAGGGAATCCTTTCCCCATTGCTTGTTTTTGTCAGGTTTGTCAAAGATCAGATGGCTGTAGATGTGTGGTGTTATTTCTGAGGCCTCTGTTCTGTTCCATTGGTCTATATATATGTTTTGGTACCAGTACCATGCTGTTTCAGTTACTGTAGCCTTGTAGTGTAGTTTGAAGTCAGGTAGCATGATGCATCCAGCTTTGTTCTTTTTGCTTAGGATTGTCTTGGCTATGCGGTCTCTTTTTTGGTTCCATATGAACTTTAGAGTAGTTTTTTCCAATTCTGTGAAGAAAGTCACTGGTAGCTTGATGAGGATGGCATTGAATCTATAAATTACCTTGGGCAGTATGGCCATTTTCACAATATTGATTCTTCCTACCCATGAGCATAGAATGTTCTTCCATTTGTTTGTGTCCTCTTTTATTTTGTTGAGCAGTGGTTTGTAGTTCTCCTTGAAGAGGTCCTTCACATCACTTGTAAGCTGGATTCCTAGATATTTTATTCACTTTGTAGCAATTGTGAATGGGAGTTCACTCATGATTTGGCTCTCTGTCTGTTATTGGTGTATAGGAATGCTTGTGATTTTTGCACATTGATTTTGTATCCTGAGACTTTGCTGAAGTTGCTTATCAGCTTAAGGAGATTTCGGGCTGAGACGATGGAGTTTTCTAAATATACAATCATGTCATCTGCAAACAGGGACAATTTGACTTCCTCTTTTCCTAATTGAATACCCTTTATTTCTTTCTTTTGCCTGATTGCCCTGGCCAGAACTTCCAACACTATGTTGAACAGGAGGGGTGAGAGAGGGCATTCTTGTCGTGTTCCGGTTTTCAAAGGGAAAGCTTCCAGGTTTGCCCATTCCGTATGATGTTGGCTGTGGGTTTGTCATAAATACCTCTTATTATTTTGAGATATGTTTCATCAATATCTAGTTTATTGAGAGTTTTTAGCATGAAGGGCTGTTGAATTTTGTCGAAGGCCTTTTCTGCATCTATTGAGATAATCATGTGGTTTTTGTTGTTGGTTCTGTTTATGTGATGGATTACGTTTATTGATTTGCATATGTTGAACCAGCCTTGCATCCTAGGGATGAAGCCAACTTGATCATGGTTTATAAGCTTTTTGATGTGCTGCTGGATTCAGTTTGCCAGTATTTTATTGAGGATTTTCACATGGATGTTCATCAGGGATATTGGTCTAAAATTCTCTCTTTTTCTTGTGTCTCTGCCAGGCTTTGGTATCAGGATGATGCTGGCCTCATAAAATGAGTTAGGGAGGATTCCCTCTTTTTCTGTTGATTGGAATAGTTTCAGAAGGAATGGTACCAGCTCCTCTTTGTACCTCTGGTAGAATTCGGCTGTGAATCCTTCTGGTCCTGGACTTTTTTTGGTTGGTAGGCCATTAATTATTGCCTCAATTTCAGAACCTGTTATTGGTCTATTCAGAGATTCAACTTCTTCCTGGTTTAGTCTTGGGAGGGTGTATGTGTCCGGGAATTTATCCATTTCTTCTAGATTTTCTAGTTTATTTGCATAGAGGTGTTTATAGTATTCTCTGATGGTAGTTTATATTTCTGTGGGATCGGTGCTGATATCCCCTTTATCATTTTTTATTGTATCTATTTGATTCTTCTCTCTTGTCTTCTCTATTTGTCTTGCTAACAGTCTATTTTGTGATCTTTTCAAAAAACCAGCTCCTTGATTCATTGATTTTTTGAAGGGTTTTTCGTGTCTCTATCTCTTTCCGTTCTGCTCTGATCTTAGTTATTTCTTGCCTTCTGCTAGCTTTTGAATTTGTTTGCTCTTGCTTCTCTAGTTCTATTAATTGTGATGTTAGGGTGTCAATTTTAGATCTTTCCTGCTTTCTCTTGTGTGCATTTAGTACTATAAATTTCCCTCTATACCCTGCTTTGAATGTGTCCCAGAGATACTGGTATGTTGCGTCTTTGTTCTCATTGGTTTCGAAGAACATCTTTATTTCTGCCTTCATTTCATTATTTACCCAGCAGTCATTCAGGAGCTGGTTGTGATTGGCAGGTTTTAACTGGACGTTTGAAACTCATTTTTATGGAGAACAACGAACTTGGAGGGGAAAACAATCCAGATGTGAGGAATAATTTGAATCTGTCAGGTCTATTGTAAAAATCACTTTTGATTTCCATGTGGTATTGCATAGAGTGTTCCTGAATGTAACCAGACAGTTCACCCAGGCAAGCGGTCAACAAGGAACACACCTTCCCCAGAGTCTGCAGGCGCTGAATTTCATCTTCTTTTTCATCTAATTCCACAGTCCTTTAAATCCCCATAAGCTAAATTTCTTGATTCCAATTTCAGAAGGAGCTTTGTTACAATTAACTAAATTTTAAATTTTAGGCTATTCGAACAAAAAATTCTAATATAGGAAGTAAAATAATATTGCATTTCCTCATACATTTCTTCCCCTGTGTGTGCCATTTCCCAATTCGGAGGAAAAGAATATTTTAAAACTGTTTTTTTTTCCTGTACATAATACACAATCCCTTCCCCTCTCACACACTCTTTTTTGTCCAGGTTTAAAATAGCAACTCCAGCTGATGGTAGACACTGTTTGGGGATTTTAAACCACTAATCAATTTCGCAGCTGGAGGCAAAGCACTTTGCTTGGAAATATTTTTCACATAACATACAAGGTGCTTCGACCTCAGAGCAGCCCAGAGGATTCCGCTGAAGGAGAGGGGAGGCTGCTGACCCACCCCGGAAACCAGAGGAAAGTGAGGTGGTGGCAGGAGGCCACAGCCACGGGCAGGCCACGGGCAATCACTAGCTACCTTCTCCTAACCTTTTTCTCCCACACACTTTCATTTTTAACAAACTGAGCCACAGAACAAGGAAATTCCAACTTCTGCAGGAACCTCTGGGAGCAGAGAACTAGGAAGGTAAAAGCTACCTGGTTCCACCTTTCTGGACTGAGAGTAAGACCCAAAGTTAAAGCGTAGGAAGAAGGAAACCCTCCTTTGGAATGACACTGTTCTCTCGCCTGGTGGTGCTCAGGCTTCAGCAGGATCAGTATCAGAGAGGGTATGTTAGAGGCTGGACGTGGCGGCTCATGCCTATAATCCCAGCACTTTGAAAGGCAAAGGCGGGCAGATCAGTTGAGCTCAGGGGTTCAAGACCAGCTTGGGCAATATGGCAATACCTCATCTCTCCAAAAAATACAAAAATTAGCTGGGCATGGAGGCATGCCCCTGTAGGTCCCAGCTACTTGGGAGGCTGAGGCGGGAAGATCACTTGAGCCCAGGAGGTGGAGGCTACAGTGAGCTGAGATCACATCACTGCACTCCAACCTGGGCAACAGAGCAGGAGTATGTCTCAAAAAAAAAAAAAAAAAGATTGTGTGTTAGAGCCCAGATAGCTGAGCCTGACTCAAGTTCTGATTCTGCAGGCCAGGGCAAGGCCTGAGAATCTGCCTTTAACAAGTTCCCAGGTGATGCTGATGTTGCTGGTCCTAAAACGACCTTGGGAACCACTGATCTTATCTACCCCATCCATTTGCTTTCTATCACTGGCATCTTTACTTACAGGCTAGTTGGCTTCCTTTGTGCCTTTCTTACAAACACACTGCTTCAGACGGGCGTGGTGGCTTACACCTGTAATCCCAGCGCTTTGGGAGGCCAAGGTGGGCAGATCACGAGGTGAGGACTTCGAGACCAGACTGGCCAACATGGTGAAACCCCGTCTCTACTAAAAATACAAAAATTAGCCAGGCGTGGTGGCGTGTGCCTGTAATCCCAGCTACTCAAGAGGCTGAGGCAGGAGAATTGTTTCAACCTGGGAGGTGGAATTTGCAGTGAGCCGAGATCATGCCATTGCACTCCAACCTGTACGGCAAAGCGAGACTCCATCTCAAAAACAAAACAAAACAAACAAACAAACAAACAAAAAACCACACACACACACACACACACACACTGCTTCATTCCCTAACAGTTTCTCAAATGGCAGTTTAGTTGAATCTGAGGAGGATGGTACACTAAGACCCATGTGGTCACATTATTGCTCTTGCCTAATTTTAGAGTAACTACATCAGGAGAGTAACAGAAAGGACCGTATTGTAAAATCATAATTTTAAGAAGCCGGGTGTTGTGGCTCACTCCTGTAATCCCAGCACTTTGGAAGGCCAAGGCAGGAGAATCGCTTGAGCCCAGGAGTTCCAGACCAGCCTGGGCAACATAACAAGACTCTGTCTCTACAAAAAATAAAAATCAGCTGGGTGTGGTGGCTTGCACCTGTAGTCCCATCTACTTGGGAGGCTGAGGTGGGAAGATTACTTGAATTTAGGAGTTCAAGGTTGCAGTGAGCCATGATTGTGCCACTGCACTCTGCTCAGGGTGACAGAGCGACTCTATCTCAAAAATAAAATAAAATAAAAAAGTAAGAGATTTTTCTTTAAGCTGCAAAATATATTTCACTGATACATGTTTCATTAATTCAATTCAATAAGCTTTTACTGAGTATTTGTGTGTCAGTATGTGATGGGATTATAATACTTCCTGCTATCAGACTCTTTTCCCAGAAAATCATCAAATTATTATTTTTTGAGATGGAGTCTTGCTCTGTCGCCCCGGCACAAGTGCAGTGGCACAATCCTGACTCACTGCAACTTCCACCTCCCAGGTTCAAGTGATTCTACTGAATCACTCCCGGGTAGCTAAGATTACAGATGCGAGCCACCATACCCAGCTGATTTTTGTATTTTCAGGGGTTTCACCATGTTGGCCATGCTTGTCTCAAACTTCTGACCTCAAGTGATCCTCCTGCCTCAGCCTCCCAAAGCGCTGGGATTACAGGCATGAAGCCACCATGCCCAGCCCAAATTATGCACAGGTAACAGTTTTCAAATGGAAGCAGCTTTCTTCATTTTCTACTCAGAAATAAATTGTCTATCATGCCATAGAGTGACTTCTCCATTCTCGCTGGAGCTCATTTCAGATGTAGCTGGGGTTGTTTTGTTTGTTTGTTTTTTAAAGATAGCATCTTGCTCTGTCACCCAGGCTGAAGTGCAGTGGTGTGATCATAGCTTACTACAACCTCGAACTCCTGGGCTCAAGCAATTGCCCCACCTCAGCCTCCTGAGTAGTTGGGACTACAGGCATACAACACTATGCCTGGCTAATTTTTAATTTTTTTGTAGAGACAAGGCTTCACTATGTTGTTCAGGCTGGTCTTGAACTCCTGGGTTCAAGTGATCCTCCCTTCTCAGTCTCTTAAAGTGCTGGGATTACAGGTGTGAGTTGCCTCAGAGCTTAGTGGTTAAGAACACAGCTCTGGAGTGAGATAGACTAGAACTTGGGTGTGCTTTTTAAAAATTATGTTTAAGTTGGAAAAAAACAATTCTTTTTTTTCTTTTATGAGACGGAGTCTTGCTCTGTCACCTAGGCTGGAGTGCAGTGGCGCGATCTCGGCTCACTGCAAGCTCCGCCTCCCGGGTTCATGCCATTCTCCTGTCTCAGCCTCCGGAGTAGCTGGGACTACAGGCGCCCGCCACCACACCCGGCTAATTTTTTGTATTTTTAGTAAAGACAGGGTTTCACCGTGTTAGCCAGGATGGTCTCCATCTCCTGACCTCGTGATCCGCCCACCTCGGCCTCCCGAGGTGCTGGGATTACAGGCCTGAGCCACCGCGCCCGGCCAAGAAGAAACAATTCTTACCTCATAGAGATGCACCAAATCCATACTTTGGCTGAATTCTAAATGGCTAAAAGTGGAAAAGTTACTGAGGACAAAGCCAAATATTACCATCATAACATGGATTTCTGGAATAAAAAAATAAACCTGATATTGTTATTAAAATGTAATAATTAACTGTATCAGTTATTTATTGTCATAATAACACTATGGAACCAGTAACTATAAACCTTCAGTTGTATTTAACAATAAACATCTATTCTTCACCACTCTGTAGGTCAGTTGGGTGGTGCTACTGACCTGGGCCAGACCTGTAGGGTCTCAGCCGGGCTGACTCAGCTCCTGTGGCTGCAGCCACTTGCCAGATGGGTGGAGGGCTGCCTGGTACAGGCTGTTATCAGCTTAGACCACCTGTCTCTGCTTCATGCAGTCTGTCAACTTCCAGTAGAGAATTGAGCTTGCCGTCATGGCATGAGAGGGTTCTAAGGGTGGGAATGGAAGCTTGCAAGGCCTCTTGAGAACTGAGTTCAGGACGGTCACTTCTGCTGCATTCTGTTAGGTAAAGTAAATCACAACGCTGCCCAGATTCTAAGTGTGAGGAAATAGACTCCACCTCTCGGTGGGAGGGGCTCCAAAGTCATATTGCAAGGGCCCTGAATATGTGCAGGGGTAGAGAATTCGAGCCATTCTTGCATTCAACCTGCCACATTAACATGTTTTTATCATTAAAGTTGTTTCAGTTAAATGTTCTAAGTTTGACATGACGGGGAAGATACAATAATTTCTCCACTGTCAGTAAGATTTCTCCTCTGTTAGCTGCCTACCTTACATATAAATAAATAGAGCCCACTTTCACCTGCGATTGTTAGAGAAGCAAGGTGTTTGACTAGCTCATTTTAATATAAATATCCTATGTTTCTCCCTTTTGTCTCCCTTTAGTCTTTATTATATCTGAATCAAAGATGACGTATAACATGCCTTGTTGTAGAATGATTTGGGAATTTTTCTTCCTTGTAATTTTTTTTTTTTTGAGACATAATCTCACGTTGTCACACAGGCTGGAGTGCAGTGGCACAATCACAGCTCACTGTAGCCTCAACCTCCCGGACTCCAGTGATCCTCCTGCTTCAGCCTTCCAAGTAGCTGCGACTACAGGCTCACATCACCACACTTGGGTACATTAAATATTTTTTTGGAGAGACAGGGGTCTTACTATGTTTCCCAAGGCTGGTCTCAAACTCCTGGCCTCAAGCGATCCTCCTGCCTCAGCTTCCCAAAGTCCTGGGATTACAGGCATGAGCTACCATGCCTGGCCTACTAATCTTTTTTGTTCTGCCATGTATTATCATCTAAATTTCCATGTACATTTGTGGACTCAAAAAAGGTTATGTATCCTAAAACATGCTTTCTTTTACATAAGATTAATGACTTCTGTACTCACCACAGTCTTGCAATAAGAAGTATGAATTCATACTTTGACTGACTGATAGAATTCCAATCTCTAAACACTTAAAGGAGGTTTTTCACTTCAAGTTTCAGGTAGAATGTTTACCTATATTTAAAAGTGAATACTGTATTTTAATATTAACAACAAATTAAAATATCACACCACATTTGTATCACTGATGTTCTTATAATGATTAGATACACTGGTTCTTATAATGATTAGATACACCCCTGAACTTGCATCAGATCAATGGTCATCTACTTGCATAGGTTACCAGTGTATCTGACCAGTATGGTGAAACCCTGTCTCTACTAAAAATACAAAAATTAGCCAGGCGTGGTGGCAGGTGCCTATAATCCCAGCTACTCGGGATGCTAAGGCTGGAGAATTGCTTGAACCTGAGAGGTGGAGGTTGCAGTGAGCCAAGATCGTGCCACTGCACTCCAGCCTGGGCGACAGAGTGAGACTCCATCTCAAAAAAAAAAAAAAAACCAAAGAAATTACTTTTCTGTAAGTCAACTCCACTTCCTCTGGTCTGTCTTCTCTGTACTCAGGGACCTCCTAAAATTTTCCTTCATATTGTTAAAGATAGTTTCAAAGCAACCTCCCTTTTTCTTTCTTTGTGCATAATAATAATAATCTAAACTTTTCTACATTTTTCTGCTTTCCATTTTTCTAATATTTTCTTCTGGGCCTCATGTCTCCAAAATAAATCATTCCACTCCAAGGAATAAAGTAACTAAAAATACATATACCTAATAAAACCAAACCGCTGTGCACCAAAAAGGAAATTAGTAATAGAAATTAAGAATGCCGGCTGGGCGTGGTGGCTCACGCCTGGAATCCCATCACTTTGGGAGGCCGAGGCGGGCGGATCACGAGGTCAGGAGATCGAGACCATGCTGGCTAACATGGTGAAACCCCGTCTCTACTGAAAATACAAAAAATTAGCCCGGCGAGGTGGCGGGTGCCTGTAGTCCCAGCTACTACTCGGGAGGCTGAGGCAGGAACCCCGGGGGGCAGAGCCTGCAGTGAGCCGAGATCCCGCCACTGCACTCCAACCTGGGCGACAGCGAGACTCCGTCTCAGAAAAAAAAAAAAAAAAGAAAAAGAAATTAAGAATGCCGGCCAGGCGCGGTGGCTCACATCTGTAATCCCAGCACTTTGGGAGGCCGAGACAGGTGGATCACCTGAGGTCAGGAGTTCGAGACCAGCCTGACCAACATGGTGAAACCCTGTCTCTACTAAATACAAAAAAAAAAAAAAATTAGCTGGGTATGGTAGTGCATGCCTATAATTCCAGCTACTTGGGAGATTGAGGCAGGAGACTTGCTTGAACCCGAGAGGTGGAGGTTGCAGTGAACAGAGATTGTGCCATTGCACTCCAGCCTGGGCAACAAGAGCGAAACTGCGTCTCAAAAAAAAAAAAAGAATGCCAGTGCTTTGTGGACTTTTTTTTCTGATAACACGTCTCTTCTTATTTATGTAGCATTAGAAAACAGTTCATTGAAAATAAAAACTGGAAAAGATTTTGTGTTAAAATACTCGGATAACATTCTGCATAGGCTGGAAATCTCCTTTTAACTTAGGAAATTTTAGAAAATTGGACGAATTGAAGCCTTTTTTTAAAGCTTACTTAATAATGTACTTATTAGAAGAAACACTATAATGATGTCAAAAAATTTAGCACACGGCGCGGGCGCAGGCGCGGAGAGGCGCACAGGAGACCTCAGGCCCAGGCTCCACTCCCCAGCTGTGAAAGGACCGCTGGCCGGACCCCCAAGCTAGCCCGCCAGGCCTCCATAGAGCTGCCCAGCATGGCCGTGGCCAGTACCAAGAGTCGGTGGGAGACGGGTGAGGTACAGGCTCAGTCTGCGACCAAGACTCCGTCCTGCAAGGCCCAGATTGCCTTCCTACAGGGAGAAAGGAAGGACCAAGAAAATTTGAAGAAGGATCTTGTGAGGAAGATCAAAATGTTGGAGTATGCTCTTAAACAGAAAAGAGCCAAATACCACAAGTTGAAATATGGGAGAGAATTGAATCAGGGAGATATGAAGCCTCCAAGCTATGACTCTGATTCCACATTAACAAAACAGCCAGTTAATGTGAAAACAAGGTCGACAACTACTCAGACAAAGGTAGTTCAGTTTCTCCAGATTACCACAGAAGACAGCTCTGTGGATCCTCCTCAGATGAGATGATTTAATATGGTACTGGGGAAATGAGAAGCCATCCGATCACAAGTGCTCCCTGAGGGTGGGCCACCACTCGTCGGCTGCAAATTGTAGCCTGGGAACGCTCCAGCCGTATTTCAGCTCGCCTTCGGGGATCGCCGCCTCCGAAGGGCAACAACAAGCAATTCAGTCAGTCCGTGGACCTTGGCACAGACTCTCAGCGCCTCCCGCCTCTCAGCAGAAACGCCCAACAGAACCGTTAGAACCAGCGAGCACGCGCACCTTAGCCGGCCCCGCCCAACAGGCCCGAGGCAGAGAAACCGCCTTAGCAGCTCTCGCGGCGCCCAGTACAGGCGGCGGTTGCTGCGCAGGTGCCGCGGGCTGGCAGGGCTCCCTGGAGCCGCAAGGCGCGCCCTGCCCCAGGGCCTGTTTGACTGTGGCCCGCGCCCTCTTCTCCTCTTCCAACGGCTCCCGATGCTCAGAGACCCCCGCGCTGGGCCCTCTGCAGCCCAGGGATGGGGTTGAGTGGTGCTTCTCCACCTGGTGCCGCCGCTGGGCCCACAGCCCGACTTCGCCACTGCGTCGCCCCCGGGGTCCGCGCTGATGGGCGCGAGGCGGAAGGACGGGATCCGGGGTTGCCACCGCTGCAGTCAGCCCACCGCTTGCAGGTGGCAGCTGCAGCTCGGGCTCCGGCGGGGGCTGGCGGGGCTCCCCTGGGATGGCCTCCTGGGCCCAGAGTGCGCCGCCCATCCGGCCAGAGGGTGCGCGCCTCCTACACCCTGGGCCGAAGCCCATGCCCGGCGCTCCTGCCGCAGACTGCCTGACTTGCCGCGGCCGGGCTGGCCCAGGGGTCCGCGCGGCTGGAGGCGCCCGCCTGGTCGGGGATTCCCAATCCTCGGCGACCCCTGCTCCATGTGCTGGTGGCGGCTGCAGCTGCAGCGCCCATGGGCTGATGTGGCTTACCGGAGCTGCGGCCGGCCACGCCCAAGGGCCTCACAGGCTGCGCTGCCCTTGCCAGCTGCTCCTGACCCGCGCCCAGAGAGCAGGACCTGGCGCTTGGCACTGTGCAGCCACGGGGATGAGGCTGAGCGCCGGTTATCGGCCTCGTGGCGCCACTGGGGCCACAGCCTGACTTCACCTCCCCGTCGCCCAAGTCGTGTGATGGGCACATGTGAGGAGGGGCAATCGGGGTTCCCAAGGCTGCTGCCTGCATGCCACTCCGTGGCCACTAGGATAGGGCTGAGGAGCCGCCAGGGGATGAGCACGTTGTGGCCATCGGGATGGGGCTGAGAGTCTATCTTTATCCTTATGCACCTGCCCAGCCGACTTCCTGACAGCCACTACCGCAGCGTCCTGTCAGGGAGTCCTTGCTGTTGGGGCGGGGATGGGGAGGGCATGGAGAATCAGGGATGGTCTGGCCATTGCTGCTGGTGCCTGACGTGCAGGTGGCAGCTGCACCTAGGGCACGGGCTGGTAGGTCTTCTCTTTTGGATGGTTTCCAGGTGCCCCATTGCGCAGTGACCAAGCCAGAGGGTCCACTCCACCTTAGCCCACACTAGGAGTCCAGGGGCTACAGGCATGGGTACTGCGTGGCCAACCAGAAGGGGCTCAGCAACCAGTTCAGCTTTCCTGCCTTTGCAGGGCTTTTTAAAAATTTTTTTGTATTTAACATTTTCTAAAAATACATACAAACAAAAAGATGCATATCAAACATATTAGGAAGATTGCACATGGGAAGACGGGGAATAGAAATGGGGGGTGAGAATGAAAGAAAATAAATGAGAGAGGGACTTTGTATGGATCAATGATAATAACTCAATCCTCTATGTCTTTGACAAGAAGGAGAAGGAAGAGGAAGAAAAAGAAAGTGGGATAAAGGATGGGAAAGGGAGGAAAACAGAAAAAATTAGAGTATGACTCCAGGGTAGACCTGTTTTGTTGTTGCTGGGTTGGTTGGTTGGTTTGTTGTATTTTTCATATGTTTCACCATGTTGGCCAGGCTGGTCTTGAACCCCTAGCCTCAAGTGATCAACCCGCCTCGGCCTCCGAGAGTGCTGGGATTACAGGCGTGAGCCACCACGTCCAGCCCCAACACTGCGTCTGGCCCCCGTGGTAGACCTCCCAGACGGGGTGGCCGGGCAGAGGTGCTCCCCACATCCCAGACGGGGCAGCCGGGCAGAGGCGCTCCTCACTTCCCAGACGGGGCGGCCGGGCAGAGGCGCTCCTCACATCCCAGATCCACAAAAGAAGTGAAAATAGCCTTAACTGATGACATTCCACCATTGTGATTTATTTCTGCCCCACCCTAACTGATGTACTTTGTAATCTCACCCACCCTTAAGAAAGTTCTTTGTAATCTCCCTCACCCTTGAGAAGGTTCTTTGTAATTTGTAATTCTCCCCACCCTTGAGAATGTACTTTGTGAGATCCACCTCCTGCCCGCAAAACATTGCTCCTAACTCCACCGCCTATCCCAAAACCTATAAGAACTAATGATAATCCCATCACCCTTTGCTGACTCTCTTTTCGGACTTGGCCCGCCTGCACCCAGGTGAAATAAACAGCCTTGTTGCTCAAAAAAAAAAAAAAAAATTTAGCACAATGCCTGGCACATACCAGATGCTCAATAAATAGTGGCTATTAGCTGATTGAACTTCATCTGTTCAAGTACATTTTCTAAAGTAAAAACATTAAAAAACAAAAAACCCTTCCTTCTAATTCGGTAATGAAGGTAGTTAGTTGGAGACTCTCCCGATAACTGTTATATAAGAATTAGCAATATGAAGCCAGAAGTGTACTGAATGCTGTAAAGCTGCGAAATGGTCTGAAATACTCAACGAGTCTTAAGGTGTTATTGGGACGGTAACATTTTCAGAATATGGAACTTGCTAAATAAACATTTTCCTGCTCATTTGGATACTACGCAATGCAGAACATTCTCTGTTTATTCTTTCATCGGAGACATTTTGAGGAAAGACAGAGGTGGGGTACTACTCAAGGACTCTTTAAACAAACATGAAGTTTAATTCAATTGTTTCCTGAGAGGTTGACTTCTTCCAAGAGCCAAAGAAAATGTTTTACTAATCCAAAAGGTACAAAAATAAGGTTGAAGCCATAGAATGCAGGAGGGTTTGAAAAAGTTAATGTATTTTGGGATAATTATGACCACTGTGAGGCTGTGCTGTGAAGGCCATCATTCTGCTTCTGTTAAAATAAGCAGCACAATCATTCTTTTTTCTTTTTATGTTTTTACTGGGAGACTGGTAAGGCTGCTTTGATAAAGTGAGTTCTTATTTATACCAAATCTAAACACCCAAGATAAATGGGACATGAAAGGTGAGGAGGAGACTGAGTGGCCACAATGTCACTCATGTAGACATTGAACTCACCCAGGGGGCAGGTGTGAGCAGAGGTGGACGGTGCATTCTGAGCTGTGTGTCAATGTCTTACGTGGCCAAGACAGAGTGACCAGAGGTCACTGTGCAGTGGCAAAGGTGGGGTCAGGTGCATGTTTGAGGCATGGGCTTCAAAAAAAGCAGTGTCATAGCTTTTGTCCTCTGTCACATGAGGTCATTTACAAGAAGAGGTCTAAGATGATGGTCATGTATGTATCCATTCGCCCATTCAATAGCTCACTCTAACACTATGCCTGTGATTGAATGGCTTTCAAAAAGCATGTTGTTGGATATACTGAATGACAAGTATCTACCAAACTCTATGCTGGGCTTGCAGGCACGGGGTAGATGAAAAAGTCTCTCTTCTCAGGGTACCCAGAGTCAGAAGCATTGACAAATTCGAGTGGAAGAGAAATGTCACACTAGCTCTGCATTCCATAGAGAGGGGACAGAGTGACACACTCTGGGGGAAAGAGTAGAGGAGCTGGTGGTGGTGGTGTCTGAAAGCACTCTGGGCTTGGGGAAACACGAGAATGGCCTCAGTGGCCTGAGGCGTGGTCAGAGGGGTGAGTGTGTTGGTCTTTGAGTCTCCCCATCCCTCCCGGTTGGACTGACTAGACTGCAGGAGCTTCATGAATTCGCCAGTTCCCGGAGTCTTCTTGGAAGAGGACGGCTGCAAGCCTCGTCCGGCTCCCTGAGGAGGGAAGAGCATCCAGTGCTCCTGTGACCCCTCACCGTGGGCACTGGCCGTACCCTCTGATGGAAACAGGTTTCTTACCTGCTGCCACTCTGCAGTCCTTACTCACCAGGCACGGATGTAGGACCCATCCAGCCCCATCTTCCCCATACACAGTTGCACAGTGTTGTAAAATCAAACTCACTGGCCATCCCAGGTGGGAATTGGGCCCTACCGGAACCTTTGTTTCTGATGTCCTCAGAAATGGCTCAACTAAATATTTTTCTTTTTCTAAGTGTAGGGAGTAAACAGAGAAAATTACTATCATTTCTTCTTCTGTTAATTGTCCTTATGTCAGGCCAGGAGTATATGGGTAGACAGTTCCCTGTGGCTGTTGGCTCAGTCTTCCAAACTACAGCATTTGCACTTTTATTCAAAATCCCATCTGTCTGGTTTTCGATGGTTCTGTCTGTAGCATTTTCTCCACACTGGTCTATAAATGCAGATATGTGTGTGCGCTTCTATGTATGGATGCTTACATGTACATGCATAGGTAGAGAGGAGAGTGCCTAGGCCAGATCACTCAGAGAAAGTGTTAAATTACACCATTTTGTTGTTTCAGTTACAGAAATCTTAAACTAAGCACAGCTTCTCTGACACCAGTATCAATTTCATTACTGAGCCATGAGATAACAGCGGTTTACAAGAGAAGATGGTGAAAAGATTGAGAATTCAAATGATGAATGGGATGCACACAGAAAAGACATCACTGTGCGCGTCTTCATGAGGAAACTGAATTGAGACTACTGTGCCACAAATCAAGTAATGTGTAATTTTTCTTTGAAAGCATGTAGAGGCTTTAAAGATAACAACTAGCTTTTGAGAAAACCTAGGATTAAAAAAATAATAGAATAAGATTAGAATCTTCATCATGTATTCAGTACTTTACATGCTATATTAATAGTGAACTAATACAGATTGAATTGCATATAATGCATTTCAAACAATTTGGGATTGAAGCAGAATATTAATATGACTACAGAAATTCAGTCCATTTTTTTACTAATGCAAAATATTTGAAAAAATATTTACATTATATATCAGCCATTATCCATTCATTACATTAATGATTTTTAGTAATACCTTCTTTTTAGTTATGTATTTAATTTAACTTATAAATTTAACACAATATTAGAGACATGCAAAAACATATTAGAAAAAACACAATATACATTGGCAAATACAGAACCCATTAACCAAAAACCAGTACAGGAGAAGCCCCTTCTCAGCCACACTCCCCTTTTTCCCATGGCATCATTTTGTATGCTTGCTGTACATATATATATATATATATATATATATATATATATATATATATATACACACACACACACATACATATATATATATACACACATACATATATATATATATACACATATATATATGCACATAAACAGTACTTATTATTTATTCATTTATTTATTTTTGAGATGGAGTCTCGCTCTGTCACCCAGGCTGGAGTGCAGTGGCATAATCTCGCCTCACTGCAACCTCCACCTCCTGGGTTCAAGCAATTCTCTTGCCTCAGTCACCGGAGTAGCTGGGATTACAGGGGCTCACCACCACGCCCAGCTAATTTTTGTATTTTTAGTAGAGATGGGGTTTCACCATGTTGGCCAGGCTGGTCTTGAACTCCTGCCCTCAGGTGATCTGCCCACCTCGGCCTCCCAAAGTGCTGAGACTACAGGTGTGAGCCACCGCGCCAGCCAATAGTACTTATTACTATGATATTTTTAATATAGAAGTTGACTTTTGTCTGTTACATAGTTCCTGGTGGGCACTCCTGGGCTCTCGTCTGTCCTCAAGGTCTTTCAGGGACCTGGATTCCTCCCTAGGGCAGTACGTCTCTGTCTTTGGTAAAACACTGCTTTTAAAAATCTTCAAAGTATCATGAACCCCTATTTTGTAAATTTCATAAAGACAGATGCATTATTAGAAAGATGAAATTAAAAAGCAGATACACAATTTTGCTCTGCAGTCATCAGTCAATAAAGAGTCAGCAGTGAAATCCCGGTTCTTGTACCAACGCCTATCTGCGCACTTTGAACAGATACCATTTACAGCAGTGTTTACAGTTAACGTGGCAACTGTTTCCTTCTTGTTAAATTTCTCTCATCTACGTTGGATGGACCACAGTATATTCATTTGTTCTCCGGCTTTGGAGTTCTCTAGGAAAATCAAGAGGTTTTCTTAGCTCCATGGCCATCCAGGGGTGAGGGGCTCCTCACAGGGGCACAGACGGGACTCAGGGAAGATGGCGCCGCCCCCCACCTCCCACCCCCGTGAAGGTGTTCCTTCCCTTGGGAGTTCCATCAGGTGTCCTGGAGCTGGCTGTGAGCAACAGACCCTGCCCCAAGAAGACCTGGGAATGGTCAGCACAGTGCATCAATTAAATCAATTCCGAGACTGCTCCATACACACAGGGCTGAAAGGTTACTTTCCATATGATTTATCTTCCCAAATTATGTTCAGTCGCAGTATCCGTGAAAGCTGTGGGAGAGTCTACAGCGATAGTAGGCTACTAGTAAGACACAAAAGGATACTCAGATAACAAAATGCCAACCACCCGAGACCCCCACATTAAACCACACACTTTTCCCATTATCAGATTTGCAGCAAAAGCTTTAAGTGCACCTATTGACTTTAGCTGTTCTATTATCATCACAATCCACTGTCTTTGAGAATAAATCAAATGAATTAATTGATACGCATTTGAAAATGAATCTACATTCCCTTTTACATGGCTACTTTTTCATGACATATAGGATATCTTCGCCACATTGCTTTCCATTTTAAAAGATCTAAGAGTTCCTCAAAGTAAGTACTTTTCTGAGAGTCCTTAATTTGGAAGAACTCTGCTTTCTCTGAGTCGCTAGGAGAGAAGTTAACAGATGCTGGAAGATGACATCAGCATTTAATTGCAAATAAATTCTGTTCTCTGGCAGCCTGGCTATTGTGCTCACATTTCAAAATTGTTTTAGTTCTTACATTTTTACCATGTTTACTAAATCTGGATGGATTATGGCTAGGTGTGCTGGTTCACGCCTGTAATCCCAGCACTTTGGGAGGCTGAGGCAGGCGGATCATTTGAGATCAGGAGTTCGAGACCAGCCTGACCAACATGCTGAAACCCCTTCTCTACTAAAAATACAAAAAATTAGCCCGGCATGGTAGTGCACTCCTGTAATATCAGTTACTTGGGAGGATGAGGCAGGAGAATCACTTGAACCTGGGAGGTGGAGATTGCAGTGAGCCGAGATTGCACTACTGCACTCCAGCCTGGGCAACACAGCAAGACTCCATCTCGAAAAAAAAAAAAAACCTGGATGGATTATGAAGCCGTATTCCTAAAAGATACTCATATGTTTAGAGGTGAGAATCGGGGATCTTCAATGGACTAGAGGATTGCCTTTCTTCTTAGACCACAGAAGCAGCTCAGGAATATGGTCACCTGGTGTCTAGCAGGGTAAGCCCAGGACAGGAGCTCATATTTAAGTGCGAGAAATGGAGTGTATGCAGGGAGAAAATGGAAACTAGAATTTTAAGGATGCTTTGGGGAATATGGAATCCTTGGTGAAAAGGTGCCACTATACAGCTTTCCTGGCTGGTAAAAGGAATGAACAACATGGTTCTTATTTGTGTAAACTCAGTCTTAGAAAATTTCAATTCATTACACACAAAAATATTTATGAAACAGTTTGGGGCCAAAGGGGTAGTATGGTAGACGAGTGTCTTACAGAGCCTGTGTGGGGAAGCAAAAGGCAAGGGTGTCGTTCACAGGCAGAAGCGAGCTGTGACATTGTCAGTGCAGCGTGTAAGTGTGGCTCCTCACAGGCGGCCATTGATTGTGAGACCTCATCTTACTCTGAAGATTTCCCGGTGGCTGTCATGCATTGCTTCTCAAAAGCCTTGTACTGTGATAAGGTTTAAGGAGACAGATTGTTGCAACAATAGCCTCTTCTAAGGAATGTTATTATGTCACTGCAGATGATGTTTTTAAGAGGTGATTCAGAATGATAGTTTCGTGATTACGGAAAGGAGTTCCTTCTCAAACTGCAAAAGGAAAGATGAAAATAGTCATGAAGCCTCCAGAACTGAAATTGGGCACCCTTTATGATGGATATTTACTTTAATTCAATGCAACACATATTTATGGGGCATAGACTGTATCAAATACTTAATAAAACCCATTCAGTTTGGAGCTCACACCTAAGCTGTGCTGTAATTGGATTTTCTTAATATTCATTAAAAACAGAAAAAAATGTATTTCACCTTTTTTTGGTATTTGCATTTGTTGCTTATAGTTTGTGGGGTGGAGCAGAGGGGTGTGAGGTTGAAGAAAGGCACTATGAATTAAGCCACACAAATGCCTCTAAAAAAAATAGTAAATATAACAATGGTTAACATTCATTGAATACTTACTATGTATCAGGCGCTGCTAGGAGATTTAGAAATAATTACTTAGTCCTCTTAACAGCCATATGGGGTAGGTAATATTATCTCCCCAGTAAGACAGCTTTAATTCATCCTTTTTGTTTCTATCCCTTTCCATCTCTGTCTGTCTGTCTCTCTCTCTCTCTTTTCCCCTAGTCTCTAGGACAGGGATATAAACTCTTTAGTGATTTTCAGTAATAGAAGAGCTAAGTACCGTTTAGTGTCATTGTCAGCTCACTTCTAATAGAAAGAGCTAACCCATGTCCACGCAGCTGAAAATTAGTTTTGTGTCTGAGATGATGGTGCTCACAATCATATACAGGGAACCCTGCCACTGTGCTATGCTGAGTAGGCAAACATTGGCCTTCCCTTGGAGGGATCCTCTTCTCTTAGGATTAATGTGGGAAGTACAGACAGAAATCTCTTCTGTTGTCATGGCGATACTACTTCCCTGATAGGATTTCAGCCATTCCAAGCGTGTTTGTTTCATTTGTTTTTTTTTCCTACCTTAAGCCCAGTCTAGGTGAGTTCTGGGTGCTGTGTGTGTGTGTGTGTGTGTGTGTTTTAATTGCAGTAAGAATATTGAATATGAGATCTACCCTCTTTGATTTTTTTTTTTTTTTGAGATGGAGTCTCACTCTGTCACCCAGGCTGGAGTGCCCTGGCATGGTATTGACTCACTGCAACCTCCACCTCCTGGGTTCAAGTGATTCTCCTGCCTCAGCCTCTCAAGTAGCTGGAACTACAGGTGTGCACCACCAAGACCAGCTAATTTTTGTATTTTTAGTAGAGACAGGGTTTTACCATGTTGGCCAGGCTGGTCTCAAACTCCTGACCTCAAGTGATCTGCCCACCGCCACCTACAAAGCATTGGGATTACAGGCATGAGCCACCACACTTGGCCTACGTTATTTAATTTTTAAGTACACAATACAGTATTGTTAACTATAGCCACAGTGTTGTACAGCAAATCTCTCTCACCTATGCATCCTGCGTAACTGAAACTCTGTGCCCATTGAACAGCAGCTCCTCATTTCCTCCCCCATCAGCCCCTGGCAGCCATCATTCTACTCTCTGCTTCTGTGAGTCTGGCTATTTTAGATCCCTTATAGAAGTGGAAACGCGCAGTATTTGTCCTTCTGTGACTGGCTTATTTCATTGAGCATAACGACCCCCAAGTTTAGCCATGTTGTTGCTTATGGCAGGATTTCCTTCTTTTTTCAGGCTGAATAATATTTCCTTATATGTATATGCTGCATTTTTAAAAACCCTTTCATCCACTGACAGACGTTTAGATTATTTCCACACCTTGGCTATTATGAGTAATGCTACAACGAACAAAGTGAAAATATCTCTTTAAGATCCTGATTTCAGTTTTTTTCAATAAATACCCAGAAGTGGAATGACTGGGTCATTCATATGGTAATTCTAATTAAACACAGAATTATTTTTAATTTTTTGAGAAACTTCTGTGCTGCTTTCCACAGTGGTTGCATCTGTTTACGTACTTACCAATGGTGCACAAGGGTTCCAATTTCTCCACATCTTTGCCAACTTGTTATCTGTGTTTGTTTAAATGACAGCTGTATGAGTTGTCCCTTGCCTCCATGCAATTCTGAACTTCAGAAATAAGCACCTGGCTCCTTTAAAAGCTGTCCATCGTATGTTGTGTCTACAGCCACTGAATCCTGTCCTACATTTTCTGATTCATTAACTCATTCAACCAATAGCTATTGAACACCATCAATAAGTCAGCCACCATGAAGATGAGTATTTTATATTGAATTCTACTAACATATCCTGTATGTTTACTATGGTGCCAGAGAGGATGCTGTGTGCTTTTTTTACATTGTTATCTTTACTGTTCACAAGAACCATGTAAGGTAGGTGTTGGTAAAATGGGTAATTTTGGAAATTCTTCAGTGATTGAATAGAATAACTTCCCGCTCTCTGTGAGAAGATATGTTTTAAATAAGATACAACCCAGGGTCTTGGTTACTTGAGACATATTATACTTTCTCAGATACCGTCAGACCTGAATCATTTAATAAACTAAAGCAGAAATACTAAAAATATCTGGTTCAATAGCATAGGGGCATGGAGTAGACATGCAGAAAATGCTTGTTCACTTGCCTTGAAATGGCTCCAGGTGGCCTGAAGGAATCAATGAACCTTCTCAAATATCTACATTACAACCACTGGTCCCCACTACACATTTATTTCTAAATAAAGGAGGAGAAACTGTAGCAAAATAATATTTAATATTTTTATAGCTTCCAGGATGAATTTTACTGAACATGGAGGATCTGATAGTGGTAGGTGTATCAGGAATATCAGGGAAAATGCTTTTGATGTTGTTGGCAAAGTCAATTCCTATCATTTGTACTTGACACCAGCTACCTAGCAGGCTCATTGTGAACTTCAGGTTTCGCCCACGTTATTTATATAAAGTATCTCAGTGTAATATAGGGAGTTGCTGGTTATTTGAAAATAGTAACAAAGATAACCCAAACGAGAAACTCCATTTCCATAATTAGTTTTCCTGAAAGTCAGGCATGTCTTCGAGGACAGGTTTTGGCAGTATTATTTTTGTGCACAGGAGGAAATTTGTTAGTAGGTTTATAGATATTATTTTTATAATAGAATGTTAAACCCCTGAAAACATCAGAATTTATCTCCTAGAACTAATTCTATGTTTTAAAAACTTGTTTTAAAAAGGGATTCTAAATAGCAATAGGGTCTTTCCTCCTTTCTCCACTCCAATGGTTTAATGGGATAGAGGAATCAATGTTTATATTTTTAAACCTGTAAATATTTTATTTTGGGTATTTTGTATATTTGTTGATATAATTCCATTTTGTGCATATGTACCATTGTGCATGTTGCTGTTTTTGATAGTCACTCTTTTAATGAATGTAAGAAGCTTGGGCTAATAGCACTTTTCTTGTTCCATTCAAACATCTGAAAATGAAACTACAACACTGCCATTTTACTGTTGTGTTTAATTCAGTCAATAAATTTTGTTGCTCCTTTGCATTTAAAGTGAATTCTGTTGGTTGTTATTTCTCCAGGATCAATTTTATTTCCGGTCTTTTCAATTTTTATAAATTATACTAATGATGGTGATGATGAGAAGGTGATGTGTGTGTGACTGTCTCGTGGAAAGACCAATGGGAGGCCCATATTTCTCTCCACACTTTGTAAACAAGTGAAAAATTCCTTGTTTGGTTTGGGCAGCTGTCTTTTGAAAAGCTCTTTTGTTATTCTGACTCTGATCTGAATTCTGAGGCTTTTACTCAGAAAATCTCCATTCCTTATCATCTCTCATGAGGCCGGCTAATCCGTGCTGACTGTCGGGTAGCGGCAACATTAGGGCCACTGGAGTCTTTCTAAAGAGTTGCTTTCTGGTTTTTGTTTATTTTGTTTTTGGTGGTATGTTTTCATTTTCTATGTGTAACAGGTAGGGAAGCCTCTCAAGGAAAGGAGGCCAGAAACCATCAGATGTAGCTACTGATCCCTGGAGGCCGACAGCTTTCCATTCCGCGGTCCAAGAATGGGCTGAGAACCACAAGGGGAGGTGGACGCATCCACAGCAAGGGGGGAAGGACTGTTTCCTAGATATTTTTTGGTAACTGATACATCAAGCAGGCAGAAAATCAGTCAGAATAAAGATTTGAGCAACACATTTGGCCACATATTATAACAACTAGAGAATCCATGTTCTTTTCAAAAGCAAATGAAACATTTGTGAATGTTGATTACATCCTAGACCATGAAGTAAGTCATGACACATTTCAAAAAATAGTTCCTCACAGAATGTGTTCTCTTACCACAACACAACTACACTAGAAATTAGTAATAAAAAGATAATTAAAATCACTCCATACATTTGGACTTTTGAAAAAATACACCTTTTAATAGCTCATGGATCAGAGAATAAATGAGTAAGGATATTAGAAAGCAATTAGATGTGCATAATTATGAAAAGGATCTATATTAAGACATGAAATATAACCCAATCTGTACTTAGGAAAAATTTTATAGCTTCAAATGATTAGATTATAAAAGATAAGGAGCTGAAGATCAATAAGCTGAGAATCCATTTTAATTAAATGTAAGAAGTTAAGAAAAGAATAACAGGATAAATATGTAGAAAGTTTAATTAAGAATTAATATGAATAAGAGCAGAAAGCAATAAAGCGGAAAACAAAGATACCCTAAAGTAGATCAACAAAGATGAATCATTTTTTTGAAAAACATCCAACAATATTTTTAAAGAAAATAATAGAAAGATACAAATATGGTTCAAAATTAGATGGGCACAACAACAGTTACAGTAGAGATTAAAAATGTAATGAAAGAATGTTACAAATATTATGGCAATAATTTTTTTTTTGAGACAGGGTCTAGCTCTGTTGCCCATTCTGGAGTGCAGTGGCATGATCATGGCTTACTACAGCCTTTACCCTTTGGGGTCAAGCAATCCTCTCCACCTCAGTCTCCCGAGTAGCTGGGACTACAGGTCCACGCCACCATGCTGGATCTTACAAACAAAAATGAAGGTGCCTTTTTCTATTGCTAAATGCGCTGGTCTGAAATGCAATGAAAGGACAAGGGTGACACTCAAGGGAAGATTAAAGAAAGACTCCTAACTATTCCAGAGGCAAACTCTATGTGGCTGAGTTAGAGTCATAGAAAGATCCTCTTGACAAAATGCGAAAAAAGAACAAACAAACAAAAGGCCTAAAGGTTGTGTGGACCATGTCTATTCCTTTAGCAAATTGAGAACAAGACAAGATTTCTGGCATTGGATACAAGATCCTAAATACAACTGTGAAGAAATTAGTTACAGTTTTAGGGAAGTTGTACTGTCAAAAAAAGTCCCTAGCCTGTTGTACAGAGACCTGTGACCGTCCAGCATTATGGTAGACCCTAAACCAAGCCCCAACATTGAAGTGCCAGGATCAAAGCCATTCACTAGCATCTCCTCAAACACCTGCCTGCCATCACCACCACAAGTGCCAGGATCAAAGCCATTCACTAGCATCTCCTCAAACACCTGCCTGCCATCACCACCACAAGCACCAGTAGGAAATCCTCCCTTGGTGCCTTTTCTGAAGGTGGTTCCAACAATTTATTCTACATCCAGAGAAGTGAGGCAACAAAGAGAATGCTCATGAGACCCATTGTTTCTATCATTCATCCTGCTAAGCTTGCTCAGCGAGATATGCTATTATATAATCTGTACCAGTTATCAATGTAGGCACTTCTTTCCCCGTTTTTGGTTTGATTTTTATTCCATTTCACTGTATCGGGTAGGCAGGAGAAGCTACTTTTATCATTTATGCCATAATCTGCAGAATGGTGAGAAGTCACAAACCTGATCAAATCCAAGCTAATGGAGGAATTGACACTACCTAGAAAACCTGAACTCAGAGGGGCTAAATTGTGTCACTTCACAGTACAGAACCTGTATGTGATTTTGGATTGTTACCCACTGGGGAGAAGGTGAGCACATTTGGAATTGCACAGAAGGTGGCTGGATTAGGATTAAGTAGGAGCATTTTTACAATTAAATGTGTGAGAAGATGTGATAGATATATATATATATATATATGTATATATATATTAGGTAGCCAAGAGGTTACTCCATCTTCACATAAGACATTAATACAATAGAGGAAAAATATGTCTGACCATCCTTCCCACAGCCACACCCCGGACTCATCTTCCGAAATCGCTGCGAATCTATGGGATCAGCGCCGGAGCCTCTCCCAGCAGATCGCAGATCGCTTGCTCAGTCAGCCCTCACCGCTGCTCCTTCAACTCCCGGACCTGCCGTGCTGACCCCTTTACTTTCTCCAACCCACTGGATCCTCTTTCTTCTAAGATCCCTCCCGTTTTTAAAAGCCTCTCCCTGCCCGAGCCCATGCGCCTTCTGGCAGCTGGTCTACCCTCTTCCAACCCTTAAGCAGGCCCGGAGCCTGGCTCCACTCCTTCCCCTCTGGCTGGCTGCTTCCTCAGCCAGGCTCATCTACACCACAGCAGTTCAGGCACAGGGCACAGGTGATGCCTGACTATGAAATCCAATGGCATGTTTTAGCCTTCAAATTACTGCAACATACTTAACCTTTCAGCAGCATTTGAGACTATACCTCACCCTCCTTCACAGCCTCTCCTCCTCCGAGCTCTGGGCTGCCGCCTCTGTGTTTCCCTGTTGCCTGCTCCCCTCGCCTCTCTCCTCTCTCCCCTCCTTGGCCACTGTTATTATGAACTCACACAGTTCTTCCAGGCTGGGCACGTGGCCTCTTCTGCTCTTACCCCTAACTCTCTCCAGGTGATGTCACCCAGGCTTACAGCTGCATCACCATCTGCTAGAGGTAGAATTGTGTCCCCCAAAAGACATTGAAGTCCTAGCCCGCAGTACCTATCCATGTGGCCCATTTAGAAAAAAGGTATCTGCAGAGGATGCAGGTAAGCTTTAGGTGATTGGGGTGGGGCATAATCCAGGGTCCTTACAGAGCAGGGAAATTTGGATGCAGAGGCAGAACCACACAGAGGAAGACGACATAATGACCCAGGGAGAAGGTGGCCACCTAGAAGCCCAGGAGTGCCCAAGGCTGCCGGAAGTGAGGATGGAGGCCTGGAGCAGGCCCCTCACAGCCCTAGGAGAAGCCTGATGACACCTCGCCCGCAGGCTTTCTGCCTCCGGAGCCATGAAGGAGAAGGCATCTGTTGCTCAAGCCGCTGTGCTGTGGTCCTTTGTTACAGCAACCACAGGAAAGGAACCCACCACCAAGTCCTGAATTCACACCAATAACCCAGGGCTCTCCCACAGGCTGCAGATCCACAATTGTAACTGGCTGCCTCACATCTTCAACCGGACATCACAAAAATACTACAAATCCAACATTTCCAAAACCTCATTCTGTTCTTTTGCACACTCTGCCACCAAGTTTGACAAAAATAAAACAAAAAGAATTTCAGCCGGGTGTGGTGGCTCATGCCTGTAATCCCAGCACTTTGGGAGGCTGAGGTGGGTGGATCACCTGAGGCCAGGAGTTCGAGACTAGCCTGGCCAACGTGGCGAAACCCCGTCTCTACTAAAAATACAAAAATTAGCTGGGCATGGTGGCGGGCACCTGTAATTCCAGCTACTTGAGAGGCTGAGGCAGGAGAATCGCTTGAACCCAGCAGACGGAGGATGCAGTGAGCCGAGATCACACCATTGCACTCCAGCCTGGGTGACAAGAGCGAAACTCCATCTGAAAAAAAAAAAAAAAAAAGAATTTCAGAGTTTTCTGTCTCAAGAAGTCATTTTCCTACATACTGGAAACAGGGTGGTCATTCCTAAAACCTCTGAGTCTGTCCCCACTACCGCCTAACTTCCTAGCCAAATCCAAGCCTTGAGAAACTCCGCTGGAACTGCCTGCTATTTCCCAACTGTGCCGACAACTTCATGGGTAAAAGATGCCATTGTGGCCGGGCGCGGTGGCTCATGCCTGTAATCGCAGCACTTTGGGAAGCCAAGGCAGGCGGATCACGAGGTCAGGAGATCGAGACCATCCTGGCCAACACGGTGAAACCCCGTCTCTACTAAAAATACAAAAAATTAGCCGGGCGTGGTGGCGGGCGCCTGTAGTCCCAGCTACTCGGGAGGCTGAGGCAGGAGAATGGTGTGAACCCAGGAGGCGGAGCTTGCAGTGAGCCGAGATTGCGCCACTGCATTCCAGCCTGGGCGACAGAGCCAGACTCCGTCTCAAAAAAAGAAAAAAAAAAAAAGATGCCATTGCTTCCTGCTTAGCAGAGAGGGGCCAGGAGGACCATTGAGGAGGTGGGGCAGCAGCAGGACCCCCAGAACCGAAGCCTGTGTCTCTGCTGTCTCATCCCTTCATTCTTCCCGGCTCGCCACAGCTCAGCTACCTGGGCTTTCACTTCCTAAACACAAAACCTCTTCCTTCCCCAGCAGGGCTTCTGCATGTCCAGCCACCTCACCTAGAATCCTCCTGGGGCCTCCTCTCCACCACTGCCCCCTGGTTTCTGTGGCTAGGTGGTTTTCGGGTAAAAGTTAATATTGTTTTTTGGTTTTTTTTTTCTTTTGGATTCAGGAGCTACGTGAGTGGTTTGTTACAAGGATTTATTGCATGACAGTGAGGTTTGGGCTTCAACTGATCCCATCACCCAGATAGTGAACACAGTGCCCAATAGGTAAGTTTTCAACCCTCTCCCTTCCTCCTGCCTTTTGGAATCCCCAGTGTCTATTTTCCCATCTTTATGTCCCTGTGCACCCAATGCTTGCCTCCCACTTATAAGTGAAAACATGTGGTATTTGGATTTCTATTTTTGCATTAATTCACTTAGGGTAATTGGCGTGGCTAGGTTTTTTGTACAATTCAGTTCTCAGCTTAAATGTCACATTCCAGAACATGCTTCCTAGCCCATGCTGTCTAGAGGGAAGCCCGTCATAGTCCCTGAAGAAGCAGTCTTGAAAGACACAATCCCAGCTCTTAAAATTCTGAAAGATCAAAAATCCCTAAAATCCAAAATCCTGAAAATATAATTCTGGAAAAAATAATTTTAAAAATTCCTGAAGATATTTACTTACATTTTAAGGGGAGTGGGTGTGGGCACAGTGGCTCACTCCTGTAATCCCAGCACTTTGGGAGGCTGAGGCAGGTGGATCACCTGAGGTCAGGAGTTCAAGACCAGCCTGGCCAACATGGTGAAACTCCATCTTTACTAAAAATACAAAAATTAGCCCGGCCTGGTGGTGCATGCCTGTAATCCCAGCTATTCGGGAGGCTGAGGCAGGATAATCGCTTGAATCCGGGAGGCGGAGTTTGCAGTGAGCCCAAATCACACCACTACATTCCAGCCTTGGCAACAACATGAGACTGCATCTCAAAAAAAAAGGGAGGGGGGGATTTATTTGAGAAACATATAAAAACACAACAGAACACTTCATAGGCCGCTTTACACAATAAAAGAAGCAATACTAGCGTACATGTTTTTGCAAGAATAAATACTCAGGTATACGACTATACCTGGCACAGATATAGCATTTATGAGCAGATAAACTGTATTCCTAAAGAAGTAGGTCAAAAGGAAAATGTGTAAACACATATCACTATGATTGGTAATTGTGTGCAACCAGCTTTGTATATGTGCTCATCTGAAATACTGTGATAAAAAACCGAAGTCTTTTGACAAGATTGATCAAAAACCACAATGGATTACCACTACATATGCAGTCACCCAAAGAGCTGAGATCTCAAAAAATGTTGTCTTTTACAAATGCAGGTGTACAAAAAGGACATCACTGAGGAGGTTTCAATGTTTTCATGTACATACACAATGTTTATACACAAAATCAACATTGAGATAATGAACTTTCATGGAGTCACATTTGCAAAAAAATGCATGAAACAAATTAGGACTCTCTAAACGTCTCTGCACAACCTATACGTCAAGTTTTGGAAATGATGCAACGATGAAATATATAGCATAGTGAATTGTTTTGCTATTTAAAATAGTGAAAAAAATAGAAGAAAAGGAAAAAAAACCCTATCCTGTGATTGTGATTTTCAGAATTTTAGACTTTAGGGATTTATACTTTAGGATCTTTGATCTTTTGGGATTTTAGCATTCAGGATTATGGTATTTGGAATTTTGTCTTATTTTCAATAAAAATGCAAAAGTAATTCAATGGAAAAGTATCATTTTTTCACCAAATGGTGCTGGAACAGATGGATGTTCATGTGCCAGAAAATGAACCTGAATCCATATCTTAGGCCCTATATGAAAATTAACTGAAATTGATCGTAGACCTAAATGTAAAACATAGATATATAAGACTTCTGTAAGAACACATGGAAAAAAAATATTGCACTCTCGGGTTAGGCAAAGATTTCATACATGTAACAACAAAAAGCACAATCCATAAAAGAAAACAATTGGTAAACTAGATTTCATCAAAATTAAAAACTTCTGTTTTTTGAAGGGCACTATTAAGAAAATTAAAAGGTGGGGAGAAAACCACTACACACCTTTAGAATGGCTGAAACTCTTTAAGGTGATGATAACAAGTGCTGATGATAACAAGTGCTGTTGAGAATGCAGAGTTACTGGAACACTCATTCATTGCTGGTGGGAAAGTGAAATGGTGCAAAGACTATGGAAAACAGTTTGGTAGTTTTTTAAAAAGTTAAAAATACCTACCACGTGACCCAGTCATTTGTACGTAGATATTACCCCAGGAGAAAAGAGCACATTTGTCCACACAAAGTCCTGTACCTGTTATTTAGGCAGTAAACTTATATTGCATCAAGTCACAGAAATGCTGGGGTCTGGACAAGGCGTGGTAATGGGGACTCAGGATGGTGGACACATGGAGGGACTGTTTAGGTAGAACTGGCTGGCGGTCTTCTTATTTGGTTTGGGCTGCTATAACAAAATGCCATAAACTGGGTGGCTTATAAACAACAGACATTTATCTCTGACAGTTCTAAAGGCTGGGAAGTCCATGTGAAAGGAAAATATCTTGGGACTCCAAAATCACTAAGGAAAACTCAAGCCGGGAACTGCTTAGGGCAAACCTGCCTCCCATTCTATTCAAAGCCATTCCTCTACTCACTGAGATAGATGCATATCTGATTTGCCACCTTTGGAAAGGCTAATGAGAAATTCAAAAGGATGTAACCATTTGTGTATCACCTATCTGTGGCCTGGAAGCTCCCTCCCTGCTTCCAGCCTTCCTGCCTTTGCTTCAAGTTTTCCCGCCTTTCCAGACCGAACCAGTGTTTCTTACATATATTAATTGATGCCTCATGTCTCCCTAAATGTATAAAACCAAGCTGTGCCCTGACCACCTTGGGCACATGTCATCAGGATTTCCTGAGGCTGTGTCACAAGCACGTCCTCAACCTTGGCAAAATAAACTTTCCAAATTAACTAAGACCCGTCTCAGATTTTCTGGTTCACATCCGAGAACACTGCATCAGCAGATTCAATGTCTGGTGAGCGCCACCTTCTGGTTCACAGGTGATACTGTCTCTCTTCATTCCCACATGGTAGAAGGGACGGGACAGCTATCTGAGGCCTCTTTTCTAAAGGCACCAACCCCTTTCATCAGGCCTCTGTCTTCACGGCTTAACCACCTGCCAAAGCCCTCATCTCTGATACCATCATCTTGGGGCTTAGATTTCAACACAGAAATTTGCCGGGACACAAACATTCAGCCCATGGCGGTGATGTACTGGATGCGGAGGAGAGTGGAGAGATACCTGAAAAGCAAGACAGAAAATTAAGGGACTGGGAAGTTACTCTGTGGGTCAAAGGAACGAATTCAGAGTGGGACATGTTGAGTTTGAGTTTTCCAGTATGCAGTTAGCTGTATGGGCTTAGCAAAATGAAATTTAACAATATGCTATTACTAAGTTATTTGTTATCTGG
The DNA here is from genome assembly GCF_000001405.40 of Homo sapiens. NCBI lineage: Eukaryota > Metazoa > Chordata > Mammalia > Primates > Hominidae > Homo > Homo sapiens. The sequence goes on from NC_000013.11 coordinate 25,037,833, forward strand.
AGTTTACATATTCAACTTTTAAAAGATAAGTAAATCTTAACGTTAAAACAATTATGAGAATACAGATTGTTATAAAATTCTCACAAGGATATTATTCCTTCTGAATATGAACCACTTCAGTAAGGCCTCCTACCGCACTGGACTCTCCCCTGAATAAAACCTACTGTCACCAAGCCAGTACTCGATCAACGGTTTTGAAAAGTAGGTTTTACTAATTCTCAGACAATCTCCTGTTTCACAGCAGAACCCCAAAGACTCCCACAGGCTGCACAAACAAATAAAAGCACATTTTGTAACAACAGCCAATATAAAGAAGAAGGAGGGGAAAAAACCAAGAGCCTAACTGAAAAGTGAACAAAGGAAATGAACAGATAGTTGCAGTAAAAGAAATACAATGGCCCTGAAACATTCAGAGATCACTTAAAATAGGAGAAATGTAAACTAAAACCACACTGAGACACCATTTTCCATCATGAGATGAGCAAAGATGAAGGAATTTGTTCACACGCTGTGTTGGTGAAGGCTTGGGAGACAGGTTCCGTCTACAGGAGACATAAATTGGTATAATCTCCACAGAAGGCAATTCATCAACATCCCAATATTTAATATGCCCAAAACATTCCTTTTCAACAAATCAATATCAATACATTTGATTGACAAACATGCTTGTATATGTGTGAAATGGTTTAAGTTTACAGTTATTCACAGAAGCATGGAAAAAACTGAAAGCCTATCTACAGAGAACTGGTTTATGTCATATGTTATCACCATAGAACAGAATACCATGCAGCCATTGAAAAGAATGAAAACGGTGGCAACAACCCAAATTTCCATCAACAGGTGAATGAATAAACAAAATATAATACATACACATTATGGAATATTACTCAGCCTTAAAAAGGAACAAAATTCTGACATATGCCACAACATAGATGGAACTTAAGGACAATAAGTTATGTGAAATAAGCCAGACACAAAAGGACAATACTGTAGAATCCACATATAAGAGGTACCTAGAGTAGGCAAATTCAGAGACAGGAAGTAGAACGGCAGTTGCCAGGAGCCTGGGAGGGCGAGTGGGGAGTTATTGTTTAATGGATACAAAATTCCAGTTTTGCAAGATGAAAAGAGTTCTGCAGATAGATGGTGGTGAAGGTTGCAAAACAATGTGAATGTGCTGAATGCCACTGAAGTGTACACTTAAAAATGGTAAATAAGGCCAGGCACAGTGGCTCACACCTGTAATCCCAACACTTTGGGAGGCTGAGGCGAGAGGATCACCTGAGGTCAGGAGTTCGAGACCAGCCGGGCCACCATGCTGAAACCCCATCTCTACTAAAAAAAAAAAAAAAAAAAGCCATACGTGGTGGTGCACGCCTGTAGTCCCAGCTACTAAAGAGGTTGAGGCAGGAGAATCGCTTGAATCTGGGAGGCAGAGGCTGCAGTGAGCCAAGATCGTGCCACTGCACTCCAGCTTGGGTGACAGAGTGAGAATCTGTCTCAAAAAAAAAAAAACGGGCAAATAAAACACAAAACTTTTAGAATCCAGGGCTTTACCTTCTAATTGGTCAACATATAATTGCATAACCAAATTCTTACGGGCAAATCAGGTCTTTTAGAGAAGAAAAAAAATAAAGTTTAATTCAGTGGAATTAACATGGTTGGAAAAATGATTTGTTTGGGCAGAGTCCCAGAGCTAACAGTAATAAACATAATACTTAACTTTAAAAATGCTTGAACTTTTCTCCAAAGAACATATTTCCACCATCAGGGGAAGTGTTGATTTTCATATTATTCAAGCTATCTTTTATCCCTCTAAATATGAACATTTTGCAAGTAGTGTGGCTACTCATTTCCTGATAATAGACATATTCTAATAGCTAGACACGGAAGTATTTTCTAAAATGCCACATTTGCTATCTAGAGACACAACCACTGAAAGGAAGTCTGCTAATTAAGACCCCAAGATGACTATCATTTTATAAACTAACAGACCTACTTTCATCATAAATTAGGCCAGGCGCGGTGGCTCATGCCTGTAATCCCAGCATTTTGGGAGGCCAAGGCGGGCGGATCACCTTAGGTCAGGAGTTTGAGACCAGCTTGGCTAACATGGCAAAACCCTGTCTCTACTAAAAATACAAAAAATAGCCAGGCGTGGTGGTGGGCGCCTGTAATCCCAGCTACTCGGGTCGGGGAGGCAAAGGAATTGCTTGAACCCAGGAGGTGGAGGTTGCAGTGAGCCGAGATCGCGCCACCGTACTCCAGCCTGGGCAACAGGGTGAGACTGTCTCAAAAATTAATTAATTAATTAGTTTTTCATTTTACTAAGAGGCTCAGCAGAGTTTTCAATCCCCTACTTCATTTAAAATACAAACCCAAAATATCAAAATTTGAAACTTGTTGAGATTTTCCATGTAGTGTAAAATGACCAGTGACTGTGCTTCACTCTGGATATGCTGGACTCACTGCACCAGGAGATCCCTCCATGTTTTCAATCCGAGGAAACTGCAGGCATCTAGGTCTGAGACAGAATACAACAGCAGAAACAGCCTTCAGTGACGGACATTCCTGTGGCTAAATGACTGCTGAATGGCCCTGCTGCTCTCTCAAGGCTAAGACATCGAAGCTGAAGACAACGCTGTTTCACAAAGGAACAAACCAAAGAGAATAAATTAGAGTGGAGAAATCCTCCCCTCTAAAAGTTTTCTCAGTGAGACCTTCCCTACCTCTTGTATAAAAAGGAGAAAATACCATTATTCTCGCAGCCTCATAGTAACAGAGAGGATGCATGGATAAAAGGGGTTGATACTTGAGAGGCATTTGGGATTCTTAGAGAAGACATGTTCCATTTTAGGCTGGTTTTTAGAAAGAACAGAGAGGGCCTTAGAAACTGATCAAAACCCTCTTCCTGCAGACAACACATCTAAATATTTGGGAATTTGGCTTGATAAGCATTTGTGCATTTGTGCAAGACTTGCACCCAGGTCCCCTGATGCTCCTCTGGCCCATTTTATTCTGTGCCTCGCCATCCAAATAAAATTCTCAGATGCTCTAATCTTCGTGTTACAAAGGCTTTGTGCAACAAAAATATATTTCACTTGTTTGGAATTTGGCATGTATTTTCCTTAGAAACAGGGTATATGATGACTAGGTCCCCAAACCAGCCCAAACACCTAATGTGTACATGTGAGACCTTGGTATGCTAAAAACACCTGCAAACCTGACACCCTGGAACTGAATTTGTCATTCCAACTTGAAATGCCAGGAAGGATGGAATGAGCGACAGCTGCACTTCTTTCTGGGGACCCCTCCAGCTCCATATCACTGCTGATATCATGAAGAGGGGAGCTGAGCTCCATGGGTGAGGAGCAGGGCACTTGAAGGTAATCCAGGGACACTTGGTCCCCAGGCTGGCTTCCTCGTCCCTGGGTGTCTCTTCTTCCATCCGTCTCAGCATATGGACCGCTGGCTGTTTTCCTCTCTTTAGTCACTGTCTAGGGTTGTGACCAGTGTTTTTCTCCTCTGCCCTGATGTTGCCCTCAACACAGTCTTATATTCTTATGTTGCCTGTGTATCCTTCTGTCCTGGAAATGAACACTCAGGCAGTCTTTTAGGACTTTCCAATGATTTACGACTACTATCAATAATGAAGAAAGACAGCCTTCTCTTCCTCTCCTGCAGCCCAGTCCCTTTTATTTCCTTCAGACCCTGATGAAATTCCTCCAGGAAGATAAGGCTTGAAACCCCACAGCCAGACTCACACTGGGGTAGACACAACCAGAGCTAGGATTTCTTGAGCCATACTCATTGGACTGGAGGAAGACCCTCGGCTGAAAAGTGGGACAGAGCCTGGATTGGGGTTGGGGTGATGAGAATGTGCAGAAGACAGGCATACGGAAAGAAGCCACAGCAGGGGAGGATCTGGGTCTCTGGCCACTGAGCCCCAGCAACAGGCATTCCTAGGTGGCTGTGCCACAACACAACCTTTCCAGTGATTCCCTGGTGCATGGCCGCTCACCCTCAGCCGGATTATAAACTACTCAGGAAGAAAGGTCGTGACACATCTTGTGCCCCCATCAGCACTGAGTATACAGGGAGTGACTGATCAATATTTGTTGAGTGGCTTGAACTTCCAAGCCACTCAATGTCATTACCATCTTCAGTAGCAGAGGGGAAGAAAGGGCATTTCACTATGCCACACCTGAGGAAGTCATCAACAGCCAGAACAATCATTTTTCCTCATCTTTATACATTTGTGTTTGCTTGTTCTGTTCCTTAATTTCAGGGGAGTGTGTCTGTGGTGAGCAAAAGCACCAACTGAAGAGACCAGCTCACCTCCCGACTCTGTGCCATGTGATGTGCACAGCCGGCCAGTTACACAGATGTCTGGCTCAAATAAGGAGAAACAGACCATTCGGTATACCTTGCAGGGACTTGCACTCACTTTCAAAGCTGACTTTTCAAACTCCAAGTGCTGGCACCGATCCCTGTATGCACAGCTCTGAGAAATAGGCAGCGTTTTTTGGCTGGGATACCAGTAGCTGTTCCACACAAGAACCTGTTTCTGAAAGCACCTATCAAGGAAAGCTACTGGATCTTGTTCAAGCAGTGCATTCTGAACGCTTTCTCTGTTCCTTGGGAAAGCGCCACCGGCCGGGAGTATTGGAGCCCTGCTCTTCAGCAGGGATACTGCAGAATTTAGTCCAGGGCCTCACACTTAGAAGTAAAGAGGTTGGTCCTCAAGGGGGAATGACTGGGAGAAATGAGAGGAGGACACAGACCGCAACTCCACCCCTCACCATGGGAAGGGCAGGTGCTGCAGGGCTGTGATAGAAACAGGCTTCTAGAACAATGCACACTGTTTCTATTCAACTTACAGATAAAGGCCAAGAAGAGACCTCTTAAAACTCTTTCAGCAGGCTGGGTGTGGTGGCTCATGCTTGTAATCCCAGCACTTTGGGAGGCTGAGGCAGGCAGATCACTTGAGGCCAGGAGTTTGAGACCAGCCTGGTCAACATGGTGAAATCCCGTCTGCACTAAAAATACAAAAAATTAGCCAGGTGTGGTAGCAGGCACATATAATCCCAGCAACTCAGTAGGCTGAGGCAGGAGAATCATTTGAACCTGGAAGGCAGAGGTTATAGTGAGCTGAGACTCCACCATGCACACCAGCCTGGGCAATAGAGTGAGACTCCGTCTCTCTCAAACAAACGAACAAATAAGCCTCTTTCAGCAAATGAGAAGACATTAAATGAATAAAGTAGACAACTACTCTCCCTCCCTTTGAAGGCAGAATATGAAGTAATGAAGGAAGTTAAGGACACAAACCCAAGTACTTTGAAACTCTGATGATTGAAGAATACCAAAACATCTGTGGCAGAAGACACTAGAACTTTCTTCTCTGGCCGACTTGAAACAGTATTGATTCCTATTGCAAAGTAGTGCTGTGTAGTCCAGCCAAGGTCAAGGCACTGACTACAAGACCTGCAGGCTTCGCTCCGGACCCTGTTATTTTATGACCACATATTTTAATAATTTGAGTCTTTTCCACACATTCCAATTATAACCTTGTTAGTTGCTCAATGCCTCAGAGAAAACCTTCAAATTCTACTGTCTGCCCTTTACAAACAGCCTGAGATACTCACAGGTATCTTGTTGGAAATAAGCATGTATAATGCCATGCAGGTAGAAGGTTGCCCTGACTTACCTTCGTGGCCAGGACGCTTGTGAGACCTACGCTTCGCCATCTGTGTGGTGTTGCCATTTCATTTTCATCAGGCCTGTGGTACTGCACAGGCAGCGAATATGACTCTGATCACTCCACAGCTCAAAAAAGGCAGACAGACAGGTCACCCATAGCTGGAACTGGAGCTGTCATCAGCTTCATCTGCCCTCTTCAAAACTTGACGGGGTTTGAAGCTGGCCCTGCAGAGGTGAGAGTGAAAATAAAGTACAAAGCAAGATAAATATAGAATTCAGTTCTGGATTTTTTTTTTTAAACAACCAACAGAATATACTAATGTAAAAATAAATGGCCACAACTCACTCAACCATTTATTTGTGCTAGGAGAGAGTACTAATGGGAATAACGAAGCAATTGAAACAGGTCAACAGGTCTTGTCTTCAAAGTCATAGACCAGTGTCACCTTTTTTATTCTGTTATGGGCTCAAAATTCACATGGTGAAGTCCTAACCCCAGGGCCTCAGAATCAGACTATATTTGGAGATAGGGTCATGATAGAGGTAATTAAGGTATGATGAGGTTATATAGGTGAGCACTAATCCAATATGACCGGTGTCCTTATAAGGGGAGATTAGGTCACAGACAATACAGACAGAGGGACGACCATGTGAGGACTCACTGAGCAGGTGGCTGTCTGCAAGCCAAAGAGCCAGGCCTCAGAAGGAACCATCCCTGCAGACTCACTGGTCTCATGCTCCCAGCCCCCAGCACCAGGAGACAATCAGTGTCTGTTGCTTAAGCCCCCGGGCTGTGGTATTTTGTGATGGCAGCCCTAGCAGAGACATTCTCTCTCGTCCCCTGAATCCCATTTTTTAACACTGACTGGTTTTCGATCCACTTCACTTGACTCTTTTTTCTTACCCTCACTTTCTTTTGCTTCGTGGAGCCCCTCTCCAGCTCCTCCTTTCACCTGCTCTGCCTCTTTCTTTGTCTTTTAAAAGAGTTTCTCTTGGGAGGCCACGCGGGCGGATCACAAGGTCAGGAGATCGAGACCATCATGGCTAACACGGTGAAACCCCATCTCTACTAAAAATATAAAAAATTAGCCAGGCGCGGTGGCAGGCGCCTGTAGTCCCAGCTACTTGGGAGGCTGAGGCAGGAGAATGGCGTGAACCCGGGAGGCGGAGCTTGCAGTGAGCCGAGATCGCGCCACTGCACTCCAGCCTGGGCAACAAGAGCGAGACTCCATCTCCAAAAAAAAAAAAGAAAGAGAAAATTGCATTTGAATTCTTGAATGGTTGTTGTGAGGTTCAATTAAGATAATGCAGTGGAAAATGCTTTGTATATAAATCACCATAGCTCAGTTTTTCTACCTGTAAAATAGATACTCCCTAGCATTTTACAGTATAGCAGTCATGAAAAAAAAAATCAGCCAATAAATAAAACTTCTGTGACTCCGAATAGTATATATTAAAGGATTATTTCTACTGTGGTTTTCATCAGCCTGGTAAAGCTTATTTTTGTTTTTTCTGCCAGTTAACATTTATGAAAAGTGTTGTATTTTGTATTAGGAAGAGGATTCTAAAGACACAAAAGACCTGGTTCTTGCCTTCAGGGATTCTGTAATCTATTTGAAAAAATTAAATTTTAACAGTGAAATCACTAATAAAATCAGTTCGAAGAGGTTTTCAGCATTGGGGCACACATACCTAAATCTCCATGCAGGACCAGCCAGGTCCATACCTGAACTTTCTAGGACAACTTTCTAGATGGAGATTTCTCCTATCACCTCTCTAATGTAACTACAAGTGGAAACTAACAAATCTGACCAACATTTAAAAAGTTAATAAAAGTTTCAATAATAACTGGTGGGTTTGCTTCAAACAAATCTAATACTATATAGCAACTTATAGCATACTTATAGCATACTTTAAAATACAAGTGCCTCTAAATGTCTTAAAATCATAAATAACAAAATTTTAATTTTCTCAACAACTTCTCAGAAACCCTGGGGAAAAAAAGGTTATGGACAACAGCAACATTCCAGTAGGAAAAACACATATTCTTCAGAAATGCAATTGATATCTAACTTTAGAAATATGTGACTTTAGAAACATCTCAACCAAAAATAAAATTGCCTTATTATTATTTAGAAATTTGCACTCACCATTAAGAATGATCAAAATATAGTCCTTCAGGTAGTGAGGTTGTAGGGATCAAATGGCAGAATGTCCGGAAGCGCAGGTCATAGCAGTGGCTTTTGGATTAGGAGCCTGACTAACTGTGAGACATGAGGCTCATCACTGCACTTTTAGTGTTGGTCTCCTCCTGTTGTAAATGGAACCAATAGTGGCTGCCTTGAAAGAGCAAAGGCCACCACGCAGATGAACCCCGAAACTCAGCTGTGGTCAGTGTACCTCTCCCGGCCATTAGCAGGGGCTGCCCTGGTGGCGTCTCACGACAAGAATGTATCATAGTGGTTTACAACTGCTTCCTAGCATTTCCAGTTGCCTAAACTGTGAATTTTTCTAATTCAATTTTGTATGTCCCTCTCACCACTTATCCCTCTTCTCCCAAGTCTAGCACTGTACACAGCACATAGAAGAGCCTTAATAAATGTTTGGTGAATGAAATATATGAGTGAATGACTAACACAGAGAATTTGTAAAATGGAAGTACTACTGTAGCTACGAAAAACTGCTCTGGAAACGATCATTCAAACCCCTTGCCATTTTTTTCCCCATGGTGTATGGCTGAAACAAGTAATCTGTGAGATAATAAGACAAAATTATCTGGCATATCTAGAAAATACCTATCGAAATAGCATGAAGTTGATTCTCTCTCGTCCTTTATGAAAGTCACACACTTCTAATATATTTTAAGATCCGACAGTAAAACTGTCTGAATTTTTAATACTGTGCCTGCTACCTGATGCCTGTGTTTTTCTTTTGCAAATTTTTTTGGCCAGTGTTTGAAAGGCTGAAGACCAATTCGTTTTCATGGATCCAAACCTGGTTCTGTATTTTCTTAAATGATAACAATTAAGAAATTCCCATCAGTAGATGCTACTTGTAAACGAAGAAACTTTTTTTTTCCCTTTGGAATCTAGTAGTATTCTAACTTTTTCATGTCTTCTATCAGACCACAATTCAAATATTTTCCAAAGCAGAGGACGACGGTACTAAGCAGATGATAGCTCAGAAGCCTGATTCCCTACCCAAGGGACAGAGGCTGTGAGATGACATTGAGAAAGAGACCCGGGTCCAGTGAAGCATCAGACACGCTGGCGCATGGGGACGAGGAGCCCTGGAGACTCAGGGCCCGTCTGGTGCGGCCCGGGCTTTGCTCCGCGCTCGCCCCCTGCAGCTGCCGGGGCCGCCGCAACTTTTCAAACCTCACCGCACCGACAGCTCTGTCCCTTCTTTTATCTGGAGACGCTGAGCCTCATCAACTCTCACCTGCGTTTCAGGAAAAATAATAATAATAATAAATGTTCCACGGACACAGGATTTCGGCCAAATGCTGCTTAGCTCTACCTTCCCCAAAAGGGCGGGAGGGGTGGCAACCAGTAGCGAAACCCCGCTTGCCTGTCTCAGCAACTCTCCCACGTCCGCAGGAGGCCTTGCGGGGATCCGAGCATCCCGCTCCGAGATGGAAGTGGTAGGACAGTCCGGGAGAAGCCGACGGGAAACTGTCCTGGGCGCGCACCGCCCCCGTGCCCTGCGCCCTCCTCATTTGCTCGGCCAGCGCGGGACCTCCCAGCCGCTGGGCCCGCGACCGCGGCGAATCAGTCTCCGCTTCCCCGCCCAGCAGAGCTCAGATCTGCTCTGGAGGGCTCTCGGGATGTCGCCTTTCCCTGGAGATGAGCAGTTCTGCGTCACCCTCCGTGGCCAGCGCGGCTTCCAGGGCTGGGCTGGTCTATTGTTTGCTGTTCTTGAAAGGACGTGGGGAGGGTGGGAGGGTGGGAGGGTGGGAGGGCCGGGGCTGAGCCGGGGCAGGCAGACCTGGGGTGGATTCCTTGCAGGGATTTTCTCTCCTGCTTCTCCCAGTCCCTTGCTGTCGCATATTCATAAGAAGGCGGGGTCGCTTCCCATCGCCTTTGAATCTTCCAGGCTTGTGGGTGAGAGGAAAAGATCTGGGGCAGACAGGGTTTGGGAGGGATCACTAGGAGGAGAATAGGGTGGGAGAAAGAGCGGTGATATAGACAAATAAGCAAACATAGGGTTCCTGTTCACAATTTCTTCCTCAACTCTCAGGCAGCAAGCGCGCGTGAGGACACGCACACACACACACATTTATTTTTTCTTTAACTTTTATTTTAGATTCAGGGGTACATGTGCAGGTTTGTTATATACGTAAACTCGTGTTAAGGAGTTTGTTGTACACGTTATATCATCACCCAGGTACTAAACCTAGTCCTCGAGTTATTTTTCCTGATGCTCTCCCTCCTCCCACCCTCCACCCTCCAGTAGGTCCCAGTGTGTCTTGTTCCCCTCTATGTGTCCATGTGTTCTCATCATTTAGTTCCCACTTATAAGCGAGAATATGCAGTATCTGGTTTTCTCTTCCTGCGGTTAGTTTGCTAAGGATAATGGCCTCCAGCTGTATGTGCCTGCAAAGGACATCATCTCCTTCCTTGTTATGGCTGCGTAGTATTCCAAGGTGCATATGTACCACATTTTCTTTCTCCAGTCTACCATCGATGGGCATTTAGGTTGGTTCTATGTTTTTGTTATTGTGAATAGTGCTGCAGTGAACATACGACACACACCATTTCTTAATGCCTGAATTGAGCACAAGAAATTTTGAGGAAGTCCTGACTAAGCCCCTTTGTCCTAATTATAGTATTAGACTTAGATGGGGACATTTTTTTTTAACCAAGGATTTTTAACCATGATTTGAACTATGTGCTCCTCATCCATAAAGAAAGCAGTTAAAAATATATATATGCAGTCTTTGCTAGCTGCACTGATTTTTGCATTAATTTATTGAATTTTATCATAATTGATTAGTCCTTTGCTTTTTAATGTAGTGCAGCCCTTCATTATATCATAACCCAAATAACCCAGTCTTTCTGATGTATAAATAGTCAAGTTGCTACTGGAACCCCATTTGCAGAAAATAAAAGGAAACAGTGTAAGAAAAATGACAGGCCGATAGCTCCAGACAGAGAAGCATGCAGATATTCGCATTGTGAATTTAAGCTCCAGATCAACTGCAAGAACAAACCAGCAATCCTGAGAGGACCCAAGACCCTCTGAAGGAAGCAGACTGCTACTGCAGGACCTGGGAGACACACCAAATACTGTGAGTGCCCCAACAGCAGAAGTGGGAAAGGGAGACCCTCCTCACCCAAACACACACCCCCACTGGAGAAACTGAAGGTCCGTTTGCAGAAGTTTCCGACCTTACCTGTAGCTTAGTCAATTTAGAGAGCAGGGTGAAATACAGGGGTAGAGGAAGCAGCAGAAAGGCCCTGGGGGCTCGCTGGGTCCCCAAGCAACCCATTCCTGCCTGGCACCACAGGAATTCATAGGAAGGGCGGTCAGAAGAGCAGGGGGTAAGAAGCCACAGGGAGACGGAAATCTCTAGCTGAACTTTACAACAATTTGAGCGGAGCGAGAAGCCTCCTGGCCAGAACTCAGGGAGGGCACAAATCTGGTGTGCAGACTCCACAGGCAGGGGAAGAACCAAGCCCTTTTCTTTCGCAGCTGGGAGGCAGGTAGCCTGGGGCGAGTTTTCAAGCCCCTCTTGCACACAGCCTGGAAACAGACTGGGGGCTGTTAAAGGGGGTGCACGGTAGAAGTGAGACCAGCCCTTCAGTTCGCATGGGAGCTGGGTGAGGACTGTGTCTGCTGGCTTTCTCCCACTTCCCTGACAATCTGCATGATTCAGCAAAGGCAGCCATAATCCTCCTAGGCACACAACTCCAGTGACCTGAGAATCCCATCCATCCCCCACAACAGCCACAGCAAGACCCACCCAAGGAGAGTCTGAGCTCAGACACACCTAGCTCTGCCCCCATCTGATGGTTCTTCCCTACCCACCCTGGTAGCTGAAGACAAAGGGCATATAATCTTGGGAGTTCTAGGACTCTGCCCACCACCAGTTCTGCTCCATACTACCACCACTGATGCTCTCTGGAAAGTGCCACCTCCTGGCAGGAGGCCAACCAGCAAAACCAGCACAAAAATAGAACATTAAATCACCAAAGCTAAGGATCCTCATGGAGTCCACTGCAGCTACCCCCTCCCCCACCCCACCACCTCCACCAGAATAGGTGCTCGTATCCATGGCTGAGAGACCCATAGACGGCTCACATCACAGGACTCTGTGCAGACAACCCCCAGTACCAGCTTGGAGCCTGGTAGACTTGCTGGGTTGCTGGACCCAGAAGAGGGACAACAATCACAGCAGTTCAGCTCACGGAAAGCCACATCCACAGGAAAAGGGGGAGAGTACTACATCAAGAGAACACCCTGTGTGACAGTAATCTGAAAAACAGCCTTCAGCCCTAGACCTTCCCTCTGACCCTATCCAAATGAGAAAGAACCAGAAACCCAACCCTAGTAATATGACAAAACAAGTCTCTTTAACAGCAGTCAGAAATCACACTAGTTCACCAGCAATGGATTGAAACCAAGAAGAAATCCCTGATTTACCTGAAAAAGAATTCAAGAGGTTAGTTATTAAGCTAATCAGGGAGTTACCAGAGAAAGGTGAAGCCCAATGGAAAGAAATTTTAAAAAACAATATAAGAAGTGAAGGGAGAAATATTCAAGGAAATAGATACCTTAAAGAAAAAACAATAAAAAATTCTGGAAACTTTGGACACACTTTTAGAAATGAGAAATGCTCTGGAAGGTCTCAGCAATAGAATTGAACAAGTAGAAGAAAGAAATTCAGAGCTTGAAGACAAGGTCTTCAAATTTACCCAATCAAACAAAGACCAAAAAAAAAAAAAAAAAAAGAACAAGAAAATATAAACAAAGCCTCCAAGAAGTCTGGGATTATGTTAAACAAGCAAACCTAAGAATAATCAGTGTTTCTGAAGAAGAAGAAAATTCTGAAAGCTTCGAAAGCATATTTGGGGGAATAACCGAGGAAAATTTCCACAGCCTTGCTAGACTTCTAGACATCCAAACACAAGAAGCCAAAGAACACCAGGGAAATTCATCACAAAATATCATCACCTAGGCACATTGTCATCAGGTTATCCAAAGTTAAGGCAAAGGACAGAATCTTAAGAGCTGTGAGACAAAGCACCAGGTAATCTATAAAAGAAAACCTATCATCAGATTAATAGCAAATTTCTCAGCAGAAACCTTACAAGCTAGAAGGGAATGGGACCCTATCTTCAGCTTCCTTAATCAAAACAATTTATCAGCCAAGAATTTTCTAACCAGCGAAAATAAACATCATTTATGAAGGAAAGATACAGTCTTTTTCAGACAAACAAAGGCTGAGAGAATTTGCCATTACCAAGCCACCACTACAAGAACTACTAAAATTTCAAAGCTCTAAATCTTGAAACAAATCCTGGAAACACATCCAAACAGAACCTCTTTAAAGCATAAATCACTCCAGACCTATAAAACAAAAATACAAGTTAAAAAGCAAAAACAAGAAAACCAAAGTACACAGTAAACAAAGAACATGATGAATGCAACAATACCTCACATTTCAATACTAACATTAAATGTAAATGGCCTAAATATTCCACTTAAAAGATATAGAACTTTAGAATGGATACAAACTCACCAACCAACTACCTGCTGCCTTCAACAAACAAAACTAACACATAAGGACTCACATACACTTGAACTAAAGGGGTGGGAAAAGGCATTTCACGCAAATGAACACCAAAAGTGAGCAGGGGTAGTTATTCTTATATCAGAAAACAAACTTTAAAGCAATAGCAGTTAAATGAGACAAAAAAAGACATTGTATAAGGCTAAAAGGCCTTGTCCAACAGGAAAATATCACAATCCTAAACATATATGCACCTAACACTGGAGCTCCCAAATTTATAAAGCAGTTACTAATAGACCTAAGAAATGAGATAGACAGCAACATAATAATAGTGGGGGACACTACTGACAGCACTACACAGATCATCAAGACAGAAAGTCAACAAGGAAACAATGGATTTAAACTATATCTTGGAACAAATGGACTTAGCAGTTATATACAGAACATTTCATCCAACAACCACAGAATACGCATTCTGTTCAATAGTGCATGGAACTTTCTCCAAGACAGATCATGTGATAGGCCATAAAACAAGCCTCAATAAATTTAAGAAAATTGAAATTATATCAAGCACTCTCTCAGACAACAGTAGAATAAAATTGGAAATCAACTCCAAAAGGAACCTTCAAAACCATGCAAATACAAGGAAATTAAATAACTTGCTCCTGAATGAACATTGGGTCAAAAATGAAATCAACATAGAAATTAAAAAATTATTGGCCAGGCATGGTGGCTCATTCCTGTAATCCCAGCACTTTGGGAGGCTGAGGCGGGTGGATCATGAGGTCAAGAGATCGAGATCATCCTGGCCAACATGGTGAAACCCCATCTCTACTAAAAATACAAAAATTAGCTGGGTGTGGTGGCACATGCCTGTAATCCCAGCTACTCGGAAGGCCGAGGCAGGAGAATCACTTGAATGCTTGAACCCAGGAGACAGAGGTTGCAATGAGCCGAGATCGCGCCACTGCACACCAGCCTGGCGACAGAGCGAGACTCCATCAAAAAAAAAAAAAAAAAAAAGTTCCTCAAACTGAATGACAGTAATGACAAAACCTGCTAAAGCCTCTGGGATACAGCAAAGGCGGTGCTAAGAAGAAAGTTCATAGCCCTAAACACCTATATCAAAAAGACTGAAAGAGCACAAACTGACGTTTTAAGGTCGCACCTCAAGGAACTAGAGAAACAAGAACAAACCAAAACCAAACCCAGTAGAAGAAAGGAGATAACCAAGATCAGAGCAGAATTAAAGGAAACTGAAATAAAAAAATATGAAAGATAAATTAAACAAAAGCTGGTTCTTTGAAAAGATAAATAAAATTGATAGACCATTAGCAAGATCAACCAAGAAAAGAAGAGAGAAAATCCAAATAACCTCACTCAGAAGCAAAACAGGAGATATTACAGCTCACACCACTGAGATACAAAAGATCATTCAAGGCTACTATGATTACCTTTACACACATAAACTAGAAACCTAGAAGAGATGGATAAATTCCTGGAAAAATACAACCCTCCTACCTTAAATCAGGAAGAATTAGATACACTGCACAAAACAATAACAAGCAGCAAGATTTAAATGGTAATTTAAACATTACCAATAAAAAAAATGTCCAGGGCCAGATGGATTCACAGCAGAATTCTACCAGCCATTCAAAGAATTGGTACAATTCTTTTGACACTATTCCATAAAACAGAGAAAAAAGGAACCCTCCCTAATTCATTCTATGAAGCCACTGTTACCCTAATATCAAAACCAGGGAAGGACATAAACAAAAAAGAAAACTACAGATGAATATCCTTGATGAACATAGATGGTAAAATCCTTAACAAAATACTAGCTAACTGAATCCAACAACAATCAAAAAGATAATCCACCATGATCAAGTGGGTTTCATACCAGGGATGCAGGGATGGTTTAACATATGCAAGTCAATAAATGTGATACATCACATAAACAGAATTAAAACCAAAAATACATGATCATCTTAATAGATGTAGAAAAAGCATTCAACAAAATGCAGCATCCCTTTATGCTTAAAACTCTCAGCAAAATCGTCATACAAGGGACATACCTTAATGCAATAAAAGCCGTCTATGACAAACCCACAGCCAACATAATACTGAATGGGGAAAAGTTGAAAGCATTCTCTCTGAGAAATGAAACAAAACAAGGATGCCCACTCTTACCACTCCTCTTCAACATAGTACTGGAAGTCCTAGCCAGATCAATCAGACAAGAGAAAGAAATAAAGGACATCCAAATCTGTAAAGAGGAAGTCAAACTGTCCCTGTTTGCAGGCAATAGGATCGTTTACCTTGAAAACCCCAAAGACTCCTCCAGAAAGCCCCTAGAACTGATAAAAGAATTCAGCAAAGTTTCTGGATATAAGATTAATGTACACAAGTAAGTAGCTCTTTTATACACCAACAGCGACCAAGTGGTGAATCAAATCAAGAACTCAACCCCTTTTGCAATAGCTGAAAACAAAACAAAACAAAACAAAAAACTTAGGAATATACCTAACAAAAAAGTTGAAAGAACTCTGCAAAGAAAACTACAAAACGCTGCTGAAAGAAATCATAGAGGACACGAACAAATGGAAACACATCCCATGCTCATGGATGGGTAGAATCAATACTGTTGAAAATGACCATACTGCCAATAGCAATGTACAAATTCAATGCAATCCCCATCAAAATACCACCATCATTCTTCATAGAATTAGAAAACAAAATTCTAAAATTCATATGGAACCAAAAAAGAACCCACATAGCTAAAGCAAGACTAAGCAAAAAGAACAAACCTTGAGGCATCACACTACCTGATTTCAAACTATATTGTAAGGCCATAGTCAGCAAAACAACATGATACTGGTACAAAAATAGGCATGTAGACCAATGGAACAGAATAGAGAACCCAGAAATAAGCCCAAATACTTATAGCCAACTGATCTTTGGCAAAGCAAACAAAACAAAATGGGGAAAGGACACCCTTTTCAACAAATGGTGCTGGGATAATTGGCAAGCCACATGTAGGAGAATGAAACTGGATCCTCATCTTTCACTTTATACAATAATCAACACAAGATGGATTAAGGACTTAAACCTAAGACCTGAAATTATAGAAATTATAAAAATTCTAGAAGATGCCATTGAAAAAACCCTTTTAGACATTGACATAGGCAAGGATTTCATGACCAAGAACCCAAAAGCAAATGCAATAAAAACAAAGATAAATGGCTGGGACCTAATTAAACTAAAGAGCTTTTGCATGGCAAGAGGAATAGTCAGCAGAGTAAACAGACAACCTACCGAGTGGGAGAAAATCTTCACAATCTATACATCTGACAAAGGACTAATATCCAGAATCTACAACAAACTCAAACAGATGATTAAGAAAAAAAAAAAAACAAAACAATCTCATCAAAAAGTGGGCTAAGGACACGAATAGACAATTCTTAAAAGAAGATATACAAATGGCCAACAAACATATGTAAAAAATGCTCAACCTTACTAATGATCAGGGAAATGCAAATCAAAACCACAATGCGATACTACCTCACTCCTGCAAGAATGGCCATAATCAGAAAATAAAAAAACAGTAGATATTGGCATGGATGCGGTGATCAGGGAACACTTTTACACTGTTGGTGGGAAAGTAAACTAGTACAGCTGCTATGGAAAAGAGTGTGGAGATTCCTAAAAGTAAGGCTATCACTTGATCCAGCAATCCCACTACTGGGTATCTACCCAGAGGAAAAGAAGTCATTATTCGAAAAAGATACTTACTCACGCATGTTTATAGCAACAAAATTCACAATTGCAAAATCATGGAACCAACCCAAATGCCCACCAATCAACGAGTGGATAAAGAAACTGTGGCGTATATATATATACACGATGGAATACTACACTACACAGGCATAAAAAGGAATGAATTAACGCATTTTCAGTGACCTGAATGAGATTGCAGACTATTGTTCTAAGTGAAGTAACTCAGGAATGGAAAACCAAACATCGTGTATTCTCACTGATATGTGGGAGGTAAGCTATGAGGACGCAAAGGCATAAGAATGACACAATGGACTTTGGGGATTTGTGGGGAAGAGTGGGAGGAGAACGAGGGATAAAAGACTATAAATATGGTGCAGTATATACTGCTCGGGTGATGGGTGCATCAAAATCTCACAAATCACCACTAAACAGCTTACTGGTGTAACCAAATACCACCTGTACCCCAATAACTTACGGAAAAACAAAAAAGAAAAAGAAAAAGAAAAAGAAAAAAAATGACAGGCCTAAGGAAGTCCACACAGGGGACAAGAGTAGTCTGCCGGGGAGGACGGTTGGTGTGATCATGGCTCACTGTACCCTCGGCCTCTTGAGTATCTGGGACTACAGGCATGCGCCACTGGCACTGAGCTGTTTTCCTGGGTCATAACAAGTGGTCCTCCAGAAGTTTCTGTTTCCTTTCTGAAGTTCCCAGCAGTAGAATCATCCTAAATTACATTATGAATTCAGATCCAGTCTTCTACTTAACAGTTCACAGGTGGTGATCTGAGAAGGGTGATTTGAAGTGGTGCAAAGATTCTTCTACCCCGTACTCTGCAAACAACCTGCCACGATGCTTTCCCTGTGGGATTTGCTCTTCAAAGTCTCTGTCAAGACATACACTTGTTACCTAAAAGACGTGCTCTGTACTCATTACCACTCACTACTTACAGGTAGTTAGACACAGACTTTAGAAATCCACTCATTCCACAAATCCTTGCTGGTCCCTGTCTTCCAGGTTCCAGGGAGACAACCAACAACTAAACAGCCCAGGTCCCTGCCCTCGGGGAGCTTGCCTTGTAGCGTGGGACAGAGCACAGACAAATGAGGATTCAGGTAGTCATCATCCCTATAAAGAAAAATACAGCCATTTAGAAAGTCAGGTTCTTGAAGCCCAGAAGGTGTAGAGATACCCTGACCTCCCTGAGGAAGCAACTGAGACTAAGTCCAGGTTTTCTGACTGGATTTAAGTCCAGCTGTGTGACCTTAGCTATATGGGTGCTTTTCTAGGTTTCAGTGTCCTCATCAAACAAAGCAACTGGGTTATGTGGGGTTTTAGCAGTTTTTAGAGTAGGCAGGGAAAGTTGCAGCATGCGTTGTGTGCACAGGAGGCTCAGAGGGCCCCACACAGTGGCCGAATGGTCAGTGTGTGGATGCTGATGTCAGCCTGGGCTCCAGATGCATTCGCTGGGCAAGGTGCTTCTTCTCTGCCTCTGGGCTCCCCAGCTGTAGCATGGGTGATCATCCCCACCTCCGAGGTTGCTGGGAATGCTAAATGAGAGAACTTCAAAAGCACAGGGCTAGCGGTTACAATAATTTCCCACCCAAGTCCTGGGGCATTCTGGAGAGCAGACCTGCCCTGTGGCAGTGTCCTTTGGAAGTGTTAGTTGCTGGATTATGAGCACTAACTTTGCTTTCTTATTTATTTATTTATTTATTTATTTATTTATTTATTTATTGAGACAGAGTCTCCTTTTGTCGCCAGGCTGGAGTGCAGTGGCGTGATCTCAGCTCTCTGCATCCTCTGCCTCCTGGGTTCAAGCGATTCTCCCGCCTCAACCTCCGGAGTAGCTGGGACTATAGGCGCACACCACCACACCCAGCTAATTTGTTGTATTGTTAGTAGAGACGGTGTTTCACTGTGTTGGCCAGGATGGTCTCAATCTCTTGACCTTGTGATCCACCCACCTCGGCCTCCCAAAGTGCTGGGATTACAGGCATGAGCCACCATGCCCGGCCTATTTATTTATTTTTGAGAGAGAGAGTCTGCTCCCAGGTTCAAGTGATTCTCATGCCTCAGCCTCCTGAGTAGCAGGGATTACAGGCACACGCCACCAATCCCAGCTAATTTTTTGTATTTTAGTAGAGATGGAGTTTCACCATGTTGGCCAGGCTAGCCTGAAACTCCTGAGCTCAAGCAATGCTCCCGCCTCGGCCTCCAAAATTACTGGGATTATAGGCATGAGCCACCACACTGGGCCTATGAGCACTAACTTTGCTTTCTAACGCTTACTGCCTGCTCATAATTCTTTCCCTGCAAAGGGAGGTAGGGTGCAAGGGAAGGCTAAGGTCTGCAGAGGCATCTGCTGGCCCTCTATGTACATCAGCTCACTGTCGTACCTACCACTAGAGCATCTGCAGATCCAAAGAGGATCCCGGGAGGTCTCTTTCCTTGCCACCAACATACAGCATGTTGCACAATGGGACTACGGTTTTGTTTTTTTTTTAATTATTATTTACTATTGACTTTTTAGAGACAAGATTTCATTCTGTCATCCAGGCTGAAATGCAGTGGCGTGATCATGGTTCACTACAGCCTCAGCCTCTTGGGTAGCTGGGACTACAGGCATGCACCACTGCACATGGCTAATTAAAAACATTTTTTTGTAGAGATGGAATCTCACTATGCAGCCCAAGCTGGTCTTGAACTCCTGGCTTCAATCAATCCTCTCACATTGGCCTCCCAAAGTTTTGGGACTGTAGGCATAAACCACTGTGTTACAGGGACTAGGATTTAAATGCCTCTTTTGCGACACGGTGGTATTTCTTATAGCCCTGGCCTCCTTCAGGGCATCTGCTATTTTTAACAGCAACAAACCATTATGAATTCTCATTGTTCGCTGATTCTTTAATAACAGAATAGTAAGCACATTATTTTTGTCTTATACAAAAATAAGAGGGAGGTATGTATGTCTTCTAGCTCCAAGAATGTGTCTCGAAATCACTCCGGAGCCACAGCAATGAGTGACAGAGAAGAGAAGAGCTGCACAGAGCCACTTTCCTCCCCACTGGGAGCCTCCTGATTATGCTGGGCTGGGGATCCCAGCCAGGGCTGCCCACTGGCCAGCAGGGCATAGAGACTACCCCAGGTCCTCCCTGGCAAACTGCTTCCTGGAGGGCCCTGGCCAGTCTCTCAGCAGGACACCCCTTGAAGACCGCATCCCTCGTAGTAACTCACCCTGTTGCCCACTTTCCAAATGCAAGAACATGGAAGACAAGCAGATGTCTTTATACCAGACATTGTCAGGTTCCAATGCCTAGAAATAGGTCTTTCTGAGTAAGAATCTAGAAGAAGCAATCATCAAAATATTACAAGGTTTCAAAGGCAGTTATTAGAGCAATCCCTCAATATCAAAAAACTCTATAAAATGCATAACAACAGCTGGACATAAGATGCATAGGGGAATAGGAAAAATGCAATGGTAGGGCAATGAAAAGAAGGGAAAAAGAAGAGTTTGGAGGAAGAAAGTGCCCAGAGTGAAAAATGTACTTAAATAATATCTGCAGACCTAAAAACAAGCCTTTTTAAAGTTCCCCTTAGATTGGGGAAGAATTTAACTTGCTGCCTTCTTTTCTAGGTTGGATGCCACACCTGCGGTTCACTTCTCTAAGGATCCATACCTTCTTTATGGGGAGATGTTGCTTAAAGTGTGTTATCTTCTGCTACACATATTGGAATCCATTTTTACTTGAAATTTTTGGAAATGCTAATGCTAGTTGTCAGCATATCTTTATGCTTATTGTTTTATTTATATCATAGTTTGGTCCAGAAAGAATTTTAGATGGCATATATAAATACATAAAATCCAATAGCAAAAGAAGAGAATTGAAAATAGGCAGATGAAGAAAATAAGACAGAGGGGAAATGAAAATAGAAAAGATTGGCAGGCATTCCTATATTTACATCTATGTAAATTCATATGTATCAGTTTATATCAAGAAACTTTTAGTACTAACTCTGAAAGTGACATACACAAATCATGCAAAAATTAATATTTAGCACATTTAAAATGAAAAGACATAGTATAGTTTGTAAAAAAAGTATACTGTGTTTAAGGGAGAAGGATGGTGTTGTGATGAGGCAGGGAGGCCTTGAAGTTTCTGGGGCTGCAAACAATTATAATTATTTTTTATAGTGTATATATTTGTTTGTGTACTTTTTAGACATTTATCATGCTTAGTTTACTATGATTGAAGAAAAAAGCAATCTATTGTTAAAAACTTTAAGGAAAATAAATTTAACAGACTTGGAGTAAAGCCTGATGCATGAATCAGGCAGCACTCCAGACCAGAGGAGGTTCTAACAGCTCCACTGCAGCAGCACATGCAGTGAACTTTTGTAGCTCATGCAGATAGAAGACAAAGAAAATGTATTTGATTGGTTAGAATGGAAATGCGAGGTTAGTTGGTGGCTTCTGATTGGCTAAGCCTCTACATTCATTTTACTGTTTATGTTGGTACCATTTATGCTGGGGGTTGCTTCCATAGGAATTTAAAGGGCTAGAGCTGCTCCAGCCTAATGGCCTCCCAGTTAAAAAAATTTTAACCCCATATTGGTGGTGTATGGTTCTGTTTTCCCTTAGTGAGACAGTATAGGGAAGAGACTCAGTCCTGGCAGACAAGAGACACGGTGATTAGGCTCCCACTAGGCCTCACACATCCAGGTATCTTTCTTCCTGTACCTTCTTGCCTCCTTTAATAAGCTGACCCAAATCACAGAGCAGAAACTCAGCTGATCGGGCTGAATTCCTAAGCGTAAAAGGAAGAACTTTGCCATTTATGTCCCTGAGGAATATCTGCCAAGGTTGTGGAAGCAAGACTCTGACCTTCCTAATAAGAACCTGGCAAGATCCAGCTGGCCACAAGGTGGACTCCAGTGCTGACCTTTCACTGACTTTTGCCTCATTATAATTTCATGGTAATACTAAAATCTCCACCCAAAGAAAGGCTTATCTGCCATTTTCTCTACATGGAACACAGGTTAGGGCATGACGCCCCACTATGCAGCTGCAGAGGAAACCCCGCCTAAACATGCGTGGGTACCACTCCCTTTGCCCACCTCAACTTCCTTAAAATGACAAGCGCCAAGCCCCTTGGCGAGATAGCACCAGGGTCCGTTTCCTGTACACGACTCCCCTGTGCTTGAGCCACAAGCCTAACCCTTGCCTGAGAAAAATTCCCATTTTGCCTGGTGGTAATCTCTACTTATGCAAAAAGCCAAAGACCTTGAGGTCCAGGGTACAGTAACCTTAGTGCTCTAATCATGTCTGAAGAGTTAGTAAAGTTATTTGAGAGGTAGAATTAAACAAGTGTCTACATTCCCTCTGGTTGCATGTCATTCAGCACTCCACCCTCTGTCAGTGCAATCTATGCTTGGTGGCCAACTTGTTGGCCAGCCTCTCTGCATCCTCTGTCCATTCCTGTGTGTGACTTTCTTGTGTGTTTCCTGGGTCCTTGTTTCTCCCATCTCTGCTCAGGACTCACTTTGGGTGTGCACTGAGAAACATTTCCGATATTAGCCATAAATTTGCCTGAGATGGCATTTTGGTAGCACTTCTCAATTTGACCTGGACCTTCACACACAGAGTTAGGAAGAGGCTGACATGGAAGAAGAGGTGAGGGTGGGGAAGACTGGCGGCCCCACGAATCAGGAGTGCCTGGGTCTCCAGAAAAGGCGACTGAGCATTCAGTCACACGCAAAGGTGTCAGCTACTTCTCAAGTAAATAGCTCACACAGGCTGGCGGAACACAGATGGTGCCTTGTACCAACACGCAGCACATGTAGTAAAATCTGTGTTCACTGGTCTGGATATTCAAGAATCTCGTGGATGCTCCACTTGATTAGATATTGCTATCCATCAGATTTAACTCAACATCACCCTAGCCAACTCATTTCTCAGCTTCTGTGTTCATTTATGGTCAACTAATTTGGTTAACAATTTCTTCTGCCTTTGAAATACACAGAAATGCATTGTGTTCCCATCCTGAGTCCCAAGCTAATACACTCCAAAAATATTAGGCTAATTATGTGCGAAATTCTTAATTCTAAGCTGTACAGACAAAAATACATACTTCAAAATCTCTCCAAGTTTTCTAATATAATATTGTTTCCATGAATTGCTCTAGTGCCTTATTCCTCCTTGAATTAAATGAAAGGAAATTGAGGGGTAGTAAGGATTCACTCCCATCTACTGCACTAAATCCTTCTAAGCATCAAACAAGCGTTTCTCATGCCTGTAATCCCAGCACTTTGGGAGGCTGAGGCGGGTGGATCACGAGGTCAGGAGATCGAGACCATCCTGGCTAACATGGTAAAACCTCGTCTCTACTAAAAATATAAAAAATCAGCCGGGAATGGTGGCAGGCGCCTATAGTCCCAGCTACTCGGGAGGCTGAGGCAGGAGAATGGCGTGAACCCGGAAAGCAGAGGTTGCAGTGAGCTGAGATCGCGCCACTGCACTCCAGCTTGGGCGACAGAGCGAGACACTATCTCAAAAAAAAAAACACACACACACACACACACACACACACACACAAAAACAAGCATTTCACCTTGGGACCCTAATTAAAGTTACTTCCTCTCATTTTCATTGTGGGCCCCAGAGAAACAGATGTGTAAACAAAACTGACAATATCTGGCAGTTAGTAACCATCAATGCCAAACCTGGTCATCCTAACACAGAATCCCATCATGATGTGCTGGTGCACACAAAGCCCATCCTCAATCCACCAGGTAGATGCGGAGAGTGGAGAAATGATGTTGAAAGTGAGGTGTCCCAGTAAATTCACTCCTTAGTAGGCCCTTAAGTGTTAGATTTTTCCCTAAAGCATTCATTGTGGCCAATTGTGCATATAGCTCTGTTGTTATTGAAGAAATGGTAACAAATTGTTATTCCTCATTTTGACTCTTGTTCATTCATTCATTCAGCAACTATTTATCTAGTAACTATGTATAAGGCAAGATGCTAGGCTCCTGGGGAATTTAAAAAAAAGAATTGCTGTCCAGGCACAGTGACTCACGCCTGTAATCCCAGCACTTTGGGAGGCCAAGGCAGGTGGATCACCTGAGGTCAAGAGATTGAGACTATCCTGGCCAACATGGTGAAACCCCGTCTCTACTAAAAATACAAAAATTAGCTGGGCATGGTGGCACATGCCTGTAATCCCAGCTACTCGGAGGCTGAGGCAGGAGAATTGCTTGGACCCTGGAGGCAGAGGTTGCAGTGAGCCAAGATCGCACCATTGCACTCCGGCCTGGGTAACAAGAGTGAAACTCCGTCTCAAAAAAAAAAAAGAATTGCCGATGAGGGCATCAACATATAGGGGAAAGATAAAGTATGTGTTAATCGAATTCCCGGAAATTAAATTTTGGTTCAACTGTGGTTTCAAAAGACACAACTTTAAGAATACTGTGGCAAATTCTTTTAAAAAGCAAGGAACCCAATTGTAATTTTTTTTTTTTTAAAAAGGCAGCCTTTACTTACTTTGTAAATTGGAATTTTGATATAAAGAAAACGGCTTCTAAGGTTGAGAGGTCGCTGAAGAATGGTAGATTTCTTTCTGCAATTCACTAGAGGGCGTACGTGGTGAGAAGGGCATTGAAGATGGGGAGAGACTTGGACAAGAAAACAGGAGAGAGTGCATGAGGGGAAGAAGGAGAATGGGGACCCCCAGAAGAGTGGGAAGAGGTAATAGTACCTGTTTAGGGGATGTCTCTAAATTAAGGCAGAGAAGATGAGATGGCTTACCGCCCACTGTCATCCTCAAGAAGCTGGTGACATGGTGAAAACTGTGCTCATGTGAGGACTATCATCTTGGCTGCTGTGTGGCTGAAAGTGGTAAAACAAGCAAAACTGTGAGTAATCCAGGAATTGGGACCTTAATGCCCTTTTTTTTTTTAACCCCCTCAGTGGCTGAGGTCAAGCAGAGGAAGCGTTTTCAGGCAGATTCAAAGAATCTTGAGGAGAAAAAAACAAGTGACCTCAGGAGATTGATGTGGAGGAACATGGAGGCCCCCTGAGCCCACCTCAGTTTTCTCTGTGTGGCTCTTCATGCAACCCTGTTATCTACCTGACTCAGTTAGTTCTCCTGGTGTTATGAAGGCAGCAGCCGGCTGCCAAACACTCCAAAGAGGCAGCCTCTGAGAAAGCAGCTCCTTCTCTGGTGTAAAATAGCAGATCTTTGCACTGCTAAGAACAGCCCAATTCACCCAGAACTATCTGCTCTTTAATAACAAAAGAAGGAGGAAAGATTGTTGTTGAAGACTGTCCACATGCCTGACACCATCACCTTGGTTCAGTTTTCTAGATATACATTATCTCAGTGACATCACTGACCTTTTCAATTCCTAGATTCCTTCAAATAATCCATTTGGAACCATTATCCGTCAGCTTATTTCAATCTTTTTGAACATCTTCTGTTTTCAACCTGTGCACGTTCTCATGAACAATCAGAGGCATCTAATTTAAAATCATTGCATAAACAGTACTTTGGTTTTTGCTTGCCTTGCAAGGATACTAAGGTGTTGTAGCAGGACGAGCCATGGACAAAACTCCTCAGACACCAGGTTAAAGAAGGAAATGGCTTTATTTGGCTGGGAGAGTTGGCAGACTTGCGTCTCAAGAACCGAGCTCCCTGAAGAAAGAGTTCCTGGCCCTTTTAAGGGTTCACAACTCTAAGGGGTCTACATGACAGGGTGGTGATAGATTGAGCAGGCATGGGGTACATGACTAGGTGGGGGTAAGCAAGGCAAGTATTTCTCCATATCATTGTCTGTGATCTATAGATAGCACAAGCGATTAGGGTGGGGGTTAATCTTTACCCTACAGGCCTGACCAGTGGCACTGATCAGTGTGTTATTCTTCAGTTTTTACTTCCTCCTTTTCTTTGGAGACAGGAGACAGTAAGAGAAATGGCCTCTCTCCTTAGCGTCACAGGGCGGAACCTCATTCCATGCTTTTGCTCATGGCCCTTTGTTCATTCATTTGCTCCATAAGCACTGATTTAGCTTAAACCATACGCTAGGCTCTGTTTCAGGCACAGAAGAAACAAAACAATGTGCTTTCTGTGCTGGAGGAATTAATGGTGTAATGGTAGAGACAGACTGAGAAAAGTATCTTACAGCTAGAATGCAAGGAAAAGTCTCTGAGCAAGGGAGATGCCATAGAAACACCAAAGAGAAAAGCCAACTCAAGAATGTGAAATGCTTCAGGATTGTGCTTGTCACTTCCAATTTATAGAATTTTATAGATTTTGTAGAACTTCAGAATCCTCCCTTTTAGCATCACCTTTTGAAATTAAACATCACCTTTTTAGCCAGTCCTTTATGGAAGCCTCCTTTGACTCTTGACTTTTCAAATTTAAGATTTGTTCTATCTTTCTTAGCATTTGACCTGCCCTTAAAATAGTCTTTCAATTGTGGACACAACATTGTAAAAAGATTGTGCCCTCAGGCTACCTTGCTGTTAGATGTCAATTGTGTAAACAATTTAGCAGCATGCACTCTAGGTCTGGTCATTGTTTCTTTTGAAATTCACTTTAACTATAAGCATTGGGAACCTCCCCCTCTGGAAGAGGCCTGTTCTCCTCATGGACTGATCATGTATGTGAGTCTGCATATGTCTGTCTGTTTTTCTCTTTTATTTGCTGATGCTGAAGTTGCTTAAATTCTTCCATAAATACTAAACTGCCTGTCCAGAATGTGTAATGCAAGGATGTAGTTTTACATTACACACAGCTGAAAGGATACGAGTATTTTCAGATAAGAGATTTGAGTGGATATAAAGAATGCCAGCTACAGCACCAGTGAGAAAAATCCCAGGTTCACCCGTAAACATGCAGTCCAGTGTCAGCAACTAGTTGACTTCAACTTTTGAAAAATGAACACCCACTTTAAACTCTGCAATTCCAGTTCATGGATGCTGAACGTTCCTTGGCCAGCGTGACAAGAGGAAGCTCTCAAAAGCTTTCCTTGGAGTACTTTCACAATCACCTGAGACCCTCACTCAGAAAGCATGAAAACGGAAGAGGCTTTCCTGCTGTTCCCTGTGGGTGTGTCATGAGATTCCCTCTGGAAGTTGGCAAATCAAACGTGAGAAGTTCACCCTCACATCTTGACAGGTACATAACTAGTTAAAAGGCACTTATGGCCTGAAGAAACACAAAGCAATAGAAAAATAAAATTAAGTAGTATCTTAGTTTGTTCACACTACTTTAACAAAATACCTTAGACTAAATGGCTTATAAACAACAGAAATTTATTTCTCATAGTTCTGGAAGCTGGGAAGTCCAAGATTAAGGTGCCAGCAGATTTGGTGTCTGGTGAGGGCTGACTTCCTGATTCAAAGACGGCACCTTCTAGCTGTGTCTTCACATGGTGGATGATATGGTCTGGCTCCGTCTCCATCCAAATCTCATCTTGAATTGTAGTTCCCACAATCCCCACGTGTTGTGGGAGGGACCCAATGGGAGGTAATTTAATCATGGGGGTGGTTACCCTCATGCTGTTCTCGTGATAGTGAGTTCTCACGAGATCTGATGGTTTTATAAGGGTTTTTCCTCCTTTTGCTTGGCACTTCTCCTTCCGACCACGATGTGAAGAAGGACATGTTTGCTTCTCCTTCTGCCATGATTGTAAGTTTCCTGAGGCTTCCTCAGCCCTGTGGAACTGCAAGTCAATTAAAGCTCCTTCCTTTATAAATTACCCAGTCTGGGGCAGTTCTTTATAGCAGTGTGAGAACGGACTAATACAGTGGAAGAGAAAAAATTCCTCTCTAGTTAGCTACTTATAAGGCCGCTAATCCCATTCATGAGGTCTCCACTTTCATGATCTCATCATCTCCCAAAGACCCCCTCCCTCCTGATACTGTCACATTGGGGGTTAGGTTTCGACATATACATTGAGGGAGGAAGCAAACATTTAGTCCATAGCAAATACATTGATTTATACTATTTAACTAGAAATCTTGATGCTTTTAATCCATTCAACGGCTCATCTCTGGCCTCACAGCCTGTGCACTTGTGGGTTCTCCTGCTGGAACTCTCTCCGCACAGCTGCCTGGCTCATCTCTTGCTTCCTTCAGGCCACTTCCCCATTGTCACTCAAGTAGGGGGGAACTCTGATTAACCAATGTAAAATAGCAACACAGGCTCAACACACACACACACACACACACACACACACACCACTATATGTTGATATTTATATTTTCCATCCCATGTATCACCGTTTGACTTACTGTCTATTTACTTGTTTGTTCATTGCCTTTTCCCTCCCACTAGAATGTAAGCACCACAAAGACAAGGTCTTTGTCTATTTTATTCCCTGTTATATTCCCAGCTCCTACAACACTTGATAGATGCTCAAACAATATTTACTGAATGAATTATGCCATTCAAAATATAGGACTTGCTTTTTAATATTCATCAATCTGAAATGAGGAAGTTACTATCTGTCTGTGAGTTTCCCCATGATTTTAGAAGGTGTTCAGAGTAAGAGGTTGAGCAAGTGAGAGATGTGCGCTTCTGTTTTCTATCTATTGTTACTCGTTTAAATAAAAATAAGAAACTAAAATATACACGCAAAGTTCTCAGAACATAAAGCACGCTGAGACTGCTCTGTGTCCCAGAACCAGGTTGAAAATCAGTGTAGCTTAATGCCAGATCCAATTCCACTATTAAGTCATCACATGTGACCTATCTTTAGAGAAAATGGTCAGAATGCAATAATGTTGTAGAGAGCGGGAGGATGTTAGCTGGAGAAAATGTCAACACTCTTAAATGTTGTGATTTGGATTTCCAGATCAAATCCCCTCAGATTTGACCTAGCGCTCTGAAACAAGAGTGAATGTTGCTGTGGCCCCTGCTGCCACCACCTCCACCGTTGCTGCCATTTCCCCGCTGAGCCCTGCAGTTCTGAAGCCCCCTGATGCTCAGGTGTTGGAGGAGAATAAGCAGAGTGGCTATTGCTCTCATGGTGCCCCCCACCCTACCCTGGCTAAGATGGGAGAAGCTGCACCTGGGAGGGAACCAAAGGTGCTGGTGGAGAGGGAAGCTGAGATTAAGCCGCTGGTTTTTGCAAACACGGCATTCCTTGATGTAGTCAGCCTCAGGCACTCTGAGTCCAGAGAGTAGGAGGGGATGGATTAACATTACAGTGCACAGACTCCAGAGGGAACTGAGTAACAAAAGACACCCAGACAGGCCCTCCTCACCACCTGGACCAGAAATATCCGGTCAGCCTGTTTCCCTAAATTGTCCCCAGGCTCCTCCCTGTCTGGTTCTCAGCCAAGAAGAGGACCAGGTGGCTTGGCTTCCTGCTTTCTGGAGACTTTTGTCCTGAGTAAAGCTCCATGAGGTCAGTGAAGCCAAGTGGCAGCCAGTCCCAGTACCAGCCACAGGTGCCAGAATGTGCAATGATTACCAGCTTAGAATCTCACCCTGAACCTCACTAGGCTGAACTCACTGCAGTTTCCCAAAGTTCCCTGTTTGGGGGTTGCAAACCTTCTGCCAAGAAAACCCTTTTGCTCCCAACTGGTTGGCTTGGCTAAGCTTGGAACTCAGCTAAAGCAACACCACCTCCAGGAAACCTCTAGACACCCACAGCCTGGGACCTCCTGCGCATCCACAGCATCTTGTGCAGAGCTCCAGCGCCACACAAATTCCAATGGAGAATGTCCTGTTGGCTCAGCTGTCACCTCCCTAGACTGTGAGCTACTTGAAGGCAGGAACTACCCGGGGGTCACAGGTCTGGAATACATGAGGCACTTAATAGATGTGTATTGAATGAATCTGTGAAAAGAGAAAGAGGTAGGTACAGGTAAATGTTAAGAAAATGCAGAGAATGAAGCATTTATTTCCACTAAATTCCTTGGGGAAGAAATATTTGAATAACTCCATGAAAGGCGAGATTGGATTTAGCAGGTAGAAGCTGGGCAGAGGGAGGACCCTCCAAGGTGCAGGAAGTGCAGGAGGGACGGATGGGTAGGCAGCGCTGGTGGCCTCTGCCACCTGCCCGCCACTGTGGCCTTGAGCAATCTACCAAGCCCTGTGCATCTCATTCCTCATTAAGAAGGTGGGAATAATAACAGTACCCATTTCACAGGTTCTAAGGACCAGATGAACTAACACACTCTCAGGGCTCAGAACAGGGCTTGACATGTATAACCATCCATAGGCATATCAGTTGCTATCAACACTGTTATCATTATAAGTACAAATAACAAAAGTAGCAGACATTCTTAGACGGAAAAATGGAAAATGGTCTGCATTAGATGCCCTTTTGTTTGGTAGCCCCTATTCTAGATTTACCTGACAGTACCACTTTCAAATAGAGCATTCCAAATTTTCAGTTTGACTCACTATTTTGTTGTCAGTGCACCCTCGGAAAGAGGTCACTGAATCTTTTTATTTGGGGATCTAAAATGATCCGGATTTTAACACTAGATAAGATTCCTCTCAATTTCACTCCAAATTGAAAAAAATGGCAGAGTATGGATTAATTAGATAAGCAGTGAGAAGACACACACACACAGGCACACACGCACGAACGCACACACACGGACATGCATGCATGCACGTGGACACACGGGCACACACGCACACGGACACACACATGCACACGCGCACACACACGTCACACGCACACAGACACGCGCACACACAGGCACACAAGCAGGAGTTCAAGGCTGCAGTGAGCTGTGATTGTGCCACTACACTCCAGACTGGGCGAAACAGCGATTCCCTGACTACTGAAAAAAAAAAAAAAAAAGTCTGCGGATGGTTTTGGGTGGGCCACGGTTTACCAGGAACAGCGACTGGCCGGTTTGTAGATGTCGAAGCACCAGTTTCCAGGAATTGAAAGCATGGCTCCCGCAGTTGCGCGCGGGGTGAGCTGCGGAGGCACGGCCCCGAAGTCCGCGTGCTCCAGTTCCGCCTCTCAGCTCAGGAACTCTTTGAAGGGGACGCATTCGGGGTGGGGGCAGCGGCACACGTTTGTACTTTGAAGGGAACCGTCCGGCAGCCGTGGAAACAGGGGCAGGGAGGTTGTGAGGAGACCCCCGAGGGGTTTTGCAAACTTTCCAGAAGGAAACTTCACTCCTCGCCCTCTGCGGAGCCCCACACAAAGAGGGGCCACTACTTCCTGCGAAGACAACTCCAGGAGCGGACAGAACATCCGTGTCTGCATGAGAGTCCATTCGGATGCAGGCCGGGGTTCTTCAGCCCAGGGCCCACCCTCCGGAGGTGAAGAAACGCACAGTGCTGTGCCCGCCGCGGCCCGGGCTAGCCACCTGCGTGGGCAGGCGTGGTTAGGCAGCGCTCGTGGCCTCTGCCACCTGCCCGCCACTGTGGCCTTGAGCAATCTACCAAGCCTTGTGCATCTCATTCCCCATCAGGAAGGTGGGAATAATAGCAGCACCCATATCACAGGTTCTAAGGACCAGATGAACTAACACACTCCCAGGGCTCAAAACAGCAGCTCCGGGCTCACCGCAGCCCGGCCGGACTTGTGGGTTCCTTGGCTCAAGTACGCAAAAACCACGGCTCTGGAGGTTCACTGACGCCGGCCAGGTGCACACACCTCGCTGAAACCGGCTGGTGCACCTCCACACTTAAACATTTTCCGTGACCTCTCCACGGATTAGTACTGATAAGACACATTAGATAAAAAGCGTCTCTCAGAGGATAATTGTGCTCTTACCAAAGCACTTCCTAGTTAACTTGAAACTCCCTGATAAAGCCTTAAGGGAACTGAAGTAATGAATAAATCATCTTCTTTCAAAAAAAAATTGTGATATAATTGTATACAGTAAAACATGCAAATCTTAAAAGTATAGTTTCATAAGCTTTAAAAAAGGTATAGACCCGGCTAATTAACTACCTTCATAGAGAACATTCCCTTCAGCTCAGAAAGTTTTCTCCCCCACCCCTTTCCAGTCCTTCCTCCTCACCCGGCAACCGGGGGCTTTGGTTCCTGTTTCATAGGTGAGCGCTGTGGCCGCAGCGCTTTACACACAGGGAACCCTGCGGAGGGACTCCCTGGTGTCTGGCTTCCGCTGAGTGTGATGCTTTGAGATTCATCCATGCTATGAGTGTACTGGAAGTTTGCTCCATTTCACTGCCTAGTAGTAATCATCTTTAAATGGATGATTGATGTATTTCAGCAGGCTTTGCCATATCATTATTCATTAATATTTTCTCCATTGAAAGAATATTCATATTTTAAAATTTACATTTCTCACGTTTACCGTGATCTTATTTCTTCTGTAGAATTAAGATATAAACGATCTTCTTCCAGTAACATATCAATAGACTGACAATATTCTAGGCTAGAATCGCTAAACA
Source organism: Homo sapiens (assembly GCF_000001405.40). Lineage (NCBI taxonomy): Eukaryota > Metazoa > Chordata > Mammalia > Primates > Hominidae > Homo > Homo sapiens. Next base: position 25,070,447 of record NC_000013.11, read on the forward strand.
CTAATTGATGGGCTCAGCGCCCCATTGTTGATAACTAAGGCCATCTGCTTCAAATTGTCATTGTAGAGGGAAACAAAATCCCAATTACAAGGTAAAGCTTCTATAAGTTTAGCTGATGTTGACAGACTGTGGAAGTAAGGAAGTGTTTCTGTGGATGAATTGCAAATGAAGGCAGCTGCACCCTGAGAAAAACTGAAACATTTTACCCTAAAAAAAGAGAAAGGAATGTGTCTTCCGGAAATAGTGTAGCTATTTGAACATTGTGACCCGGAACATGATAGCTCCACCACAGCACCAACTAGCGAGTGCCAAGTAAAGGTAAAATCTAAGGAGACTGGGTGGCCAGGAGGAGGGCATAGAAGCTCCAGGATGTCACCAGAGATGACAAAGGGAGGTGGAAATCATAGTTTTAGCTCCATTTTATAGTTGTAGGTAGAAGCGAATATTGCCACCCTCTCTGTGCTCTGTTGCCTTCACAAAAAAGAAAGATTGTTCAGAGGAAATTATGAGAAAAATCACTGAGTTTGTTGAAAATGTGTAGCTACTGAGAGTGCAAGTAACTAGGATTGTAGTGGGCATGTTTCCTTCACAGGATGCTTTACAAAATCTTGGGCGTCGGCCGGGCGCGGTGGCTCACGCCTGTAATCCCAGCACTTTGGGAGGCCGAGGCGGGCGGATCACGAGGTCAGGAGATCGAGACCATCCCGGCTACAACGGTGAAACCCCGTCTCTACTAAAAATACAAAAAATTAGCCGGGCGTAGTGGCGGGCGCCTGTAGTCCCAGCTACTTGGGAGGCTGAGGCAGGAGAATGGCGTGAACCCGGGAGGCGGAGCTTGCAGTGAGCCGAGATCCCGCCACTGCACTCCAGCCTGGGCGACAGAGCGAGACTCTGTCTCAAAAAAAAAAAAAAAAAAAAAAAAAAATCTTGGGCGTCTGATATGAACATTTCTGTACAACTTAGTATATGTCCAGTCCTTCAAGTGCCTAGCCAAGGACAATGCAGTGTATTCAATTATGAGTGAGGTTTAAGAAAACAAAAAGGAAAAGACACGCAGTTTCAACACAAAGAAGCTATTTAAATCATGTGAAACAGAGCACCAGAACTTACCAACAAATGAAAAATGTGAATTATTTACCATTAAATTAAAATAATGTATGGAGGGGCTGGGTGCGGTTGTTCACGCCTGTAATCCCAGCATTTTGGGAGGCCATGGCAGGTGGATCACCTGAGGTCAGGAGTTTGAGACCAGCCTTACCAACATGGTGAAACCCGTCTCTACTGAAAATACAAAAATTAGCTGGGCACGGTGCTGCATGCCTGTAATCCCGACTACTCAGGAGGCTGAGCCAGGAGAATCGCTTGAACCCAGGAGACAGAGATTGCAGTGAGCCAAAATTGTGCCATTGCACTCCAGCCTGGGCAGCAAGAGTGAAACTTCATCTCAAAATAAATAAAATAAAATATTGCAGGGAGCAAACAAAAAATGTGACTAAACACCATAAATTCAGAAAATTTATAGAAGCAATTGACACATTTGGAAAAATCACAGTTGGCAAAGTCATATAAACAGGTCTCATTTCCAGCAGATAATTAACAGTATAAAAGTAAACAGTAAGGGAGAGAATATTACTAACTAAAAATTTGATTGGTGGATAATAATAATAACATTAATATTATTTTTGAAACCGAGTCTTGCTGTGTTGCCCAGGCTGGAGTAGAGTGGCATAATCACAGCTCACTGTAGCTGTAGCTGGGACTACAGGTGCATGCCACCACACCCAGCAAAAAAAATTTTTTTTTTTTTTGATAGTAACAGGTTCTTGCTATGTTGCCCAGGCTGGTCTCAAACTCCTGACCTCGAGTGATCCTCCCACCTTGACCTCCCAAAGTGCTGGGATTACAGGCATGAGCTACTATGCCTGATCAGATAATATTATTAATGAAAAATTTCTCATAGCAGGGAACTAGTATATACCATATGAAGAAATACAGGGAATAGGGTATTATATAAAGTGATAATTATGAAGATATTTTCTAGACCAGAAATATAAACCTTTCTGAATTTTATAAGAACATCACAGAAAGTACAAAATAAGAAAAACAAATGACTTAGTGAAAGATTTTAAAAAACTGTAAAAATAGAAAATAAATCAAAATGATACAATCAGCCTAAGAAGCAACATATTGGGCACATCAGTCAATGCAAATGGGCTGACTCACTTTTTAAAAGAGTGTTAAATTAGATGAAAAAGCATATCTCAATTCCATGCTATCTATAAAAGACGTACCTAAAATGTGTGATTCAGAAAGTTTGAAAAATAAGAGAATTAGCATAGATATTCCAGGAAAATACAAACAAAAATCAAGGTCACAAACTCGATATGAGATGTGATGAAATTCAAATGAAATGTATTACATAGGAACCAAAAAAAAGCAATTTATGATACTCCAAGGAGTGTAATTCACAATTTAGATATAACAGTTATGAATACTTAAGTACCAATAATATTCATAAAGCTGAAATTACAGGCATTACAAGAAGGTAAGGAAGAAATAACACCACTCATAGCAGACTTCAATTCACTTCTTTCAGCCCATGGCAGATCATGTAGAAAAAAATAAATGTAAGTATACAGAATATTTCTGTAAACTCTGTAATCTGAAGACATAAGTCTTTCTTCAAATGTTCATGAAATGGCAATAAAAATAACCACTTATTAGACCACAAAAAAATCCAGTAAGTCCCAAAATGTAGGAAAAAAGACAAATATGATTTTCTGATCACAATATCAATAAACTAGTAATGAGTAGGAAAACCAGACATTTAAAAATACTCTTTTAACTAGACATTTTTAAAACTCTCTTAAATCATTCTCCATTAAAAAAGAAATAGAATCCATAATTGCAGAATTCTGAGAAACCAACAAAATGAGAATGCTACATATTGGAGTCTACAGGATTGAACTGAAGCAGAATCCAGAATAAAATTCTAACTTTAATAATAATATAAATCTAAACAAGGGAAAGAAAGAAAGTACTCAAATGTTTAAGAGAGAGCGAGAAAAGGAAAGCAAAAACAAACAAAAAAACAAAACAAAACAATAACAACAACCAAAAAAAGAAAAAAAACAGAACGCGACAAGCCCTAAGGATTAAAAATAGAAACTAAAGTGTTTTTTTTGACTAGGGCAGTAATAAAGAAGTAAATGAATTTCAAAGTAGAAAAACTCTAAAACTAATAATACATAAAGCCAGAAGTTGATACTTTTAAATAAACCAACAAAATAGACAAACCATTAACTAACCCCCCCTCAAAAAGAGGAAGGAATAAAAGAAGAAAGGGGAAAATAATAAACAAATCAGAAAACATGATGTCAAAACCTGAAAATAATGCACAAAAGAGAAAAGTCAGACACACTTCTCACTTATAAATACTGACTTTAAATTTTGAAAATAAGAACCTACTAGAAAAATCTAGCACCACATTAAAAGAGTAACATAACACAACTGGTTGGGCTTTATTTCAGCATTGAAGGTTGAATGTTAGAAATATTTTAATGTAATACACTAATTTATCATATATTTACCTTAATGAATTCTGAAAATGATTTTGAAATAACCACTATTTCTTATTTTAAAAATAATAAAACATAAATAGATATTTCTTTTTTTTGAGTCGGAGTCTTGCTCTGTCACCCAGGCTGGAGTGCAGTGCTCACTGCAAGCTCTGCCTCCCGGGTTCACGCCATTCTCCTGCCTCAGCCTCCCAAGTCGCTGGGACTACAGGCGCCTGCCACCGCGCCTGGCTAATTTTTTGTATTTTTAGTAGAGACGAGGTTTCATCATGTTAGCCAGGATGGTCTCGATCTCCTGACCTCATGATCCACCTGCCTCAGCCTCCCAAAGTGCTGGGATTACAGGTGTGAGCCACCGCGCCTGGCCATAGATATTTTCTTAATATGATAAAGGATATTTCTATCTTAGCTTAAACAATAGCACCAGGATTTCCGGAGACACACTAGTGATATCCTAACCAATTTCAGAATAAATCATGGATGCCCATACTTACCACTGTTATTACTGGAAATCTTAGTGCATTTAGACAAGAGAAAGAAATCAGATATATATACATTGTAAAGATGATGTATTAGTCCCTTTTGTACTGTTAGAACAGAATACCACAGATTAGATAGCGTATAAACAATAAAAAATTATTTTTCACGGTTCTTGAGGCTGGAAAGTCCAAGATCAAGAGACCTGCATTGGTGGGGGCCTTCTTGCTGTGTCATCCCATAGCAAAAGGTAAAAGGACAAAGGAGGGCAAAAGAGAGGGCAAGAAAAGGTTGAACTCATCCTTTTATAAGGAACCCAACCTATAGTAATGAACCCACTCCTGTGACAACATCATTAATTCATTCATAAGGGCAGTGCTCCATGACCCAAACACCTCCCATTAGGCCTCACTGCCCAACACTGCCACATTAGGGATCAAGTTTCCAACGCATGAACTGTGGGGGACACATTCAAACTATAGCAGATGGTAAAAATATCACAGTTGGAAGATGATATAATTATATCCCAAGAGAATCAATTTTTAAGCTATTAGAAACAAGGAAATTCAGGAAATAACAATGTAAACAATTACTATACAAAGAGGGAGGCTGGGCACGGTGGCTCACATCTGTAATCCCAGCACTTTGGGACGCTGAGCAGGCAGATCACTTAAGATTGGGAGTTTGAGACCAGCCTGGCCAATATGGTGAAACCCTGTCTCTACTAAAAATACAAAAATTAGCCGGGTGTGGTGGCAGGTGCCTGTAGTCACAGCTACTTGGGAGACTGAGGCAGGAGAATAGCTTGAACCTGGGAAGCAGAGGTTGCAGTGAGCCAAGATTGCGCCATTGCACTCCAGCCTAGTCATCACAGCGAGACTCTGTCAAAAAAAAAAAAAAAAAGCAGGGAGACATTTTTGGTGATGCAGGTATGAAGAGGATGACAATTCTTTCCACAGACAATGACGAAAACAGAGCAAAGTTATTAAAAGGCAACAATTTGCAAGCCCTGAAAAATGACCAAAGATAGACAAAAGCTTGAGAAGGGTTTACAATAACTGAAATAAAAGACCACCATGTGAGCTCAATGGCAGAATGTAGGTGACAGAAAAATCAGCCAGTGAACTTGAAGATAGAGCTATAGAAATTATTCAACTGAAAAATAAAGAATAAAATATTGAAAAAAATGAGCAATGCCAAGAGACCCGAGGAGCAATATCAAGCAGTCTAACATACCCGTAAACTGGAATCACAGAGAGGAAAGAGAAAGAGAGAGAGAATATTTGAAGAAATAATAATAAAAAGAGATCTCAAATTTGATTCATAAAAATCAACAAAACTCAATAAAAACACATTTGGATACATCATATCTAAGCTACAAAAAGTCAGAAATAAAGAAAAAATGTTGAAAGCAACAAAATAAAAATTACATGGAATGGAGAAAGGAAATGACGACTGACTTCCCATCAGACAATGGATGCCAGAAGACACCGGTGTTTATATTCAAACTGCTGAAAGAAAAAACATGTCAAAAAAGAATTTTAGGCCAGGCACAGTGGTTCACACCTGTAACCCTAGCATTTTGAGAGGCCAAGGTGGAAGGATCACTGGAGCTCAGGAGTTTGAGACCTGGATAGGCAACATGGTGAAACCCTGTCTCTACAAAAAATACAAAAAATAGCCAGGTGTGGTGGTGCACACCTGCAGTCCCAGCTACTTCAGAGACTGAGGTGAGAGGATTGCTTGAACCCAGGAGGTTGAGGCTGTAGTGAGCCATGGTCACACCACTGCATTCAAGCCTGGGCAACAGAGTGAGACCCTGTCTCAAAAGAATTTTAAATCCTAGAAGACTATACTTCAAGTATATAGGTAAATTAAGGACATTTTCAGATAAAATAAAACAGAAAATGTGGTATAAGAGACTTGTACAATTGATAATTGAACAACACAGGGGTTAGGGACACCAACCCCTGCCCCACAGCAGTTGAAAATAAGTGTATAACTTTTGACTCCCTAGAAACTTAACTCCTAATAGCTTACTTTTGACTGGAAACCTTACTGATAACATAAACGATTGATGAACACATATTTTATACATTGTATGTGTTATATACTGTACTCTTACAATAAAGTAAGCTAGGGAAAATGTTATTAAGAAAATCCTAAAGAAGAGAAAATGTATTTACTATTCACTGAGTAGACATGGATCATCATAAAGGTCTCCATCTTCATTGTCTTCACCTCGAATAGTCTGAGGAGGAGAAGGAGGGGCTGGTCTTGCTGTCTCAGGAGTCGGAGAGGTGGAAGAAAATCTACATATAAGTGGGTCTCCACAGTTCAAGGCTGTGTTGTTCAAGGATCAACTGTACTATTACAAATTCCAAAGGAAGTCCTCAGGCTAAAGGAGAATGATACCAGGTGGTAACTCAGATATATAGGAAGAAATGAAGAGCACCAAAAATGTAGGTAAATGTGTGTAGGTAAGACTTTACACACATACACGCAACTAGATAAAACGTAAATTAGAACACTGTGTTGTCAGGTTAATAAACTGTACAGGAGTAATATGTATGACAACAGTAGCACAAAGGCATGGTAGTAAATAGAACTACACTGTTGCAAGATTCCTGTGTATTAACAGAAGTAATTCCACATTCACTTTAAGTAAAGTCTGATCAGTTAAAAATGCATATTGTAATCCTAGGACAACTGCCAAAAAACTAATGAAAATAAATTAACTAAAAAGCCAATACGTTAATTAAATAGTACACTAAAATATATCTGTTTAACACATGAAAGGCAGGAAAAAAGAACTAAAGTGTTTTGTTTTTTTTTGGAGACAGAATCTCGCTCTGTTGCCCAGGCTGGAGGGCAGTGGTGTGATCTCGGCTCACTGCAACCTCTGTCTCCCAGATTCAAGCAATTCTCCTGCTTCAGCCTCCTGAGTAGCTGGGACTGCAGGTGTGCACCACCACACCCAGCTAATTTTTGTATTTTTAGTAGAGACGGGGTTTTACCATGTTGGTCAGGCTGGTCTCGAACTCCTGACCTCAAGTGATCCACCTGCCTCGGCCTCCCAAAGTGTTGGGATTACAGGCGTGAGCCATTGCACCTGGCTAGAGTGATTTTTTTTTAAGATATGACAAATAATGAACGAAGAGTAAAAAGTCTGACTTAACAGAAATCATATCAATAATTTAATATAAATGGACTAAACGCTTCAACCAAAAGACAGAGATTGGCAGCTGAAACACAAGAGCAAGACCCACCTATGTGTTGTCTACAAAAGATGCTGTTTAAATGCAAAGATGCAAATGAGTTGAAAGTAAAAGAATGGAGAAAGACATACCATGGACACATAAGAAAGCATGAGAAAGCTGGAGTAGCTACATGATCACAGACACAAAGATTTTATGAAAGAAGTAGTGCTAGAGATAAATGGAAACTTCATAATAATACAAACCGAAAGTAACTACAAGGAAAGAAATAATAAGGATATCAGTGGAAATCAATGAACTAGAAAATGGACAAACTAAAGAGAAAATCAGTGAAATAAAAAACTTGCCCTCTGAAAATATCAACTAATTTGATAAATCTGTAGCTGAACTGGTCAATTAAAAATGCACAAATTATCAATATCAGAAATGGAAGAGAATTATCAATATGGTTCTTGTAGTCATTAAAAGAATAATAAAAAAATTGTGAACAACATTATGACAAAAAATTTGAGGATTTAGATGAAATAGATGTCAAAAACAGACTCAAGAAAAACAGAAGACCTAAAATGTCCTATAACATATAAAAATTATTTTTTAATTAAAAACCTTCCTACAGAGATAACACCAGTCCCAGATGACTTCATGGTGAATTCTATCAAACATTTAAGTTTTGTTTTTTTTTTCTTTTTTAAATTTAAGATGGAGTCTCATTCCATCTGGGTGACAACCCAGGCTGGAGTGCAGTGGCGCGATCTCAGCTCACTGCAACCTCCGCCCCCCAGGTTCACGGAATTCTCCTGCCTCAGCCTCCCAAGTAGCTGGGATTACAGGCGCACACCACCATGCCCGGCTAATTTTTTTTTGTACTTTTAGTAGAGACGGGGTTTCACTATATTGGCCAGACTGGTCTCAAACTCCTGACCTCGTGATCCGCCCGCCTCAGCCTCCCAAAGTGCCGGGATTACAGGCGTAAGCCACCACGCCTGGCCCAAACATTTAAGTTTTAACATTAAGTTAAAATCTCTCCCAAACTATGTCAGGAAAAAGGAGTTGGAATACTGCTCTATTCATATTATTAGGCCTGCATTACCCTCATTTAATACCTGACAAAGACATAACAAGAAAACCATAGACCGATATACCTCATGGACATACATGCAAAAATGTTTAAGAAAATATTAGGAAATCTAGTAATATAATAAAAGAATCATGTATCATGATCAAATGGTGTGTATGTAAGAAATGCAATATTGCTTTAATGTATGAAAACCAATTAACGTAATTCACCATATGAATAGAATAGAGGAGAAAAAACGTGATCGTCTCGACAGATGCAGAATAAACTATGTGACAAACTTCAACACCTATTCATGATAAAACTTTGAGCAAGTTCAGAATAGAATGAAATTTCTGCAACCTGAAAAAAGACATCTATAAAAAACTCAGAGCTAACATCGTACTAAATTGTGAAAAACCAAGTGCTTTCAACCTTAGAACAGAAACAAGACAAAGATATTCACTCTTATAAAGATAGTTCAATAAGACAAAAAAAAAGGCATAGAGTTTGTAAAAGAAGAAATAAAACTGTCTTTATTTGCAGTCAATATAAGTACATATATAAAACAATCCTAAGGGAATATACAAAGTCTACTGAAACTAATAAGTGATCAAAGCAAGATCACAGGATAAAAGATCAATATGCAATCATCACTTTTATTTCTATATATAAACAGCAAGCAATTAAAAAGGACATTTAAAATACAAATATGTTCACAATAACATAAAAAATTATGAATAAATTTAGCAAAAGGTGTGGAAGATCTATACCCTGATAAATAATGCTGTTAAAATAAATTTTAAAAAGCCTAAATAAATGGACAGATAGGTAATGTTCATGAATTGGAAGACTCAATATTGTTACTGTATCAATAGATTCAATGTAATTTTAATCGGAATTACAGCAAGCATTTTCTTTTAGAAATTGACAAGTGTATTATAAAATTGATATAAAGATGAGATGGATCTAAAGTAGCTGAACAATTTTAAAAAGAAGAGAAAAGTCGGCCAGGCACAGTGGCTCACTCCTATAATCCCAGCACTTTGGGAGGCTGAAGCGGGCGGATCATGAGGTCAGGAGTTCGAGACCAGCCTGGCCAATATGGTGAACCCCCGTCTCTACTAATAATACAAAAAAAATAGCTGGGTGTAGTAGCGCACACCTGTAGTCCCAGCTACTTGGGAGGCTGAGGTGGGAGAATCGCTTGAACCAGGAAGGTGGAGATTGCAGTGAGCTGAGTTCGCACCACTGCACTCCAACCTGGGTGACACAGCGAGACTCCGTCTCAAAAAAAAAAAAAATAAAAATAAATAAATAAATAAATAAAAGAAGAGAAAAGTCAAAGGACTTAAACTACCTGATATGAAGACTGACTATAACACTGCAGTAACCAAGAGAGTGTGGTATGGGGATAAGGAAAGGCACACCAACCGGTGGGACAGAGTCCAGTCCAGAAGTAGACTGACATATGTATAGTCAACTGATCTTTATCAAAGTGCCAAACTAATTAAGTGATGAAAGGATGATGTTTTCAATAAACAGCACTAGAATAGTTTCCATATTGTTGGGGGAAAGGGTCCGGACCCTTTTCTTTTATTGTATACCAAAATTAACTCAAAATGGATCATAGACCTACATTTAAGAGCTAAAATCTTAAAACTTCAAGCAGGAGAAAAATAGAAGGATTGACTTGTGATATTAGGTTAGACAAAAGAAAAATATTAGCAAATTAAATTTCATTAAAATGAAAAATATTTGTTCTTCAAAGGACCCTCTTCAGAAAACAAAATTGGAAAAAAAAAATTTGTAAAACACGTATCCAACAAAGGCCTTGTGTCCTGCATATAAAAAAAACTTACTAATAAGAAGACAAACAATTCAATCAAAAAATGGACAAAAGATTTAAACAGACACTTCACAAAAGAATATATGTAAATAGCCAATAAGTCATTTAAAAGATGCTCAACATCACTGTCAAACAAACCAAAGAAATGCAAATTAAAACAACAAGGAGAGACCAGTATACAAGGAGAGACACTGGGATGGCAGAAATTTGAAAAGCCTGACAACACCAAGCATTGATTGTTATCTACATGAAGGTAGAATAATTGGAACACTCATAATTGCCAGTGGTTAGTTACACTGTTTTCCATATCCATTTTGAAAAAGAAGTTGCAAGTTTCTTATCACATGAAACACACACCACATGTGACTCAGCAATTCCACTCCTAGTTATATAACCAAGAATACATACATACATATATATCTATTTCCACGCAAAGACATTGGGGGCCAAAGTTCATAGCAACATTATTCTTCATGGCTCCAAGCTGGAAATAACCCAAATATTTATAAACTAGTGAAAAGATGAACCAGTTGTTGTGTATCCGGACAACGGAATACTGCTCAGCAAAAAGACGGAATGAACTGTTGATACCTGCAACATGGATGAAACTAAAATATCACACAAAGTGAAAGAAGCCAGACACGGAAGACAACATATTATTCCATTTACACAAAATTCTGGAAAAGGCAAATTATCGTGAAAAAAAGATCAGTTGTCTTAGGCCTGAGTTGGAGAGAAAAGATTGGCTATAGGGGAGCACAGAGGAATTTTGATGTTGGTAGGACCTTGCATATTTGTATGTATTTGCCAAACTTATTGTACTATACTCTTTTTCTTTTCCTTTTTTTTTTTTTTTTTTTTTTTGAGACGGAGTCTCGCTCTGTCCCCCAGGCTGGAGTGCAGTGACGCAGTCTCGGCTCACTGCAAGCTCCGCTTCCCGGGTTCACGCCATTCTCCTGCCTCAGCCACCCGAGTAGCTGGGACTACAGGCGCCCGCCACCACGCCCGGCTAATTTTTTGTATTTTTAGTAGAGACGGGGTTTCACCGTGTTAGCCAGGATGGTCTCGAGCTCCTGACCTTGTGATCTGCCCGCCTCGGGCTTTCAAAGTGCTGGGATTACAAGCGTGAGCCACCGTGCCAGGCCAATTGTACTATACTCTTAAAATCTGTGAATTTAACTGAATGAAAGTTGTGCCTCAAAAATGCAAAAAAAAAAAAAAAAAAAGTAAAAATCAGTACCTTACAAATATAAAAAATAACAGCCAGTAGAAGTTTCAGTGGGAGAAAGGACACAGCATTCGGTGTCCTCTGTTTGCCTCCAGATTCACTCTCACCGTACTCCCTCCTGCTCTCCCCCCAGCAAGGCTTGACAGTGTTGGTTTTATCAACGGACTCTCTTGCCCTCTTGCCTCTGGTTGCCTTTGGCCACTGGGAATTTCTAGTAGGATATCTAAGGAATGGAGGAGAGTTGGGGAGCATACTTATTTCCTCTTTTACTCCTATTCTGTCTGGAGGGATTACAGTGAGCTAGGACAAGGTTATAGCTCCCATGAGATGGCCTCTCCAATAAGAGTGCTGTCTCTGGATTTCAGCAACTACTCCTTCAAACCCTTCATGCCTATGTGTGAAAATGAGGGACCTAGGACCTCTATTACTAGCCCAAAGGTACCACTCTGTCCCTTTGGTTTTTCTGTACTTGGTTCACAATGCTAATATCCCCTGTATCTCCTCTAGTTAACCAATTTAAATAGAGTCATTTATTTCCTATGGGAACTCCTACTGATACAGAGCCCACTTACCACAATAGCAGCAACAAAAAAATTCATTGGAATTAATAAGTGAGAAATCACAGGAGCTATATAAAGAACATCAAAATCAACATAAAAAGACATAAACAAATGCAAAGACATTCATATACTTGTACAGGAAGTTTCAACATCCCAAAGATGGCAATTCTTCCTTAGCTCATTCACAAATCAAATACCAACAGATATTTTATTGTTTTGTTGCTGCTGTTGTTCTTGCATTATTAAACAAACCAGTTTTAACATTCACGTTGAAAATGAAACAAACAAGAATAGTTAGAAAAACTCTGAAAAAGAAGAGTAAATGTTAAAAAAAATTGCAATAATTATGAATTGAAGGAAAGACATGTTATCAAACAAAAAGCCTGGAAATATATCCAAATACTCACAAAATTTTCAACAAAAATTACATCTGAAATCAGTGGGGGGAAAGATAGACTAATAAATGGTTTAGGGAAAACAGGTAGCATTCTAGAAATAAAAATACAATTGAATTTGTATCTTATTCAACAGGAAAATGTCAAAACAAATCAAAGATTTAAATGTCAAAAATGGAATCAAAAGTATTAGAAGTAAACACCAGATAATTTTTTGTAATTTTAGAGTGGTGTCTTTGTTTTGTGCTGTTATAACAGAATGCCTGAGACTGAGTAATTTATAATAGACAGAAATGTATTTGGCTTATGCTTCTGAAAGCTGAGAAGTCTGGGATCAGGGAGCTGCATCTGGCTAGGGCTTTCTTACTGTGTCATCCCATGGTGGAAGGACAGAAGGGCCCAAGAGCACACATGAGACAGCAAGAGGAGAAGGAGGCTGAACTCATCTATTTATCAAGAATTCAATCCCCAAAACAGCATTAATTCATTCATGAGGGCAGAGTCATCATGGCCTAATCACATCTTAAAGGTCCCACCTCTCAACACCATTGCATTGGGGATTAAGTTTCCAACACATAAACTTGGAGGGATACATTCAAACTATAGCAAGCAGTAAAAGCCTTTCTAATTACAGTTGTTCTTCTGTATACTTGGGGGATTTATTCCAAGACCTCCCTCAGATATCAAAGCCCATGAATGCTCAAGTCTGTTATATAAAATGGTGTATTATTTGCATATAACCTATGCACATTCTCCTGTATACTTTAAATCATCCTTCTGCTTATAAGGATTACTTATAACACCTAATACAATGTAAATACTATGTAAATAGTGGTCCTATTTTTAAAAATTTGTATTATATTTATTATTGTATTGTTATTTTTTATTCTTTTTTTCTTAACATTTTCAATCCATGGTTTGGGTGCAGAACTCACAGATACTGACAGCCAACTGCATAACACAAAATCCAGAAGTTATTACAAAAAAATTTAAAACCTATATGACAAAAATAACATTATAAATAACGTCAAAAGATGAACTGTGAATAAAATAATGTGCTCCCAGAAATCCATAAGAAAAAAACCAACAATCCAATAGAAACATGACCAGAACAGACAATTAGCAGAAAAAGAAATACAAAAGACTTTAAGCATAAGAAAAGATGCTCAACTTTTCTCATAATAAGAGAAAAGCAAATTAAAACAACACTGAGAAATTACTACTCACTTCTCAGGTAGGAAAACTGAAAAATATGATAAAGTATTTCTGGCGAGGCTGTGGGAAAATAGGTTCTATCATACACAGCTCTTAGAAGTGTAAATTAGTACCAGCTCTAAGGAGGGCTGTTGACAACATTTATTAGAATTTCAAATGTGTTTACTTTTTGATCTAGCTTTCTATTCCTAGATATTTACTCTGCAGAAATATTTGCACAGTTGCAAAACTACATCTATACAAGCTGTGAGAATTGCAGATACCAGGATGAAATCACTCTTGTCAGACCCTGACAAACTAGGGCTGGGAATGCAGAAAGGAGGGGGTTCATGCTAGCATGTCTGAGATAAGAACTGTTTCAAAGGACTTTCTAAAAATCTGACAAGAAATCCTTTCACATCCTTTGCACATCTTCTGCCTTGCAAAGCTTGCACATTTCACCCGTATACATGTATTTCTATGACAAGATGCATCACCAGATATTCTTTAGGACTGCAACAATCCATATAAGATGCTCTGAAAAGAACACTTGCCCAGTAACAGCATCTCCATCAATAAACTGATGACAGTTCTGACTTTGAGCCACTGGAACCAATGAATTCTGCTTCTAAATAGCTTATGTTGAACCTCTCTTTTTGCCAGTAAAAGCTTTCCTTTACCCTTCTCTCACTTGTGGTTTGCCATTCCATGAATCCCAGATTATAATTCCCTTTTTCCATTCCAGAATAAATTCAATATATTTCGGGATAGTTTTCTCTAATGTCTTTTCTTTGGGTTGACGTAATCTGGTGTCAGAAGTGGGATGAAACAATTACCTTTGGAAGGGATCAGCGACCTTTGGGACAAGGCGAGGTACACACAATTGGGCCTTTTGTGCACTCCACCTCCACAGATTGCCTTTTTATTTTTCCTATCCAGATACAACTTCTCTCAGGTCAAGCTCCCTTCCTTGGTAGCAGTTGTCTGTTGACCTTATTCAGGATCTGGCTGGGTTAAGGGACCTTAGTAAAGGCTCTTGCTTCTGGGAATATTAAAGACTTTTTGTCTTTTCTGCCAAATCTTTTCTGGTACAAAGACAGTTTGTCTTTCTGGTTCTGGTAATGCACTTTTGGTTTCTGAGTATTTGCATACATTTACAGTTTTGTTTGCTGCTTGATTTTTTCCTTCTGTTTCCAAACATCTTTTGAGAACAAAATTTACTTTCTAAAAAGGTGGGCACAGTTGACCCTTTAAAAGCCATTAGGGCATTTGCCACCATTCTGCCAGGGATATCAGTCTCCAAAGAGAAGTCTCTCGCGTCAGGATAAACCGGGACACAGACAGAGAAGATTACCACTAGGGGGCCTGCCAGTTTCAAGAAAAGATGTATGCATCTAGAGAAAACTTGGTCACAGGTGGGGCGATTAGTGTACAGGCTCCAGCCATGTCAAACAAAACCCTGGGCCAGGCACACTAAAACAAACCCCTAAAATTCCCTGACAGGGCTTACAGATTTTTCTTTTGTTCTCAAGAGATTAATAAGAAGCAGAATGGGATCCCAAAATTCCAAAGGAGACAATAACGGTTCCCCTTCTGAGAACGCTGCAGGCCATATGTCAAAAAATTATCCTCCCAATGGAAAGAGTACACCAAAACTAATTTGGAGCTTCAGTAACCATCATAAGGGTCTTTTGAGTTCCTCCAAACTTGTCTTTCTTAGGACAAAATTAGAAGACTCTGGTCCTAAAATTAAACAATCCAAATGGGAGGCCTACTTCAACTGGCACCTAAAAGGTTCTAAGCACATTCAGGATTCTAACATTGCCTCCCTGCAAGACACTGTCCCCAAATTAACTGAGAAAAACAGTTAGGGAAAGATGACAAAGCCTTGGAGGCCCAGACTTTTTCCTCCCTGAAGGGGACCTCCCTTCTCTCTCCTCTGTCCCCTGTCTCCATCCTCCTTTGGCTGAAATGCCTTTCCCTCTAGATTCCTCAGCTCCTACTACCCTGAACCTGATCCTGTTAAAACCTGTCCTTCTAAAGTTAAGCTCACTAATGATTCCTCTAACCCCCACGTTTCTCATGTTCCTTGGTGCAAGGCTGAACTACAAGTCGCTGCAAAGAATTCCCAAAGTCTCTGAGGACCCTGACCAGCTTGCTGATGAATTCAACGTGGTAATTCAAGTGGATTAACCAGGAATTCTCATCTAGGCCAGAGGTTCACATGCCTGTTGGTGAAGGTCAGGCCCAATGCTGGATGGCCTAGGCTCGTTGACATGGCCCTGAGAAGGATTTAGATAAATATACATCCGAAGACTGTGAAAAAACCCAAAGCATGGCAAAAAAAGAACCTTCACAAGGCTATTCTGGAGGCTTTTCCTAAAACCTTAGGCTGAAATAAAATCAGGCCTGTACCCAAGATCATAATGAGCCAGTTTATAATTACTATAGTCAGCCTCAGGTTGCATTTTTTAAAAATTCTGAATTACCTGTAGATGTAGATTCTACTCAAGTAGTCTTTCATTTTATGTTGTGAAAGCCTTTTCTCAAGAATTTCCCCAGCTTGTTGAAAAAGCCCATGTAGGACTGGGCACAGTGGCTCATGCCTGTAATTCCAGCACTTTGAGAGGCTAAGATGAGAGGATTGCTTAAGACCAGGATTTGAAACCAGCCTGGGCAACATAGTGAGACCCCATCTCTACAAAAAAAATTTCAAAATTAGCTGGATATGGTGGTGCACACCTGTAGTCCCAGCTACTCGGGAGGCTGAAGTTGGAGGGTCACTGGAGCCTGGGAGTTGGAGGCTCCAGTAAGCTGTGATCAGGCCACTGTAATCCAGCCTGAGCAACAGAGTGAGACCCTGTCACACACACAAAAAAAGGGGAAAGAGCCCACATAAAATAGAAAACTATGCTCACTTCTGGTAGAGCTAATTTGACAAATCAGCTTGCCCACACACTTCAGGACGTTAATAAAAATAAAACCACTAAAGTTCTTTTGTTTTAAAACTTTTATTTTAGGTTCAGGGTACATGTGCAGGTTTGTTATATAGTAAACTCACGTCACAGGGGTTGGTTGTACAGATTATTTTGTCACCAGGTACTAAGCCTAGTACCCAATAGTTATTTTTTCTGATCCTCTCCCTCTGCCACCCTCCCGCCTCAAGAAGGATCCAGTATCTGTCGCTCCCCTCTTGTGTCCATGTGTTCTTATCATTTATCTCCCACTTACAAGTGAGAACATGTGGTATTTGGTTTTCTGTTCCTGCTTTAGTTTGCTAAGGATGATGGCATCCAGCTCCATCCATGTTCCTGCAAAAGATATGATCTTGTTCTTTTTTATGGTTACATGATATTTCGTGGTGTATGTGTGCTGCAGTTTCTTTATCCAGTCTGCCATTGATGGACATTTAGCTTGATTCCATGTCTTTGCTATTGTGAATAGTGCTACAGTGAACATATGCATACATATGTCTTTATGGTAGAACGACTTATATTCCTTTGGGTATATACCCAGTAATGGGATGGCTGGGTTGAATGGTAGTTCTATTTTTAGCTCTTTGAGGAATCTTCACACTGCTTTCCACAATGGTTGGACTAATTTACACTCCCACCAACAGTGTCTAAGCATTCCCTTTTCTCCACAACCTTGCCAGCACCTGCTATTTTTTGACTTTTTAGTAATAGCCATTCTGACTGGTGTGAGATATCTCACTGTGGTTTTGATTTGCATTTCTTTAATGATCAAAATGACTAAAATTCCTAACCTCCAATTACAACAGGTAGAGGCTCCCAGACGTAACACTAGGTGGAGACCCCCTGAGCTGGGCCATTTCTGTAAGAAGCCAGGCCACTGGAAAAGAGATGGGTGCAAAAGAAAAATGGAATCTCTTTCTCAACTCCTCCTCCTCCACCACCTACACTTAGAGACCGCTCTCAATGAAGGGGCTTCAAGAACTCATAGGGACTTTTTGCAGTTCTTACTTCTTCATCTGCATGAAATGATCCTTCAAGGTGGGAATGAGATACAGGACTAACACTATCAGTCCTTCACCCCACCAGCCTCAGTCAGCTCCTGCCTGGGAGTAATAGGAAGACAAACGGTGGGGCTTTCCCAGGAGGCTTTACCTGCTTTGTTTAGCAGCCCATTCCATTCTGCCTTGGCCCTCTCCAGGACACCCATCCCTCTCCAGGACACCCATCCCTCTCCAGGACACCCATCCCATTGTGCTTGTTCATTCTGCCCCTGTCCACCTCTTTAGATGTGATTTTCTGAAAAGATTACTACACTATTTTTTTTTTTCCTGAAAGGGGAAAACTGTTTTAGAATTTGACACACCAAACTGTACTGACTCAGCCTGGCAGTCTTCTGCCTCCCTGACTTCTCTCATGTGTTATATTGTTCAGAAAACAAAACTAATGTCACCCCTTCACTGCTGGACCAAATGCCTGGCTCTTTATGGGCAAAATAACTGACGTTGGCACAATTCATAGCACCCTTCCTCTGAAAATCCAGATTGATCCATCCAAACCCCTGCCTAACATTAAACAATATCCACTCAACCAGATGGTTCCAAACCTATTATAGAAGAATCCAAAAAAAGGGCTCGTTTTTCTATGAACTGGTCCTGGTAATACCCCAATTCTACCGAATAAAAAATTCTACCTAATAAAAAAACCAAACAACTGTGGGTAGAGGTTTGCTCAGGGCCTCTGAGGAACAAACCCATTGTTGTTCCAAGGCATACAGTGGTTTCAGCCACCACACTGTACTAAACCCAGCACTCACTGACAGCAGAACTTTCACCATCGTTGATCCGTGAAGTGCATGTGCAGTGTTATGCTGGATCCGGCCAGCTGAGAGCTTTTTCCTTTTACCTGGGAAGGCCAACAATTCACCAGGACAGGAAGGCCCCAGGATTTTACTGAAAGCCCTTCCTATTTTTCTCAAATATGAAAGGCGGACTTGGAGGATGTGGGTTTTCCCCTAGGCTCGACTTTACCACCATATGCAGATGACGTCCTTCTTTGCTCGCCTTCAAAGGTAGCCTGTGAGAAAGACTGCACATCTGTCAAAGCATCTGGCTGCCAAAGGACAAAAAGCCTCTCAAGAAACCTGAAGCTTGGCCAGGTGTGGTGGCTCATGCCTGCAACCCGAGCACTTTGGGAGGCCAAGGTGGGAGGACTGCTTGAGGCCAGAAGTTCAAAAACAGCCTGGTTAACATAGCGAGAGCCTGTCTCTATAATTTAACAATTTAAAAATTAGCCAGGTGTGGTGGTGCACTTGTAGTCCCAGCTACTTGAGAGGCTAAGGTGGGAGAATCACTTGAGCCCAGGGGGCTGAGGCTGCAGTGAGCAGTGATTGAACCTCTGCCCTCCAGCCTGGGTGACAGAGGGAGACCCTTTCTTAAAACAAACAAAAACTGCAGTTAGTAAAAACTTGGGTGAAATATTTGGGCTGTTCAATTTCAGAGAATGGATTTTAGATTCATTTAGATCCTGAGCTCAAGATGTTTTGCAATTTCCTCAGCAAAAGCCAAATGCCAACTCTGCGGTTTCTCAGATTTGCTGGTTACTGTCGTAGCTGAGTCCCTGGCTTTTCTTTCCTGGTCCAATTGCTATATGCTCTACATAAGTTACCAAACCTGCCCCCATTACTGGGACAGGATCTGAAGAGCAAGTTTCCAACAAACTAAAGGAGAAGTTGGCAAATCTTCCAGCTCTGGTTCATCCTAATTAGAAATTCCCCTTTTCCCTCTTTGTGTATGAAAAGGAAGGCAGCGCTTTGGGGATCTTAAGCCACAAGCATGGAGGCCAATGCCACCTTCTGGGACACTGTAGTCAACAACTCGATCCCATTGCCGGTGGAGTCCCTTCTGTCTGAGAGCAGTCCCCGCTGCAGCCCTGTTAGTCAAGGCAACTGAGGGATAGCTGTGGGACCCCCAAGTGTATGTGAGCCTCGAGCTGTGGATGCTCTCACACCTGCACCAGGCCTGGCAGCTTCCTGCCTACTCCCTCACTCCCTGCGGCCCCTGCAGCTCCTGCTCCTCCCACTCTCGCACCTGTAGTAACCTTACTCATGCAACTCTCCTGCCCTCTCCTTCAGGCCAGACTCCGCACACCTGCCTGACTCTGAGACCTCTTATCCCCTCGGTAGGGTCTGCAAGAGGCTCCCCTGGACAATGCTGAGCTGTCCTGGTTTACAGATGGCTCACATTTAAAGATCAGCTCTGGTCGGTATTACGCAGGCCATGCAATCACTACTGCCTTTGAAGTCGTGGAAGTGGCTGGTTTGTCTGTAGCCACTTCAGCCTGGCAGGCAAAGCTCTTTGACCTCCCCAAGGCAGTCTCCTTGCTGAGGAAAGACTGCTAAGGCTTGTACAGACAGCAGGGATGCTCTTGGAGTTGCCTGTGATTTTAGAATGCTGTGGAAGCAAGGAGACTTCCTCGCTTCCAACAGAGACAAAATAAAGAATGGGTCTTATGTACAAAAATTATTAAATACAACACAGCTACCTGCTGCCCTAGCCATTGTCAAAGCTCGGGGCCATTCAGAACTAGACTCTGGGCCGGGTGCGGTGACTCATGTCTGTAATCCCAGCACTTTAGGAGGCCGAGGCTGGGTGGATCACCTGAGGTCAGGAGTTTGAGACCAGCCTGGCCAACATGGTGAAACCCCATCTCTACTAAAAAATACAAAAATTAGCTGGGCGTGGTGGCGGATGCCTGTAATCCCAGGTACTCAGGAGGCTGAGGCAGGAGAATCACTTAAACCTGGGAGGCAGAGGTTGCAGTGAGCTGAGATCATGCCACTGTACTCCAGCTTGGGTGACTGAGGGAGATTTGGTCTCAAAACAAAACAAAACAATACAAAACTACACTCAGTGGGAATAATGGACACTGGAGACTCCAAAAGGTGGAAGGGTGGGAGGGAGGTCAAGGTTGAAAAATTACCTATTGGGTACAGTGTTCGCCAGTCTGGTGATGGGTACACTTAAAGGTCCGGACTTTACCACTACACAATATGTGCATGTAAGAAACCTGCACTTGTACCTCCTGAATATGTTGAAATAAAAATTAATTTTTTAAAAAAGAAACTAGGCTCCATGGAAGCTAGAGGAAATCACATTGCTGGTCACGCAGCAAAGGATGCTGCCCTTAAAGGGCCTATTGACAAATCTCCGTCATGGCCCAGCTAAAAAGGTTCCTGAAAGATAATCTTAAAACAATTACTAAAGATGCACAGAATTAGGCACCAGAGGCCAAAAAATAAAAGTGGGAAAATAATGTCTGCTGGTTCAATGATCAAGAAGAACTCTGGTTTTGGGCAAATGAAAATCCTGTCCCACACAACACTCGATGAGATTTCCATTATTAACTACTGTACATGACTTAAGTCATTGGCTACAGAAAAGATAATGATCTTTATGAGACAATACTGGTAGAGTAATATCAATGAAGTGGCCAAGGCCAAGTGCAGTGGCTCACACTTGTAATGCCAACACTTTGGGAGGCTGAGGCGGGCAGATCACCTGAGGTCAGGAGTTTGAGACCAGCTGGCCAACATGGCGAAACCCCGTCTCTACTAAAAATACAAAAATTAGCTGGGCGTGGTGGGTGCCTGTGATCCCAGCTACTCAGGAGGCTGAGGCAGGAGAATCGCTTGAACCCAGGAGGTGGAGGTTGCAGTGAGCTGAGATCATGCCATTGCACTTCAGCCTGGGCAACAGAGTGAAACAAACAAACAAACAAAAAAATGAAGTGGCCAAAAATGCTTAGTTGGCCTGCCCCACTCATCCTAAGCTCAATCTTGGAAAGCCAGTGCACACAACCCCTGCCATTTTCACCACCCTCAGAGTTCCACAGAGCTCCACAGCCACCAAGGAACTGTAACTGTATCCCCTGTTCAAAAATTTAAAAACATAAAAATACATGAAAAGCAAGAAAAAATACATGTTTAAAAGAAAAACCCAGAGTGGTGAATATTAGTGTGTTATCTGAGAAATACTCCCTATCTTAGAATGAGTTCCTCATGCCCGTTAACACCCATGTTGTAAGGTGAACATTTGCTAGCCTCATCCAGACAGAATGGACCAAGAGCAGGCGTGTGTCTTTGTTGGCCAGCTTGGTTAATGAGATGAGATTAGACATGCTCCTTCTTCACCTCTTCACCAGACTCACAGACTCTGACCAATGAAAATGGTCTTAATTATGATTTTCTTTCTATTCATTGTCTGTTGGGTTCCTACCTATGCTGATTTTCACAGTCTTGAAAGTGTGTATTTTTTTAAAAACATTTTTTTAATTTCCAACTTTTATTTCAAGTTCAGGGGTACATGTGCAGGATGTGCAGGCTTGTTACATAGGTAAACGTGTGTCATAGTAGTTTGCCGCAAAGATCATCCCATCACCCAGGTATTAAGCCAGCATCCATTAGCAATTCTTCCTGATGCTCTCCCTCCTCCCCCTGCACCCTCCAGCAGACTCCAGTGTGTGTTGTTCTCCCCCTGTATGTTCATGTGTTCTCGTCATTTAGCTACCACTTACAAGTGAGAGCATGTGGTATTTGGTTTTCTGTTCCTGCGTTAGTTTGCTAAGGATAATGGTCTCCACCTTCATCCATGTCCCCATAAAGAACATGATCTCGTTTCTTTCTATGGCTGTATAGTATTCCATGGTATATATGTATCACATTTTCTTTATCCAGTCTATCATTGATGGGGATTTATGTTGATTCCATGTCTTTGCTATTGTGAACAGTGCTGCAATGAACATATGCATGCATGTATCTTTTAATAGAATGATTATATTCCTTTGGGTATATACCCAGTAATGGGATTGCTGGGTCAAATGGTATTTCTGCCTCTAGATCTTTGAGGAATCACCACACTGTCTTCCACAATGGTTGAACTAATTTACACTCCCACCAACAGTGTAAAAGTGTTTGTTTTTCTCCACAACCTCACCAGCATCTGTTGTTTTTTGATTTTTAGTAATAGTCAGTCTGACTGATGTGAGATGGTACCTCATTCTGGTTTTGATTTGCATTTCTATAGTGATCAGTGATGTTGAGCTTTTTTTCATGTTCATTGGTCACATGTATGTCTTCTTTTGAGAAGTGTCTATTCATGTTCTTTGCCCAAAAGTGTGTATTTTTGTACTTCTCTATTTGGACAAGTACAGAAGTGTCATTTTGTATGTTTCTATTTGGACAATATGTGTAGGTGCAACATTTACAACCCCACTGTACAATCTGACACCATTGTCCACAATAATATGTCAACAGGGTAGCCTGACAGCCCATATTTGAGGCTTTCCACTTTTAATTCTTTTTTAAACATAAGAATCGACTTTATTCTGCCTTATTTGTGCATAAGACTACCTTCAGTATTATCTGACGACAAACCAAAGACTAGATGTTTTCTACAGATTACCAACTCTCCAGAAGAGAAGCAGTCAAACTTATAATTGCTAAAAATCATGAAATGAAAAGGAAGCTCCACAAAAGGGAAGAGGGAAAGTGTAGGAATTAGACATGGGGATTTCCATTCCCTGTTACTCTGGAAACCATGGTGACTGAGAGCTGTGATTAAACCATATAATATGCCGATATAAACTTAGAAGAATCTGGGAAAGAAGAAATTTCTCTGGCCAGGTGTGGTGGCTCACGCCTGCAATCCCAGCACTTTGGGAAGCCGAGGTGGGTGGATTGCTTAAGCTCAGGAGTTGGAGAGCTCAGGAGTTCCAGACCAGCCTGGGCAATATGGCAAAACCCCATCTCTACCAAAAATACAAAAATTAGCTGGGTGTGGTGGCATGTGCCTCTAGTCCCAGCTACTTGGGAGGCTGAGGTGGGAGGATCTCTTAAGCCTGGGAGGTGAAGGCTGCAGTGAGCTGCGGCCACTGCACTCCAGCCTGGGCAACAGAGTGAGGCCCTGTCTTCAAAATAAAAATAATAATAATAATAAATAAATCCCTTCTATCTATTCAGTTCCTTTTCCTTCCAGACAAAATTTTTCCACACAAATCAATTTGTTTGCTAACTGCATCAGGATTTTCTCTAAACCATAATACAATCGGCAGATTAGTTGTCCAGTGGAAATAACCTTCTCCTGTATGGTCTAGGCTTGTTTTAAATGCTCTACCATCACTGGGCTTGGGATTGCAATCCTCAAAACTTCTGGGAAATCTGAAAATGAAGTTACAAATTAAATCATAGGTCTCCAAGAAGCCTGGAATTTTGATACATTCATCCCGGTTTTCTTCCACCCAAGTGTATATTCCGTGGGCTGTATCTGTGGGGAATCTGCTTTCCTGCCCATGAACACACCGAAATGGTTCTGCGAAGATGCCTTTCTCTGGAAGAGCATTTTGCTTTTGTTAATGAGGCAGAAAATCGATCTCATATTGTTGAGTAACCACACCCTTCCTAGCACTTGGTTTTTACAAGACCACATTGTTGAAATGATGGACGTGCTCCTAAAAAGCTGTGTATCAACTTCATTTTTAAACTTTTAATTGAATTTTATATTAGTGGCAACCACTATTTAAAGAAACCCTCTACTCTAGGCTAGGCGCGGCGGCTCACGCCTGTAATCCCAGAGCTTTGGCAGGCGTAGGTGGGCGGATCACCTGAGGTCAGGAATTCTAGACCAGCCTAGCCAACAAGGCGAAACCCCGTTTCTACTAAAAACAATACAAAAATTAGCCAGGCGTGGTAGTGCCTGCCTGTAATCCCAGCTATTCGGGAGGCTGAGGCGCTAGAATCCCTTGAACCCGGGAGGTGGAGGTTGCGGTGAACCAAGATCGCACCACTGCACTACAGCCTGGGTGACAGAACGAGACTCTATCTAAACAAACAAACAAACAAAAAACCCTAAAATAAATTATTTGTAACATGAACAGAATGAACAGATCCTCCCCCAAACTGATATTTTTTGTGGGACTGGACCTTTCTTAAAGGATTTTCTTAAATAGAATTATTTCAGATCATCACTTACTTAGATGTGTAGCTATATTAGGTCACAAGATTGTGTACTTATAATCATAAAACGTATACTTAATAATGAATCCCAACCTGACCTCAAAAGACTATATCATATAATACTATATTAACATTACATATTTATTGGTCGGGCACGGTGGCTTACGCCTGTAATCCCAGCACTTTGGGAGGCCGAGGTGGGTGGATCACGAGGTCAGGAGTTCAAGATCAGCCTGGCCAAGATGGTGAAACCCCGTCTCTACTAAAAATACAAAAAATTAGCCAGGCTTGGTGGTGGGTGCCTGTAATCCCAGCTACTTTAGAAGCTGAGGCAGGAGAATCGCTTGAACCTGGGAGGTGGAGGTTGCAGTGAGCCGAGATCGCACCACTGCACTCCAGCCTGGGTGACAGAGCAAAACTCCGTCTCAAAAATAAATAAGTAAAATAAAAATAAATAAATGAAAAATAAAATTACATATTTATTATGTTTTATATTGTTATATAATATAAAAAGTCGGTTTTTCGGGGTTTTTTGTTTGTTTGTTTGTTTGTTTGAGATAGTCTCGCTCTGTCACCCAGACTAGAGGGCAGTGGCGCGATCTCTGCTCACTGCAACCTCCACCTCCCGGGTTCAAGCGATTCTCGTGCCTAGGCCTCCCGAGTAGCTGGGATTACAGGTGAGCACATCAAGCCCAGCTAATTTTTTGTAATTTTAGTAGAGACGAGGTAAAAAGTAGAAAATATTTTATAAAAATATATTTGTGTAAAGTAGAACATATATAAAAACATACTAAAGGAGAAAGGAGAAAAAAATTCTTTCATTTATTTTTTTCCCAGGCATTTTAAATTTGGATTATAAAAATCATTTTAGAAAAATCATTAATGCTCTTTTACAAAATAACCCGGTGAAGCAGCTGAGCCCGAGCCGCCCGCCAGCGGCCCCGCAGCAGCTCCAAGAAGGAACTAAGAGACCAAGGCCTTCCTGCTGCCCGGACCCGACACCGCTACCCTGGCTCCCCGCCGGCAGCCGGCAGCCAGCGGCAGCGGATCGACCCCGTTCTGCGGCCGTTGAGTAGTTTTCGATTTCGGCTGATTTTTGTCCCTCTGCGCTTGCCCCCGCTCCCCTCCCTCCGGCTACGCCCCCGGCCCCGGCACGCGCTCTACTCCTGTAACGGAAAGGTCGCGGCTTGTGTGCCTGCGGGCAGCCGTGCCGAGAATGAACCCCAGCACCCCCAGCTACCCAACGGCCTCGCTCTACGTGGGGGACCTCCACCCCGACGTGACTGAGGCGATGCTCTACGAGAAGTTCAGCCCGGCAGGGCCCATCCTCTCCATCCGGATCTGCAGGGACTTGATCACCAGCGGCTCCTCCAACTACGCGTATGTGAACTTCCAGCATACGAAGGACGCGGAGCATGCTCTGGACACCATGAATTTTGATGTTATAAAGGGCAAGCCAGTACGCATCATGTGGTCTCAGCGTGATCCATCACTTCGAAAAAGTGGAGTGGGCAACATATTCGTTAAAAATCTGGATAAGTCCATTAATAATAAAGCACTGTATGATACAGTTTCTGCTTTTGGTAACATCCTTTCGTGTAACGTGGTTTGTGATGAAAATGGTTCCAAGGGTTATGGATTTGTACACTTTGAGACACACGAAGCAGCTGAAAGAGCTATTAAAAAAATGAACGGAATGCTCCTAAATGGTCGCAAAGTATTTGTTGGACAATTTAAGTCTCGTAAAGAACGAGAAGCTGAACTTGGAGCTAGGGCAAAAGAGTTCCCCAATGTTTACATCAAGAATTTTGGAGAAGACATGGATGATGAGCGCCTTAAGGATCTCTTTGGCAAGTTCGGGCCCGCCTTAAGTGTGAAAGTAATGACCGATGAAAGTGGAAAATCCAAAGGATTTGGATTTGTAAGCTTTGAAAGGCATGAAGATGCACAGAAAGCTGTAGATGAGATGAATGGAAAGGAGCTCAATGGAAAACAAATTTACGTTGGTCGAGCTCAGAAAAAAGTGGAACGGCAGACGGAACTTAAGCGCACATTTGAACAGATGAAGCAAGATAGGATCACCAGATACCAGGTTGTTAATCTTTATGTGAAAAATCTTGATGATGGTATTGATGATGAACGTCTCCGGAAAGCGTTTTCTCCATTTGGTACAATCACTAGTGCAAAGGTTATGATGGAAGGTGGTCGCAGCAAAGGGTTTGGTTTTGTATGTTTCTCCTCCCCAGAAGAAGCCACTAAAGCAGTTACAGAAATGAACGGTAGAATTGTGGCCACAAAGCCATTGTATGTAGCTTTAGCTCAGCGCAAAGAAGAGCGCCAGGCTTACCTCACTAACGAGTATATGCAGAGAATGGCAAGTGTACGAGCTGTGCCCAACCAGCGAGCACCTCCTTCAGGTTACTTCATGACAGCTGTCCCACAGACTCAGAACCATGCTGCATACTATCCTCCTAGCCAAATTGCTCGACTAAGACCAAGTCCTCGCTGGACTGCTCAGGGTGCCAGACCTCATCCATTCCAAAATAAGCCCAGTGCTATCCGCCCAGGTGCTCCTAGAGTACCATTTAGTACTATGAGACCAGCTTCTTCACAGGTTCCACGAGTCATGTCAACGCAGCGTGTTGCTAACACATCAACACAGACAGTGGGTCCACGTCCTGCAGCTGCTGCTGCTGCTGCAGCTACCCCTGCTGTGCGCACGGTTCCACGGTATAAATATGCTGCGGGAGTTCGCAATCCTCAGCAACATCGTAATGCACAGCCACAAGTTACAATGCAACAGCTTGCTGTTCATGTACAAGGTCAGGAAACTTTGACTGCCTCCAGGTTGGCATCTGCCCCTCCTCAAAAGCAAAAGCAAATGTTAGGTGAACGGCTCTTTCCTCTTATTCAAGCCATGCACCCTACTCTTGCTGGGAAAATCACTGGCATGTTGTTGGAGATTGATAATTCAGAACTTCTTTATATGCTCGAGTCTCCAGAGTCACTCCGTTCTAAGGTTGATGAAGCTGTAGCTGTACTACAAGCCCACCAAGCTAAAGAGGCTACCCAGAAAGCAGTTAACAGTGCTACCGGTGTTCCAACTGTTTAAAATTGATCAGAGACCACGAAAAGAAATTTGTGCTTCACCGAAGAAAAATATCTAAACATCGAGAAACTATGGGAAAAAAAATTGCAAAATCTAAAATAAAAAATGCAAAATCTAAAATAAAAAATGGAAAGGAAACTTTGAACCTTATGTACCGAGCAAATGCAAGGTCTAGCAAATATAATGCTAGTCCTAGATTACTTATTGATTTAAAAACAAAAAAAAGATTACTTAATTTTGATTTAAAAACAAAAAATCGTAAAATACAAAAACCAGTTAATGTTTTGTAGACCCTGGGAAAAGAATTTTCAGCAAAGTACAAAAATTTAAAGCATTCCTTTAATTTTTTAATTCTTTACTGTGGAATAGCTCAAAATGTCCATTCTGTTTTAAGTAACAGAATTGATAACTGAGCAAGGAAACATGGTTTGGATTATAAAATTCTTGCTTTAATAAAAATTTCTTAAACAGTGAAAAAAAGAAAAATCATCAATTTTACTAATAGTCTTTCTTTACATTTTCTATTATTCTATCTCCCACTATATTTCAAATATGAAAATCACTTTTTCACCAAAATTTTAGGTCTTTACATAATAGTGTTTATTTTTAATATTCATAAATGAAAATATGCAATGACAAAATAGTAATTATAAATTCAGTAACATTTGTTCAAAATTGTAAGACAATTATTAATTTATACTGCATTATTTTTAAATAAAAAATAAATACATAGTTTTAAAAATCTAATTGAACAGGAGGCTAAACATGGTTCTGATCACAGAGATAATCACTTTTAATCATTTGGTTTTAGTGTTTCTGGTAGTTGATTTTCTTCAATAATAATTGTACATAGTTATTTCTTGGTTTATCAATTTTGTAATTTAACTATTGACTTCCTGCTGTAACAAATAAGGATATGTTTCATCTACCTCTTCCCACCATCCCTCCTCCTCCTCCCAATATAATTTATCACTACTTGTAGCTCCTTTATTGGTAATATTAATTAATATAAATATTTATAATTAATGTTACACCTAGTGAATTGTATAAAAGGACAGCCCATTTGAGCATTCTCCTTTAAGATGAGTAGAGGCTGTGACATTGCACTACATAGAAATATAATTATACCATATTACTTTGCAATAAACTATGTATTATAGAGAGATGGTCACTATGTAATGTGGGTATAGCTATACACACACATACACACAAACATATAAATAATGTGTGTGCATATATATAATATACACACATGTATGTTATACACACACACACATATGTATATATATATACATATATTATATATATATAAAAAATACATGCTGTTTATTCATCCCCATTTTGGGGGCCTGTAGGTAAATTATGGAGAAATCCCTTATGGTTAAAGTTAAATGATTTTCATAACTCATAAAATTAGAATGTTCATATTTGAAAAAAATATAAAGATGTTTTGAGGTATATTATTTACTCACTGACAATGTCTGATGTATACGTGGTCCATACAGCAGGGCTTCAGTCCTCAGATGTTGCCAGTTTCCAGGTTGTTAAATACAAGTTTGCTGAAGGTCTTGTCATAAGTACCCCAATAGTTTAAATAGTGTCTTCTTCTTTTTTGTTTTATTTACTTTATTTAGAGACAGGTCTCACTGTCACCCACACTGGAGTGCAGAGGTGCGATGTTGGCTCACTGCAATCTCTGCCTCCTGGGCTCAAGCAATTCTCCCACCTCAGCTTCACAAGTAGCTGGGACTACAGGCGTGCGTCAACACACCAGGCTAATTTTTTGTATTTTTTGTAGAGACAGTGTTTGCCATGTTGCCCAGGCTGGTTTCAAACTCCTGAGCTCAAGGGATCCACCCACCTTTGCCTTCCAAAGTGCTGGGATTACAGGTGTGAGCCACCACGCCCGGCCTTATTTTTAAAAATGGGTTATTCTCGGTTTAGCAATCTTTCTGTTTTTTTTTTTTTTTTTTTTTTTTGAGACGGAGTCTCTCCCTGTGGTGGCGTGATCTCGTCTCTCTGCAAGCTCCACCTCCTGGGCTCAAGCCATTCTCCTGTCTCAGCCTCCCAAGTAGCTAGGACTACAGGCGCCTGCCACTACACCTGGCTAATTTTTTTTTTTTTTTGTATTTTTAGTAGAGATGGGTTTGCACCGTGTTAGCCAGGATGGTCTTGAACTCCTGACCTTGTGACCTGCCCGCCTTGGCCTCCCAAAGTGCTGGGATTACAGGCGTGAGCCACCATGCCTGGCCAGCAATCTTACAATTTAACCTTCTATTGACTTCCTGCCAAATTAGATTATAAGCTTCCTAAATACAGAAACTGGGTTTGCATAACAGACAATTAAATGCTTGTTGATTGGTCAACATCATATGTCCTGAGGAATTTCATATACTTAACAATCAAGTGCTTAAATTCTCATAACACTTCTCAGAATAGCTGAGGGAATATTGGTGTGAGTGTGCAATGCTATTCTAGATGATGTGGGACAAACAGAAAGAAATGATCTCCAGTCCACACTCTTGAGAAGTGCCCCCTATCCTGGACGACACACACGTCCACAAGTAGCTCCTGGCCATATGGAGGGATGAGCAAAGTATAGGGGGAAGCACAATGTACCCAGCAGAGAGATCTGGGAAGACCTTGTGCATAAGATGGCTTGTGAGCCGAGCTTTCAAAGATGAGTGGGATTTTGAGGATAGTCAAGAAGAGAAGAGGAGTCCGAGGCCAAGGGAATTTGACTAAAGGCAGATGTTTCACCAGATTTGACAATGCGTTCCATGGAGTAGTGTTGCCTCTGAGAAGCAGCTGCTTGTTTAGAGGCTGTGTGTCCCAGCTCCTTTCTGCATCAGGACAGGGCATGTCACTAGCCCTTACCCAGGGGATGTTAGTGGGAGTGATGCATGTCTTTCAAGGCAAGGCAGTTAAGAAACTGATGGGCTCTCCAATGTCACTTTCCCCATCCACTGGGTGAAGAACATTGCAATTCCTTGAGAGAGGAGCCACAGGACAGAGGGAGTGTGCATGTGTGTGTGTGTGTGTGTGTGTATATATATACGTATACACACACACATATATATATATATAGAGAGAGAGAGAGAGAGAGATACGGTCTTGTTTTGTCTTCCATATTGGAGTACAGAGGTGGGATCATAGCTCACTGTAGTCTTGAATTCCTAGGCTCAAGCAATCTTCCCACCTCAGCCTCCCAAGTAGCTAGGAGTAAAAGCACACACCACCATGCCTGGCTAATTTATTTTATTTAGTTAGTTTGTAGAGACAGGAGCCTTGCTATGTTGCCTAGGCTGTTCTTGAACTCCTGGCCTTAAGCAATCCTTCTGCCTCAAGCCTCCCAAAGCACTAGGATTACAGGTGTGAATCATCACACCCAGCCTAGGTATATTTTATTTTACATAAAATTACAATGTTTTATATAAAATATGTACATTACTGTATTTGACTTGAATGTTATTACAGTCAATTATTCAAACTTGAATTAAGTCCAACTGCCTGATCAGTGATACATTAAAATATCATAATATTTACTTATCCAGCAATCTCAACTCTTTTAGTCCCTTCAGGCTGTTATAACAAAATACCATAAACTGCGTGGCTTGTAAACAACAGAAATTTATTTCTCACTGTTCTAGAGATCGGGAAGTCCAAGATCAAGGTGCCAGCAGATTCAGTATCTGGTGCCTGGTAAGGATCTGCTTTCTGGTTCATAGAGTCTGTCTTTTCGCTGTATCCCCACATAGGAGGAATCAGCCCTACTGGGCCTCTTCTATAAGGGTATTAATCTTTTCCCCGAGGATTTCACTCTCATGACCTGATGACTACCCAAAGACGCCACCTCTTATCATCGTATTGGGGGTTAGGACTCAGCATAGGAGCTTCTAGGGAACATAAAGATTCAGTCCGCTGCATCAACTACCTAATACAGAATGGAAAACATATACGCAAACAGGGCCTTTAGCCAGCCGCAATTAGTAATACAAAGAGCACACATTTTCTTCTTCCTGGAACATCCAAAATGCCCTCACTCACAAACAAGCTACTCTTATTTTATATAAATTTAAATGTGTATATATATATGTTAATATATATAAATCTAACACGGATAGTTATTTCCTTCTTACTAGAAAATCAAATTGAGAGAGAACAGAAATAAATGCACTAAAAGCAGCAAGAAGTAATACTTGGTACTCAAATATCAAGAAACAGGAAAAAAGCAACATAAGTACTCAACAATAATAGCATCAGCAGGCCAGGCGAGATGGCTCACGCCAATAATCCTAGCACTTTGAGAGGCTGAGGCAGGCAGATCCCTTGAGCCCAGGAGTTCGAGATCAGCCTGGCCAACATGGCGAAACCCTGTCTCTACCAAAAAATATATATATACAAAAATGGAACAAATGTCAGTGACAATGGTAACTGTGAGTCCACAGGAGAAAGCAGGATTGTCCTCAGTTTATTGTCACTAAAAAGGCATGTAAGCAGGCAGAACCATGTAGACATATCCTTCCCCAAAGAAAAGTTTTAAAGAAGAGTTTTCTCCTTGAGACGATAATAAACTTTCTTGGCCGGGCGCGGTGGCTCACGCCTGTAATCCCAGCACTCTAGAAGGTCGAGGCAGCCAGATCACCTGAGGTCAGAAGTTCAAGACCAGCCTGGCCATGGTGAAACCCTGTCTCTACTAAAAATAAAAAAAAATGAGCCAGGTGCAGTGGTGCGCACCTGAAATCCCAGCTACTTGGGAGGCTGAGGCAGGAGAATCGCTTGAACCCGAGAGGCGGAGGTTGCAGTCAGCCGAGATCGCACCATTGCACTCCAGCCTGGGCAACAAGAGCAAAACTCTATCTCAAAAAAAAAAAAAAAAAGATGATAATAAAGTTTTTTTATGTGGAAACCTTCTTTTCCTAGGAATGCTGTCAACATGAAACATTACTGGGGTTTATTCCAGAAATGCAAAGTTAGTTAACATTTAAAAATCAATCAATGTAATTTATCATATTAATCGAATAAAAGAGAAAACCCAATGGTCATCTCGGTAATATTAAAAAACTTTTATAAAATTTGAGGTCTAGTCATAAAATGCAAAAGCTCAGTAAACTAGGAATAGATAAGCTCAGTAAACTAGGAATAAAGTATATTTATAAAACATCTAGAATAACATCATGTTGTTCTAATGGTGAAATATTGAATGTGTTCCCTGTCAAGGAACAAGAAAAGAAAACCCATGATCAACATTTCTATTCAACATTGGACTAAAAAACCTAACCAGTACAATAGGCAAGAAAGACAAATTAAAGCATAAAGATAGGAAAGAAAAAGTAAGCTGTCATTATTCATAAATGACATGAGTGCATACATAGAAAAGCCCAAAGAATCTATTAATAAATTGAAAGGATGAGTAAACTTAGTAGGTCACTGGATTCAAGGTCAATATACTGGAAATCAATTGTATTTCTACATACTCACACAAACCAATTTAAATATAAAATTTAAAAACCAATATCAATACAATCCTCTTGGAAAATAGTTTAGCACTTTCTTAAAAAGTTAAACCTATACCTACCAGAAGATCCAGGTATTTTGCTCTTAGTATTTTACCCAAGAGAAAAAAAACCATATGTTTATACAAAGACTTGTACAAATGTTCACAGCAGCTTCATTTGTAATATCCCGAAACTGAAAACAACCCAAGGGCCCATCGAAAGGCTAAACAAATTGTGATATAGTTATACAATAGAACACTACCAGGCTATGAAAAGACTGAACTAGTGATATGTACAAAAACACAGAGAAATCTTAGAATAATTATGCTGAGTGGGAAAAAAAACCAAGCCAAGGAAGAGAATACATAAAAATTCTAGAAAAGTTCAAACTAATCTATAATGTTAGAAAGGAGATCAGTGGTTGCTGGAGGGTGGGAAGGTCAGGTCAGGCAGAGAGCAGCCACAAGGGAGGATACCACAGGGGCAGGAGAAAACTTTTGAAAGTGATATGTTTGTTTGTTTGTTTATTTATTTTGAGACAGAGTCTCGCTCTGTCGCCCAGGCTGGAATGCAGTGGTGTAATCTCAGCTCACTGCAACCTCCACCTCCTGGGTTCAAGCGATTCTCCTGCCTCAGCCTCCTGAGTGGCTGGGACTACAGGTGCCCGGCACCACGACTGGTTAATTTTTGTATTTTTAGTAGAGATGGGATTTCATCATGTTGGCTAAGTTGGTCTTGAACTGACCTCAGGTGATCTGCCCACCTCGGCCTCTCAAAACGATATGTTTGTTATCTTAATTGTGGTGATGGTTTGATGGTGTATACATTTGTCAAAACCTATCAAATTTTACACTTAAATAAGTGCAATATATAACATATCAATAAAGCTCTTTAATTTTTTAAAATAAAGAAATGAATGGATTGTGCAGAAAAAAATATGATTTCTGACAGCATAAACAACCCCCATTTCATCAAGTATCTAGGAATGCATCTAACAAGAGATGTGCAAAATTGCTACATTGAAAGTTACAAAACACTGTAGCAAGAAATCTTAACCTAAATAAATGGAGGGATATGCCATGTTCATGGACTGGAAAACTCACTATGATAAGATGGCAGTTCCTTTCAAATTTTTCTACAGATTCAATGAAATCCCAAATAAAATCTCAGCAGGATTTTCAATGAACAAACCAAATGTAAAATTTATCTGAAAATACAAAGAACCGGCTGGGCACAGTGGCTCATGCCTGTAATCCCAGCATTTTGGAAGGCCGAGGCGGGCAGATCACCTGAGGTCAGGAGTTTGAGACCAGCCTGGTCAACCTGGTGAAACCCCGTCTCTACTAAAAAT
Source organism: Homo sapiens (assembly GCF_000001405.40). Classification (NCBI taxonomy): domain Eukaryota; kingdom Metazoa; phylum Chordata; class Mammalia; order Primates; family Hominidae; genus Homo; species Homo sapiens. Next base: position 25,104,941 of record NC_000013.11, read on the forward strand.
ACAAAAATTTGCCGGGTGTGGTAGTGGGTGCCTGTAATCCCAGCTACACAGGAGGCTGAGGCAGGAGAATCGCTTGAACCTGGGAGGTGGAGGTTGCAGTGAGCAGAGATGGTGCCACTGTACTCCAGCCTGGGCAGCATAGCAAGAATCCATCTCAAAAAAAGAAAAGAAAATAAAAGAAAAATACAAAGAACCTAAAATAGCCAAACAATCTTGAAAAAAAAACAGAGTTGGAGATTGACACTGCTAGATATCAAGATCTACTGTGAAGCTACAGCAATAATTAAGACTATGGTATTTGCGCAAGGATAAACAAATAGAATAATAAGCAAATTAGAGTATCCGGAACAGACACACATAGAGTCATTTGATTTACAATAAAGTAAGACACTGGCTCAATTGGACATCCAATGACCTTGACCTCCACCTCACAGCATACACAAAACATAATCTGAGATAGACCATTGACTCAAAAGTGTAAGATAAGACAATAAACTTCTAGAAAAAATATAGAATACTTTAAAAGCCACGCGTAGGCCACATTTTTAAAACAGGACACAAAAGCAGTAGCAATAATAGAAAAGATTGATAAATTGGTCTTTATTAAAATTAAGAACTTTTGTTCAATAAAAGACAACATTGAAAGTAAAAAAGCAAGCCACGGACTGGGAGAAGACATTTGCCATCCCCATGTCTGGCAAAGGACTCATTCTGAATATTCAAAGAACTCCGACAAAACACCACCACCCAGTGCAACTTGAATTTATCTATTATTTTTTACTAAATGAGAAAAAGACTCAAATGGACAATGAACAAATTAAAATACCCAAATAGCCAGTAAGTATTTAAAAAGATGTTCAGCAGGATTCACTACCTGTACAGTACAAATTAAAACCACAATGAGGCCGGGCCCGGTCACTCACACCTGTAATCCCGGCACTTTGGGAGGCTAGGCAGGTGGGTCACTTGAGGTCAGGAGTTCAAGACCAGCCTGGCCAACATGGCAAAACCCCGTCTCTACTAAAAATAGAAAAATTAGCCAGGTGTGGTACCGGGTTCCTGTAATCCCAGCTACTCGGGAGGCTGAGGCAGGAGAATCACTTGAACCTGGGAGGTGGAGGTTGCAATGAGCAGAGATCATGCTACTGCACTCCGGCTTGGGTGACAGAGTGAGACTCCATCTCAAAAAAAAAAAAGAAAAGAAAAGAAAAGAAAAAGAAAAAAACAAAACAAAACAGTGAGCTATTACTACACCCCCACCAGGATGGCTAAAATTAAGACTAACAATACCAAGTGATGGAGAGGACATGAAACAACCGAAACTTGCATATATTGCCAGTGGGATGTAAACGGTTACTTTGGAAAACTGGCATTCTACAAAAATGGAATGTACATACATCCCAAGATTTTCATTCATAGGTATATATTCAACAGAAGTGAGGCCTTAACAGAAAAACATGTACAAGAATGCTCACAGCACCTTTATTCATAATACCCCCAAACTAGAAAATCTAAATGTCTATCAACTAAAGAACAGAAAAATGAATACATACGGAAATATTAAAGAAAGGAGCACTACACTGCAACGAGAAAGAGCAAACTACTGAAGAATGTGCTGCATGGATGACTCGCAGACATTGTGATAAACAAAAGGAAAGGGACCTGACAGGGCACATGCTGACTGACCCATTTTATATGAAGATCAAGGACAGACAACGCTAATCGTGATGGTAGAAAAAGAACAGGTGGTCGACTTTGCCAGTGGTGGGGGCATTGACTGGAAAGAGGCAAGAAGGAACCATTTGGGGTGCCGGTAACTTTCTATACCTTCACCTGGGTGGTTGGTAAATGAGTTTATTCATGTGCGAAAACTCACCAACCTGCACAGTTATAGATCAACTTTTAAAAATTAAAGAAGGTGGAAGAGAAGCTGAAGCAACACATTCCCCTGAGAGTTGCTAAACAAAGTTCCTGCCCTAGTGTCAGAATGGTATTGAGATAAACACAGGAAACTTTCTTAGTAAGGAGAAAGTTACACTCCGTAGACAGCATTCCTAATTAATTGCCTCCATGGGTGAGGACACTGCTAATTAAGCTTTTGATTGAAATTTTCAGAAAATCCAACTCAAACTGGTTTAAAGAAATGTATGACTACACTAAAGGGAAGTCTAGAGATTCGTGGTTGGTTGACCCAACTGCTCAGTCCCAGCTCTGACAGCTCCGCTGTCTGTCTCACTCCTCTACTGTACACAGTGTGGGTTTCAGCTTCAGCTGGATCCACACTGTGGAGGACCAGGGAGACCATTGCAGTCCAGGCTACAACCGTCTTCATTTTTGCCTGGAGAATTACTACTAGATCTCCCCGGAGAGTGAGGAAGGATGTCCCCAGAACCTCTAGCAAACCACTTCTTATGTGTCATTGGCCCAAATTTAGTCACAGTTTTGTCTAAATCTATCACTGGCAGTGAGAACACAAAGATTGGTTTAGTCTAATGAGGGCGACCCTAGGGCTGATAATAGGGTGCATACTGGAACAAAATCAGGGTTCTGTTTAGAACGAGGAAGCGGGGGCTGGGAAATTGATGCTGGGTTGGCAACTAACAATATCCAATACAATTTCCTCAAGAAGATTGAAAGCACCTGGGTGGCAGGGACTGTGTTTTAGACCTCTCCCTTATCTTCACAACCTGTTACTGTCTGGGGGCTATGAGATTAGGGGGTCCCACTAGGGACTGGGGAATATGTAGGACCCCAGAGTCACATACATTAGAGGAATAGTGGCTGATGCCACTAAGTGGTTAACCACCCAAAAATGTGACTAAGCTTCTCAAGGACCCTCAATGTTTAGAAAACTTTGGAAGAGATGAACTCCTACTTGGTAGAAACTTTTGTGGCCACTACCTGTCTATATTAAGCCTGTACAGACAATGAGCTAGAACAAAAGTCATGGCCAATCAAAGAGCACACGGCCAACTGCAAGGGACAGTCAAGGGAGAAGGCAGCCATCTTTTGTTCCCTCTCTTCTCCCTCCCCTCACAGCAAAGAACATGGAACAGGGTAGAAGGAGAAAACATAAGTCTAGTGGGGGTATTGGAGTAGAGATAGGAATTGAACATGAGGTTGAAGCTTAGAAATGAACAAATCGATTGATTACATAGGTGTATACATTTTTATAACAGCTCTATTGAGATATAATCACATACTGTGCCATAAACTTCACTCTTTTCAAAAAGTATACAATTCAGTAATTTGTAATCTATTCCAAGAGTTGTGCAACCACCATCACAATCTAATTCCTGAACCCTTTTGTCGCTGCAGAAAGAAACCCCATACTCATTAGCTGCCACTCCTCCCCCGCCCCTCAGGCCCTGGCAATCACTCATCTACTTTCTGTCTCTATAGATTTGCCTATTCTAGACCATCTGTAAATGGAATCAAAATATGAGGCCTTTGTTTGTTTGCTTGGGTTTTTAATTTTTTTATTTTTGTGGGTATGTAGTAGGTGTATATATGTATGGGGTACATAAGATATTTTGATACAGAAGTAAATGTATAATAATTACATCAGAGTAAATGGGGTATCCATCACCTCAAGCATTTATCTTTTCTTTGTTTTACAAACAATCCCATTGTACTCTTTTAGTTATTTTTAAATATACAATAAATTACTGCTGACTGTAGTTACCCTGTTCTGCTGTCAAATACTAGGTTTTATTGATTCTACCTTATTATAAGTTTTGTACCGATTAACAATCACCACTCCCCCCTCCACTACCCTTCCCAGCCTCTGCTATCCATCATTCTACTCTCTATCTCCATGAGTTCAATTGTTTTAATTTTTAGCTCCCACAAATAAATGAGAACATGTGAAGTTTGTCTTTCTGTGCCTGGCTTATTTCACTTAACATAATGACCTCCAGTTCCGTCCATGTTTTTGCAAATGACAAAATCTCATTCTTTTTTATGGCTGAATAGCACTCCATTGTGTATATATACCACATTTTCTTTATCCTTTTGTCTGTTGATGGACACTTAGGTTGCTTCCAAATCTTGGCTACTGTGAATAGTGCTGCAGTAAACATGGGAGGGCAGGTACTTCTTCAATATACTAATCTTTTGGGTATATACCCAGCAATGGGATTGCTGGATCATAAGTTGGCTCTATTTTTAGTTTTTTAAGAAACCTCCATATTGTTCTCCATAGTGGCTGTACTAATTTACATTCCCACGAACAGTGTATGAAGATTCCCTTTACTCCACATACTTGCAAGCATTTGTTACTGCCTGTCTTTTGGATAAAAGCCGTTTTAACTGGGGTGAGATGATATATCATTGCAGTTTTCACCTGCATTTCTCTGATGATCAGTGATGTTGTGTACCTTTTCGTATACCTATTTGCCATTTGTATGTCTCTTTTGAGAAATGCTTATTCAGATCTTTTGCCCATTTAAAAAATCAGATTATGACTTTTTTTCATATAGAGTTGTTTGAACTCCTTACATAGTCTGGTTATGAATCACTTATCAGATGGATAGTTTGCAAATATTTTCTCCCATTCTGTGGGTTTTCTCTTCACTTTGTTGAGGCCTTTTGTGACGCGCCTCTTTCACCTAGCATGACGTTTTCAAGATTTATGCATGTCGTAGCAAGAATCAGTACTTCAGTCCTCCTTATGCTGAAGAATGTTCCATTGTGTAGATACACCGCATTTTAAAAACCCATTCATCAGTTGATGAACAATTGGGTTGTTTCCACTTTTTGACTATCTGGAACAATGCTGCTATGAACATTTATATACAGGTTATTGTATAGATACATGTTTTCAATGCTCTAGGAGTAGAATGGCTGGGTTACATGGTAACTATATGTTTAGCTATTTGAGGAATTGACAAATGGCTGCACCATTTGAAAATCCCACTAGCAATGTGCAGGGACTGTAGTTTCTCCATATTCTCATCAACACTTGTTATTGTCTCTTTTTTATATTAATTACTCCAGTGTGTGAGAAGTGGTGCTTCGTTACGATTTTGATTTGGATTTCCTTAATGACTTAATGATGTTGAGTATCTTTTCATGTATTTATTGTTCATTCGTACATTTTTTTAGAAATATCTACTGAAATTTTATTGTTGAGTTGTAAAAGAGTCTATATATTTTGGCACAAATCTCTTATCAGATATAATTTGCAAATATTTTTACCATTCTATTTATTATCTTTTCACTTTTTTGATGGTATTCTTTAAAGCACAAACATTTTTGCTTTTGATGAAACCCAATTCATCTGTTTTTCTCTTTTGAAGTTTGTGCTTTTTTGTGTCATATATAAGAAATCATTGCCTAATTCAAGGTAGATATTATTTTACTTTGAATTAGGCAATGGTTTCTTAGAGATGGCACAAAAAAGCAAAAAAGTTTTCTTGTAAGAGTTTTCTTCTAAGACTTCTAGTTCTTACATGTAGGTCTATGACCCATTTTGAGTTGGTTTTTGTATATGGTGTGAGATAAAGATCAAACTTTATTTTGTGTGTGTGTGTGGATATCCAGTTGTCCCACTACCATTTGTTGAAAAGACTATTCTTTCCACGTTGACTGATGTTGGCAACCTTGTCAAAAATCAACTGATCATAAATGTAAGGCTTCACTTCCAGACTCTGAATTCAATTCCATTAATCTATGTCTATCCTCATGTCAACCCTGTAGTATCTTGATTTCTGGAGCTTTGACATATATTTTAAAATTGGGAGGTAAATGTTCTCCATCTTTATTCTTCTTTTTCAAGATTGTTTGGCTATTGTTAGTTTTATAAATTTCCATATGAATTTTAGAACAGCTTGTCAAGTTCTGCAAAAGAAAGGCAGCCTGGATTTTAACAGAGGCCATGTTAAATCTGTAGATCAATTTGGGGAGTATTACTATCTTAATAATATGAAGTCTTCCAATCCATGAACATGAATGTATTTCCTTTATTTATGTCTTTATATTCTTTCAACAAGGTTTTATAGTTTTCAATATACACCTCAATTAAAAAATGAATGTCTTTCTTTAAAAAAATGAACAGGAGTAGTTATTTTTAGAATGAGAATGTTCTAATAACTGAAAATACTAAGGTTTATATGATTGGACTGATATGTCATTAAGCAAGATTCCTCTCTGAGAGAATGGAGTGGTGGTGTTTAACAGAGTGCAGCTAATGGTTGTTAATGGGAAAATAAAGCCCTTCAATGTTGATGCTCTGAAGAGTTAAGATGACTCACTAAAAGTAACTATGGTGATAGAGAATAGAATAAGCTATAACTTGCATTACACTGACATTTACTTTGTCAGAGCAATCTTACAAATGAAAAGGCATTTGTTTTTCTTTAAAAAAGATACTGTGCTTTTGTCAAATGTTTATTGAATTTGCATCTGTCATAATCAATGAGCACCTGTCTTAGGATCCTGGTGCTCAGCACTGCTCCCTGTCTGGTTCACATCTGCAGGCACCTGAGAATGAATAGAGCTCCTCTGCTCTCTCGTTAGCCCCATCCCAAAGGCTGAGCCTCTACTGTTTGGGAACTATCAAGAGAAGACACAGCTATCAAGCCAGGAGGTAAGTCTCTGTTTGTGCAGAGCTTCTTGTGAAACTGTAGCAACCACTAGCAAGTTTTCCCAACTACAAAGACAGGTGGGCCCATCCCTTGCAGGGGTAAAACACATTCTACTTCTAGAGAGAAGAGATTTTGTACCTGAACTTAAGGGAAAACAGACCAGAAAGGATGCAATGGGCTACCCGAGCCAAGTTCATTTTCTTACTAACAGGATGATTCATCTTCAAAGGTATTCAGTCTCAGCCGACCCTAGTCTAAGAAAACCCTGAGTGAAACCAGCCAACAATCTGCTTATCATAATCTCTTCATATGAGCTGTTATCATGCAAATAATCTAGATGTTCCTGAGATTATTACAAATAATCACCCTTCAAGTACATGTTGTAAAAAATGGTATTAACATTTGCTGAGTGACTGTGCCCCATGCATTGATCTGGTGCTTTTATATGTAATTCTCAGTTTAATGAAATTTGATAAATATGATTTAAAAATCACTACCTTCCAAATCAATTCAACAAACTTGTGTTCACTAAACAGACAAGTAAAACATCATCCATGTGTGTGTGTGTGTGTGTGTGTATATATATATATATATATATATATATATCCATATATATTTTTTCTTAATATTTTCAGAACTACTATTTTTTTCTTAATATTATTTTGATCATTCTCTTTCCAAAAATTTGATCTTTCTCCTTCCAAAATTACTATAAGACCAGCAAAAAAAAAAAAAAAAAAAGCATCAGAGTTCTTTCTATCTTTCTGATTTTCCCACTGAAGGGTGACAGAAAAGAAAGGTCCTATCTGTCATCTAAAATCTATTAGTAAGTACTTTAGCTAAGTCTGGAAACTAAGATGTCACATGTCAATTACACAGGAATGAGCTGACATTTGCTTCCTGCCAGGAGCAATACACAGATTCAGAGAACTGCTACTCTGAACATAGTTACAGAAAATAAAATATTTACCTTTGCAGGGATCTGGGACTTATGAAGCTAGTATTAAAAAGCTGTATGTTACAAATGAGGACTTAGATTTCAGAGAGTCCGTGTAAGTCCCAGGCTTTTTCAGTGTGGGATCTCATTAGCCAGCCTGTGTGAATGTGCTGAAACAAAGAGAGGATGCTTTCCCTTACTTCTGGCAGAGTTAGACAGAAGTAATGAAGGAGGTGGTGATACATCATTAATTCTCTCCAAATACCTCCAGAATAAGACTGAAATGTTAATACTGAAAGGGCTCGTAGATGCCATGTCCCTCCAGTTCTTATTTTACAAACAAGAAACTGAGGAAAGGCAGACTGTGACTTTGGTGAGAGCTTCTAGTCCCTTTGTCATCCCTCCTGTATGCCATTTGGAGATGCTGTCTGCCTAGAGTAGTTTTGCTGGTGGGGCTGTGATTTAGATTCTCTGCAGCTGAGTCAAAGCAAATGTAAAAATGACAGAGGATTATTGAGAGTAAGAGTGTATCCCACTCTCAGAGAACAGCTGATCCTTTCCACCATGGCCTCTAAGGAATTTCAGGTAATCCAGATGAACTGGCATTCATCCCAAGTGCAATTTCCATTACTCACGACAATCTGCTAACATAAGGTGCCCTGTGCTTCAGAATTAGCTTCAGGCTTTGCCAGCTAGAAACAGCCAGCCATAGACTGGCTTGCTTTTAAAAATATCACTTGGCTACGATACAGACCTCTAATATAACAGTTGTCTGCAGTCTTAATATAAAATGAAATTAAGTTGAAAGAACTTTCCAACTATGTGAGATCTGTGATCCATATTTATATATCAGATGTTTATAGTATATATAATTTATTCTTAAAGTATAAACAATATATTAAACTATAAATATATATATTTACATATACAGACATTCTAATACAGGCATTTATTTAATAAGCTTTGCATTTTTGTATAGTAATTACTATACGAAATATATTCTCATTAATATAAATAGACTTCGGTCTATTTATATTAATGAGAAGAGCATATGCAATCCTACTGAATGACATCTTTCTAGGAGTAAAATTAACTCTTAAACTATCACTAAAACAACCGAGTTAAAGCTTCCCCCGTCTAAGAAAAAGACAAGTGTTGGCCAGGCGCAGGGACTCACGCCTGTAATCCCAGCACTTTGGGAGGCCAAGGCAGGCAGATCACGAGGTCAGGAGTTCGAGACCATCCTGGGCAACATGGTGAAACCGTATCTCTACTAAAAATACAAAAATTAGCCGGGCATGGTGTCGCGCACCTGTAATCCCAGCTACTTGGGAGGCTGAGGCAGGAGAATTGCTTGAACTCGGGAGGCCGAGGTTTCAGTGAGCTGAGATCATGCCACTACACACCAGCCTGGATGACAGAGCGAGGCTCTGCAAAAAAAAAAAAAAAAAAAAAAAAAAACAACAACACCAACAACAAAAAAAACAAGTGTCCTTTCTGAGAAAAAATATTAAGAACTTTTCCTCTTTACTGAGAGTCTACAGTAGACATGAGAAAACCCAAATTGCAGTTTCACAGCTCTTGTAGCAAAAGCAAGTTTTCAAGCAGCAGATCTTATTCATTATTGAAGCAAAGATTTCCAACAGCATATGCAAGATGTATTTTCTGGAAATTGGGACATAACACCCAGCACTTGAATTAGAGACCACAGGAAAAGTGTTTTTTTTCTGTTTCTCCACCATACGATTCAATCATATTGAACAAAAGACTCATCCTGTTGTTACTGTTCTACATACAGTGAATATTTTTACTGGTAGTGCAAAGTAATACAGGCTCCAGTAAGAGGAATTAGTCCCGCCAAAGCCTGACTCCTGGGTGACAGTGTCCCACTGCTGCCATCTTCTGGAGAGTCCAGGCTCAGCAGCAGTGAGCAGATGGTTTTAAAATTCAGATCACCTCCAGCTGATTCACCTCACTGACTGACAAAGCCAGCCCTGCTGCATTTGCGGGTGTGGATGTGGTTACAGGAGGAAAAGGCTCCCTGAAATGGGCTGAAATAATGAAGGCTTGATCTAGGAGGCAAGGCATCCTTCCTGATCTGTATTATAAGTGACTACAATAGCTAATGAGTGGAACCCGTCTTAGATATCAAAACCCTAACTTGTCTCCCTCTTTCCTTCCGCCATTGAAAACAGAAATAGGTGCGGAGCCCACAGTATCCTCTCCTGGGGCCCCAGGCCTGCCTCTGCATGTTTTCAAGCACAGTGGCAGAAGCACGAGGCCACCCGCCCACCCTCAGCTAGAGGGAGCCGGCTGGGGCCCCAGGACCCCAGCCAGGATGGCGTCTGATCACCAGAGGGCTGGGTGTCTTCCCTGTCCAGTTTCATGATGTCAGGGTGCTTGATAGGGTTGTTGTCCAAAAATAAACTAATAATAATCAGCGCTGCTTCCTCTTCCTCCCTCTGTGCAGTTTCAGAGCCCACTTCCTGAGAGCTCACTGGACAAAGGCTCCATGCCCACTCCAAGGGTTGGCCCTGGTCAGCCCTCTCTTCTGTTTGGGCTCTCTCAACTCAGTAACCCCACAGGAGGTGGTGTCCTCAGAGGCCCAGGGAGTGGTCCCAACCCACTTTGTAAACCTTGGGCAGTTGCTGAAGGCAGATCTTCCGCCAAAGGTAAATACTGGGTGGAATTCCCAATACAGGAGGTCGCCTGGGTGCAAACTTGCCCTGGAAATACATGGAAATGCTCCCTGATCTATCAAGTCACCCTTCTCAAGATTCAGAAAGCTTCAGTGACCCAGAGGAATACCAAGGGGGAAATGGTGAGATGGCGGGGCTGTCTGCTGTCCTCCTGCACCTCCTCACAGTCTAGTCTCATCTTCTAAGCACCCACCACAGGTACGCGCATGTGCGCGCGCACACACACACACACACGAACTCAGAGACACTCCCCCAACACACACACACACACACACACTCACACACACAAACTCAGAGACACCCCCCAACACACACACACACACACACACGAACTCAGAGACACCCCCCAACACACACACACACACACACACACACACACACACACACACCCCGCCCTCTCTTCTGCCTTGCAGTCAAATATGTGAATCCTTGGATGACACAGAAAGGATTTATTTAACAGGAGACTGAACATTTTGAACATGGAAATGTGAATATCTGTGAACACTGAATAGGCTAGATTAGTAAGAGCAGAGACTGGAAGAAAGGCCAGGTGGGTGTCTTCTCCTGTCTTTTCCTTCTAATTAGCATTCAGTCAGACTGTATAGAGGACCTGCTACATCCTGGGGATGATTCACACATTGTCCCTGCCTCCCAGTTACTCCTCCTCTGATGAGGGTTTGCAAACGAACTTTCTTCCATCATTTATCCCCCAAAACATGTATCAATTGATATCGTTACTTGCCAAACATAAAATAACATAAGGACATGAATTCTAGAGGAATTTTGTTTTGAGAAATGAAAATATAGATTTCAGAGGCCACTGGGAAAGGAAGATTTACAGGACCAAATAACTGACAAAAATGTTAACTTGCCAGAGAAGAAAGACTCAAAAATGTTCCATTGACATAAACCTAGATAACTAGGAGAATGAGAGTGCCTGTGTAGGGGAGTGAAAATAATTTTCTCCTCCACCCTTCATAGGTTTCTAGCTAGGTCTCCCTGTTAGGGGCGTTCAAACCAGAGCGACTCCATCTTCAGTGAGGGCTAGGAAAAATGAGGCTGGGACCTGCTGGGCTGCATTCCCAGAAAGTTAGGTATTCTTAGCCTCTAGGTGTTTACCGTTAAGGGAACAGGTTGATAATGTTTACTAAACAGACCCAGACTTGGGAGTGTCCTGATATCCCAGTATCTTGAGAACAGAAGCATTCTTAATTTTGCTTTAAAGATAACATCAATTCTTGCAAAATAAAGTAATTAAGAAAATTAACCCTTTATCATAAACCCTTGTAGCAGAGTACATCTCCCCACAATCTTTCTTTTTATCCCATATGTAAACAGGATTTATCCTGTATATACCTAGGGAGGACGTGTTTCCCCTCCTACTTTCGAGAACGCCCTGCTCTGTCTATGAGTAGCTATTCTTTCACCACTTTACTTCCTTAATAAACTTACTTTTGCTTTGCACTGTGGACTTGCCCTGAATTCTTTCTTGTGGGAGATCGAAGAACTCTCTCTTGGTGTCCGGATCGGGACTCCTTTCCGGTAACATCACTATGTTGCCCAGGCTGGTCTTGAACTCCTGGCCTCAAACCATCCTATAGATTCGACCTCCGAAAGTGCTGGGGTTACAGGCATAGCCACTGTGCCCAGCTGGAACAATCTTTATGAAGGTGAATTAAAGCTGTGAGGCATGAGACCAGAAAAGATGCACCAGGAGTAATGGATTTTGGTGGAGAATGAGCCACAGAAACGCGATCATGAGGCAAATGGTGGGGCCTAACCCTGCCTTCTCAGTCCTCGGGATGGGAGACCGGGCTAGAGAAGAGAAGGCTGGTGTGAAAACGCCGGGAGGGTGAGTTTTGGCAAAAATGGGGGCATCTTCAGTTTCACTTGGCACCAAAAGGAAAATTCAATGCACATTCTTTCCTGGATGTCCAAAAGCCTAATGAGGTTTTGCTTTCTTTGTCTTCTCTTTCCGGAGCCCTCATCGAGCCTCATTCTCAGCCACATCGTAAGGATTTAGAGGCCCTAAGCACTGACGACGCTGTGGTGCCACAAAAATAGACAAGCAGGGCATGTGCGCTGAAGCTGGAAGAGGCTTCTTCCATATTTTCATTGCAAAATCAGAACTTTGGTGAGTTTTTTAAAAATGTTTTAAAATGTTTGCGCCCCTGTTTTGCTGATGCCCCTGGGAATCCCAGCACGGCCTTTTCACCGACTGCTGCTTCTCAGTCTTCATGAGAGCCCAGAGCTCTGTGCTCGGCTCTTTCCTGTCCTCCCGGGCTGGCCTTGTGCTTTCGTGACTGGGTCAGGCTCCTGGGCTCTGTGTCTGATGCAATCAGTGCCACCTGAATGCCTGGGCGGCCTCAGCATACGGGAGTAGACCGGGCGGGGCCCTCGCGTGTGACACCATGGCTGTTTCAGATCCACCGCAAACCCCCCGCCCCAGTGCTGCCCCCGGTCCCCTCACACTCTGGAAAGATTTGCCGGAGCCACTCTGTCCTTTTCTTTAGTGCAGCTGCTGGCTGATAAACCTGCTCCTGCTCTCTCTAAGGCAAGGCCAAGCACAGCTCCTTTCCCCTAGGGCATGTGCCTTTGCACTGCCCGAGGCTGCTCCTTGGTCCCAAGTCCACAGTACTTTGCTTCTCAGGACAGTTTTCCATTCTCAGGTAAGCACTCAGGGGAGCTCTCCCAGTGGCACAGTTCCAGGTCCACCTGAATCCTTTCAGGAAGGACCTCGTCCCTCTGAATGCTGGTGATCACATTTCAACACAATTTATGAAGTGCACCTCGTAGGAAAAACTTAGAAAGCCTTTCCAGATCCACCAGGCATAGGCACCCTTCTTTCTTTGCTTCAAAGAAACAAAGATGGCATTTAAGCATGACATTTAAACTCTTTGGGGTCTACTCTAGAGAATTCCTCATTGTTCTGGGTCATCACCCAGGTATCCAGGAGATACACATATTGTTAAACTTCCGTTTGTTTTTCTCTTGTTAGTTTGCCTTTTGTTACAGAGAGACTCCCAGCTAGGAACCCATGAAGTTGGAGGTTTATGGGAATGTCTAGATATATTTATAAATCATAAAATTGTTATTTTGCTACTCAACTTGTTCAGGAGAAGCAACAGTGTTGCAGAAAGAGGCCCAGAGTGGGGACAGCAATCCCAATTCTGCAACCAATGGGCTCTGTCACTGTGGGGCCTTTCCATGCCTCTGCCTCCTCATCTGAAAATGAGCGGGTTGGATAGATTTTTCACTACTGTTCCTTTAAGTTCTACCATGCGGAGGTTTTTTACATTGCTACCTTCTTATGTGACATAGTTTTGCAATTAAGAACTCTCAAGTTCCTCTTTGCAGTTGGTATTTGAGATGTTAAGAATGGAAACGCTGATTCCCCTCAGACCCGCTTTGCAGATAACCCTGCATTTTACCGAGATGTCAAAGCAGGAAGTGCTTGGCTGGAACATCTGCCGACAGCCTCATCTCTTTCTGCAAGATCATGATGTTCTGCATGCTCCTGTGGCCTCTTATTTCACGTTGGTAAGAATTTTATGTTTATTTATTAACCTAAGGTAATGTGGTAAATTCCATGGTGGCTCACCTAACTTCTGAGTAAGCTTTTGCTTTATTTTTATTTTTTTCCATGTTTCCTCCTGGCAAGCTCTCCCTGCAAATTTTGAAACAACTTTAAAGATGAATAAAAAGCAGCTCAGCAAGTGAATCCCAGATCCCGGTAAGAGAGTGTCTCCCCCAACTCACATAGTGAGTGCACATCATCCCCAGAACCACCATGAGAGTGAGCCTGGTAGCGGGTAGCACCCTGCCTGTGACGAAGCCAGCACACTATGACGAGCAGCAGCTTCTAGACCCATGGACCACGGGCACTGCCAACGCTCTCCCTCCGGGGACTCCTCCTGCCTCCCATACAGGGCCAAACTCCGACGCCCACGAGCTCGCTCAGAATTGGCTCAGGCTGCAATCACTTCTCTTCTCCTACCTCCACACCATTCCCTGATGGTGGACAGCTTCTCCTTTGAGAACCACACCTGCCTTTTCAGACAAAAGGAGACACCACCCACCCTCCTGCTGAGGGCTGCTCCCCTGGGGCCTTCTCAGCACACCTCTCTCTCTCTAGGTCAAAAAACAAATTTCACATGCTGAATTTTTACCTTTTTTAAAGTGACTCCGAATTTTGGCACCAGCAATTAATTCAACACTTGAATAAGATTTGAAAACCTCACAACAAATCACAAATATATTATGGGTCCTGTTGAAGGTGGTATTGTGGTTAATGTAATTCTCTCTCTCTCTCTCTCTCCCTGTGTGTGTGTGTGTGTGTGTGTGTGTGTGTGTGTGTGTGTGTTCCTTTGTGTGTCTGGCTGGCTGTCTCTTCTGAGACAGGATCTTGCTCTGTCACCCAGGCTGGAGAACAGTGGTGCAATCACAGCTCACTGTGCCCTTGAACTCATGGGCTCAAGCAATCCTCCCACCTCAGCCTCCCAAAGTGCTGGAATTACAGGTGTGCACCACCTTTCCCAGGACCTTTCTATATTTCTTTTCATATTCATTTATTCATCCAACAAATATTTACTGAATCATTACTGTGTGTTACACACTGAGATTTCAAAGCCAGAGAAGAGTTGATTTTGGTGGGAGAAATAGGAATATAAATAAATTACACCACAAACAAAGTATTGGCTGTGCGCCTGGCACTATCAGGCAAAAATACAAAAATTCTTACTGACAAGAAATAAGAGGCCATAGTCCCAGAGCACTGGCTTAGAGTACTCCTCCCCATACTCTACAATTATAAAGGAATTATTGTCCCATTTTACAGAGGAGCAAGCTGAGGCTCAATGGGACTAATTCACTCAGTGAATTCTTCCTCCTGAAAGAAGAAAGTGGTAAAGTTGGTCTTGTCCTTTTGGCTGCAGCTAACACCCTGTCTCTCCTGACTCTCCAAAATGGGAAAGGGTTGCTTGACCCTTGAAGCCTTGTCCCAGGGTTCCTTGTGGCATGCTCCTAATGACCTCATGACAGCTGAATCTCCTGATCCTGCCCAGGGTCAACACAGAGAAAGGAGAGAAACCTAGGGTGTCTAGGCTGCAACTCAGGGACCTGTGGCTCCTGCACCAAGCATGTGAATCACCCCTTGGGCAATGGTTTCCTAAGAAAATCTGCCCTGTTCATGCATTATTTAAAAAGCAAAGGAAGAAAACAAAGAAACCCCTTAAAGCTCTTGTAATAAATTCACCATTCCCTTATTCTGTGAACTTTCATTTATTGAACACAGGCTTTGGGAATAGAGGGATCAATAAAACTCAGCTGAAATCCAAGGCAGAGCAAGATGTCTGAATAGAACCATGCAGTGATCATGCCCCCACCCTCCCCTGCAGGACATTGAATTGAGTGCAAACACACACAAGAAAACACCTTCACAAGAGCTAAAATATCAGGTAAGCGATCACAGGACCCGGTTTATCATAGTAACAAGAAAAGAGGCATTGAAGGAGTAGGAAGGACAATCCCGCATTGCCTGCACTGTTCCTCCCGCAGGACCAGGCAGCTCAATGTGGAGAGAGAATCTTTGTGCTTGGGAAAGGGAGAGGGAGGTGAGTGCGGCACTTTGCTTCAGAGCTCACTGCTGGCCCCACAACAGTGGAACATAGCACTGGGCAGACTTCTATGCCCTTGATTCCAGGCCAGTGCTCACAAATGGAACATTTAGATCGGCCCCAGGCCACAGAGGAATCCACCACCCCAGTGGGAGGAACCCAATTTCCAGCCTGCTTCATCACTGGCCAATTAAAGTGGCTGCTAGGCCTTAGTGACCGTGGTCCTTTGGTAAGCCCTAGTGCTGAACTAGTCTGAGAGGTCGTGGGCTTGGGGTGCAACCCAGCCTGACACCAGCTGCAGCAGCCATGGGAGTGCTCACATCACACCACTCTCAACTCCAAGCAGAACAGTGTGGAAAGAGACTTCTGCTCAGAAGAAGGAGAGAGAAGGTTACAGAAGATTTTGCCTTGGAACTTACTACCAGCCCTGCCACAATAAAAGACAGCACTGGGGAAAACCCTGAAGCCCCCAGTTTTAAGCTGTTGCTCCTGGGCAATGTGTCTAAAGCCTCACTGGGCCAGTAGGGAATCTGCTACAACAGTGAGCCAGACCTCTGTCCTGGCCAACTTCACTCCTGGCTGACTAAAGTTGCCTTGTGCCTTGAATAAACATCAGCGGAAGTCAGGCAGTAGCTGTCTCAGGCCTTGACAAGCCCTGATACTGCACTGGTCTGGGAGGTCATGGGCTTCAAGTGTGATTCAGCATGGTGCCAGCTGCAGTGAACATGGGAGTGCTCTTGTCATCCCACCCCCAACTCCAGACTTACAGAATGGGGAGAGAATCCTTCTGCTTGGGAGAAAGAGAAGGAAGTGAATGAGGGACTTTGCCTGGAAAGCCAGGGAATTCTCCCTAATCTTACCCAGGTATATCAGAGCTAGGTGTTTAGCAGTCTGCAAGAAAAATTACAACATACCTGAGCTTAGGGTGTCTTCTTGGATTAAATAAGGCACCAGTGACCAACCTCGCAGAGATGAAGATGTGTGACCTCTCAGGGAATTCAAAACAGTTTTTATGAGGAAGCTCAATGAATTTCAAATAACACAGAGAAGCAATCAAAAAATGTATGAGTATTTAACAAAGAGATTGAAATAATTTTTAAAAATCAAACAGAAGCCCTGGAGCTGAGAAATTCAATTGATGAGCTGAAAAGTGCAATAGCGTCTTAACAGTAAAACTGATCAAAAAGAAGAAAAAAATCCATGAGCTCAAAGATAGGCTATTTGAAAATACACAGTCAGAGGAGGGAAAAGGGAACTGATTTTTAAAAGAAACAGAACACTTACAAGATCTAGAGAACAATCTCAAAAGAGCAAATCTAAGAGTCATTGGCCCTTAAAGAGGGGTAGAAATTTGATTTAAAGAAATAACAACAGAGAACTTTCCAAACCTAGACAAACATATGAATATCCAGGTACAAGAAGGTCAAAGGTTACCGAGCAGGTTTAACCAAAATAAGACTACCCCAAAGCATATAATAATCAAACTCCCAACGGTCAAAGACAAAGAGAGGATCCTAAAAGCAACAAGGGAAAAGAAGCAAATGACTTCTAAAGGAGCCCCAGTACATCTGGCCACAGACTTCACAATGAGAGCATTACAGGCCAGAAGGAAGTGAGATAACATATTCAAAGGGCTGAAGGAAAAAACTGCCAACCAAGAACTGTAACCAGCAAAGCTATCCTTCAAACATAAAGCAGTTAAAGACTTTCCTGGACAACAAAAGCTAATGGAATTCATCACCACCAGACATGTCTTACAAGAATGCTAAGGAAGTTCTTCAATCTGAAAGAAAAGGATACTAATTTGCAACAGACAGACATGTATAAAACTCACTGGTAAAAGTAAGTACACAGACAAATTCAGAATACTCTAATACTGTGATTGTAATAAAGAAATTCATATCTTTAGTATAAAAACTAAAAAAAATCCATTAAACATAATGGTAACTACCACAATGTGTTGAGAATTAGGCAAAATAAAAAGATGTAAATTGAGACAATAAAAGCTTAAATGTAGGAGGAAAGATGGAGTTAAAGTGCAGAGTTTTTCAGTTTTTCCTTACTTGTTTGTTTCTTTTCTCTTCTTTGCAGTCAAAGTTAAGTTGTCATCAGTTCAAAATAACTTGTTATAACTATAAGATGTTTTGAGTAAGCTTCATGGTAATCACAAAGCAAAACCTATAATAGTACGATAAAAATAAAAGGCAAAGAATTAAAACATACTACCAGAAAAAAAATCACTCTCCACAAAGGAAGATATTTAGAATGGAAGGAAAAAAGAGATATTATAAAACAGTCAGACAATAAATAACAAAAAGGCAGTAGTAAATTTTTATAAATAATAACATTAAATGTAAATAAACTAAATTCTCCAATTGAAAGACATTGAGTGGCTGAATTTTTTTTAAAACTCAACTATATGCTGCCTACAAGAAATGCACTTCACCTATAAAGACACACATAGACTGACAGTGAAGAGATGGGAAAAGATATTTCCTGTAAATAGAAACCACGAAAAAGAAGGAGTAGCTACGCTTTTATCAGATAAAATAGACTTCAAGTCAAAAACTGTAAAAAGAGACAAAAAAGTTAACTATGTAATAACAAAAGGGTTAATTCAGCAAGATGACATGACAATTATAAATATTTATGCACCCAACACTGGGTCACGAAAATATGTAATACAAATATTAATAGATCTAAAAGAAAGACAGACCTCAATACAGTAAGAGTTGGATACTTCAACGTGCCACTTTAGATCATTCAGACAGAAAATCAACAAAGAAAAATTAGAATTAACTGACGCTCTAAACCAATGGACCTGACATTTACAGAATATTTCATCCAACTTCTGCAAAATACACATTCTTCTCATCACATGGAATATTCTCCAGGATGGACCATATGTTAGGCCACAAAACAAGTTCTCAACAAATTCAAAAAAATCAAAATCATATCAAGTATCTTTTTGACCACAATGGAATAAAACTAAAAATTAATAACAAGACAAACTTTGGAAATTTTACAAATACATGGAAATTGGCTGGGCACAGTGGCTCATGCCTGTAATCCCAGTTCTTTGTGAGGCTGAGGCAAAAGAGTTGCTTGAGCTAAGGAGTTTCAGACCAGCCTGAGCAACATGACAAAACCCCCTCTCTACAAAAAATACAAAAATTAGCTGGATATGGTGACTCCTGCCTGTAGTCCCAGCTACACGGGAGGCTGAGGTAGGAGGGTCGCTAGAGCCCAGGAGGTCAAAGCTGCAGTGAGCCATGATCACACCATCACACTCTAGCCTGGATGACAGAGTGAGGCCCTGTGTCAATAAATGAATGAATGAATGAATGAATGAATAAATAAATAAATAAATAAATAAATGGAAATTAAACAATATGCTCTTGAATGACCATTAGGTCAATTAAGAAATCAAGAAGAAAATGTTAAAATTTCTTAAAACAAATGAAAGTGGAATTACAACATACCAAAACCTATGAGATACAGCAAAAGCAATATTAAAAGAGAAGTTTATAGCAATAAATGCCTATATCAAAAAAGTAGAAAGACTTCAAATAAACCTAATGATGCACCTCAAGGAATTAGGAAAGCAAGAACAAACCAAACATAAAATTAGAAAGAAAGAAAAAATAAAGATTAGAGCATAAATAAATGAACTTGAGACTAAAAAACACAAAAGACCAAGAAAACAAAAACTTGGATTTTTGTAAAAACAAAAATCAATAAATGTTTAGCTATACTAAGAAAAGTAGAGAGAAAATCCAAATAAATAAGGTCAGAGACAAACAAGGAGTCATTACAACAGATACCACAGAAATACAAATACTCACTAGAGACTCTTATGAACAACTTTATACCAAAAAATTGAAAAACCTAGAAAAAATGGATAAATTTCTAGACACACACAGCCTACCAAGATTGAACCATGAAGAAACAGAAACTTCAACAGAACAATAATGAGTAATGAGAGTTGAAGCTGTAACAAACAGTCTCCCATCAAAGCCCAGGACCTGATGTCTTCATTGCTAAATTCTACCAAACATTCAAAGAAGAATTAATGCCAATTCTACTCAAACCATTCCTAAAATTGTAGAGGAGGGAATACCTCTGAACTCATTCAATGAAGCCAACATTACTAATACCAAAACCAGACAAGAACACAAAAACAACAACAAAAAAAACTACAGGCCAATATCACTGATGAACATAGAAGCAAAAATCCTCAACAAAATACTAGCAAACAAAATTCAACAACACACTAAAAAGATTATTCACCAGAATCAAGTGGGATTCATCTCAGGAATGCAAGGATGATTCAACATATACAAATCAATCAATGTGATACAATACAGTAATAGAATCAAGGACAAAACATATGATTATTTTAATAGGTACTGGAAAAGCATTTGATAAAATTCAACTTGCTTCATGATAAAAATCCTCGACAAACTGGATATAGAAGGAACATATCTCAAAACAATAAAGGCCATACGTGACAAACACACAGCTAACATCATAGTAAACAGGGAATAATTAAAATTTTTCCTCTAAGATCTAGAACAAGACAAGAATGCTTATTTTCACCACTTTTTTTCAACATAGTACTGAAATTCCTAGCCAGAACAATTAGGCAAGAGAAAGAAATAAAAGTCGTCCAAATTGGAAAGGAACAAGTCAAATTGTTCTTGTTTGCTGATGACATGATTTTATATTTAGAAAACCCTAAAGACTCTACCAAAAAACTGTTAGAACTGACAAACAAATTCAATAAAGTTGCAGCATTCTAAATCAACATGTAAAAACCAGTAGCATGTCGATATGCCAATAGCACACAGCCTGAAAAATAAATCAAGAAAGCAATCCCATTTATAATAGCTACAAAAAATTAAAATACCTAAGAATAAGTAGTGAAATTTCCAAAGAAATTTCAATTTTAATTCTAGAGATATTTCCCAAGAAGTATAATATCTCTACAATTAGAACTGTGAAATACTGGTGAAAGAAGTTGAAGAGGACACACATAAAAAGGAAAGATATCTCATGTTCATGGATTGGAAGAACCAATATTGTTAAAATGTCCATGCTACCCAAAGCGATCTACAGATTCAATACAATCTCTATGAAAGTAGCAATAATTGGCCAGGTGCAGTGGCTTATGCCTGTAATCCCAGCACTTTGGGAGGCCAAGGGAGGCAGATCACCTGAGGTCAGGAGTTCGAGACCAGCCTGGCCAACATGGTGAAACCGTGTCTCTACTAAAAATACAAAAAGTGGCCAGGCGTGGTGGCACATGCCTGTAGTCCCAGCTACTCAGGAGGCAGGAGAATCACTTGAACCCAGGAGGCGGAGGTTGCAGTGAGCTGAGATGGTGCTGCTGCACTCCAGCCTAGGTGACAAAGCAAGACTCTGTCTCAAAAAAACAAAAAATCCAAGAGCATTCTTTACAGAAATAGAAAAAAAAAATTCTAGAATTAATATGGAACCGCAAAAGACTCCAAACAGCCAAAGCAATCCTGAGCAAAAAGAACAAAGCTGGTGGCATCACAATATCTGACTTCCAATTGTACTACTAAGCTACAGTAACCAGAACAGCATGGTACTGGCATAAAAACAAACACCTAGACTAATGGAACAGGATAGAGAAACCAGAAATAAGTCCATGTATTTACAGCCCACTCATTTTTGACAAAGGCGCCAAGAATGTACATTAGCGAAAGGACAGTCTTAGTAATAAATAGTACTGGGAAAACTGGATATTGATATCCATATGCAGAAAAATGAAACTAGACCCCTATCTCTTGCCATATACAAAAATCAAATCAAAATGAATTAAAGACTTAAATGTAAGACTTAAAATTATGAAACTACTACAGGAAAACATTGGGTAAACACGCCAGGACACTGGTCTGGGCAAAGATTTTTTTAGTAAGACCTCAAAAGCACAGGCAACAAAGCAAAATAGACAAATGGAATTAAGCTAAAAAGCTTCTGCACACCAAAGGAAACAATCAACAGAGTGAAAAGACAGCCCACAGAATGGGAGAAAATATTTGCAAACTATCCATCTGACAGAATATATGAGGAAATCAGGCGACTCAACAGAAAATAAAAACCCAAATAATACAATGAAAAGAGGCAAATGATCTAAAGAGACATTTCTCAAAAGAAAATATGCAAATGACCAACAGATATATGAAAATATGCTCAACATCGCTAGTCATAAGGGATATGTAAATCAAAACCACAATGAGATACCATCTCACCCCAGTAAAAAAGGCTATAATCAAAAAGACAAAAAATAACAGATACTGGCAAACAAGCCAAGAAAGGCAAACTCTCATGCAATGTTGGTGGAAATGTAAATTAGTACAGCCATTGTGGAAAACAGTACGGAGTTTTCTTAAAAAACTAAAAATAGAACTACCCTATAATCCAGCAATCCCACTTCTGGGTATTTATCCAAAAGAAAGGAAATCCACATATCGAAGAGATATCTGCCCTCCCATGTTTATGGCAGCACCATTCACAATAGTCAAAACACAGACTCAACCCAATGTTCATAAACAGGTGAATGGATAAGGAAAATGTGGTATATAAACACACAATGGAATATTATTCTGCCAAGAAAAGAATGAAATCCTGTCATTTGCAGCAACATGGATGGAACTGGAGGACATTATGTGAAGTGAAATAAGCCAGGCGCAGAAAGACAAATACCATATGTTCTCACTTGTGGGAGCTAAAAAAACAGCTAATCTCATGGAGGTAGAGAATAGAATGACAGTTACCAGAAGGTGGGAAGGGGAGGGGAGTGGGGGGATGAAGGTGTACGGATACAAATATATAGTTAGATAAAAGAAGTAAGTTTTAATGTTTGATAGCACAGTTAGGTGAATATAGTAAACAATAATTTATTGTATATTTTTAACCAGCTAGAAAATAATATTCGGAATGTTCCCAACAGAAAGCAATGATAAATGTTTGAGTTGAAGGCTATCTCAATTTCCTTGATTTGATCATTATATATTGTATGAACATACATATTTTGATACATAGTGTATCAAGATATTACATGGGCTCCATAAATATGTAAAATCATTATGTATCAATAAGGAAAATAAACAAAATAATAATAAAAGTTAAGTCTGAACATGTTTCTTCAGAAAAACAAATTTAAAACTTGGCCACCATTAGATAGAAGACAGTTGCAATCACCTGTGAAGATACCGTCAAAGCCCAGTCAGACTCCTGGAACTCAGTGCACATGGTAGATGTCTCTTGTTCTGCATCCGAAGGTGAGAGCCTGGCCTACTCTCTAAGCCCCGAGGTGTTCTTCCAGGGAACTGTTTAGGATTGGAGTTCTTTGACAGCACCCCTGAATCCTCCATATCTTTCAAAGCCTTGGTCCCAGCATTCCTGGCTGACCAAGGAAACAGCCCCTTGAATCCTCCATGTCACCAGCACCCATCTGAGGCAGCACTCAGAAGATGTCTTCAGAAGGTGGGGAGGCGGCCAGGCATGGTGGCTCATGCCTGTAATCCCAGCACTTTGGGAGGCCTAGGCGGGCGGATCATGAGGTCAGGAGTTTGAAACCAGCCTGACCAACATGGCAAAACCCCATCTGTACTAAAAATACAAAAATTAGCCGGGTGTGGTGGTGTGCGCCTGTAATCTCAGCTACTTGGGAGGCTGAGGCAGGAGCATTGCTTGAACCCGGGAGGCAGAGGTTGTGGTGAGCTGAGATCATGCCATTGCACTCCAGCCTGGGCAATAAGAGCGAAACTCTGTCTCAAAAAAAAAAAAAGAAAGTGGGGAGGCAAGGGGCCAGAAGTCCTCTGAAGGTACCTGCCATCTAAAAGCACTGTCATCACGTCAGCCAATGCATATCAAGAATACTATCTCAGAGAAATATTCTTTTTTTTTTTTTTTTTTTTTGAGATAATCTCACTCTGTCTCCCAGGCTGGAGTGCAGTGGCTCACTTGGCTCACTGCAAGCTCCGCCATCGGGGTTCACGCCATTCTCCTGCCTCAGCCTCCCAAGTAGCTGGGACTACAGGCGCCTGCCACCACGCCCAACTAATTTTTTTTTTTGTATTTTTAGTAGAGACGGGGTTTCACCGTGTTAGCTAGGATGGTCTTGATCTCCTGACCTCATGATCCGCCCACCTCAGCCTCCCAAAGTGCTGGGATTATAGGCGTGAGCCACCGCGCCCGGCCAGAGATAATATTTTCAAGAATATCAAGAAGATAAGCAGGAGAGAGAACAGGACCTAGGCTCCCTGGGTCCTGGGTCAACTTTCCCCAATTCCCTGAGCTGAAAAATAAAGGTGATGGTCAGGCAGGGGTTGGCAAGGAAGAGAAAGAGGAAGAAAGACCAGCAGGATCAGAGAAGTGCACCTGGAATCCTGTTTCCACACTACTATGGGTGACTGCAGACTATTCTGCATTTGTGGAGTTGAGGCAATGTCTGGTTTTATTAATATTTTCATGGAAGGGATTGTAATCAAAACACAGGCACTGCTTGCACACTGTAGATTCTGAATAAGTATCTGTGAATAAAAGATTAAATGAGCATGTATCACAGATTAAAAGCATTGGCAAATTAACCAAGTAGAATTTACATGCTCGGGGTCCAAGAGGTTGGAGAGATGATTTGCAGTCTAGTTCAGGAAGGCTTCCTGGAAGACAAACGGCAGCTGAATAATGGCAGGACAGGCATTTCCAGGTCACACGAATAGCATGTGCAGGGCTGTGAGGCGCTGTGAGGGCTAGTTTATACCTTGGTGAGAAGTTTGCTATAATGAGACATAAAATATGAGATGGGGAGAAGTGGAAAGTGATATTTAAAAGGTTAAGATTTTAGTGAGAAATGTGGACTTGTTCTATAAAAGCTAGACATCAACTACAGTTTTTAAAGAAAATGGCGCAATTAGGATTTATTTTTAGAAAAACTGTTTGGATAGCAATGTAAAGGAGCAGAAATTCAAGAAATTTCTACAGCAGAAATTCTAGAAATTCTGGTGGTGGTGAGTCTAGCTAAAAGGCTACTGTCCTTGTGAGAGGTGATCAGGTAATTACATGGAATAAAAAGTTGGGGTTGGCCAGGTGGCATGGTGGCTCACATCTGTAATCCCAGCACTTTGGGAGGCTGAAGTGGGGAGATCACGAGGTCAGGAGTTCGAGACCAGCCTGGCCAACATGGTGAAACCCTGTCTCTACTAAAAATACAAAAATTAGCCAGGCATGGTGGCACACACCTGTAATCCCAGCTACTCAGGAGGCAGAGGCAGAAGAATCACTTGAACCAGGGAGGCGGAGGTTGCTGTGAGCCAAGATCACACCACTGCACCCCAGCCTTGGCAACAGAGTGAGACTCTGTCTCAAAAAAAAAAAAAAGTTGGGGTCAATTTGGGGAACAAATCTGAGATACACAGGCACTACTGACATAATAATTTGGAACAAGTTGGATAAGGGAAGAGCGAAGGCTAGGCTGCTGCTTCCTAAGTCACCTATTAGAAATCCAGGGAGCTATGGGGCTTGCATTATGATACTTCCTACACAAAAACATGGAACATCCCCAGTGAGACGGACCTTCATCCCAACTTATAATAAATACACAGTTTTCATAAGGAAAACAAGAGTTTCACCACAAACTTATAGCTTAACATCTATGTTAGGCCAGGCCCTTTCACTCTGAGGTGAAAGACAACAGGTGAGCAGGTTCTGAGGCATCAAATGACAAAGTCCACAAGGAGCATCCCGAATAAACAGATTTGTATTAGGAGATACTCACCTTTTACATATGAGTAAAAAAATCATCTGAATCCTGCTCCCCAAAGAAAATGAGAGAATTTAGGCCAGGTGTGGTGTCTCACGCCTATAATCCCAACACTTCGGGAGGCCAAGGCTGGAGGATCACTTCAGATAAGGAGTTTCAGAACAACCTGGGCAACATGGCAAGACCCCATCTCTACAGAAAATACAAAAGTTAGCCAGGCGTAGTGGTGCACATCTGTAATCCCAGCCACTCAGGAGGCTGAGGCATTCGAGGTTGCAGTGAGCTATGATCTTGACACTGCACTCCAGTCTGGGTGAAAGCACGAGACCCTGTCACAAAAAAGAAAGAAAGAAAGAGAGAAAGAGTGAAACAGAGAGAGAGGGAGGGAGGGAGGGAGGAAGGAAGGAAGGAAGGAAGGAAGGAAGGAAGGAAGGAAGGAAGGAAGGAAGGAAGGAAAAAAAAGAAAAGAAAATGATAGAATCTGAGTTCCTGATAAGCATCTTAGAAACTCCGTGGTACAGACTTGTTGGTGATGGGTAACCATGTCAACTTAGTGGGACAGGGTTTTCGTGGGAAGGACACTAGACTAGAAGAGCTGAATTCCAGTCTTAGCTCCACACGTGAGTGTGAGTAAGTGTGAGAGTGAGTGGGGGAGGGTGTGAATCTGGGCAATTTCTTTAATCTCTAGGGCCCATATTCTCAAACTTGAATGCCTTTATAAGTCTCCTGAGGAGTTTGTTAAAAATGCAAGTTTCTTTGTGGTGATTATTTCACCATGTAGATGTATATCAAAACATTACATTGTGTACCTTAAGTTATACTTTTTATTTGTTAATTATACCTCACTAGAGATAAAAATAAAGAGTAAGATTTTTTAAAAAGCAAATTTCTGAGCTTCATCCTAGAAGTTCTTACTTCCTGTTCCAGGAGCAGAGATCAGAAACCCAATTTTTAAATAAATGCTTCTGATGTGGATGATCTATGTATTATAATGTGAGAAAAACTTTGATTTCTCATGAGTTAACTTAGAATAATTTTTTTCCTGTGTTTCTCCTGAGGTCTCAGTGAGCAGAAAAAAAGACAATCTATATAAAATAGTGTTGTAAACTTAAGATACTATACAACTGCAGAATGTTCTGTGAATAAGACTTCTATTATTCCCCACAAAACCTTTTGTATCCCCCACTAAAATAGTCCAGATTCTTTGCTAGGTATGTAGTATATTGGGCACAGAGTCTTTTATGATTTCTGGGTCACACTCTGCATTCTAACCTTCACCATCTTTATGTGTTTTTTTTCTCTCCATTTTCCCCCCAAAGTCCAAGGCCTCCTCGAGTTTTGGGTTTTATACGATCTTTGTCAGTCAGTCTTAATCCAGTTGCATTTCATTTGCAACAGATTCTCTTCAAGCCCCTGCACTGTCAATCTTGTCACGAAAATCACTCACAGATGCAGAGCTGTCAGTAGCATAGGTTTGTGACAGATTTGGGACATCATAGCCATACTGAGTCCTGTGAGACTTTACCCAGGCCCTGGGACTTGGTCCAACTTTTGTTGGTGATGCTTTTATTCCTGGCTTCACTGCTCCTGCACTCCCTGTCTAAAGCTGTCTCTGACCCTTTGTTGATACCCTCCGTTAACAGTCCCTTAATACATGACAAAGGGCTACACCTACACGCTGGTCTTTCAGAGGCACCAGCCCCAAGGGCTGGCTGGGGAGTGGGGTTTATACAGACCTCAGTTCTGTCCTTCCCAAACTCCCCGACACCCAACACACACACATCATCTGTGCTTTATTGAATTCCCATCCTTTCCTCTTGTTCTAACTCAAATAAGCTGTACTGTTCCTTCTGTTCTGGCCTGTCAGCCAGTGAGCAGGATGAAATGAATGTGAATCAATGAATAAATAAGTGATACAGATACAAGAGAGTCAGTGGTGTGATAGCTAACTCTTGGGGCTGTGTGGGCCAGGTTAAGGACAGAGCAAAACTCCACTGAGGGTGGCCTCTAAGGGTGGCCAAATACAAAGTATAAATGGCACCAGGGACTACTTACATGGCAACTTGGAAAGACTGTATAACTCTATCATGCTTCCAGCTATTGTCATTTTTCCAACTTTAGGTTATTCTTTCTTTTAAGAATACTTTCTTCTGCTACTCTGCAGCTGGGATGCTTATAAGCCAGTTAATTGGTGCCAACATAAAGAAAGGCCCTTTGGTTCCATTTTCCCAGGTTTTGGGGGACATCTGAGCCAAGAGAACTGTGGCATCCTCATACATTAATGAGCTATCTGTGACTTGGGCATTTTGGAACAAAAGTGTGGTGTGGAATGTGGCCAAATCACTCACACAGTGTGTAAATGCATTCACTTCCTCCTCATATATTATAGACTACATGCAGGGGTCTAGCAGAGAGGGGTGGCGGGAGTCCAACAGTGAACACGACATCCTGGCCTTTCCGAGATCATTTTCTCAAAAGAAAGACAGAGGAGTCAACAGGCAAGTAAAATAGGCTGCAACAGAAGGTTCTGTTTGTTGTGTTTATTCTGGGGAAAAACTGCTCCCCTCACAGTGTATCTATAGTGTTGTGAAATTAGAAAACAATTTTGAAAACTCTGTTCATATTAGATGCTTACCAGAACACTCCCATGGGAGGAGGTGTGTTCCTGAGTCATAGAGAAGCTGAGCAGACAGATGGAGCTGATATCATGGGCCAGAATATTTTGTAGGTGCAGGGTCCATCTTTCATCACTGCCATGCGAGTGAGCTGTGAAGTGGGAGGGGACCGTATATGGACTGGACCTCAGGTGCTGAAGGAGAATGAAGACTCTAGAAGCAATATTTGGTGTAAAACTTACTTTGGAAGAAGATGTCGAGGCAGCAGGTTTTTTGGCTCCTGGTTCCTCAAAGTTGGCAAGAACTAGGTGCTTGTTAGAAGTGTTGAATCTCAGGTTACACCCCAGATTTCCAGAATTAGGATATGCATTCAGTAAAATCTCCAGATGGTTCATAAGCACATAACAGTTTCAGAAGTGCTGATCTACAACTGGAAAGAAGGTACACCTTACAGCCTATCTCAGAAGTCTAGACCTGGAAAAAAGATACAGCCTAGGATGGAGACAAGAGTCGGAGGAGACAGAGTAGGCACAATGCAAAGAAGCTCAAGAGGGTGCTGCTACAGAGGACTGCCCAGGGCATGAGCACATCTTGTACTGAATAAACTGCTCACTGCTTTTTCTGGGACCTCTCCTTACAACCTGAAATCATCTGCCTTAATAAAACCAATAGTAGCTAAGACTTTGATGGTGCCAGACACTCTTCCAAGCACTTTACCTGTATCAACTCATTCAATCTTCACAACCCATAAGGGGGTTATGAATAGTCTCTTCATTCCACAGATGAGAAAATCGAGGCACTGACGTGAAGTGGCTTCCCCTAAAAGCCCACACAGCTAGCAAGTACCAGACCAGGATTCAAACCCAGGCAGTGCCATCCTTTATCACCATGCTCTTGTGCCTTGCAGGATCTTAATCTGTTTGTATTTGCATTTAGTTCTTTTTGTTTTCCTTGGTGCTATGGTTTGAATATGTCCCCCAAGAAAGCATGTGTTAGAAGCTTAATCTCCAATGCAACAGTGTTGGGAGGTGGGGCCTAATGGGAGGTGTTTAGGGTGTAAGGGCTACACTCTCATGGATGGATTCATGCCAGTTACAATGGGACTTGAGGCTACAAGTTCAGTCTCTCACTTGCTCTCTTGTCATGCAATTCCTTCTGCCATGTTACAAAGATGCAAAGAAGGCCCTCACCAGATGCTGAGCAGATGTCAGCACCATGCCCTTGGACTTCCCAGTCTCCAGAATCATAAGCCAAATGTCTTAGTCCATTTTGTGTTGCTATAACAAAATAACAGAGACTGGATAATTTCTAAACAAAAGAGGTTTATTTCTTATAGATCTGGAGGCTGGGAAGTCCAAGTTCAAGTGTCTCACATCTGGCAAGAGCCCTCATGCTATGTGTCAACCCATGGTGGAAGGCGAGAGGGTAAGTGAAGGCAAAAGACAGAGGAGAGGAGGTCAAACTTACCCTTTTTTCAGAAGCTCACTCCCACAATAACAACATTAATCCATTCATGAAGGTGGAGCCCTCATTACCTAATCACCTCTTAGAGGTCTCACCTCTCAACACTGTTGCATTGGGGATTAAGTTTCCAACACATCAACTTTAAGGGATGCATTAAAACCACAGAACAAAATAAATTTCTCACTCCAGCCTGGGGGACAGAGCAAGACCCTGTCTTAAATAATAATAATAATAATAATTTTAAAATTAATTAATTAATTTCTTTTTTATATAAATTACCCAGTCCATGCAGCACAAAGGAACTAAGATGCTTAGAGTGTCAGCTTTGGTTTGTTTATTTGATTTTATTATCCTAACTCTACAGTCCTAAACAGAAATAAGAGGCAGAGACAGGTGTGTCCTAGGCTGTCCCCTCCTCTGGTCTCCTGTCCTGTCACCTTTCACTAGAGCATGCAAACTGGCAGCCCAGGGGCTGAATTCAGCCTACGGTGTGTTTTGCTTCACTGTAGGTGTTTTAAAAATCAGAAATTTTTACACAAAAATCTATATAATCCCATTTGCTCTCTCTGGCTTGCCACAGTACCCACCACATTCTGAGGTCTTATTGCTGGCAGCTACATTTGTTCACACTCTGCCTCCATCACAAAATGATGTCTTTCTCCCATGTGTCTCCTCCTATAAACTATCAGCTCCACAAGAATGCATGTCTTCGGCCGGGCACGGTGGCTCACGTCTGTAATCCTAGCACTTTGGGAGACTAAGGCGAGCGGATCACCTGAGGTCAGGAGTTCGAGACCAGCCTGACCAACATGGAGAAATTCTGTCTCTACTAAAAACACAAAATTAGCCAGGCGTGGTGGAGCATTCCTGTAATCCTAGCTACTCAGGAGGCTGAGGCAGGAGAATCGCTTGAACCCAGGAGGCGGAGGTTGTGGTGAGCCAAGATCAAACCATTGCGCTCCAGCCTGGGCAACTAGAGTGAAACTCCGCCTCAAAAAAAAAAAAACAAAAAATAAAGAATGCATGTCTTCTAGTCATGAGTGTCCCCCTGAACCCAGCACTGTGCCTGAAATAATCAGCTGGATTGCTGATCCATGCTTATCACATTGTGTGTTCTTGAGGAGGAGCAAAATGCAGAGCAGGTGGGAAGCAATGCCCCAGAGGAATGACTGTGGAAGTGAGAACAGGGGAGTTAGCCTGAGTATCCTAGACTCGATGAAGAAGGCTTTTGTACAATCATTGTGGTTCATGGTGATCCAAGGACAAATCTTTCCTTCAAAGCAAGCTGTCGGGAAATCCCATTTCTCATTGAAAATTGTAGTATTCCGTGGAAACTTGCCATGTTATATCAAGTAGCTGATTTCTTAATAAGTGAATTCATCTCCTTTTCTACAGTAGCATTCTCTCACCTTCATTCACCATCTGTCCTTTTGAATTTATATTAATGGATCCCTTCCAAGACATTCGCAGGTTCTGATGTGGGATAAATGTGTGCAAAAATGCTCCATTGCCAGGAAGGCTGTTCTGTTCCCCACCCTTACTGGTGCCAATAAAGATGTTCTTCCCTGTGCTCTGCTTCTCAGAAGTGTAAGCATTTGTGACTCATCAACGCAACACTAAAATTCACTTTTTAAGAGCATATAGTTGTGCTCTCTTAAAGGACAGAAGCAATAAGGCCGCTGACTGTGACTGACTGTTGAAAAAACCAAAGCCTCCATATTTTGCACTTGTCAATTCAACTCTGGAATACAGCCGTGACAATGAAAGATTTACTATTTTTGGCTACAAGTAACTAGGTTCAAAAAACAAATCTCCATTTAATGGCAGTGATTATTTTAGTCCACTTTGAGAGAATCATGTAAGTATATTTTATATTCTCGTGATCCTTTTATCTACTGGGAAATATTCAAGGGGAAAATCAGACTCAGATTATCATTTCTGGAAGGAGAAAAATGAATCTCTTTACTTAGCCCTCCTGGATATGAATGCTGGCCCTGAATTTACCACCTAGGTAGCCTTGGACCAGTTACCTAACCTTTCTGGATCTTAGTTTTCTCATTTTTAAAATAGAAATAATAATAGCGACATCACAGAGTCATTGTAAGAATAAGGTAAGTGAACACATGTGAAGTGTGTAAGCCCGCACGGAAAGCACCATACATTTGCCTTGTTGTGAATGTCGCCATGTTGTGAATGTCCTGATGACCTGTGACTGCCAGTCAGTGTTTGGCATAAAAGTCAGTGGCCACACCAGAAAGTCATATGATCGGGGGTCCGTATCAAAATGACTAGGAAAAAAGAAAACTCCGCAGTGATTCTGGATATCAATTTCCCTTCACTCTCTTTTAAATGCCACCCAGGCTGGAAGTAGCAGTGGTTTGAGATTCAAATGTTTAAAAAGCGGCGGAGGGTCTCCTGCCAATTGTTTGTGGAAATAGCGCACAGCTGGAAAGAACATCCGTCACTGCAGGCCCTTATCTCCTGCGAGGGTAAGGAGCCCTCTGTCTCTCCTGGTCTCATCATTAGCAAGGGATAAAGGGCAGCAGTGGCTTACATTTCCACTTCAGCCTTCCCACACAAAAAAATTAAATCTGATAAGGCAAAATGCTAACATATTTCAAAGCTCCCATTACATAATTCAAAGAGAGTTTAGAAGCTTTCTTTATTTCTCTTAAATTATTCATACCATAAATCTTTAAAATATTGAAACTCCTTTCCCTAGCAGTCAAAGGAGAATGCTGATGGCAAGCTCTCTGCGCGTTACTGAAAGAGACAAGATCGATCCTGGGGGCATAGGAAAGGGACCGCGGCAGGCAGGGGAATGGCCTCCCCATAGAATCTTCAAAGGATTTCATTCAGCCTGCTCTGCTTTATGGAACTAGGAATGTTTTTCTTTTGAGATTAAGATTTTACCAAATGGCATTTATTTTTTCAGATGTTGGTCTCAAGGAAGAGCCTTTAACAAGACACAAGCAAAGATGTGAAGTAGAAATGTCCTCCTACAGCAAATGAAAAGTCGCTCATTAGCAAAACACCAGGGTGCTACTATCTAGACACTAGTGCAGCTGGCACCAATTCGGAGAGGAGAATGATTCATTACCATGGTTACTGATGCCAGAAATATTACCTTCTGCAATCAGCATACACAAAGATCCTTTAAAGAGAGTGTAAAAATTAGAGCACTGTAAACAATTTGTGAAAATTGCCAACAGCACGGAGGCTGAACTTACACAATGCTGCTTTTTGGGCATAAAAACAGGGGATGCACCATTGCTGCACCAGCAAATCTTGCTGAGGGCAAAAAACAACACTCAAGCCCAGGGAGCTTGCTGAAGGCCCCCCAGCAGACATTTCCATACAAGTTTATTACCTGTCCCACTGGCAATTTTAGAGCAAGATCTGGCTGATTGGTAATATCTGCACGATCAAGTTCTGGTTCATTAAACCCGTTAGTGAGATTTGCAAAGGGTCTTGAAAAATGCAGTATATTATAGTAATGGATTAGTATAGCCCAGCGCTGTTGCTTCTTGGAAACAAGATAGGAATAAAAGCCGGGCGCGATGGCTCATGCCTGTAATCCCAGCATTTTGAGAGGCCGAAGCGGGTGGATCACTTGAGGTCGGGAGTTAGAGACCAGTCTGGTCAGCATAGTGAAACCCTACCTCTACAAAAAATACAAAAATTAGCCAGGCGTGGTGGCACATGCCTGTAACCTCAGGTACTTGGGAGGCTGAGGCAGGAGAATCGCTTGAATCTGGAAGGCGGAGGTTGCAGTGAGTAGAGATTGCGCCATTGCATTGCAGCCTGGGTGATAGAGCAAGACTCCAAGTCAAAAATAACAACAACAACAACAAAAAGATAGGAATAAAGAAGTTTTGCTGTTAAATGACACACAGTTTTTATTTTCAACTGCAGTGGATGATTTCCCAAGTTTTGAAATAGGAAAATAGATTAACACCCATGAGAAAGTTCTGCCTGAGTGGATGGGTCATTTCTGTACATATTTTATCCTGTTTAAAGACTGTCAATACCTTAAGGTAATCCATGGTACTTTCTGTATTTTTATTTTTATTTTTGAGAGAGGGTCTTGCCCTGTTGCCCAGGCTGTAGTGCAACGGCGCGATCTCAGTTCACTGCAACCTCTGCCTCCCGGGTTCAAGCAACTCTTTCACCTCAGCCTCCCGGGCAGCTGGGATTACAGGCGCCCACCACCACACTGGGCCAATCTCTGTGTTTTTAGTAGAGATGGGGTTTCACCATGTCGGCCAAGCTGGTCTTGAACTCCTGACCTCAAGTGATCCACCCACCTTACCATGGTACTTTCAATAAACTCTAGTTCGAACTTGGCAAATTCTGCTGAAAATGACTATAGTAAAACTTGTTATTCAAAACTAATGTCTAAGTCACGAGCATTGGAGCAGATAATGAACTGACATTTACCTTCCCCAACATAAGCTCTTCATAAAAATGTTGTTAAATTAATTAGTGGTATAAACAAAATAATAGTAGAGAATATCTGATCTAATTACAAGAATAAAGTGTTTTTGTGTTTTGCAACATAATTTGCAAAGCTAATGAAAATGTTCTAGATTTCATATTTGTCATCTATTCTTTAAAGAAAGAATAGCAGTTTATTAATACTTTTTTAGCCACAGTATGGGTTCAAGTGGACATGATTTGACAAATACATACATATGCACATTCATACACATACATATACTTGTAGATGTAATGTAGATCTGTAGATGTAATGGAATTTCCATATGAGCAGGGTGTTTTGTTTACATTATTCATTGTTCTATCCCAAGCACCTAGAAAAGTGATAGCCACATATAAGATTATATACAGGTATAGCCCTTTTTTTTTTTTTTTTTTTTGAGACAGAGTCTCACTCTTGTCACCCAGGCTGAAGTGCAATGGTGCGATCTCGGCTCACTGCAAATTCCACCTCCCGGGCCCAAGAAATTCTCCTGCCTCAGCCCCCCGAGCAGCTGGGATTACAGGTACGCACCACCATGCCCGGCTAATTTTTGTATTTTTAGCAGAGACGGGGTTTCACCATGCTTGCCAGGCTGGTCTCAATCTCCTGACCTCAGGTGATCCACCTGCCTTGGCCTCCCAAAGAGCTGGGATTATAGGCGTGAGCCACTGTGCCTGGCCTAGTCACCGCACCAGGTCTAGTCTTCTAATATCTATATAGTCTGCAGATACACACACACACACACACACACACACACAAATGAATATGAAGACTCTCTCCCTCTCAGAATTCAAAAAGGTTTTCATTGATCTTCTTCGTGAGCTTTCTTTGTTGGAGTCCATATGTCACCAGTGCTCCAGTTAGGTGGTGAGCATGGTCACAGTTCTGTGGGCTCTGAGCCTCCTGACATTTGACAAGTGCTCCCCAGCTTGCTGCACTTGGCTTCTCCAGTTTGACTCTGGTCTACCAGGTTCATGGCCCGGCCCTATGCACTGCTTCTGTCCCTGATCCTGTGTCCCCAAGCCCAACTAGGAAAGAGTGCCTGATTCTTCTTTGCTTCACCTCGATATATTCCTTTCAGCCTCCAAATAGTAGCTGACAGGGACATCACTGACTTCTGATCTCTTCCAAGCATGGCAGCATCCTTACTAGCTTTTCCTTGGTGCCAATGGTTGATATTCGACCATATGCCACCCACAGCTCTCAGAGAACAAAATCAGCTGCTGGAGAAGTCCCTTTGCACACCAAGGCATGGGCAGCAAAGGCAAGACTGGCCACAAGGCTGGGGATGGGCTAAAGTGACGGGCTTGCTGACGTAGTAGCTCCCAGACAGATGACCCCTGGAGGCAGTCACTAAACCCTGCTTTTTTCTCTTTGAAAGAATTACATACCTCCCTGAGATTATCAGGCCTGAGCACAATTATGTGTTTGCTGGGACCTTGGAGTAGAGAGGCTGAGAAGGCACTACAGAAATTGCAACAAGGCGCCTGTGATCCCAGCACTTTGGGAGGCCGAGGCGGGTGGATCACGAGGTCAGGAGATCAAGACCATCCTGGCTAACACAGTGAAACCCCATCTCTACTAAAAATACAAAAAATTAGCCGGGCGTGGTGGCAGGCACCTGTAGTCCCAGCTACTCAGGAGACTGAGGCAGGAGAATGGCATGAACCCAGGAGGCAGAGCTTGCAGTGAGCCGAGACCACGCCACTGCACTCCAGCCTGGGGACAGAGCGAGACTCCGTCTCAAAAAAAAAAAAAAAAAAAACAACAACAAAGAAATTGCAACAAGAAACTCCATGAGACGTGGGTGGATGGTGGCAATGCCTGTCTCTCCCAAAACCTGCCCTATCTCCCACAAAGTGAGGCTGATAGGACCCGGCTGGTGTGGACCCCCTGTGAGGACCCTCACTCCTCTACCTCAATAGAGTATTCACTTCTGTCCAGCGAAGAAACCTAAGAACAGAGATATTTGAGAGTCTGCCCTTTCTCAGTAGGCAGTTTGATGGAGTAGGTCAGAGTGCCAGCTTACAGCCCATCACAGATGGACTTCAATCTCTGCTCTGCTACTTACTACCCGCTTGATCTTGGGAAAGTTGCGTAACTTCTCTAAGCTTCAATTCCCGTAACTGTAACATGGCGGAAGCAGTCACCTACCTCATAAGTTGTGATGAGGACTGGTTGCTGGTGAGCCTGGAGTGTCTGGTGCTTAGGAAGCCCCTGGTGACTCTGTTCCCACTCTTGTGATCATCAAAACAACCCCACATGAGCAGCCTCTGTTTTCTCCTGTGCCCACCCTGAGCAGGCTCAGCATCTGGACCCAACTCCCATCTGTGGCTAACCAACTCCATGATGCAATGATGGGAAATCCATACTTTATTCAAGATTTCATGAGGATTCCATAGAGAGGACTCACAACACCTAACCCACAGTGGAAACAACAAAATTCCCCATTAAACACCTACTTCTCTCTTCCAACATGTTCCTTGCCTGTCAACCGCACACCTTCTCCTTATCTCCCCACAAGACAGAATCTAAATATCTTGCTTGATGCTCTGAGCAGTCCAGTCCACACCTTCAGCTTCAAACCCCATACTGAAAAACACAGGGCTGGGGTCAGCAAATGCCTGCCTGGCCTGACAGCTGGTGTGGTTCTGAAGCTCCACAACTTTGGCCTAATCATCTCTCTCAGGGGTTCTCCTCTCCCCTGTCCTTGGGGAAGGAAACAAGACAAGTCAACCCCAGTGTGAACAATGTCAAGTTTCATTCCTTTACTGTTTCTCTGGGATGCTCCAGTTTGCACAGCCAGGGGGATTTAAGAACTTCTGACTCCAAGGCTTTATCCTTCTCCATCCTCCACATGTGTTTCTCCTGGGCCTTATGCAGATGAAAGATGTTACTGTCTCAACTTACCTTGGTGCAGTTTAACAAGAATATCGGAGATGCCCACCTCCACTCCTTCATCAGCCATGAAATGAAGCGAACCAGAGTACAAAGCCCTTGACATCCTTTCAGGAATTGAACAAAAGGCATGGTTTCCTGGCATAATAGAAACCTTCTAGACTTCTTCCTTCCCAGAAATGGGTGGGCAGCTTACCTCCGCAGGGCCCTACCCTGCTTCCACCCGGGGGCCTGGATCACACATCACCCATCTCTGCGTAGTGATAGGAGGTAGAATATAAGCTTTACCATCCTGCAGCTCGGAATTTGAATCTGGGATTTCCCCACTTAATGGTGCATAAGTTACTTACCCTCTCTGGGCCTCAATTTCCCCATCTACAGAACACAGATAATATTATCTTCCTCAGAAGATTATGGTTAAGACCCAGAGCCTGGCACAACACACATTCCCAGCAGAGAGTTGTGATTTGTTTCTAACGTTGGCAGAGCTGGGTCTGGCGTTTCTGAGCCCACGCGGCTGGCTTCATGGTAAGCATCGGCCCAAGGAGGCTGGGATGCTGACCTCAGGGGCCAGCTGCCTTGCCACTTGGACCCACATTCTGCCTTCCTGCCTAGACCATGGGATTTCATTCTTATTATTTATTTTCCTCAGATAAGAAAAAAATAGACCAGTGGTCCTCAACTGGGGCAATTTTGCCACTTCTCCCACCCCCAGGAGACATTTGGCAATGTTGGTAGACATTTTTGGCCATCACAGCCGGAGTAAGGGTGCTACTGGCATTGGTGGGCAGAGGCCAGGAGTGCCGCAGATCATCCTGCGATGAACAGGACGGCCCCACAGCAAAAACCATGCAGCCCCGCGGGCTGACAGTGCTGAGGTGGAAAACCCTGAAGTAGACCAAACGGATCATTTGGTTTCATCTGTGTCCAGAATATATAATACAAGAACATTTTTTTCTTAAGTAGGGGAATAAGCGGTTGGAGGTAACCATGTAAAAAATACATTTGTGGACAAATCCTTTGAAAAGGACAATAAGAATTGTTATCAAGAGGGTAAGATCTCAGATGATTTTTCTTGTATTTTTAATCTTCCTCTAATGTTATTCAGGCAACAAACAAAGAAAAAAAAATCATTCTAGGATGTGGCACAAGATTCAGCTGGAAATTTAAACAAACAAACCAGCACTTAAAGACTCAACAACCTTCAAACCCTATTCACCCAATGAGCCAATTTGTCCACAACCAGTGCACTTTGAAAACACCTAAGATAGAATCCAACTGAGCAAAATCAGCCTTGGGAGGGGTAAGAAAACCATCCACGTTAAAATAATTTAAGTAGGGCTTTTACATTCATTTAATTTTTACTTCACTGTTCATTAAACCAGAAAATGACAGCAATTGTCATGACTGGTTAGGTCAGTCGAGACAAAAAATTTCTGGTGTGACTGGTTGTTTCTTTAAATTATTACTATTATTATTATTTTTTGCCAGAAACTATTTTGACCTGCCAAGTCATTAACAACTTCCAAGCCAATCTGTGTGTACAAATAGAGCCAAGGCAGAACAGTGGGGCACAGAGAAAAAAGCAGGCACTTAAAATACCTTTTACATTATTGTAGGATCTATAGCTTCCATCATAATGAAGGAAAAAATATGACATTTATAATGAAATGAAGTGGCTGAATATCAGAAGATGTAATTAAAATGAGGAGGAAAAAGACCCCAATACGTAACCGTAAAGGTTCATCACGGCAAGATGCGTAAAGTCCTGTTCATTTGAGGCCAGAGAATGGCTTAGATCCCAAAATACTGTACTCTTAAAGAATGAGTTACTCACCATATTTCTTGTGAGCCGAACATGTGAGATACAATAAATGCTTTTAGTCACTGTCAGCACAGTGGAGATAATTTGCATATGATTTACATATAATCTTTTTGCAGGCAGATTACGGCGTTCACAAGTCTAATCTTTTTTTTTTTTTCCAAAGAGAAGGAGCCATTGACTAATGGATTTCTTTTAGATAATGTTAGAGTTTTCCAGCTTTTGTTGTTCCTGCCTCTAACCACTGAATATTAGCAAGCTCATAAATTGTCCTTTTGATTTACATATTAACACTCTGATCAAGACAAGAAAGCATGACAATCTAATCTTTGAAATGGTTATATAGTATGGGGTTGGGCTTAGTTCCCTGGGAGAAATGCCAAAGTTATAAAATTATAAACTACATTATTTATGAAAGAGAAATGTGTCCTGACAGAAATTAATTTAAAGGCAGAATTCTGTAATGGGTACAGCTTATTTGATCTGCCCATTCTACCCTGTGTAGTCTTGCTGTACTAATCTGTTTATTTACTCACTGATACACTTATGCTGTACTCCACAAATGATTCTAGGAAGCACACACACATACATAAAATGCACACACATAAGAATAGTTGAGATGACAAAGAATTAAGCCAGGGAGAGACTATCACACAAAATTCAAGCCATGCAGAGCTACGGTTCCCAGAGTGAGCTACAAATTTGGTGCCAAGCTTCTTAGCAGCCAAAGCAAAAAGTGCACCCCAATTATCGCAAGGTTCACAGAAAACAAAATTTTTCAGAAGTAGAGCATTTCTTGACTGTGAGACTTGGAAAATTTTCTATTGTGTCTCATGACAGCAAGTTCTCAAAGGATTTGTTAAATAACAGTAAATTTTGTTTTCTGTTTCATTACTTTCTGCGCTTATCTATATCATTTTTGAAATATGTAAATAGAACACAGTTTTGAAAAAACACTACCCGAAAGAAACTCATATTACAGGCGTAAGGAAACATGCATAAAGACGTTTGTACAGCATTGTTTTATTACAGACTAGATTTTCATCAGTAGAAGAATGGCTCCCAGCATGCACAATATGACAAAACCCCATCTCTAATTTAAAAATATATAAAAATTAGCTGAGCATGGTGGTGCATAGTCCTAGCTACCAGCGGGGCTGAGGCAGGAGCATCACCTGAGCCTTGGGAGGTTGAGGCTGCAGTGAGCCGTGATAATGCCACTGCACTCCAGCCTGGGCAGTAGAGCAAGATCCTGGCTCAAAAAAAAAAAAAAAAATAGAGAGAGCGAGAATAGCTCTATAAATTTTGAAATATCCATACATTGGGATATAATATGGCAGGTTAAAATAAATAAATTAGACCTGTATAGATAAATCTCAAAAACATTAAATAAAAAGTGAAACCACCTTTGCAAAAATTATAACAGTAAGAAAATAGGTCAGTGAAGGAGATTATATAACAAAAATATATACATATTTTTACATATGTACACATCCACATATGATTAACAAAAATATATAAACATGGATAAAAAGGATACATAACTTCAGGACAGCGATTCTCTCTAGGGCAGCAAAGAGAGGAATCTGGTGGCAGCCACATTGTGAATGCCAGATGGGGATGGAGAGCCGCAGAGACCCTCCACCAGATCTGTGATATTATGAAATATATACTTGGTCCCTACTTCCTGATAAAAGCTCCTAAAACCTTTGGAATTTCCAGTGACAAGAGTGGCTTTTGGCCGGGCGTGGTGGCTCATGCCTGTAATCCCAGCACTTTGGGAGGCCGAGACAGGCTGATCACCTGAGGTCGGGAGTTCAAGACCAACCTGACCAACATGGAGAAATCCTGTCTCTACTAAAAAAACAAAATTAGCTGGGTGTGGTGGCACATGCCTGTAATCTCAGCTACTCGGGAGGCTGAGGCAGGAGAATCACTTGAACCTGGGAGGTGGAGGTTGTGGTGAGCCAAGATCCTGCCCTTGCACACCAGCCTGGGCAACAAAAGCGATAACTCTGTCTCAAAAAAAAAAAAAGAAAAAAAGAATGTCTTTTGTACGCTACGCTAATGAGATGACTGGTAGCTAAGGGCCTGTAGATAGCTTCAGGGTGGGGACTGGTCAAAGGAAAGACCAAGGCATGATTAGAGGGTTGAGACTTTCAGCCCCATCCCCCAATCTCCAGGGAGGGGAGAGGGGCTAAAGGTTAAGTTGATCACCAATGGCCAATGAGTCAATCAGTCATGTCCACATAATGACAGTTCCATAAAAACCCCTAAAGGACTGGGTTTGGGCAGCTTCTGGGTTGCAGAACACATGGAAGTTCCTGGAGGATGGTGCCCCAAGAAAGGGCATGGAAGCTTCAGGGCCCTTCTCCCATACTTTACCCTATGCATCTCTCCATCTGGCTGTTCATGTGTACCCTTTGTAATAGCCTTCATAATAAATAGGCAATGGTAAGTAAAGTATTTCCTAAGTTCTGTGAGCCACTTTACCAAATTAGTCTAATACGAGGAGGAGCCATGGGAACCCCAATTTATAGCTGCTTGTACAGAAGCACGGGTCACAGATGAGCCTTATGATTGGCATCTGAAACGGGGGTGGGGGGGGCGGGGAGGGTGGCAGCAGTCTTATGGAACTGAGCCTTTAACCTGTGGCATCTGAGGCTATCTCCAAGGAGATAGTGTCAGAACTGAGTTGAATTGAATTACAGGATACCCAGCTGGTGTCCACTCTAGAATTGTTTGGTGTCTGGGAAAAAATCCCCACACACCTTGTATCAGGAGTGTTGTGCTGAGTGGTGTGTGAGATTAGGAAAACTATCAAATATTTTAATATGAAACTCCACCAAACATCTTGGTTGGGATTTTCCCCCCATCTCTAAGATTATCTGTAAGACTTTCTTTAAACAAAAATAGGAAATAAATATGGCAAACCAATTAACAGTCTAATCTTGGTTGTGGGCACTTGGATGTCTCTTATTCTTTCTGTCAACTTTTCAGTGTATTGGAACATTTAATATTTAAATATAAAAAATTAAAGGCCGGGCGCGGTGGCTCACGCCTGTAATCCCAGCACTTTGGGAGGCAGAGGCGGGTGGATCATGAGGTCAGGAGATCGAGACCATCCTGGCTAACACGGTGAAACCCCGTCTCTACTAAAAATACAAAAAATTAGCCAGGCGTGGTGGCGGGCACCTGTAGTCCCAGCTACTCGGGAGGCTGAGGCAGGAGAATGGCGTGAACCCGGGAAGCGGAGCTTGCAGTGAGCCGAGATTGCGCCACTGCACTCCAGCCTGGGCGACAGAGCGAGACTCCGTCTCAAAAAAAAAAAAAAAAAAAAAAAAAAAGAAAAATTAAAATAATAAAAGGGAAGTTAGAGGACAGATTTTAAAGGATCTAGAAGACCATAAAGATGCAACCTTTATTCTCAAAGCAATAAGGCTGTTTGATCAAGGCAAAGCCTTGTCAGAGCTGTTCTGGAGAAAGATGACTCTCCCAGCCACATAGAATAGATACACAGAAGAGTTGGAAGCAAAGAGGTGTATTAGGAAGTTGTTGTGAAATTTCTATTATAAGAAAAATGGTGCAACCTATATTACTTGGAAAATATACAAATATTTGCTTAAAATATATAAGCAAATCTCTTGCTTTTAAATTCCTGTGATACATAATTAACTCCATCTCTGTATTTGAAGGTCATATTCTCAAAAGTTGTCCTATAGGGATTATTGGAGCCCTTACTGTCCCATCTCACCATCAGGCTCAACGTTTTTTCTGACTCAACTGTAGATTTGTGGAAAATATTTTGATTACTATAAAGAGTGAATGAGAAAAACTGAGACTGGGGGTAGGGAGGGAATCAGGAATCAAAAAAGATTATTGCTTCTATTAAGAATACCCTAAGGGGAGCAACATAAAATTAAAACTGAAAGCAGATTTTGTGCAAATCACATGCTAATTCACTGGTGGCCCATCTATTTTAAGTACTGGCTTAGTTACATGTGATTAACATGAGTACATCAAATCCAAGAAGGCACACAACACAACTCACAGTCCTCACAGCAATGCACCGTGTTTATCCCGCTGAGTTTTTCCCAAGAGTAAATTCACCTATAGGAGAAGCTGAAGACCCACACTTGCTCCCTAGCCATAACTTGTCAACTTGCATGATCTGTGCATGCCCCAGGAATTTCCCACAAATCAGTACATTGTGACTGATTTAGAGCACTTTCCATTCTAGTTATAACTCTGTCTACATTAGGTATATGTCTATGGACATTTCTGCTTTCACACTGTAGGGCTGGCTACCAAGTGCTGCTTAAAAACAAAACAAAACAAACAAAC
The DNA here is from genome assembly GCF_000001405.40 of Homo sapiens. Lineage (NCBI taxonomy): Eukaryota > Metazoa > Chordata > Mammalia > Primates > Hominidae > Homo > Homo sapiens. The sequence continues at coordinate 25,148,195 of NC_000013.11, forward strand.
AAAAAACACTCTCAGAATTGTGCTGATTGACTCATCTATGTATTTGTGCTATCTAACCTAGGGGTGGAGTGGTGCTTATAATCTTGTATTCATGGGTAAACTATCTCTTCTCAGTCCCCACGGTGCTGTTTCAGACTTTGGCAGTCACCTTAAGTCCCTCCCACTTTCTGGCTTCCCTTTTCCACTTTAAGAACGTGAGCCCTCCTGGACCTGAAGCGATGCCTGTCGTTCACATTGATCGCTCTTGCTTGTCCTATGTGGATTTCCTCATCTTCTTTCCACTTGGGGGAAATTTAATTTGAGTGTGGCTCCTGCCCTGTGCTAAGGGATGGAACAGGTGACCCACATGTGGCTCTTCAGCACCCAGCAATGATTGGATCAGAGGTGATCACATGTCCCAGAGGCTGACCAATCACAGTCAGACAAATCCCTGGCCACGAAAATTGGTTCGAAGATGAGATTAAGACCCCAATCAGTGGAATCCAGGTCAATGCCAAAATTTGCACTTGACCTCCAGGAGGAAACCTCCTTTTTCTTTCCTTGTGCTGGATCCTAAGAGGATGAGCCAGGGACTAAGCAGTGGCCCCTGAGAATTGGAACCAATGAAACAGAGAGGAAAAGAAACCAAGATCTGATAGCACTGTTTGAATTCCTAGATACATACCTCGCTGAAACCAGCCCTGCCCTTGGCCTTTCCATGAACCAGTGACTGCCCTCTTTGTTTCAGTCAGTCTGAGCAGGGTTTTCTGTCACCTGCTATTGGGAAGTCCTGACTAACCCAGTGCCCTGTTCCGTTCTCCAAAGCAGCCTCTGCATTCCTTCTCCAGGCTACAGGCAGACCTTGTCCTCACACCCTCCACAGATGGCCTGCCTCTTATGCCACTGAGAAAAGAGAAGCCATCAGGGACATAGCCCCCAGCTTCTCTCTTCTGACTTCTCATCTATCTGCACCTCCGCCACTGTTGCAATATCAGAAAAGGCGTCCTGTCCAAGGAAAGCCTGCCACCTCTGCTCCTGCCCCGCCTGCCTGCCCTCCTCTTACACCTAGCTTTATCAGTTACTCCCTTTTCTTTGTGTAGCTTCAGTCTCTCCTGCCGCATGGCTCTTGATCTTCAGCACATGAACTTACATATGTCTCTCACTGTCAGAAGAAGAAAAAGGCCCAGCGTGGTGGTTCACACCCATAATCTCAGCACTTTGGGAGGCCAAGGCAGGCGGATTGCTTTGAGCCCAGGAGTTCTAGACCAGGCTGGGAAACATAGTGAGACCATGCCTCTAAAAAATAAAAACAAAAATTTGCTGGGCATGGTGGCACACGCCTGTGTGCCTCCTAGCTATTCAGGAGGCTGAAGTGGGAGGGTCTCTTGAGCCCAGGAAGCTGAGGCTGCAGTGAGCTATGTTTGTGCCACTACACTCCAGCCTGGATGACAGAGTGAGATCCTATCTCTAAAATAAATAAAAATAAAATAGAAGAAAGAAAGGGAGGAAGGGAGGGCGGAAAAAACAACTTTTCTTCTTCCAGAAAATCAATCTCTCATTCTTTTCTTTTCTTTGCTTCAGAACATGTTTTGTTCAAACATCTCCTGTCCTCGCTCTACTCTCCCATCATTCACGGCAATTAGGATGCTGCCCCTCCGCATCCTAATTGGAGAGCTCCGGAATCTGCCAAGTGCAGTGGCCTACTTTTAGCATTTCACTCCTCTCTCACAATTGGTTCTGCTGATTTATCCTCAGCATCCGTGAGGGCTCCCTCATGGATCTTATGCTCCTTTTCAGTGGCCCTTCCACCCCTTTCCATCCCTGAACCCAACCAGTTTTTTTGGATGAAAAAACTTGTTGAAAATGTGACAAAGTCCACAGTTTGTTTCCCTAGAAACATGTACTTTGCATATCACTGTTCAAGGCTCTTAGTAACAAACTGCACAATACAGTACAGCAGTTTAAGTAGAGGGGGCTTTGCTCAGAGAACAGATAGCTCACACAACGGTTGGGAGCCTGCAGCCCTACAGTAGAGCTGGTCTGCCTCTGCCCAGCGAGGAAGCTTCCAAATCAAAAGCCACCACCAGCTACTGGCGCAAAAGCGATCTGCCTCCACCAGGATCTCTGCCGGCAAAACGGGAGCCCCACACCCCACTCTTCTCTTCTCCTGTGTAACTCCATCCCAGATCAAATCTCACCTGAGGTTCGCTGTCTCCAGGTGACCCTGTTTCTAATCAAGGTCTCGCACAAGCTCATCTTACTGGCAGAATCTAAACCTTGTCCAGAGTCCCAGCTTCAAAGGGGGTGGGAATGTAGTTTCCCACTTTCCAACTTCTGCACTCTAGGGAGGGCTGGAATAAGAGCTACTAACCCATCTACTGTATCACCACCTACCCACAAACACAGAATCCAAGGACTGAAGTTCAAGGATCACATTTTAAAGGTTAATGCTCCTAAGTGCTTTAGTAAGGATTTCTGTTGTTGTTACAAGTGTTGGAAATTACACTTCAAATCACCTATAGTAGGAAAGGGAATTAATTGGCTCAGATAGTCAAAAAGTTCAAGAGCAGAGCTTGGTCACATTCATGTCAGGTGAGCGTGGGCATCAGGATCTGCTTCCCACTCCCTGGCTCTCTTTCCAGCTCTCCACTCTGTTTGCCACCGCTTTTCTCTCAGGCAGGATCTCCCTGCAGGGACTGGGGGCCAAGAGATACCAAAAGGCGGAGGCTCAATGCTGCGAAGGCGAATCAAGACTGTCCGTTATAGGCCGGGTGCGGTGGCTCACACTGTCATCCCAGCACTTTGGGAGGACGAGGCAGGAGGTTCACTTGAGGCCAGGAGTTCAAGAGCAGCCTGGGCAACACAGGGAGATCCTGTTTCTACCAAAAAGAAAAAAAGACCATCCATTATACCAGGATACTCACAACAAGTGTGTGATTTCAGCTACTGCCTTGACCTACCCCTTGACTTATTGGAGATAAATCTTACTTTGATTATTTCCATTCAGTGAAACAGAAATTTAAGGTCACCTGAAGACATGATCCAGCTGAAAGGAAATTTCTAGAAGGAGAGGCACTCTCTTTTTATTCCTCATCCATTCCTTCAGAATGGTAAACAATATTCTGAAGTGACTCACATTCCTTCTGTTTTTCCACTGAAAATGGAATTGTTTACTGTTGAATAATCCAGCTCACTTTGTCAGAATGACGGGCATAGACATTTCTGTCCACAGAAGATTTTTTAAAACATATATACATATTATTGCTTCCCCAGGAACAGAACTGTGAATCCTTATGACCTCCAAATCAGACGATTCCATTACTCTTTCATCTCATGTAAGGAAGGCTCACAACCCAACATGTCCTAATTAACCAATTTTCCTTCCAATATTTGCTTTTCATTCAAAATTTTTCCTGTTTCTATTAATCACCTTCTACCCTTTACCCAAATTAGAAACTTTGGAGTCGTCTGCCATTTCTCTCTCTCTCTCTCTCTCTCTCTCTCTCTTCTTTCATACCAAGTTCTTCACCAAGTACTGTTACCAGCTTCTAATCTCTCTCAAATCTGTGTCTTCCCCTCCTCCTCTCTACCTTCCTTAATTCACAAGGCCTGGAGGTGCAGCAAAAGCTTGAGAACAGGTTTCTCCCCTCCAGTCTGGCCCTTCTGCATTCCACCCCTTGCTAGAAAAGAGAAGCAGACACATAACTGACTTTAGAATCGCCCCTCACTCCCCGTGGAATCTTGAGAAAAGTCATTTCTCCTCCTTGGACTTGAGTTTCTTCATTTGTAAAATAAAAGAGTTGGGAGACATAATGTCTGAGGCCCTTTTCAGCTCAAAACTCCTGGAATTCTAGTTCCAACAATTCTGCCCTACCCATCTCACTGGGTTATTGTGAAAATCAAGAGGTCATATGCATGAGCCTGCTGGAAACCTCCGACTTATTAGGTTTTAAATCTCTAGGAGTGTGATTAATCACCCTTAATTCATCACTGTCATCTCCACCTGGTGCGAAAGGTATGATAATAGCTAACATGTATTGAGCACTTACTGTGTGCCTGGTGTTTTGCGAAGCCTTTTGCACTCATTATCTTATTCAATTAACTCACATAAAAAGGGAACTCTGTCATCACTTACCAGGTCTTAGAATGTGGTCTACCTGTTATCAGATAAGCCACATTCACTGCACTAGATCCCTAGGTGAGCAGAGCGAGGAAGTCAGAGCAGATGAAACAAAAACTGCCAGGAGAATGTCCGTACAGCAGCAGGACCACATACTGTCAGGGACAAGTGGAGCAGGCACCCTACCTGGTGTGCAACCTTCAGAAACCAGGTCCCCGGGGGTCGAAACTAGTGCCCCACCCACAGATGACCAAGGACGTAGCCACAAACGTCTCAGGCTCCATCAGAGGTCTTTCCGGCCACCTCCTTGGGCTCGGGAAACCACAGTTTCTGGGCAATTTTATTCCTCCCCGTAAGAGACACAGAATGTGTGCCTCTCCTACTTTCCTTTTGGCTCTCCTTTCTCCGCCCACATCGCTGCTTTTCAGCTAGACTGCCCCTCTCTCATTCTCGTGTACTCATATTGATTCCCTTGTCCTCACCACTCCCTCTCTCCGTGTCCTCCAATTCCAAATCTTACTCGGGAAATCTCAACCTCAGGAAAAATCCATCTTCCCCTTCCATGTCAGGCTGGGTTCCCCAAAAGCATGGCCAGGTGGGACCCCTGGGCCTGTGTTTTATTCCAGGAGGGCTCCTAGGAGCATCTGGAAAGGGTGAGGAAAGGCAAGAGGAAGCGTGAGAAAGGATGCGGTTTCTGGGGAGATCTACCCTCTGCCAGACCCTGTGGGCGCCTGGAGCAGAGATTTCACCTGAAGCAGAGATTTCACCTGAGAGCCTGACCTGCTTTCAGTCCAGGGAGCAGGGCCTGTGTGTCCCCTTTCCAGGCACAAAGTGGGATGAGGGCAGCTTGCAGACACACCTGGAGAGGGAGTTCCAGCCAAGAGAAGGTCGCAGAGATGAGTCTGTAGGGGCGAAAGGAAAGCTTCCCCTTCACCCTCTGAAGGTTCACTGAAAAATCAACTCACAAAAGGAACACAGATTTATTAAATACACACAGGGGAGAACCAGAGAGCCATAGCCCCCACCTCCAGAGGGGTTCAGAAGCTTATATACCATCCTGAGGTTATAGAAAGAATGGGGGCTTGAATTGTGGCAAAGCAGGTTATGGGAGCAGGGCGAAGAGGAGGCCTGGCCAGCAAAGGTGGTCTTGTTACATAGGTGAAAGCAGCCTTCAGAGAGAACAAATGGTAAACGTTTTTAGACTTCTATTTTTATTTCTTTAGATTCACCTTTTATTTATTTCTTATTTTTTAAATTGACAACCAATAATTATATTCACGGGGCACACAGTGATATATCAATACATATAATGTACGGCAATCAGAAAAGGGCAGTTAGCATATCCATCATCTCAGACATTAATCATTTCTTTGTGTTGGAAACATTCAGCATCATCCTTCTAGCTATTTGAAACTATCTGACGTATTATTGTGAACTATAGTAACCCTACAGTGCTACAGAACACTAGAGCTATTCCTCCTGTTTGGCTATAATTCTGTATCCTTTAACAAACCTTTTCCTGTCCTCCCTTCCCCCTAGGCTGCCCAGCCTCTAGTATCCTCTGTTCTACTTCTTACTTCTATGAGATCAACTTTTTTGGCTTCTACACATGAGTGAGAACATGCAGTGTTCAACTGTCAGCCTCTCAGTTCATTGTTCTTAGATGCAGACAAGGGAAGGACTCAGAGAAACCAGGATGGCCTCAAGCCGGGTTTTCTCTACAGATGCAAATCTGCCTCACAAAAGGCAGCTTTGCAAGGCTAGTTCTGTTCACTGGTCCTCTGAACGGCCATCTCAAAATATGCCAAAGGATATTTTGGGGTGAAATGTTTTTGTTTCCTTCAAGTTATTATTAGCACCAGCACCTGAGCCTCCCTGGAGACCTGGGCAGAGCTGCCCTAGTGTCTGCAGCAGAATTCCTCCTTCTTTCCATTCCATTTGCCTTCACTGTTTTCTCTTTTATGTAATTACCCAGGTAGCAAGGGCGGAGAAATTATTTTTAAAGCTGGCATCAGACTTGCTACTAAGGAAACACCTGTTTAGGGAAACACTTGTATTGTCCTGTTTTCTGGGCAGGTTGAGAGCAGAGGCTTTAGGGAGATGAGGAAACAAAGTGAAAACTATGAGCAGGTGGTGCTCAGAAAAAGAAACCCAAACGGCCAGTAAATATAGAAAAAGATGCTCAGTCTAAAAGCTAAAAGCTGGCTGGCACAGAGAAGAAAAGGCCCACTCACTTGTGTCAAGGTGGCTCGGGGTTTGTGGTGAAGTATATGCTCCAGAGCTCCTCTGAACCCACAGTTTTGCTCAACTGAATTGCCCACTCCTGTGGTTTGAATATTTGTCCCCTCCAAAACTCATGTTGAAACTTCATCCCCAACATGGCAGTACTCAGAGGTGATTGGCAGAGCCCTCATGATGGCTTAGTCCATTCATGGATTCATGGATCGATGGGTTAATGGATTGATGGGTTACCGTGGGAGTGGGACTGATGGCTTTATAAGAAGAGGAAGAGAGACCTGAGCTAGCACGTGGGCACAATCAGGCCCCTGGCCATGTGAGGCCCTGTGCCACCTCAGGACTCCACAGAGAATCCCCACCAGCAAGGCCCTCACCAGATGTGGCCCCTTGACCTTTGACTTCTCAGCCTCCATAACTGTAGGAAATAAATTTCTTTTCTTTATAAATGACCCAGTTTCTGATATTCTGTTTTAAGCAACAGAAAATGGACTCAGACATCCACCATTTGAAGGACTGCATTTAAATTTAAAGGACCAGGTTATCATTTCTATTGCTTTCTGATATTTTAAAATGAAAAATTTATCAAATGTGTATATTTAAGTTTGTAATTGAATTTCATACTAGAATCCACTGAGATTCATTATGTTATTCATTGGTGCTATTGCTGCTCTTATTTAACAGCTACTGGGAGAGGGAGAAATAGAAAGTCATTTTCTTCTGATGTAAAACGGGGAGAATAACTGAAATGACTGACTGCAGTCTGGAGTTTCCCTAAAAGGTGAGTGAATCTCACATGAGCTTGGAGACCTCACGACATTGAGAAGGGCAGGGCCCTCCCAAGCTTTTCCTGTCATGGCGCTCATAGAAAATGACAATATTTATACAGCACAGTGGGGATCTGAGGACAACCGTATGGGACTTGGTAAACCGCATTACATTTTCTTCATATCATAATTATGTCAAGAAAAATAAGTATCCAGGGAACTATTTAATATTAACTTTCTTAAAATTTTTCAATAAAATCTTTTTGAGGACTTTACTGAGAAATGTGGGCTTGCTGTCTTGGGCGTAGCTTGTCTCTTGGGTTTTGAGCCAAAAGTGGCTCTGCATTTTTTTTCTAAATCTCCATAGTCGCCATCCAGGAGAAAACGTGTTCACACGAACGGGTGATAAGTTGGAAACCATTTTGCAAATCTTCCAAACATTTATAACACTTGAAATTAGATTTAAAGAATCTAACAACACTTTCTTTTCTTTCATGATGAAAGGTCTTACAATAGTGGCAAATAGATTTTGACTCCAGTTGGACTTTTTGGCATCAAACATTTTGCAAAGAAAAAGCTCTCCCTTTTTCATGTTTATCTTACTTGCTTTAGAACAGTCATTTGAGGACAGAGACTCCACTCAAAGTGCCCATCAGCCAGAAACAGACAAGCCTGGTGAACGGGAAGGCAGAGATTGGGGCCTGGCCTACCTGGCACTCCCACCCCAAAAAAGGCTACACATTGAGCCATGGAGATCTGCTCCTTGGACATTTCCAACATAAACTCCAGCAGCAGCTCCACCTGCTTGTCCACTAAATAAGGAGCAGGTGGCTGAAGTCCATCTCCAGGTGCTGGGTCACCTTGGTTGCCCCTCCTAATGCTGCAGGGAGTCCCAGTGTTCCTCATCCGTGCTCAGTCCTGGGGGAACCATGGGACAGTGTTGGGTCCTCCACCTCCTTTCCAGCCAGTCTCAGAGGAATGCCAAGCCAGCATGCTGGCCAGCCCATCCAGGCCCTGCCAGGCTGCCCTAAAGGCTGAGATCAGTTCCTCAAAGCACACCTCTGAGGAGTACCCAGTGAAAGCCATATGCCAGGAGGGGAAAAAGATCTCTTCAGGGAGACAAAGTTTCATGAAATAGCTGGGAAACAAGTGTAGCTGGCAGAGCAATTGGACATACAAGCTATAAGAACATACTATCAATTTTTACTTCTTTATTTATAGAAAATATAATGAAAATGATTTTTTTAAATACTTGATGTGGAGCTGATAAAGTTAAGCCTTTCTTTTCACTGTATTCGGCAATACTGCAATTCGTTTCTGATGTTGGCCACTCAGGTTAGCATAGATTCCATGAGGTGAAGGGAACAAGAATGTCCTCATTTCAGATGGCAGCCACATATTCAGAGGTCCAGGTCACTTGCACAATTTGGGGGTTCCCATGACCCCCTTAGGTTTGATAACTCATTATAACCACTCAGAGAACTTAGGAAAGCACTAAACTTACTGTTACAATTATTATAAAGGACACAACTCAGGGCCAGTCAAATGCAGAAACACATGGGGCAAAGTCTGGGAGGGTGCCAAACACAGAGCTTCATGCTCTCTGTCCTTGCAATTGGGACATGTCACCCTCTTGGCACATCAATGTGTTCACCAACCAAGAAGCTCATCCAAGAAGCCCCAGCGTCCAGAGATTCTATTAGGGTTTAATTCCATGAATCACTGGCCATGTACTTGAATTCAATCTCCGGCCCTCTTCCCCATTCTGGAATCCAGGAGTCAGGAAGCCATGGCTCAGAGCCCCAACCCTTTAATCACAGGGTTGGTATTTCTGGTGTGACTAGCCCCAATCCTAAGTCATCTCATTAGCATAAACTCAGGTGTGGTCCAGGAGCCCCCCATGAATAATGAAGACAAGTTTATCACTCAGGAATTTCCAAGGATTTAGAGGTTATCTCCCAGGAAGAGGAACAAAGACCAGACAAATTACTTATTCTACAAAAATCCCAAAGAACACCAGTTCTTCACAACATGATTCTCAGAACAAATTTCCCCCAAAAGCAAGAATTGTATGGATTTTCCCCCAAGGAAAAATAAATGAATTATTGGGAAGATAATGTTGGACTAAAGGTCAGTATGAAGAAAGGCAGTTAAGAGAATAAAAAATAATGATGTTAATGAGAAGGAAAGATTACAACCAAAAATCTGAAAAGAAATGATCAATTAAAAGGTGCAAGTCCTTGGGCGGGTGGCACCACAGATCATCTGCAAGAGTGCAGCCAAGTACAGTGTCATCTTTTATTGCTATTTAAAGACCTACAGGTTGGGATATCAATCTTGGTGGACCATCACTCCTTGAACCAAATGTTGGGCTTAGACTTACCAATGGATGGGCCACTCCACATAGGAGAGAAGAAATCCACCTGACATCTACCAGGCAGCCACTATTATTGGTTGTAGGCTTGCATCAGACCTGGTGGTGCATTTCTGAAAGACTGAGAAAACAAGATGTGATGCGAGTCTTCTGAAATGCAGTCCCATGGGCAAAAGAAAGAATTAGAAGCTTGTTAAGAAACACATTACCATCTGCAAAGAAGTACCAGACATATATCTGTGAGAAATTGGTGTCTTCTGGGAAACACTGAGGTGCCAGCAGCTGACGGGGAAAGATAAAATAATGATCACTGTATTCTTCCTGCCAACTTGGGAGATTTTCTTGATGAAGAAAGATAAGAGGTAAAAATGTCAGGCATGCAGGCCTTCACTTTCTTCAAAGTGAGAAGTTTGTAAAATAACCCTGAGTACAAGTGAGTTTTTTCCATGCTCATTTCACAACAAGTATGTAAAATTCTACACAAAAAGGAATATACAATTTTCCTAAAGTCTGAGTTCTTGATTGTGTCTGTCTCACACATTCTTCACTAAATATTAATTGCGTCCAAATGTCTGGACATTTGGTATCTGTAGATAATTGTCTTTTTCAAAAAGAAATAAAAAACAGAAAACCTTCCTTTCTCTAAGGGAAGAGGAAAAATACTATTGTTAAAACTTTTAACAAATACATCAATATTTCATCCATTCTAAGATCCACATTTTCACAATTTTACGTCTCTGAAATTGAGTGCATCTTACAATTGGCAGCCTTTTTTTGCGACACATGAAAGAAGAGCGCATCTATAGTACCTTAAATTGAATGAAATGTGAGCAATTGCTTAAAATAATGTTGCTAGACAAAGTGTTTAAAGTTTAAAGAAACCCACTGTCCTGAAGAACTTAAGTACTCTTCAGGAATACGACAGGAATTAGGTATCCAAATTCTGGAATTGTTAGAGGACACTAAGAACTGCTTCAGTCATGTGAATCTATCACTTTGAGATATCATATGTTTCTCCTTCAATCTCTTAAAGAAGTAAATAATATTTATAGGGATTTCATTTTAACAGGAATCCATATTTGTATTCCTGGAATAAACTCAACGTAATCATGATGTATGGTTGATTTTACAGACTACTAGATTCAATTTTTTCTAATAGTTTATATAGAAATGTTGAATTTCACAATAGAGATGTGTCTATAATTTTTAATAATTATATACATTTCTATAAATTCTATAAATTTCTATAAATTTGGAATTGCCTGATCACTAGATTTTGCTGAAACATTGGTTCTGCTATCTGGTTTTACTGCTTTGCTTTGTTTTGTTTTGTCTGGAGGGGGAGAGAAAGAGTTTAACTACCAATTCACTGTCTCTCATAGTTCCAGGACTCTTTAGGTTATCTATTTCTTCTCAAGTCACTTTTGGTTATATATTATATATTCTCATATAATATATTATATATGCTCATATATAATATATTATGTATGCTCATATATATTATGTATGCTCATATATAATATATTATGTATGAGCATATATAATATATTATATATGAGCATATATATTGTTATATATGAGCATATATATTATGTTATATATGAGCATATATATTATATGTTATATATGCTCATATATAATATGTTATATATTCTCATATATAATATATGTTATATATTCTCATATATAATATATGTTATATATTCTCATATATAATATATGTTATATATTCTCATATATAATATATATTTTATTCTCATATATAATATATAGTATATCATATATATTCTCATATATAATATATAATATATTCTCATATAATATGTATTATATATATCCTCATATATAATATATATTATGTATAGTCTCATATATATTATATATATTCTCATATATATTATATAGTCTCATATATATTATATATAGTCTCATATATAATATATATAGTCTCATATATATAATATATATATACGCATATATTCCTATGTTTTATACACACACACACACACGCACACGAATTTGTATATTCTACCTTAGTTTTAAAAATCTATTGTCATAATATGCCAGACATGGTGGTTCGTACCTGTAATCCTAGCACTTTGGGAGGCCGAGGCAGGAAATTGCTTGATCCCAGGAGTTTGAGACCAGCCTGGACAACATGGTGAAAACCCACCTCTACAAAAAATAAAATAATTAGCTGGGCATGGTTGTGTGGGCCTGCAGTCCCAGCTAATTGGGAGGCTGAGGCAGGAGACTCGCTTAAGCCCAAGGGGTCCAGGCTGCAGTGAGCCATGATCATGCCACTGTGCTCCAGACTGGGCAACAGAGCTAGACCCTGTCTCAAAAAAAAATTATTGCCATAATATTTATAACATTCTTTCATTATACTTTTTATCTCTACTGCAACTGTAGTTATGCCCATCTAATTTTGAACCATACTTTTTATCTTTTCTTTTTTTTCTTTAAAAATATTGTTAGATGGTTTTCAAAAAATTTTTATCTTTATTGATCTACTTTAGGGTATCTTTGTTTTCTGTATTATTGCTTTCTGCTCTTATTAATATTAATTCTCTTTTCTTTCCTTTTTCTTTTTTTTTTTTTTTGAGACGGAGTTTCACTCTTGTTACCCAGGCTGGAGTGCAATGGCCCGATCTCAGCTCACTGCAACCTCCACCTCCTGGGTTCAAGCGACTCTCTTGCCTCAGCCTCCCAAGTAGCTGGGATTTACAGGCCTCAGCCACCATGCCCAACTAATTGGGATTTTTAGTAGAGATGGGGTTTTACCATGTGGGTCAGGTTGGTCTCGAAATCCTGACCTGAAGTGATCCACCTGCCTCAGCCTCCAAAAGTGATGGGATTACAGGTGTGAGCCACCTGGCCAGTTCTTAATTAAAATTCCTATGTGTTTATTCTTTTATTCTTTTCTTAACTTCTTACATTTAATTAAAATGGATTCTCAGCTTGTTAATCCTCAGCTCCTTATCTTTTATAACCTATTTGAAGCTATAAAATTCTCCTAAGTACAGATCTGGTTATATTTCATGTCTTAATATAGATCCTTTTCATAATTATGCACATCTAATTGTTTTTTAATATCCTTACTCATTTATTCTCTGATCCATGAGCTATTGAAAGGTGCATTTTTCAAATGTCCAAATGTATGGAGTGATTTTAATTATCTTTTTAATACTAATTTCTACTGCAGCTGTGTTATGGTAAGAGAACACATTCTGTGAGGAACTATTTTTTGAAATGTGTCATGACTTACTTCATGGTCTAGGATGTAATCAACATTCACAAATGTTTCATTTGCTTTTCAAAAGAACGTGGATTCTCTAACTGTTTGGTCCAGGTTTATAATATGTGGCCAAAGGTGTTGCTCAAATCTCTTTATCCTGACTGATTTTCTGTGCTTGACCATCAGCTACCAAAAAAGGTCTAGGAAACAGTCCTCGCCACCCTACTGTGGATGCATCCACCTCCCCTTATGGTTCTCAGCTCATTCTTGGACCAAGGAATGGATAGCTGTTGGCCTCCAGGGATCAGTAGCTACATCTTGTGGTTTCCGGCCTCCTTTCCTTGAGAGGCTTCCCTACCTGTTACACATAGAAAATGAAAACATACCACCAGAACCAAAATAAACAAAAACCAGAAAGCAACTCTTTAGAAAGACTCCAGTGGCCCTTATGTTGCCACTACCTGACAGTCAGCACGGATTAGCCGGCCTCATGAGAGATGATAAGGAATGGAGATTTTCTGAGTAAAAGACTCAGAATTCAAATCAGAGTCGGAATAACAAATGAACTTTTCAAAAGACAGCTGCCCAAACCAAACAAGGAATTTTTCACTTGTTTACGAAGTGTGGAGAGAAATATGGGCCTCCCATTGGTCTTTCCACGAGATAGTCACACACACATCACCTCCTCATCATCACCATCATTAGTATAATTTATAAAAATTGAAAAGACCGGAAATAAAATTGATCCTGGAGAAATAACAACCAACAGAATTCACTTTAAATGCAAAGGAGCAACAAAATTTATTGACTGAATTAAACACAACAGTAAAATGGCAGTGTTGTAATTTCATTTTCAGATGTTTGAATGGAACAAGAAAAGTGCTATTAGCCCAAGCTTCTTACATTCATTAAAAGAGTGACTATCAAAAACAGCAACATGCACAATGGTACATATGCACAAAATGGAATTATATCAACAAATATACAAAATACCCAAAATAAAATATTTACAGGTTTAAAAATATAAACATTGATTCCTCTATCCCATTAAACCATTGGAGTGGAGAAAGGAGGAAAGACCCTATTGCTATTTAGAATCCTTTTTAAAACAAGTTTTTAAAACATAGAATTAGTTCTAGGAGACAATTTTTGATGTTTTTCAGGGGTTTAACATTCTATTATAAAAATAACATCTATAAACCTACTAACAATTTTCCTCCTGTGCACAAAAATAATACTGCCAAAACCTGTCCTCAAAGACATGCCTGACTTTCAGGAAAGCTAATTATGGAAATGGAGTTTCTCGTTTGGGTTATTTTTGTTACTATTTTCAAATAACCAGCAACTCCCTATATTACACTGAGATACTTTATATAAATAACGTGGGCGAAACCTGAAGTTCACAATGAGCCTGCTAGGTAGCTGGTGTCAAGTACAAATGATAGGAATTGACTTTGCCAACAACATCAAAAGCATTTTCCCTGATATTCCTGATAGACCTACCACTATCAGATCCTCCATATTCAATAAGATTTATCCTGGAAGCAATGAAAATGTTAAATATTACTTTGCTAGAGTTTCTCCTCCTTTATTTAGAAATAAATGTGTAGTGGGGACCAGTGGTTGTAATGTAGATACTTGAGAAGTTTCATTGATTCCTTCAGGCCACCTGGAGCCATTTCAAGGCAAGTGAACAAGCATTTTCTGCATGTCTACTCCATGCCCCTATGTTATTGAACCAGATATTTTTAGTATTTCTGCCTTAGTTTGTTAAATGATTCAGGTCTGAGAGTATCTGAGAAGGTATAGTATGTCTCAGGTAACCAGAAACCTAAGCCATATCTTATTTAAAACGTATCTTCTCACATAGAGCAAAAGTTATTCTACTCGATTATTGAAGCATTTCCAAAATTACCCATTTTACCAATACCTACCTTACATGGTTCTTGTGAAGAGTAAAGATAACAATGTAAAAAAAGCACACAGCATCCTCTCTGGCAACATAGTAAACATACAGGATATGTTAGTAGAATTCAATATAAAATACTCATCTTCATGGTGGCTGACTTATTGATGGTGTTCAATAGCTATTAGTTGAATGAGTTAATGAATCAGAAAATGTAGGACAGGATTCAGTGGCTGTAGACACAACATAGGACGGACAGCTATTAAAGGAGCCAAGTGCTTATTTCTGAAGTTCAGAATTGCATGGAGGCAAGGGACAACTCATACAGCTGTCATTTAAACAAACACAGATAACAAGTTGGCAAAGATGTGGAGAAATTGGAACCCTTGTGCACCATTGGTAAGTATGTAAACAGATGCAACCACTGTGGAAAGCAGCACAGAAGTTTCTCAAAAAATTAAAAATAATTCTATGTTTAATTAGAATTACCATATGAATGACCCAGTCATTCCACTTCTGGGTATTTATTCAAAAAAACTGAAATCAGGATCTTAAAGAGATATTTTCACTCCCTCGTTCGTTGTAGCATTACTCATAATAGCCAAGATGTGGAAATAATCTAAACGTCTGTCAGTAGATGAAAGGGTTTTTAAAAATGCAGCATATACATATAAGGAAATATTATTCAGCCTGAAAAAAGAAGGAAATCCTGCCATAAGCAACAACATGGCTAAACTTGGGGGTCGTTATGCTCAATGAAATAAGCCAGTCACAGAAGGACAAATACTGCGCGTTTCCACTTCTATAAGGGATCTAAAATAGCCAGACTCACAGAAGCAGAGAGTAGAATGATGGCTGCCAGGGGCTGATGGGGGAGGAAATGAGGAGCTGCTGTTCAATGGGCACAGAGTTTCAGTTACGCAGGATGCATAGGTGAGAGAGATTTGCTGTACAACACTGTGGCTATAGTTAACAATACTGTATTGTGTACTTAAAAATTAAAGAAGGTAACCCGGGCGTGGTGGCTCATTGCCTGTAATCCCAACACTTTGGAGGTAGAGGTGGGCAGATCATTTGAGGTCAGGAGTTTGAGACCAGCCTGGCCAACATGGTGAAACCCTGTCTCTACTAAAAATACAAAAACTAACGGGCATGGTGGTGCACGCCTGTAGTCTCAGCTACTTGGGAGGCTGAGGCAGGAGAATCACTTGAACCTGGGAGGTGGAGGTTATAGTGAGCCGAGATCAAGCCACTGCACTCCAGCCTGGGTGACAGAGTAAGACTCCATCTCAAAAAAAAAAAAAAAAAAAATTAAAGAGGGTAGATCTCATATTCAATATTCTTACTGCAATTAAAACACACACACATATGCATAGACCACCCAGAACCCACCAAGATGGCTTAAGGTAGGAATAAAAACAAATGAAACAAATATGCTTTGAATGAATGATACCCTGTCAGGGAAGAAGTATCGCCATGACAACAGAAGAGATTTCTGTCTGTACTTCCCACATTAATCCTAAGAGAAGAGGATCCCTCCAAGGGAAGGCCAATGTTTGCCTACTCAGCATAGCACAGTGGCAGGGTTCCCTGTATATGATTGTGAGCACCATCATCTCAGACACAAAACTAATTTTCAGCTGCGTGGACATGGGTTAGCTCTTTCTATTAGAAGTGAGCTGACAATGACACTAAGCAGTGCTTAGCTCTCTATTACTGAAAATCACTAAAGAGTTTATATCCCTGTCCTAGAGACTAGGGGAAAAGAGAGAGAGAGACAGACAGACAGAGATGGAAAGGGATAGAAACAAAAAGGATGAATTAAAGCTGTCTTACTGGGGAGATAATATTACCTACCCCACATGGCTGTTAAGAGGACTAAGTAATTATTTCTAAATCTCCTAGCAGTGCCTGACACATAGTAAGTATTCAATGAATGTTAACCATTGTTACATTTACTATTTTTTAGAGGCATTTGTGTGGCTTAATTCATAGTGCCCTTCTTCAACTTCACACCACTTTGCTTCACCCCACAAACTATAAGCAACAAATGCAAATACCAAAAAAAAGTAAAATAATATTGTTTTGTGTTTTTAATGAATATTAAGAAAATCCAATTACAGCGCAGCTTAGGTGTGAGCTCCAAACTGAATGGGTTTTATTAAGTATTTGATACAGTCTATGCCCCATAAATATGTGTTGCATTGAATTAAAGTAAATATCCATCATAAAAGGTGCCCAATTTCAGTTCTGGAGGCTTCATGACTATTTTCATCTTTCCTTTTGCAGTTTGAGAAGGAACTCCTTTCCGTAATCACGAAACTATCATTCTGAATCACCTCTTAAAAACATCATCTGCAGTGACATAATAACATTCCTTAGAAGTGGCTATTGTTGCAACAATCTGTCTCCTTAAACCTTATCACAGTGCAAGGCTTTTGAGAAGCAATGCATGACAGCCACCGGGAAATCTTCAGAGCAAGATGAGGTCTCACAATCAATGGCCGCCTGTGAGGAGCCACACTTACACGCTGCACTGACAATGTCACAGCTCGCTTCTGCCTGTGAACTACACCCTTGCCTTTTGCTTCCCCACACAGGCTCTGTAAGACACTCGTCTACCATACTACCCCTTTGGTTCCAAACTGCTTCATAAATATTTTTGTGTGTAATGAATTGAAATTTTCTAAGGCTGAGTTTACACAAATTACAACTGTTCTTTTCCTTGCTCTGCCTGGAGGAGGGGAAAGGGAAACTGGGTTAGGTGAAGTATTTGGGGTTTTCCTCTTATTTCACTCAGATACTTTAAACCAGCTTTCCTCAGTGATGAGATGAGGCAATTGTGATGCTTATTCCTTATGTTTAACAGCAAAAAACTTCTTGAATTAATTTCTTAACAATGAAGGGGAGCAAAGCATACGTGAATGTACTGGAACAGGTCTCAGCAGAAGCCCAGCATCAGGGGAGCCAAATCCATATATTTGTAATTCAGGAGAAAAATTCAGATAACTAACAGCAGGGAATGCATTCCGCCATGCGGACAGAGCCAACATGCTAGCGTCATGTGAAGTGTCCCGTCACTGCTGTCTGAGGGCACTTAGGAGACATGAGCTGCCTGAGTGGATCTCTTCACACCAAGCTAACAGTCAAGAGTTGCCTTTAAAATTAATCTGACAAAGGCGTAAATAATGAAAACTCTTAGAAAATTCAAAGAAATCTCAACACCTGACATAGTCTTTTTACCTGGATAATTGTGTAAGCAAAGGGCTATTTGCATACTGTTTAACTGCAAATACTTGAAGACTACCTCTGAGATGAAGAAATAAATCCTTTAAACACGGTGAGTTATTACCTTCATAGATATTAAACCCTTTGTATTTAAATAAGCAGATAATTTGTGGAAAATGTATCTAAAGGAAGTCCTTTGTATTCTATATTCCATTGTTGTTATTAGATAAAATAAAATGTATCTAGAGGAAGTCCTTTGTATTCTATATTCTATTGTTGTTATTAGATAAAATAATAGAAATCTATTTACTCTTGTGATTATTTAAAATGCTGTAGTAAAATTTCTCCCAATTGGTGCTAATGGCAGGATAAACGCATCAACCACCATCTGTACTAAAGCAGAGTGTTTCAAATAACAGTGTATGTGTAATATAGACATTCAAGTCAGGCTGTCTTTGTGCAGAGCTATTAAACCAACCGATAAATTTTCGCCCAACAATTGATTTGACTTTTTCCTGTCTAATTTGGGCAGCCTTTCAACTAAAGGAAGTCAATCAACCAAGTATCTTAGAATATACATACATGTGGGAAAGATATAATTAGCCTCTATCCAATCCTTCCCTTAAAAAGTCAGCAAATATGGGCCTGAATAATCTTCACAAGGTCATTAGATATAATGTATTAATAAAAATTGGAATGTAAATCTAGGAAAATTCTTGAAAAAACAATCTCCATGAACACAAATGAGAGAAAGTAGCCCTTGGCACAAGAAAGCAACTATGATCCCTTTTCTATGGTTGGAAAAAGTTGAGAATCTACTCTTCCTGCCACTCCAGGGATTTCCCATCAAGTGATTGAGGCTGTTTAATTCATTGCCCAAATCCTTTATTTGATTGGTGTGGGTGCAATTCTTAAAAAATAAGGTAAAAAAAAAGTGGAAAATATAAATTTTAAAAGAAAATATTTTATATCTTTTATAACTGGTTAATTGACAGGTCAGTGGAAATTAAGATAAACTTTGCTCACGTGTTCCTTTTCTTATAAAGAGGAGACACAGCATAATGGTGTAAATGGAGGATTAAGTCCTAAAATTATGAAAGCAAAAACTTTTCTTCTACTGCTTAAGAAATAGATTGCCTTTACTATTACAATATTCTCATAAGTTTTTCAGGTATTCTTAACTTTCCTGTACAATTGAACAAATGAACCAACATAACTTTGCCATGGATTCATGCAAAGGAGAATATAACCCTTGCAGGAAAATGTACAACAAGGAAATCAAGATCCTTTGTTTTACAGCTAGGAATAAAATTTATATTTTCTCCATTCACTAGGGGAAGATGAATGTATTTTGAGCCTAAATAGTACCAGCGGCATGAAATCAAATGTAAATCCCTTGTTTAATACAGAAATAATTTCAAAAATAATTTCCAGATCTAGAGTAGATGTCTTTTGTCTGTTAGTCTGTACACAGTTGAGTGCATGAGCACGTGAGTGTGAGATGCTTATATGAATTCTTGGTAGTGTGTTCAGAATGCTTAAGGCTATGACTGCATATAGGGCCTCATTTACACACATAAAGAAATTAAATATTAAAAGATTACTTTGAAATAACATTATGGATCTGAGACAATGCAATAAAAGCCAGTCATATGACTAATGAAGAAATTCAGCAAACCTCTCCTAATTGAATCACTGCAAATTTAAAATGGGGAATGGCCTACTTTCTGCTACTGGCTCAATTTGCTTTCCTTTGATGTCCATTTATTTTGTTACTTTCTTCATATTATTAAAATAGGTTTTCATATATTTAACTTGCCTTGTTCTTTCATTTATGAAACAGAAAACAAACTTAAAAAGCATGTAATAACAGTTCATTACTAATGCAATCTCTCTGGAAATGAGACTTATACAGAAGTGTTCATGTCATTTACATATGTGCAGTTTCACGTGAATATGCATAATCTTCCTGGTATGATGAATCACCTCCTAGTAGAAGCTCTGGTCTTTTGATTAAATACACTGAAGTGTATTTCAAAAAGGATATTAATTTCATCATTAGACACTAATAGCATTCTAGGAACTGCTTCAGTTTATCATTCAAACTAGGCATATAATAACCCTTTCTGAAATAAATGTTTCATCTGAAATATTAGAAAACATACATAGAAGCAAACCACTTTTCAAAAAAAACTTGGCATAAAGTGTTTACAATACATAAGCTTGCCAGTGTCATATTCTGAACACACTTGTCTTTGTCATAAGTCTATAAAGCAAAAGGCAAATGATGTGAAAAACTGTATCTTTCTATTGTTTTTCTTTATGTGTTCCTCATTTTGCACTCATTATATTGAGGAATGGTTGGATCTGAAATTTTACAATCAAGGTAAAAAAAAATCTGAAAACAGGGTTTGGGGTGAGAAACAGACTCTTACCCAAAACAAGGCAGAGCCATTCCTCTGGGACACCAGCACAATAGATTTTTTTTTTTTTTGAGAACCAGAGAACCCATATAAAACAAAATCAGAATCGCTTCCCATTACAGTACATAACAGAACATCAATGGTTTGGGGACCATCATCATGTCTAGCTATAAGACCAGATTTTATATTCTAGATATAGAATTATCCAGAATAATTCTATTGAATTGACTGATTACAAAATGTTAACAGCTGGATAAACGGTAAAATATGCATTATCTTCACATGAAAAGGTTTCAGTTTATAAATGCTTAAATACTGTATCTATTGGCATTTAATAAAATCTTTCCCTGATCCTGATTTCTGCACTGGGTGGGGGAAGAAACAAACAAAAGCAAAAGCAAAAGCCTGCTCTCCTGAGCCTTTTATATCTCCCCAAACAAATGACTGAAACCAACCAAACCAAAACTCGCCTTTATTTTCCTAGTGTTAGATCCTTATCAATTTGCATATCTAACAACTGAACGTAGGGAAGTTTTCTGCCAATCAGTGGTCCCCTCTGCTCATCAGGTAAATACCTGGCTCTTTCAGCTTTGGAGGTATTTTCCACACAGTGATACAGCAAAGGGTTTTGTTTTTGTTTTTGTTTTTTTTTAACTGGAAAGGAAAGAGGAAAGAAGGGAAGGAAGGAAACGTGTCTTGGAAGAGGAGATCTCCTCTGGTTCTTCAGCGGTTCCTTCAGGCCTCTAGACACTGGCTTATCCCAATATCCAGGCATGACTCTTACTTAGGTTTGGCTAAGTTCTGTTTTCTGCAAAGGCAAGTAAAGGTGACTTCCAAGTGTTCAGTATATTAAAGCAAAAGGAAGAAAAACTTAAAGGTAAAAAAGAAAAAAGTGCTTGAAAATAATTCTCAGGGACTTATCTTGAGAGGAGAAACCCCCGTGTAGCATCCCTCTTTCTGGTGTTATCCGGTCCCTGCTCAGGGCACAAAGACCTCCTCGGTCCACGCTCTGGAGCAGGGCGGGGGACGGGTGGTGTCCTAAAAGACTTTCTTTAGGAAAAGCAAAACTTACTTTAGTGGTTTCCAGGGAAAAGTTGTATTCCTTGGCATGGGGCCCATCCACCTTGGCCTGGAAGACCTCACAACTTTTTGGCACTGTCGTGGCAGGCCGTTGCTCTGATGGTGGTCCCAGCCAAGCCCCGGTTGCTGACTCTGCGGACCAGCACTTTGGAAACCGGGATTTTTGTTCTGGGCATCTCACTCCTGGAGGGTTGCTGGTGCACCACGGGATGGCTAGATGGAAGGTTGGTCAGGTGCTTGATGCTAATAGGGATCTTAGAGTCCTTCAGCAAGCTGCCTGGTGTTCGCAGTGGACAGGTGATGGTGCCTGGAGATACGGGCTTTAACCGGGACAGGGAGGACGTCTCCTCGTTGTCCTTCCCTCCAGGAAGGGTTGCTGGACTTCCGTCCGGGTCAGCATAGAGATCATAGAGCGCGTCCCCGCTGTAGCTATCCCGGGGGATGCCCGCCTTCTTCCCGCTGCTCGAGCTGTCTTCCTCTGGGCCTGGCGTGGTGGAGTCCCAGTAGCCCTCGTCGCTGTTGGGGACGCCTTCCTGCTGCTCCTTCTCCGGGTGCTTGGGCTCCTCCTTAGGATGGGGCTCGATGGGAATCCGGTTGAGCCTCCTGCGCTTGACCGAGGACGCGTCCTTGGCCGCTTCCACACACCTGGTGTCTTTGGGGGTCTCGGGCACCACCTTGGTTTCCAGCGCAGCTGCCACCTTAGCCGCGCCCTCCTGGGGCTCGGGTCCCTGCTCCTCGGTCTGGGAGAGCATGTCCCAGAACTCCTGTAGATAGGTGTCGTCCACCTCGTCCGGGCTGGCCATCTCTTCCCCGCCTCCTTGGTAGGCCACCACGCCGGGGTTCTTTTTAGACAGAGCCGGCTTGCCTGGCCCGGGGACATGCTTGTCACAGCTGGGACCTGCCTCTTCCTCTTGGTCTGCAATAATATCTCCACAGCCTGTAAGAGAGTCAAAGCTTTTCAGTGAAGTCACGTCAGAAAACATCAAACAAATACGATCTGCCGACGGGTCTGAGGGTGGATCGACAGAGGCAGGGTCTGGGGCGGCGGGCGCCCGGCCGCTGCCGCCTTCGGAGTCGACAAGGGGGACCGTCTTTACGGGAACGGCCCCCGTCCTGGAAGCGTCCTCTGCCGTGCGGACCTCCCCGGGCCCCGGCTCGGCGCGCCGATGCCCCGCGGCGTCCTCTCCCCGGGCGCCGGTGTCGCCGGGGTGCGCGAGGCCCTCTGCCTCTCGGCAGCTCCGCGCTGGGGCGCGGTCGGCGGGGGCGGGCACCTCCTCTCCCCCTGCGGGCTCACCTGCTGGGTCTCGCGGGGCGTCCTGGCTGGGCTCCTCCGGCTCGCGCGCGGCTCTGGGCGTCTCCTCCTTGACGCACTCCAGGCTGGCGGTGAGCGAGCCGGGTAGGATCAAGCCGCCCCCGGGCGCGCGCCCCTCCGCGGCCTCCGCCTTGGCCCGCTTGTCTTTCCTGTGCCAGCGCATGCCGCTGAACAGCCCCCGCAGCCCCCGCTTTTGTTTGCCGCCGGCCTTGCTCGCGTCCACAGGCTCTCCCTTGCCGTTTTCCGAGCGCCCGTTCTTCTTCAGCAGCGAGAAGAAGCTGTGCGACTTGGCCACCGAGCTGCTGGCGAGGGAGCCCCCGCCGGGCCCTGCGGCTCTGGGGGGCCCCGGGTTCGGCCGCCCCCCGCCGCCCCCGCCGCTGTCGCCCCCGCCGCGCGGCTCCTCCTTCCTGCCGCTCTCCAGCACCAGCACCTCGGCAAGTCCGTCGTGGGTCCTGCTCCTCACCAGCCCCGTCGGACCCGAGCTTTTCCCGTCCCCTTTGTTTTTGACCCCAAAAATGCTGGGCATGGTGCCACCCGATTTCCTCTTCTTGAATAATTTGAAGGCAGCTTTATTAATCTTCCCCGACGGCGGCTCGGCGGCCGGCGTTTCGGCGGCACAGTCACAATGCAAGTCCATGTCTGCCGCGAGGGTCCCGGTCCCGGCCCCGGCCTCCGCCTTCCTCCTGCAGACCCCCACGGACGCGCCAGCTCCGCCGCGCTCGCTGACAGCCCCGCCGCCGCCGCGGCTCCGGCTCGTCTCCATGGAAACCGCGCGGGATAAGCCGCTTTCGTCAGCAGTGGGCTCGCGCCAGGCCACTGTCACCCGTATTCTAAATCAACCTGAGCCGCGCTCGCCGCCGCCGCTGCAAAAGAAACACACATAAAAGACCATCTTCCCTCCCGCAAGGGCTTATATAATACCCTAACCCACTTCCATCCGACTTGGCTCGGCGCTGCATGGCGTTTTTGTGGCAGGAGCAGGCAACACAGCCGCGAGCTGATTGCAGAAATTCGAGTCGTAATTATGGAATTCAAATTCCCTCAACTCTCACCCACCTTCGGATTCCTTCTCTAGACTCGCTCTTCACGGGAGCGCAACCATGGATCACGAAATGCCTCTAAAAACGACAACGCAATTCAACCCACCACAAAATGCTTGTTTTTCTTATCCTCTCTCCTAGACTCCCTGCATCTTCATGCCTTTCCCAAGCCCTTCATGTCTGTCCTTAGCATTGGTGCACTAAGCCCAGCAGGCAGGAAGCATGTCTGCCTACATCCATGTCTTGTCCAGAGCTGAGCACACGCTAGGTCCATGCTGTGTGGCTGTCATTGTGGTTATGGTTCTTGTGACAAAAGTACACGCCACCACTCAATCAGTCTATCAGCAGCCCAGCAATGCAAGCACAACAGCTCCCCGGGGTGGAGTTTGCCTGCACCTTTGGGACAACCATGACTTTTATCCCAGACTCCAGCCACCACGGGATGAAGTCACAGATGCTGCGGCACAGCCCACATCTGATAACAATAGACAAGCTGACCGAGACACACAGGCTGGGAATCTCAGACCCACTCCACAGGTGGGCCTTCGAGTCCGGGTTCTGCCCTCTCCTTTCCCACTCAGCAGGACAGTGGCATTATTCCTGTCACTGCGGTACCACTCCCCTCCCCCATACCACCAGGGCTGACTTGTAGTCCCCTTCCCCAATGTACAGAGCAGGAAAAGCTTGGCAGGGGTCCCTGTGTGTCCAGGGATCTCTGCAGACATTCCTACCTGCCTGGTCTGGGGAGAGGGAAAACCTTTTTTCTGGGAACAGCTCAGTCTAGGGATCTGTTCTGTGTTCTGATTTAAAAAGTGACTGCTAATATTCTAATCTTGACATCTGATTTCATAATCCCAGCTGAGTGCTTTTTAGCAAAAAGAAATTTGGAGAAGCATATACATATATAAATATAACATGTATATATAGTATATATTATTTAATCATTTGATTATTTATTAAATATCATTTAAGAATATATGTAATAATTACATATATACACAAACAGTAGTCTTTTCCCTACTCATTTTTTATATGCTCTTTGCATTAGGCCAATAAATCCCAATCCCCATCCACATAAGTTGGCGTTTTATAAATGACGTATGTTGGCCATTGCAGCTTCTGTTGTTATGAGATACAGCTGGTTAAAATTTAGACCTTGGAGTTCTTAGTTGTATTATTTCCTTTTTTTGTTTATTTTTTTCAAGAACACTGTTTTGTAAAACGAAGAAATCAATGAGTTCAGGTTCAGGAGAGGTTGTCACTTCCAGACTCTAATCCCATCAACTCTTTCTCACTATTGATGAGCATCTCTCCTGGTACAGGAAGTAAGGTGAGGCCAGAGAGAGGCTTTCCCGGATTCTAATTGACCGCTTGACATGATGAATCAGAGTCCTCAGTGCTTTCTGGGGAGACCACGTGTAAGGAACTGTAAAGAGAAACCCATTTGTTACGTCTTTACAACCTTTTGAAGAACAATAGAAAGTCTCTCAATTTTACACACATACACACACACACACACAAACACACACACACCCATACAGTTGCTTAGATTTGTGGGTTACTATGTAGCTCTGTCAGTTTGGAAGAGTTTGTGACTGGGATCAAGGAAAAGTAAGTCGCCTATTAAAAAATCTCCCTTTCTCCACTGGGAGAAAGTGGTCTGCTTATTCACCCATCAGGACAGGTCAAATGTGACTCTAATTTACATGAGAATCTTTGGGCCTCCTGGGAGAAATCTGATAGAGGACTTTGGGATGGATATCATTCTTTTGGGACATCAACACTCAAACAAAGAGAAAGAGACAAAGCTGTCTTCAGCCTGCGGAAGGTGCCCTCACTGTGAGTTACTGGCCCTGAGATAGAAGAAAGCAGGGACCCCTGGAACAATCTGAAGGCACTGGGCATGGGAGCTGTAGAGGCTGCGGTGTGAGTGAGGACCCTCCAGCGTCCTACTCAAAGTCCTTGTTACAGAGACAGTGGGAAAAACGAGGGTGAAGTCAGCTGAAAGGAACTTACCCCAAAAGCCAGACAGGTAAGGAGAGACTCTGTAGGGGAGAGAGATGAGGCGCAGGATGGTCCAATGGTTTGTTGGTTAGAGCCAGGTTATGAATCATCACAAAGACTGAGCCATACCTTATATTAAACTTCACAGTCAAGAGTGGAGAAAGCAAAATGGTGATTTTTTTTTTCCCTGAGAGACAGAACATGACAGTGAAGATAATTTTACCGTAAGCACTCCCATTTTTGTTTATAGTTTCTTCTTTCATTCTTTTCCCCCATCCTGCCCCAGCTTGGGAGTGAATAGAAAATTAGAGTAGAAAGGAATAGAGAACAGGACCGAGGGGAAACATTTCAGGGAAAAGCCATTCCAAAACAATAAGACGTATCACAAATGCAAACAGCAAGTGGATTTTGCTGGAAGACATGTGTGGGCTTTTCTTTGTTGGCACCAGGAAGTATTTGTCGTTTTGTTGAGGCTTTTTTCTCTAGGTAGTGAGCTTCTCTGGAGGATGGTACTCAAAAGGAAAAAAAAAAAACAAGAGAAACACAGGAAGAACCATTTGAGAACTTAACGTCGTCGTCATCATCATCATCATCATCATCATCATCACATCATCATCACATCATCATTTCCTTTTTTAGGGTGCCTTCAAAGCAGTCCAGCCCTTTGCCCAAAGCTTACTGGGTGGAATTTCTTTCTTTCTCTTTCTTTCTTCTCTTTTCTTTTTCTTTCTTTCCTTTTCTTTCCTTTCTTTCTCTTTCTTTCTCCTCTCCTCTCCTTTCCTTTCCTTCCTTTCCTTCCTTCCCTTCTTCTCTCTCCCTTCCCTCGCTCCCACCCTCCCTTCCTCCCTCCCTCCCTCCCTCCCTCCCTCCCTTCCCTTCCCTTTCCTTCCTTCCTTCCTTCCTTCCTTCCTTCCTTCCTTCCTTCCTTTCTTTCTTTCTTTCTTTCTTTCTTTCTTTCTTTCTTTCTTTCTTTCTTTCCTTCCTTCCTTCTTTCCTTCCTTCCTTCCTTCCTTCTTTCTTTTTTCCCAGAGTCTTGCTGTGTCACCCAGACTGGAGTGCAGTGGCGTGATCTCGGGGCTCACTGCAGCCTCTGCCTGCCAGGCTTAAGCAATTCTCCTGCTTCTGCCTCGCCTGTAACTGGGATCACAGGTGTACGCCAACAAACCCAGCTAATTTTTTTTTTTAAGTAGAAACGGGGTTTCACCATGTTTGCCAAGCTGGTTTCAAATTCCTGACCTCAAGTGATCTGCCCGTCCCGGCCTCCCGAAGTGCTGGGATTACAAGCATAAGCCACCGCACCCAGCACTGGGTGGAATTTTCTATCCTAGGTGAGCCACCGAGGAGCTTCCCTTTGAGCTGCTGTGTGGCTGCTGCTAAGGGACTTCTCATATGTCATAGCATTGCTGCTTAAGGAGGCTGCTAGCTTTACCTTAAACTTGCTGTGGGTCTTTAAAGGGATAATGGTTCATCAATACGGTTTGGAAATAATACCTGAGTTGAGACTACCACCTCCCATCTGCAGACCACTTGGCCAGCTCCTGACCTCACCCCAGGCTGAAATGTCTACCTCCCTGCTCATGTCCATTCCCACCTGGGATTATCCTCCAAGGTGGACTTGAGAAGCTGTGCTGCCAGTGAGAACCCCCAAATGTCCAGCCCAAGTTCCTCTTTATGAGATGAACAGAAAAAAGCTCAGAGCCACTGGTCTTAAAGTCCCCTGCTGTCCACTGTCTTCCTGTATCTGAGGCCTGTCCTTGCCCTCCATGGGCCTCATGGAAGCTGAGACCACAATGTGAAGTGCACAGGTGCCAGGAGAGAAATGTGTGGACGCTCCTTGCAGAAAGCCTGGCACCAGATGCAATGCTGCCGGCATGTTCCCGTGACCCCCTTGCCTGGGAAGCTGAGGCTGGAGGCTAGGATGAGCAGCATGAGGGCTACAGGTCTGAGAATACTAGGCCCTGAGCTAAATTGAAGTTCTTGTGTTTTCTTTAGCATATTTTGATTCCTGATTTCCCCAAACATCAGCTTTCACTATGAGTTAATAGCTGTTCTGGATATATGCTTATTAAGAGGATAAATTTATTTCTAATTAGTAATATGCGATCGAAAAGCCCACTGCAACTCATGATTTTCCACATTAACCCTAGTGCACAGTCAAGGCTGCTAGGAGAAAGAGCCCATCCCAGGAGGAGCTACAACCCCATGTAGCCTGCAGAGTAAAGGAGCAGCTCAGAGGGGAGGTGTTCCAAGTTCATAGGACATTACCTTTGCCCACCTCCCATGGGTTTGTACCTGGATTCTAGGCAAGGGGAGTGCCACAGAAGACCAAAAAAGGCAAAATGAGCTTTTCCCTGTAATGCTGGTAGGCACCAAGGGGGCACAGGCCATGTGGCAGCTGACAGCACTGGTATTTGGGCAGTTTCCATGTTCCCCCCAGGCTTCCAGTTGTTTAATCTTTGGAATCCATTAGCTTCGAGACACATTTTTCCAATCTCTGCCTCGGTCTGAGGCGGAGATGTTATGTTCCCTCTGCGTGCCTGTCTGTGTCTCTTTACCTCTTCTTAGAGTGACACTAGTCACATTGATTAAAGGCCCACCCTACTCCAGTATGACCTCATCTTAACTTACACCTTGGTTACATTTGCAAAGACCCCATTTCCAAATAAGGTCACATTCACAGGGACCTGGGGTTACGACTCCAGCAGATCTTTTGGAAGACACAATTCAACCTACAACAAACGACATCACCAGCAACGGTGACAGCATCCGCCTCACCTTCAGTCCTTCAACGCAGCCGCCAGGACCCTTGGCACAGACAAGACTGTCCTTGGGCTCAGTCATGAGTGGGTTCAAACTGGGCATGAGCTTCTTCAGCAGGTGTAGGCCTTCAGCAGGGTTCGGGGTCACTGATGGCACTTCTGGGGTTGCCAGCAGTGTGGGACAGTACCACTGCCAGCCAGAGGAAGCAAGAAGGAAAACAGTGTTGACCAAGAAGGGTAGATCTTGGCGTACACATGTGACACCCTGGGGTCTCTCAGGATTTTCTAGGAGGAAACTAAGACGGGTATCAAAGTTCCCATGTAGTGGATAGGGTAGAACAAGAGGACTACTGTTGCTCTTCCTGTTCTCTAGTCCCTGCATGGAAGCCAGAATGGCCTGGGAAACATGTCACACCATAACTGCTCCTCCCAATAATTCCCTTTTCTCTGGCTCTGCCATTTAGCTAGAGCTACTCTTAGAAAACATTGTATCTCAGATTGCACAGGGGGTGGGATTTCTTCAGCTGTTGGCACCAAGGTGGGTGCAGTGCAGCCAAAAACAGGGCAGAATGAGGTCAGATAGCAGAGGGTGCATGGACTGGATGCCAGGGCTTTGGGCATGGATAGATGCCCTGTTAGAGAGCAGCCAAATAAACAGTGGGAATCATCTAACCAGCAGGGATGCAAACCAGAACCAGAGCCCAAGATGAGGGCCCTCTGTTGTTAATGAGGAGGCCAGGCTCAGAGATTCGAGACTGGGAAGCTGCAGGGGGGCTGCAGAAATGATCTGCACCACAGTGGGACACCGATAGGAAGCCCAAGTCCCTGCCCCTTGGGTGTACTTTTGCTCGTCTTAAAGAAACCCTACTCTGCATCTGCTTCTTGACACAAAGCTGGCCTCGCACTCAGGCCTTGGTCCAGCCCACCCAGCACGTACACACAGCATGAACCACCCTGTGTAGCTAAGGTAGGCCTTCTGCCCGGGTTTCTCATTGCCCCCAATCTCCAGCCATATAAGCAAGCTGCTTTCTGCCATGGCATCCCCACATCACAACTGTGCGACCCTTCTGAATCATGGCCCCTTTTCCCAGCTACTTCCACTTCTATCAAAAAGACATGGGAACGTTCTCTAGTTTTCTCATGCCGCTCCAGGTCTGCCTCTGCCCCTTATCTTAAGATCCCCTCCACTGGCCCTGCCATGGCAGCACTGAGGACATACACGAGTGTTTCAGACAGTAGCAGGGTCCTCTCTACTCTCAGGTCCCTAAGCTCATGAGGGGAGGGGTGTCTTATCCCCACTCCTTAGGAGCTAATCTGGATGGAGGGTGCAGGGAGCAGAGCCCCTTCCTAAAGACCCTCAGCAGGCTCTTGCATTCTTTCTGTGGAGCAGTTTCACGGTGCACAGGTATCAATCCCAGGGGAGGACTCTAAACACTTCACCGGTAACTATGCACCAGTAGCAATCCACTTGCACAAGTGCAGTGAGACAGAGAACTCACACAGCAAGTTAAGTGAAGCAATCTTCCAAGGCTCAGTAGTTCTGCCCAGGCCCCATGGAGCCCATTTGCATGTGCCCTATGTTGCACCACAGCTGAGGGACTGTGAAAGCACACTCTGCCTTAGGTTTTATGGCCAGGGGACCCAGGGATCGCTGGGATAAAGTATTGCAGGACATCCTGTTCTAGGGGTGACGGGAACAGAGCCCAGGCTATCCCAGCCAATTCCTCCTTTTCTCAGGATGTTGCATTCCCAGCACATTCTACAGTTATTCTGAGAACCACAGGCAAGTAATGGGGGAAGAGCTGGTTATCCAAGGCCATCTGGGGACTTGTCCTGCACTTTCCTCCTCTGCAAC
The DNA here is from genome assembly GCF_000001405.40 of Homo sapiens. Taxonomy (NCBI): domain Eukaryota; kingdom Metazoa; phylum Chordata; class Mammalia; order Primates; family Hominidae; genus Homo; species Homo sapiens. Next base: position 25,178,515 of record NC_000013.11, read on the forward strand.
TTCTTTTCTTCCATTTCCTAAAGTCTTGGGATCTTAAGTCGTCTAGATAGCAGACAAAACCACATTCAGAGCAATTACATATTTGTTTAAACTTATTGCTTAGGTCAAGATCTCGGCTCCTGAAGTTCAAATGACCGTAGCTTTGGCAAACAAAAAAACTTTTTTTTCCCCAAAGATATAATGGACTTCAAAAGCATATTTTGAACTCTGAAAGCTGAGTCTTACCATTTTTTCTGTATCTTTGCCTACCTATTCCAGTTTAATTGCTCAGCCCTGCCCCATCCCTAACCTCCTACAAACAATACACAAATATACTTGCTCTCACAGTCTATGCTCCAACAATTTTGAGCATGTTTCCTGAATATGTTATTGTCCTCTTGCTTTTCTAAACATTGCAGCTATCATCTGAGATGCTGTTACCGTCTCTGTGCAGCTAATGAATTCCTATGCATTTCTCATGTAAGACTGGGACCCCAGATCCTCTGTTTCCGTCAGAGGCCCAGCATATTCCCATGATACATCACAAAAATGCTCAGGCCAATTTCTATACAGTGTCAGTCATCGTGGTGCCCCAGGGCTGACTTCCCATAAGTTGGCTCTGACTTTTACCGAAAGAGGGTTGTGATGAGAGTGAGAAGTACAGTTCTTCCCCTCTGTGACAGGCACATCAGCCAACCAGCAGAGCTGCACTTGAGTGGCTCAATCATCTCAATCAGAGGCGGATGACTCCTTTTCTTGGGTCATGACCTCCTTTCCCCCTTTGAGTCACATGGCAGGGTGGGTTACTTCCCTTGGTAGTCAAATATGCTACTTAAGATCATGCTAGTTTGTGTAGCAAATAGATCCCACAATAAAACAGGTCAACTCAATAGAGGTCTATTCTTACTCACTGTTTTAGTCCATTTGGGCATCCATAACAAAATACCATAGATTGAATGCCTTATAAAGAATAGAAATTTATTTCTCACTGTTCTGGATGCTGAAAAGTCCAAGGTCAAGGGCACCAGCAGATTAGCTATCTGGTGAGGGCTTGCTTTATGGTTCACAGATGGTGCCTTCTACCTGTGTCATCACATAGTAGAAGGGGGAATGAGCTCCCTTGGCCCTATTTTATAAAAGCACTAATCCCATTCATGAAGACATCACCCTTGTGACTTAATCCTTTCCCCAAAAACCTCACCTCCTGATACCACCACCTGGGAGATTAGGATTTCAACATATGAATTTGGGGAGGGCACAAACATTCAGATCATAGCACTCACCTATAAGTCAAATATTGAAACCAGAAGGGTGAGTCTCTTCCATGTGATCATTCAGGGCCCCAGGCTTCACTTCTCTGTGTCCCCACTGTGTGGTTGTTGCTATCTGCATTTAGCTGGTGGAAGGAGAAAGAGATCCCGGAAGAAGCACGTCCATTTCTAAGAAGCTTGACTCCGACATGGAACAAATCACTTCCTCTCACTTCTGTGGGTGACATCTAGTCACATGGCCACATCTGGCTACTAGAGAGTGGGAAATATGGTCTAACCACGTGCCTGGCCACATTCCTATTACTACAGAAGGAGAGAACAGATTAGAGCAGGCAGCTGGCAGAATGTGCTACAAATCAACCTACTCAGTAGCTGTGGTGGGGAAAGGAAGCATTCCGTCTCCCTAGTGGGTTCACTTTCCTCCACGCTTCCCCCTCCCGCAAGACAGTGCATTTCCTCTCAAGACCTCCCTGTACCAATCTCTATCGCCTGCTCCCAGCTCTCTCCCTACCCTTCAGCCTTCCCTTAGGGGAATGTATTTTTTGGTTAAAGCAAACACGTCTAGAAAATGTTTGAAATACACTAGATTAAAAACCTGATTGTGGTTATTCCCACCTCCAGAGTAGCTTAGAAAGGACCCCCATGGTGTCCATTCCATTCCGTGAGCATTTATAGAGTCTCTCCCGTGTGCTGGGTGCTACCATGAATAAATCATAATGCCTGCCCTGCACGGTGACCAGGAGGCTCGTCAGTGTGAGACTTGGTTTGGTGTGAACTCTCCAGCTCATCAGGCCGACAGTACCATTGTTCCATCCCGGATTGTAGGTCAGTGTGATCAGGCCTCAGCAGCTTGGGTGTTAGTTTTTTCTTCTTCTTCTTTGAAAAAAAAAAAATCTATGTTTTCCTCCATGATGGTTAATCCTCAAATAGTCAGGCTTACTTCTGTCCCGGATCCTAACCACCTACCAGGTTTTCTTCGTGGGTTTTAGGTTAAGTCCCTGATCCGGTTTCATGCAGCTTTCATTGATGTTTCATTTGCTATCCACCACAGCAAGGTTACTTTTTTCAAAAGACAGAAATCTCAGCAGATGTATTCATTCTGGGATGTTTCCTGGACTCACACCAGTGAGCTCATTAGCCCAGGCTAACTATGGGCCTTTGGGGGCTTTTTCTGTTCTTTCCTTTTTTTTTTTTTTTTCAGTTTGTAGCAAAAAGCAGGATCATGTGATTTGCGCATAGCAGCTCTCCTTCCTGTGTGTTCAGTGAGCAGTGACTGAAATTCCCCCCAAGAAGGAGGGCTGTGCTTTCTAAACATGCATCCTTCTTAGCAGTGTCTGCTTTTGTTTAGTGGAAGACTGAAGCTGAAACAGGAAATTTCTAGGTCAGCTATACTTCACTCTAATAAAAGAAAAGTCTAGCCAAAAAGAACAGCAAAACTATGGCCTGGGCTTTTTGGAGTGTCTTGTCTGATTACCCAATTATTACAGCTCAGATTAGGAAGGGATTAACCCCTGAGGTTGGACAGATGGAGAACACTATTAAAATACCCCATGTGGGGTTTCGGAGTGAGTAGCAAAGTAACCACCTGTCCCTGTTTCTTGGGTCAGTCTGCCCTCATTTAGAGTCAGAAGATCACTGTCTTTGATGTCCGAGTGTGGAGAAACTGAATAGCACAGGAAGCAAGCCTGGGGCCCCACCCCTGTCTGGCCCAGAAGCACTGCTCTCCTGAGTCTCTGTCCCTATCTGGAGCCCTGCCCTAGACTGACCTGGTAAGAAATATTCAGCTGAATTACAAGTGATTTTAGGGTTGTTATTGCCCAGGGCCCTTGGGAACAGTCTGGGGACACTTTATGAGACTGTCACAGGCAGAAAGATTTCCATTTCAGACCTCCCTATTCCTTTGTGAACTATTGAAGAAATCGGTACCTCTCCTTTCTTGAACCTCTGCATTTCAGGGGCTACATTGGGGCTGTTTTGTTTTAAGTGTTCTCAGAAGCTGCAGAGGAGTGAAGTGAGATCTGTGTCTTTGTGCCTTTTCGCCCCTGCACTGGGGAGGTTGGGACAGTCCCTCTCTGGGCAGGGAGGCAGAGTGGCTTTGCCTCATGTTCCAGCTTTGAATTCGCAGGCAGGAAGGTAGTATAAGCAGTCCATTCAATAATTAATAAGCCACTTAGGTCTGCTTCAAGTCCTTTATCTTACAGATAAAGGATGTGTTCAGGAACATTAATGGTTGATGAGAAAACATTATGCCAAATAAAATATGTTGGGTAATCTTGAAATTGTCATGATTTAGCTGGGTGAGTACTTCTTTCTTATATATCTAACTTAAGTCAATTCGAGAAAAGCCTATTGAGCACATAGAATGCCTACCTCATCCCCAGCACCACGGAAACATAGAATCTCAAGGTCAGCAGGGTCCTCAATCCCAAAATTGTATAAGCAGCCAGCCAGTCACGATTGGAATGCTTCCAGGGAAAGCACTTCATTGCATCCAGAGGCAGTTTACTCCATGTCCTGACAATCCCACTAGAGTTTTCTTTTTAGAGCTGATTTTCTTTTTAATCTTCACAGCTTCTTCCCTTAGTTCTAGTTATACTCCTGTATTGAGCAGCTTTTATAGGCCAGATGCAGTTTCAGGTGATTTTCATGCATTCAGTCATTTAACCCCACAGTCATCACATGAGGTGGGGTCTCCCATTTTACAGATCAGGCAACTGGCACAAAGAAATTAAGTGATTTGCTCAAGGTCAGTAACTACTGAGTGGCAAAGCACTCTGTCTCCATTAGTATACCTTCTTCTTTTCTTTTCTTTTTTTTTTTTTTTTTTGAGATTGTGTCTCACTCTGTCGCCCCGGCTGGAGTGCAGTGGTGTGATCTCAGCTCACTGTAGCCTCTGCCTCCCAGGTTCAAGTGATTCTTATGCCTCAGCCTCCTGAGTAGCTGGGATTACACATGCATGTCACCACACCTTGCTAATTTTTTAATTTTTAGTAGAGATGGGGTTTCACCATATTGGCCAAGCTGGTCTTGAACTTCTGGCCTCGAGAGATCTGCACTCCTCAGGCTCCCAAAGTGCTGAGATTACAGGTGTGAGCCATTGCACCCAGCCTCATAATATATCTTCTTAATCACTGTTTTGATTGTCTACTACTGAGTAACATACTACTCCAAAACTTAATGGCTTTAAATGGTAATCATTTTATTTGCTCACAATTCTGTGGATCAGATATTTTGTCAGGGCTAAGCTGGGCGAATCTTCTGCTCCACACAGCATCAACTGAGGTCTTTCATGGATTGCAGTATGATGGCCACTAGGACCAGGATGTCCAGGATGGTGTCACTCACACATCTGGCAAGGACAGTTGGGAGGTTCCATGTGGCTCACACCAAAGAACTAGCTTGGGCTTCTTTTCTTGACAGTTGGACCCCAAAAGCAAGCATTTTAATCAGAAAAGGTGAATACTGCATATCTGTACAGACCTAGCCTCAGATGTTATACACATTACATTCACATATTTATTCTGTCAGTCAAAATAAGTCACAGAGCCAGACCAGATTCAAGCAGAGGGTAATTAAGTTCTGCCTCTTTATTGGAGAACAAAAAAGAGCATGTCAGGTGGCATATATTATTGCATCCATGTGCAGAAACTCCAAGAACCAGAAAATTCAACACCATACTGCCCCTCTAGAAAACTAATTCATGCATACACAAAATGACATCTCTCTAGGTATTTGAAACTAGCTATCAAGTATCTCCAAGTCTCCTGCTCTTCAAGCTTCTTCTTTCTTCAAGTGTTTCTTATAAAATGTGGAATGGTACTGTCCCTCTCTTCTGATGTGTTGCAGAACTAAATGTCATACTCCAAGGTATGTCTGGCCTGGTGAGAACAGAAGGCCCATCATCTCCTGTCTTTAAATATGGAGATTGAATCAACAGGAATTCTTGACCAACATATAGAAATTCTGTTACTTGAAACTCTGATGCCCCCCCTACCCTGTAATTGTGCAATTGCTTTGAAAGACCAAAGTTAAATTATATTTTGTGAAATTTGGCCTAGCAGTCTTACTCATTGATTTCATCTTCCACTGCAGTCATGGTCCACTCAGCTTTCAGTCAAACCTGCATTTGACTCATGACTTCCCTCCTCCTTCCACAACTTCTTCAAAGTCATCGATAAAACTATTGGCCTGTTCAGATACAAGAAGGAGCTCTGAGGAACATCATGGAAAACCTCTCTCCATATTAAAATCCAGACACTGATCTGCAACCTGTGCAAACTGATAAGGCAGAGTTGTTCAGATAATTCTGGATCCACCAACTTGTCTGGGCACACATTTTTACTTCTTGACTCAGGAGCCAAAAGAACCATCACCAGCACTGTGCTCACCCATGATCTTGGCAGCAAAAGAAATTAGGTCAGTCTGGATGTGTCTTGGTTTGTTTTAGAGGCAGGGTCTCACTGTGTCACCCAGGCTGAAGTGCAATGGCAAGATCATGGTTCACTGCAGCCTTCAACTCCTGAAGTCAAGTGATCCTCCTGCCTCAGCTTCCCAGGTAGCAGGGACTATAGGCATGCAATACCATGCCTAGCTAATTTTTTAATTTGTGTTTTTGTACAGGCAGAGTCTCGCTATGTTGCCCAGGCTGACCTCAAACTCCTGGGCTCAAGTCATCCTCCTGCCTCAGCCTCCCAAAGTGTTGGGATTACAGAAGTGAGCCACTGTGTCTGGCCAGGATGTTCTTACTGAGGCCCTGCTGACGCTTGGCAATCACAACTTCCCTTCTCAAATAATTTCTTTAACACTCCATGCTGGAATCTCACCCCACCTCATGCCCTTTCTGCCTCAACACTGTTCACCTATTTGCAGCTTTCTGTTCTCCAGAGTCCTCACTGATGCAGGCACCAGATCAGTTGTAACAGCAGGATCTTAGAACCTGATCCTTTTATGAATCTGGGTCAGGAGACATGAAATCAGAGCAGCAAGGGCTGCCCACTCTTTAAGAAACATGGGCTTCTGCTCCCCTTCACTATTTATTTTACAATAAGCAAAAGAAAGCCTCAAGAGTCTACCTTCAAGCTGCTTACAGCATAGCTCAAGGAGGAGGTATACATGCTAATAGTCAGAATATGAAACAAAATAGAATCACTCACTGCCTGGGTGCAGGGAACATGAGACATTATAGGGTTTATAAGACACATTATTTACACTTGGGCAGGTCACAAAAGGCTTCATGGAGGCAGTGGCGTATGGAGTAGATTCTAAATAGCAGGTAGGTGATGGCGAGGATGCAGAGAAATGGCTCTCATACCGCTGCCTGTAGATCTGGAAATTCATAGACATTCTTCAAAATGACCAGGTATTAATTTAAAATGCTTGTGCCTTTCAACCTTGTGATTTCAAAGTTCAAGTAAATAATCTGAACATAAACTTATTCAAAGTGTTAGTTAAATGATATTGCTGTTTAATGGAACACAGAGCAACCACCAAGACTTTGTGAACATCAACCTGATGCCAGCTGAGGGACCAGAGGGGCCCTCCTTGTAGTCTCTCAGATGTCTGATTAATATGCCCTGATTCTCCCTTCCACAATTTATGAAATGCAAATCTTTCCCATTAACTTTGTAGATTACCAAGAGCTTCTTTTCAAGTGCTTTTTTCTGGCTATGCCCTGCCCAGGGCTGCTTTAATTCAGTTCCTATTTCCCTCGAGTATTTCTTGATTTGGGTGATTGGCCATGGTTGTGCGGCTCCTGGATGGGGCTGGGATTGCACAGTCCGGCTCTGTCTCTCACTCACTCTTGCTTCCTTTACTTCCTGGAGCAACTGACAAATGATTCCCCACACTTCTCCTCAGAGCTTTTTTTCTTTAAAAAGGCAAGTTTTCCCCTAAAAGGAATTCTCATATCAGTTGCTAATAATATACATTTCCCCTCGCATTATTGTATGAAGAATTTTTTCATGACATGGGAAAATGCTTATGATAACATTTCTCCCCACTCCCTTCGGAGCAAGGAAAAAGCAACACACAATCTTGAAACTACACCCAGGATAGTGTCAACCATGTAAAACAATATGCATCAAGGGAAATTTAATCAACAGTAGCAGTGGCCAGCTCTGGATTAGGACGCTGGGTGATTTGTATTCTTCTATATGAATCTGCTGTCTTTACCAAGTCTTCAAAGATAACGCATATTTGGAGCCCAGGTGCCTGGGAAAATGGAAATTTTACTGTTTGGAAAAATTTTAAAAAATCAAAAAGCAGGGAGCAGCCAGTGTGGGAAAGACAGCTGCGGTTTCCTTTTCCCTCCAGGCGCAGGCGGCGCACCTGCCAATGGGTGCTTCTGCCCTCCCTACCCTGCGCTGGTAACTACCACCTCAAAGTGGAAGCTGGACAGTTCAAACGTTTGTAAAAGGCAGATCTCGGTGTTCTGACTTCTCCTCGTCCTGTTGGTAGACTGCCTCCGTGACATGCTGGCAGGATTTCTATAAGGGCACAGAAGGCACAGGAGGGTGGGTGAGGACTCTGTGGCCTGCGAGTGCGCACCGGGTGCATGTGCTAGTTTTGGGCCGCCCTACAGATTCCTAACTCACCTTCAGCAACGACCTGCACCGTGAACCACACTTTCCAATACAGATGGTTCCCTTTTTGGCAGACTAGCAAAACTCGGGGGGCTACCCACAGAAAGTGCTCATCTTGCTACCTCTGTTCAACATTTAGCTTCTGACTAATCAATCCGAAACTATCACCCCACTGCAGCCTTTCTGCAGCTGACACAGGTGAATTCATGAAGACCGGGAAGGGCTCCTAATATTTCCATCTGAAGCGGGATCTCTGAAATTTCATAGACATGCGGTCACGCACACATCTTTCCAAGGTCTCAGAAGCACAACAGCTATTCACAGCTTCTCTGAGAACAGACAAGGGGCTTGCAGGTGGGTTGTACTTGAATAAGCTTCTTTCTTCCCTTCCTCCCTCCAACAACATGAAGCACCAGAATAACTCCCTGTTACTAATGTGCGAGAAGTTTCTTGTAGGTGGTCCATGCGACACTATTCTTTCATTGCAATTCCTTCCTTCCTTCCTTCCTTCCTTCCTTCCTTCCTTCCTTCCTTCCTCCCTCCCTCCCTCCCTCCTTTTCTTTCTTTCTTTTTTTTTTTTGGACAGAGTCTTGCTCTGTCGCCCAGGCTGGAGTGCAGTGACACAATCTCGGCTCACTGCAAGCTATGCGTCCTGGGTTCACACCATTCTCCTGCCTCAGCCTCCCGAGTAGCTGGGACTACAGGTGCCCACCATCACACCTGACTAATTTTTTTTTTTTTTGTATTTTGAGTAGAGATGGGGTTTCACCGTGTTAGCCAGGATAGTCTCGATCTCCTGACCTCGTGATCCGCCTGCCTCAGACTCCCAAAGTCCTGGGATTACAGGCGTGAGCCACCGCGCCCGGCCCCCTCTTTTCTTTCTATCTCTCTCTTTCTTTTTTTTCTTTTTTTTTTTTAACTGGGTCTTGCTCTGTTGCCCAGACTGGAGTGCAATGGTGCGATCTCGTCTCACTGCAACCTCCGCCTCCTGAGTTCAAGCGGTTCTCCTGCCTCAGCCTCCCGAGTAGCTGGGATTACAGGCACCTGCCACCACACCCAGTTAATTTTTGTATTTTTAGTAGAGACGGAGTTTTGCCATGTTGGCCATGCTGGTCTCAAACTCTTGACCTCAGGCGGTTGGCCTGCCTCGGCCTCCCAAAGTGCTGGGATTACACGTGTGAGCCATGGCGCCCGGCCTGTATGCTGACAATTTCTTCTCACACCTGTGAAAATGATGTTTGTCATTCTAACTAAACAGAATTTTTCTCATGCCCTTGTGAAGCATTGTATTCACATTGAGTACAAGCCTCTGGTCCTCTCACTTCGTACACAGATGGCTGGAGACAACAGGCACCCCAGTGCATGTTTCCCTGTCTCCCACTCTCTGCTCTCTGGCAGGAACGAAGCCCGAGGAAACCAGGCAAGAATTCTCTGTCCTTAAAGAGACAGGAAAGTTCTCCTGGAAGGAAAGGGCCATGGCTCCATTTAGACCTGCAGCCTGCCCTGCGGGGAAGTGGGGAGAAGGCAGGACCGGAGAGTGTGGAAGGGATTAGTGGCTAGGGTGGAAGAGAGTGTAAGAGAAAGAACTGGCTGTCTAGTAGATTCCAAACCAAAGCAGGACCCAGACTTGCAGGGATCCCCATCTCCTTTCTGATTCTTCCCACATGAACACGCTCCAGCTGGAACCCAGCTACCAGCAGCTTAGGTGGTTTGGGAAATACTTGAGCTTCTCCACCAGCATCCCTGACTTTTATACCCTCTAAATGTATAATGACATTGTGCATTTGGTGTACAAATACAGCATCGAAACAATTCTTCTAGTTATCTTTTCTTATGAGGTTAGGACTCTGAGCCTTTTCTCTACAGAAATTCTAGAAGGTTCTAAACATGGGCTGGTGAGAACTAGCTTACGTTTGAAGAATCTCACCTGGCTGCCATGTGGAGATTGGATCTAGGGGCAAGGTGGCATGGGGAGGCCAATTAGGAAGGTTCCTGGTGGTTTGGGCTAAGGTGGTAGCAACAGAGACAGCAAGAGGTGGTGGTGGTGATGTGTGTTAACAGACCACATTCTCAGACATCATCGTCAGTGACATTAAACATGATGTTAACATTAAACACGATGTTGATAGAGCCACTTATATAGTTGGATGTGACAGCTGTGATAACTACATCTGCATCTAGTCAATCATATTCAAAGTTATTTACTGAGCTCAGGAAAGCAAAATAAGACACAAGCCCTATCCTCAAGTAGCTTACAGAATCTAGGACAGAAATTTTGCCTATGACCAGGTGGAACAAGTGCCATTTGAAAGGCACAATTCAGTGGGATTCAGACCCTCCAAACGAGGACAATGACTCCTGACAGGGGTAACCAGGGGTGCTTCCCTGGTGTGGGTGAGAAAATGCGGAGAGGAGGCCTTCCTAACATAGCAGAGGCCTATGGGGCAGGACAGGAATGGCTGGGGATAGGGAAGCGTGCAGCGTCCTCAAAAGGTGTGAATGCTGATTCGAGCTGGAGGGTACGATTCACAAAGGAGTAGTTTTTGGGAGGGGAAGCTTGAAGATAGATTAAGATTAGTTTAAGGAAGGCTGTAAATGCTAAATTAAAGGGTTTATTCTGTGGGCAGAGGGAAATATTGAAGTTTTGGGGCAGGTGGGAGTTTATCATTGTCTGTAGGCAGGCAGATTACAGGGGGCAAACCGGGACATGAGCATGGAGTTCAGTCGCCCATCTGCTGCTAGACAGGAAGAAAGAGTAAATTCTAGAAACATTGTGGGCATAGAGCCACATTGTAATTACCTGGCTGAACGTGAAGGGTGAACAGAGGAGAGAAAAGAGAACTGAAGGATGCTGAAGTTTAATGACTAGGGGAGTTGGGAGTTGCTGTTCATTTCTCTCCGATTGAATTTCAGGTACATCTGGCACAGGAGGGTCAAGGTGGCCAGCACGCACATGGAGATGCACAGCTAACACTGGGGAAAACCAGACTGGAATAATTCTCTGAGCCTTCTCCTTACAGGCAGCAGTCAAAGCAATGGGAGTGAATGCAATTGATGAGAAAAAATAATGAAGAACCAGAGAGGAGGAAAGGAAAGGGGGTAAAGGAATCATCTTGTAGAAAACTCATAGCTAAGGGTCAAGAAGGAGAAGGTTAAGCAGGGGAGTGATCAAGAGGTTGGTTGATAGCTCTGCTCTGTAGACCTTTAATTTGTTTGGAACTTGGTGCCACCCTGCCATCGTAGCTGGCTTGCTAATGTTCCAAATAACCTCCAGCTTGCTTGTCTCTACTTTTCTGGACATTATGATGCCCAAGTAACAGAATACTGTTGCTGAGAAAGATCTTTTACAAAATCTCTGTTATACAATTAGAGCTTGTTCATTTTAGGTGTTTTTTTTTTTTTAAATCAGACCATAGTTCTGCATTATGAGTCTTTCAGATCTCTGTAAATAGCATTTGTCTTCCTGGCTGAGGATCTCAAAGACATTCAACAATATTTGAATCTTAGGCTGGAGGACATTTTCGTATTCTTCAGTCAGGAATAGCACACTTCCTTTCATGAATAGCAGCTTTTAGGGATTATATCATGAGGTACAAATAAAGAGGCCCTCACCTGGTAAATAATCCATCATGTATGCATTGTGTACAGAACACAATGACTCTTGACCTCAGCCTGGCTTCCTGTGTAGAAGAGTATGGTAGAACCTGAGCAGAGAGAGGGACGGAGAGAAAGAACCCCAGCTCAGATCATACGCATGATTCAGACTGCAAAGCAGGACTGCTTCATGGCATGTGGCATCAGTTGCACCAGGCCCATGCTGGGCTAATGCCCCACTGGTGAGTTTTGAAATTCTTAATACTTTTTGAACAAGAAGCCCTGAATTTTTATTTTCACTGGGCACTGCATATGATCTAGCCAGTCCTGCTGCAGAGCTTAACATATGTCTGAATAATAACAGAAGAGGTCAATGGGGTCTCTCTTGGAAATAATGTTTGAAGTGGCTGTATAGGTCCTGCAAGCTGGGACTGCAGGATGTGGTCCCACGGGCTTCCCCGACGATGGCTAACTGAGGCCAGCCTGGGAGGAGCAAGTGCTCTGCAGACCGTGGCGTTGGGAGCTTTACCTTTGAGGATAGTGTCTGGGCAACAGCTGCTCACCCTGCATGGCCAAAGAATTTAGCTGCAAAAATCTACTTTGGAACTCCCTAATTAAACTAATGAAGTCAGAGCATTTTAATCTGTTCTTGGTGCAGCCCTATGTCTAATCCCAGAATAAATAGATAATTGTGACTTTGTGGCATATGTGTGCTGAGAAAAAATAATGTGTGCTGGTTGTTTTTTGTTTTTCTTTTTCTTTTTCTTTTTTTTTTTTTTTGGTGATATGTAAGCCAGACAACATCTTTATATCCTTTTTTAAAAGCTTGGGAAAGGAACTGATTTTCCTTAGCCAAATGCAATGTTTAAAATGAAGCGAAATTGTAGTGCTTTTACAATCAATCACACTTGTATTTCACCATCCTTTACTGACTGCCATAAACAAGTCATGCCCAATAGTTCCTACACTTGAAAGATCCTATTTGATCCTCAAATTTTTCTTGCTTTAAAGAACACTCATGAATAATAAATGCTACCACACAGATGTCGCCTAAAGAGGCTGAGGTTGGGGAAGTGCAGAGCGAGTCTTGTCTCCCTCCTTTAGCCTCGCATTCTACAAATGAGGAAACTTCACTGGTTAGCCTTCAAACTATATCATGTTATTTCCCTGAGACACATACATCTTCATAATGTTGGAAAAGCCTATAAAATCCAAAAGCTAAAGGGTCATTCTGTTTAATCCTTCCATTTTTCTTCCCATCAAGAGTGTTCTTTGTTAAATATTTCTACCTCCTTTTCAAATAACTGAAATGAAGTCACTCTTACCCCCTTTGGAGTTTATTGATTTATTTACCAAATCTTTTACGTATTAATCCAACTATTAGGCTACTTTTTTTTTTTTTTGACGGAGTCTCGCTCTGTCGCCCAGCCTGGAGACTGCACTCAATCTCTGCTCACTGCAACCTCTGCCCCCCAGGTTCAAGCAATTCTCATGCCTCACCCTCCTGAGTAGCTGGGTTACAGGAATGCACCACCATACCCGGCAGTTTTTTGTGATTTTAGTAGAGATGGGGTTTCACCACGTTGGCCAGGCTGGTCTTGAACTCCTGACCTCAGGTGATCTGCTGGCCTTGGCCTCTCAAAGTGTTGGGATTACAGGCGTGAGCCACCACACCCAGCCCTCAGATTCTTTTATGCAGGAGAAATCTCTGTCCTACAGCCTCTCACTTTACCTCTAGCTCAGCTAAGTACTAAATGCAAGGTTTTCATTTCAGAGCGACCACTGAGAGTGCATGGACAGTCAGCACACTCCACCTCTACTAGCAGAAAGGAGTAACTTCTCAAGTGAATGGTGAACACCTATTTATCATGCCCAAGGCTGGCTGCTCCAGCCAGGGGACACAAAAATCAGCAAAATACAGACCCTACTTAAAGAGGACATATGGACATTTTACAAATTTTCTTGAGAGTAAATTTGTAATTTACAAATTTCCTTGATAAGATGTGACCAACCATCTCAATTTGCTGAAATGGAGGGATTTCCCAAGATATGGGACTTTCAGCTTCAAAATCAAGAAAGTTCTTGGCAAACCAGGAGGAGTTGGTTATTCTACTAATTAAAAAGTAAATAGCATTACTGTGTATGTGGAAAAGAAGATACAGTACACAGGGCCAGGCATGGTGGCTCACACCTGTAATATCGGTGCTTTGGGAGGCTGAGGCAGGAGGGTCACTTGAGTGAGACTCTGTCTGTAAACAAAGAAAGAAAGAAAATACAGCACACACAGCCCTGTTTGTGGGGCCTCTGTCTGAGCAAACACATGGCTTTTGTGGACCTTTCTGTGTGCACCCCACGAACATGGAGGCAGAATGAGTTACATGGTTCAGTAACATGCTCAAGATGCATACCTTGAGCTCTGAGTCCCTAAGACTCAGGTGAATAAGGTGAATAAGGACCAACTCAGGGAAAGGTAGGCTCTGCAGGAGACCTTCCAGAAGCCCTGTGGGTGGGGAGGAGAAGAGAGCTGCCCACATGAGAGACAGTGCTTTGGGAGGACCCCCCGGGAGCACCCTTTGACTCTTCTCCCTTCTCTCTCTTGCTGGACTCCCCACCACCATCCCGTAATACTTGACTCCCAAGCGTCACCCCACAACACTTGACTCCCCCAACAGCAGGCAGCGGGGGCCACGGCTCTGCTTGGACCCCACTCCAGCCTCCCCTGCCACTCTGGGCTCCTCCTGCTGGTGATCCCAGCAGCAATGTCCTCCCTATACGCTGCTGTCTCTTGCCCGGGCCATTGGATAAAGCTCAACAGGACAGACATGCCGGAGAAAGCAAATTTTATCCCAAGACAAACACTACAGTCTCTCTTCAGAGAAGCCTTTGAAGGTGGAAAACATTATGGTGGATGGAACTGGAGGTTTTCATGACCTGTGAAGAAATGCTGGGAAACTGGAAGAATAGAGAGACAAACAGCTCCTCTTTCCTTTTGTCTTTATTTTGATATTTGTTCTTGAACAGTCCCTTGTTTATTATCCTGTGGTGTGTATTCTGTCCCCATGATGATGCCTACCGCAGAGCCAAAATGTGAAATGAGACTCATTGTCCACCGCAGATGTGCTGCTGGAGGCTGGCGGGGCAGTGGTGAGGGAGGGAGACGTGTCAGCTGAGCCCGTGACAAAGAGATGCTCTGTGTGTTGTTTACCACGACCTTCACGAGAGTCCAGATGGGGAGCTGTACACTCAAGGTCTGAAATCCACAACAAGGGAGATTCTAGGCAGAGAAGAGGAGAACGCAGTTGAGCTTGGAGAGATGAACTGGGTTGGAGTTCAAAGAGAGACATAGTACTTCACCCTGGGCAGAGTCATTTGCTGAGCTGAGAACAAGTGCTTGTTCTTGGGCAGTTAACACATAACAATGTCTTCTGGAGACAACAGATGCTTGAATCTTATTACTACTTAAGCTGATTTAAGATTTATATTAGCTTGGTTTAAGTGTGTCACTAGAATAACATTTTTTACTTCCATATTAATTTTGAGGTTGAACTGGGAACAATTGCGAAAACAAGCATGAAATTAATTTCTTTATAATCTCTCAGTAGTCATATGACATCAATATCAGTAGAGCTCATATTGAAGAACTATTTGACTCAAAAACAATTGTATGTCAGGCACTACGTTAATCTTAGAGAATTAACATAGGGATCTCCTAGTAAAATAAGCACTCTATTTAATTTTATTCCTTATTTAGTTATCTGCATTCCTGACTCAGCTGAAAATTTCACAGGAATAGGGAACAAATCTGTCTGTATCCTTTATGCCTTGCACGGTGCCCAGCTAGCATATAGTAGCCACTCAATAAATACTTGTTCAATGTATGAATATATGAATGGACATAGTTCATATGAGGCATGATCTCTGCCTTTAAATTGTGCAATCTCATAAAGAAAACAAATATAATCTTTAAAAAATCCATACAAAACAGAGTGAATTAATTGACAAACATGTAACCACATTCATTCATTTATTCAGTCAACAAATACTTATAGCCAGGTGAGTTGGCTCACACCTGTAATCCCAGGACTTTGGGAGGCCAACATGGGCAGAGCGCTTGAGCTCAGGATTTCAAGACCAGCCTGGGAAACATGACAAAACCCCATCTCTACAAAAACATACAAAAATTGGCCAGGCATGATGATGCACGCCTGTAGTCCCAGCTACTCCACAGGCATATGAAAAGATACTCCACATCATATGTCATCAAGGAAATGCAAATTAAAACAATGGTGAGATGCCACTACATATTTATTAGAATGGCTAAAATCCAGAATACTGACAACACTAAATGCTGACAAGGATGTGGAGCAACAGGAACTCTCATTCATTGCTGTGGGAATGCAAAATGGTACAGCCAGGTTGGGAGACAATTGGACAGTTTCTTACAAAACTAAACATGTTCTTACCATGCAATCCAGCAATTGTAGCTCTTAGTATTTACCCAATGCATTAAAAGCAATACATTTATGTCCACACAAAAACTTGCACACAAATATTTATGGAAGCTCTATTCATAACTGCTAAAACTTGGAAGCAACCAAGGTGTCCTTCAGTAAGTGAATGGACAAGTAAATTGTGGTCCCTCCAGACAATGGAATATTATTCAGGATTAAAAAGAAATGAACTAAACTATCAAGCCATGAAAAAACATGGAGGAACCTTAAATGCATATTACTAAGTGAAAGAAGCCAACCTGAAAAAGCTGCATAATGTATGATTTCCAACTATATGATACTCTGGAACAGTCACAACTATGAAAAAATAAAAAAATGGGAGGAGGAAGGAATGAATAGGTAGAGCCCAGGATTGGTAAGACAGTGAAACTACTCTGTATGGTACTATAATGGTGGGTACATGTCACTGTACATTTGTCCAGCCCCATAGAATGTTCAATACCAAGGGTGAACTAATGTCAACTATGGACTCTAGGGGATAATGATGTGTCCTTGTAGGCTCATCGGTGGTAACAAATGTACCATTTTCTTGTGGGATGTTGATAGTAAGGGGAGGTTTGTGGGGGTGGGGTGGCAGGAGGTATATGGGAACTCTCTGTACCTTCAACTCAATTTTGCTGTGACCCTAAAGCTACTCTAAAAAAATAGTTTACTAAAAATGTATAGTGAGGAAAGGAAAAGATTAATAAGTCTGATTACATAAAAATTAATAATTTATATTCAGTAAATATTACCATAAATAAAATGAAATGAAAAGTATAACACTTTAAAATACGTTTACATTTTAAACATTTAAAAATAGAAACACATTAAAACATAATATGTTGAAATTATAATATTATAACATTTATTTTCACTGTTCCAAATGTAATCTCCCCAATCCCACAACATTTACTTCAACACAAACAACTTTTCCCCAAACCATCAACATCAACTGGTCTTCATGTCCACATAGAGAGGGCTGCTAAGAAACTCAGCAGGATTCAGATCTCATTCATGTTGTTCTCTGGATCCTGAAGGAAGAGCACCTCTCCCCTCTGGTAGCCCGAGCATCCGTTGGTTTTCCTGTCCTGGCTGGAAGGGCCTGTTACAAAGTGCTTCCTTTGGTTATGGCATTAGTGAGCTTTCTGGGCATTTTTTCGTTTTTGATTCAGGGCAGGTATTGCTTCTCACTGTAGGCAGCTAATAACTTCACTTGTTTCCCATCTGCCTTCATCACTCTGAGTTTAACCTCTTACTGATGGGAAGAAAGTAGCCAGTCAGGAAGCCCAGGCTGCCCATGAGGAGGGTGCATCACTGGCTGTGGTTTCATGTGGCTCTGACAATAACCAGACCTGGGTTTACTTTCCTCTTGTTTTTGTTTGTTTGTTTGTTTTTAAGATGGAATATTGCTCTCTCTCCCAGGCTGGAGTGCAGTGGTGTGATCTCTGCAGATCACCACAACCTCCGCCTCCCAGGTTCAAGTGATTCTCCTAAATCAGCCTCCTGAGTAGCTGGGATTACAGGCGTGCGCCACCACACCCAGCTAATTTTTGTATTTTTAGTAGAGACGGGGTTTTGCCATGTTGGCCAGGCTGGTCTTGAACTCCTGACCTCAGGTGATCCACCTCGGCCTCCCAAAGTGCTGGGATTACAGGCGTGAGCCACCATGCCTTGCCCTGAGTTCTCTACACCTGGGCTCCAGGTTGCTAAAGTCATCAACTAGGAGCATGAAGTTCAATCAGAACACCTTTGTTTTCATCCTTTCCTAGTTCATCAAAACTTCCTGCTACCACTACTCGGAGGCCCCGAAGATCGAGGGGCTGGGCTCTTATTTCAGATGTTCTTCCAGGTTTCTACCAACGCCATTCCTCCAGGTTTCCACCAACACCATTCCTTCTGCATGTCCCCCGCATGGTAAACTGTCCTCCATCAGAGCTCTGAGAGCCACAACTCCAGGGGTGCCTTCCAAGCCCCAAGTCAGAAAAGTTATGGCCCAAAGTCTGCAGCCAGCTATGACAAAGATGTGATTCTCTCCAGCACCCAGAAACTTTTGTGCCACCAAATTGCTCTGTTTCTCTAATCGTTAGACTCTTTTGCATTCTTTGCACAGTTCCCATCAAAGTAAGTGATGAGTGGGTTACTTCTTTGTATCAAATCTTGGTTTTCCTTTGTCTTCTGAGAGCAGAATGTTTTCCTGGATAAATTGTTTTCATCTTGCCACTCTGTGTATGTGTTTCAGTGACCTATTGCTGAATAACAAATCACCGTGAAACAGTGACTCAAAATAACACTTCATGATTTCCCATGGTTCTGTGACCTGCATGGGTGGCTCTTCCTGGGTGTCCCCATGCATTGCTCACACCAATGTGTCTGTCTTGGGCCTGGGCTGGCCAGAAGGACCATGAAGGTGTCTCGCACATCTGAGGGCTGGGTGCTGGCTGTACACTGAAGATCGTGGGTTCGCTCCCCACTCCAGGTCCCACTGTCCCCGTGTAGTGTCTCATCCTCCAGAGTCCCCCATGTCGCTGCTGTCTCCAGGAGAACAGTTTGGGTTTCCTTACACCATGGCGGCTGGGTAACACGAGCACGAACGTGAAGCTTCCAGGCTTTCCCAAGAACTGGCACAGTGATTCTGCATTCTATCAGCCAAGTGAGTCACGAGGCCAGTGCAGATTCAAGGGGAGGGGAAGTCGCCTGTACCTCTCAGTGATAGAAGTGGCAAAGAATCCTTAATCCACCACAGTGTGCCACAGTTCTGCCCTCAAACTCATTCACCCAAGGCGAAGTGTAAACAAAATGATCGCCTTTCTGGTGTCATGCGCTTCTTCACCAGATGTTCCTCGTGTCTCCTCAAGTGCTTGCGTTCAGGCTGGGGGCAGCTTTCAGGAGCCCTGAGTGAAGTTCACCAAACAGACCTTTGCAGAGCCCAACACAGAAGCATGTTATTTAGCAGTGAACAAACACCTCGACTTCTTCCTGCCTCCACTGCTTCTTCAGGTGACTGGCAATTCCACCTGACTTAGGCACCAGGTTTGTTTCCAGCTCAGAATGCCTTTGAGTCAGAGAAGCACTGCTGCGGTGTTTGTCACCCGTGTTCCAGCTGCTTCAGTAGACCTGTGCGATGGAGATCAACTCTGGTGGCTGCCTCCTCTCATGCTGAGGAAGGCCTTGGGATGGTGCATTTTACGTGTCAAGGTGGCCAGGCCACCAGATATTTAGTCAAACACCAGTTTTGATGTTGCTATGAAGGCATTTTTAGATGTGATTTACAGTTAATCAGTAGACTTGAGTAAAACAGATGCCCCTCCCTAATGGGGTTGGGCCTCATTCAGTGTGTTAAAGGAGTAAAAAATGGAGGCCTCCTGAAGAAGAGGGAATGCTGCCTCCAGACTGCCCCTGGACTTGAGCTACATCAACTCTTGCCTGGGTCTCCTGCCCCATGAAATTTGGACTTCCCAACCCCCACAATCACGTGAGCCAATTTCTTTTTATGTGGGTGGGGATGGGGGTTGTGGAAAAGGGTCTTGCTCTGTCTCCCAAGCTGGAATGCAGTGGCGCAATCTCAGCTGGAATGCAGTGGCACAATCACAGCTCACTGCAGCCTCGACCTCCCAGGTTCAAGCAACAATTCTCCCTCCTCAGCCTCCTGAGTAGCTGGGACTACAGACGTGTGCCACAACACCCAGCGAAGTTTTGTATTTTTTTCATAGAGACAGGGTTTTGTCATGTTTCCCAGGCTGGTCTCAAACTCCTGGGCTCAAGCAATCCACCTGCCTCAGCCTCTTGAAGTGCTGGAATTACAAGCATGAGCCACTGCACTCAGCCCAATTTCTTAAAATATATCCCTCTCTCTATTTACACCCATCCTGTCAGTGTAGGGTGCTTCAGATATGTGTGGCTCTGTTTCTCTGGAGAACCCTAATTACTGCGGGCCTTGCAGTGCCCTCCAGGTGGGAGAACTGGGTGGGTGGGAGGCTCACGGAGCTGAAGTTGGAGACATGGCCCCAAGTGGTCCTCCCTAAGCTCCACCAGAGGCAGGAGTAAAAACAGACCTGGCAAGGAACAGCACCGATGTAGAGAAAGGTCCAATGCACATCCTGAGTGAGGGGCTGAGGGAGCTGGAGGGACAGAGGGCCTGGACCCTGCTGAGGTCCTGCCCTAAGCATGCACCCTCTGCCTCCCATCCAATGTGCTCAGAGGATCTGTTCAGCAGAGAAAAATTGTGTGAGTAGAGAGAGCATAGTTTGTTTGGCATCTAGGCTCTTTTTTTATTAATAATATTTATTCACCACGAAGTGCCAGGCGTTCTGAAAGACTACCATGTATCAGTGAGCTTCTGCTGCAGTAGTGATTCATAACCAACAACCCCAAATCTCAGTGGGCAGGAACCAAAAACAGTTCTCCCTCACAGACACACGCCTTCCCTCACGGCCATGCTCCTTTCTATTTCATTCTCTACATGGAAATATTCCTGGCGCTCATAACTACTTTGCATACCTGATGTGCTCTCCTAGGAAAGGCTGGGAATTTGGCTTCATCTTGTCATCTGAAGCCCTGTGTCTCCTCAGTTGTAGGTCACTTGACCAGCTATGTTCAGCAGCAGCACATGAAGAAGTGGGTAAAATCACCACCAAACCTCTGAGTGAGGCCAGACACGTGCCGTTTCTCCCTTTTCTTTCATTGCCGGGTGCAATCATGTGTTCAGTATTCCAAAGAGTTGGCTGCTAACTCACACATTTTCAGGGCAATAGTAGCAGTTCCTATGCTGGGTTCATATGTGATTACTGCAATTACTATTAATAATAGCCCACACATCATCAGAATGCTTGACGTGCTCTCAGTATGACCCCCAGCCTGCAGTGTGGGGTATGCTGCTTCAGAGCAGTGTTTGTGCCCATGCATGTGTATCTACACATCCGCACATGTGCACAGTGAACCCTTGTTCAGCTGTGAGATGGCTTGTGCCAGTCCCCATCTGGCCATCCTTTTTGAACCCTCCATCCTCTGGGTAATTTCTGGTACCCAGGCATTCCCTGGTGTTCTGGCAGGGTGGGTCTCTGCTCTGGGCTTCAAAGATGACAACTATCACGACTACCACCGCTGGGTGAATATGTATTAGACGAAGATCCTTACACATGAACTCTCTTACTTCATTCTCATCATAGTCCACTGAGGTAGGTGTTGCTATTCCCATTTACAAATGAGAAAACCTGAGGCTAGAAATGGTGATTCACTTGCCCAGAGCTAGACGTGAGTTAGGGCAGGTCCCAAGACTTTCATCAGCCTCAGAAAACAGAAGTCTTTCCATTCACTTTAGTACAGTCTCATTTCTGTAATTAAAAATGTCCAATTTCATGTTATAGTTGAATCTCCAACTTAATTTAAAGGGAAATGCTTCTCCAGACAGATTTGGTCTGTAAGTACCAATTTCCACTAAAAGAAACCAGGGCTCCTTGGAGAAATGGTTGGTGTCAGAGTTGGAGCAGAAAATGTACAAGATGAGCCTAAGATTTCTTGATCCTGAAGGCAAGGACATAATTAGACCACATCTTCAAAACAACACAGGACCCAACCTGAAGGTGCATCAGCTCACCAAAGAGGAAAATCTGACCACCATAAAAAGAAAGATGGTGGCAATCAAATATAGGAAAAACTCATGGGCTTATAGTAACACTAAATCAATCAAACAAACAAAAATACCAAACTTATCAGCTCCCTTTGGAGGCTGCTATGGCACCTACACATTATTCTGAAAATCGGTCTATAACGTAGAAGAATCCAGCATTATTCTGCTGTTTTGTTTGTTTGTTTGTTTGTTTGTTTGTTTTTGAGACAGTCTCGCTCTGTCGCCCAGGCTGGAGTGCAGTGGCACCATCTCGGCTCACTGCAACCTCTGCCTCCCGGGTTCAAGTGATTCTCCTGCCTCAGGCTCCTGAGCAGGTGGAACTACAGGCGCCTGCCACCACACCTGGCTGATTTTTGTAGTTTTAGTAAAGATGGGGTTTCAACATATTGGCCAGGCTGGTCTGGAACTCCTGACCTCAAGTGATCTGCCTGCCTCAGCCTCCCAAAGTGCTGGGATTCCATGTATGAACCACCACGCCCGGCCCTATTCTGCTTTTCATATACAGACTGCATTTCAGAGTAACCAAACAGTCAACAGGGGAAAATTGTGCTTAATAGAAGAACCCACCTAATTGATAGCAAAGTAATTACATTGTTAGAAAATCACAGTTTTGCAACCCCCAAAAGAAATAGTGGAGCTTCGCGGCAATCATTAGTGGCTGCTAAAATCCATCAGGAGAAAAGCGAGGTGCTAAGAGGCCTATCCCATGAATGAAAGGCAAGGGTCCTGTTCAGACCCTGATTTGAAGAAACCTGCTGAAAAATTCATTTCTGAGTCCAGCAGGGAAATTGAACATGGACTGCCTATTAGATATTAGATATTACAGGAATAGTATTAGTTCGGCTGGGTGTGATAATGTTATTGTGGTTATGTTTTTTTTTTAAATATCCTTATCTGTTAGAGACATATACTGAAGTACATACCAGTAAAGTGATGCAATGTCTGGGATTTGCTTTAAAACACTCTAGGAAAAACAGTGTCAGGGCAGAATAGATAAAACATAAAAGGCGGAATACTGATAATCGTTGAGAGTAGGGGATGAGTGAATGGGGGTTCATTCCTGTAGTCTTTTTGTATATATGTGAAAACCTTCATAATAATTTAAAAAACGTTTTATAATGTTAAAGCTTCTCACAGCTTGCTTCTTCTTTGGGCTGGAAGGTGTAGAGGGAAAAGAGGGGTTCCCGTTTCTCCCTAAGCTTTCCATCTCTTCCTTGCCCAGTGTTCCAAAGGAAAAGTAAGGACAGGAACTTCCTCACCCAACAGGTGCCTTTGTGATCAAAGGTTGGTGTTTTCTGGGCCTGGGAGAGGTCATAGCTCCTTTTCCTTCAGGGTTGGGTGGATTTTACTTTATTTTGTGGAGACTCTCCTTTGTTGGGGCCCTCCCACCCACAGGTCTCTTAGCATGGGCATCAGCTCCTCTGGCTGGCCACTGGTTATCTCCCCCTCCCCACCCCACAGCCCCACGCATTTGGGTTTCCAGCCTGGCCTTCTCAGATGACGGCCGTTTACAATGGCTTTGGGTGGGTTCCCTCTTCCATGGGGACCACACCTCATCCTAGCCCAATGGCTCAGCAATGGGATTGACTTCTGAGTCCCCTCATTTGTTTCCTTTCCGAATCATCTCCTGAGAGATACAAATAGGGACACTTGACTGGGGTGGCATCTGGGGTCATAAGTGGGGACAACAGCAGATCCTGTCACCTTCTGGGGACTGGTGCCATTTCTTGGCTAAGGTTGTCAGTAGAGGAATCCATCCACCCTCCTATCCACCCTTCCTCTCAGTCTTGTGTGCAGCAGGCTTCCCCAGGCTAAATCCACCACTGTGGGCCTGTCCCAGGAGGTCCAGAGGTATGTTGGTGTCTGCTACATCAGTCAGGGAGCTTTTGGCAGCAAGTAACAGAACACGTGACTAAGAGTGGCTAAAGCAAGGGGGGTTGTTATTCCATATACTAAGTACAGAAGAAGACAGTTCCGTATTGATCCAGTGATTTGATGGTATCCAGGCTCTGTGTCAGCTTCTCTGCTGTCTCTGTATTTTTCCCTCTTGGTCACAAGATGGCTGCCACAGTTCCAAGCATCACATCCTCACACGACAATATGCCAAGGCAGGAAGGAAAGGGTAAATCCTCTTCATGGAACTCTATTTTCAACAGAATGGAAAACCTTTTGCCAAATTCCCCAACAGACTTTACATCTCATTGGCCAGAATGGGGCCCCATATCCCCACTCCCCACTGCTCCAACCCAATCCCTCTCTAAGGGGACTGGGATTCTCATGGTGGGTTTAGACTCATCATGATTTTTCCTGTGGAACTGCTTCCATCTTCCCTCAGTCAACCTATTCCAGAACAGAATTGGGAGTTTGTTAGGAAGGGAAAGCAGGGGACTGGCTGTTGGTGAGCCACCACACTGTCACCACAGGCACCAAGGACAAACACCGCCTACTTCCACCTCGTAGCCCTGCCCAAGGCAAGTTCTAAGACCGCATTCACCAGTCTTTCTGAGTTGAAACCAGTCACGCACGTGATTGCGGTGACAGGAACGAAGCTGAGTTCTCCAGTGTGAGGAGGTTTGTTCTTGCCTCCTGTGCCCTGACGTGCCGAACAAGCTGAATGAAAAGTGGGAAACAGGCCCGGTGCTACTCCAGGACATGAGATCCGGAGCTGCAGGGCGGGGCTCCAGCAGTGCCCCCTCACTGGGCAACACTGCCAGCCTGGCTTTGCTTGTGCCTCAACTTCCCCAGATTGAAGCCTGGGTCTGCTGAGCCAGGGAGGCGGGAATGGATGGAGTCGGGGCAGGGGAAAGCGTAGGGGGTTGTGGCACTCACAAAGGACCAACATGGCTGTGACACAACAACAAAACACAAACAGCCTTTAGCGTACTTACAGGGAGCAGTGGGGAGGTAAGGTGAAAATCCGCCAGAACAGTGCGAGCGAGGGGTGTAGGAGCCTACAGCATCTGCAGATGCGGCTGCCAGGAAGCCCTGAGGAGCGGACTCAGAGGGCAATGAGATGAGAGTTGAATCCAGAAGGAAGGGAGAGAAAATGGTGAGTGGAGGTAGAGAGGGTGGCGAGGGATGGCAGAATGGGGAGGGGAAAAGGGTCCTTTCCTCTGGGTTTGCAGGTTCAGTCTTAGAGGCTGGACTTCTCTTTGTTTTCTCCTGAAAGGAAGTTAGTTAGGGGGAGCTGACGTCCACGTTAAGAGGCCTGTGGTGGGAGAGCCCCAACGAAGGATCGTCTCTAAACTAGCTGGTTTCTGACAATCACTGAAGCACGTTATAGTGTGGCTTGTTTTCATTAGTTTGAATATCCATGCTCTGGGCTCGGGGGTTAATTTAACTTTCACCACTGTCACACATGAATCAGATCCTCCTCTTGGGGAGTTTGAATGTGAAATACAGAGTTAGAAAATAGGGGCAGTAAAGTGGAAGGGAAGGCAGGAGCAGAGCCCTGGAGGCCCCGCAGCCTGGGAAAGCATCGAGGCGAAGAAGCAGCGGCCACAGGATCCCTGGAGAAATAAGTCATGCCCGGGTAGAGAGGGAGTGCCAGCACCAGAGAGGGGAGCGGCGCTGAGACACAGAAGGGACGTCAGTGCTCCTGCTGCCCCGGGAACCACATAGCCCCGTCCCTAGAGCTGCTGTGCACTCAGAATGGGAAAGCTTCCCCTCTATCCTCCTGACCCCTGCCAGGTGACACATTCCTCATTTCTTTATTTCCTCACATGTCCCTTTAATAAACCCTCCTTACTTAAAGTAACCAGATAAGTACCTTTCTTTGGCTCTAAAAGAGCTCATTAAGATCATCATCCTGTACTTGCTTCTCCATTTTGATTCTGAATCAATAAGAACATTTTTCCCATGGTGAAATATATTCCAGCTTTCTATGCATGAATGTCATAATTGCTGTGGCTTTGGTATGCATGGATAGTGCGTGTGTGTGGACAAAAAACAAATTCAGTAGTTTATTCACTCACCACGCATGTTTTTAACATGCACACCAGGTGCCAGGTGATGAGGCTCCGGAGGTGAAGAAGATGGTATTAAAGCGTTATGATTCTATCTAGAATATTTTACACCTCAGAAAAGAGTGTAGAAAAACTGAAACCAAAGACAAAGGAACTATGGAGGAAAAAAGATTTAAAAGACATTCACTGGCTTAAGGAAGAAGAAAAGAGAAAGGACCACAAGCCTATCCATCTCTGCGGGGGACAGGAAAGCAATGAAGGTCCATCCATATGTGCACAGCACATGTCCCTCAGTGCCACTTGGTCCTCTCCATGGTGGTGGCTGTCCTCGGGGGCAACGTGAAAAGTCTCCTGCCAGCACCCCTGATGCAGATCCCCCTCCACCCTGGTGCTTCCATCATCCGAGTCTCTGTCCACCTGGGGGTCTAAGGCAGCAGCCGCAAGTGCGGCACCGGCATCGGGGATGCTGCCTGCATGCTGGACAACAGCAGCTAGATGCGTGGCTTTTAAGATTGAAAAGATAGGCCAGGCGCGATGGCTCACACCTATAATTCCAGCACTTTGGGAGACTGAGGCAGGTGGTCAGTTCAAGACCAGCCTGGCCAACATGATGAAACCCTGCCTCTACTAAAAATACAAAAATTAGTCAGATATGGTGGCATGCAGCTGTAATCCTCAGGAGGATGAGGAAGGAGAATCGCTTGAACCTGGGAGGTGGAGGTTGCAGTGAGCTGAGATTGCACCACTGCACTCCAGCCTGGACAACAAGAGTGAAACTCTGTCTCCACAAAAAAAAAAAAAAAAAAAAAATTGAGAAACAATAAAGGTGTATGTGTCCAAGTGTGCCTATTAACAGCGCTGTAAATGATGTATCTGAAAGAGCCATATAGACATGTGTGCTTTTGCATGCCAGAGTTTCAGAGGTCATCCAAGGAAAGGAAAAGAATGAGACTTCTATGTCAGACACCAGGTCTGTGCTAGATGAGAGAGCACGGAAGCACCTGCGGCTTACATTTAGAACAACAGAGGAGTTGGACAGGGGGGATGGTACAGCAGCTCATTGGCTGCCTGATTCAAGGCCAAAATCAAAGGCTGGATGCCTTTGCACTTCACTTGCATGGTTTTCTTTTTAAAAAGTGGCATCACGTGGAAATTTGTGCACTCTCTCAGAATCCTTCCAACCTGCTGTGAGAAATGTGTGCTAAGTGCACTTTTAAAAAGGAGTCAAGAATGATTTTTCTTACTGCAGTAGTTTGACTTCACACTCGAATAATGATTTTATGCTCACCTTGACTGTTTTCATGTCATCACTGCCTGGACTCACACACCGCATGGGAACTGCTCAAAGACAGTAGCAGCCACTGAGTAGTTTGGGAAATGCTTCATTCCACATCACCCTCAACAACCCTGCTCTTACTTAGTACAAGTGAGAACCATCACCGCTGGCTTGAACCCACCCATGAAGAAACACGGGCTGAGGAGGGGAAGCACCTGGTAAGAAAAAGAGCTTTGACTTTCAACTAACAAGCCATGGGCCTTCAAAGAAATTAACCGAATAATCTGAATAAAATATAATAAAGCAAAAAAGTAAAGTTTTTGGATAAAGACTGTGGATTTTTTTGACTCTTCATACTAACACAATTCTCATCCCTCCAGCTGAGTTCACCTGACCCGAGACTGCATAGCTTTGCTTCACTTCTTCCAGGAGCTCACAACACCTGTGAGGCTGAGTGACTCGAGGAGTGACTAAGAGATTGGCCCAGTCCTGTTTGCTCCTGTATGTTATGTATTGACACCGAGGACACTTCTTTCTGTCAGATGTGCAGGAACAAGAGCCCCCTTCTCCTCCCTGGCCATGCTACCTGATGCCCATGAGTACTCCACAGTCTCCAGCCAGAGGCACGTCTCACTCAGGTGTTGTCCAATTATCTGGATAGCAAATGGAGAAAAAAAACCACCCATCACCCACAAAACAGATCTTCCAACTGCTGCTTTTAGAAAAGCTCTTTGGACCCTTTTCACAAGATAGCGCTGAGGGTGAAGAAGGAAGATCCTGCCCCTCCTAAAGCCAAAGCAAAGGCTCTGAAGGCCAAGAAGGCAGTGCAGAAAGGCATCCACAGCCAGAAGAAGAAGGAGAAGGAAAAGAAGAACCACACACTGGTCCAAGACACTGCAACTCTGGAGGCAGCCAAAATATCCTTGGAAGAGTGCCCCCAGGAGAAACAAGCTTGACTACTATGCCATCACCAAGTTTCTGCTGACCACTGAGTCCACCATGAAGATAGAAGACAACAATACACTGGTGTTCATTGTGGATGTTAAAGCCAACAAGCACCAGATCAAATAGGCTGTAAAGAAGCTCTATGACATTGATGTGGCCAAGGTCAACACCCTGATTCGGCCTGATGGAGAGAAGAAGACGTATGTTCCACTGGCTCCTGAGGACCATGCTTTGGATGGTCAACAAAATTTGGATCATCTCAACTGAGTCCTGCTGGCTAACTATATATACATATATCTTTACACCAGAAAAAAAAATTTTTTTAATAAAAATTTTAAAAAAATTTTAAAAAAGCTCTTACAGGCCAGCTGCGGTGGCTCACGCACTTTGGGAGGTCAAGGCGGGTGGATCACCTGAGGTCAGGAGTTTGAGACCAGCCTCACTAACATGGTGAAACCCCATCTCTACTAAAAATACAAAGATTAGCCTGGTGTGATGGTGTGTGCCTGTAATCCCAGCTACTCGGGAGGCTGAGGCAGGAGAATCACTTGAACCGGGGAATCGGAGGTTGCAGTGAGCCAAGATGGCACTGCTGCACTCCAGCCTGGGTGACAGAGTGTGACTCCATCTCAATTAATCAATCAATCAATTAATAAATCAGCTCTTACATTTTCCTGGTTGAAGCTGTGGCTACATCACCACCTGCTATGCTTGGCACAGTTCTTGGCCCCCAGGAGGGACTCAGTAAGTGTTTGTTGAGTGAGCAATTCACACTGCACAGCCTCTGTCCTTCTGCACATGGTTGTCCCAGCTCACTTACCTGCACTGCCCCTCTAAGTGAGACCCCTTGTGCAGGACCCGTGCAGGATAGATGTCTCAGCACCTGGGGCCGGAATCGCAGGGAGCATGGAGGTCCTACAGAATGGGCCAAGCTTCCAGAGCTGGTGTGGATAGCAGGAGCTCCGTAGAGACCACATCAGCATCTTCTCTTCTATTTCTACTTTTAGAATAAAGGAAGTCACTCTCCTGCTTAAAACCTTCCAGGAATTTTCCCTTTTTCTTAGGGTGATCAAGTCTGAACTCCTTAACCCGGTCTACCTACCCCTGGCAACATGGCTCTTTTCGCTCTGTCCTAACCCACCTCCCGCCACTGTCCCCTTCGTCCACTGGGCTCTGGCCACCTGGCTCCCAAGTGCCACCTGCTCACTTGCTGCCTCAGGCTCAGCCTACTCCAGCTCTGCTCCCACCTCATCTGTCCTTCACAGCACTCTCTCCATTGGAAACAGATGCTCACTGATGTAAGCCTCTCCCTTCAGACCATGAGCTCCATGAGGCAGAACCTCATCCGTCTTGCTCATCATCATCCCTATGAGAGGCAAAGTAGCAAAAGCCAAGCCAAGCTTGCTCATTCCAGCAGAATTTCACAAAGCCCCTGACTCTGTGACGACATACAGCAGCTCTCCGAAAAGATGCTTTGAAGACAAAACAGGATAGAGCACGTGGCTCCCTATGTCTCTTGCCAGAGTCACTATATTCCTTAAAAGATAAATGACCCTAGAGTCCTTGCCTTTTCCTACACAAAATGTCTGATGGGGTTAGGGATTATTCCTCTGTAATCTATAACCAGATGTGCTCTTATACCCAAACCTTGATGTGATTCTGTGTCAGTGTAACATCTGTGCAAGTTTGATGTGATTTTTGCACATGCAAAAAGTAAGCTGGGACCTGTATATAAGCTGTAGGCTGAAATATTGTGGTGGAGCAGTCTGACAGAACCTCTCTAAAGGGCTGCTTCTGGGCTCTAGGCTCCAGTCAGTAAGATTTTTTGGTGTATGTTTTATTTTTTTTTAATATTTTGTAGAGGTGGGGTCTTGCTATGTTGCCCAGGCTAGTCTTGAACTCCTGGGCTCAAGTGATCCTCCTGCCTCAGCCTCCCAAAGTGCTGGGATTACAGATGTAAGCCACCATGCTTGGCCTAACACCTTTGTTTTTTGGTTTTGGGTTTTTTGGGGGGTGGTTTTGAGATAGGGTTTCACTCTGTCACCCAGGCTGGAGTGCAGTGGCACAATCACAGCTCACTGCACCCTTGAACTCCTGGGCTCAAGCAATCCCCCCACCTCGGCCTCCTGAGTAGCTGGGACTACAGGCATGCACCACCATGCCCAGACAATTTTTGTATTTTTTGTAGAGTTGCGGTTTCACCATATTGCCCAGGCTGATTTCAATCTCCTGGCCTCAAAGGATCCACCTGCTTTGGCCTCCCAAAGTGTTGGGATTACAGGCTTGAGCCACCACACCTGGCCTCAGCCTAAGATCTCTGAATAACACTAACTTTAATTCTTTAAAAGCTTGACTTTTTTTCATTAATTGGCCCCCAGTAACATTTCCTGTCACAGTGCAGTTAAGCAATGAATACTGGAAGGAAGGGAAGGAAGAAGGTGGCGGGGTTGGGGGGCAAGGAAGGAGGGAAGAGAAGGGACGGGAGGCGAAGACAGGGGGAGACGCTTCTTACTCTAAGAAGGCCCGTCCTTCCTACCCATGGACTTACAGGTCTCACAGGGAGAGGCAGGGAGGAATTAATGAATAGCCTCCAACAGACGATTCATTTCATTACATCCCATGCTCTGCAAAGAAACAGTCATTTTAGGAACTTTTCTCGCTAAATTATATTGGTTTTACGGTATTAACTGCATTTTAATATTAGTCTGTTTCATTAAAGATAAATGCTCTCAAAAGCTTCCCACGGGAAAAATGCCCTGGCCCAGATAGCACTGTGTTAAGCCTCTTAAATAAGCCATTTCTATAAAATCACCAATTCCCTCATTCTGAGCATAATGATGTAGGCTTTCTGACAGAAACTAAAAATCAGGCCTGTTGTCACTGGGTTTTTCTAGGTTTCATTAAGAGGCCACCCCTCACATGGACTGGTAAGGGGCATTTTCCAAAACTCCTGGTTCCGCGGAGAAGGTAAAGTCTAACACCAGTGCTTAGTACCCAAGGAGCCCTTGCCCTGGGCCAGCACTGGGAGAAGCAGGGCATGACTGGGTGAAGCTCTGGTGTGATCCACGTTCTGTTGTCCAACGGGTGGCCTCAGGTGGGGACTTCCCTTCCTCTGTAAAGTGAGGACTATGATACTACCCATCTCAGGCAGTGACAAGGATCAAGGGTCAGGATGCATGCTGAGTGGCCCATGAAAAAGCCTCTGAAGGCCGGGCGCGGTGATTCACACCTGTAATCCCAGCACTCTGGGAGGCTGAGGTGGGCGGATCACTTGAGGTCAGGAGTTCGAGACCAGCCTGGCCAACAGGGTGAAACCCTGTCTCTAGCTAAAAAAAAAAAAAGAAAAAAAAATACAAAAAATTAGCTGTGTGTGGTGGCAGGTGCCTGTAATCCCAGCTACTGGGGAGGCTGAGGCAGGAGAATCCCTTGAACCTGGGAGGTGGAGGTTGTAGTGAGCCAAGATCATGCTACTGCACTCCAGCCTGTGTGACAGAGCAAGACTCTGTCCCAGGAAAAGAAAAAAATAAAGGCTTTGATACAAGTTGACTGTCATCATTCAACACACCATCCAAGTGCATCCTCACAAGAAATGGACAATGGATGTCCAGGTGTGAGTGTCGCATGCACGTGTTTATTTGCTGCTGTACGACTCTCATTGTGCAGAGAAGGAGACTGAGGTTTAGGGGAGCAATGCTAAAAGACAACTGTGGGAAGTCATCTGACAATGTCAGGTCCTGGGACAAAGGCAGGATTTTCACCCATGGGCCTGTCCTTCCAGCCCATGCTGTCCCTCAGGTCTGGGTCTGGAAGGAGAAGAGAAGACAGCCACAGCTGTGTGTCCCTGCACCAGCATTACCTTAACCCGTGCAGAGACAGGTGAGATGCCAGAAGCTGCCACCGGCCAGTCTCCCCCACGACCCAGCGGTGCTTTTCTCTCTCCAGAAATGGGCACCAGACAAGGCAGCGGGGTCCACATTTTCGCACTGGCTTGAGGGCTGTGCGACTTTGGGAATGTCCCCTCATCTTTTTCATCTTCAGATTCCTTAACTGTGAAATGAGAAAAACACATCCTGCTACACATAATCTAAAGGCTTATGGTGAAAATAGAATGGGATGATAAATGGTCCCATTCTTTATACATGTTGAAGGATTCCACACATTAAGTCTTTGGGCTTTGGGGTTTTTGGTCCAGCAGTCTCTCTGTGGTAACAGAAGCACAGGCAGCCCTGGCTCCTGTGTAGTGGCCCCAGGACCTTGGTCCAAGTCCTTGGAACCTCTCAGACTCTCCTTCCCCCTTTGTAACTGGACAGTAAGCACGCCCCCTCCCTGGGGTATTGCAAGGGTTAAATGAGAAGGATTGCGAGGAGCTCTGTAAACTGTAAAACTCTACCCAAAGGTGAGATGTCATTACTCCCTCTTTAGGGGCAAGGTCTGTTTTTCTCCCCCGTATGGCACTGTCATTGCCTTACTGTGTGACCCTAGGGCAGGAGGGAAAATTAGACCTATCCAAAGGTTTCATGTCATTTCCTTTCTTTTCTTTTGTTTTTGTTTTTGTTTTTGTTTTTGTTTTTAGAGACAGGATCTGACCCTGTCTTTCAAGCTGGAGTGCAATGGCATGATTATAGCTCACCGTAGCCTTGAACTCCTGGGCTCAAGCAATCCTCCTGCCTCAGCCTCCCAATGTGCTGGGATTACAGGCCTGAGCCACAGCGCCCAGCCTCATGTCATTTTAAAATTCCATTTCAGACTCCCTCTCTTCCGTGCACAGTACTGATGCTGATGAATGCAGAGTGGAAGCCAGTGTTCCTGACCACAGCCACTCCCAATAGAGCCCGCCCAGGGCTGCTCGTAGGCTTTCCGAATGCACGGGCACTTTGTGATCACAGTCACAGAGCTCTGACTTCCTGAGAGCAATTTCAGAAGGAAAATGTATGACTGATAAAATATTTCTGGAATACAGATTCTGCAAATCTCGATTAAAAATAATATTTAGGAAATAGTCCAGGCTTTTGGTTGAAATTGAAACATGAGGGTCATAAATATCTCATCGAGCTCATTAGGCAGGCCGCAGTCCTCGTGCCACATCAAGTAGGTCTCAAGCTCTGGGCTTCATTCATCACATGACTCTGTGATTATCCTGAAACCAGCAGTGAGGCCCTTTGTGGGAGTGATGATTAAAGAGACATTTATAACTAGGAAGTTTAAAAGCCCACCTATGCTGCTGACATGTGAAGAAATGCTGGATGTGTGCAAACTTAGAAAGTGGTGTTTGGACTCCCCCAGTAGCTGTGGCACGGGGTAAAAACTATATTTGGAAAATGGACGGTGTCGTAGCAGGGTGGGTCCCACCCTTACCCCTTCCCCCAAATAAGCAGAGAGACAGGCCTCCGCTTTCGCCACACCTGAGCTGCTGCTTCTCAAGAACCGTTCACACTGCAGGGAGAGAGGTGAGGGCAAAATTTACCTGGGCTCAGTGAATTCAGCCTGACAGAATCATGTCGGTGTCACCTTTAGGATACGCTCAGTCTTGTAAGGTAAAATGCTGGGTCTTTTGGAAATGTCTCCCCTCTTCCTGCTCTTCTCTGAGACGGAGGTTGCTGGTGGCTGATGACAGCCTGTGGAGTTGGGGGACTCATCTCTCCTGGTGTCTTCCAGAGAGCCCCTGGTGGTGACTGCAGAGTGGCTGATTGATTGGGGCCAATCCCAGATTTGCTGAGGAACAATGGGGCCTATCTGGATTTGGGAGGGGAGAGAACGTGCCAGCACCCTCCACGGAGGCCTTGTTATGCCCCCGAACTAGGTTTCCACCATCCGTGGGTTCTCCCCAGGCTATGAGTGCATGCTGGGTTCCCCGCACACCACCACCGAGGGACCAGCCCTGGCAAAGGAGCTGCCAGGCAGTGGCCTCACACCACACCATAAGGGATCACATTGGGACTATGGATAACTACAAAGATGCCTTCAAAGAAAATGCATCTGTTTCTCAGCAACCACCGTGGGGAGGCTGACATTAGAACAGGTGGCATCTATGGCAGTGCCACAGGGAGACAAGCAATGGGTGTGGGGTAGCCCTGGCCCTGACCCCTTTCACTCACAGAGGTGAGCAATGGATTTACTGTCAAAAGGACACACTGAAGTGAAGATCTCAAATCCCCGCTCCTAGTACTGTCAGCAGGCAGTGTGAAGACTCGTAACCTTCACTCAAGTCCTCACAGGGTCAGAGAGCCAGGGGCCAGCTCCTGCAGCAATTCCTGCAACAGGGACAGCAGCAGTCAAGGAAAGCTCATGCCTCCTCTGCCATACTTGCTGGCCACCTCCCTCCTAGCCTCTGGTCATCTCTTGCTGCATAATGACAAGGACTCCTTCCTTGACCAAACTTCAATCAGCTCCTCTGAGCCCTCTTTCATCTAGCCCTCACCCTGGGTCCCTGTCCTTGGCCTCTGAGCCTAGTTTTAGCAAAGAATCCTACCATGTTCCTCTTAGTAATTTTCTGTCTACCCTGCTGTTGGCTATAAATCCCCACTTGTCCCTGTTGTGTTTGGAGCCGAGTTCAATCTCCCTCCCCTATTGCAGTAGTCTTGACTCCTTGCTATAGTCTTGACTCCATCCTAAGTTTGGATGTTTGTCCCCCAAACTTCATGTTGCAATTTGATTCCCAATGTTGGAGGTGGGGGCCTAATGACAGTAGTCGGGGTCATGGGGACAGATCCCTCATGAACGTCTTGGTGCCGTCCTCAAGGTGATGAGTGAGTTCTCGTTCTATTAGCTCCCACGAGAGCTGTTGTTTAAAAAAAGCCTGGCACCTCCCTCCCTCACCCCCTCCCTTGCCATGTGATCTCTGTACACACCAGTGCCCTTCATCTTCCACCATGAGTGGAAGTCACCGAAGGCACTCAACAGGTGCCCAATCTTCCAGCTAGCAGGACCACGGGCCAAAAAAAAAAAAACCTTTTTTTTTTTAAATAAATTACTCAGTCTCAGGTATTCCTTTATAGCAAGTTTGTTCAACCTGCAGCCTGCAGGCTGCATGAGGCCCAGGACAGCTTTGAATGTGACCCAACACAAATTTGTAAACTTTCTTAAAACATAATGAGATTTATGCACAGATTTTTTTTTTTTTTTAGCTCATCAGCTATCGTTAGTGTTAGTGAATTTTATGTGTGGCCCAAGACAATTTTTCTTCTTCCAGTGTGGCCGAGGGAAAGCCAAAAGATTGGGCACCCCTGCTTTATAGCAACACAAAACAGACTAAGACACCCCTGTTCCAACAGTCTTGAATAAAATCTTCCTTGCCATTTTTAACAAGTTCAGAATAATTCCTCTTTAACAGTTCTAATACTACCCCAAAACTTCGTTGCTAGAAACCACCATTTGGTTTTGCTCACAGTGTGGGAGGGGCATGGGAGAAGTCTGTCTGGGACCCATGAGGAGTCAGCTGGGAGCTGGGGCTGAGCAGCCACTTCCACGATGGCATCTTCACTCCCATGTCTGGCACTTGGGGCCTTCCTGGCCTCTCCCTCTCTTCCTGGCAGCTCATCCTCCAGGGCTTCACACTGTGGCCTCTCCAGCATGGTGAGTGCAGGCATTCCTGAGACATCTTGCATGGGGTGGCAGCTGACATTCCTGAGTGCGTGTCCTGGCAGGGCCTGGAGAAGCTGCAGAGCTGGAAATCCCACATGTCATTTCTGCCACATGCTAGTGGCCAACCAAGTCTCTGAGGATGGCTCAGAGTCAGGGGGAGGGAGGAACAGACTCCACCCCCAAAGGGGAGGTGGCTTGCATGTCCAGGGAGGGGAGGAATTGATGGTGGCATCTTAGAGACAAGCTACCCATCTACTGTCACCTGCTCCAGGTTTCGCTGCTCTCAAAACAGGACACCCAGGTGGTCACGGTGGCTCACACCTGTAATCCCAGCACTTTGGGAGGCCAAGGCGGGTGAGTTCAGGAGTTCAACACCAGCCTGGCCAATATGGTGAAACTCTGACTCTACTAAAAATACAAAAATAAGCCAGGCATGGTGGCATGCACCTGTAGTCCCAGCTACTCGGGAGGTTGAGACAAGAGAATCGCTTGAACCCAAGAGGTGGAGGTTGCAGTGAGCCACAGATCATGCCACTGCACTCCAGCCTGGGTGACAGAATGAGACTCCTTTTCAAAATAAATAAATAAATAAATATTAAAATAAAATTAAAACAAGACACCCTGAGGAACTAACCCTGGGGCCACTGGCTTCTCTCTGACATTCCAAACTTCACAGTCACTTTATATTTTTTAATAGTAGATGAGTTTCCAACCTGAAATAGTTCCAGTGGTCAAAGCTCAAGCAATTTGAGCAACAAAGTAAATAACATCATATTCATTTATAATCCAAACTATAAAATAAAAATCTGTGAGTTCTTATGAGGCAGGAGAATAGGGAATTCAAAAGCAAAAGAACAGCAGGCACAGCCAGTTCTAGGCAAGATTGGTCAGCATCCAGGCCACATCCTCACTCCTGGGATAACAAGACAGAAACTTCCACTTCAGCTTCTGATTGACCGTGGGTCATTTCCACTTCAGCCTCTGATTGGTTGCGGGCCAATCCTCCACAGGGTGTAACTGATTGGAGGCCTCTAAAGGGCACCGAGGAGTGTTACCAAATTCTTTTAGCCTAATAAAAACCCTAAACATTGCAATTGGTGGGGGAGCTCTTGAGCTGCTTTCTCAAGCTCACTCCCAGTCTGTGGAGTAAACTTTCCCTTCAATAAATCTGTGCTTTCACTACTCCGTTCTTTTGTTGCTTTGTTTGTGCTTTTTGTTCAATTCCTTGTTCAACACGCCAAGAACCTGGATGACTCACAGTCAAGACCTTCCATCTGGTAACAATGACAGATAAAATGAATAAACGAATAAGTGGAGGAGATGAGACAACCATCCCATATAAAAGAATTCCAAATAATGTATATGGATACTCCCCCATCAAAAAGCAGACTTTAACTCCCCACCCCCTTAAGTGTGGGCTGCACTTACTTTTGCTTCCAAAGACTACAGGATGGAAGGAGGGAATAAGTAACTCAACAACAGAAAAACCTGACAAACACTATTCAGCCGGGTGATCAAGGTCAACAACAACAGTGATATGTCATTTTGATAGTATGTGCCCTTGACAGGATGTGATGAGAACGGCACTTAACCTCTGTGGTCTTCCTGCCAAGAACACATAGCCCCAGTCCAATTGTGGGAAAACCATTAGACACATCCCAATAGAGGGACGGTCTACAAAATACCTGACCAGGACTCCCCAAAACTGTCAAGGTCATGAAAAACAAGGAAAACCTGAGAAATTGTCACAGACCAAAGGAAGTTAAGGAAACATGATGCCTGGATGGGATCCTGGAACAGAAAAAAATGGTAAGGAAAAACTGATGAAATCTGAATAAAGCATACAGTTTAGTCAATAAGAACGGACGAATATCAGGCCGGGCGCGGTGGCTCACACCTGTAATCCCAGCACTTTGGGAGGCCGAGGCGGGCAGATCACGAGGTCAGGAGATTGAGACCATCCTGGCCAACATGGTGAAACCCCATCTCTACTAAAAATACAAAAAATTAGCCGGGCATGGTGGCAGGCACCTGTAGTTCCAGCTACTCAGGAGGCTGAGGTAGGAGAATGGCGTGAACCTGGGAGGTGGAGCTTGCAGTGAGCAGAGATCGTGCCACTGCACTCCAGCCTGGGCAACAGAGCAAGACTCCGTCTCAAAAAAAAAAAAAAAAAAGAATGGACGAATATCAGTTCTTTAGTTGTGACAAATGTGCCGTAGTAACAGCAGGGAAAACAGCATGGAGTACAGTCAGCCCTCTATATCCGCGGGTTCTGCATCCATGAGTTTAACCAGCTGCCAATCAAAACACTCTGAAAAAATTAAAAAGTAATGATATAACAATATAAAATAGTACAAAATTTTAAAAATACAGTAAAACAACTATTTACATAACACTTACATTGTATAAGATTTTATAAGTAATCCAGAGATGATTTAAAGTATATGGAAGGATGGCTCATGCCTGTAATCCTAGCCCTTTGGGAGGCCAAGGCGAGTGGATCACCCGAGGTCAAGAGTTTGAGACAAGCCTGACCAACATGGTGAAACCTCATTTCTACTAAAAAATACAAAAATTAGCTGGGCGTGGTGGCACATGCCTGTAATCCCAGCTACTCAGGAAGCTGAGGCAGGAGAAGCGCTTGAACCCCGGAGGCAGAGGTTGCAGTGAGCCGAGATGGCGCCACTGCACTCCAGCCTGGGCAACAGAGCAAAAAAACCTGTCTCAAAATAATAATAATAATAAAATAAAATAAAGTACACAGAAGGATGTGTGTAGGTCATATGCAAGTTCTACGCCATTTTGTTATCAGAGACTTGAGCATCCACAGATTTCATATTGGTTGGGTGTCCTGGAACCAGTCCCCTGTGGATACTGAGGGGTGACTGTATATGGAATTCTCTGAGCTACCTTTGCAACTCTTTTGTAAATCTAAGACTGATCTAAAACTAAACAGCTCATCTAAAAAGTCAGATAAGTCTAAGTCAAAACAATCTTAAGTCATTAATATGAGACTAAGGAATAGAAAACCAGGCGAAAAAGGTCTAAGCCTCACAACACCTGGAGCCTTACTTAAAACAGCAGTTAAGAGGACACAAATGGAATCAAAAGAGATAATGACTTTACTAAATTGTAATTACCTCAGATTTGGGATTTAGAATTTTGAAATTATCAGTGACAGTACATGTTGTC
Organism: Homo sapiens; assembly: GCF_000001405.40. Taxonomy (NCBI): domain Eukaryota; kingdom Metazoa; phylum Chordata; class Mammalia; order Primates; family Hominidae; genus Homo; species Homo sapiens. Next base: position 25,217,018 of record NC_000013.11, read on the forward strand.
ATTAATTATAAAAGATAAACTAGACTGTGATTCAATTTAAATTTGGAATTTCAAATTTTGTTCTCCTTTCTTCTGCTTCATCCCGATTGGATACATCTCTGAACTGTAAATTGCATTTGCAATGACAGCAAAGACGTTTGAGTCAGAATGTCCTCCTCCTAAGTGATGACTATATTCATGAAAGGGTGATGAGGCAATGCAGTCATCTCTGTGCATTCCAGCTGCCTGATGACGCTTAACCAACCACCAGAAGCAACTTCTAGGTGAGGGGAGGCTGCAGGGATTTAAAGTTTTAGAGTGTTAACTCCAAAAGTGCTGGTATGGATGCCAGTGACACCAGGGCAGCAGCAGCATTTTCCCACAGCTGTTTCTCAGTGGAGATGCTACTTGGACGCTCACTTGGCCATGGCAACGGGCTGTCAGCTTCCAATCAAGCTGCCATTTGAGTGGCAGCTCAGTGGGAAACCCAGATGAGCACAATGAGGCCCCGCTCCTCAAGGCCAACTCCCTAATAAACGTAGCTCTTTTCCCAGGCTAAGGGTGCTGTGAAAATGCCCCTTATTTCCTGCATCCCACTGTGTCAGTTCCCATCGCTGTCTTTTTCAATGAGCCAGCATTCATACATGAGAAGTGGTAATAGCATGGTTTTGAGAGTGCATTTGATTTTGTCTTCCTAAGAAAGGACTCACGCGGAGGACAAAGGCTCCCTTCATCACATTCTAGTGAAGTGCTTGAGAGGGAGGCCGGCAGAGAGAAGGTTACATATGTGGTGAGGGGGTTCGATTTTATTCCAAGTGCACTGGGAAGGCATTGGAAGGTGCAACCATTCAAGGAAAGTGTGTTCTGGGGAATTTAAGAGATCTGCCTGGAACTGGGGGCAAGTTTAGTGGCTCTGCCATGGCCCTCATTCATTTTAATGACATGGTAGAAAATTGGGATCGAAAGAAACAATTCCCTGAAGTTTCGGTCTCTTTAAAGGATTTCCCCTACAAGCAGCTGTTTTCAGGGTATCCCACAATAAGATGGAATCAGGTTTTGATTTGAAAAGGAGCTCCTGGAACCCTATGCCGTCAGGTAGCATTTTTTAATTCATACACTAATGAATATTTCCTCACCACTAGCAATGTGCCAGGCACTGTCCTGGGTACCAGGATTCATAGTAAGCAAGACTTGGCCCCTGCCCTTAAGTCACGTACAGCCCAGGGCTAGAGAGAGGTAGTAAAGGGGAACTGGCCTAGGAAAGACCAGCTGTGGTTTCATCAGGCTTTCGTAAGTTTGCCCAACTCATGCCAAGTTTAAACATCTGAAAAAATGATTCCCAGATTGTCTCTGGGATTGAGACCCAGCAGCTCTTTATGTTTGACGCCTCCTTCAATCATCTGTAAAGTGCGCATGTGATTTAAGAACGACTTTTTCTGTTGACATTAATGAAATTACCAAGGTCAACAGTCATCCATTCAGATGCCTGAAAAGCTGGGACATTGACAAGGTTGAATTTGGGGGCCTCACATTCATCTTTCCATATCCTTCCCCCTCTCCTTAGAATTCTAAAATCTTTCATTCTCTCTCCTCATTCCACCCTCTCAGGAAAGAATCTAAAACTTACCCATATTGATATTTAAGGAACTGATGAAGCTCAAAGCATGTTTTAGGGGGACAAAGTTGCTTTCTTTGCTTTTGGCGTAAGCTTCACTAAATTCCACTGTAGATGGTTACTATATATTGAACAAAAGAATAAATGAATACATTTAAGCAAAGAAATTAAAATAAAAAATAAAATAGGCTGGGCACAGTGGCTCATATCTATAATCCCAGCACTTTCAGAGGCAGAGGCAGGAGGATCACTTGAGCCCAGGAGACCAGCCTGAACAGCACAGTGAGACCTCGTCTCTACAAACAAATTAAAAAATTAGCCAGACTTGGTGGCGTACACCTATAGTCTTAGCTACCCAGGAAGCTGAGGCAGGAGGATCAGTTGGGTCCAGGAGGTCAAGGCTGTAGTGAGCTATAATCGTGCCACTGCACTCCAGCCCAGGCAACAGAACAAGACCCTGTCTCACAAAAAAACAAAAAACAAACAAACAAATAAGATGCGTTGGCCAGAGCAAAAGGGGAAGTAGAGTTAGGCAGTAGCATTCCACTACGCCAAATGAATTCATTAAGCAATCAACAAACAAAAACAAAGAAAGGATACTATAATAGAAAAAAATGTAGAGATGACGTGCCCCCAGAAACAGGAATCATCTGCCCCAAGAGAAGATAGTTAGCAACCTGATCCCCACACACATGTACTCACTATACTGTCAACCCTTCACTCATTTTGCCAAGACTGGAAAAGGTGTATCATGGCCCGAAGCCAGTAGCAGCCCTCAGGCTATCTGATGTCTAAAGCTACTGGGCCAGAAGCTGACCCCACTGACAGAAGCCCTCTCTTTTTAACTGGGAGGGATGGAAAGTGTGATGTGAAGCAACGGAATTTTGCATCCTATGTGTGTGTTGCTCCTTCCTGGGAAGCAGAGGCCTCTGATCTGCAAGGTCCACTACTGTAAAGGTAAGGACTATTAAACTCAGTCTCCCTGATAACTCTGCTCAGAGAGAGGGCGCCACCTCACTCCACTTTCTTCTTCCATTCCAATTCCACTGCCTCATGTATGCGTTTCCTTCCAGTAATCAATAAATTGTTGATTTCTTTTTCTAAAAGGAACACTTAAAGGTCTTAAATTATTCAACTTGTACCAATTGATATCGACTCTGTAGGTAATTCTTTTTTCAAGCCACCCTTTAAACAGCATGAAGACTCTGTGTTGTATGTTTGTTATCCCTCTACACACACACACACACACACACACACACACACACACCCCTACCTTATCTAAGTGACTCTTTTACCTTTAAGATGAATTTTAAGTGGAGTTGCTTCCTCAGCCCTCCCAACTTCTCTGTGTATTGTGTGATAAACCTTCCAGAGGAAGGAAGAAGACAAAACCACAACTTTTTCTTAATGAAGGAGGCTGTGATTACACTTCTGAATTATGACAGACTGTTTTAGACCAAGGAAAGAATGCAGCAGGTTGCTGGCTGGGACAGAAGCAAGCTAACAATTTTTAGGTATTTATCTCGCATTCAGGCCGGACACAGTGGCTCATGCCTGTAACCTCAGCACTTTGGGAAGCCAAGGCAGGTGGATCACCTGAGGTCAGGAGTTCAAGACCAGCCTGGCCAACGTGGTGAAAGTCCGTCTCTACTAAAAATTAGTCAAGTGTGGTGGTACGCCTATAATCCCAGCTACTCCGGAGGCTGAGGCAGGAGAATCTCTTGAACCCGGGAGGCAGAGGTTGCAGTGTGACGAGATTGCACCGCTGCACTCCAGCATGGGCACCGAGAGTGAAACTCCGTCCCCCCTCCAAAAAAAAAAAAAAACTTGCATTCAGCCACTTTGCTGATTCTGTATCAAATGAAATGCTTTCCCAGTAGATTATCTGGTGCTTTTTAGGTAGACAACAATATTGCCTGTGACTTTTTTCTACTTTTAAATAATTAGACCTCTTATTTCCGTTTGATTTCTAATTGCATTGCCCAGAAAATCCCAGAAATGATAAGTACTAATAGTGATGGCAGATATCCTTGGGTTTTCTTTTCAATTTTATAGGAAATGTTTCTGAGTTTCACATTTATTACTTTAGATATTGTTTCATAAAGTCACATATTTTATCCCAAAAGTGCATCCTCATCATTCCTCATCATCACACACTTTCCTACTTATACTGTCAAAAATGTCTAAATGTAGAATTACACTCTAGATTTCTCTGCAGTACAGGAAGCCAGAAAACAGAGCAAATCAAGGCAAGGGAAATTTCCTAATCTTTCCGCATCTCTGTGAAATTAATAAACTATCCTACATGTTGTTCTGGATTTGAAAATGTTTTCAAGTAAATTACTTCTTGTTCTTGGTCCCTTTAAGCCTCAATCCCAGTTTTCAAATGTGAAATGCCTTTCAAACATAAAAGGGCAAAAAGGGATAGTATAAAATGATATATTCAAGTAATAGTTTTTTATTTTATTTTAATTTATTTGAGATAGGATCTCACTCTGTTACTCAGGCTGGAGTGCAGTGGCATGATCATAGCTCACTGTAGCCTCAAGTCCTGGATCCTCCTGCCACTGCCTCCTGAGTAGCTAAAACCGCAAGTGTGAGCCACCATGCCTGGCTTGTTTTTTTTCTTTGTAGAGATGGGGGTCTCACTATGTTGTCCGGGCTGGTCTCAAATTCCTGCTTTAAGCGATCCTCCCATCTCGGCCTCCCAAAGTGCTGGGATTACAGGTGTGAGCCACCACACCTGGCCACAGGGAACAAGTTTTAAACAATTAGATGGCTTTATCACCTCACAGCAGACAGTTTGAAATGACAATTGCTAGGACTTCTGGTGGTATTAGCAGAATAGTAACTAAAACGTATATGTCATTTTTATTCCAGACAGGAAGCGTAGAGGTAGTTACTAGTGAATGACAGTAAATTATACCAGATGCCAAGTAAATTTTAACAGCCTTGTAGCTGCACATCTCATATTCACATATTCATCAATATGTTAATCTTTAGCTATATAACTCAAGGTTTGAATACAACACCACATAAAAAGAAAATTACAAAGGTATCTGCAAAACAACATTTGGCTCTTGAGACAAAAATTCAGTTTGATCAATAAATTATTCTCTATCTACCCAAGAGAAATAAACCATATATCCACACAAATACTTGTATGTGAATGTTCACAGCAGCATTATTCATAACCCAAAACTAGAAATGATCCAAATGCACTTGACCTGGTGAATGGCTAAAATGTGGTCCATTCAGACAATGGAATATTATTCAGCAATAGAAAGAAATGAACTACTGATAGATGTACAACAAGGAGGAATCTCAAAAATATGCCGAATAAGCCAGATGCAAAAGGTCACACTTCACATTACCCTCCTTATATGAAATGTCTAGACAATAAAATTTTATTTATAGAGAAAACAGATCAGTGATTGCCTGGAGCTGGGGCTGCTAGGAGGGAAAGACTGCAAAAGAGCATGAGGGATCTTTCTGGGGTGATGGATGGAAAGGCTCTGGGGGTGGATTTTGGTGATGGTTGCACAACTTGTGGATTTGCTAAAAAACATTGAACTGTACACTTAAAATAAGTGAATTTTATAATATGTAAACAATAACTCAGCCAAGTATGGTGGCTCATACCTGTAATCTCAACACTTTGGGAAGCCAAGGTGGGAGGATCAGACATTTGAGCCCAAAAATTCGAGACCAGCCTGGGCAACATAGCAAGACCCCATCTCTACAGGAAACTTTAAAAAATTAATTAGCTGGGCATGTTGGCACATGCCTGTGGTAATTTGCTACTGTTTTATGTAAGACTTCACATCTATGTTAAAAGGTGAGTCTGGTCTACAGTTTTCTGTTTTGGAATTTTGTGGAAATAAATCTTTATTGAATTTTTTAAGTTTATTTTTATGGGTCTATTAAAGTTCCTATTTTGTCCAGTTAATAAAGATTTTTCTATTTATAAGCACTTAAAAGCATTTACTATGAGATATAATCTTTTAAAACTGCATACTTAATGATCCCTTCCTTCATTTGACAAATGTTGATTGCTTGCATTTGACTTTATAGATTTAATTCGTAGTAAGGTGTCTGCCACATCACATTTTAAGGATTTAATCACTGTGGCTGGAGCTGATTTTGCTGCTGGTAACACAGTTGTGAACACGACTGGAAAAATCCTGGAAACCACAGACGAAGTCAACAAATGGATTACAGACGGTGGAGGTGGGCAGGTGTGGCTGCCTGGCATGAGCTGGTCAGAGACAGGGTCTCCAGGAAGACAAGGAGCTGCGATTTCAAGGGCGGGAGGCTTGCCAAGGCCAGGGGCCAGCACGCCTTGGTTGGGAGAGTAGCAAGTACAAGGCTCTGAAGCCAGAACAAGCTTGGTAGGTTAAGGAACAGAAGCAAGGGCAGAAAGAAAAGGTAGGCAGGCAATGATAAAGGAGGCCAGAGAGGTAGGCACAGGTGAAATCAGAGGCCTCCGGGCCATCGTGAGGAGGTTGCATGTACTCTAAGGGCAACGGCCATACACCGGAGGATTTTATGTGGACAGTGACATGATCCAGTGTATGCTATATGGTCAGTTGGGCTGTTACATGGAGTTGGGGCAGTGTCTTAGTCTGTTTTATTTTCACTGCTAAAAAATACCTTAGATTGGGTCATTGGTAAACAACAGAAATTTAGAGGCTGAGAAATCAAAATCAAGGCACCAGGAGATTCAGGGTCTGGTGGGGGCTCATTCCTCCTAGATGGTGCCTTCTGGTCCTCACATGGGAAGCGGCAAGGGAGCTCCCCTGAGCCCCGTGGTGTTATGAGATGTATAGTGCAGGGTATATGTGTAGGCATTCCTCCACGGTTCCTCACTCCTAACTCCCAGAGCCCTTGTGTATTAGTCTGTTCTCCTGCTGCTAATAAAGACATACCTGAGAGTGCGTAATTTATAAAGGAAAGAGCTTTAATGGACTCACAGTTCCACATGGATGGGGAGGCCTCACAATCATGGAGGAAGGCAAATGAGGAGCAAAGTCACATCTTAACGTGGCGGCAGGCAAGAGAACGTGTGCAGGAGAACTCCCATTTATAAAACCATCAGATCCGTAAGACCTATTCACTATCACGAGACCAGCAGGGGAAAGACACCCGTTCTGTGATTCGATTATCTCCACCTGGCCCCACCCTTGACACATGGGGATTATTACAATTGAAGATGAGATTTGGGTGGGGACACAACCAAACCATTATCACCTTGTTACAGTCTTTTGTAATAATGCTGGGCGTGTTGGGCCTCGGGACAGCCTCTGATCTTCTCCTGCCCTCCTGTCGCCTGCCCCAAGGCAGAACACCAGTCTTCTCCTGCCTTTCTGATTGCAGGTTTTAAGACCTTCCCCCGAGTGGGTCCCATCTCATGTCCTCGGGGAAAGGAATGCTTTCATAAAAACCCAGTAGGACTGGGCTCAGGTGCTTCCAGATGACTGAAAACGTGGAGGTTGATGGAAGCTCGGAACCCCTTCCCCCATACCTTGCCCTATGCATCTCTTCATCTGTATCCTGTGTACTATCCTTTATAATAAACCAACAAGTAAGTGTTTCCCTGAGTCGTGTGAGCTGCTGCAGCAAATTAATCAAACCCAAACAGGGGGTCGTAGGAACCCTAACTTGAAGATGTCCGGTCAGAAGTTCTGGAGGTCCAGACTTGCAGCTGGTGTCAGGGCGTATGACGGGAATCTTGGGGACTGTGGGATCCAGTTCCCAATGCCAGGGAGCCTCCAACCTGTGGGATCTGACACTGTTTCCGGGTAGTGTTGGAATTGAATTGGAGGACACCCAGCTAGTGTCTGCTGCTTCGTGTCGGGGGGAAAAAACCCACACATTTGGTCACAGAAGTCTTCTGCGTTGACTCTTGTGGTGATGGGGAAGTAGAGGAAAAATGCAGTCAGTGAGACTTTTTCCCCGAAACAAGCCTCTTTTATAAGTACCCTAATCCCATGCATTTGGGCGCAGCCCTCATGACTTAATTACTTCCCAAAGGCCTCACTACCATAGCAGGTATTAGTTTCCAAGATATGAATTTAGGGGAACAGCAACATTCAGGCTGGGAAGAAGAGTAGTTAGCAGCTGGGAGACTAGCTGGGGGTTCTGTGGATGCCCAGGAGAGGGTTGAAGGTGTTGCCACATTATTTTTCTCTTTTGTTTCATTTGTCTTTTTCACCCTTAAGTAGATATTCTGAAAGTCTGCCTACTTGATTACTTTTTGTCTAAGAAACTGCTCTCAGGTTTATTGGCTTTTTTGATGTTCTCTTTTTAATAATTCATTAACAGTGTTTTTTATCTTTGCTTTATTTTGTTGTTGTTGTTGTTTTTGTTTTTACTCATTTCTGCTTCTTAAGCTTAGCTCATCTGTTTGTTGCTTTCTTTAAAAACAAAAACAGGCCGGGCGCGGCACCTGTAATACCAGCACTTTGGGAGGCCGAGGCGGGCCAGGAGTTCGAGACTAGCCTGGCCAACATGGTGAAACCCCGTCTCCATACACAAAAAATTAGCCGGGCATCATGGCGCCTGCCTGTAATCCCAGCTACGCAGGAGGCTGAGGCAGGAGAATTGCTTGAACCCAGGAATTGGAGGTTGCAGTGAGCCGAGATCGTGCCACTGCACTCCAGCCTGGGCAACAGAGTGAGACTCCATCTAAAAAAAGAAAACACACACACACACACACACACACACACACACACACACACACTTGTTGATTTCAATATATCCTATAAATCTGATAGGTAGCAAAACCTTAGTTTCACCAGACATTGCCGGTTTAGGCACTAATGGCCTTGCATCAGTGACCCAAATTTCACTGGGTCAAGGTCCCACATGGACAGCGGTCATCTTTTTTAACCCTCTTAAGTTTGAGGAACTCCCCACCATATAAAGTGGAACCTACCTACCGTATTTTAAATGAATAGCCCCGATACTTTTCCCAGCTCCTTTTGTGCTAAGACATGGGTCCTAGACCCTACATTACAATCCAAGGACAGGAAGAGCTGGTGGCTGTGCAGAGCCCTCCTGGGATGCAGGTAGCCAGGGCCACAGCCACATACTATGATGGAGGAGCTTGTGGCATCTGGAAGCCAACAGCATAAAATGTTCCATGAAAGAGGGATGACCAAACACATCAAATGTCTTAAATGAACCGGAGAAAGGGAGCAATGAAAACTGGCCACTGGCTGTGGAGACCATGGGGAGTGGAATCAGGGGCCGCTCTTTCTGATGGTGTCTGTGTTCTCTGTGAACAGGGAAGGAAGCGGCGCGAGGGGATGTTGGAGGCTGGAGGAGAGAAGGTGTGTGGGCATCCACAGAAGGGGATCAGTACTGAGTAAGGTTGGCACTTTTTTGAGATTTCTTGAACATATGCAAATTTCCAAACATTGAAAAATTTCTGTAGCAGCAAGTCCCCATAACGTGTGCACTTGTTTCAGAGGACGCAAGCGTAAAAGCCAGATCAACTGTACTCTAGAGCCAATGCTAAGGGGTAGAACCTCCAGGCAGCTGGAAAGATGTATCAGGTCCCCAGAGTCTGTGGAGGGAATTACAGGATTGCTCCTGGAGACCCTGAGTGGGCAACAAGGGCTGAGTGGCTGGTGGCACAGCGGGAACCTTGTGCTCCTCACAGTCCTGAGCCCTCTTCTATGTGGTCTTTCTTCCATGAGGAAAATTGGACTTAAAATGTTTGGATTTCACTGATGTAGATCTCCAACAAATGTTTTTTTTTCCACTTTAATAGATCCCGGTAATTGCAAAAATCTAGTGGAGGTTATTTCTTGCACTCACTTCTGCTTTGACTGAATAATATATCTCCTTCCCCAGATGAGGACACGTTTTAAATGTGCTCCATCAGAGGCCTCTACTTTCCGCTGTGGTTTAAATGCTTATCTTTGAATGTGCTCCTAGTCTATGAGTGAATTGGAATAAGAATATAAATATTTGAAATGGCTAAAAGCAGACTTCCCCTGTCAAAACAACTGCAGTTTACCTCGAAAAGTGAACCCCACAGAACTTAAGAGGCTTCCCTTTCAGGCTTACACCCCAGACAACACTTTGAGCCTAATCTTTGGGCTTTCTAATTACTGACTTCCACTTGTTTTTTAATTTTAATTTAATTTATTTTTTTATTTTTTTGAGATGTAGTCTCGCTCTGTCACTCAGGCTGGAGTGCAGTGGTATGATTTCGGCTCACTGCAACCTCTGCCTCCCGTTCTCAAGCCATTCTTGTGCTTCAGCCTTCTGAGTAGCTGGGATTACAGGCACACACCACCACACCCGACTAATTTTTGTATTTTTTGTAGAAACAGGGTTTCACTGTGTTGCCCAGGCTGGTCTCAAACTCCTGAGCTCAAGCAGTCTGCCCGTCTTGGCCCAAAGTGCTGGGATTACAGGCATGAGCCATGACTTTCAATTTTAAAAGAGTAAGAGATTCTCCACACGTGTTCCCTACAATGTTAAGTCTCTGTGGCAGACAAGGAGTTGTAAATGGAACTTACAAAGAGGCAATCAAAATTATAAATTGTAAATTTAATTATAAGTATATAGTCTTATAAAATTATAAAACTAAATTATGCATTAAATTATAAATTGAGTCCATATATTGAATGCTACAAAAATTATAAATTGAATGCCAAGTATTACAATCCTATATTAAAGGGTTTTTACCCTATTCCTATTTACAAAAGGATATTTGACTACCTGACTTTCACTTATTCTCATGCCAATGTTAAACATAAATCTTACACCTGTGAAGATATAGACAGAAGCAGTCCATATTCTAAGAGTGAAATACTGATTTGATTGTGGATGTGACGCTACACCACCGAGCGAGGATGTTTTCACTGGCTGCAGTTAAACTCCGGAATAGGACCGTAAGAGAATCCTCTAAATAGCTCATTCCTATTTTCCAAGCACACTAGTAAAACCACTGTGGAGAACAACTGAACACTCTATAGGTCAGCCTTTGACCATAAATAAATAGGAGATGATAAAAACAGATAAATAAATAAGAACAAAGACCAAGGTTCTTCGGGTGCTTATTGTCTTTCACCACGTGCTGCATTTCGCACGACACATCCGCCGCTTTCCAAACCTTTCCCCTCTTGACTTTCTGTATCCCTTCATTTGTTCAACAGCTCTTCATTGAGCGTCCACTATGCCCTCGGGTGTTGAGTTACATCCCACACATGAAGGTCCCTGTCCTCGTGAAGTGTACGCTTGACGTTTGCTGTTTAAAAGTCTCTTTCTGCAGTAGTGCTGAAATTGATGGGAACGGTGGGCAGGAGAGGGCACGCTGAAGCCAGTGTCTGCTCGGCCCACCTGGTCCTCGCCTAGCTGGCAGCATCTGCTCTAGAGCCTTCCATCTGATGGCTGACCCTCATCGTTCCATCTTTGCCTCCTTAGTGAGGCTCCCCATTGCCACCCCAGGCACCCACAGCCTTCCCCTCCTCCTAAGCCCTATTGCCCTTACTGTTTTTCACGGCACACATAGGTTTGCACTGTACAATAGAAATCACTTCGACTGATGAGAGTTTATTGACTGTCTCTCCCTGGAAGGTTCCATGGAGACTCCTCAGTCTTCCTTGTCCTACCTCCACCTCATCTGTTCCCTTGGGTGTCATGCTCAGTTCTTTTCAGTAATGACTTAGTGCCTGCTATTGGTCAGATGCTGAGGATACAACGATGAAATAAGCCTTGGTCCCCATCCTCAGGGAGCTTATAATGTGTCAGAGGAGGCAGGCATGTAAGCATTTTCACGGCTCAGTCCTCTGCTATGAGCTATGTTCAAGAAGTACATGGATTTACTTGAATTCCTAGGAGATCACAAGCAGACCACTCAGCCCTGACTTCAGCCTACAGAAGACCTCTTGTTGACCACAAATTCAAGGATTCATTGGCCTACGATGATCTTGAAGGATGAGTAAGAGGTTAGCTAAAAAGAGGGACAAGGGGGATAGTAGAACATGGGTTACAATGGCAGAGCCAGTCAACCCTCCCCACTCCCAGGTAGGTGTCCTCTTGACCCAAGCATATATGGTCCTTGGTGGCTGCACCTCTTGATGACTACCCAGAGCCCCTGGAACAAAACCCGAGCCCCTCACCTGCACACCTGCCCCTCCTTCCTGTGTGTCCTGCTCTCTGGGGTGATGGAGGCATTTCTGTCTTTACCATGAACCCTTTTCTCAGGAAGACAAAATTAAATAATAAAGCCATGATAATATGATTTGTAATGAGCAAATGTTCTAATGTTTAAAAGGGAAGAAGATGGTGATAGGCAACTAAACAGTGAGGCAGGGGAAAGAGGGGCACTGCCATGGCGCTCTCATTGCACCTGACCCTTTCCCGAAAGGTCTGGGAAAAGAGTTCCATGCAACTGACATGAGATAATATTTGTATTTTCATGAGTCACAAAACTGCCAGAAACAGACCTGTTTTCTGAGCTACAGACTCCTGAACCCAGCTTCCTACTAACCGTCTCCCCCTGCCTTTCCACAGTGCCTTCAATCCTTCCCATGAAAAGCAGAACCCATAATCTCCCACACATATACCCGACCCCTGCAGCTTTATTTCTCAATTTGGTTAATGACACTGTGGTCCCAGCCGGCAATCCAAGAGATATCAGAAATGCCTATTTCTGCTGCACCCTCACGTTGAACTGTTCCTCAAGACCTTTTGATTCTCCCCACTACAACTGTCCCTACTCCTTCCCCTACTTGACATCCCGGCATGCAATGTTTGCTGTTTTATCACTGCCTGAGCAATTGCAAAAGCTTCATCATTGGAACCTGTTGTCTCATGCTGGATCCCCGCTCTCCTCCTTTCCCTAAAGCAGAGCTTTGCTAGAACCTGTGAGCAGGTAGCCGACCTGGAAACTACTCAAAGAGGCAGGAATGAAGGAGCCCAATGAATAATGGGAGGAGCAAAACCAACATAAACATGAATTACTGAGATCACCTCTGTAGGCAACTGGGGCTCGGTGCCACCACTTGGGCACATGCAGGTTGCTTCTCTGAATGGACCAGGAGAAGCGTGTGGCCACTGGCTCCATCCCTCCCTGTGTGAGGGAATCCCCTGAAAGGGTTAAATCTCCTGCATTTTGGAGCTGGGTGGTTCTGAGCTGGGCACAACCTACCTGGAGTCAGTGGCTCTGGAGAATACCTACAGCAGGGTGCAGAAGGTGTGAGGTGTACTCTTGGGAAAAAAGCTTTAGTGCCAGGTGCATCCAAGCCACAGGAAAGTGCTCACTGCCCCGAGTGAGGTGAGGGGGTGTGGCACAAGGCTCCAGAGGCATCTGACACCCGATAACCCAAATCTGCCCTCATTCCAAAAGGTCTTTCTAAAGTATGTCTGATTATGTAACCTCCTGCTTAAAAACCTCCAGCTCCCAGAGGCTTACAGCGCAGCACCTGCTCCCAGTAGAATACAGTCTGCACCGTCTGGCCACCACCACCTTCTGACCTCGTCTCCCATCTACCTATCCCCACCAACACATCAGAGAGCCTGCAGCACCCTGGACTAGTCATGATTTTGTTGACTAGTTGAGATGTAGTCTTGCTCTTGTTGCCCAGGCTGGAGTGCTGTGGTGCGATCTCAGCTCACTGCAACCTCTGCCTCCTGGGTTTAAGTGATTACCTGCCTCAGTCTCCCAAGTAGCTGGGACTACAGGCGCCCACCACCACACCCAGCTAATTTTTGTATTTTTAGTAGAGACGGGGGTTTCACCATATTGGCCAGGCTAGTCTCGAACTCCTGACCTCTGGTGATCCACCCACCTTGGCCTCCCAAAGTGCTGGGATTACAGGCATGAGCCACGGCCTGGCCTCATTCCTTTGTTTTTGTTAATCTCTTTATCTTGAATGTTCCTCCTCTTCCACCTGGTGAATTCCTACTTATCACCTAAAACTCAACTCAACTACCATTTCTCCTGTAGAGCGCTCCTGACTCCTACCACATGCCCCCATCTGGTCTACAGCGAGGGAAAGCAAAAGCATCCCTCTCTTGTTCCTAAACCCAGTCATCACAGGCCATGTCACGGGTGGAATGGTGTAGCCGGCCTGTCCATTTTCTTGTATTACATGCTGCCTCTCTCCCCACTATCTTATGAGACCCTTCAGGGCAGAAACTCTTCTGTCTTATTTTCACATTTTCAGTGCCTTAAACAATGTTTGACCCATAAGTCACTCACAAAATGTTTCTTGAAGAGCAACATGAATTAGTCACATATAATGAACTAGCCACTTTGCAAAGTATTTAATGCATGTGTCACTTAACCACATGGAGGAACCAAAAATTTGTCCTAATAAAGTACACCTGAAACACTTACCAACACGTGGTTAGGCAAAGAGGTTAAACGAACAGAGTCAGATGTAAACAGCTGAGAGTTCCGTTCCTCTACCACTTACTCATCTTCACCATACAGAGAAGCTTCCTCTCTTTTATTTTTATATTTATCCTTTAAAATATAGTCCTGGGGCCGGGCGCGGTGGCTCACACCTGTAATCCCAGCACTTTGGGAGGCCAAGGTGGGCGGATCACGAGGTCAGGTGATTGAGACCATCCTGGCTAACACGGTGAAACCCCGTCTCTACTAAAAATACAAAAAATTAGCCAGGCGTGGTGGTGGGCGCCTGTGGTCCCAGCTACTTGGGAGGCTGAGGCAGGACAATGGCGTGAACCTGGGAGGCAGAGCTTGCAGTGAGCCAAGATTGCGCCACTGCACTCCAGCCTGGGCGACAGAGCGAGACTCCATCTCAAAAAAATAAAATAAAGTCCCGGAAGAGCAACTGCTGTACATTTATTAGTTCAAGTCAAAATCCTCAGGGACTTGAAAATGGACACTAAATCAGAGGATCTGGAGTGAAATGCCTTGAGAAAGGGTAAGTGGAGAAATGAATGGCCCTTGCGGAGTGAGAAACTGGGTTAAAGCAGTGGGAACAGTCAGAGAAAACAGCCACAAACACTACATCTCCCAAAGACGAAAGCACTTCCCTAGTAGCTGCACAGGAAGGAGGGGCATGAAACATTTATTACTATCGCACTTTTTCAGAAAGCATTTGGCAAAGAGCCACCTGGCCTGACTCCTGGAGGTGCGGCCCTAGTCCCCCCATCCCAGCCCCACTGCCAGGAGGTGCTGCAGAGCACAGAGGCCCTCTAAGTGGGGTCTCTCCAGTGGCAGAAGGCTCTTAGCCATATTGGATGCATCCCATTATGATATTGCATTCTATCTAGCATTAACATTCAAATTGTAAAATCCTAACTCGCTTCTAACTCTGCAATGCACTCAAATATTTAGAATAAATATTTGCCTCAAATTAGGAGGAAGGAAAGAGAAAGCCTATTAAAAGAAAAAAAGGGCCAGGTGCAGTCGCTCACACCTGTAATCCCAGCACTTTGGGAGGCAGAGGCAGGCGGATCACCTGAGGTCGGGAGTTCGAGACCAGCCCGGCCAGCATGGCAAAACCCCATCTCTACTAAAAATACAAAATTAGCCAGGCATGTAATCCCAGCTACTTGGGAGGCTGAGGCAGGAGAATCGCTTGAACCCGGGAGGTGGAGGTTGCAGTGAGCCGAGATTGCACTACTGCACTCCAGCCTGGGCAACAAGAGTGAAACTCTGCTTCAAAATAAAATAAAGAAAAAGAAAAAAAAAAAGAGAGAAATTCTAGCAAATGGAAAAGTCACAGGCTATTTGAAATTTAAAAGTATAATTCTTGGTATGTAGCAATATTTTAACATGGTTCCTTTAAATTTCTTCTCAACTCAATCCAAAATTAAAAAAAAAAAAACCTCAAAAGTTTGGACCTGTATATCCATCCATCCACCTATCTATTCAATCAATAAGGATTTCCTGAGCACCAACGGGATGGCAAGCACTGTGCTTAAGTGTCGAGGATAAAAAGAGAATAACACTTTCTTGCCACTAAAAGAAAGCCTTATAGTCCAGAACAAGAAATGAGACATTTTTCCTTTTCCATGTCCAGTCCCTAGGATATCTTTAATATATTCTCTTTTTCCAATTCTTTTTTTCTGGTGGGGGGGCAGGGTCTTGCTGTTTCACCCAGTCTGGAGTGCAGTGGAGAGATCATGGCTCACTGTAGCCTTGACCTCCTAGGCTCAAACGATCCTCCCAATTCAGCCTCCCGAGTAGCTGGGACTACAAATGCATGGCACCACACCTAAATTTTTGTAGAGACGGAATCTCATTATGTTGCTCAGGCTGGTGTTGAACTCCTGGGCTCGAGCAGTCCTCCCACTTCGACTTCCCAAAGTGCTGGGATTACACGCTTGAGCCACCATGCCCAGTCCTACTTCAGTTATTTTATTAAAAAAGTTATAAAGATAAAAATGTAGTCTGCATTCATGGTCTCTACTTACTCATGTCCCCCATTAAACTATAAAGCCTCTACTGCCTAATGTCGGCCTCTAATCTCTACTGAAACTGCTCTTGCCAAATGAAAATGACAGGGACAATTTCTACTCTTTAAATGACCTCTAGGTGGCACTGGACATAGTTAATAATTTTCTCAATCACACTTCCTCCCTGGATCCTGTCTCTCTTTGGTTTTCCAGTGCGCTCTCTTTTGCTGTTTTTTCTTAAGGTCTGCCCAGTTTTGAGGGATTCCTTCTCAGATCTCTTATCTTATTCTAAGAACTGAAAAATTTTATGCATGCCCATGGCTTAATTCTGCACTATAACCTGGTGGCTTCCAGATTTCCCACTCTAATTGACATCTCTTCCCTTAACACCAGCCTCATATTCCAATTTGTATAAATAGCTCCACTTGGATGTCTCAGAGACATCTCCATGTAATACCCCTAAAACCTAAGCCTCTTTCCCACATACCTGATTCTTCTATTCCCTTCCTAGATGAATGGCAGCCCCATCTATCCCAGTCAGCCTGTGAAAAACCTGGAAGTCACCACTGCTTTATACCCACGCTCATACCTAGGCCCTCTAAATTCAATCTGACCTTGTATCACTCTTGCTTAAAACCAAAGCTCCAAACTGCCTCTCCATCTTCCTCAATATGACATCCAATACAGCTCTTACTACTGTCTAGTCACATTTTCATTATGATCATATTTTAAAATATGTTGCTCCCCACCAAAAGCCATGATGTCCCTTCTTTGCCTCTATATATATTCTAACTGGATAACTTTCCCCTTCCTACCTGGCTAGAGCCTACACATTCATCCAAAGCCTACTCCTATATGCAAACAGGTCAAAAGGAAGTCTTTGATGACCCCTCCCCAAGCTAGACTTCTTTATGCTATAAGAGCAGTAATTTACAGCAGCAAAACTTGTAAACTTGCAGCAAAATAAGTAAACTTGTTTACTTAGTAAACAAGTAATGTTTACTAAGGGCTAACCTGTCACACTGGTTCTTAAATGTGCATAAACATCCCCTGGGAGCCTATGAAAATGCTGGTCTTCAGGGCCCAGTCTGATGCTCAGATCATCTGATCTGGGACTGAGCTCAAGAGTCTACATTTTTAACAAGGTACTCTAAGTGATGCTGACACAGTTGATCAGGGAACCAGATTCTGAGAAACACTGAACTACCGGCTCTCCTCCAATCCACTCACTATGTTGCTACCAAATTAATATTCATAAAATAGCTTTTGTATTAAAACATCAAGTACTTGGCACCAAGCCTGATTGTGTGCTTCACACATACCTGTCAACTAACTTCAATTCAGTGAGGTTGATATTCTCTACAAAGAAGCAGAAGATTACAGGGGTTGACTTGCTCAAACTCTCCTTCCTATTGATAGGATTTAAACTTGAACCTCATTTCAGCCTACCATACCTTGGGTCATTCTCTGTTATAAAAAAACGAATGACCGAAAGTTTCACTGGTACCTCCCTGACAGTCGATGGACTCAAATCCTTGGGTTGGATTCGAAGGCCCTGAGTCTTCCCCTCCTTACTAACTCCCCATACTCCCCACATGAATGCCTCCGATAATTTGCTTAGCAAACACTCCCTTTCCTCTTATAGTTTAAATCTCTCTTCTCCATTGCGTCCCTCTCGAACTGCCAGATACTTGGATCTTCCTTAAATTAAATCACAACATTTTAGAACTGTAAAGGAACATGGCAAACAATGCCTTCATGTAACAGGTGAGGGAATGAGGCCCTGTGGGGAGGTGCCTTTCCCAGAGCCCATTGCAGAGCTGGAACTAGGTCCTGGTTCTCCTGGTCCTTGGGCCAGCACTTTCTCCACAAAAAACACCACCTCCCTTCATTTATTCCAAAAACTACACCTTCCTCTTGTGTGAAGGAGCCTTATGGAGTGATGGAAATGTTCTAAAATGGGATTGAAGTGACAGCTGCAAAACTGTCTATTTACTAAAAATCACTGAATTGTACATTTAAAATGGGTGAATATTAAAGTACGTAAATTATATCTCAATAAAGCTGTTAGAAAATAAAATCTTGCCCTTGGAGAATGAACTACACAATTAGTCAGAAGCAGGCTCCAGCACACAGCAGACAGTGGTGCATCATAGTTATCAGCCTACTGTTTGTCCTCAAGTTAAGGTCCCTGTCCTTCCTTAATCTTTTTTTGAGACGGAGTTTCGCTTTTGTTGCCCAGACTGGAATGCAATGGTGCAATCTTGGCTCACGGCAACCTCCGCCTCCGCCTCCCAGATTAAGCGATTCTCCTGCCTCAACCTCCCAAGTAGCTGGGACTACAGACGCCCACCACCACGCCCGGCCAATTTTTGTATTTTTAGTAGAGACGGGGTTTCGCCATGTTGGCCAGGCTGGTCTTGAACTCCCGGCCCCAGGTGATCCACCTACCTCAGCCTCCCAAAGTGCTGGGATTACAGGTGTGAGCTACCGCGCCCGGCCCCTGTCCTTCCTTTCATAGCAGCCATCTTACCTGCTAACACTGGAAGGTAAGCTTCCTGGGGACACCGGCTTTTGTATTTGGTCCTCTTCTCTGTCCCCAGTTTCTATAATAATACCTGGCATGTGGTAGGCATATCAAATATTTGTCAAGTGAATGAATTTAAAAACATGCAAACCTCTTTTTCATCACTCGACCACATCGAACCTGGCTTGTTTTTCGAGGGAGGGGATGGCCAACCTGTCCAAAGTTCACAGATGCTTGGGGCAGAGCAGGGACCGGCCAGGCTCCAGAGTCTGTGTTCTAACCACTGCCCTGTGCTGCCTCCCATGAGCATTGAACACACATTAGCTGGGAGTGCCAGCAAATCTGCAAGTAGTGAGATTACCTAGGTCCTAAGAGATGGCCACGTTGGTCAGTATCATTTCTTCATTTAAGAGAGAGCTGGGTGAATTGTTTTTAATGAAGATTAAGAAGGGTTTTGGAATAGCAAGGCTAAGTGTGAATACAGATTGCTGGCTGTGTAATGGTGAGCATGTTACCTAACTGCTGAGTTGGCTTCTTCACAAAAATGAGGAAAAGACCACTGTCCTTGCAGGGTTACTGTGAATACTGAACCAAACAATGTCTGTAATGTACCCAGCACCCTACTTGGCATGCACTAGGCACTCAATAAATGCCAAATGACTGAAAGAAATTGGGGGGAGTTGGGGGCAACGTGGAAAAAGAATCATAGGAAAGGAGAGTAAGGAGATAATATGAGTAAGACAAGGTGGCTCACGCCTGTAATCCCAGCACTTTGGGAGGCTGAGGCGGGCGGATCATGAGGTCAGGAGATCGAGACCATCCTGGCTAACATGATGAAATCCCGTCTCTACTAAAAGTACAAAAAATTGGCCAGGTGTGGTGACACACGCCTGTAGTCCCAGCTACTCAGGAGGCTGAGGCAGGAGAATCGCTTGAACCCGGAAGATGGAGGTTGCAGTGAGTCGAGATTGCACCACTGCACTCCAGCCTGGGCGACAGAGCGAGACTCCATCTCAAAGCAAAACAAACAAACAAACAAACAAACACAAAAACAGAAGAGGCAGAAAGAGGGACTCAGTAACATCTATGTAAATTTTAAACACACACACACACACACTTGCAGGACAAGCATCTCGAAGGGCATATATTCAATACGTTAAATAGACGTTCTGCGGGGAGAGGAATTCGAGTGAGCTGAAGGGGAATACAGAACGAGGCTGGGGCTTGTATGAGCAGAGGGAGCTGATGCTGAGCCCTGAGACCTGAGATACCCAGTCCCACAGGCCTCTCTGTTTCTCTCTCTCACACACACACCTCCCCCAGACTTACGCAAGGACAAGCAAAGAAGGAAAAGGGCACCCTCTCTGCCCACTCAACTTTTGTTCCCAAACTCTCTGATGTTTTGTTTCGCTATCTACCAGCTGCTCAAAAAATCTACCTTCTGCTGGCTCCAGTGAGCCCCAAATCCTCCACGATTCCCCTAGGTCCTCCCTTGCCACAACGCCTTTGCCACCAGTCCTCCTTCCCCTCCTCAAATGCCAAGATTGCTTGTCAAGGCCTTATTTCTTGACAATCTGCCCACTGTCTGCTATTTCTAGCGAATACATTATTAGATAAAGACTTCGGAATTTACATCTTCCTGGAGGAACTGTCTTGTATACAAGCATGCAGTTGGATCAGTTAAAAACAGAGGGCAGAGGAGCTGACAATTTCTTCTGTCAAGCTTTTGAAACTAAGTTGAGGAACAGCAACATCCTCTGATAATAATGTCTGGTGATCTGGTAATTTGAATAAGAGCTTCTCACTCACCCAGTTTCACACACATGTGTTCTATTCAACATCTCCAACTTCATTTCTTTTATGATATTCCATGTTTGCTTTCAGATAGCTTGGCTAGAGTGCACCTAAAATTTCTCATATATTGTATATGAACCTTGTGTGTTTAATTTTCATATTTTTGACAACCATATCAACAGAGCAATTTAAGATGAGCAAAAGGATGATGGTTCAGTTAATAAATCTGAGAAATGTTTTTCTTCCTTCTTCCTTGCCGAAGTGGTCAGCTTTTCATGGTGGCCACCCTTCCTCTAGTTTACAAACCTATATTCTGCCAACGTTAAGGAATAGCTGAATGAAAGCCAGAAAAGACGTTTCAAGAAAAGAAGGATACTGATGCAAAAATCCTCAACCAGAATACTAGCAAATTGAATTCAACAGCACATTAAAAGGATTATATACCATGACCAAGTGGGATTTATTCCTGAAATGCAAGAGTGGTTCACATATGAAAGTCCATCAGTGTAATACACCACATTAAAAGAAAGAAGGAAAAAGCCTCACGTGATCATCTTGGTGCAGAAAAAGCACATGACCAAATTCACACATTTTCACAGTAAAGTAATACTCAACAAACTAGGAATAGAAGAAAAGTACCTCAACATAACAGAGGCCATACGGCATATGAAAACCCCACAGCTAACACCATACTCAAGGGTGCAAGACTAAAACCTTTTCCTCTAAGATCAAGAAGAAGATAAGGATGCCAGCTTTCACCACTTTTATTCAATACAGTACTTGAAGTTCTAGTCAGAACAATTAGCCCAGGCACAATGGCTCATGCCTAGAATCCCAGCACTTTGGGAGGTCAAGGCAGGAGGGTTACTTGAGTCCAGGAGTTTGAGACCAGCCTGGGCAACATAGTGAGACAAATAAAAAAAAAAAAAAGTAGCTGAGCATGGTGGCGCCTGCCTATAGTTCCAGCTACTCAGGAGGCTGAGGTGGGAGAATCACCTGAGCCCTGGAGGTCAAGGCTGCAGTGAGCTGAGGTCACGCCACTGCTCTCCTGCCTGGGCACTGGAGTGAGACTCTGTCTCAATAATAATAATAATAATAATAATTATTATTATTATTATTATTCCATTAAAATAGTATCAAAAGAATACTTATAAATAACCAATGAGACTAAACACTTGTACACTGAAAACTATAAAATATTGCTAAAAGAAATTAAAGATGGCACAAATAAATGAGACGGCATCCCATGTTCACAGACTGGAAGACAATATTGTTAATTTGTCAATACTACCCCAAGCAATTTACGGATTCCACGTAATAACTATTAAAATCCCATGGTATTTTTTGCAGAAATAGAAAAACCTATGGAAGAATACATATTCACCATCTCATAGGACCGTGAACAGCCAAAACGATCTTGAAAAAGAATAAAATTAGAAGACTTACACTTTGATTTCAAAACTTACTACAAATCTACAATAATCAAACAGTGTCGGCTGGCAGGGTAAATCATGCCTGTAATCCCAGCACTTTGGGTAGCTGAGGCTGGAGGATTGCCTGAAGCCAGGAGTTAGAGACCAGCCTTGGCAACATAGTGAGACCCTGTCTCTACTAAATAAATAAATAAGCTTATTTATTTATTTAAATACAGTGTAGTACTGGCATAAGGGCAGACATACAGACCAATGGAATAACATAAAGAGCTCAGAAATAAACCTTCACATATGTGGTCAACTGAGTTTCAACAAAGGTGCCAAGACCATTCAGTGGAGGAAAGGATGGTATTTTCAATAAATGTCACCAGGAAAACTGGCTCTCTATATGCAAAAGAATAAAGTTTGACCCTTACCTAACACTGTATACAAAAATTAACTCAAAGTGAATCAAAGACCTAAATGTAAGACATAAAAATATAAAATTCTTAGAATATAGGGCAAAAGCTCTGCAAAGTTGGATTTGGTAGTTATTTCTTGAAATGACACCAAAATCACATGCAACAAAAGAAAAAATAGGACTTTATCAAGAGTAAAAACTTCTGTGCATCAAGTGACACTGTAAATAGAATGAAAAAACAACCCACAGACTGGGAGAAAATATTTGTGAGTCATATATCTAAAGGGATTAATATCCAGAATATATAAAGTATTTCTATAACTCAACAAAAAGCCCAATTAAAAAATGAACAAAGGACTTGAGTAGACATTTCTCTAAAGAAGATATATACAGGCCGGGCATGGTGGCTCACGCCTGTAATCCCAACATTTTGGGAGGCTGAGGCAGATGGATCACCTGAGGTCAGGAGTTCAGGACGTGCCTGGCCAACATGGTGAAACCCTGTCTCTACTAAAAATACAAACATTAGCCAGGCATGGTGGTGTACATCTGTAATCCCAGCTACTCAGGAGGCTGAGGCAGGAGAATCACCTGAACCCAGGAGGTGGAGGTTGCAGTGATCCGAGATCGCATTGCTGCACTCCAGCCTGGGCAACAAGAGCAAGACTCCATCTCAAAAGAAAAAAACAAAGAAGATATATACAAATGGCCAATAAGCACATGAAAGGATGCTCAATGTCACTAATCATTACAGAAATGCAAATAACAATCACAATGAGATACCACTTCATACCCTAATAATCATTAGGATGGTTGTCATAAAAATAAAGTGGAAAATAACAAGTGTTGGCAAGGATGTGAGAAACTGGAACCCTTTGGCATTGTTGGTAAGAATGTAAAACAGCCGCTATGGAAAAGTTTGTTCTTCAAAAAATTAAACATAGAATTATCATAGAATCTAGTAATTCACTTCTGAGTATATATCAAAAATAATTAAAATTCTTATTCAGTTCTTGTTGAGACTTGAAGACTTATACACCAATGTCCACACCGGCATTATTCACAATGGCTAAAAAGTAGAAATAATCCAAGTGTCCATTAACTGATGACAGGATAAACAAAACATGGTCTATACATAGAGTGGAATATTATTCAGCCAGAAAAAATGTATGAAATTTGGATACATGCTAATCCATGGATAAATCCTGAAAACATGCTAAGTGAAACACACCAGACAGAAATGGACATATACTGTATTCTACTTATATGAAGCAACTAGAATAGTCAAATTCATAGAGACAGACAGTGGAATGATGGTACCAGGGGCTGGATTGAGGGTGGGGTGATGAGGAATTACTGTTTCATGGGTACACAGTTTTTGTTTGGGATGATGAAAAGTGGATGAGGTAATAGTTGCACAACATCGTGAATGTACTTAATGCCACTGAATTATACATTTAAAAATTGTTAAAATGTTAAGTTGGTGTTACGTATATTTTACCACAATAGTAATGAACAAAAGAATACTTGAGGGGATTGGGTTCCCACAGGATAAATGGCAGCTACCCAAATTAGAATTTCCACATCCACCAAAACAACCATACAGATCAACAGGGAGGACAAACTAAATTGCCCTGGCATACACTTGCAACATTATTAAGAGTCAGAGAATTTTATAAATTTCAATTTAAATATGACTGCAGAAATAAAGGCCTGAGACCAGTAGATCCACCGTCTATACCAGAGTGGACAATCAGGTAAAGAATGCATAGAAGAGAGTTCAATGAGGTTTTGCTGGTGATGGATCAGTAAATGTCAACTAGAGCTCATTCCCAGAAGGAAAGGATCCCTCTCTCAGTAAAAACATTGACACCATGTCTGAAAACTGAGGAGTCAAAGGAAGGGGCAGTCTTGAGAAAACATTAGTTCTAAAAGGATATCTTTGAAAAGAATATCTTGGAAGGGTAGAGGTAATGGAAGAGAAGAAAACAGCTAAAGATAAACATCCTCCTGAGACAAGATGATATAAACAAGTTGAGACAGACAACAAAGGCACCCTTTATTAAGGACACTGTACTTCACTATAGCAATGAAAGAGGAAGCTCTTGAACTAAGAAAACTGTTAAGACATGCAAACTCTTCCATTCTTCTACATAGGATTGTCTGTTATCACTGGTCCAGGCAAATCCAACACAAATACTCATGAACAGAAAATGAAAAACGAACAAGCATTCATGTGAAGTTATTAATTAAAAAAATTATACATAAAACTTTTCAATAGATGAAACCCAAAAGAGAAAGATTACAGGCACAGGCAAATGGTAACAAAACTAAAAGACGGATTAAAATAGAAGTAAAAATGCAAGTACTGATATGATAAACCACCACTTATCATAAATACAAAAACTCAAATAAAAATGGAGGAAAAAAGTGAAACAAGAACTACTGAACTTAAATAAGCTAAAGCAAAAGGAAAATATTTCAGAAATAAAAATTAAATGTTGTTTGCAAAGGGAAATATGAATAACTGGACATACAATAAAAAACATAAAGGAAAGAAATTAAAAGTGCCAAAAAATTAAATAGAAATTAACAAAAGATGGTAACAGGATCAGAAAGCAATACGTATAGAAGATAAACAAGATCTAATATGCATACAATTTGAGTTCCTAAAAAAGGAAAGAAAAACAATGTTTAAAACTCATTCAAGAAAACTGCCTAAATACAAGCAGACTTGAATCTACATGATAGTATACCTGGAAAACTGACTTAGAGGAGTCAAGACATAATCTTGCAAAACTATTGACTTTAAAAAGAAAAAAAAAAACCCACTGGACTTTAAGGCAAAAAACCAAGTCACTTACAAGGGAAAGAAATCAGGTTGGCTTCAGACTTCTTGACAATATACAAAACAAGAAAATAATGGAACAACGTTTTCAGGAAAACCTAAGAAAGAAGTGTGACCATGGTCATATGAAAATGGCTTTGTTCTTACAGGACACACACTTTAAATATTTAAGGAACATAGGGCATCATATCATAGCATCTTACTCTCAGAGGGATTCAGGAAAAAATGTCCCTTCTGTACTTGCCAATTTTTCAGTGAGGCTGGATTGTTTCAAAATAAAAAGAATAGCAAAGAAAACCCTGAGAAAGAAGAGTGATGAGGCAGAGCTAGCTCTACCATGTAGCCTAGATAAATACAACTGGATGGGTTTGGCACATCAATACAGATACACATGCTACAGAACAGGATCAAGAACTACATAAAAGTGACATCTGAAATCACTGACAAGATGAACTTACTAATAAATGATTCAAACAACCAGGTAGCCATTTGGGAAACAGATAAATTTGGATCCATACATCTTTCTATATATCAGAATGAATTCCAAATGGATCAATCAAATGTAAAGACATAGAACCCTTTAAATATTGAGAACATGAGTGAATCCTTTATAACCTAGTATTAGAGCAGTCTAATTACGATTCAAAACAAGAAGTAATATAAGACTAATACAATTCTACCTCCTAAATGTCAAACTCTTCTACAAGGCAAAAAACATAAGCAGCAAATGACAAACTGGGAGATTATTATTTGCAGGTCTGTTTTCCGATATCTCAGGCTCACCTTGTACTCTCCCTTCAGTTTTGGAATCAACCATTTGTCCAAGAAAACTTTTGTTCCTTTGCACATTATATCACAAAATATAAAAAGCTCTTAATAACTACCTATTTTTTTAGAAAAAAATAGGCAAAAGACACGAATAATTCACAGAAAAAGTGCAAATGATCTTAACTACATGAAAAAAATGAGAAAAAAAAATTGATGCCTTATCCATCGATGCTATCTTTACCATGCTCAAAACTTACAGACTATAATCCTATGTAGAAGAATGAAGAGTATGCATGTCTTAGCAGTTTTCTTAGTTCAAGAGTTTCCTCTTTCGTTGCTATAATTAAGTGCAGTATCTTTAATAAAGGGTGCCTTTGTTGTCTGTCTCCTGACTTGTTTATATTGGCTTGTCTCAGGAGGGTGTTTACTTACATATGGTGGCTCATGCCTGTTATCCCAGTACTTTGGGAGGCTGAGGAAGGCAGATCACTTAAGGTCAGGAGTTCAAGACCAGCCTGGCCAACATGGTGAGATGAGACCTCATCTCTACAAAAAATACAAAAATCGCTGGGCATGCTGGCGTGTCCCTGTGGTCCCAGCTACTCAGGAGGCTGAGACATGAATCGCTTGAAACCTGGAGGTGGGGATTGCAGTGAGCTGAGATTGTGCCACTGCACTCCAGCCTGGGCAACAGAGTGAGACTCTATCTCTAAGTAAATAAATAAATAAGAATTCCCCACTTTGGGAGGCCGAGGCAGGCGGATCACTTGAGATTAGGAGTTCAAGACCAGCCTAATCAACACGGTGAAATCCCGTCTCTACTAAAAATATAAAAAATTAGCCAGGCGTGGTGGCAGGCGCCTGTAATCCCAGCTACTTGGGAGGATGAGGCAGGAGAATCACTTGAACCAGGGAGGCGGAGGTTGCAGTGAGCCGAGATGGCACCACTGCACTCCAGCCTGGGTGATCCAGCGAGACTTGTCTCAAAAAATAAAAATAAAAATAAAAAATTCTTTCATCTTTACTCCATTCCCTGAGCTACTTCTACTCTGGCTGACCTGTTTAAAACATCCTCAACAAAAATACCCTCTTCTCAGCCAGTCATTTTCTTCCTCATATTTACAACCAGATCTGTCTTTGGAGAAACATTTCACCTTGAATGTTTGTACTCACTGGACCCTGCTGTTTCCGGAGGTTGTTCCTTCTGGTGGGTTCCTGGTCTTGCTGACTTCATGAAGGAAGTCACCTTCGCAATGAGTGTTACAGCTCTTAAAGGTGGCAGGAACCCAAAGAGTGAGCAGCAGCCAGATTTATTGTGAAGAGCAAAAGAACAAACCTTCCACAACGTTGAAGGGAACCCGAGTGGGTTACTGCTACTGGCTGGGAGGGTTTGGGGTGCGGGGTGATCAGCTTTTAATCCCTAATTTGTCTGCGCCCATGTCCTGCTGACTGGCCCATTTTACAGAGTGCTGATTGGTCCATTTTACAGAGTGCTGATTGGCCCATTTTACAGAGTTCTGATTGGTGCATTTTACAAACCTCTAGCTAGCCACAGAGTGCTGATTGGTGCGTTTTTACACAGCACTGATAGGTGCATTTTACAAACCTCTAGCTAGCTACAGAGTGCTAATTGGTGCGTTTTACGATCCTCTTGAGACACAAAAGTTCTCCAAGTCCCCACTTGACCCAGAAGTCCAGCTGGCCTCACCTCTCACTGCTTTCCAGTGTATGTGTACTCACTGGACCCAGCACTTCTTTTAAAAATGCCAGCAAGGCCGGGCGTGGTGGCTCACACCTGTAATCCCAGCATGTTGGGAGGCTGAGGTGGGGGGTCACGAGGTCAGGAGATTGAGACCATCCTGGCCAACATGATGGTGAAACCCCGTCTCTACTAAAATACAAAAAATTAGCCAGGCATGGTGGCACGTGCCTGTAGTCCCAGCTACTCAGGAGGCTGAGGCAGGGGAATTACTTGAACCCGGGAGGCGGAGGTTGCAGTGAGCCGAGATTGCGCCACTGCACTTCAGCCTGGCAACACAGCAAGACTCTGTCTCAAACAAACAAACAAACAAATGCAGGCAAATAAGTGTAAAAAGTTAAAACAAAATTAGAGAATCAGCATTTTGTAACACCAAAGAAATAACTGATTTGGGCAAGTATAATTAATGGATAGGTTGTTAAGGAAAGGGATATTCAATTTGATGCCAAAATATCACCCCATAGAGCATTTGCTGAGTTCAAAGGGAAAAAATGTATCTTTACAATGAAAAGATAACCAAGTGATTAAATTTAGCGTCACTAACAATGGAACCACCTGGCATTATATCCTCCCGCAGTAATTCAATATTAAGTACACAGCATCTTTCCTGAAATGCTAACTCTGAATTTCATCTAGTACCTACTTGACAGCAGGTACAGTAGACAGAGGAACAAGTTAAATTACACCACGAAGAAACAATCAGACAAAAGCAGAAAGTGGGAAAACTACAACTGGTCTGGTGCAAAAGGTCAATGCAGAGGGGAAGAGGTGACCGGCTGTTCAACACAGAGACTGATGAGCTACAACCAAATGCAATGCACAAACCTCAGCTGGCTACTGACGCAAAATAGCAGGACAAAGGCCATTTGGGAACTAATGGAAAAACAGAAATTTGTACAAATGGTTTCATCCCTCAGGAGGGGCACGCTTACACCACAGTAACAAAGAGCCCAAATTCTCAGTGGCTTAAAACAAAGGTTTATTTCTCACTCCCACTTGTATCACAATGTTTCAGAAGTGTGATGCTCCCTAGCCTGTTGCTCTTTATACAAGAGTAATTCTGAGGTGGGGCGTGGTGGCTCACGCCTGTAATCCCAGCACTTTGGGAGGCCAAAGCCAGTGGATCACCTGAGGTCAGGAGTTTGAGACCACCCTGACTAACATGGAGAAACCCCGTCTCTACTAAAACAACAAAATTAGCCCGGTGTGGTGGTGCATGCCTGTTATCCCAGCTACTCCGGAGGCTGAGGCAGGAGAATCACTTGAACCCAGAGGCGGAGGTTGTGGTGAGACAAGATTGTGCCACTTTAACTCTGTCCTGGGAAACAAGAGTGAAACTCCGTCTCAAAAAAAAAAAAAAAAAAAAAAAAAAAAGAATAATTCGGCATCCCTTTAAGAACAAACAAGATGTTTACTGACCATGATGGGTGGTTTACAGCAGTGTTTCTCAAAGTATGATTCCCCAACCATTTGCATCACAATATCCAAAATATTGCTAAGTGCAAACAATTTATTGGTATGCAAATGATTTTAACTCCAGAGTCCCAACCCCTAACTACTGAATCAGAAACTGAACACCAGGGCTATAGAGTCTACTACTAGCTTCTGAAAGTTCCTTTCAGTTATGCAGGCCACTATTTTATAAAAGTTGCCATTTAAATGGATATTTTACTTTCCTAGAAATAACTAGAGTAGCACAAATACTGTTTATTAAAATGTCAAGGTTTCATGTTTACATTTTCTTATATCAAGTACAATGGTATATATACTTTTTTTTGAGATAATTATTCTAGATTCCAGGCTTTCTTCTAGATGTAAGTTCCTAAAGCTTATAGTTTACATTGATATCTAGACATATATCTTAAACAGTCTCCAAATTTTCTTTAATTAATCAAAGTATGTTAATGTCACTTGGAATTCTACATGGAAAAGCCAACAAAATAACTAAAACTTGACTAATGAAGATCAGCGTCACTAATAAAAGTCTGCAACTGTAGTATTAGGTTGGTGCAAAAGTAATTGCGGTTTTTGTCATCACTTTCAATGGCAAAAGCCCCAATTACTTTTGCAGCAACTATATAGTTTTATAAATGATCAGCATTTAATCCAACTTAGCATGTCAACTGGAAATTTTTCAATATTTTAAAGCTGACCTTCTGCAAAAAATGTTTCAAAACAGGCTTGACTGACACCACCTCCCTGCTCTGCTACCCGACCAAATAAATTGAATTTGTTTTAAAAGAGTTCCCTTCATCTTTACTCAAGATTCCCTGAGCTACTTCTAGCCTAGCTGACCTTTTCAAAACACCCTCAATAAAATTATCCTCTTGTCAGCCAGTTATTTTCTTCCTCATATTTACATCCAGATCTGCCTTTGGAGAGACATTTCACCTCGAATGTTTGTACTCAATGGACCCTGCCTTCCATCAAGTTGGCAAGGGCACAAAAAAATAGTGATTGTAATATAAGCAAGTGACAGGAACAAAATGAAAACTTAATGACATTATTACCTACATCTGATGGGCCTTTTAGCCCACTATACCTATTTTAAATATTCTGGAAATTATTTTTGTATGAAACAGGTATTATTTATCAACAAACTTTTGGAAAATAAACTCCTCAAACCTTATGCTGTTATGTTAATGTAATGGGCAAGTCTACTTGCCTAGGTGAGAAGAAAAAAAAAACAACTACAACTTGATTCCATTTGTTTTATCCAGAAGAAAAACATTCAAAGTAAAATGTGAACATTTAATTACCTTTAAATCATATATGAAGTAATTTACATGCTATACACTTCCAAACACACTGAACATAAATTCAACTTTATAAGACATATACACAGTCTGCTTTTGCCAACATATACCCTGTAGGTCACTTAAGATGTAACTGATTTCTCAGTCCACCTGTGAGCATATAAACACACAAATATATGTCTGAAGTTGAAGATTAAGATAATAAACCAGAGTTGAATACAAGAAGTCAGCCACAGAAGATTCTAAAACCACAATCAGTGACTGGAACACCAAGGCACAAAAACTTCCCTTTGTAGTCACAGAGATTAAGTTTCCATTCCCAGTGCTTAAATATGGAAGCAGGATTGGTTAATCACATACTATATTTTATAGTGCATTTCTGTTGCTGTTTAAAAAGGAATATTTTTTAAATTACATAATGTATTACAGAAAAGCATTGGAAAAATAAACAGGATAAGATAAGCTCTCATACAATAAAGTTTTTTTTGGTCTGAAAAAGATGTTTATATTCAAAACTAATATAATAGAGGTGTAACAGAAAGTAGCATGAGGAACACTATGCAAATTGCCTAATACTCGAATTGTACTTCATGCCACCATGTTATTTAAATTTTCAATTTTAAAGCCAGTTGGGTGATATTGCTAATTCCAAGTG
Organism: Homo sapiens; assembly: GCF_000001405.40. Taxonomy (NCBI): domain Eukaryota; kingdom Metazoa; phylum Chordata; class Mammalia; order Primates; family Hominidae; genus Homo; species Homo sapiens. The sequence goes on from NC_000013.11 coordinate 25,247,946, forward strand.
ATAGTTTTGGGGTTTTTATGTTTTGTTTCTTGTTTTTTGGTAATTTAAAGATATGTACTAGTACACAGAATAAACAGTAAATATAACATGGCAAAATGAAATCTTTCCCAGAGTTTATGTTGCTTTTGTTAAACAGTAACTTTGTACTAGAATCTCTTTTTTTTTCTATATTTAACAAGAAGAAAAATAATGCTCCACATAGAAATGACTTCAAAATTCATGCAACCATGCACAACCTAAACTATCTGTACTTCCCTTTTTTATTTACCCAAAAGTTTTTGAGTAAACTGAAAGTTAGATACTCCAGGAACAGCAACTCATTGAGCAATAAGGCAGTTTAAAAATATACATATACATGTACTATTCATTGTTTCTCAGAACAGTTTTAGAGCTTTAGCTCTTTAAACTTACACAGTTGTGAAAGAAATAAAGCCAACCACAAAATAAGAATCAATGGAATGCAGTAATCCATATATAAAAGACAGTCAAATGTGCTTATACGTATTCAAGAAATCAATATTCTAAGCTGTAAATAATAAATTATCAAATGTAGCACTAAACAAATTATGATCAGAATAAACCTTCAGTTTCATTAATTTTGAATACAAAAGTGGGGCAGGCTAAACGTGAACAGTGTACTTCTACAAGTGTTTATATAGAAGTATTGTAGCATGCACCCCCAGCAGTAATGAGAGCACAATTCTTTACAAACAAAACAAGGCTGACCAGAAGAAAAACAAAACAAAAAATCTTGTTGTAGGCTGTAAAACTTAAGGGTAAAGAATCCACTGGGAATTTAAGGCTTTCTTAGAAATATTTTTCATGGCACTTTAACATTAAATATCACTAAAAGGCAAAATATGTAAATATTCATAGTTACAAAGCTACATAATTGAAAGTACATGCCATATCATTTATTAAGAAACTATGTTGTCAAATTTTGTTTTCTTGAAGTTAAATTGTACTTAAGGAAGGTTATTTATGTTTGGCTGAATTAACATAAATCATAAACGTCAATTCACTAGTGTACAGTGCAAATTGTGTTTTGAGTAAATACATCAAATACCACTCATTTCTTACAGAACTGAATGTCATTCCTTGCTGGAAATGCAATTAAAATGACTTATTTCTCTCACAAGGGTAGTTATTATCCTTCCTTCAACTATTAGCCTACTGTTAAACCCTAAAATTGTTATTAGACAAATTCCTTTTGGTTATGCTTACAGACCATCCTCACAATAATCCTTTTCTTGTACTGCAATCATTGCAGAAAAAACTCTATGAGTCTAACAAGTCATTCTTGCCACACCATACTCTAAGCTGACCACAGCAGGTTCTGATTTAGAAAACTCTTCTGCATATTCACTATAACGATTATCTGCCGGGCTGCTGCCCTCTATAGTTCGAAGAGCATCATTTACGGGTAGCAGAGTCTGCTCTTTAAAACACAGGGAAGTTTTGAGGTTAGGTGATTCAGGATGAACTGAATGTAACAATTCCTTGGTGAGGATGCCATCTGTTTGCTTATTTTTGCGTTGTTTAATTTTCTAGAACAAACACAAATTTGAAAAAATTACTAATTGCATAAGCCACAATATGTTACATGAAAAAAGAAAACATGCTTTTGCAAAATATGTTCTCTGTATGTATAATGCAAAACTAAATCTCAAAAAAGTAGAAACATTTAATGCATATGACATGGTTGAAAATCCTAATTGTGTACAATTTTTTGCTGTGGAAAATTGTTAGTTTTTATATTTATTAAACAAACAATCCAGCAAGACTTGACTGCAGGCGATCACTAGGCTTCCACACTTAAAATGGACATATATTACCTAGAAAGCATAACAGGTAAACATTTATAATAAAAGAAATGTGTATGAAACATTCACCCTGAAAACACAACAAACAAACTTGTGTAGCTAAAGGGCTCACTGACTATATAGAGTTTTTCTTACATGGTTTTCCTACAGTGGTTTGTTAGGTAAAAATAACAGACTTTAAACACAACAGAACTTTACTTTTTTAACAGAAGATTTTTAAAGTGTCCTGTGGCAGAGTATCATGCTCTCCAAATTCTTGGACTGTCCCGATAATCTTGTATTACCTATTATCCTGGACTTGCCTCTCTTGACCATATCCTTCTACAATTTACTCAAGCAGTCATTACCTCTTTATCTAAAAGATGACTAAGGGAGACTCCTGCCTGAGAGGTAGATGAGACAGTCTTACTGTTATAACTGTCTAGGATTTAAAAAATATATATATACTTACTGATCCTTTTTGCTTATATAGGATGGCAGAAAAAAGATTATAGGAAAGTCTTAGGGTAGAGAGGGATTTGTTAAACAAGACACACACAGAAAGCATAAAACATTGAGCAATTTGACATGAAAATTCAAAACATCTATATATAGCATACCATAAATAAAGTGGAAAAGACAATAGGCTGGACAAAACCATTTGTAATATATATAACTAACAAAGAATTAGTGCCTGGCATATAAACAACTCTTACAAATCACTAAGAAAAAGGCAAATATGCCAACAGAAAAATGAGCAAAGGTTTGAACAGTCCATTCACAGAAAAGGAAAACCAAATGGCCAACAAATATGGAAAGTCATTTAACTTCATTTGTAATCATGGAAATCCAAAACTGAAAACAATTTAAATATTCATCCATAGCTGAATGGATAGACTGTGATATATTCATATAATATAAAGTTATATAGTAGTTACTAATAAAAAGATGAATAAAAGCTACATGTATCAACATGGATAAATGTCAAAACACTGTTGAGCAAAATGAAGCACATAAACAGTATGGTAACTTTTATATAGTTTTAAAACATCAGTTTCTTAAGCAGAGTGAAGGGTATATTGGCCTATACATTGTCTGTTTCCCTTTACAACTCATACAAACATTATAGATAGTCTTTGGTATTTTTTCAATACACAGTAAAAATATTTTAAGTCAAGAAAAACAGTATTATAAATTGTGATACATGGGTGAAGACTGGGTAAGAGTATAGAGGGTCTTCAAATAGATCTATGTTTTATTTCTTTTTTTTTTGTTTGTTTTTGTTTTGAGATGGAGTCTTGCTCTGTCACCCAGGCTGGAGTGCAGAGGCATGATCTTGGCTCACTGCAACCTCCGCCTCCCAGGTTCAAGCAATTCTCCTGCTTCAGCCTCCCAAGTAGCTGGGATTACAGGCATGCGCCACCATGCCCGGCTACTTTTTTGTTATTTTTTTAGTAGAGATGGGGTTTCACTGTGCTGACCAGGCTGGTCTCAAACTCTCCTGACCTGGTGATCCACCCGCCTCGGCCTCCCAAAGTGCTGGGATTACAGGCGTGAGCCACTGCGCCCGGCCTATGTTTTATTTCTTAAAACAAGAACAAGAAAGATCTGAGGCATATATAGTAAATGTTAAAATCCCACAAAAGCTAGCTGGTGGGTACACAGATAGTTATTATGTTTATCTATACGTTATGCTATATACTTCCGGTATTTTAATGTATTTTAAAATACAAAGAAAGTGATTCGAACTAACGTATTCAATCAAAGTAGGGATGACCTGATTTTGAAGAAACTGCTTACTTCAGAAGTTTATGTGCTGATTTACACCAACAATACAAATATTAGTCTAATCGTAAACTAATTTCACATTCCAAATATATTAGATACTTCAGAATACTTACAGATTCTAGGTCTTTAATATCTTTCTCTAATTGTTTATTTTGCTCATTCATATTCATAATTATATTAAATACAGACTGCCTAGGATGCAGTGTTCGATCAAATTGATGGTACATGTTCCTCCAAAACCTTTATGACAAAAAAAAGTTTCAATAAATTGTGTTTGAGAAAATTCAAGTATAAATACTCCAATGATGTCAACTTACTTAAAATTGAAAGATACTGTATTTGGCTCCAAAACTGTAAATCTGTGAGATTCGGAACTGTAGAGAGGATTTAAGTACTTCTTTTGGTCTTCCAAAAGAAATGGCCACAGGGAATAAGTCTTCTCCTTCAACCTTAATATAATGAGAAAAACACAGAGATCTTTCCTATAGATGCAAAGTAGTAATGGTAATATTCATTTTTATAAATCAGGCGATGGCTTCCGAAGCAGATTTAAATTTTAGTTTTTTCTTGTATTCACAGTCTAACCTTGTCTCAGAATTCTGTATTATCTCTATTCTCCTTTTTCATTCATAATTAGGTAATAAAGTCATGTTTCTTGAACACAACACAGGTATAACATTTTCTCTCACAACCATATATTTTAAGGGATTCCTCTCAACTCACACAATTTCAAAAACTTGGTCTCTGTTCCACCTACTTCAAATCACCACAAACATACACATAGAACAAGACACTAATGCATCTTTCTGTCTGGCCTTCTCTTAACCCCACGTCTGGGCCGTAGTGGCGAGTATCATAGGGCAGGAGCACACGTAAGTGTGAGTGGGTACAAAAAGGGAACAGGCAAAATCAGGATGTTATGCAAGAATTTTAAAAGCCAATTATTTTGCAAATCTAAGAGTAGCTGGGCAAAGGTAAGAATGGTTTTAGACTGGACATTTACCAAGTAAACATAATGTAGGTATCCAGGGGGAAAGTGGAAAATCTCCTGATTTTTCCATAACTCCTAAGATGACCCATAGGTGTGTCTTGGAGAAAAACTACTAGGAAATATCTACTTTTACTTCCATCTTTCCATTTTTGAGAATGTTTGGCACTAATTAAGAATAGTTTTTCCTAAAATAGCTCTGTACTCCAGGAAAAGAGTTACCTCTGTGCTCCAAATTATAATAAACTATTTTGAATCACTGTAACATAGAGCTAAAGCCTCAATGTTCTTTGATTGTTCATCTCCACCATTCTCTATTCACTTTTTATTCCCTTTACGCATTTTTAGAATTTTCCACATGCTCTCAGTTCTGCTGTTTACTCTGTTGGGAGTGTGAGCATGTGGCTATCTTCAAATACTACCAGATTTAGCTTCCTTAATATGTCCCTTGGATGTTCAAAAGTCTGTTAAGTGCTCTTTATTGCCTACTGTAAGAGGCAATAAAGAAATCCAAACTCAGAAGCCCAACCTAAAACAATATACATAGGACCTCTAAGACCTACTCCAGAGATCTTCCTTACAGCAAAATTTAGGCAAAAACCCCTATCCCCGAAGACTGGTCAGGAAATAACATGAACTAGGGTCAAGTAGTGTCTCAGGGCTTTTCTGAGACCCTACTCAAGGACGGACACGCTGCAGCCAACATAGCTAGATTTATTTTCCCCAAAGAACTGTCTGTTTAGAAATGTGGGGAGAGCTATAAGGCTCCATCCTATCTTAAAACAAACCAACAGTTTAAAATATTTTACACTTTAAAACTAGCGACTGATACATTCTGGGAAATTAAACAGCATAAGGATTTCTCTGTTCTAAAATATATAAATGCAGACCGAAAAGAAGCATGAGGAGACTTTCCAGGGTGTTGACAACATTTCATATTCTGGGTGCTGGTTACATAGGTGTGTGAGTTTGGTAAGATTTACTGAGCTTCACACTTAACGCTCTATGTACTTTTCTGTATGTATGCTACACTTCAAAACACATTTTATAATGTGCTTTTACTATTAGCTGAAAGGTGGGGGAATATTAGAAGGGTACTCAGCTTTAGAAATACAAAAAATAAAATCTTTACAATAAACTTTCAAATTGTCAAGATATTTTATTAAGTTTCAAACATGATTTTTGTTAGACCTCGGCTAAGTAGGGGGAAAAGGAGACTCTTTTAATTGAATCATCTTACTTGAGCTCTTCTCTTTCCTTCTGACAATTTCCAAGGAAGTTTCCAAACTGGCATGAATGAATATGCTCATGGATCTGAAGAAGAAATGCTTCACTGAATTCAAAGGCTTGTGGAAACTGTTCGGTCAAATGCCACACACATTCCAAGAACTGAGTAAACACTGGTGAGACTTCCTTTGGGTCACCATCCAACTGGCCACACCTAACCCCACAGAAAGTATAAGCTTTTAAAAACACCTCTGAAAGGTCCATTGTTCAGGTATTGTTAATCTTAAACATACAAAAATATTCCTAAAGCACTGTTACATTAGCATGCAAAACTAGAATTTTTATTGAAACCATTTATGAGTTTTTAAACCACAGCTTTAAAGGATCTGTTACCATCTCTAAATAAAATGCAGCCCAAAAGGAAGGTAATAAATAGTCATGAAAATTAACAAGCGTACTAGAATTGAAAGAAATTACAGAAAAAAATTAAATGTCTTTACGTAAAATACAGTAAAAACCATGACACTCTTACCTCCCATCACGCATGTGAGTTCATAAGGAACAGAAACATTTTGGCATTCTAAACTTGGTTTACTAATTTTATAAAATATATGACTGTGTAACTGTGACTCACCTCTCTGAAAATTTATGTCCAAAAGAGATCCAATCCTTTTCTATTAAAACCTTAATGAGAAAAAGTAAAATTCACTTTCTGACTACTTTCAATTATTTTGTTTAGGCTGGATTAAATCTTATTAGTTTAAAAACAGTATTTACTGTACACTTTTAACTTATAAACAAAACAGCACAAAAAACCACAGGCAAAAGAATGCCAAAACCTTGATTCGAGGTGGGGTTAAAGAAGAATAAAAATGCATAAAAAGAAATAGAGTAGTTTCGTGACTTAAATTATTTCCGTTGAATTTATTACATTTTAAGTGAAAAGTACATGTTATAAAGCAGTATTACATTTAAGTTTTTGTATGTATGAAGATGATATATCATAGGAAAAAGGCTAGAAAAATGTAAACCAAAACTGCTAACAAAGGATAACTCTAGGTGGTAGACTGAGGTGGATATTTTAAAACTTTTGGCTTACTTGTACATTTTTTATATTATTTATATACTACTTTTTTTAAGAAAAAAAAACTAATGATAAAAAGACCAATTATTTTAATCAAATCATCTTACTTGAGTTCATGTTCAGATCCAAGTGTTAACATCTATCCTCTTGAATGGACTGACTTTATGTTTTCCTTGCCACAGCTTCTCTACTTACCCACTCCACTGTAAAAACAGATTTCTAACTTTTTCAGTCTAATCTAAACACATATTTGTAGTATTTAGTACACTTTATCACTTAACTATACAGTCACCAAGCACATTATTTTCATAGTGTCAAAACTGCTGGTTTTAGCTTCTCTGATTTTGTCTCAAGCCTCTGCTTTCCGCAGAAGGCTATACACTGATGTGGCTGAGGATGTAGTCGCTGGAGCTCAGGCACAGGCTCCAATCCCAGCTTCACCACTTTGTGTGACCTTGTGGCTGGAGCCACAGATTTTATTCTGGTCTCTCTGCCATTCTTCTACAAAACCATGTTTAAAGCATAACTCAATATCTTTCTCACTAAATGTATTCTTTGGCTTATCTCAGTGAAGAGCCAGAGAGCAGCACCATCCATCCTGGCACCTAATTCAGAAACTTGGAAATCATCCCAGAGGAAGACTCCTCTCTTCTATCCCACATCCAATCCATGATCAATTCTTCCTGACTCTACTTTCTTTTTTTTTTGAGACAGGGTCTCACTCTGTTGCCCAGGCTGGAGTGCAGTGGCGCAATCTTGGCTCACTGCAACCTCCGCCTCCTGGGTTCAAGTAATTCTTCTGCCTCAGCCTCCTGAGTAGCTGGGATTATAGGTACACATCACCATGCCCGGCTAATTTTTGTATTTTTAGCAGAGACAGGGTTTCACCATATTGGCCAGGCTGGTCTCGAATTCCTGACCTCATGATCCACCCGCCTTGGCCTCCCAAAGTGCTGGGATTACAGGCGTGAGCCACTGCGCCCAGCCACTGACTCTACTCTCTAAACATCCCTGGAACCCATCACCTCCCCCTTCACTTGTGTGTTACTATTTTAGTTTGGTAAAATTAAAAACTTTTGTCTCATAAGTTATCATAATAGTGTCTACACTCGCCTCCTAGCCTCCATTCCCACTCCCTTTGGCCTTCAAGATACCAAGCCACCTTTTTAAAAAGCACATCTAATCAAGTTACTGTTTGCTTGTTTAAAACTCTTTAATAGCTCCCATTATCCAAAGAGGGGAAAGCCCCATTCCAGCCTTCTCTTTCTCAGGCCCTGACCCCACTCTATTCCTCTGCCTCCAAGCCCCCTATTCTAATACTCACTCTGAACTCCATCCATCACACATTACCTGCAGTCACCCAAAGAGGTTATGCTTTGATTTACACTGTTCCTATTGCCTGGGAAGCTCTCACATCATCCCCATTTATTACATGATTTCATTTGGATGTCTAACAAATAATTAAAGCCAAACATGGCAAAGAAAATATTCCTTATCGTACACTCTCAAGGTAAGCTGAGCATTATTTTCTTATTAGCAGCACTCCCGCTTGGCCTGTCCCAGAGTCGGTATGTTAGCAGCAAAAAATAGCGGTGCTGAAAAGGGACTGGTGATTTTAAATCTTCCTTTGCTTTAAGATGGCACTGTATTTAATAATTCAAGACTAATGAAAATTTTCTAACATCTCTTCATTTAATTTACCATGAGTTAAGATGTAAATTTTGAAAACATAAGTTAATCTGCTCACACGTTTAAAAGCAAGCAAATAAAAATCTGATCATACCTTTAAAAGCAAAGAAACAAAAAAAAGGAACTAGGTCTTTATCTTCACAAAGGAGAAAATCTATTCAACTAGAAATTTTATCTTCAGATATAAAACATGCCTAATATGTTATTACACTTACTAATGCAGGTGTTTTAAATAGAAGGTTTCCTTCAGAATTTAATTTTAAGTACTCTTATTTGTGCATTGTTTTATTACATTATTTACATTTGTTAGATAAAAATGAGGGAGAAAATACTGAATATTTCCATTGCAACATTTTAGGAAAAAAAATTATTTAAATCTAAAGCTTATTGTCAGTGTTAGCACAAATGGAAATAAGTCTAATTCAAGGTTTTTCAACCTCGACAGTACTGACATTACAGGCCAGATCAGTCTTTGCTGTGAGGCTGACCCCCCAGCAAAAATTTTGTGCATTATAAAATGTTTAGTTAGCAATATCCCTGGCCACTCCCACGGATGCCAGTCTCATCATTTCCTTTAGTGCAAAACTGTCTCCAACATTGCCAAATGTCCTCTGGAGGAACATAAAATTACTCCTACTTAAGAACCATTGGTCTAACCAAATAAATCCTTACCATGAATCCTTTGATTGTCCTGTAGTAGGAATCCAATAAAAGAGAACCCAGGGAACAAACCTGGGAAGTCCTATCCCAACCATCGGAACAATGCACCAACACACTTGCATTTTCAACTGTTATTGCCTGAAAAGAAAGATCACATACATTCTAGCGTACTTTAAGGTAAACCAATAAATTCTACTTGAAAATCATACTAGCAGGTATTGTGTTACAAGGAAGTGCTATGCCTGCAATGATAATGTCACAGCATAATTTCCAAAATACACAACAAAATATGGTAACAACAAAAACACAAGCAAACAAACAAAAAAAAAACAAAGAAAAAATGCCACTTCAAAGTATTTAGGAGCATCTTTTTAAGTTTCTACATTAAGTGCTACATGATATTTTTAAGGCTGAAAATAAAGTGAAGCTCATTAAAGAGGTAAAAAATAATAAAAGTTATCTGATGAATAGATACCAGCCCCCAACAGAATACATCTACTCCTTCCCAATCATTATAGACCCCAAGACCAAATATGAAAGATAAAGTATTACTTTGGCCAAGAAGATTGCAGCATCCATAACAGCTTTGATATGGCGAAGCCATCCCGAGCTCTCCAAACCGGAGTAGAAATCATTGACAGAAAGCCCTTTAGTGCCATTGACTGAAAGAGGTATAAAAATATTTCAATTAGAATATGGCTAGAGTTTCTGCATTTCTTTTTTCAAGATCTCTCTAGATAAGTGAATGAAGAAAGAAGACAAAATAAACAGGCAAGACTCTATAAATGAAAAGATGCTATTAAAAGCTCAATAACTGATTCTTGGATATATTTTTCTATTATTCCCGTGCTTACAAAAATGCTCCAATCTCTTAAAAAACATTGTAGCACAAGCATCTAACTAAAAATAATCTTATATTTTAATTTTTTAAATTCTATACTATGACTGGAATATTTAAATGAACATTACTACAAATTAGTATTTATTGTACTGACTACTCAAGAATATCTATCTAATAACATTTTTTTTGCAAAACCATTAGAATTGTACTGTCTAATACAGCAGCCACTAACCAAATACGGCTACTAAACATTTGAAATATGGCTTGTCCAAACTCAGATGTGTAGTAAGTGTAAAATACATGCCTGATTTCTAAGAGTTGATGAAAAGAAAAATATCTCATTACTGATTTTTTTTATATTGACTACATGTTAAAATAATGTTTATAATATATTAAGTAAGGATATTATTAAAATTAATTTCACTTGTTTCTTTTTACTTTTTAAAATGTGACCACTGGAAAATTCTAAATTACATGTGACTAGCATTAGATTTCTTTTGGACAAGGGTGTCTAAAAAAGTAAGCAATAATATACCTTCCAATAATTTCTGAAGGCTGGACCTCATGACATGAATATTTTCAATTCCAACAAACTGAAATCTAATATTGGAATAGTTGTCTTCATTTTCATAACCTTTTCCAGCTGCTCTGTTGGCCATTGCATTCAGCTAAAATTAAAAGTTTTAGAAATTTAGAGACAAATTACTTTTTTAATTTACCAAAATGTCATGAAAATATTAAATAAGCAGTATTTTAGCTAGGAGGCAGTTTAAAGGAACTCATCAAAACTGAATAAGCTACCATTCATCTTTTAGTAAGTAAAAATGCCACATTATTAAATAGTAATGAAGGAGATAATAAAGTAATACGATTGCTATATAATGGAAAGGTCAAAGTTCCCATAAGTTCATGAAACCAATTCATTTATATTTTAGGCAGTTTCCATATGTTTGTAATATTTTAAAATTAAAAAGAAAGAAATGTCTCCTATCTAATTTCTAAATGATTCAGTTGAGCAGAGCTGGCTGGGGGACTTTCCTTTTACAGAATGAACCTATGAGTTTACTTCAGAACAAGCCTAGGGCATTGATCATTCTGAGAGCCATAGGGACCTGAAAATCAGATCTGAAATATGCTTCAGATTACTTGAGGGAGATTATATGAGAGATTATTGGAGGCCCATACATCATATAATATGGCATATAATCGGCTATCCTGATACATCTCTGAGAATTGGGCCAAAAATAAACTGGTCTCCAGGAAAAAACAGATTGCTCATATGCCCATGGTCTTTAGCTATTAGATCAAAATGTTGTCAGTGGTCCCTTAGGATTTGTCATGCTTAATTCTTCCAGGCTAGGATTTCATATAGTATGTTAACACAATTTATTAAAAATTCTTATGAACGTGGATAAAACGAAGCCTAAATTAGAAGAAAAGGAGCTCTTCATTTTGTGGATTGGACCTCAGTTTGGTAACAAGTACAGTTAAATTGTATCCTACTGACTCACTAGTTATTCGGTACCTAAAGTAAAATCTACAGTTAGATGTTAAAAAATGCTTCCACATTATTACTACTTGAGTTACATTTAACTAGTAAAACAATCAAAGAATGATATATTTTCTGTGAAGAAGATAATTATACAAATAAGAACTATGAGGTCCTGAAAAACAAATCACTGTATCAGACCTCATCTTCAAAAAGTCTCATATTACAATCGCCTTTTATATCTAATATTATCAAAAAAGTGTTCCAGAATTTTTCTTATGAGATATCACCAACACTCTCAACTCCTAATAAAGTCTTTTATTTTTAATAAAAGATTATCAAGTTATCAATTTCTATTTTTAAATAATTATTAATTTTTTTTTTGTCACCCAGTCTGGAGTGCAATGGCACAATCTCGGCTCACTGCAACCTCTGCCTCCTGGGTTCAAGCAATTCTCCTGCCTCAGCCTCCCAAGTAGCTGGGATTACAGGCGCCTGCCATCGCACCCAGCTAATTTTTTGTATTTTTAGTAGAGACGGGGTTTTGCCATGTTGGCCAGGCTGGTCTCAAACTCCTGACCTCAGGTGATCTACCCACCTTAGCCTTCCAAAGTGCTGGGATTACAGGTGTGAGCCACCATGTCCAGCCAGATAATTCTTTTTTTTTTTTTTGAGACGGAGTTTCGCTCTTGTTGCCCAGGCTGGAGTGCCATGGCGTGATCTCGGCTCACCACAACCTCCGCCTCCCAGGTTCAAGTGATTCTCCTGCCTCAGCCTCCCGAGTAGCTGGGATTACAGGCATTCACCACCATGCCCGGCTAATTATGTATTTTTAGTACAGACAGAGTTTCTCCATGTTGGTCAGACTGGTCTCAAACTCCTGACCTCAGGTGATCCACCCGCCGTGGCCTCCCAAAGTACAATTTACTCAAATTAATCTCTTCTTCTGGTTTCTAAATTATCTTTTGTGAAATTGCATAATGATGAGAATCACTTCTAAAATAGTGACCATTCCTTTCACAAAGCTGCCTAAAAACCACTTGCGTTCTATATTGCTCACTCGCTTTTTCTCATTGCTTTCTCTTATTTTCTCATCATTCTGGATTTTTGAAGAAATCCTCACTATAATTCTGCCAATGTCCTTTTGTGTAGCCCACCAGCTCTGCATGCGACGCTATAACAAAAATTAAAAGTAACGTTAGCTATTACCACTGAGGATTTTAATTATTTTAGTTTCAGGATCCTATATGAACTGGTTGTTTAACTATGTTAATAAAAAGAAGAAGGGACTCTGAAATTTGTCCCAATGATAAAAATTTGGCCCCATAGCACACAAGATGCCTAAGATAACCCAAATTCCTGTTCACTATTTAAAATTCTCTAGTTCAATGTTTCCTAAGTTAACTGTTTTCCTTATTTTCTTGAAAATTTCAAGCTAAAATCCATTATTTTAGCATAAAAATGTTTTGTCAATTGAAAATTCTTCAAAAAAGAATAATAAGAATTTAGGCTGGGCGCAGTGGCTCATGCCTGTAATCTCAACACTTTGGGAGGCCAACTGAGGTGGGCGGATCACTTGAGGCCAGGAGTTCGAGACCAGCCTGGTCAACATGGTGAAACCCCATCTCTACTAAAAATACAAAAAATTAGCCAGGCATGGTGGTACGTGCCTGTAATACCAGCTACTCAGGAGGCTGAAGCAGGAGAATTGCTTGAACTGGGAGGCAGAGGTTGCAGTGAGCCGAGATCACACCACTGCACTCCAGGGTGACAGAGTGCAACTCTGTCTTAAAAAAAAAAAAAAAAAAAAAAAAAAAAAAGAATAGTAACAATTTATTTTTCATAACACACATTTTATTATTTCTTCACAATAACATAAGACTTATATACTAGCAAGAGTTCTCAATATACAATTCAGCTTTCCTGAATTTATATATATCAGAAGATGTAAGAAATCACCATGAGTTACTCAGAAATTGGTTTTCTAAATTGGTATCCTTTAAATAAAGGATTGATTTCCTTAGTATCATTAGCCTTAGTTAATTTAAAACTAGGATTCAGATATTTTAAATATGGGCAAGTTTATTAACTCTCATTAAGTAAAGTAATAAAAATAATTAAACTAGCAGACTGTACTGTATTTAAAATACATACTTTTGGCCTGGTATCCATGACGTACATATAGCGATTGACTGGATTGGCTTTACTAATGGCTTGAAGCAAATGTTCATCCTCCAGGCACCTGGCACTGAATCCAGAGAGTGGCTGACTACATCGACAAATGGCAGCCTATTTTTTAAAGGACAGAAAAGAGATTATGCAAAGATCTCTAAAATGTCTTTAAAGATGCTTACAAGAAAAAAAAGCCAAAAGTGTTAAAATCAAATATGATAATTAGGAGGCATTAACTTTAAGATCCTCTTTGAATTAAATACTATTTCAATATTTTGACATTCCTAAGTTTTCCCAATATTCTATTCTCATAAGAAAACTAAATACCTCCTTATCTAGTTTGATGAAGAAACCTGGGTCCTAAGAAATAACACCCAGTCAATTCTCTGTGAAGTAACCTACTGTTATCTTCATTCTGCGCTCCATTTAGATTACAGGATCCTTCCAACTGAAGTTCAAGTAAAAGATTAGTCAATAAAAATAGAACAAGAATTTTTAAGTAGCAACACTGGAACTTTTACTTTCTAAAGGTTTTAAGATCTCTAATTAGAAATCGGCAATCTTAATATAAAATGAGAAAAATGACCTTCAATTCAAATTTGAGTTAAAATACAGTCAATCGAATAGAGCAAGAATTATCTATAAGTAGTGAGTGGTTGGATTCATTATTTACTGTTTTTTGTTTGGCTGGTTGGTTTTTGAGACAAGGTCTTGCTCTGTCACCCAGTTTGGAATGCAGTGGCGTGATCACAGCTCATTGCAGCCTTGACCTCCTGGGCTCAAGCAATCCTTCCAACTCAGCCTCCAGGGTAGCTGGGACTACAGGAACACACCACCACGCCTGACTAATTTTTGTATTTTTTGTTAAGATGGGTTTTTGCCATGTTGCCCAGGCTGGTTGTCAACTCCTGGGCTCAAGCGATCTGCCCACCTCACCTCCCAGCATGCTGGGATTACAGGCATAAGCCATCATGCCCAGCCTACTATTGTTTAAAGTCCTAAAAAAAGATTTAAAAGATTTAGATCCATATACTTTTTCTCCAATGGAAAACAAAAATACATGCAAATTCACACAATTGCATATTTTAAACTCACAAAATAAAACCACGAAAATATGATAAAACAGTAGAAAATGAACATTGCCTTATTAAATTCTTTTCAGACCTACTTTCTGATTTGTTAAGTTGTTCACAGAATAACTATTTTCAGCCCAACTTTCCAATAAACAATGTTTACACATATGGCTGTGTCAAGAGAGGCCATAACCATTTAACCTCTCTGTGATTTAGTTGTGAAAAGCAGATTAGAAACTTCTGTCTAAACCCTTACCCCTTTGCCTCTGCTCCTTCCCAAAATCCAAGTCAGGTTCGAATAAAGAAAGTTAAAATGCATAAAACCACAGGGACAAAGAGAATGGGAAAAAAGACATAGAGATGTCAATAAAATTTGGGGAGATGACAGCTGACTAGCAAGTGATAACCAATTTTACAGGACAAAGAAAGCTGCTAACTCCCTTAAGTCAGTAAGAAGCAAGGTATTTTGTGCAGCAAAATCTCAAAAGGCTCAAAACCTCTGAAGGCTTGAGCAGGTATATAACTGAAAAAAAGGAGAACTGCTTGAATGCCTGTACGAGAACTAGCTAAGACCACCAGATTCTCCCTTACCTTGAAGACAAAGTTTATTCCATGATAAGGATGAACCTGAAGACTCTATAGACAATAGACACAGCTGTGGGCAGGGGTGAAGCCCTATACTCACAAAGACTAGGAGCATTAAGTAAAGTCTACATAACAAAATGTGAAATCCTGACATCACTCTTCTCACCCTTGGATCATGGCCAGACTTACTATACACATTGGGACCAAAATTAGAGGTTTGTTCTTTAAGGAAACCAACTTATACAACAGAAAGAATCCCAAAGCCAGGCACGGTGGCTCACACCTGCAATCCCAGCACTTTGGGAGGCCGAGGCCGGTGGATCACCTGAGGTCAGGAGTTCGAAACCATCCTGGCCAAATGGTGAAACCCAATCTCTACTAAAAATATAAAAATTAGCCAGGCATGGTGGCACATGCCTGTAATCCCAGCTACTTGGGAGTCTGAGGCAGGAGAATCACTGGAACCCAGGAGGCGGAGGTTGCAGTGAGCCGAGATTGTGCCACTGCACTCCAGCCTGGGAAACAAAGCGAGACCTTGTCTCAAAGAAGAAAAAAGAAAAAAGAAAACAAAGAAAGAATCCCAAGATACAAACCATTCCTGCACACAAACTTCAAAACAGCTTGAATATGAGAACTCAGCCAAGAAACAGGTATTTGAAAGACATGAAAGACAAAAACACTAAATAAATAGAAAAAAATGGAACTCTGAGCAAAACAATAACTAATGTGGGAAGCATGAGAATTATTTTTTTAAATCTTTAACATCCTCAAAGAACTAAAACATCACATCCAGGAATAGAAAACCATCTTTAAAAATTTCAGAAAATAGGAAAAGCTCTCAGATATTAAAAACACCACAGCAAAAAAAGGATCTAAGACACAGACTGGAGATGAGGTTGAGGAAATCTTCCAGAAAATCCAAAAAAAAAAATGAAAAATAAAGGAGAAAGTTTTTAAAAAAGTAGAAGTTTATTCTACAAAGCCCAATTGTCAACTAATAAATAAAAAGGACAAAGAAAATTAATAGAACAGAGGAAATTATCAAAGAAATAGAGAAGCAAATTCCCAAAATTGAGACCTGAGTTTCTGGATGAGATTTAAAAGGACATTACTGTGAAATTTCAGAACAAGCAGGGCGCAGTGGCTCACACCTGTAATCTTAGCACTTTGGGAGGCCGAGGCGGGTGGATCACTTGACGTCAGGAGTTCAAGACCAGACTAGCCAACACGGTAAAACCCTGTCTCTACTAGAAATACAAAAATTGGCTGGGCATGGTGGCAGGCGCCTGTAGTCCCAGCTACTCAGGAGGCTGGGGCAGGAGAATCGCTTGAACCCGGGAGGTGGAGGTTGCTGTGAGCCGAGATCACGCCATTGAACTCCAGCCTGGGCAACAAGAGAAACTCCATCTCAAAAAAAAAAAAAAAAAAAAAAGAAATTTCAGAACACTGGGGAAAAAGAGGATTCTAAAAGTTCTCAGAGAAAACAAAATCAGGTCCCAAAGGACTGGGAGTCAGAAATGGCACAGAATTCCTCAACTTACTTGCTGTGAGACAAGGAAGTAATTTACCCTCTTTGAATGTCAGTTTCCCCACTTGAAAGTTACAGGTAATTAGTAAAGCCTACCTTACAAAGTTAGGAAGACATACATGTAAACCATTTAACATACAGTACCTCTTGGCCTTCTATTAGTAGGCTACAAAGGTAAGTTTTACTAATATAAGCAACCCTTATTACAGCATCTCACTATAAAGATGCCTCCTCCACTGTTTCATGTTGCAAAATCCTTTTGATTTGAGCTTACTATTAAAATGGGACCCTGAAATGCCCTTGGTTCTCTCCCTTGTCTCAGCGGTTGTCTTATCAAAACTATCTGGTTTTCCCAAACACAAGCAGAATCAAAAGAGAACCACAGGAAAGAAAGAGGATCCTATCTGTTAACTAATTCTATTATTTTCAAGTCACTGCTGGAAGGAAGGGAGGGTCAAGAAAAGATGACAAGAAGTATGAAAATTTCTGTATTTGAGTAGTTTTGTTTTAAATTTGCAAAAACGTAATTAAACAAAAAGCCAGTGCTTCTCCATTAGCAATCTTTTAATGTAAAAAATAGTGTTCTTGATCCAGGCACAGTGGCTCACACCTGTAATCCCAGTATTTTGGGAGGTTAAGGCAGGTGGATCACTTGAGGTCAGGAGTTCAAGACCAGCCTGGTCAACGTGGCAAAACCTCGTCTCTACTAAAATTAGCCAGGCATGGTGGCACGCGCCTGCAGTCCCAGGTGCTCGGGAGGCTGAGGCACAAGAACTGCTTGAACCGAGAGGTGGAGGTTGCAGTGAGCCAAGATGGTGCCACTGCACTCCAGCTTCGGCAACAGAGCGAGACCCTATCTCAAAAAAAAAAAAAAAGTGTTATTTTAGATACTTAAACCTGAAGATGAGTTATACTTTATTTCTAAAATCAAAAGAAAAGCATCCTACCTCCTTATCTTGATGATAGTAGGAAAGAACTGGGAATCTTCCCTTGCTCCGGAACTTGGAACTACCAACAATTATTGGTTTGCTTGCTATCCGGGGAACATAAAGTTCTCTGGGGTAAGTTTCACAAATCTGTAAATATCAAACAAAACATAACCATTGTATTCTTAGTTCAAAACCACTTTAAAAACCTTTAAACCTTATTAAATGCAAGAACAGCACATTTCAGTACACAGACAACTTGCTACGCTGACACTCTCTAACCCTCTGGTACTAACACTTTCTGAATTTCTCCAAAATGTTGTTAAGGTACCTTGTAGTCCCGGTTGGCATCAGACAACTGCCAGTGTGAGTTTGGCACTCCCATCCTCTTATATTCCTCAGCGAGATCAATGAGCTGCCAGCCTTGTAGTCGTTCTGAATCATTTTGTTTGGGATTATAAGAAAATGCATAGAGATCTTCATATTTTGCTACAGAATACAAAATTTTAAATGTTAAGTGCAATTTATAAGACTTATACACTACAAATAAATGTAATTTTTCAGTTTTCTTCCTTCATTTTTCTCTTTACAATCTTCAAAGAGATGGCTAATACCTGAATACATTTGATGTTCAGTATGCAAATGATTATACCTAAAAAGCACACATATCAATCTGAGATTGGATTTGTCATCAACAAAAGTAAAGCTAATAAATACAGTCAGAATAGTTAGACTTACATGTTAAATCCTCTATTGCAGTATTTTTCTTAAAAGTAAAATGATAAAGACACTAATAGACATTTCCTACTAATCACTTTCCCAAATGAGATGTAAAATAGACTAATGTTATAATGAGAAGCTAGAGACAGATACAGAACATGAAACTGCATTATACATCCCTATAGGACACTGTTGACTAAAAATGGCAACTGTTGCACAGAACTCTTGGGGTGCTTCAGAATCATCCTTACTATAAACTCTGGCTTAATTTGAGACAATAGGATGTTACAGGCTGATGTGCTCAGAGAGAAGAATGAACAAAGACCTGCTCTGAGACCACTCTTGCAGGCAGCAATCCAGATTGCTCAACCAAAATCCAGTCCGACATATAATTCAAGTCATGTTTGGGGAAGGAAGTCACCAGATCCACAGGGCATAAGTAGCGATAAGATTCTTCTTTAGTGGCTCATGCCTGCAATCCCAACACTTTGGGAGGCCGAGGAGGGTGGATCACAAGGTCAGGAGTTCAAGACCAGCCTGGCCAAGATGGTGAAACCCCGTCTCTTCTAAAAATACAAAAATTAGCCGGGTGTGGTGGTGGCTGCCTGTAATCCCAGCTACTCAGGAAGCTGAGGCAGGGAACTGCTTGAACCTGGGAGGCGGAGGTTGCAGTGAGCTGAGATTGTGCCACTGCACTCCAGTCTGGGCGAGAGAGTAAGATTCCATCTCAAAAAAAAAAAAAAAAAAAGGTTCTTCTTTAGGACTGCTATCCCTCTCAACCTTACTTCTACTAAAATAGAATTCACCCTCTCTTGTTTCTCTGCTTATCTTCTGTATCTCCCACTCAAATCTATTAAATATTTTAGTCCCACTGCCACCAAAGGACCTTGACCTTCCTTTTATCATTCCGTAATATCAACTTCCAAGTCATTCTCTTTGATTGTGAAATACCCACTTAAAAAATACATTGTGCTACTTGCCATCAATAGACTTAAAAGATTAATATAAACCTGTGGTTTTGTAAGTCTCTACTATAAATGCTTTACTTTTTCCTTACCATTACCCCTTCTGATGACACCATTCTTATATCAGATCAATAGTTTCTAATTACTTTCAGGCCAATATGGGGGAGATAGAGTACAAAAGAACCTGACTGTCAGAGCAAAAAAGGATAAAATAACAATAATAAAACATTAAATAAAGTATCTTAGATAACCCATCTCAAATTGAGCATGTAAGCTTTGGTCTCTAAGAACAATACCTTGTTTTGACAGTTGTAGCAAAGAGTTGTAAATATCATGGCAATCTCTTTCTCTGGGAACAATGAAATGCACAGTTCTGAAGTTCTTGCACTGTATCACAAGGGGGCATCCAGAAGTAGTCAAAGCAAGTTTCTCTACTGAGGCAATATGGTGGTGTAATATCTACAGCATGAAAAAACATCCAGGTCATCAACATGGAAAGCACTAAATATTCTCTTCTAGAATGCATAAGTTTAAGAATGTCTTCCTCAAAAAAAGTTGAAAATGTTACATACTCACTCAAACTTCACGTTTTTAAAATGACTGAATGCCCAAGTCAGAAATATGGGTGTCACTCTGATCCCTCCTCCATCAGTCCACATACTCAAGACATTATCAGACCCTGGGAACTGCATCTCCTACATGTTTCTGTAACCCATCTACTTCTCTCTATCTCTACTGTCACATCCCTAGTTGTAATGTCCCCACTGTTTCTCACCTGAACTACTATAAACAAACAGCCTCCTAAATGCTCTCTCCATACCTACCCCTGACCCTCTGATCCATTTTCTACAACACAGTAGTGAACATTGAAAAGCAGATTAAGAAAAGGAAGGGAATCTAGTCATTTCCAGTCCCTCTCCCGATCACTGACTATGTTCTAGTGACAACAGCCTTCTTTTGGCTCCTCAAATGCACCGAGCTCCTTTACACATGGTCAGATGCTCCCACTAACTGGAATACTGTTAACACTACCTCTTCATCTAAGAACTTCTAGACACATTTCTGGTCTTTGCTCAAAACTCATAATAACACCAAAAGCGTAGCCTGACATGCCCCACAACCCTTTCCAAGTAAGTTAGGCCCCCTCCCTTTTCTTCCTGCAGATCAAGCTATACTTTTCCTTCACAGTGAAGGCCACTGTGAGGATGCCAGCTGCAGTGGGGGAGGTGCAGCCAGGGTTGCGCGCTCTGCAGAGCAGGCAAGACCTGGGAACAGGTGATCCCAGTGGAAGCCCCATACCCTACCGAGTTGGCAGGGCAGGAGCCACACTCCCGGGCACAGCTGCAGCCGCCCAGCCATGGCTCTGGACCCAGGCATCCCTGTGCTCTTGGGGGCCTAGGAAACCCCCTCCCCCTGCAGGTTCAGAAGTGCCTGCTCCCACTCCCTGGCCTCTCCCAACTCCCACTGCCTGTTCTGTGGTAGAGCAAAGTTGTGGACATGTCCCAATAGCCAAGCCCAGATACTGTCGTGATCTAGCTGGGTGTGCATGTGCTTGGGGCGGTACTGACACACCAGCCCCTAGCTGCCTTGGCCCCTCTGGAAACTGCTTCTGAGGCTGAAATTTTGGGTGCCCATGAGCACAGGAGGGAGGCTGAGGACCTTGGGGGTGGCATGGTGCAGAGTTGATCAACATTACATCTCCAGCACCTAACACAGTACCTGGAACATTATAATTGCCCTCCTCAAATCAAAAAGCTTGCAAATGTTATATATCACACACTTCAACTTTAATTTTTTAAATGTGAATGCCCAAGCCAGAAATATGGATGTCATCCCTGATACCTCCTTTATCACAATAAGAGTTTACTAAATGAATGAATAAAAAGTCCTACTATAAACTCAATACTTGATGGTATTTTAAACATATGCTTATTGTTCTCACCTACTACCAATAATATTTTGTTTGCTACTAAAAATGCCTACTTTTTCTTAATAACACTCCTATTAAAATATTTATAGAAAACTTTTCTGGAGAATAAAAGATCATAGGCTCCTAATCATGCAAGAGATCCATTTATCCCAAATTAATCTAAAAATTCAACATAAATTTCAGTTTAAAAATTCCAATCTGCTTTGTTTTGTAGTGAGGGATGATTATTTATATAATACACATATATTATGTAATTATTACATTATATGTTAATATTAATTATACATCTTAAATCTAAAGTTCACCTGCAAAATTAAATGCATTTAAATAATCAAGAAAAGCTTGAAAAACAATGAGAGAAGCAGTTGTCAATGGAAATTAAAACTACATAGAGAACAAATAATTAACACACACACACACATATATAGTCCTTACGGCTAAGATTTAGCACCATTATCACTTATATTAATGCGCCTGTGACAAGTTACTAAAAATGATCTAATAATAACATTTAAACAGAGAATAAGGAATAAAAGCTAACTGTAATATTACAAGTTGAGAACCCTTTATCCAAAATGTTTGGGACTAGAAGTATTTCAAATTTTGGATTTTTAAAGATTTTGGTATATTTGCATTATACTTATCAATTGACATCCCTAATCTGAAAATCTGAAATCTGAAATGCTCCAATGAGCATTTCCTTTGAACATCATGTCAGTGCTGAATTTTTGGATTGGGGATATTCAACCTGTACATCACTGTTCTGATTTTAATTATAAAAACCCAAAAGTATTTGCAGGAAGAAAATGATGAAGAAACCTGGTCCTACCACTAACTAGTTATGTGATTTTGAAAACATAATCAACTGTAAAGTGAGAAAAAGGATATAAGGTTGATACGGCCCCTTCTGGATCTAAAATGTTCATTTCTATGGCTCTAGTATATTAAACAAACTTCATTTAGGGCAAACATAAGGGAATATACTGATAAGAAAGCATTTAAAAGACAACAATAGGAGAGTAGAGAATAACACAGATATCTTTTTGTTGCCCCTCAAACTACATTCCCAGCAGCTGAGGGAATAGCTATACGGGAAGCCTTCATTTATATCTCTACGAGATGGATAATAGAGAAAATACTGAAGCAAGTGGACAAAGGAGGGGTAGATGGAGTGGATGATAATATGACTAATTATTTCAGAAGGTACTGCTAGGTAAAATTCCTGGCAATTCTTGGACAAACACTGGATGAAGAAGGGATCCAGTGCCTCTAGGGAATACAACTTCTCCAAGATCAGTATCTCAAGTGAGTTTCCTTAACAGCTGATATAGAATCATATATCAATTGGTTAGCCTTCTTGGGGAAATCAGAAGAGTACAATCAAAGAGAGAAAGAGAAGAGAACAGTATGACAGTATGTGCAGTACAGGGGTGTACCACAGAGCAACATCAATCTCTGGACTGGGAGGCATAATTGACCTCTAATCTTGATTCAACTGCTTAGAAAAATAGTATGAGCAGCTATGATTTACGCCACTACTATGTTTTACGCACAGATGTTTTTCATATTTTCTTTCATCTAAGACTCACAAAAGCCCTACATGATGACTGATGCTATATACCCATTTTATGTGGGTGCTAAGCTCGAAAGTTACATACTTTTTGGCAGACACTGTTGGTCTGCCATTCCTCCCCCCCTTCCTTACTTGCAACATCCTTTTCCCTCAAGAGATAAAAAATACTAGGATCTACATTCTCTGCCTCCTTTTCAGGTAGGAGTAGCCAAGTGTCCGGATTTTCAAACAATCAGATGTTAGGGAAAGTTAGCTGGGGGCCTTCTGAGAGAGCTTCTCCTCCCTGATAAGCAATGGGGCTACTGAGGAAAGCCTACCCACCTCTCCTGCTTTGCAAGGTTTGGCACCATGTTCAGTCAGGTATTCATTTACTTACAGCCAAAAGCACCCTGACATAGTCACCCAAGCAGTGAACAGCAGAGCTGACATTTGAACCCAAAGCTACCTGACAACACAGTCTACGTGAGCTCATTTTACTACTCTACACTGCCTGTGTAACAATGAATGAATTGCCACTTGCCTGAGCTTCAGCTTCTTCATCTATAAAGTGGAGGTTCTAAAAGCTGGCAGAGCTAGTGGCACAGAAACATGCCCAAGTCTCTTCCTCTCAGGCACAGAGACACAAGCCCCATATTCTAACCACCTTTCCTACTTCTTTTTCTGCTTAGCACTTATCACTATGTATTTTACTTATCTACCTACTTATTGGTGATGTTATCAATATCTTTCAGCACTAGAATGTTGGCTCCATGAGGATAGAATTTGTACCTGTTATTATTGGCTATTGTTTCCAAAATATCTAGAATAGTGATATGAAACACACTGTATATGCTCAATAAATGTGTGCTAAATGAATTCTAAAACAGAAAAGGAAGAACAAAGAATCCAAAATAGCCATGGCAATTTTGAAGAACAAGTTGGGAGGGTATGCTCTACTTGATATCAAAATTTATTTAAAAGCTATAGTCAATAAAACAGTGTGGTACAGTGTAGTCAGTATACCAAACGAATAGAAAAGAAAACTCAAAAGCAGAGCCTCACATACATGGAAGATGTTTTTATGACAGAGCTGGTACTAAAGACGAATGGAATGAAACAGTCAATAAATGGCGCCGGTCGTCTATACGAAAACATAAAAATGAATCCCTAGTCACATCATACACCAAAATATTTCCCAGATGTATTAACAACTTACAGGATCAAACTTAAGCTTTTAGAAGAAAATATAGAAGAACCTTTATGACTTTGACATAGGAAAGGATTTCTTAAGTCACAACAGAGCACAAACAATAAAAGAAAAAAATGAAAAATCTATAACATTAAAAATATAAACTTCAACTGAAAGACATATAAAATAAAAAACAGAGAAGACAAGCCACACACTGGGAAAAGCTATCTATGACACACACATCTGACAAAGCATTATAACCTAGAACTCTTTATTTGTTTTCTTGAATAATACTTTTTTTTTTAATTCAGTGGGTACATGTGCAGGTTTGTAATATGAATATACTGAATGATTCTGAGGTTTGAGCTTTGACTGAACCCATAGCCCAGACAGTGAACACAGTACCCAAGAGGTAGTTTTTCAACCCTTGTTCCTCTACTTCCCTCCCTCCCACCTCTATTAGTCTATTAATGTCTATTGTTCCCATCTTTGTGCTCGTATGTACCCAATGTTAAGCTCCCACTTATAAGTGAGAACACGCAGTATACGGTTTTTTGTTTGTGTTAATTCATTTAGAATAATGGCTTCCACCTGCATCCATGTTGCTGTAAAGGCCATGATTTTGTTCTCTTTTTATGGCTGTGGTGAATATGCACCACTTTTTCTTTATCCAATCCACTGCTAATGGGCACCTAGGTTGATTCCATAGCTTTGCTATTGTGAACAGCGCTGCAACAAACATGCAAATGCCCGTGTCTTTTTGGTTGATTTATTTTCCTTTGAGTATATATCCAGTAAAAGGATTGCTGGGTTGAATGGTAATTCTATTTGTAGCCCAGAACTTTTATAAAATCAATAAAAGACAAACAACCCAATAAAAAAAGAAAAGGAAACTCTTTCCTTTTTCTTTATCTGAAAAGGGTAAATTCTTTATAATCAGCTCATTAACATTACAATTGGACATCTACTAGATAGGCAAAAAATTTTAAATTGACAATATCAATGTTGTTGAGGATGTACAACATTGTGTAATACACTACTGAGAATAAATTGGAACAACCATTTTGAAGAGGTGACATACTTAGTAAGGTTATATATGCACTTATTCAAGACCCAATAATTTTACTCCCAGACAAATATCCCAGAGAAACTCTGGCAAATATACAGAAAGAAACATATACATATGTCTCATATAAATACACAAAATGTTGTTTACATGTATATGTACATTGCAACATTTATACTAGCAAAAAAAATAAGTACCCTAATTAAAATTTGTATAAAAACACTGTGGAATATACCAAACAATCCGTTTGATCTGTTAATGTGTACATATTTTTTAGATTTTTAAAAATTAAAAGGAACAATAGGATTTTTTTTTTTTTTTTTTGAGACAGAGTCTCACACTGTCACCCAGGCTGGAGTGCAATGGCGCGATCTCGGCTCACTGCAACCTCCGCCTCTCAAGTTCAAGCAATTCTCCTGCCTCACCCTCCCAAGTAGCTGGGATTACAGGCACCCATCGCCATGCCCAGCTAATTTTTTGTATTTTTAGTAGAGATGGGGTTTCACTATGTTGGCCAGGCTGGTCTTGAACTCCTGACCTCGTGATCCACCCACCTCGGCCTCCCAAAGTGCTGGGATTACAGGCGTGAGCCACCGCATCCGGCCTAGGAACAACAGGTATTTCATAATTATTTATGGAGATAAGAGTGTGGTATTTTATAGAATTCCATGTTACATATTCTATAACTGATTTATTAGAAGGGAGGGCAGGAGTGATCTGGAGACCAAAAAATATTTTGGTTGAGATAGGTAACCAATGATTAAAAATTGTGTTATACACATTCAAAATAAAACATGACAGACCAAGTCCATTATTATTATGATAAATAGTACAGCTGCGGTCCTCCTTACCCAGGTTTCTTTTTGATGAGAGTCGATAAATAATAGATGTGTAGCCGTAAGATACAGTGTTCCTGTTAATGACTTGTTGCTGGTACTGAATCGGTCAAGTAATTTTACTTGTTCGACCTAAAAGAAAAAAAGATATTATTTCTCATTTCAAAAGTAGTATAAATTATTTTTCTGTTAGCCCAGGACTTACATGCAACATTCTCAATTTTTTCTTCCTCCTAAAATCATAAGAGCTTATTTAATACTTACTGTTAAATTCCATATATCTTTTTGGGGAATGTATAAGCCACAAATAACATAGAGATTATTTACAGTTACAAATGTAACCAATAGAGAACCACATTGTAAAAAACAGTAACACTTATATTGAGGGTAGCAAGAAACAGGGGTACAGTACAAATAAGCAAAAACATTTTTCATACCCAAGAGTCAACATTTTTATCTAAAGTTGGAAAATCAAAAAATAAATATATTATTATCTAGTTTTAGAGTAAACTACCAGAAAAATTAAATCAGGAAACATTTAAATGGTTGCCAACTCCAACTTAGTCTCTATATTCTCTTCACTATCCCACACCAGGGCAATGATTGTTTTTTGTCCACCTCTGGGCTTTTACTCACACTGTTCTCTGTTTCTAAAATGGTCTCTTCTGCTTAGCTAAGTGGCAAGCATTCTTCAAGACTCACTAACATCCTGCCTCCTAACATTAATCCTTATTAGAAAATCAGTTCATTACTTATGTTTTGGCTTTGCATTCCTCTGCAGCTCTGAATTCCCTGGCATAGATTATGTCCTATGCTGCTTTGGCCTCCTCTACTGCCTGAGCTGATAAGGCACATAGTATGTTTTTATGAATACTAGTAGACAGACACACACACACACACACACATACACACACACACACACACACACACACACACACACACACACACACACTATGTTGCTGCTGGCGTGGAGAGTGGGACTAGGGCTAACCAGGAATGTGCAGGAGGCTACTGCTGGGAATCTTTGTGTTATTCATCCTTACGAAAAAAAGTGAAATAACCACTACCAACCTAAAAAATGTTAATTTGGGCCAGGCACGGTGGCTCACGCCTGTAATCCCAGCACTTTGGGAGGCCAACACGGGTGCATCACCTAAGGGCAGGAGTTCAAGACCAGCCTGGCCAACATGATGAGACCTCTACTAAAAATATAAAAATCAGCTGGACATGGTGGCACACGTCTGTAATCCCAGCTACTTGGGAGGCTGAGGCAGGAGAATTGCTTGAACCCAGACGGTGGAGGTTGCAGTGAGCCAAGATTGTGCCACTGCACTCCAGCCTGGGCAACAGAGTGAGACTCCATCTCAAAAAGACAAACAAACAAACAAACAAAAGTTAATTTATGTGTACCAGCAGGTTGCAGACAGTTTTTTAAATCGTTTATATCTTCAAAATCATCTAGATAGCTAAACACTAGCTCATTAATTCTACAATTTTCTCCCATATATTAATATATTTCATTACCGCCGGGTGTGGTGGCTCACGCCTGTAATCCCAGCACTTTGGGAGGCTAAGGCAGGGGAATCATGAGGTCAGGAGTTCAAGACCAGCCTGCCCAACATGGTGAAACCCCGTCTCTATCAAAAATACAAAAAATTAGCTAGGTGTAGTGGCGGGCGCCTATAATCCTAGCTACTCGGGAGGCTGAGGCAGGAGAATCACTTGAATCTGGGGGTCAGAGGTTGCGGTGAGCCAAGATTGCACCACTGCACTCCCGCCTGGGCAACAAGAGCGAAACTCCGTCTCAAAAAAGAAGGGAGGGGAGGGGAGGGGAGGGGAGAGGAGGGGAGGGGAGAGGAGGGGAGGGGAGAGGAAGGCTTTCTACTTAAAAACCTGAATAAAGATTTCTCTTAGAGGTCAACATTTATTTCACTGTTTAGGACTATTTCTCCCTTAAATAAAAATCTAGCTTCATTTTACAACACACTGCAAATCCAAACTTAAACACCTTTTAAGACAAATGGGATCAACTACTGTTTACTCCTCTTCATTGTGCGTGACTTGGCTGGAAAGGGCACTGTGGCCAACCACCACCGAGCAATTATTGCAATATAGATCTCACCTGTCTTTTTGGGTGGAGCCACAGAGCCAAACCATATCATTTCCTAAGCTATTAAAACAAAGTTTTTAAGGCTCTAACAAGAAGACAGTTGATGAATATATATGGAAATAAAGGTTACCACAAAGTATCAACACTACTCAAGCAAATAATTTGTGTCCACATCATTCAGTAGAGTTTCAAATAGCTTCTCAGAAAAAATTAAAAAGTCTACTGGCAAGTAGTTTAAAAGTGGGGAGGGGCTGATTTTATTACTATTTAAATAGGAAGTTTGCTTTAAAAAGAAATCCATGTGAAATTTTAAATTTGTGGATTTTTTGAAGATCATAAATATTCCTGGTTGTGCTCCAATTATAAACCTCAAGTTGTAACTTCTCTATGAGGCACAAGTATCTACAAAGCTTCTATACATGCAAAACAATCACACCGCTTTTCATTTGGATTTTATTCCTCTTCTGTCCATCCCCTGTTCACTATTACTCTTCCTCAGGGGTCCATTCTCTATAGGAATCTTACCTACTGTCATTATGTTAGCCTATATTTTAATGACTCCCAAAACTGTATGTCCAGCTCTGCTGTCTCCTGAGTTCACACTGTCTGCTACACAGATAATATTTCCTGACATACTAGTGAGGTCTCACTATGTGCCTAGTGCTGTGATAAGTGCTTACCATACATTATTTCTTTTAATTTTCACAACTCCTGTGTAGTATGTACTAGTACTGTCCCCACAGAAACTGGGACTTGGTGAGGTTGGTTAGTCATCTCAAAGTCATACAGCTAGAAGCAGCTAGTGGTATAGCTTAGTCATAAACCTATGTGATCTGATTCCCAAGCCAAAACACCTTCCCACTATGCTATACTGCCTCCACTTAGATGTGTTTGAGCCGTGTTATACATACTGAACGCAAAACTGATTTCCCCTCTCACCCCTCACAAATACATTTCTAATTCTGTATTTTGGATGTGAGTTAATGTTACTCCTCCATCCTTATCAAGTCACCCACACTGGAAATCCGTGAATGATCCTATGACTTCTTCTCAACCCCCAACATTCAATCAATCACCAATTCCTACCATTTTTATCACCTAAATATTTTTAAATCTGCCCCTTTCACCACTATTAAAGTAATTCCTAAATTATAATGAAAGCCTCTGTTCATGTATCTGTCTTTTCCACTAAAGACTAACATAGCCCAGGGCAAAGACTGTCTTTCATTTATGCATGAATATCTCCTAACGGTTAGTAGAGTGTCTGACACAATAAATGTTTGTTGAACTAAGATGAACGGCCACAGAAAAATTATTCCCCCAGGTGAAAACCAGAAGGTGTGCCCAATTTACCAGTGATCCCTTTTGTTGAAATCATTTGATTTATTAAATAAGATTCTTCTTTATCCCATTATACTTTTCCTCATCTCTCTGCTATCTTTTCCCTACACAGTGGGTGAACAGTAGGTATTCATTCAGTAATTCTTGAATAAACCAGCAACAAACTAAAAGCAAATAGAAAACTACTAGTAGAACACATAGGTATAGTTCAGTTTTTGGTTTTGGGTTTTTTTTCTGTGTGTAGTACATGTCTGGACTTTCAATCCTCTATCCCCACTCCATCATTCGATTAGAATAAAATCACTCCTCTAGAACTGTATAGTTCTTTCTGGCTGGGTCTCTTATCAAGGTGGGAAATTTGTGGTGAAAATGCTCTTTCCAACACTCTAAGCCTATTTCCTGACTCCCCTTAGTTTTATATGCAAAATAATCTGAAATTCTCTTTGTTAGATCTTTAATTTTGGTCAGCTATACAGGATTCAAATCCTAGCTGTTCATATGAATCACCTCTAAAACTTTGCAAAAGTACAAATCCAAAGCCTCACCCCAACTTCACTCAGTTATCTGAGGAGATGGAGACTAAGAATCCGTATTTTTCATAAGTTCACCTGCTCATCTTATGCAACTGACATTTCTTCTAACTTTAACTCCAAATTAATTCCTCTGACTCTTAACACACATGAGGCTAGCTTCCTTCTCTACCTTTAGGCTCTTTTCCCAAATATTAACAGCCTCAGCTTATCTATTTCTCCCACATTTTAAAGGAGCTTATTACAACTTTGATCCTTTAAAATGCACAACTGCTACCGGGTGTGGTGGCTCACGCCTGTAATCTCAGCACTTTGGGAGGCAGAGGTAAGGCAATCACTTGAGCCCAAGAGTTTGAGACCAGCCTGGCCAACATGGCGAAACCCTGCTTTACTAAACATATAAAAATTAGCAGCCGGGCGCAGCTTGCAATCCCAGCACTTTGGGAGGCCAAGGAGGGTGGATCACCTCAGGTCAGGAGTTCGAAACCAGCCTGGCCAACATGGTGAAACCCTGTCTCTACTAAAAATACAAAAATTAGCTGGGCAGGCACCTGTAATCCCAGCTACTCGGGAGGCTGAGGCAGGAGAATCGCTTGAACCCAGGAGGTGGAGGTTGCAGTGAGCCGAAATTGCATCACTGCACTCCAGCCTGGGCACAAGAGCAAGACTCTGCAAAAAAAAAAAAAAAAAAAAAAAAAATCAGCTGGGCATCGTGGTGCACACCTGTAATCCCAGCTACTTAGGAGGCTGAGGCATGAGAATCACTTGAACCCTGGAGGCAGAGGTTGCACAGAGCAGAGGCTGAGTCATTGCACTCCAGCTTGAGTGACAGAGCGAGACTCTGTCATAAAATAAAATAAAACAGATGCACAACTCCATTACATGCACGCACACACTCAAACACACATACATCTTTGAAGAACATGTAGATAAATATATACTATCAGGAAAGAGTTTACTAATTCACTCAACAAAAATGT
Source organism: Homo sapiens (assembly GCF_000001405.40). NCBI lineage: Eukaryota > Metazoa > Chordata > Mammalia > Primates > Hominidae > Homo > Homo sapiens. The sequence goes on from NC_000013.11 coordinate 25,279,017, forward strand.
ACTGGCTATCAACTAAGGGCCAATCTATCTGTATCTCATTTCTTTATCTCTAAAATAAGGACAATAATCTCTTTTCAGAAAGCTACTGAAAGGTTGGATAATAAATGTCAGGTACTGATATGGTTTGGCTCTGTGTCCCCGTCCAAATTTCATCTTGGATTGTAATCCCCATGTGTGCAGGAAGTGACCTGGTGGGAGGTGATTGGATCATGGGGGTGGTTTCCCCCATGCTGTTCTCTCTTCACAGTGAGTCCTCATGAGTTCTAATGGTTTTAAAGTGGGACACTTTCCCCCTTTGCTCTCTCTCTCTCCTGCCACCATGAGAAGACGTGTCTTGCTTCCCTTCACCTTCCACCAAGATTGTAAGTTTCCTGAGGCCTCTCCAGCCATGTGGAACTTGAGTCAATTAAACCTCTTTCCTCTATAAATTACCCAGTCTTGAGTTGTTCTTTATAGCAGTGTGAAAATGGACTAATACAGGTACTTTATTTGCCTAATAAATATAAGCAATAATATTTGTGCTCAAGTAAATATTTGCAAAACTACTGTAGTTAGTAATCTAGTCAAGTAGGTAGAGCCCTGACAGTCCTCTATGTCAAGCTACTATCCAGATAAGTTCAAATGGAGAAAGGAAGAAGGATGCGTATGGAGTTTAAAAGGCAAATTCCATATTTTAAGGTGCTCCATAGTTGGAAGAAACTACTGTAAATGATGAAAGCACAGATCAGCAAAATGTTCTTCACTAATGGGAATAGGGAAAATACAAAATTCTCAACAGAGGAAATATAACATTTATGTCTCAATAGCAGAGGTTTATCTGATGAAAAAAAAACCATATGTTAAGGTACAAAATCTGTGCTGTAGATTAAAAAAGATACAGAGGTTTTTAAGCACAGTAGTCCATTAGGAAATATGGCTTGTAAGATCATTCCAGTGTGAATGTGGAGAAAATGCTGAGTTGATTAAGGGCAACCAGGTAAGAAGCTAATGAAGCCATCTAAGTGACTGGCTGATATAATTAGGGCCTGGAGTAAGCTGTGACAGAGAGGAAGTCCATCTTGAGATAATAACAAAACTGATAACGGAAGGAAGAAAGGAGGAAAAACAGAGATTCCTTAAGGGTTTTAAGCTTGTCACACTGGTTGCCATTCACTAAGATAAAGTAGTACAGAGAAGAAAATGTCTGAAAGGAATGTCTTTAATATAACAAACTGAGGACTATCTTAGCATAAACCAACTTATATTCAAATCTATATAACAGAAAATCATTACATACAACTGCTTCAATGGGTAATCTCCATATGAATGTGACAGATAGTGAAATTAATCTGAAATCATTCCACAACATTTATTTAGTATTTACACTAAAGTTCTCAAGAAAATAAGAGAATTTCTGAGAAAATACACTGATTATTTTGCTCTTTGTGGCAAATCCCACCCCTCACCCCTAAGGAGGGGAAATCAAATGTTTTTCTTTGCTAAAATCATTGGCATACAAATTTCAAACCACAGACTTAGTCAACTTCTAAAAACCAACTGCTTCTTTATATTTCCCCCTTTCAGCAAGGAACTAAAAGTATTTTACAGATGTTGCTACAGATTTTCCCCAGTCTGTTCTTGGAAATGTATTAAGTCAGATGTTTAGGAAGCAACTACAATTCTTTCTGGTCACTAACACTGAAGTACTAAGAAACTATTAGGATCCTTAAATTATAGGTATCATCACAGCCAAAAAGTAAATGAAAAAAAAGAAAAAAAGACTTTGGGAAAAGAAAGAACAAACGAAAAACGAAAATGTGGCAAGGAGAAAGGAATTGGAAGATGTCGCTTTGGTGAGGAATGGTAAATGCCAACACACATTACTTTAAGGACTATTTAGTTGAATTGTTGCCAACTATGGGCCTGCACTAAAAGGTACCCTAATGGTCCAGGCAGAAAGTTCAAATTTCAGCCAATTATAAAATTAGAACTGGAAAACACAGAGAACCCCACACATACAGAATCACACTCAGAAAATGTTGGGGCCACTACAGGTGTAGTAGCTTACGCTTGTAATCCCAACACTTTGGGAGGCCAAGGCAGGAGGATTGCTTGAGACCAGGAGTCTGAGAACCAGTCTGAGCAACATAGTGACACCCTCATCTCTACAGAAAAAGAAAATTATTTTCTAATTAGCCAGGCATGGTGGCATGCTCCTGCAGACCCAGCTACTTGGGAGGTAAAGGCAGGAGGATCGTTTGAGCCCAGGAGGTAGAGGCTGCAATGAGTTATGATCATACCACTGCACTCCAGCCTAGGTGACAGAGCAAGATCTTGTTGGAAAGGAAAGGAGAAAGACAGGAGAAAGGACAAAGAAGAAAGGAGAAAGGAAAGGGGAAAGAGAAAAGAGGAAAGGAAAAGGAAGGAAAGGAAGAGAAAAGAAAAAAAAGAAGAAAAGATTCCAAATGAAAAACACAGGGAGTCACACAAACAGAATCACATTCAGAAAATTCAGACACCTCTTTATCCCTGAGGAAAAAGTGGCCTCTGGGACAGGAAGGGACCAATGGCCTTCTTCAGACTTCTGTGACCAACAGTTGTACTTATTCTACAACTACATAACAATAGACGCTGTGGCTACTGAAGCAGAAAGTGCACCATCACTGTTCCTCTGGCTTGTCGCACTCCTTCCCTATAGCCAGGCACTCATCTAGGACTCTCAGAATCATTTCACACTGACATCCTGCCAAGAATTAGCTTTCAAAAAGAAAGCACATCAAGTTGTGTGCAGGAAGTGGAGGGCAGAGATTATGGTTTCTGTTCATGTATCCCAATTTCTAGAACAGTGTCTGGCTGCATAAATTATCAAATGAAACAGTCATGGACCTCAAGAGGGGAGAGAGTAACCTCAGATCGTAAATCCAGTGGGCACTTTTCAGTTTTTTCTTACTTTGCTTATTCCATCAATGGCTTCCTATCTCACTCAAAAAAAGCAAAGATTTTACAGTGGCCTTCAAGACTACAGTAACTTGCCCCTGTCCCCCAACTTTAATCTTCTACTGTGCTCTTCTTCACTCACCCTGCTCTAGCTGTCTTGCTTGTTCTTAGCAACCAGGCATGCCCTCAAAGGGTTTTTGCCCCTGTTGTTCCCTTTGTTGGGACTCTCCCCGCCATCCCCCATGTGGGGATGGCTTACTCCCTCACCAGTTTCAGGTTTATACTCAAGAGTCACCTTCTCTGTAAGAGCTTCCCTAACCACTCAATTTATAGCAGTCCTCCCTTAAACCCCCTCCTCAACCCTCATACTCTTCAGAGCCCTGGCTTGCTTTATTTTTATCCACAGCATTTACCACCATCTAACATACAATACATTGAACTTAATTTTGTTTATTGTTACCTCTTCTCCAACTAGATAAGTTATAAGGGCAGGAGTTTTTGTCTGAACCTAGAACAGTGCCTGGCCCAAGGAGGAGGAAGCAGCCAGAGGATGGAGCAGAGAAGGAAATTAGAACACGGAAGACTGTCACCTTCCCATCTGTGCTTCACCTCTTCCAAATGCATCCGGCTTCTCCTCCTCTGCTTGCTCGCCCTCTTCTTTTTTCTTTTTTCTTTTTTCTTTTTTTTTTTTTGAGACAGAGTGCTGCTCTGTGACCCAGGCTGGATGCCGTGGCACGATCTCGGCTCACTGCAATCTCCATCTTCTGGGTTCAAGTGATTATCATGCCTCAGCCACCCAAGTAGCTGGGATTACAGGTGCCCGCCACCATGCCCAGCTAATTTTTTGTATTTTTAGTAAGACAGGGTTTCACCATGTTGGCCAGGCTGGTTTCAAACTCCTGACCTCAAGTGATCCTACTGCCTCGACCTCCCAAAGTGCTAGGATTACAGGTGTGAACCACCATGCCCGGCCTGCTTGTCCCTTTTTAAGTGTTTAGACTTTTCTCCACAGAGTCTCAACATATTCTCCTTGCATAAACTCATTCACAATAGAAATTTCAATGATTTACCTAAACACAAACAACTCCCTCCCAAATCTACTCAAGGCCAGACCTTTTCCCTCACACTAGATCCTCACATTCAGCTAGCTACTAGAAAAAAATCTGACCACCTAAGCTTCTTCTATCCACCCCTCCTCTCTGTTCTTACTCACACTGCCCCAACTGACTAATCAAATCTCTTGATTAGATTATTATTCTGTGAGGCAAGAGAGTGTGGTTAAGAGAATAGGCTTGCTATCAGAAAGACCTACATTCAAGTTCCCACCTCCACCTCTTCTTTGGTAGAACTAACTGTGTGAGCCAGGACAAGTTATTTTATTAATTCTCTCAGGGTTTCAGTTTCCTCACCTGTAAAATGGGATAGTATTAGTGAAAATCAAAACAACACTTTACTTGGAAAAAAGCATTCAGGTGCTCCTCAAAACCTATTGGCTTTTATTTCAAAGACAATTTAAATAATATCAGTTTCTCCTTATTCTTGATCCATTCTTATTTTTATATCTCCTTTCTTCTTTCAGAGGGAAGGTATATTTGTATACATACATAGATGATCTCACATTCTAATGACAAAAAGAGGGAGCAAGCTAAAGAACATGTTAGGCATAACTTTTGGAATAACTCAATTTGGGCCTTAGTAGGATCAGATTTTTATGGGACATTCCATTTGATTACAAACGCTAGCAATCAGCCTTTCATTTATAGCTTAAAAAAGGTTCTTCCATTCCATTCAGTAAAGTTCCATTCACAGGTAAGACAATATCATTTGACATCAATATATAATGTCAGCCAAAGTACTGGCAGGGAAAGGAGAAAGACTGCATAAAGAACTGTCTCTGCATATTTCTCATTGTTTCTTGGCAGGACTATGTCATTATGGCAAAATGAGAGCTCAAAGCGATAGGTAGTAGCTGCATGATTCATAAGTGTAGCTTGGAAATGCTCTTTCAGAAATCCAGATTCAGGGACTTGGCATCTTTGATGCTATACAGTTAGTAAACCAAATGTGACCAAAACAGAATGATAAATATGTTCATTAGTATTCAGCTAAAATACTTAATCTGATAAATCTCTGGTTAGCAAGCAATAATGATCCTAAATATTATTTAAAAACAATACCGCATAAATATTATTTATTTATGACAAAAAGAGGTTTGGGGGGGAAGCTCTTAGAATTATCATCAGCATTTATTTCTGAATTAATACTAATGCACATTTAACAATTAGATTAAAACTAGAGAGGCACTGGAAAGAGCATACATAGTCTTTGGAGTTAAACACACCTTAGTTTAAATACTAATTCTATCTCTTGTGAACTAATTGAGCAGGTTACTTAAATTCTCTAAGCCTATTTCCTCCTCACCTATAAATGGAGATAATACTACCCAACTGACAGGGTTATTTAAGAGATCAGTGATGATAATGTATAAATTAACAGATTTATACAATTGTACATATTATAAAGTAATAATATTGTATAATTGGCTATATTGACATATAGTTGCTCAATAAATGGTAATTATTACTTTTCAAATAGAGCTGACTGAACAACAAAAATCACTAAATAGTCATAAAGGACACTCTACGGTCAATTTTGATCCTAATGACTAAACTACATAGAGGTCAAAACAGCTAATAAATCTAAAACAATCCACTTTTGCTTTTTAAATACTTACACTTATTTTTGCAGCAAACTAACTAAATCCAGGTGAAGGCTATGCATAATGGAAACAAAAGTTTGGCTATGTTCAAACCAATCTTTTAAAAGTAAGTTATTTCCCAATACATTAATAATTTAAGAACATGTTACAGTCCCCACAACAATTAACAGAATGTACCCTGAGGTCCACCTCTATCTTGCTGTTATATACCCAGTGTCAATACAGTGTCTGGCACATACTAGGTACCTAGAAAATATTTATTTGCGGTCTACATACACTCACTTAATATTACTCCAGAGTAGTGATCCAATACTAGAAAAACAACCCAAAGTAATAAAGGAGCATATTTGAAAAGTAGTTTTAATAGACAATTCATCAGAAATTTCTTAGTCTCTAAAAAGGCCTTATTAAACCACTAGCATGAGACCACTGTGTAAAGATAAGTCAAAATCAGAGCATTACTTGAAGAAAAGTTCATCAGTTGGTAGATAAGGAGGAATATCAGACAAAATGAAAGTCACCAGTGACAACTTTCAAAGAGCTAATAAGAGGGGCTACAACTCTACAAATAAAAACAAAGATATATATTCATAATAAATTGAATGAGGAAAGATTTAAAATAACCAAGGGATCCTAAATATTTTCCAAGTCTGTTCACTCTTATCATCCACCTAAGAATAGGATTTGCTCTAGTTGATCAGATTCAGTTTACTTTTACTGATTTTTTATTCTTTTCCGCCCCCCCCCCCCCAATTATGTCACCCAGGCTGGAGGGCAATGGCGCAATCTTGGCTCACTGCAACCTCCACTTCGTGGGCTCAAGCCATCCTCCCATCTCAGCCTCCCGAGTAGCTGGGACTACAGGTACATACCACCCCACCCGGCTTTCTTTTTTTTTTTTGAGACTGAGTCCCGCTCTATTGCCCAGGCTGGAGTGCACTGGTGCCATCTTGGCTCACTGCAATCTCCACTTCCCCGGTTGAAGCAATTCTCCTGCCTCAGCCTCTGAGTAGCTGGGATTACAGGCGCCTGCCACCATGCCCGGCTAATTTTTGTATTTTTAGTAGATATGGGGTTTTGCCAGGTTGTCCAGGCTGGTCTCGAACTCCTTACCTCAAGTGATCCGCCCACCTCGGCCTCCCACAGTGCTGGGATTACAGGCGTGAGCCACCGTGCCCAGCCTTTTACCGGTTTTCGATTGTGTGCTATGCACCGTAGAAAGCATATGAAAAATAGAGGAGCTTCGAACTGATGCAGAAGGAAGTCACGTGCACTTAGCTACTACATAATACATATCTGGAACCAATACAAGAACCTGATCCAATGTCCACTCTAGTCCTCTTTTCCTCTGTGCACCTTCTACGAGTTTGGTTATAGACTTAAGCACCCTTCCATTTTCAAAATTTAAGTACCCACAACTTGAATTCTCAAGTTATTTTATCTTTCTTCTCTTAAAAAAAAATGTTAAGGGGTTAGTTTTCAGAATCTTCAATTTTACTAGATACGGTATGCACAATGTTAAAGACAAGCTCCAATAAAAATTTATGTATACCTTTAAAAGGTTTGTGAAACATTTAAAAAATTTTTAAAAACACAAATTCTTCTTGGAACAATGAAGATAACGAACATCTGTGGTTCCCTAAATGAGCCGTAATTTTAAGATGGGCAGCAACTAAAGGGCTTCAGCTTTGCCAAAACGTCAAGAGGCTGCCTTGCAGTGGGCTCGCAGTGATTTTAAAATGTTATTCTTCTCGTCTCGATTTATGTTTTTCTCCCTCTCAAAGTTAAACTTAAATGTCGTTGGAAACGTAATTTGGTAACATTCTGATGTCATTTCCTTCCGTTTTTAAATTTGTAACGAAATAAAAATATTTGTTCGTTCTCAAAATGAAGGTCTTCCACACACAAAAATTAAGCATGGAGTGCAATAAGGTCAATCGAATAAAGCTGCATCCGACCTTTTAAAATATGGAATAACATTTTTCCCTTCTCCAGAACTCTTGACTACTGACACAGGACAATGCCTGAAGTATGAAGCACAGACACGGAAACACCGGATGCGAAAGACTGGAGACCGAGACAGCAAAGGGAGGTGGAGCGGAGTGCTGATCTCGGTTCCTCCAAAACTCGTACTGTGAATCTGTGACACGGGACAATGAAATGTGAGCAAGGACAAGCTTACACAGCATCATAATGTTAATTTGAAGACGGTTTTCCGGTTGATGAGGCAACGAAAGGCTGAAAGACTCCAAAGTTAAAGGAGCCCCAATTTTGCCCGAGAAAACGTAGAGCTAGGAGGGCGGTGACCAGTTTTCCCAGACTTATCTCTACGCACTCCAAGATGCTGAAAGTGGGACCCCTGCTCCTGTAGGTACAGGAGGCCTCTGCACCCCGCTTGGCCCAAGCTAACCCTGCCCTCCCAGACCAGGCCTGGCCAGACCCTCCCGCCCCGGGCCGGGTCTCCGCCGGGCCGGCTCCCAGCCCCAGTCAGGCCAGCAGAGCCTTCGTCTCCTCCTGCCTCAGCCGGGTCAGAGCAGGGCCCCTGAAGACTGGCGATCCCGCGCCCGACTACCTTGGTCGTCCGGATATGCTCCATCGCAAGGAGACGTCAGCCGGCAGCCGGTCTCACAGGCGTACCATACGGCTACAGAAACAGGGCGGTGACAGCGACAGAGAGCAAGCGGGAACTCCCTCCACCAGCCAGCGCCGCGGGTCTGTCTGCCGGCCCCGGTGGCGTCAACGGCGCAGGTGCAGCCGGTGAGCGCCGTCTCCTAGAAACACTTCCCCAAACCCCGCGGCCTCCCGGGGGACTCGGGGCAGGCAGACAGAGCGTGTGTGGACCGAGAGCGGCTTGCTGGTTCGTCCCGGACAGCGGCGGATCCCACAGCGCCCCCTGCTGGAGGAGGCCGGTACTGCTCACCACCCCACCCGAGGCGGTCTTTGTCATCCCGCCGAGCGGACGCGCGGGGCGGTCGGGGAGGAAGACTGCGTGAGAATGGATCCCGAGTAAAGGGTTCTTGTGGGGTGAGGGCAAGAGTGGAGGATGTTCTGAAGTCCATCGCCATACCACTGGACAGCACCAAATTTAGTTTGAGCTGCAGTTCTACTCATAAGAATGTATTCTAAGGAAATAATCAGATTTGGAGTTATTATTCTAAGGAAATAACCAAATAAGGAAACCAGCCTTATTTGAAACAATCAACTCTCCAATCCTACGGATTCCTTATGTAAAGTATGATGATTAGCTAGTCCTCAATCTGGTCTGGTGTCAGAGTCCCGCCTCCTACCTCAATTTCATACGATGTTAGCACCAGCATCCATTAAAACTCATCCTGTAGAGGGATATCACATAACGAAAATGTTAATGCTGCATTACTGAGTGAAGAAAAAACTGACTATGGAACAATAAGTTCAATGTAGCCGTGCTCTGTAATTTTTATTTATGTAAACAAAAAGTTTACATTTCTAGGTGAGGGTTACAGGTAATTTTTGTTAGAACACGTCTAATGTGGTACTTCTCAGCCTGGAGTGAGTTTTCTCCCCGGGGGACATTTGGTAACATCTGGAGATATTTTTGGTTGTCTCAAATGGTGGTGGTGGGGGGGTGGCGGCGGGGGGCAACTGGTGGGTGGAGGCCAAGTCACAAGTCGGCTGCTGAACACCCTACTAGGCACCAGACCAACCCCCCAACTACAGGGAATTATCCGGCAGATGACAACAGTGCAGAGGTTGAGAAACCCTGCTCTATGCCAGGCGCGGTGGTTCACGCCTGTAATCCCAGAACTTTGGGAGGCTGAGGCGGGCGGATCACTTGAGGTCAGGAGTTAGAGTCCGAGAAACTCTGCTCTACGTTTTGTAAGTATTCTGTACTAAGCCGGTTAAGGTTTGTAATCTTCATCTTTCATACTGTGATTGGTGTTAGAAAAGCCTAACATCTAAATTTTCTTTTATAATTAAAAATTTTGTTTCACTTATTTGTTTCATTTTGTTCAAGTTGTCTTGGTTTGTTTTGTTTTGAGTGCCTACGATGTTTCAGACAGATTGCCAAAGCAATGGAGATGGTTATTAAACACAACAGCCTTTGCGGTGGAGTTGCTGACTCCTCTAAGCTAAATATGTAATAAGAGTTACATTAAACCACCTAGAAACCAACCTTAGTACAGTATCACATCCACCCCCTCCCCCCGAAAAAAAACCCCACAAATCCTGCTCAGAAAAAAAAAAAAATATATATATATATATATATACACATATATATATATATATATATACATATATATATATATACACATATATATATATATAGAGAGAGAGAAAAGTAATGTAGGTCTTTACTGAGGATTGCTTTTTGAGAAAACAGAAAGAGGTGAATTGTATAGCATACAGCAAGACTTTCTTAACAAAACTTTTTATATCATTTTCCTCCCAATTTACAACTTCCTCCTTCCCCATTCCCCTACAGATTATCCTCCCTCTTCTCATCTCCTCACTTCCTGTGTCCTCTCTTTACCAATTCTCACAGAGAGGCAATCATAATGATGTCAGGTGACCAAATGTACTGAGTGCTTTACGGGTATTCTGAGGAAAATGCTATTGCTTTCTTTATTTTAGAGATGAGACAAGCGAGACACAATGAAGTGAAGTAACTTGCCCAATATCACATAGCAGATAAAGCCAAGATCCATGTTATAAAGCCAGACAGGCTGACTTCAGAGTCTGTATTCTTAACAACTGTTTTACATTGATTTGCTTCTCAAAATCCATATTAAAGTTCTATTTATGTTAATATGATAGGCTAGAAAATTACCTAGCTTTACAGAAAGAAAGTAAAATAACAGATAAAATATTAAATGACGTTTCTTTGACTCTTGAGTTGAATACTCTTGCACTAGATAGAATATTCCTTATGGTTAAATCTGGCAATCACTCAGTTCCATTATCTTTCCTCGAGACATCTCTTTAGAGGTCTCCAGATGCTTCTAGGAGCCTTTTCTCCTTTTGCTCCAGTTTGCACTTGTGTTCTCTGAGCCTACTGAATGGATATTATCCTGGGACTCTCCTCACCATGGGCCTGAGAAATGTGTTGGTTACTTGTGCTGAATTTTTAGATCCTGTGGTTTATCTTTCTTGATTTACTTACTTGCATTGTTTTATTCTGATGTAGTATATTCTGTATTAACTTCCTGAGAAAGGGTGAATGGAGCATAAATCCTTGACGGGAAGTTTGGCTAGGTCTAGAATTCTGTAATTTTAATTAGGATTTTGAAAGCTCCCAGAGACATATCCTGACTTTCAATGCAGTTGTTCAGAAATCCGCTGGCATTCCGATTTCCCTTTAGGTGTCGCTTCTACTTTCTCAGGATGCTTTTTGGATCTCTTTATCTCCAATGGTCTAAAATTTCAACATAATAAAACTTAGCTTTCTTGTTTATTTTTCTGCCCAGTGTTTTGAGCTCTGTAATCTGAAAACATAAGTCCTTCAATTCTGGGACATTTTCTTGTATTATTTCTGTAATAATTACTGTTTCGTTCTTTTTCCTTCTTCCTTTTTCTTTTTTCCCTTTAAAAATTTTTTTTATTCTTCTCACCTCTCTTCTCTCCCTCATCTTTCTTCTTTCCTATTTCCCTCCTGTCCTTTCTCCTTTCTTTTTATTTTGTTTTATTTTTATTTATTTATTTTTGAGACAGGGTCTCACTGTGTCACTGAGGTTGGAGTGCAGTGGCACAATCTCAGCTCACTACAGCCTCAACCCCTCAGGTTCAAGCAATCTTCCCACCTCAACCTCCTGAGTAACTGGGACTACAGGCGTGCACCACCAAGCCTGACTAATTTTTGTATTTTTTGTAGAGACGGGTTTTTTCCATGTTGCCCATGCTGGTCTCAAACTCTCGGGCTCAAGTGATCTGCCTGCCTCAGCCTCCCAAAGTGCTGGAATTACAGATGTGAGCCACTGTGCCCAGCCCCTTTCTTTTTTCAGTAGAAATTCCTGGTCTGACTTCCTAATTTTACTATTCTTTCACTCCTATTTTTTAAGAATTTACCTTTCTAATCTACTCTCTAGGAAATTCTTAATACTTCATTGTTTCTAATATTTTTAGAATACTCCATTATTTCTAATATTTTTAATTGCTGCAATTATATATATGTACATGTGTGTATGTATGTGTATGTATATATATATACACACATATACATGCACATACATATATAATTGTAGACAAACCTTGTGCTCAGATCTTGGATTCTTCTTTTTCTTCCTTTTTTGTCTACTGAGCACAAGGTTTGCCTCCCAAAGTGCTGGGATTACAGGCATGAGCCACTGTGCCTGGCTTATATTTTTAATTTCTAAGTGTTTTCACTTTAAATAGACTTTATTTTTATTTATTTATTTATTTTTTAGAGATGAGGTCTCGCTATATTGCCCAGGCTGGAGTGCAGTGGCTGTTCATAGGTGTGATCATAGTGCACTACAGCCTCAAACTCCTGGGCTCAAGCAACCTTCCTGTCTCAGCCTTCTGAGTAGCTGGGAATACAGGTATGCTATACCACAAGATGCTCCAGGCTCATCTTGCATCTTTCCCACCCCAGCCCTAGAATCATCCATTTCCCCAAGGAGCCCTGGTTCCTTTTATTGGAAAATGTTATTAGAATCCAAGATCTGTTCTGAACCCAAGATGACCTAACTGGAAAAAAAAAGAATCCAAAATCTGAGCACAAGGTTTGTCTACTAGAATGTTATTGTTTCTAAGTGAAGAGATCTTTTTGGTTACATACATTTTCCTATTTTTCTTTGTTTTTCAGTTTGTTCATTTATTTGTTTTCTAGCCTCCTGCTCTGATACATGTAAGAGCTCATCTCTCCTAGGTGAATAATAGTTTTCATTTATTTATGTATTTCTTGTAATTTTTGCTTCCTGAACCCTATTCCTTTTAGGTTCTCTCTACGTTTGCTGTTTTGGTCTCTGACTTTGATGTCAGAAGCGATCCTCCAATATCTAATCATCTTTAATGGTCCTTTCCAGCAATAAAATGCTGATTGGAAACTTACTCTTTATAGGAGAATTTGCCTATTGTTAAGCTTCATTATTGAATGATGGGGTAGGGGCTTGGTACTTTTGTTGGGGGTCCCTACATCATTATTTGAAGACCCTGTGCATGTGAAAGGCACAGGGAGCTCTGGGAACAGATGTCCTGTTAGCAGCAGTAGCTGAGTAGAAGCCCCAGTCAGGTACCATATATAGGATCCAGATGATCCAGGCCATCTGCCTCTCTGTTGCCAGCTCTCCCCTTGGTGATTACTGCAAGGAACAAAGAGACCCATTTCCCCTCAATACAAGGGGTGGGAAATGAAGAGACATTGGAAAGAGAAGAGGTTCATTCACTAATATTTGTTTTATTGTTAGTAATATTTATAAAGCACACGATCCAGTTTCAGAGGATTCAATATGCACCTGTGTTCCTACATTCCTATCCTTCCCTTTAAAAATGTTGACATACAATAAAATTCATCAGATTAAGCATTTTCTGCTGCCTGATCTCATCAATTATGCCAAGAGCACACTTAATACTGTTACAATTCAATTGAGTAGTCCACTGCAACTTACAAACTAATCTGAAGGAAGATAATCAGGAAGAGACTTGTTTTTAGGGTTAGTTAGACTGGTGAATATCAAAATACCAGTGTAATCATTGACCACAAGAAAGCAGATGGGAATGAAAGTCAGCATGTTCTCTTCCTATAAAGCGTGGGGGGAGGTCACATTACAGTTGAGAAGATTGCTTAGTTAGCATGAATTCAGAGCAGGGGAAACTAGCTGCATGATAGGAGAGGCTGTTGCCATTCAGCAAAGATCTTGATGCATCAGCCAGCCTATCAGGATGTACCAACCACAAGAAAAGGCAGGAGGGGCTCTGGGCCAGGCAAGCCTCTGGAGGCAGCCCTGAAGATTCATTATTTGAGGGAAATATTAGATTTCCCTAAACTAGGCCTCATTATTGAACAATCCTCCCTCTAAGGGCCCTATTCTGCCTTTAGATATGCCATTTCATCTGCTAGGTTCATATCAAGATGTGGTATAGAAGCTATGCTGTCTTTTTAAGGAGACATATCTGTAACTTAATTAATTTTGTTTTAATGTATATATTTATAATTTCCTTTATCATCCAACTTCTAGGAGACATCAGGTTTTTTCTTACATGTGCCTACAAAAACAACTTAAAATAGTGACATGACTAATATTTGATGATTTTAAGAAAATATCATTTTCTTAATTGACTTTGCAATTAAAGACGGAGTTTTTTTGCACAAAAAATTGAAAGTTAAAATTCACAAAAAGCATGAAAGAAACTACTATTACGGTTTGAAATAATGAGGAATCAGATTTTTTTTTTTTTTGAGACAGAGTCTCACTCTGTTGCCCAGGCTGGAGTGCAGTGGCGCCATCTCAGCTCACCGTAAGCTCTGCCCCCTGGGTTCAAGCCTCAGTCTCCTGAGTAGCTGGGACTACAGGTGTGCGTTACCACACCCAACTAATTTTGTATTTTTTAGTGGAGACGGGGTATCGCCATGTTGGCCGGGCTGGTCTCGTACTCCTGTACTCAAGTGATCTGCCCACCTCGGCCTCCCAAAGTGCTAGGATTACAGGCATGAGCCACCATGTAATCAGAGTTTTCTGCATTTGTTTCTCTGTAATGTTTAATGCTTATTTTTACACCACTAAAAAAAAAATGAAAAGTGCCCCTATAAAAGGCACAAGAGATATTTGATATTTTTATTATTATGTAAGAAAATATTTTACATTTAACAATAAAATATTGGTGCTTTTTTTGGGGGGGAGGCTTAAACAACAGAAATTTATTGTCTTGCATTTTTTTTTTTTTTTCTTTAAGTTCTGGGATACATGTGCAGAATGTGCAGGTTTGTTACATATGTATTAATGTGGCATGGTGATTCGCTGTACCTATCAACTCATCATCTAGGTTGTTTTGTTGTTGTTGTTGTTGTTGTTGTTTTGAGATGGAGTCTTGCTCTGTCGCCCAGGCTGGAATGCAGTGCATGATGATCTCGACTCACTGCAACCTCTGCCCCCTGGGTTCAATCGATTCTCCTGCCTCAGCCTCCTGAGTAGCTGGGACTACAGGCACGTGCCACCACGCCCAGCTAATTTTTTGTATTTTTAGTAGAGATGGGGTTTCACCTTGTTAGCCAGGATGGTCTCGATCTCCTGACCTCGTGACCCGCCGGCCTCCGCCTCCCAAAGTGCTGGGATTATAGGCGTGAGCCACCGCACCCTGCCGGCCCATCTAGATTTTAAGCCTTGCATGCATTAGGTATTTGTCCTAATGCTCTCCCTCCCCTTGCCCCCTAACCCCTGAAAGGCCCCAGTGTATGATGTTCCCCTCCCTGTGTCCATGTGTTCTCATTGTTCAACTCCCACTTATGAGTGAGAACATGCGGTGTTTGTTTTGCGGCTCCTGTGTGTTTGCTGAGAATGATGGCTTCCAGCTTCATTCATGTCCCTGCAAAGGACATGAACTCATTCTTTTTATGGCTGCATAGTATTCCATGGTGTATATGTGCCACATTTTCTTTATCCAGTCTATCACTGATGGGCATTTGGGTTGGTTCCAAGTCTTTTGCTATTGTAAATAGTGGATGCTTTTATAATTATGTTTACTGTTTACCAGCGAATGGAATATTATAAAAGCAATCACAATTCCTAATCTTGGTGCTTCTTAAGTAAGCATAAATCGTTAAAAGAGCAAAAATATTTCACTTGATTTCGTTTCTTGGCTTTTATTTCTAGGAGTTTTATGGAAGAAGGTGAAGTCTATGATTAGAATTCTCTGTGAAATCAAAGATATCTGAATTCAGATCTCATTTCTGCCACTTTCTAGCTGTGAATTTAGTCAAATTATTTAACTTCTCTAACTCTTGATGTCCTTATCTGTAAATAGTGGTACTTATCATTATGTTATCCATTGAGTTATTTGTACAGGTTAATGAAATAATGAACAGAAGTACTTAGCATAGTAGCTGGCCTCGATAAGTGCTCAATAGCTGGATATAGCAGCCTTTGCCTATAGTCCCAGCTACTCAGGAGGCTAAGGCAGGAGCAATCAGAGCTCACTCAGCTCACTTGAGCCCAGCAGTTCGAGGCTGCAGTGAGCTATGATTGCACTATTGCACTCCAGCCTAGGTGACAGAGGAAGACCCCCATCTCTAAAAATAATAATAATAAATAAATGCTCAATAAATAATAGTTGTGTGTATGTACATGTTAAGCAGAATAAATCCTAGAGTTCCCAGAAATATCTAGATACCTGTCGATCCTCATTCTAGATCTTCACCATGGAGTTCAGAAATGTGCTTGGATCAGGCTGTGTTCATTTGGGGAGACTGAACTTGTCTCAGGATGAAATTTGTCTGAATGCACTGTATACTGTATTCAAGTGATCACATTATGTACTCTGCACCTCTGCAATTGAGGAGGTACACCTGGCCCAAGGAAGTGCACATGTCCAGGTTATACTCATGCTGGGCTGGAGGAAGACATACTAGTATTATGTTTCCATAAGGTTGGTGTGATGCTTACTCTTTCAGGATCTAGGGGTTCAGAGACTGGCTCCTCATTCTGTCTTTAAAAAGGTTACTAGCCATTTTTTTTTCTAAGTGTCCTTCTCTCTAAATCCTTTAGATAAGTAAACCTTGATGATTTAGCCAAGTGGTATCTGAGTCTGGGTTTTTGCACTTGCTATTGACATTGGCCGACACAGTGGTTAGTCATGCTCTAGTCTACATGACCACTTTATTGAACACTGGGTTCTGTGGGGTGCGAGCAGACAGTATCTTTCTTTTGCTCCACCGCTACCCTTCAAGCCTGCTTTGCTGGCTGTCTCTTCACCTCTCCTCAATAGGAGCTTGAGTTGATCCTGGAGAAGTACCTGTTTCTCTCATATTTTAGAGTAATCTGACATATATACTTCAAAATGTATCCAGTTCAAAGCTTCTCCTTTTCCCTATACCACCCAGGTTTGATGACAGTGGGATGGAGGTGGGACGGGGTAGGAGAATCTGTTTTGACCGTCTTGGCCCACTTTCTTCCTGCTTGCTTTCTAGCTCCTGTTTTGGCTCCCCGAGCATCAGGTCTTACTTGACAAAACCTTTTATAATCTGGCATCACTGATTTGTGTGCAGCAGATGCCTGAATGCCTCCTCTTTCTCCCTTGGGCAACTCAGTCAATTACTTAACCCTTCATCCAACCTCTGGGGCTTGCAGAATGCCTTAATTCCCTGAAGTAGGTGCAGCTCTCTCTAGTTCATTTCTTACAAGCTGACTCTTGGTTTCTGATATACACAAAGCTTGGCTACTCCTGTTTTTCTGGATTCCCTTGAAACTTGTCTGTGTCTATACAATAACTCTGTGTTCCCACACCTCCCCCATATATGCACACACTTATGCTTGAACTACCTTGAGAGAGTTCCTATTCTTAGCAATAAAAGAGGTCTAATTAGATTATGGGGAAACTGCTCAGAGCAAAGGGAATTGGGCAGGCTTAAGGAACTTTTATCCATGACATGGAAAAGACATGAATATACTCCTGCTTCATGGAGGTGGACATCTGTCTAGTGACCAGAATATGTGTATCCGTCAAGCACAATGACTTGTTTCCATGAAAGGTGAGAGCAATAAGTGCAGATATATTGTTCCTCTTTGGCTCCCATTTTTTTGAGACTACATGTTGACCACTGCCTTTCTGTTGGCGTGTTTCAAGGCAATTACATAATAGGTTGTTGGTGGCATTTTTATTGTTATATTCCAGCCCTATATATATTATTGACTTCTGTCAATCTTGGATATTTCCTAGGTTTCCTCAGTAACGCATGTAAAATTCATCTTTTGGGGTGAACTCCTACTAAAAAGGTATATTACATTTAGTTATGAATAATAAAGATTCAGCTCTAATGGACTAAATAACATACAAATAGACTTTTCTCTCATTTAAAAGAAATCTGAAGGTAGGTAGTATAGGGCTGGTATGGTGCCTCTACAGTATACCATCACGACCTAAGCTCATACTATTTTTTTGTGATACCCTCCTTTGCATATGACTTCCATTCTTAAAGTCACTCATGGACCAAGATGGCTATTGGAGATCCAGCCATTGTGTCTAAGTTCCAGGTAGTAGGAAGAAAGGAGAAGAAAGTCAAAACAGATGTATGCCAGCTATCTGTCCCCAAGAAAATGAGTGATTCTGGAAGTCTCATCTCATGTTTCCTACCCACCTCTACCTATAGAGGAAGCTGGAGACATATAGTTGTTTATCTGGTTAGTTTGCCACTTTGGAGAAAACTGAGGTTTTAAGGAAGAAGGAAGGAAAGAATAAATATTGGTGGCCAGAAGACAGCGTCCATCATTTATCTTATGTTGACATTGCTTAGTTTCTCTTCTCAGCCTTCCTTATCCACTAAAGTTGTCAAGTCATAAAAGCAACTTTTTCAGGTCCCATCTCTGCCAATAGGAAGGGTGTATTTCAAAATAAATGACTATAGTTTGAATTACATACATTTAGCTTTATGGATAACTCCTTACATTTATTTTTCTCATTTATTGGGTGATGAGTGAAAAAATTCATCAGGAAATAGACAATTACTGTTCTGACCTGTGATTGGGAACTTTTGTTTTAACTTTAAGCTTTTCCCCCTTAACTTTGTAGTTTGAAAATTTCAAACCTACAGAAAAGTTGTAAAATTATTACAATGAACACCCATATACCTTGTTTTGACAGTCATCCTATAATTTGCATTATTGATTTATCTCTCTATATACATTTGGTTGTTGCTGTTGTTCAATCACTTGAGAACTTAATGAATTTTTAAAGTGGAAGGACACTACTCAAATATTTAAAACCCTAAAATATTTAAGACCTTTTCTGAGAATAATTTTCAAGATAAAGACTGTGATTGAAGGCAAATGGTTACATGTAATTTCTAAAAGATAACCTCTTTTCTGGATATTTCAGAGGACCAGAACTGGAGATATTACAGACTCCTTTCAATAGACTTCAGATTCCCACTTCTTTTCTGTCTTAGAACCGCTGCTGAGAGAGGTTCTCAAATGGTTATCCTGATCTGAACACCCCCACCAAAGCAAACCTATTTTAGATATGTTAATGCAAACACAAATTAGAAGTTTTAGCCTGGGCAACACGGTGAAAACCCATCTTTACAAATAAACAAATTAGCCGGGCATGGTGGTGGACACCTTTATGTAGTCCGAGCTACTCGGGTGGCTGAGGTGGGAGGATCGCTTGAGCCAGACAGGCAGAGGTTGCAGTGAGCCAAGATGGTGCCACTGCACTCCAGCCTGGGCACAGAGCCAGACCCTGTCTCAAAAAGGAAGAAAAAAAAAAAGTAAATTTTTTACAGTGCTATTTCTGTTTGGATAATTCAGTTTGATTATGACATTAACAATGTCATCATCCTGCTGGCAAATCAGCAAAAGATGCAGTTCTCTAACAGAATGCTTACAATATAAGAAGCAAGGAAAGACAAGATGGCCTACTCTAGAATTTAGAATCTGAAGCACTTGCTTCATCCCTGGAAGCAGCAATTCACATAGAACTGACACATAGGTTCAAGTCCTCTAATGTTAAAAAGCGTAATATTTAGAAGATCCTTTGGGATAGGATTTGTTACTCTACCTAGACTAGGTCAGGAAGGTTAAGCCAGATTCCAGTGCTCCATGGTTCTGCTCAGTTGCAGATAGGATTCAGACTTATGTATGCGTAATGCTCAGTTACTGCTATTTTACTGTTTTCCATTCACTAACCAAACCATTGAGCTTATTGAAAGCTGCTTTCTTTGGAGTTTCATTTCTGTAGAATGTAAGGATGTAATTTCTTTCTTCACTAATAGGACAAGCGGCACAAGGTATATGAGATGAGAAGGGGTCTCCAAGATTTAGTCTTATACTTAGTGCATCTAGTGGTAGATTGCAATACTGCTCATCAGATATTCCAGATTTTGTCTCTGCAGTGCTCCTCCTTGAGTGATTTGGGGATTTATTATGTAGTATAACTTAAAATATTCTGCCAGATACAAGGCAAGAAATGCTACACTAAAATTTTGATAAAGTTGAAAGGATAGTTTGCTTGTTAATTGGAATGGCTTCCCCCAAAACCCAAACTTTAATCTAAGTCAGACTTCCTTTATTTCTTTTATAAACGTTCAGCTTCAAAACAGTTATAGATGTGGCTGGGCGCGGTGGCTTACGCCTGTAATCCCAGTACTTTGGGAGGCCGAGGCAGGCAGATCACAAGGTCAGGAGATTGAGATCATCCTGGCCAACATGGTGAAACTCCAGCTCTACTAAAAATACAAAAATTAGCTGGGCATGGTGGCGCATGCCTGTCATCTCAGCTACTTAGGAGGCTGAGGCAGGAGACTCGCTTGAACCAGGGAGTCGGAGGTTGCAGTGAGCCAGGATCTAGCCAGTGCACTCCAGCCTGGTGTCAGAGTGAGACTCCATCCAAAAAAAAAAAAAGTTACAGATTTACAGAATTATTACATAGTGTGCTCATATTCCTCACACCCAGTTTCCCCTATTAGGAAATTAGTCCCTATGATATTTTTACATGTTCTTTCTTTCCTGTGAATATTACAAGTCTTGTTCATTATTATATATTTAAGTGCCAGCCATTTTGCTATTACTAATTGTAGGTTGGTATTCTTCAATAGTTTTGGAAAGAATACACGAGAAAATCAAAAGACATAGGGAGTGCCTTTCTATCTTCCCATAAAAATCATCAGGATCTTTTTTTTTTTCAGTCAAAAGGAAGTCTCCTAGACTTTATGTGAACAATCCTCTTACTGACCACCCTATAGCCATCACTGAAAATAGCTTTCTCTATATCACCGAAGCTTTAAAACTCACAACAATCTTTTATTTTTGCCTCCTGTTCGATAACTATGAAGTTTTTATTTATATCTTAATCCAAATATATCCCTTTTTTCTTTTTTATCATTCCCATTATGACTTCTATGACGTTTAAAATGTTATGGCCGGGCACAGTGGCTTACGCCTGTAATCCCAGCACTTTGGGAGGCCGAGGTGGGCAGATCGCTTGAGGCCAGGAGTTCAAGACCAGCCTGGCCAACATGGTGAAAACCCATCTCTACTGAAAAATACAGAAATTAACCGGGCGTGGTGGCGTGCGCCTGTGATCCCAGTTACTTGGGAGGCTGAGGCAGGAGAATCGCTTGAACTCAGGAGACGGAGGTTGCAGTGAGCCGAGATGGCACCACTGTATTCCAGCCTGGGCAACAGAGCGAGACTCTGTCTCAAAATAAAGTAAAATATAAATTAAATTTAAAAAACAAAATAAAATGTACGTTTCTTTTTAATTATACAAACACAGAGGTGGTGTATTAGTCTGCTTGGCTGATACAACAAAATACCATAGACTGAGGTGGCTATAACAACAGACATTTACTTCTCTCAATTCTGGAGGCTAAGTCCCAGATAAAGATGGGGCAGTTTGGGTTCCAGGTGAAAGCCCCTTCTTGCTCTGTCCTCACATGGCACACAGAGGAGAACAAGCTCTTCGTTGTTTTTTCTCATAAGGGCACTAATCTCGCCATGGGCGACCCACCAAGGTGACCTCATCTAAATTGAATTACCTCCCAAAGGCTCCATCTCCAAATACCAACATATTGGGGTGGGGTAGGGCTTTAACATATGGATTGGGGGAGGAGGGAAATAGTTCAGTCCACAGCTGGTGGCAATGCCCAAGCTCAACGGAAGATTAAAGTACTGAATTAGGGAGAACTGTGAGATGAGGTTAGAAAGACTAATCATACGGAGGTCATCAAGTGCCAAACTAAAGAGCCACTGGGCTTTTTAGATCATAAATCCGGGGGTTGCTTATGGGATGGATTTTGTTAGAGATCACGAGTAGGAAAACCATTTGGGGGAGTAATGTAACAATCCCTGAGGGAAAAATAAAAACTAACACTATGATGACAACCCTCGAATGCACCACCACCAGGAAGCCTTTCCTGATGCTTCGCCAGAGAGGTTCTCTTTAAACGCGAATTTTTCTTGAGTTATCCTAGAAATGTAAGTTACACCTCACATTTCGCCTTCTTTCGTACATGTTCCTGTGCGTTTCCTAATCCTTCCACTTTGTAGTTCCTCCAGCACCGGTTGTGTCCGAGGGCCCTTCTGGCGGAGCCACACTCGCTCGGCCCAAGGTCCCGCCCTCCAGCATCAGGATGCACGGACAGTATTTGTGGACTTGACCGCATCCCAGGAAATCCAGCGGGCCTGGCCACTTCTGGGCGCCAGGACCACAGCCGGCCACCCCACGGACGCCTGGGACGCTCTTCTGGGCCCCCTTCGGGGCTGGGCGTCGGGCTCGCAACAACTGCGACCAACTGGCTCCGCGAGGCCTGGGGCGCAGGGGTGGGGCTCACGTCGTGGGACGGTTGCATGGATTATTTTCGATTGATTTCCGAACCTTCAGGAAGCAGACACGCTCCCCTTCCTTCTTAGGGATGGGGCGGCAGCCAACGAAAGCCCGAAGCCGCCTCCTTTTCTGAGTGGGGAGCTTAGAGATGCTCAGGAGGGACCTCCCCGATTCTGCGATTCTGAGCATCAATTTTGGCAGGAGGCTAGATAGAAGTAGCAATTGACATTCATCACCCTAAAGTGCGGATTATGTCAGTACAGATGCTACGATAGAAGAACTAAAAAATGACAGAAATGGTTTTACTGTTTTTAAACTCTGGGAGCCTACTCCTTTAAGAGATTAGGCAGTACGCCTATTCTCGCCTGGTCCCAGCGTACCTTGCGCGGCTCGCCGTCCCCCACTCACGTACCAGGGCTCATTGCGTGACGGTTACACTTCCGGCGGGCTACGTGCGCGCGGCGAGCGCCGGGCGTACTTTTGCGTGGTTGCTCCACCCCCTCAGCCTTGCCTTCGCCGCCGTTGGGGCTGGAAGTTCCCGCCAGGTCCGTGCCGGGCGAGAGAGATGCTGCCCGGCCCGCCTCGGCTTTGAGGCGAGAGAAGTGTCCCAGACCCATTTCGCCTTGCTGACGGCGTCGAGCCCTGGCCAGACATGTCCACAGGGTTCTCCTTCGGGTCCGGGACTCTGGGCTCCACCACCGTGGCCGCCGGCGGGACCAGCACAGGCGGCGTTTTCTCCTTCGGAACGGGAGCGTCTAGGTAACCGCACTTTCTCGCCTTCCTGGGCCGGATTCACCCCCACCCCCACCCCCGCAAAGCTCCCTTGGTGTCCCCATCCTGTCTCTTCCCTCTGGCTTCCTTCCCAGTGGGGCTGGAGAGAAGCACTTAATCTAGCCGCCCGGCGTCGTAGGCCTCTCGCCGCGGTACCCGGGCCCAGCGCGGCCTGGTGAAGTGGAGGGCGGGATGGGTTCTGTGCTGTGAGGTTTCCAGAATCCACGTATAGTTCAGGCATTATTTGGACCTAGTGGGGTCTTGACTGCGTGGAAGGGCCTTGGGGTCTACCCCGGAGCTTTAGCGATGTGTCAGTCTTAGGCATAGAATGAACATTGAATGAATGAATGAAATTATAGCATACTGTGGAGTTTTATGATAGATAATTCCGATTTCATTGCAGCATTTGCGGTTTTGGATATGACGGTGTTTTAATAACTTTGTGGTTTTTAACCAGCTTTTCAAGCTTTTGTGCCACATGGGACCTTATCTGTTTTTGTTAAAAAAAACAAAAACACTTTTTTACAGTGTTTATTAGTGGTAATTTTCTGCAGTATGTGCAGATTAGTATATCTGATGCGAGAATGTTGTGTTGTAATAACTCAATTTGTCTTTTACTTAAATTACAAAACGTAGGTAGCATGTTCCTTGTTTTTGTGCAACCCATTAGTTCAGGTGGCGACAAAAACATAACTATCCAGAAAGAAACAAAGTGGTGAGACATTTTAATGAGAGATTTAAGCTTTAGAACTCAATTTTTTTTAAGATAAAGGTGGAGGGGTTCATAAAGTTAAGGAGTGTGCACACTGTCAACAAGATACTTCCTGAAGCTTAAAAGATGTGGCTGTAGATTTAAAAGGCAAATACTTAAGCATGACCTGCAGTTTAAAAAGGGAGGGAGGAGGAACCACGGACTACACAGTCAATTCAGAAATTTGAATTTTCATCCATACCTCCGTTATTCTTACTCTACTCGCTCAACAACAGGTTCTGATAATGTTACTTCTGCCATTTCTGTTTGTCTTTATTTCCAGTTCCACAACCCTGCTTAGGCTATTGTCATTCGTGGAACAAATATTTATTGGACAGATTCCCATGTGCAAGGCTCTGTTTTAGGTATTAAGAGTCTTGCTCTCTTGATCCTTACATTCTTATGAAAATAATTTTGATTCTTGTCAGATTTTTAACCAGCTGTCTTTCTTGTTTTAGATGAAAACTACTCCAATCAACTTCTTCAATCTGTTCTGCCACATTTTAGCCAGAGTAATTGAAAAACAAAATTCCCATTGCTCTCTCTTTAATCATTACCCGCCATCGTTAGAATGAAGTTTAAAAAAGAAAAAAAAACTTACCATAGTCTGCAAGGTCCACTTCTGCTGGAACCTCTGGGGACTCATCTTGAGCGGGACTCATCTTGAGCCCATCTTTTTATTTTAGCTATGCAGACCCACTGTTAAAAACAAACACACAACTACCACCCTAAATAACTGAAATGAAGTTTCAGAGAAAGATACCCTTACTTCATGGGATGCACTTTGATATTTTCTATTTCTTTTTTTTTTTAATGTTGCTTATGACTTGATGAATTAATTTTTATATTTCTCTCATGGTCCTGATCTTAGAAAGCCTGTCCTAGCAACATGGCCTTTTCTCTTTTCAAGTGGGCTTTGCCAGCCCCTTCCTTGCAAATATCAAATGGTCTCTTCCCCAGAGAGGCCTTTTCTGACCTGTCAGTCTAGGGGAGATTTCCATTCTCCTAGTACTCTTAGAGTGCTGATCACAATTGTAATCAGTTTGTTATATTTATTGTTAACTTGTTTGTTGTCAGATCTCAGCACTAGAATAATTAATACCTATGTCTCTCACTGACTAGAAACTGCCTGAGGGCAAGGTCTGAGTCTTAATTTCCCACCTCATTGTCAGTCCCAAGGACAGTGCCTGGCATAGAAAAAGGGCTTTAATAACAATTTGAATGACTGAGCAAATGAGTTATTAGTAATAAGCTATAAAAAATTACCCAAGTTTTAGAGAGGCTTGGATAAATTAATGAAAGAGGAGACTGTCCGACATAAATTTGTTAGAGTGCTGGTTGGGAGGCCTGACAGCCCCTAGTGCCACCTAGTGATTTGATGTCTTGAGGTTGGTCATTTTAGGGGAGTTCTCACATCTGGAAAAGGAGTATAATATATTACCTGAGTTGATGAGTGAGATGAAGTATTTAAATATTTAGCATCAAGTCTGGCACTTGCTAAGTGCTCAGTAAATCTTAGCTATTATGTTAGCTACCAAGTCTGCATTAGGGCAAGCTGGGCAAGTTAAAATAACATTCCAGATGTGATTGAGTCAAGTTGGCTTTTCTACAGTACATCCTATCAAGTCCTTGGCAGATAACATTGGTTTGAGGCAATAATTGGTCAAGTTTAGGGTAGCTTTTGCTTTTCTTGAATTTAGTAAATTTCACTGCCACCAAAATTTCTCTCTTGCTTTTGTGGTAGAGAAAAATTTCATTTTGATGTGTTTCTTTGGCAGTATTTTCAACTTTCATTATGTAATACTTCATAATGTCTTCAGTTATGTTGTCAAGATTATATATATATATATATATATATATATATATATATATATGTATTTTTTTTTTTTTTTAAGACAGTCTCACTCTTGTTACCCAGCCTGGAGTGCAATGGCGTGATCTTGGCTCATTGCAACCTCCACCTTACGGGTTCAAGCAATTCTCCTGCCTCAGCCTCCCAAATAGCTGGGATTACAGGCACGCCACCACACCCGGCTAAATTTTTTATTTTTATTTTTGGTATTTTTAGTAGAGATGGGGTTTCACCATGTTGGCCAGGCTGGTCTCAAACTCCTGACTTCAGGTGATCCATCCACCTTGGCATCCCAAGGTGCTGGGATTACAGGCGTGAGCCACCACACCCAGCCGGCAGTAATGTTTTAGTATCCCCCAAATACTCATTTACCCTACTCCACATTATACACACAACAGTGTCAAAATAACAATACGATCAGACTACTACCAGCTAAGCTAAATGTTTTGGCATATATGCCCCTTTTATGGTTGTACTACCTATGTTGTCTGGATATAGCCATTACATACTATATTCTTTTGCTTGTAGCGCTCACTTAGGTTTCTGTGTGTGTGATCTCACTTAGTTTTGATTGTAGCAATATGTTGTTAAAAATACCTTTTAAATTAAGACTAAATGTTTAAAGATCTGTGGGGTTTTTTTTTTTTTTTTTTTTTTTTTTTTTTTGAGACAGGGCCTTGCCCTGTCTCCCAGGCTGGAATGCAGTGGCGCAATCTCAGCCCGCTACAACCTCCACCTCCTGGGCTAAAGTGATCTTTCCACCTCAGCTTCCTGAGTAGCTGGGATTACATTCAGGTGTGCATTGGCACGCCTGGCTAATTTTTGTTTTTTGGAAGTTTTTTGTTGTTGTTTTTTCGGTAGAGAGAGTTTCACCATGTGGCCCAGGCTGGGCTCAAGCTTCTGGGCTCAAGCAGTCTGCCTACCTCAACCTCCCAAAGTGCTGGGATTACAGGTGTGAGCCACCCGGCCTGGTCAAGATCTGTGTTTTAATTGTTAGCGAGAGCTTACCGCCCTGCTTTGTCTCCTGCCTCGCCTTCATATGCCCAAGGTGCACACAAACACATTTTAAAAATCAGTACTTCTCCTTTTACCTACTCAGTATGGATGGCACATCTCAAGTTCTACCCTTAATAAGCTCCTCCACCTCCATTCCCCTCACAGTGATTAGCTCTTTGCCTCAAACTTCTGCAGTATCTCTTTGCCATCGTTTGGTACTTGATTATAATCTTACTTATAGTAATTCTAAACTTACTGAAGGTGTGTACATTTCTACTGCTTGAATTATCTCCTGCTTGAGTATTTCTTTTCCTCCTTGTCTCCCAGTGTTTGCAAAAATTTGAGTGGCTTCTTAAGCTGATTATGAAATTGAAGACACCCGGACCCAAGTAACTTGGAGAACTCTTCTGGCTTGGAGTACAGTTATTTGTGTTGTTTATCCCCCTGGTAAACGGCATGTTCCTTGACTAGGGGACATCTTTCTGCTCCCTTGCTATTCCTGGCATAACGCCTTGTACATAATATGTTTAGTTAAATTTATAAGTATCCCTAATGATAACAGTCATAACAACATTTATTGAAGTTAATTCATCCTGTGCTCTGAACCCTTATATTTAAAAAAAAATTCTGCTGGCCGGGTGCGGTGGCTCACGCCTGTAATCCCAGCACTTTGGGAGGCCGAGGCAGGTGGATCACGAGGTCAGGAGATTGAGACCATCCTGGCTAACATGGTGAAACCCTGTCTCTAGTAAAAATACAAAAAATTAGCTGGGTGTGGTGGCAGGCACCTATAGTCTGAGCTACTCCGGAGGCTGAGGTAGGAGAATGGGGTGAACCCGGGAGCCGGAGCTTGCGGAGTGCCACTGCACTCCAGCCTGGGCAACAGAGTGAGACTCCGTCTCAAAAAAAAAAAAAAAAAAAAAATCTGCTAAGTGGGTACTGTTAATTCCTGTTTTGCAGATGAGGAAATAGAGGCTCAGAAAGGTTAAGTAATGGCACACAAGTACCAGAACATGGGGGGATTGGTACTGGAACCCAGCCACACTACTGCTGCCAGGGCTTTTGAGACTTTAAAAATGACATTGGGTTCTCCCATGGTGATTATTCTTTATGGAAGGGCAGCAAAGGAAATAATAAAGATAAATATGTAGGATAAAGAGAATTTGCCATTATGCTGTATAGTCTCCCTTAAATCTCCTACATAATTTTGGAAGTGTCAACTTGTCAAAATTTGCTTATTTTCACAGTTTGTCTTCCCACCTTTTCATAGCAAATCTGAACCCCTGAGTCTTGATAAGAGTAGTTGAAAAGTTGTGAAGTTTGTTCACTTTCACTTGTTTTTATCAGCTGTTCTTTTTTTAAGCTTTGCACTGTGCTCTGAAGAGTTTCTGTTAATGAATACATGATCCTGAGACAGGGTGATTTTGCTTTGCGTTTAACTTTTGCCAGGAAATGTCCCCACTAGTTTTTCTATGCTTTTTTTGGTGGTAAAATACCTAAGTCTATACTCTCCCCAACACCACATTGCCCCATGAATGTGGTAATGTAGCAATGGAAAGCTAGTGAAGATAATTTAAAATAACTTTTCTATGACCATTTAAAAATATGCTAGGTTTCAAACATTGGTGAAAGCAGAATAATTGTGATCCCTACTTATGATTACCTTGAGATCTGGAATCCTTATTGCTGTAGACTGCTTTTCTTGAAATCTGGTATTGTATTTTTTTTTTTTTTTTTTTTTGAGAGGGAGTCTCGCTCTGTCACTCAAACTGGAGTGCAGTGACACTATCTCAGCTGACTGCGACCTGCCTCCCGGGTTCAAGCAATTCTCCTGCCTCAGCCTCCTGAGTAGCTGGAATTACAGGCGTGTGCCACCACCACACCTGGCTAATTTTTGTATTTTTGGAAGAGACGAGGTTTCACCCTGTTGGTCAGGCTGGTCTCGAACTCCTGACCTTGTGATCCACCTGCCTCGGCCTCCCAAAGTGCTGGAATTACAGGCATGAGCCACCACACCCAGCCTGAAATCTGGTATTGTATTTTTTAAGACTACTTTTACATGTGGATTTATTTTTTTTTAAGACTACTTTTACATGTGGATTTATTTTTAAGGAAGAACAGAAACATATTTGAACTTGATGGGTTAAAGGTAAATTTATTTTTCTTTTTGGGTCCTATGACAATGTATTAGATATGTTATGTGAATGAAATTATCTTGAAGAGTTAATTTTTATTTTTCTTAAGTAAATATTGGCTCTAGTAGACCTCCTTTTGTGCATGTGATTTTTGTTTTGTTTTTGTTTCTTTAAATAAGCAACCCTTCTGTGGGGCTCAATTTTGGAAATCTTGGAAGTACTTCAACTCCAGCAACTACATCTGCTCCTTCAAGTGGTTTTGGAACCGGGCTCTTTGGATCTAAACCTGCCACTGGGTTCACTCTAGGAGGAACAAATACAGGTGAGGAGGATCTGATCACATTGTCAGAGAGTAGGCTTGGGATATTCTTTCCTAAATTGTGTCCTGTATCTCTCTTTACAAGGATCATCACTGGTAGTAGACCTTAAAAAATGGTAAATGCTAAGATGAAAAGAAATGCAAGGAATTGGAATTAAGGGCTAGTGATAGGCCCAATCATTGACTGTCATCTACTCTGATATAACGAAGGAAAACATACAAATATTAATTTAAATTTTTGGATTATATAATGTAGTGTTTTTCCTTAGTGGAGATTGTGGTTTAAGCCAGCTTTATCAATTTGGAACATTAACATACGTGAGATAATCAGCACCCTTACTGTAACATAATTTCTATTTTTTTTCTTTTTTTAGATACACAGTCTTGCTCTGTTGTCTAGGCTGGAGTGCAGTGGCATGATCATGGCTCACTGTAGCCTTGCAGCCTCTCGGGCCCAAGTGATCCTCCCACCTCAGCCTCCTGAGTAGATGGGACCACACGTGTGCACCACCACGCCTGGCTAATTTTTTTTTTTTTTTTTTTACTTTTTTACTTTTTGTAGAGAAGAGGTCTCCTCCTGGTCTTAAATTCCTGAGGTCAAGTGATCCTCCTGCTTTGGCCTCTCAGAGTGCTGGGATTATAGGCCTGAGTTACCATGCCTGGTCTATAATTTACGTTCCTAAGAGATGTTTTACATTTTTGTATTATTAAAACAAAGTGGGAAAAGGGCAATAGGTAAAGGACTTGAAGGTTTCAAAACAATAGAAAGTTTTTGTTTTTAGTACAGCTGGAAAAATAATGTTTCACTGGAGCTGACCATTTAAAAAGTTTGCTTCTTTATTTACCCCTTATTTTCTACCCTTAGAGCCTCTTGGTCATTCTTACTACTTTTTGCGTTGATCTTCCAGCTTTGAGTGCAGCACATTTCACAGCCACATCTAGAAAATGGAAGAACTACAGGAATAAATATGAGCAGATTAGTCAGTGAGCTGCTTGAGACAGCTCAGTATAGCATTTTGTTTGGAGTTGCTTTTTTTGGTCTTGCTTAATTTTGTTATAAGCAATAGTTATTTGCATTTTATAAATTTTATTCCTTAATCAAATTATGTATGGCTTGTAATATGAAAACCAGTGCTATGGGAAAAATGCGTGATTAGTGGCAGATACTATGATATGTATTGTTCTAATTAGAAGTGTTGTCACTCCCTGAGGGTGATTTTAAGTCTTTCCCTTATGACAGGTAAACCTAAAGAATGTCATCTTCATTGATGATTAAATTTTATTTCTCTTTTTGTCCCCAGGAATAGCAACAACTATAACTACAGGATTAACTCTGGGTAAGAATTTTTGAGGAAAGATCCCAGCTCTGTGGTCTTCTAATAATTTTAATAAATTGAGTGATCTTTCTACTCTTCTCTCTTCTAATATTTCACAGAGCTGGAGTATAGAAAAAAGTGTGTATCACAGATGGTGACTTATCGGAGAACCTTTCAGTATTTGAGTAGTGAAAAAAAGGAATGACTTCGTAGAGTACTTTTATAATTCAGAAAAGTATTTTAAATGCAGAAATTGTTTTTAATGTGGAAGTTTATTTCATATTACTTTTTTAGTCATTTGACTCCAGTTAGTGGAAAAAACACCAAACTTTAAGCCAGAAATTTTGGAATTAAGCCTCTAAAATACTTGTGAGGCCTTAGGTAATGTTTGGGGCTTTTAGTTATCTATAAAATTGAGGGTATTGAACTAATATCCAAAGACATAATACTTTCTGTAGTGTTAACGCTAAAGGGAATGTGAATAACTAGGGTTTCAGCCAGCTTTCAATCTGGATGGCAGTAAACAATGTGAAAGGAAAGGAAAAGGAAATGAAAGAACATTCAGAAGCTCTTAAATTGAATTTTAAGTTAAAGGAAAGGAAAAGGAAATGAAAGAACATTCAGAAGCTCTTAAATTGAGTTTTAAGTTAAGGATTGGCAGACTTTCTTCATTTGGATGCTACACCTGTTATTAACAGAAAACAACACATCTGTTTATCAGCAAAGTTTTGGACTGGATCAGCTGCAAACACAAGCAAGTGAATCTTCTTGTTTTCTTTTTTGCTTTTTTTTCCCCTATCAGACAGGTTCTTCCTCTGTTGCCCAGGCTGGAGTGCAGTGGCACCATCACAGCTCACTGCAACCTCAAACTCTTGGGCTCAAGCGATCTTCTCTGGGGTTCCCAAGTAGCTAGGACTACAGGCACATACCACAACCCTTGGCTAATTTTTTTTTTTTTTTTTTTTTTTTTTTTTTAGAGACGGAATTTTGCTCTTGTTGCCCAGGCTGGAGTGCAATGGTGCAATCTTGGCTCACCGCAACTTCCGCCTCCTGGGTTCAAGTGATTCTCTTGCCTCAGCTTCCTGAGTAGCTGGGATTACAGGCATGTGCCACCACGCCTGGCTAATTTTGTATTTTTAGTAGAGATGGGGTTTCTCCATGTTGGTCAGGCTGGTCTCGAACTCCCAACCTCAGGTGATCCACCCGCCTTGGCCTTCCGAAGTGCTGGGATTACAGGCGTGAGCCACTGTGCCTGGCCTTTTTTTTTTTTTTTTTTTTTTTGGTAGAGACAAGGTCTCAGTATGTTGCCTAGGCTGGTCATGGACTCCTAGCCTCAAGCCACGTGCCCTCTTTGGCCTCCCAAAGTGCTGGGATTACAGGCTTGAGCCACACCAAGCCTGAGTCTTGTTTTCTGAGGTTGTAACCCCATACGTGATTTCAAAGCACTGCACTCTGGCAGGAACTTCTAGTTGTGATCAGGGCAATCCAGAAGCATAGTTTCTGGCTTCTTTTCTCTCAGTGATTTCAGGTTAAGTCATGCAGGTCATTCATACATTTCTTTATTTAATATTGTTTGAGCAGTTACTACTTCCTAACCATGCAGCCTTGTGTCTACATAATGCCTTGAACATTGAATATTGTGGCACTGCTGGTGAGGATGGTCCTTGATGATGACATTGGGAACTGCTAAGGGTTGGAGCAAGACAGTCAGTCTGTTGTGAGGTGAAAGGGATAGGCAGGTATATTAACATGTTCTTGTATAATCCGATAAATGTCCTAAAAGATGTAGAGGCACCATGAAAGGCAGAGGAAGAAAACAGTATGGTTTACTTTATGGGCAGGAAGCACTTCAGAGAGAGGAGTGGCAAGTGCAAAGGCCCAGTCATAAAAGCGTTCTGGGAAATATGAAGTATTTTGGTTTTGGAGCTTAGAAATCAGAGGTGGAAATGGTGGGCAGAGTTGAGAATTGAGGAGCAGGTTGGGACCAGATAGGAAAGGGAGGTATATGTCGTGCCTTTAGACTCTATTTTAAAGACAATCTAGAGCTAATAGGAACCTTAAATTGGGCAGAATCACCAGGATATTTGTGGGGGTTTTTTGTTTGTGTTTTCTTTTTGTTTTTGTTTTTTATGAGACGGAGTTTTGGTCTTGTTGCACAGGCTGGAGTGCAATGGCGTGATCTCAGCTCACCACAACCTCTGCCTCCCAGGTTCAAACAATTCTCCTGTCTCAGCCTCCCGAGTAGCTGGGATTACAGGCATGCGCCACCACGCCCAGCTAATTTTGTATTTTTAGTAGAAACGGGGTTTCACCATGTTGGCCAGGCTGGTCTCGAACTCCTGACCTAAGGTGATCTGCCCACTTTGGCTTCCCAAAGTGCTGGGATTACAGACGTGAGCCACGGCACCTGTCTTTTTTTTTTTTTTTTTTTTTAAGGTAACCAAGATAATTTTAAGAATAGATTAGAGGTTAGAAGAGACTGATACCAGAGAAATAAATGCTGTTGTAGTAGTTCTTAAGAGAGATATGGCCTAAGCTAAGGTTTTTAAGGATGCTTGTAGTACAGGATATTTCTGAAGTAGGATCGACAGGATTTGTAACTAATGGAGTACAGGAGAAGGAAAGGATGTCAAGGATGACTGGTTTCTGGCTTAAGCAATTGAACTGAGCAAGGTTGGAGATATAGCAAAAAATGTTTGTGGTGAGATATGTAGGAGGCCAAAGGGACATCAAGATAGAACTAGACAATGAGGACTTAGGTAAATGTCAGTTTAGACTTAATCACCTGTAGGAGAAATGATGAAAGTGGGTGTGTCATTGGGGAAGTAAGGAGGTAGGAATGGAACTCTAGGAAGTGTCAGTTAAGACATGAACAGAGGAAAGAGAGCTACAGAAAAAAAGGACTGAAAAGGAATAGGGAGACAGCTGGGGGCTGACAGAGACACAAGGGCCAGAAGAAAGGAATAGAGAATGGTTATTGATAGAGTATTAGAGAGGAGGGACCATTTTTCTGCTGAGAGGGAAAGGAGGAGGATAAATGCTGCATTAGAGGTAAATCTAGGAGTAGAATAAAAATTGATATGTTACATCGATTGGATTTTCTTTTCTGTTTTTTTATTTTTTGAGACAGAGTCTCACTCTTGTCTCCCAGGCTGGAGTGCAGTGGCACGATTTCAGCTCACTGCAACCTCCCCCTCCCAGGTTCAAGTGACTCTCGTACCTCAGCCTCCCGAGTAGCTGGGGTTACAAGTGTGCACCACCACATTGAGCTAATTTTTGTATTTTAGCTAGAGGCAGGGTTTCACCGTGTTGGCCAGGCTGGTCTTGAACTCCTGACCTCAAGCAATCTGCCCATCTTGGCCTCCCAAAGTTTTGGGATCACAGGCGTGAGCCACTGTACCTGGCCATTCTTTTGTTTTTCTTAAAGAGCCATCTTTTTTGTGTTCACCATGGTTTAGTCTCAACTTTTACATATTTTCTCTCACAGATACACCCTTCTTCTATTGGCAAAAGGTAGTATCATGAACTTTTAAGGATCCTTATTGAAACCAGTATAATAGAACACTTACAGGTAAAGTAGGATTTTTGTTTGTTTGTTTATTCATTTATTTATTTAAATAGGAACGCCAGCCACTACATCTGCAGCTACAACAGGCTTCAGTTTAGGATTCAATAAACCTGCAGCATCTGCCACACCATTTGCTCTACCTATTACCTCTACCTCAGCTAGCGGTCTGACTCTTTCGTCTGCTCTGACATCAACTCCAGCAGGTGAGGCAGAATGAAAAACCGTTGCATTTAATGGTTAAATTTCAATTTTATCTGGTTAGAGAACATAGATAGTCACCTTACTACAGAAATTATTGATTTATAAAGAAGAAAATTCAGCTTTGAGCATTGAAGCAGGAGAGGCTGTCTTGATGTCCCTATTTAGAGAGCAAAGCAGGGGAGAGGGCTAGAGAGGTAAAATGTAAAGCTGTTAATATTGACTTTGTTTTGAAGGAGGCATTTAGTGACAGGGGAAGACAAAGACTTGGCATAAACCTTGCCTGGCTTATGATTCATTTAATATGAAGGTGAAGTTGGTGGCCTGGGTTGAAGACAATATTGCTATCTAGAATCAGTTACCTGGTACCATTCTAATACTCCTCAAAGCCCTTATTTCTGTCGCAGATTTTTGCTTTGAAGCTGCTATTTCTCTTTATTCTTAAGTATGTAATTTTTAGCAAGTAGTTCTTCCAAAGAGCCAATTTTATCATGGATGTCAGTTTTTAAAAACATCGTATTTGTATTTTTCTATGGTGCTGTTAAATAAGTTGCCTTTTGAAAGCTTACTATCTCTCTTTTTATAGCATCCACAGGATTTACTCTAAATAATTTGGGTGGGACAACAGCCACAACTACAACTGCATCAACAGGCCTCTCTTTAGGGGGAGCCTTAGCTGGTTTGGGAGGTTCACTTTTCCAGAGTACAAACACAGGAACATCAGGTAATTGATGGTATTTATTCTCCAGAATAGTAAATATTTATATTTAAATGTACTTATTTTTATTTTAGTACTTTGAGCAGGTCACTTTTTAATCTGCATATTTTCCTTTAAATATGAAAACTAAATTATAAAATGATGGTTTTCATACATAATTGGATGTATTAACCGTATTTTATTTATTTATTTATTTATTTTGAGATGGAGTCTTGCTCTGTCACCCAGGCTGGAGTGCAGTGGCGTGATCTTGGTTCACTGTAACCTCCACCTCCAGGGTTCAAGAGAGATTCTCCTGCCTCAGCCTCCTGAGTAGCTGGGATTACAGGTGTGTGCCAGCACACCTGGCTTATTTTTGTATTTTTAGTAGAGATGAGGGGGTTCACCATGTTGGCCAAGCTGGTCTCAAACTTCTGACCTCAAGTGATCCGGCTGCCTTGGCCTCCCAAAGTGCTGAGATTACAGGCGTAAGCCACCGCACCCAGCCTATTAGCCATATTTTAGAAATACATTTTCCTCTTTCTCAATATTGACTAACCAGATAAGGAAACAAAGAAGAGCCTGTTTAAGGAGTCAGTAAACTGATCTAGAGATAACATCTCTTCTAAAAAGAACAAAAATTGTATTAGCTCAGTAATGCATGGTCTTATAAAAGTATAGATTTATTAGGCTGGACACGGTGGCTCACACCTGTAATCCCAGCACTTTGGGAGGCCAAGGCAGGTGGGTCATCTGAGGTCAGGAGTTCGAGACCAGCCTGACCAACATGGTGAAACCGCATCTCTACTAAAAATACAAAATTAGCTGGGCATGGTGATGCATGCCTGTAATCCAAGCTGTTTGGGAGGCTGAGGCAGGACAATCACTTGAACCTGGGAGGCAGAGGTTGCAGTGAGCCGAGATCATGCCATTGCACTCCAGCCTGGGCAACAAGAGCGAAACTCCATCTCAAAAACAATAATAACAATAAAAAAGAAATACAGATTTATCAACACAAGATGCTTGAAATTTTGCGCTTGACTCACAAGTGTACGTTAATGACTTATGATTAACCGTAGTCTGGTCCTTTTTATTCCTTTTGTCAGTGAGGGAAGATGTAAATAAGCAAATGAATTCTAATACTTTTTTTTAAGTTTTGTGAAACGAACTTGGGAGTATGAAATTATATTCAATACATGTTATATTCAAATGTTATAAATTCACACTAGATTATCTTAAAAGTATGTAGTTCCAAAGTGTGTTTGTAAGACAAGATGTATTCACCTGAAAATACACCAACTGAAACTGCTTTTGTAGAGAGGGTTTAAAAGCCCTCTGTAACAAAACCCCTTTATAACAAGTGAAGATTGAGTGCCTACATACTGAATTGATATATGTTCTGGCCCTCGTAATAATGAAAAATCGCATCATCCAAACTGCATATGCCATCGAATTCAAGAAAGGTTATCAGTCTTTGGCCAAAACATCTCCAGGCTTGTTTCTTGTTGTTTGCCTAAATCAAATATGAAGAAAATCTAGGATCCAACTTTAAAAGCATTAGAGTCCTTTGATCAGTAAGGGGAAATTGTTGTAGTCTTTTGATGGAATTTATAAGTTATGTTTTATTTATAGGACTTGGACAGAATGCTTTAGGGTTGACTTTGGGAACTACAGCAGCTACTTCAACTGCAGGCAATGAAGGCCTTGGTGGTATAGATTTCAGTAGCTCCTCAGATAAAAAGAGTAAGTAATGCTGTTGTAACTTTATGTTTTAACAGTTCTGTTGAGGGAATGTCTAGGTTGCTCAAAATTCCTTTGTGTGGAAGATTAGCAGTTATATATTTAGTAGTAACAGTTAGCTATCTTAATGTGTATACGAATATGTATTTTTTAATAGGGATCATGATACATATGCAGTATTGTTTTGTAGTCTGTTCTTATCTAACATCAGAAGCATTTGTCTGTCAGTAACTCTTTTTAAATATTTTAATGCTGCTTAATATCAGTTTTATGGATGGATAAGTTAGTCAACCATTGTTCTCTTGTTAGATGTTTATTTCCAGATGTTTTACTTTGGGAAGTAAAACACTGGGCATTTATCTAAAAAGGCAACATAATATAGTAGTTTAAGAGTGTCTGCTCTGGAGTGGAATTGCCCGGGTTCAGATCCTGGCTCAACTGCTTATAAGCTCTCTGACCTTATTGAAGTTACTTATATTATGTGCTTTGGTTTTTCCTTATCTGTTAAATGGTTTGAGGGTTACTATTTGTAAAACCCTAGCAGAGCCAGACATGTAGGTGTCTCCTTTTATTATCAATGCTTGTTTATATTTTTGGTTATTTCTTAGGGAAAATACCTGGAAATTGGATCATTGGCTTAAAGAGAGGGATATTTTGGAGACTCTTAGTGTATAGTTTGTGAAATCGCTTTCCCAGAAAGATTTTACCAGTTTACCCCCTAACCAGTATGAAAATACCTTTCTTGCTGTGCCCTTGCCACGTTGAATCTTGGTTTTAAAAATTTGCTAATCCAAATTCATTTTGAAAATGTTTTCATTGTTTTTTGTGTTACTTTGTTTTGCACCATCTCTTCTGCTTCTGATGAAAGCATGTTTCACTAGAATATATACCATATATACTAGGGTATATATATACATATTGAACTTCTCTGAAGAAAGATAAATGGATGAAGCTGTGAAATAGTATCTGTGTATCTATATGACTTTTTTTTTAAAAAACTGGACACAGGTTTTATTATAAGGAGATACTATTCTAGGGTGAATTACTATTTTAAAGTTGGTAAAACCTTTTTAAACTTTTACAAAGTTTAGATTTCTCTTTCAGTGAAAATTGACAAATTTCTAAACAAAGTTTGTTTTTACTTAGTTTTCTCTGTAGCAACTCCATAATTAGGAAAGCAGCCTTAGCAGCTTATTTGTTTACTCAAGTGGAATAGCTTGGTACCACTTCTATTACTTTTATTTTAAGCATGAGAGTACTTCTCTATTATAATTGTTTTTAGGCTCAAAGAGCAGGCTAAGGCAGAAGAGTAAGATAAATGTAAGAAATTAATCTCCCCTCCTCTGCCCCTCCCCACATCTTCCTGCTTTCATAGTGTACCTAAGATAGAGTTGAGCAAGGAGAATATATACAATAAATGAAATAAATGTCTTAGATATGACATTAAATTTTATAAATATTTATGTACACACAAACATGTATATAAATAACTTGGGTGTGTTTCTACTATGGATCTCTGATTACTACATCCCAGTTCCCTTTTATCTATTGCTTATATCAAGGGATTCTTTTTTTTTAATCCAAATGATTTCTGTGTTTCTAGTAGCTGTATCAGTTAGCTTGGGCCCTGCAGTACCAGTGTGGGATTTAACCAGATAGAGAGTAGCAATAAACAGCATTCAGTGAAGAGGGGACAGCGTCAAGTGAGACTAGAGATGAGAAGGACCTTGACCCTTTTGAGGAAATGATAGAAGGCCAGATTAGCCATAGAGCAGAAAGATGAGGTTCCAGAAGTCATGGAGTCCTTATTTGCCATGTTGAGTTTTGTCATTATATTAATACCTCAGGCAATTTGGGTCTATTAAAGGGATTTGATGAGATTTGTATTTTAAGATTAAGAGCATTCTGACAGCCATATGGAAAATAGCATTCAGGAAGGCAAGAATTGTCATGGAGAACTGTTAGGAAGCTTTTGTAGAGCTCCACGTGTATTACTGAGGCAAAGCTAGGTAGATTAATTGGGGGTCCATGGTAATCAGGGATCCATGGTAGAAACAGGCTCAAGTTTTTTTTATATACATGTTTGTGTGTATGTAAGTATTTACAAAATATAATAAAATGTCATATCAAAGAAATAATATGCTAGTCAATTTAAAAGTTGGTGAATTATTTGGAGAAACATAAAATGAAATCCTTATTTTTATTTCCATGTCTCATAAAATCTAGGACGTCTATAGAAGATAGGTGGCAATTTTAGAGATACTAAATATGAAAGAAAAAAATCTTAATAAAATACAAAACATGGAAACATAAATTACAGTTGGATGAAAGAGGTAAAAAAGTAAAACCCCATGTGCAGAGGTAAAAGGTAAATGAGGAAAGTAAAATGCTTGATTTTTTTTTTTTTTTTTTTTTGGGATACAGTGACTTGCTGTGTCATGCAGGTTGGAATGCAGTGGTGTGATCTTACCTCACTGCAACCTCCACCTCCCTGGCTCAAGTGATTGTCCTACGTTAACCTCCTAAGTAGCTGGGACCACAAGTACGCAGCACCACGCCTAGCTAATTTTTAAAAAATTTTTTGGCCAGGCGCAGTGGCTCACGCCTGTAATCCCAGCACTTTGGGAGGCCGGGGCAGGTGGGTCATGAGGTCAGGAGATCAAGACCAGCCTGGCCAAGATGGTAAAACCCCGTCTCTACTAAAAATGCAAAAGCTAGCCGGGCACAGTGGCAGGCACCTGTAATCCCAGCTACTCGGGAAGCTGAGGCAGGAGAATTGCTTGAACCTGGGCAGCAGAGGTTGCAGTGAGCTGAGATCACGCCACTGCACTCCAGCCTGGGCACTAGAGTGAGACTCCGTCTCAGAAATAAAAAAAAAATTTGTAGCCACAGGGTTTTGCCCTGTTGCCCAGGCTGGTCTCCAATTCCTGGGTTCAAGCAGTCTGCCCAAAATGCTTGATTTTTAGGTGCTTATTTTTTCACATTTTAACATCTCTGAAATTGAGATACATCTTACAAGAGTCTAATATTAGAAATACATATTAAATTATGTAAATGAGACAAATAATATACTTAATGTTGAAATAGCTCTTAGAAATATATAAGAAAAATACCGTAAGAAAAGTGTGCAAATCACAAGTAAGCAGTTCATGAAAGAAGAAATATACTTGTCTCATGAGCATTTGAAGAAAATGGTTTTCTTCACCAAATATAAACTAAGAATTATTATGAAGTGGCATTTTTCACCTACATAACTGGCAAGGTTTTTTATAAAATATGTCCGTTGTTGTGAGGGTGTGATAAGGTATTCATGGCAGATGGGAAGATAAATTGTGATAGTTGTTTTAAGGGATTGTCAGATTGGAGAAGTACAGGTAATCTGACAGTATTCTGTACTGATAGGGCCTTAAAAAGTGTCAGGTAAAGTTATCAGGAGTTAAACTGGTAGGCAACAACATAAATTTTCCATACAGGATATTTTTCACGGAAGATGGTTGAGAAAGGGAAATTCTTGCCCTTGAAAGTATATGTACATCTGCCATATATCTGCTTATGTGTACAGATGTCTTCATAAAATGCTTTGCTTCTGAGTTCATGACGAGGGTTGAGAAAGGGAAATTCTTGCCCTTGAAAGTATATGTACATCTGCCATATATCTGCTTATGTGTACAGATGTCTTCATAAAATGCTTTGCTTCTGAGTTCATGATGAGTCATGACATCACATGATGTTTATGAGGCAAGCAAAGAAATGCTTAACAGTTTATATTTATACTTTAATTTGTGTTAATTTAAAGCTTGTATTTGGAGTATGTTGTTCAATTACCAATTTTTTTTACGTGAAGCTTCTTGAATTTTCTAGGTGATAAAACGGGAACAAGACCAGAGTAAGTTTACAAATTTACCCTTAAGGCATTTTAATTGAAGAGTTTAACTTATTAAATTGTAGGCAGATGGTATAATTGAAAGTAAATATCATATACATTTAGGAGAAAAAACTTTTTTGTAATGGTATTCGTTAAAAGTAAAATAATAGACGTATGTTCTGGTAAGATAATGAAAGGTCAAATCTTTAGTTTTTAGTCATTAAGAAAATTTAAAACTATTTCTGGAAAGGTGTTTGGTATTTCTCTAATATAAATAAATACAAATATGTGTGTTTATTTCTTTAGTCTGTTAAATATTGAACAACTCATGGAACTTTACTTTTGGAGCATTTAAAAAATATATGAATTATTGTGCCAGTCTCGTTTTATGTCCTGGTGTTTTCAGTGAAGAGAATAGCCTCCATATACATCATATATATGTTTGAAGATGGTCATTCTTCTTATTACCAATTATATTTTCTCACATGATTTGTACTATATTAAATAAAGCATTCATAAATAAATGACAAATTCACTCCTTACAAACATCCTGTGTATATTTTAGCTTACTATTTAAATGAAGAAGATTAGAGAAACTAAGATCTGCATAAGGGTTATGAAATCTAACTCATGATTCCATTGCAGCATGCCAGATGTCACTTGTTCTTGTTCTCATTAAATATTTATTATTCCTGTAAGCTCTGCCTAGGTCTTATTTTTTCATTCTAATGCATGTTGAAGAACTAACTGAAGTTATTTTTCAAAAGTATTTTGAGCATCTCGTTGTGAGAAGTTTTGTAGACTTTCTTTAATGAATACATTAATATTTTGGAATGGAATAAATTGTCAGTCAGAATCTTTAAGCCAGAGGGAACTTAGTTTAACATCTTACCCAATTTGCAGTATTCTCTGATTTTTTTGTTAGACATTTAGTCATATGCTTTTAAGTATGTTTTTAATAGATGCCAATCTTCTTAGATAAGAAATCTTCATGTCAGATGAATTGTTAAAATTATTTTATAGATCCTATTTACAATAAATTTATGTTTTTTATAAAGAGCTTTGAAATCATCCAGAGAAGCCATACGTGCTTTTTTGCTATATTTTCTTGTGTCTTAATACTCTAATACTCTATTAAAACTCAGCTGTCAACTTTTTAAAATCTCAATGACCTTAATACATGTTTTGCATTTTTCTTAGGGATAGTAAAGCTCTGAAGGATGAAAATCTACCTCCTGTCATCTGCCAGGATGTTGAAAATCTCCAGTAAGTGTCAAATATAATTAGATAAATAACACTTGAAGAATTCTAGAATACTTCTTAAGGGGAGCATCTCTTCCTCCTAAAATCGCATCCTAGAGGAGCATCTCTTAACTAGGGTTAAAATGTTAGTGCTTTTAGAAATCAGAAAAAAAGCAGAACAACAGGAATTAAAATTGTATAACTTCCATTCTGTAAAAAAGTGTGAACTATAGATGAATTTTTAGTTTTGTATTTTAAAACACTTGGACTGTTTTAAGTATATATATATTTTGTGTAGGAAACCAAAGATACATTTTTTAAAACTCAGTTTTAAATATATTTTTTAGGAAATTTGTGAAGGAGCAGAAACAAGTTCAAGAAGAAATTAGTAGAATGTCTTCAAAAGCAATGCTTAAGGTACAAGAAGATATTAAAGCTCTGAAGCAGCTCCTGTCGTTGGCTGCCAATGGAATACAGAGAAACACTCTCAACATTGACAAATTGAAAATAGAAACTGCTCAGGTATACCAACTTATGGCCATTTTACCGTAGGGTTTTTTTGTTTTGTTTTTTCCAAAATGGAAATAAGGTGTTTTGTTTTGTTTGTTTTTAATTATGAAATTTGATACATGCATACCGGTAGAAAACCAGATAACTCATATACTTTAATAATGAGTTTTTATTAAGCGTTTTCTGTATACAAGACAGTATCCTAAGCAATTTATATCTGTTAAAAGCATTAAGTATTTCTGAAAAGACCCAACAAGGTAGGAATTATTATCCCCATTATATAAATAAGAAAAAAAGCACAGAGCTTTGTTAGTAAGTTGAAGGGCCTGGATTCAGACCCTGGTAATCCAACTCCAGAGTTTATGCTGTTAACTAACTAGGTTTCGTAAGTGTGGTTGCTGGCTAAATTGGCCTATTATATAAGAGGAAACATAGCTAGTCAGAAAATAATGTTTTTTAACTGTCGGTTTTTAAATAAAAATTATATCATGCTGTGTGGATATTAAATTTGATGACTTGCAAGTCGTGGTTAAATCTTAGTTTAAAAATAGTAGGCCGGCCCTAGTGGCCCAATCCTATAATCCCAGCACTTTTGGAAGCCAGGGCAGGTAAATCACTTGATGTCAGGAGTTCGAGACCAGTCTGACCAACATGCTGAAATCCCGTCTCTACTAAAAATACAATAATTAGCCAGGCGTGGTGGTGCATGCCTATAATCCCAGCTATTCCGGAGGCTGAGGCAGGAGAATCGCTTGAACCTGGGAGGCGGAGGTTGCAGTGAGCCAAGATTGCACCATTGTACTCCAGCCTGGGCAACAAGAGCAAAACTCCGTCTCAAAAAAATACAAATAAAAATAAATAGTAATGTGGCTAATGTTGTCTGTCACTAATGTCTACTTGTTTTTCCTCCTTATGGTGTAATATACAATACATATTAAATATATGTCGTTCTTTTCTACCTCAGTGGGAAAGGATGACGATAGGTGATTTATTTGTGTTGTAGTTACCGTAATTACAGAATATACTTGATCTCATCATAGCAGTCTAGAAATCTTTCCGTGAAGTTGTCCCTGATCTGTTAATGAACTTCATGTGAGATACGCCTTTTTGCTGTGGATTTATCAGAGGGCTGTGATCTTCACAAACGAAGTGGTAGTATTTTAAGTAAAATTTTTAAAGGTGCTTTTGGGTCTTTAAGTCCACTATTGGAGAATATCTTGTAATCTTTTTAATAATGATGTGTTACTAAAAGAGCTACTCTAAACTGTAATGGCTAAAGGAATTTCAAAGACTTTATTGTCTGTCCTCAGACTTCCTGGTCTCTTAACACATTTATTTGGTTAAATATGAATGTAATACAGGTTGAGCATCCCTAATCCAAAATCTGAAATGTTGCAAAATCCAAAACTTTTT
The DNA here is from genome assembly GCF_000001405.40 of Homo sapiens. NCBI lineage: Eukaryota > Metazoa > Chordata > Mammalia > Primates > Hominidae > Homo > Homo sapiens. The sequence goes on from NC_000013.11 coordinate 25,322,495, forward strand.
GAGTGCTAACATGATGCCACAGGTGGAAAATTCCACACCTGAACTCATGGGATAGGTTACAGTTAAAACTTCATTTCATGTACAAAATTATTAAAATTGTATACAGTTACTTTCAGGCTATGTGTATAAGAAACACAAATGAATTTTGTGTTTAAATTTGGGTTCTATCCCCTATTCCCAAGGTGCCTGATTTTATGTATGCAGATATTCCAGAATCAGAAAAATTCTGAAATCCAAAACACTTCTGGTCCCAAGCTTTTTGAATATGGGATACTCAACCTGTATTGCCCCATGTTTCCTTTCCACTTACTCTTCCTAATCATCACCTATGTCCTTTCTAGGGAATAGAAAGAGTTAATTATGTTTTTATACTGGAGAATGTTTAGACTGTGATTAAACATCACATGAAATTATGTGAAATATTTGAAATTATATATAAGTTATTTAGAAAACATAATTAGAGCAAAATAATGGAGGAGGCAAACTCGAAAGAAAGAAGTGAATGCTGTAATGGGACCCATTTTAACTCGAAAACTGAATGATTGCATTCACCGCTGTTTGTGGAGTAGCTGTCATATAATGGGCACATTAATAGTCTTTTAGAGATAAAAAGACAACTCCAAAGGTACTAAAAGTCTAGTAGGGTGAATGAAATAATAAAAGATTGAGAAGAGCATAAAGGTGGCAAAGGAATAAGAGGTTGGGAGTCAAAGTTTCCTTAAGGAAGAATCATCTGAGCTGAATTTCAGGAATTTTATAGTTAATGCATGCTGGGCTTAATACCTAGGCGATGAGTTGATAGGTGCAGCAGACCACCATGGCACACGTTTACCTATGTAACAAACCTGCACATCTACCCTGGAACTTAAAAAATAAAATTAAATTAAAAAAAAAAAGATTTTTATTTCATGCTCACCAGGTCAAAGGGGAAGAAGAAAAAGAGAAAAAAAAATAAACATTTTTAAAGAAATTTGATCTAAGATTACTCTAATGTCTAGTAGCTAGGAACTAATACTCTACTAAGAGTCTAGTGAATTACCAATTGAAAAAAATGTTCTGAATCCTCTATAAAGTATCAATCTTATTTAACCCTAAAACCTTTTCTTCAAAGAAAGCCTTTCTGGGAAATATAAGCAGTTCTGCAGTTAGAACTGATGCAGACCAGATTCTTATGGAAGACAAAGTCTTTTATATACTTCATTTTTAATAAGTAACTTGAGTTTAAATTAAAATAGGATGGTGGTTCTTTTGGGGTAAGTGGGGGCCGCATGGTTTATTGAAGTTAAATTACTGAGTTCAGCTCTCCAGTCATTCAACTAACATTTTTAAAAGATCTGTTATGTGCCAGGTGCTTCAGCAGGCATTAGGGATCAAGACTTAGACTAGGGAGAGAGTTAAATCCATCAGGTGATATGATCCAGGTACAAGGGTTTTGTAGGGGCACAGAGGCCTCAAGTGGGCATTTTTATCATCTGTCCAGTGTAGAATACCTTTACATTGAGTCTTGAAAAAGAGGAAAGTATCATGAACGAGGGTATGGGCATGTCTGAAGATCTACAAGCAGTTTAGTGTTAGGAGAGTCTGGGCCTGGCTAGAGTCAGTGCTTAGAGAGGTAGCAGGGGTCAGAGTCTTGAATCATCTACACATGTATTTGTACTGGAGTGGGGTGGGATGGAAGCCTGAGTTGAGTGAAAAGGATGTAGAAAAAACAGTCATCAGCTTAGCAGCTTGGCAGTTTAATGAGGAAGAGATGTTGCTACAGGGAATATAAAGTTAAAGTAACTCTTTGTGAAATAAAGAATACTTAAATAGAGGTCGAAAATATAGTGAAATGATAGGAATGTGGAATGTAAGGGGGTAAACAATACTAATCTTGAAAAAACATTGGCTGGAATTGTAGAAAGCAATATAAGAATGGTTGAGTGTGTAAGCTTTAAAAGATCCAGTTCTTCGGTCTTCTAGCAGCATGATATTGGGCAAGTTACTTAATGGCTTTGTAAATCCATTTCTTCATCTATAAAAAGAGAAACATTCCCTACATTGTAATGTTGTCCTTGAGAAGTAACTTTTAGCATAGTGTTTGGTACATAGCAAGCACCCAAATGTTAATTGTGCCTGCCTCAGCCTCAACATTATTATTGCCACCTGCCTTTTAAAAAAAAAAAGTATTTTCTGCGTTTATATTAATGATTTTAAGTAGTAGTATAATCTTTACGCTGTAAATGAATTCACTTCGTGAATCCTACAGAAATCTATAGTTTTAAAAATAGATCTACAGCTCTTTATAAGTTTGTTAAAACTGTAATTTGTCTGCTCTTGAAAGGTTTTAGCAACTTGTGAAGCAGCTTCATCCATAATATGTTCTTATAGCATGAACCTCCAAGGTATTGTTTGAAGTTTCAGTCCAGAGACTGAATATTTTTTTTCGTACGGTATTTTTAACATAACTCTTAACTGGCTTTTTTTTTTTTTTTTAAATCCTCTGGTATATTAGGAGTTGAAGAATGCTGAAATAGCTTTAAGAACCCAGAAGACACCACCTGGACTTCAACATGAATATGCAGCTCCTGCTGAGTAAGTTGCTGGATTTTTAAAAACAAATGTTTCTCACTTTCAGAAAGCAGAACAGTAATAATAGTATACAAACTAAATATTTTTAGTATACTATGTGGAAAGGCTGAGCCAATAAGCACTTTACATGGATTTTAAATTTCATAATAACCCTAAAAAGGTTTATCTCCATTAACACCATTTGACTGCAGGGTAAGTGAAGGCTAAGATCTGAGCTTTTCACCACTATTACGCATTTATACTTCATGTACATATTACTTACAGAGTCTACTCCATTTTATTAAATTTTACTGGTAATGGAAAATTACCATTATTCATTTAAATAGGTAATACGTGTTCTGGAAGAAAAATTAGAAAATATACATAAGTAGAAGAAAAAACCAACCTGTAATCACATCACTCAGCTTGTATATATACATTTGGCTTTCATACATGTAAAATATATCTTGCCTGTTTATGTCCTTCCATGTTGATGAAGATAATAATAACTGATGTTTACCAAATGCTTACTATTTCCCATGCAGTGTGCTTAGGACTATACATGCTTTACCTTCATATTTCACAAGATCTCTGTAGCTGTTGTTATTCCAGTTTTAGCGATAAAGAGACTGAGGTATGCAAAAGTGAGTTGAGTGGTGGAGGTCTGTTTGATTCCTGGTCCCTCACAATTAATTAATTAACTTGTAGAGATGCCATTTCACAGTGTTGCCTAGGCTGGTCCTAGGCTAAAGTGATTCTCCCGCCTCAGACTCCTAAAGTGCTGGGATTACAGATGTGAGCCACCACGCCTGGCCCCTTACTTATTTTATTCTTTTAGTTTTTTATTATAATTTTGGTCTACAGAAAAGTTTCAAGATGAGAACTAAAAATTCCTGTATGCCTTTCATTCCAATTTCCTACATATTAACATTTTTACCATATTTTTGTTCCTCACATTCTATGTGTGTATATACATTTCTCCCCCAAACAGTTTGGGTTATTTGCAGAAATAATGTTCACTATGCTAAAGTACTTCAGTGGATATTTCTTAAAAATAAGGATATTCTCATACTTAACAGTTCTCAAAATCAGGAAATTCATAATGCCCATGATATTCGTCTTACTCAGGTTGGCATGAGATGTGCTTCCTCACTGGACTTCCTCTACTATTTTATCCCTCTGTCTTGTACTTAATACTGCCATCAGAGCTAATTTTGCAAAATGCATTCATGGTTGCCCATTGTTTACTGAAAGACATTCAGATTCCTCTGTATACTATTCAAGATACCTTCTTTTTTTTTTTTTATCTGTCTAGCACTCTCTGTGGGTAAATTTATTAGAAAAGTAGCAATAATTACATGTGCTTTCTGTAGTATACTATGGTGTTCTCAGATTATAAATTTCATTGATAAAATGACTATAAATTCTTAATTCTGAAATCTGGTTGGTAGACGTTTCTACTTTATTTTAAATTTATTTTAACCTTACAGAAAACTTCCAAAATAGTAGTACAGAGAATTTATTTATATCGCTTCCCTTGCTTCCCCTAATGTTAACTTATAACTATAGTATAATTACCAAGAACAGGAAACTAAAATTGTTACAATATTATTAACTAAACTACTAAACTTACTGAAATTCAACCAGTTTTTCCACTAGTGTACTTCTGTTTCAGCATCCTATTTGGGATTCACAGTGCATTTGTAATTTCTCCTTAATATCTTCCAGTCACAGTTATTCAGTCCTTCCTTTCCTTGGATAACCTTGATACTTTTGAAGACTATTAAATGATTGCAGAATATTCCTTAATTTGGATTTGTCACTCCAAATTAAAAAAATATTTGATCTGACTTTTTAAATGTTTTTTAAAGCTACTTCAGAATCTTGGTTCAGCAATTTGAGGTACAGCTTCAGCAGTACAGGCAGCAGATTGAAGAACTAGAAAACCATCTTGCCACTCAAGCAAATAATTCACATATAACCCCTCAAGGTAACATGCTTACTGTGGTAATTTTTTTTGAACTTTTGTTTGTAGGAGATAGATGTGGTTATATAATAGGTATTTTGGATAACTACTGGTAGCCCCTTTAAGAAAATTTCCTTAAAAGTCATTTACTACTCCTTTATTCCCTATAAATATAATATGCTTTATTATATGAATTGTTACTGTGGTAACAAGGACAGAAATCTTAGGGCCTTCCCCCCAGATTTCTTTTGTAGACATTCAGTCTGCTACTCTGTGTGTTCTCTGGCCATGAGAACGTTGATAGAGTTTTTTTCTCCTACACGTTAACTGTGCCAAAAATTGGACTCAAATAGAAAAATAAAATGGATTGTGCTATATATATGTATATATTTGGGTGATAATGTAATTTTCTTTTATAGATTTGTCAATGGCTATGCAGAAAATTTATCAAACATTTGTAGCTTTAGCGGCACAACTTCAGTCTATTCATGAAAATGTAAAGGTAAGTTTTCATTACCCATTTATCTACCTGGATATGTAGACCCAAGTATTTGTTCATCTGGGGACAAATGTGTCCATGCTTGATACAGAAATAGCTAAAATTACATATAAGTGAAAAGATGAAAACTACTATAATCCATAACATACCCAGACATAACGATTGATAATACCTGTTCTTTTAAAAAAGATCCAAGTACGCTGTAGTCTGTTATTATAACTTTTTTTTAAGCAGTGCATTGTGAATAACTTTCTATGTTAATACACATATTTCCTGAATATCATTTTTAATAGTTAACATAGGAGTTTGTTGTATGGTTGTACATTGTTTAACCCATTTTCTGTTGGATATTTAGGTGGTTTCTATTTCTTTACTACTATAAATAGCACTATAGAAAATAGGCATTCTTAGTCAGGCACAGTGGCTTACACCTGTAATCCCAGCACTTTGGGAGGCCGAGGCGGGCGAATCACAAAGTCAGGAGTTCAAGACCAGCCTGGCCAATATGGTGAAACCCCGTCTCTACTAAAATTACAAAAATTAGCCGGGTATGGTGGCGGGCACTTGTAGTCCCAGCTACCTGGGAGGCTGAGGCAGGAGAATCGCTTGAACCCAGGAGGTGGAGGTTGCAGTGAGCCGAGATCACACCACTGCACTCCAGCCTGGGCAACAGAGCAAGATTCCATCTCAAAAAAAAAGAAAATAAGCATTCTTAGTAGCAAATGATTTTGTACTACCTTAATTTTATCTGTTTTAAGTGTTTATTGGCCACTGCATTAAAAACCGGCTTACAGCATTTCTCCCTTTTAAATACAGGGAACTGTTTGTGTTTATTAAATAGTGTAAATAAAATGATTTATCACTGAATATTTAGACTGACTCTCGCTTTTTTTTTTTTTTTTTTGAGACAGACTCTTGCTCTGTCGCCCAGGCTGGAGTTCAGTGGCATGATCTTGGTTCACTGCAACCTCCACCTCCTGGGTTCAAGTGATTCTCATGCCTCAGCCTCCTGAATAGCTGGGACTACAGGCACGTGCCACCATGCCTGGCTAATTTTTTGTATTTTTAGTAGAGACAGGGTTTTGCCATGTTGCACAGGCTGGTCTCGAACTACTAAATTCAGGCAATCCTCCCTCCTCGGCCTCCCAAAGTGCTAGGATTTATGGGCATGAGCCACTGCACCCAGCCTGAATATTTTGACTCTCATAATAACGTTAGTTTTAAAAATGTATTTAAGTGAAATGTTCAAGGTAAGTACATCTTTTCTAACTAACTGAGCAAATGTAATTAAACTCTTTAATCTTGGAGTGTATGTGGTCCAAAATACCTTTAAAATTCAAGCAGCGAAACCTGAGTCTAGATAAATTATCAACTGTGTAGAATAGAGTTTAATTGGAATTATCAACATTTTCATTTTTATTTTGATTTCATGCATAGTAACAGGATTTTTTTAAGTAAACCATTTAAATTACACCATTTTTGAAATGGTAGTGCACTTTAGACCTTTTGCTTTAGTAGATTTAAAACTGTAACCCAAATCTTTAAATTTTGTTCTAAAGGAGGAATTTTATCAGATTTAAAAAAATTCTATTAGTCTATAATAAATGTTACTTTAATTTTTTAATAAAATTAATGTATGGCACTTTGAAGTCCGTTGCACAGAATTCTTTTCCTTAATTTTTATTATGAAATCTTTCAAATATACACAAAAGTAGGCTATCATTATACTGAATGCCCAGGTATGACTACCTAATTGCAACCATTATCAAAACCCTGCTGAACTTGTTTTATCAATGCTCCACAGAAGATGCTTTTTTTCCCCCCACGAAGTATTTCAGAGCAAATGCCAGGTGTAAACGTACATTTTTTTTAGCAGCACTGTCTCCTCTCTGGTTTGGAAAATATATCATTTTTGGTAATATGACCATAAAACAGTGAGACCAAGACCACATAAAACTGCCCTAGATCACGTCAAATAAACGTTGTAGACATGAAATTTTGACCTACTCTTTAAGCAACCCAGGAACGAAAGGATATTCCCAAGAACCAAAGAATATTTTATAATCAGATTTGGTATGTTGCCATTATTTTTAGCTTAGTTTAGTGAGCAAACTAAGCTCTAGGTTTCTTTATTTCTTGTAGAAATCTCACAAGACATTTTTTTGTTCGTTTTGTTTTTCATTAGGTAATCTGTTGAAACAGGCGTTAACTATTCTATCCAGCCAGGCCTCAGGAACATTAACACATTTGGAAGTTTTAGCAATTTGTTTTATAAATCATGGCTGATGTCAAGGTTTTTGTTTGTTTGTTTTATTATTTTGTTTTGTTTTGTTGAGAAGGGCTTGCTCTGTTGCCTATGCTAGAGTGCAGTGGCGTAATCATGACTCATTGCAGCCTCAATCTCCTGGGCCCAAGCGATCCTCCCGCCTCAGGCTCAGCCTCTTGAGTAGCTAGGACTACAGGCATGCACCACCACACCTAGCTAATTTTTTAACTTTTTGTAGAGAGGGGCACTTGCTGTGTTGTCCAGGCTGATCTTAACTCCTGGCCTCAAGGAGTCCTCCTGCCTAGACCTCCCTAAGGGCTGGGATTATAGGTGGGAGCCACCGCGGCCAGGCTGTTTCTTTTAACTAATGGTCTTGGTCTTAAGTTTCTAAGGTGGATCATTATTTTCCATTATCTGAAGTAGAACTAAAATTTATGGGATACTGATGCTTGCCCAGGACAAGGAAGGGTGGATTTGCAAGAGATCGGTAGTGCTTGTTTTTCTTACATCATATGTCTTGATTCTGGCTTTGTATCTTCCCCAGTATCCAGTTCTTGGCAGGCCCCCTTTTTTAATACATCATAAATGTAGCAAAGTTTGGAATTGGAACATCAAACACTGACATCCACACAAAAAGGGCGATGATAGCTTTTAAATACTATAAACAACAGTAAGATTTTTAAGTGCTGTATTTGTTATAATCAGAACCTAATGTTTACTAATTTCTGCTAAGAAATGTAAGAAATATGAAAAATCTGTGTCTCTTCAAAAAGTGGTTAAAAACCTATCTAAATTAGGCTAAATCTTCAATGAAAGCATAAAATAATTCTAAAGTGAAACAGAATTGTTGCTGTTGATGGCCTTAATCAAAGCAGATGCTGCATTGGGTAAAAGCAGCTCACTTTATGAACTTGGGAATTTTTCTTACTCTGGAGTTACAAACACTTTTTTTCTTTGAGGCGGGTGGTTGGGTTCATAACTTTAACATGAATCAAGTCTCATTGTACAATGGTCAAATAATAGCAATAAAGTAGAAGCCCTCATCATACCCTCCAACCACTGCTGAGGTGCAACACCTTATTTTAGCATGTGTTACCCAGGCCTTCTAAAAAATGTATTTAAAAGTATGTATATTTAGTGCTGACTTTTTTTTCTTTCTTTTTTTTTTAAACTGTTTTAATCAAAAGGCTATGAAAAGGTTGGACATTTGAGGGGAAAGTTTCTTGAAAAACTGGAATATTTATTTTTAAATTCTTTTCATCCATCCATCTGCACATTGATGGAGTATTTAAATATTACTCTGTCTAAAAGCTTAGCTGATTTATTTTAAACAAGGCCTCACAAAGACAGTATTTTAGGAAGCATATTGTAAAGATAGGGAGTAAACTATTCAAGGGAGCAGTAGAACTCTTGAACTCATCATTTCCTACACCAAAGTGCATTATTAGCACTCTAATTTGCAGTTTGGATTGAATGTATAATATTGGGACTGTCTTTGGTAATTTATGGTTATATTCATCCACATATTAACCATAGTCAATGTGAAACTTCATTTAGCCGTTTTGTTTATTATTCTTTTAGGTTCTGAAAGAACAGTACCTTGGCTACAGGAAAATGTTCTTGGGAGATGCTGTTGATGTGTTTGAAACAAGGCGAGCAGAAGCCAAGAAGTGGCAGAACACACCCAGAGTTACTACTGGACCCACTCCTTTCAGCACCATGCCAAACGCAGCAGCCGTTGCCATGGCTGCAACACTTACACAGCAGCAACAGCCTGCTACAGGTCTGAACGCATTCAAGTTATAGCTTCTTACTGTTCCAATGCAGAACATTTATGTGCGTTTTTATAAGTCTTCCATTTGTGTGAGCACTGAAGAAATTTCTATGAGTAGCTGTTCCAATACAATCTAAAATTGTGATGGACACGATTATAAACATACCTGATAAAAAAGGCAGGGTAGTCTTAGCAATAATTATACATCAATTAGATATTGAATATTGTGAATCTACTTAATGTTATTTGCTGTAATGCTATAAATGCCCTTTAGAACATGGTGTTTCACTAGTGAATTACATTTAAGAATAACATTAGATTCTGAAATCATGACTGTACCATTTATTGTTTTAAAGTCAGAGATCATCCATCCATTCTTTGAATTTTTCATATATGATACTGATAGGTGGTGCATTCTCATTTTCCTCATACATAGTGATTACAAAGTACCCACATTCAGGATGAAGTATGCTTTTATTGACTGAAGGTATGTTGAAGATCAATAGGCTTGTTTGTATGTATGTTGACTGTAAACAGAATACAAGCCCTCTAAACCAAATTTTGAAGATGATACATGCTAGAATTGTACCTTTCCAAGGTGAACAGAACAGCAAGAGCAGGAAAAAGATGTTTTGAGATGTGGATTGCACATTAAGGAGCAACTGGGAAGTTGAACAGATGAAAATAATTGGTGACATGGAAAGCAGATTGTTTTATTTCTTGGTTTAGTTACACTTCTAATTAGAGAAACATTTTTTGTGGTCATTCTACAGTGTTTTATTTGGTCCTGTGTCTTTCGGAGGTTAATAGTTATCTTAATCCTGCCATCCCTTTTGTCAGGTTTGAAGCTTGACATGGAAAAATAGTCTTAATCGATATTGATTTTTTTATTTTAATCATTCATAAATTTCTTAGTAATGCTTACTATTCAATAGCATGTGTCTTTCTGAGAGTTCCATATAGTCCAGTAGTACATTATAATACACACAAAAAAATTAATACATATTTAGATTGCATTCAAGCTACCTATACTAGGGAAGCATTCTCTGGTTTTCACTATTGGCAGTTTAAAAAATTGTTCTTCACATTTGGAGATGACAGAATTGACTTGCCATAAGTAAAGGGTTGATGATAGATTTATGCCAAATCCTCCATATCCCGTGGCTGGACCCATGTGAATAGTGGCTCGCACGAGCACTGTCTGGTAGCTCTCTAGCTGGCTGGAGTGTAGGATTGCATTGTTAAGTTATGGAGGGAAAAAGTCATTATGGGATTGATTCCTTTGAGGATTGATATTTCTTCTTAAAAGGATTCAATCCCATAATTATGACCATCAGCTCTCATGATTACCTAACCAGTTAATCAAACCAACCATAGTACTAGTTTACTTTTTAGAGCCAGTATTAATCCTAAAGTAGATAAGTGTAGATTTGGTTAAGTGTTCTTTAAACATAGTGAATTTCCATTCTATTAAATAGAACTTGAGAAATGTCAGTTATATAAAAAGTTATGTTGTAAGTGAATATATTCTATGATAAATACCTAAACTTGAAGCAAAATCTCCTGTCAAGGGTTTGTGTGTGTGTGTGTGTTTAACTTTCTTATCTATAGATTATTATTTTGAGAAATTCATAGGTTTTCACTTATACATTTTGAGCTTGTGGACATATGGAGATGTGTGTTCATTCTCTAAATGAGTGCCTACTATGTGCTGGGCTCGAGGAATACAAAGGTAGACAATATAGATTTTGTCTTTGCCCTCTGTGGTGGTTGACAATGTTAGCTTAATCTGGAGTATTCTTGAGGAGCCTTTTGCTCATAGGCTTTAATTTTGTCTGTGACTTTTGCCAGGCTTTGGGGAAATTGACTGCCTTCACTCTTCCCTGAAACTTTGAAGTCCACATAAGGGCTTTCTCATCAGATGGCAGAAATTATAATTTATTAACCTAAACAACCTTACAGTGTTTTCGCTTTGAATTGTATGAATTCTTAGAACTGAGAAGCTAAACAACAGTGATAACAATTTTACATTATCTTTTCTTTCTCCTTTTGTTTCTCTAAAGGTCTCCCAGGCCTTCCCAGTCAAAATTTTCGTTATTTTTAGTCATGTCACCATGATGTGAGATTTCTGAGCTCTGTTAGATACATTTAGAAATGTCCCTATTTATCAAATGGTGTTTTGTACCCCATAAGTTATCCCTTATGCCCTGTGACTTCTGTGAAATCTTTGTTTTTAAGTGCCAGTAACAAATTTTAGACCATCTAGATGAGGGTAGAGAGAGCTTATGCATTGTTTTTATACATCACTGTTGATCTATACAAGATTTGAGTTATCAGAAGGGTTTTGCTTTTATTTGCATATGAAATTTTTATTAACATGAATATGGGCACAGAGCAAATAGCTTCTTAGACTGCTGCCTTCTGAAGGTGGCTTCTGTATCTTTCTCAGAGGAGGAGGAATAGACTTAAACGACTTCTTTGTCCTCCTTCAATTTTTTTTTTAATGAAAAAGTATACTAGGGCTTAGGCATGTGTGATTTACAGTTATTTGTTCTGAAGGCTGCAGAGAATTGAAAATCCAGCAGGCTATTTGTGTATGAAATCATGAGCATCGATAACGTGGATAACGTAGTTCCATGTTGGCAGAACTTGACACTTGTCTATAAGTGCTTCCCAAGCCTCCTGAAAAACTGAAGACATTTACATTAGGCTTTTCAGTATAATTTTAATTTAGGATAGGTTTTTTAGCAATGTATCTGGGATTGAGTTTTGCTATTGTGTTTTGACACTTTAAGAGTTCTTGATGTTTACATAATAAGACTTTCTTATGTGACTTAGCTGCTGTTTTAAGGAGAGCCAAGACGTTTTGTTAGGAATTCCTAATTTTTAGCTTAGTGTAGGTTTGGACATTTAAGGTGTAGTGTTAAATAGGAAACATTAAGTATTTCATCTTAGTTTCTTGTGGTTTTGTGATTTTGTTGTATTTAATAACCAAAGGAACATTCCCCATTAAATCAGTAAGAGTAAAATTTTTCAAACTGGGGAAAACGCATTTTAGGTTTTTTAAAGAAAAATTATTTTAAAATGTGACTTAGAAATAACCATACTAATTACATTAGGCATTTGGGGTGATCATGGAAAATTATAAAATATTTTTAGCACTTTAGTCCTTTTTCTGTTAATGCAGTTTTACTTTTAAGAAAGTAAAATTTATTCTGGAAAATATGAATTACAGCGCTAAACCTGGTTTTGTTGTGTGTGAATATATTATATGGTAACTTTTGTAAAATGTTACTCTACATGAAGATTTCACTTTGGCCAGTCATTGGTATATATCACTACAAACTTAATTTTATTTATGGAAATAAGAACCTCTCATTGGATGACTATTCAAATTTCAAAGCAGACTTCTTGAATTGTTTACGTAACTTTTGCCTGAAGGATTTAGACTGCTTTCTAATAGTGAAACTAATATATATGGTGGCCAGAGTGTAATATATGCTAATACTTTGGCATGGGAGATATTTATCATGAGTTTTTACTATTAAAAAATGTTATACATTTGCCTACGAGTTTTATAAATGATGTTGCCTTCAGAATTTGTGTGAAGGTACAAAACTAAAAATATCATGTATCTGATGTGCAATGGAAAGTCTTGTCATCATTAGATATGAGTTCTTGATTATATTCTGAATATTGATGATTAGAAAAATCTTATGTTCTGTTGCTCTTAACAACAGACCCACACACAACAAAAAGCATGCTATTTGAGTAACTCTTACGACTTACAAGGCTGAGGGCTGTGGTGTGCATTATTCTTTAGGGTCTTCCACCAGCAGTGCCTCCTATTAACCTGTGACAAACAAGTCTCTCAATGTTAAAGAACTGGACATGTGTTTTTTATGTTTTTTGTTAGGAATCAGAAAGTATAATAATATGCTTGGTTTCTTTTTCCTATAGTAACATTTTACAAAAGAGCTGCTAGGCAGGTATTTTATTCTCAAAGTGATCTCAAACTGGATGTAAAATTTTAAATTATTTTTTTAATAGTAGTATAAGAATTCTGGCTGCTATTAGTTATTGTTTGTTTTCTGGGTTAGAAGCTATTCGAAAAGTCCAGTTTCTGTCCCAGTGTAGCAAAATGTAGTTCCTCGGTTGTTTTTCTTTAAATGCTTTATAATTTTACACTACCTTTTTAATATACAAACCTCATTCTTCATTGGATAACTTGAAGGCTTTGATTTCTTTAAAAATTTAAATTTTAGTGTGTATATTACTTTGACAGTTCCCTCATCTTTGAGATGCACTGATCACTGTGCTTGAAAAAGACAATACTGAAGATTGTACTATGAAGTTTATTGAATAATTTTCATAAATTATTTATCCAAATGAGAGATTTTTAGATTTTTGTATTCTGCTTAGTTTTAAAAAAAAAAAATAGTAGTTTAAAAGAGAGGCTAGTAAGTTTGATGCTATTCTTGCCAAACAAACTCAGCCAAAATCTTTAAAGTAACAAGAGGGAAAAGGATGACTAATCGTTCTGCTTCTGAGTACATTTTCCAAAACGTTGGAAAGAAACTTCTGAATTGAAATCTTGAATGTATTGAATCTGTCAAGGTACACAGCGGTGCCTTTGTAAATGTTCATTACTTTATTTAATCAGGTGATAAGTGGTGTAATGTAGCAGAGCTTAAGAATAGAACTCAATTATCACTTTTTGTGAACAAGTTGGAATTGTCATGTTACTGTGTAATTGATTTGCTTTACAATGAACAATAAATTTAATAAAATAAAACATTGTCTTGTTTTTTATCTACTTATTGTATATATCATTTATATTTCATATGAGAAATCATGCCTAGTTTTTTGGGTACTTACTCTTATGAAATAACATGATAGTTTTGCCATGTTAGTGTCAGTCTCTCTTGATCAATTGAGACTTGACTCTAACACTAAGGAGCTCGATTAAAAAAAGTAAAAACCATTTACTGATTATACCAACTAGTTTTATCAGAAAACAAGTGAGGAGATCTAAAATAATTCTAGAAGTAAATCTAAAGGAATGATAATTTATGATACATTAAAGATTTCAAATTATTTAGTAGATTAAACTAACGTCTTTCATTGCGGTAAGCCTCTTTTAATTGTCTAGTTCTGAACAGGTTAATTTTTTTAAAATCTTTTTTTAATTTTTAGATAGATAAATCAGTTTGGATAGGTAAGTTAGACTGGAGAGACATCCTGAAAACTAAGTTTTAACAAATGGAATCAGTTAAAAGTAATCACTGTTCATTTTAAAAATAATTTCATAAAGAATCTTTAATCTTGAAAGAGTAAGGCAAATTTGTTTTTTTTCCCCCCCATTTTTTTTTTTTTTTTATACCAGGGCCACAGCCATCTCTGGGAGTTAGTTTTGGAACGCCATTCGGCTCAGGTATTGGCACTGGCTTGCAATCAAGTGGCTTAGGTTCTTCAAACCTTGGAGGTACACTTTAACTTTTCTAATATTTCATTGAACTATTATATATTTGAATTGATACTAGCCTGTAAAAAAAAATTTCTAAGAGAATCTCCTGCTATTTTGGAAGTTAAGGTTCCATCTGGCAAAAATGATTCTCAAACATAATTATTGCTTTCTAATATTAGATTTAGAACTTAAAGAATCATTCCATCTTCTGTGAACAGCAAATATAAAGTATTAAAATTAAGTGGTAGGCATGTTCATGTTTTCAAAGCAATATGCTGACACATGAACTTGAGAATTCTTTAGTTTTAATCATCTTAATTAAAAATCTTAAAATTAATAGTCTTAATGTTAGTTTGGAGTCTGAACTACTTCTGGATGATATACATTCTCCTAATCAGTATCTTCTTTTTTCTGAAAATGAGTACTTAGGGAAATTATTATGAATTGAACAGCTCAACTCATGTCCATTTCTAAGCACATTTGGCAAATTTGCCTATATACATGCTTGTTTACATAAGCAATTAAGCTTATTTTAATACTTTCATAAGGTTAGTAAGGTAAGTCCTCTGCAAAAACATCATGCTAAATACAAATGCATTCACAATTCTTTGATATGGATAACTGAAAGTTGGTTGTATTTTCACAGGCACATTATAATGTAATGAATAAGTTGCCCTTATTTCCACTAAAATATAAGACGGGAGACCTATAAGCTATTACGGTTGTTTAATATAGACTCTGTTCTAAATTAGGAATTATTAGAATCTGGCAGATAGCATAATTCCTATAATCTATAATTAATTTGCCATCACATTTCTTATTGTTACAGGCAATGATACTGTCACACTCAGTATTTTAGATAAGCTATTGCAAAATAACCAAAAAAGAATTTGAACTTTATTTGTAGAGCACCTGTCTCTTAGGAGAGTGGAAACTAGTCTTCAAGTACTTAGAATGTCATGAACTTTGTGTGATGAAAAATACTTCTTTTTTTAAATGATGAAGATAGTATTGTTAAGAGAAAAACCATGATCTTCTCACCACCAATTTTTCACTGTTAAACTGGCTGGTAGTATGGCAGGAATCTACTGTTACTGAGTAGATTTAAAGTGCTTGATTATGTAGTTATGCAGAGTTTTTCAGCGTTTCAGATTCTTAATTAAAAATGTTTTGGGAAAGAGCAGAGTAAAATAACCTTGTAGTATTTAGTGTTTACATTGTAGTGCATGTCATGCTTATTAATGTATTTAGTCCTTTTTTTGTGAAATGAAATACCCCTAAAGTGGAAATGGTTATAACTGACTAAAATCATACTTGAATGGTGGGTAAAATTTTCTAGCACATTTAGAAGAGAAAATACTAATTTCTTTTTTATGGCCTTGTTCTTTAAAAATTGATGGGTCACAAACTTAGTCTAAATAGATATAAACGTTTTATTTCAGAATTAGTCTAGTTCTTCTAAAAGTCTCATGCAAAGGAGTAAGCAGATTTCCTTAATAAGGCCATGTTTTTCAGCACTGTATCTGTTAGACCTCTGATGATTTTCGGTTGTACTTGTCCATATCCTTTAACCTGTGTTTTATGTGCCATTGTATATTTTTCTATTACCCTTCCACTAGGATTTGGAACTAGCTCTGGTTTTGGATGCAGCACCACAGGGGCCTCCACATTTGGATTTGGAACAACAAATAAACCCTCAGGAAGTCTTAGTGCAGGTTTGTGTGTTTCTGCCTGGATTTCAGGCAAATTTAAAGGTGTAAATTATTTAATTTAAAAGTATGTGTTGTTATTTCCAGTAACCCAAAAAGTTCCCTCCCTGATTCAGTTTTTACTCCCTGGATGAAGTGTGCAAGCCTAACTAATCATTTTACTTTATCTCTCTCATAAACTAAAGGGCAGGTTTGTAAAATACTTCTAACAAGACTTCTTAGTTTGATTTAATAATTAATTACATCTTCTAACTCAGAGATTCATTTGAACTCTAGTGACTAACTTCATGGTTAAATAATTTTCTTCATTATTACAAAAAGGAACCCATCATTGTGAAAGTTTAAGTTTTTTGTCATAATTCATCCTGGAGAATGATTTCTATTCCAGGGTCCCTCTGGTTTTAAGAATACCACAGTCTTACAAATGATTATTAATTTAGTTTCTTGTTCATTTTTGAAATAGGTATAATTTTTTGACTCTTCTTATGAAAAATTCCAAATTTCATCTACTTTTGCATTTATATTGGTAAATATGGCTTGTTTTAATGTGCAGTGCTTAGGGACAAATACCATATCTAATGTAATGACATAATACTGTGAAAGATGTGTTTAAATTTAGAGAATTTGAAGGAATTAAGTAGCGTTTAAAATCAGCAGTTCCAGTGGAGGAAGATAATAATAGGATTCCATGTTATCAGGATTATAATTGAAATATTGTATTAGTTAACTAGGCAGTAGTAGTACTAGATCTTAATTTTGCAAAAGCTCTTATAAAATCAAAACAGTAAGTACTGCTCTTTTGTTTGTTCATTGTCTTGAACATTGTGGGTTGAAGCTTTCCTGGAGGACTTGGGATTGCAAGGGTAGGTCCAGATATGTGAATGTCTCTCTTCTACATGTTGATAAAATGTTTTTGGTGGGTCTAAGGAGGAAGGCACCTTGACATATTTAATTAACAGGAAAGTTTCTGGCAACTTGAAGTTTATATAGATTTTAGTAATTTGTGCTAAGGTTTCTCTTTTGACCTGCATCACTACACTCTCTTTCAGGGTGCCACTTAGTTGTTAGCTATATTATTTTCCTGTTAAAATTTCATGTTAGAAATTTAGGGCTTTAATATATTTGCTATTCTTACAGATTATGTATTCTTTTAGATAGAAATTTACTGCTCCTCCCTGTTTTTATATTTGTTTTTGGAATTCAACTTCTGATATGAATATTTTTTTCCCTAAACATAAGGCTTTGGCAGCTCAAGTACATCTGGGTTTAACTTCAGCAATCCTGGCATCACGGCATCAGCTGGTTTGACTTTTGGGGTGTCCAATCCTGCCTCTGCAGGTTTTGGAACAGGAGGACAACTCCTTCAGTTGAAGAAACCTCCAGCTGGAAACAAAAGAGGAAAAAGATAAACATGGGTTGATGTGTTGAGAGAATCCATAGCAGCACCGTTCATTCTATGAGTCTATTTTTCTAATGATGCAGTAATTAAATTGCATCCCAGGAGATTTATAAAGTTTTGATATTTTTCCCTACTCTGGAATTTGAACTTTCTTCATGTTTGCCATACTGAACATCTTTTTTCTTGTGGAATTTAAAGTCCAGCTGTGTTTTCTTTTTAATTTGATTCTCAGTGTAAGAAATGTTCTGATTACATCACTGATTGGTAATGGTTAGAAACCATTAACCTAAAACTTACTATTTAACCTAGTGTTTTTGTTGATGAGGTTTACATTATGTGAATACATGCACATTTGTTTCTTATACAGGTGGTGTGAACTCTAGGGCCTATACTAGAATCAATTTGTTCCTTGTTAAAGGCCTTTTGAATTATACTGCAGGGCATCTTGTGAATATGTATGTAAATATATACAGAATAATACACACAGTTGTGTGTGCATATAAAATACATATTTACGCCAGGCGTGGTGGCTCACGCCTGTAATCCCAGCACTTTGGGAGGCCGAGGCAGGCGGATCACCTGAGGTCAGGAGTTTGAGACCAGCCTGACATGGTGAAACCCCATCTCTACGAAAAATACAAAAATTAGCTGGGCATAGTGGCGGGTACCTATAATCCCAGCTACTCGGGAGGCTGAGGCACGAGAATCACTTGAAGCCGGGAGGTGGGGGTTGCAGTGAGCCGAGATCACACCACTGCACTCCAGCCTGGGCAACAAGAGCAAAACTCCGTCTCAAAAAAGATGAAAATAAAATAAAATATATATTTACAGGCCTACAACTTTTGCCTCAGACTGTTCCCCTTTTCTAAGGGTATTCAAGTTTTCACCTTTTAAGCTTCATATCCTCAGTGCTTGTAGAATGATGAGCTTAGAGGTACCAGGTCATTGCAGTTGTTTGCTTAAAGACTTATTGAAATGGTTACTGGCGTAAATACTTGGCCAACTCAACTTTATTGCCCCTGATCTTTTCCATTTTTGTTTCCACCTTAACCTATAGCAGCTCCTCCAAATGAGGAATGCTGTAAGTAAGACTCATCAAACAGATTTTAACCATTTTATTATCCTGTGTGTCCTTACATTGCTTCTGTGAGATGTTTTTTTCTTATCTGAGATGAACTTTCAGGAGCCTATTTGAACTCCAGACTGGTGTTCTGGGGCAAAGAGCTATTAGCCAAACTGATTCTATGCAGGTGAAGGATGCACTAAAGTTCTCACTTTAGTGAGAACTTTTCTAGCTATTCCAATACAGAGTTCTTTCTTATAGGGCTATTGATATTGACACCAAATGGAGTGGCTTCTCAGCCTCTTAATGTCTTAAGTAAGTGCTTAATTTGGAATAGAGAAACCAGTATATTTTAAAAAAGAAAAATATTCTTTGTAGCAACTGTAAATTCTCCCATTATAACAGTGAACAGAGCTCCAGGTAATAACGCATAGGCATGTCAGGTTGCATCTGTATATTTGACTACATTAGTATTAGTGACATCAGGTGGATATAAAAGAAAACCCTTGGAAAGAGAACTGCCTTAGCCATGATTTCGTTAGTAGACCTATTTATGATTCAATTGCAATTTTCAGATAGGATGTGAACATGGAATTTCATTGAAAATAGTTTAATTTTTTATATAAAAGGTTTTGTATATAATGTGTGTCAGTGACTATTTTCAAAATCATTTTCATCAAGACACCTTTTTTCTAAAATAGGCATTGCATACACATATGCACACGTATGTGCATGTGCCACACATTTTTTGTATAATGTTGGGTTTGATTATAAAAGTGTTGTCAAATGTTTTATTTATCTGCATATAGCAGTGGTTGGCTTTTTTGAATTGAAATTTTTGCGCATTGATGCATTGAAATAAGGAAAATTATTTATCTCTGAGCACTAAACTTATTTTTGCATATTTCTGTAATATTGCAGTCCCCAGATCCAGAACATGGGAAGTTAGGGAAAATGTGTGATTTTGTGTTTTGAATTACTGTCAGAATTACATACACAATTACAACAAACTTTTTTTAAAAGACATTTCATTGTACTGCAAAAATCTGAATATTTATATTTCTTGTTTTTTTCTTTATATGTTTTGCATTTTAATATGTTGAGCCACTGGAAATTTGTAACAGATTAATTTGTTATAGGAGTTTAAATGTGTTGTCATTGTCTCCATTGTCTTTGTCCAGAGCCTATTATTATGGAAACAATAAAATTTATTGTGTCAGTTGCTTTGATTCTTTATAGGTGTCAGTAGCTGTTCTTAATATGTAATTTTATTATTGCTCTTTTAGTCTCCGGTTGGGTTTTAGTATATTCCCTTCATTGGTTTATACATCTTGCTCTTTTTTAAACAGAAGAGTGAACATAAGATAGTAAATTATTTCTCACTTGCTTTTGTCTTCTCAAAATGACAAAAACAGTGAACATTTTTAGTTATAAAGAATAATATTGAGTAAAAAAGGAAAAATCCCTTTGAACTTTTGGGCCCTAATTCCCTTCCATTTCCTAGTGTGCAGTCTGATGGTTTGATATGTATCCTTGTAGACCCTTTTAAATATGTCTTAAAAGAATATATAAATGTTACTTCTCTTTTCTTTTTCTTTTATATTCTCTCTGATTTTTTATCACATTTTATTCTCTTGGATCCCTCTTTACTTTTTTAACAAATAGGTTAAAAAGTTTGTGTTCTGGACTTGTTCTTTTTCCCTTCTATTAGTATATCATCAGCATCTTTCTGTGTCTATATAGATTTACTTTTTACATACTGTCCCATAGAATGGGTGTACAATGATCTGTTTCAACTACTGTGTGGTTTTTTTAGGAAATGTAATTTTTTAAAATTTTTTTTATTTCCATAGATTATTGGTGAACAGGTGGTATTTGGTTGCATGAGTAAGTTCTTTAGTGGTGATTTGTGAGATTTTGGTACACCCATCACCTGAGCAGTAGGCGCTGACCCAGTTTGTAGCCTTTTATCCCTCACCCTCTTCCCACCCCTTCCCCTCTTAAGTTCCCATAGTCCATTGTATCATTCTTAATGCCTTTGTATCCTCATAGCTTAGCTCCCACTTAGAGAACATAGGATGTTTGGTTTTCCATTCCTGAGTTTCTTCTCTTTTTTTAAATTTTTATTTATTTATTTAAATTTATTATTATTATACTTTAAGTTTTAGGGTACATGTGCACAATGTGCAGGGTAGTTACATATGTATACATGTGCAGTTTCTTCTCAGAGTAATAGTCTCCCAATCCCATCCAGGCTGCAAATGCCATTAATTCATTCCTTTTTTTTTTTTTGAGATGGAGTTTCACTCTTGTCGCCCAGGCTGATGCCATCTCGGCTCACTGCAGCCTCTGCCTCCTGGGTTCAAGCAGTTCTCCCTCAGCCTCTGGAGTAGCTGGGATTGCAGGCATGATTACGCCTGGCTAATTTTTGTATTTTTAGTAGAGATTTAAGTAGAGATGTATTTTACCATGTTGGCCAGCCTGGTCTCAAACTCCTGACCTCAGGTAATCTGCCCGCCTCGGCCTCCCAAAGTGCTGAGATTATAGGCGTGAGCTACCATGCCCAGCCAATTCATCCATTCCTTTTTAGTGGCTGTGTAGTATTCCACATATATATGTATATATATATATATATATATACACATATATATATACGCACACACACACATACATACACACACACACCCCACACCAACTATTCTCTGGATGGTTAGGTTCATTTGACTATTTCAGTTTCTTCGGGGTTGATTCTGGAAATAAATTGCTGAAAAGTCATATAAATTGTGTGTTTTAATGTCACATTGCCTTCCCAAAATGCTATACAAATATATACTCCTACCAGCATGTATATCCATTTCCTAGTATTCTTTGTGATCCCAGTTAATTGTAATCCTAATTATAAGTCTTTGTGAGGTCAACCTTTTTAATATGTATCAGCTATTTGTATGTTAATGTAATTGCTTATTATATCCTTTGGCAATTTTTATACCAAATTAGGGTTTTTTCTTAATGATTTGTAGGACCTCTGTAGATAATAGGTATTAATATTTTTCCTGAGAGATATGTCTAGTCAGCTGTGTTCAGAATCCCGCCTTGACCATGTGTGATTTTAAGCAAGTTATGTAACTTCTAGACTTCAGCTTTATCCTCTAGAAAATAAGGATGATATACATGGGTGGTTATACTAATAATATAATCTAAAGCATTTGGATAGTGTAACCCCTGACACCTGAGAAGCATTAGGTCTTCCTGCACCAATACCCCACTGCCTTAATCATTGTAGCCGGATGCTTTATTTGTATACCTGATAGGAAGCTGCTTTATCTTAGCCTTTTTGTTTGTTTTTGTGTGGGGAGGCTATTCTAGGACACTTAGTCTTTAAGATGAACTTTAGTGTCTATTTTATTGAGTTTGATTTTTCTTTAAAAATTCTGAGATTTTTATTGGATTTACACAAAATACGTCCTGGGGGAAATTGACAACAATAAGCACAGCATGATACATGCATCTGTTGGGTCTTTTGTTCTTTTAACAAAGTTTTTATTAGATTCTTGTTTGATTATTTTTACTAACCATCTTGATTTGAATTGAGTGCAAATTTTTATCCTGTAGTAGGTATGAGGTCATTTACATTATTACAACCAGTTATTTCCTGTCCTTTCTGATGATAATATAGTAAATCCGAGTTAATGTCCTACCTTTTCTGTGAATAAGGCTGACTTTGCCACACTTTTTGAAGCACACACCAAGACAGGCTTATTCAGTCACAGGATTCTGGGCCTTGCTAACATGAGCCAGTGTCCTGGGAAGTCTTGAGTTGGCATACCTAACTTAAATCTCATGCACAAAGTCCTCTTTGCCTCTTACATCACATCCCCATTTATTGGGTGCATAGTCTGTCCTGGGTACCACTCAGCATTTTATATACTTGACCATGTTTAGTCTGAATATTACTGTGTAAAGCAGAAATACCCAATTTATAGATGAAGGAACTGAGGCTAAGGTTAAGCAACTTACTTGAGGTCGCATAGCTAAGTCATAGGGCTGGGTTTTAAACCCAGACCTGTTTAATTCCAAAGCACAATATTTTACTGCCTGTCTCTGATCAAGGAATAGCGTGCTGATTTTCATGACTAACTGAAAGGCACTGAAGGTAATGTGATTACACAGTTCATATGGGGGAAACTACAAGTATGTGATAGATCAGGGCAAAGTAAGGTAAGTACCTAGGTCTATGTGATTTAAAAGGAGAGGGAATACTATCTGTGGTGTAAAGAGCGTTATAAAGAAGCAAGAGCCGGACTTGTGCAGTCCATCTTTGACCTTTTCTTGCTGGTTCCCTATGAAGAGGTTTATGGAGAAAAGCATCATCCCAGCAACTGGATGATGGGGGCGGTGGGGGGGGGTCTGTCCACCTTGGAAAAGGTAAGCAGAGCCATTTTGACTATTTGAATTTTAGGAACTGTCAAAGAGAAGTTTAACAAGAAAACCCTTCCTGGAAGGCTTGTATGACCCCTGTGACTCAAAAGAGCACCACATGCTCAGACCAAGTGAGACTTGCTGGTACAGATCAACTGGCCCTTTAAAAAGCTCAAGAGAACCAGGGAGACAGGCAAGAATGAGAGGCCGCAACATACATAGGAGAGAGTAGGGATTAATGGAAAAATTGACTGTGGCCCAGAATGGTTTTTGCCTTTTTCCCATTCATTCAGTAGAATGTGTTTGTTTTTTCTACCTAGTCTATTTGTCAGCTAATGGAAACAAAAAACCTACCAGGCTTACAAAGGTTTCATTGCTGACAAGTGTGCTGCAGAATTAACTTGGGGAGAACTCCTTTCTTGTCATCACCACCCCTCTTTTAATCCCCCGGGAAGCAAGTCAGTTTAATTCAGTAAACATTCCTTAATAATTTGTGTGATCCACTGCTGGGAATTTAGGAATATAAATACATATGGGTAGGATATTGTCTATACTCAATAGCTAACAGTGCTAAGCAGGGGCCAGGATCTACTCTTATGAGCTGCCATACGTTAACTCATTTAGTCCTCAATCCCGTGAGCTGGGTAGTGTTGTTCCTTTTTTTTACAGGTGAGAAAACAGGCACAGTTGTTAAATAATATCACCACTCAACTAGCAAGTGAATGGGCCAGAATTCAAACCCAGGCAGTCTATGTAGAGTCTATGTAGGCTTTTAACTTTACATAAATTAATGATATAAAGTGGGCTTTCTTAAGTTAAAGGGATACAAGAAGGCCAGGCGTGGTGCTCATGCCTGTAATCCCAGCACTTTGGGAGGCTGAGGTGGGCAGATCACCTGAGGTCGGGAGTTCAAGACCAACCTGACCAACATGGAGAAACCCTGTCTCTACTAAAAATACAAAAATTAGCCAGGTGTGGTGGCACATGCCTATAATCTCAGCTACTCGGGAGGCTGAGGCAGGAGAATCGCTTGAACCCAGGAGGCGGAGGTTGCAGTGAGCAGAGATCGCACCATTGCACTCCAGCCTGGGCAACAAGAGCAAAACTCCATCTAAAAAAAAAAAAAAAGATACAAGAAAAATTCTCGAGTATATGAGGAGATTAATTTGGCCTGAGGGAATCAAGAAAATAGGTGGCTTTGAGGAATAAATATGAATATGGTTTATATTTTATGAAGTATTTACAAGTTTAAAGAACCATGTATTTAAAATGTTAAATTTGAACAACATAAAGGGGTTCAAAATAAAAAGCAACTAACACTTCACCCTCCAGAGGAGGTTTGTATCCCTTATCTCAAATGCTTGGGACAAGAAGTATTTCAGATTTTAGAATATTTTCATATACATAATGACATCTTGGGGATGGGATCCAAGTTTAAACATGAAATTCATTTATGTTTTTTATACACATAGCCTGAGGGTAATATTATACAATATTTTAAATAATTTTTTGTGTGAAATGTAGTATTGACTGACCCTTCACATGAGGTCAGATGTGGAATTTTCCATTTGTGGCTTCATGTTGGCACTCAAGTTTCAGATTTTGGAGCATTTCAAGTTAGGGATTCTCAACCTGTATTTGCATTCCAGCTCATGGGAAGAAGGAATGAGTGAAGAGAATACCTTTCCTTTCAGGAGTATGAGCCAGCAGTTGCATACTTCTGCTCATACCACATTGGCCAGCACCTAGTCACATAGCTGCAAGTAGGTCTGGGGAATGTCTTTTGCTAGGTGTCCTGCACTCAGCTAAAAACAGCACTGGTAAGGAAGAAGGGGAGAATTTACCTAGGGTACAATAAGTAAATCTCCACAGGCTGCTGGGCCTCGGCTTGCCTCCTGAGCAGGGTTATAACCTCGATGTCTTTGTTAGCAACCACAAGTCTCAGTGCTCCAACGTTTTCACACTTTCACTTCATTTTTGGTTTCCAAGGATTTACTTTTTGGCTAATTCAGCTATGCATCTAAAAGATGTTTTTAAAAATTGCCCTCATTATTTTCAGGTGTTTTGTAGTGGGGCTGTGTTTTAGGAGTCTACTCCATATACAGCTAACAGAAGGCCATAATGGAGCTTGTTTTTGTAGATGTTTTTATAGGTGCATTAATAAAAATTCTTTCAAATCATTGTTTACATCTTCTCAATTAGCCAAACAAGGATCGATCTAAAGAACAATACTCTTGTTTTAGTAACTTAAAAAACAATAATGTGCTGAGCATTTACTCCTTCTGGTGTCGAGAATTTCTACTCCTCTATACCATGTTTTACTTGCAGTTGATTTAGAACGAGAAATTCTTTTTAAATCCTGATAATAAACATATTTTGTGGATATCTATTATAATCCAACAAGGGAGTGTCTGGCAAGTCGTTCTCCCTTGGTTGAGAAGCAGTGCAGTCTGCACTGTCCACAGTGGTAACCACTGGCCATGTGTGGTGGGCGTGATTGAGGAACTGAACTTTTAACTTTAATTTTTATCTATTTAAATTTAAAAACTGACACACCATTCAAATATTGGGCGACATTTAAGTGTGTTTGGAAAAACTTGAGTATATGAGTCTACATTGTCAATTGTAAAATTTATAAAATCTAAATGCAAATTAAATTTCAAAGGAAATTTAGCATTCAAATTGAAAATTCTTTAGGTATAAAATTCACACTGGATTTTGAAGACAGTATGAAAAATGCCAAATATTTTGTTAATGATTTTGTATTGATGACATGTTGAAATAAGTATATTTCAAAATGTTTGTTTCCTTGTTTTAATGTGGTTAGTATAAAATGTATTATTATTATTTTGAGATAGGAGGGTCTTGTTACATTGCCCAGGCTGGTCTTGAACTCCTGGGATAAGTAATCTTTCCACCTTAGCCTCCCAAGTAGCTAGGATTACAGGCACACACCATCACACCTGGCTAGTATAAAATTTAAAGTTATATATGTGGATCGCATTATATTTCTGTTAGACTATGCTGCTGTAGACGGTGCAGACCGTGGTTCTGGGAGCAAATATGGCTTATATGTCTAAAAGAGAAATAAATTACAGATAATTTAATTTGCTTCTTTTTGCCTCTTATATCAATTGTTAAAGCATTTTCCTACTTGGTATCCCTGCTTTCTTTGTCTACCCTTGTTCATCATCAGAGCTCCTACAGTTATCTTCACAAACAGGGTCATGTCAAGCCGATACTCATTGGTGCTCTTTATTTCAAACTCTTTTTCGTAACATACAAAGCCCCTCATAGTCTGGCCTCTACTTTTACCAGTCCCTCCTGACACTTTCCCACACCAAGACCATTCCCGAACACTATGCTCTTTCACACCAGGGGCTGTTTCTTTTGTCTGGAGTAACTGTTAGCCCTTCAGCATCATCTTTCCTCATCCTTCTCTAACTACCCCCGACAAAGTTAGTTTGTACCTCTTCACTCTGGTTAATACAGGCTTCCAATACAGGCTTACCAAGTTATATTTTTATTATTTGGTGGTATCTTTGTCTCCCATATTAGGCTGCATAATCCCAGGACAGGAGCCCTGTCTTAGTTTGGGTTTATTTTTGCTTACGGTCTAACCAGATTCTATTAATGTTTATTAATTAAATAATGCAGTGGGAAAAGGGTTACTTCAGTGACCCTCCCTGTTGATCTTTCTCCATATAGGCCTTGGAACCATGCTACTAGGGTTAGAATCTCAGCTTTATCACTTGGTAGCTCTAGTTAGGCAAGTTATTTAACATCTTTGTGCCTCATTAGTAAAATGAAGATAAGAATCCATCTTATAGGTTGACTGTGAAGATTAAAATGGTTTAGCTTACGTAAGGTGCTTAAATATATTCCTGGTGTAAGCTAAGATGCAATAAATATTAACTATTGTCATAATACAGTCTAAACGATTTTTCTCTTTCAGGCAACAAATCACAGGTTTTAACTGAATTTCGAAAACCCAGTGTTACAGAAACCAATGAAATAGGAAGAAAAATACAGTTCTGAGCAGTCCTTGAATCAACAAATATCTACCTTTAAGGAACTTCTAATTCTCATTTTGTAAATCCCATTATTCAAGAAAAGCACATTAAGCTTAGAGTAGGTTTGATCAAGATGTTTAGAATTAAGGAAATAAAACTTGCCTTTGGTGTTTAAGGACAATCTAATGGCTCATATACCAGATCCTCGGAGTATTTAGAGGAACTGGGAAGCAGACCACTAATTCAATGTATAGAAGGCACTGGTGGAAAACTCACGGAGTAGGAAAAGTCGGTGCAAAATAAAATTTACCAAGTATAGTGAATTAAATACTTCTAAGTTCCAATTATGCAACTCACTCTTTTTAAAAAAAAAAACACATTTTATTGAAATATAATTCACATACCATTACAGTTCACCCATTTGAAGTAAAATTCAGTAGTTTTTAGTGTATTCACAAAGTTGTACAATATTATCACAATCTAGTTTTAATTAAAAAAAAATTTTTTTCAGATTGCCTGAGCTCAGAAGTTCGAAACCAGCCTGGGCAACATGGCAAAACCCCGACTCTACTAAAAATACAAAAATTCGCCGGGCATGGTGGCAGCACCTGTAATCCCAGGTACGCGGGAGGCTGAGGCACAAGAATCGCTTGAATTTGGCGGCGGAGGTTGCAGTGAGTCGAGACTGCACCACTGCACTCGAGCTTGGGTGATAGAGCGAGACTCTGTCTCAAAAAAAAAAATTTTTTTTAGAGATAGTCTCTGTCACCCAGGCTGGAGTGCAGTGGGGTGATTATAGCTCACTGCAGCCTCCATCTCCTGGGCTCAAGCAGTCCTTCCGCATCTGCCTCCCAAGTAGCTGGAACTATAGCCATGTGCCACCATACCTGGTTAATTTTTTTTTTTTTTTTTTTTTTTTGAGATAGGGTCTCTCTATGTTGCCCAGGCTGGTCTCGAACTCCTGGCCTCTAATGATCATCCCACTTTGGCCTCCCAAGGGGCTGGCATTACAGGCATGAGCCACCATGCCCGGCCACAGTCTAGTTTTAGAACATTTTTTTCACCACCCTCCCGACCCCCCCCAAAAAAAACCCATAAGAACATTTTGTCACTCCTTATTCCACCCTAAGTCCTAGGTAATCATTACTCTCTGCCTCTCTAGCCTGTTCTGGATTTGTTTATATAAATGTGACCTTCTTTCACTTCTTTTTTTCATCTTCTTTCACTTCACATAATGTTTTCAAGGGCCATCCATGTTGTAGCACATATGAGTAGTACTTCATTCCTTTCTATTGTCAAATAATTTTGTTTTGTTTGGCTTTTTTTTTTCTGGAGATGGAGTCTCACTCTGTCACCCAGGCTGGAGTGCAACAGCATGATCTCGGCTCACTGCAATCTCCGCCTCATGGGTTCATGCCATTCTCCTGCCTCAGCCTCTCAAGTAGCTGGGACTACAGGCGCCCGCCACCACGCTTGGCTAATTTTTTGTATTTTAGTAAAGACGGGGTTTCACCTCGTTGCGCAGGCTGGTCTCAAACTCCTGAGCTCAGGCAATCCACCCGCCTCAGCCTCCCAAAGTGCTAGGATTACAGGCATGAGCCACCATGCCTGTCAAATAATATTTGATTGTGTGGGTATAACACATTTTATTTATCCATGCATCAGCCGATGAACATCTGTTTCCATTTTTTGGCTATTGAGTATTACTGCTGTGAATATGCATGGACAGATTTTTGTGTCAATGCATGATTCCAATTATCTTGGGGTATATACCTAGAAGCAGAGTTGCTAAGTCATATGGTAACTCTATATTTAATATTTTGAGGAACTGCCAAACTTTTCCAAAGTTGCTGCACCATTTTACATTCTTACCCGCAATGTAGGAGGGTTCCATATCCTTTATTGTCTGTCTTTTTTACTAATAGCCATCCCAGTGAGCATGAAGTAGTATCTCATTGTGCTTTTGATTTGCATTTCCCTAATGACTAATGTTGAACATCTTTATTCACATACTTATTGTCCATTTGCATATTATGCAACTCATTCTTATGTATATACCATTTCTGTGTTCATCCAATTAGCCAACAAATATTTGTGAGCAACTATTATGTGTCAGACATTTTTTAAAGTGTTGGAATAGGTAAGTGCACACATCAAACAAAAATTCCAGGCCAGGTGCAGTGGCTCACGCCTGTAATCCCTGCACTTTGGGAGGCCCAGGCTGGAGGATCACTTGAACTCAGGAGTTCAAGACCAGCCTGGGCAACATGGTGAAAGCCTGTCTCTACAAAAAATACAAAAATAAGCCGGGAGTGTTGGCACCCACCTGTAGTCCCAGCTACTCAGGAAGGTGATGTGGGAAGATCGCTTGAGTCTAGGAATTCGAGGCTGCAGTGAGTCAAGATCACACTCCTACACTTCAGCCTGGGTGACAAAGTGAGACCCTGTCTAAAACAAAACAAAACAAACAAAAAAAATCCAGCCCTCTAGTTGGGGGACATTCAACTAGAACATATATTCTAGTTGGGGGACATAGGCAATATATAAGATAAATAAGTTAAATATGTAGGCTGTTAGGGGGTGATAGTACTATGGAAAGAAAAAAAGTAGAGAAGGATAGAGACTGCTGGGGGTGAAGCTTGAAATTTTAAATAAAGCAGCTAGAGAAAGTCTTGCTGAGAAAATGGTGACTGAGTAAAGACAGATGGCCGTAAGGGAGGAAGCCATGCAGAGATAAGGAGAAAAGAGGCCCAGAAAATAGCATTTGAAAACAGAGAAATGAAATGTCATCAGATTGCATAGAGCCTTGTGGGCTTTGATAAGGACTTTGGCTTTCACTGTGAGATCCTGTTTTTGGAGGATTTGTATGGAGAGGTAACATCTGGCCCCATCTTAACAGGATGTTGGAGGTGCGTGTATGTGCACATGTGTGAGGGGGTACTGGTTGCCACAATGACTGGGGACCAGGGATGCTAAACATTTTGCAACAGAGAACGATCTTCCACAAACTGTGAATTTAGAAGCCAAGCTGGGAAACACCACAGCAAGAAGGAATGAGGACATGAGTTGAGAGGCTATTCCTGCAATTCAGGTGAGAAGTGAGGGTGATTTTGTTGCCAGAAAAGGGGTCTTGGTCCAGACCTCAAGAAAGGATTCCTGGATCTCGTGCAGGAAAGAATTCAAGGTGAGTTGCAGAGTGCAGTGAGAAGAGATAGTTTATTGAAACCTACTCAGATACAGAGTAGGGTATCCTCAGAAGGCAAGAGGAGGAATGTGCCATCTTTGTATTAAACTTTTCTTATATAAGGGTCTTATCTACGTAAAAGCTAGGCTAAGTTATGTCTATGTGTGGGTGGACTGACAGCATGACAAAATTTAGTACTTTGTTGATTTAAAGAAAGTTATTTTTGGCATTTTAGTGCATGAGTACATCAACACATGGCTACATCTTAAAAGCATATATTGTTATGCGATATTGGGACATCTGGACATTCTGCTGTCATGGTCGTTTGTCCTTGCAGGCATTCCTAAATTGCTTCCTTAGCTGTAAACATCTTTTTTTCTTTTTTTTTTGAGACGGAGTCTCGCTCTGTCACCCAGGCTGGAGTGCAGTGGCATGATCTCAGCTCACTGCAAACTTTGCCTCCTGGGTTCAAGCAATTCTCTTGCCTCAGCCTCCTGAGCAGCTGGGATTACAGGCACTTGCCACCATGCCCAGCTAATTTTTATATTTTTAGTAGAGACAGGATTTCACCATGTTGGCCAGGCTGGTCTCAAACTCCTGACCTCCGGTGATCTACCTGCCTGGGCCTTCCAAAGTGCTGGGATTACAGGCGTGACCCACCGTGCCCAGCCTTTAGCTGTAAACATCTTATGATCATGGGTCGTCACTGGCAAAGGAGTGTGCCTTGCTGGCTTTAAGATGGAGTTGATTTCAAAATGGTGTCATCCTGGCTCTCCTATGCTCCTGTTTCCCTATCAATTTGGAGCAGGCTGGGGCAGTGTGGAGGATGACTCTGGATATATTCTGAAGTTGGAGTTGAGAGTACTAGCTGACAGATGAAATGTAGGGTGAGAATAAGAATCAGAGAAGACTTTGAGGATTTTGGTCTGAGTGTTGGGAAAAGTGGAGTTGGCATTAATTGAAAAGGGTAAGACTGGAGGAGGAATAGGTGGGGAAAGGGCTGCAGAATCAAGCGTGCAGTCTGAGACATTTGAAGTTTGAGATGTCTTTAGACATACAAGTGGGCATGAGGAGCAGACAGCTGGAAACACAAGTCCAGTTTAGAAGAGAGGCCTGAGGGGTGATATGAATGTGGGAATCTCATCAGGTCAGATGATCAACAGATGAGTGACTTAGAAAAGAGATAAGGTCTGGGGCTTCCCAACATGAAGAAGTCGGAGTAGTGAGCAGGAAGCAGCAGGGAGGCTCTGCATGTCCATGAGACAGGAGAAAGGAGTGAACTGTCAAGGATGGGAATATCTGGTTGCACTGAGAAGTGTGGGTGAGTGGAGCGCTAAGGAGGACAGCCCGACTGGAGTGGGGTCCTAGGAGCGTGGGGGGAGTCCCGATCTGGCTATTATGGTCTATTCCTCCAGTAGCCAATCCTTTCTGCTGATTACAGATATATACTCTGGATAAAACACAAAAAAGCTACTTGAGGGTTTTGAATAGTATGTAACAGAAGGCAGACTGTGGAAGGGAGTCAAAACTTAGAGAACTTCATGGGGCTGTTTCCCATTATCTTTTTTTGTTCTTTGGGGTGTTTTTTTTTTTAATATTTTGTGTTTTATTTTTTGTTTTTGTTTTTTTTCCCCCTCAATACTTTGCCCCAGGGGCAGGCTTCAGTGGCTGATCAGTGCAATTCATGTGGCTAAAACTCCAGTAGAAACTTCTCAGTCAGGGCCAGGCACGGTGGCTCACGGCTGTAATCCCAGCACTTTGCACTTTGGGAGGGTGAGGTGGGAGGACTGCTGGAGCCCAGGAGTCCAAGATCAGCTGGGCAAAATGGCGAAACCCTGTCTCTATAAAAAAATTAAAA
This sequence comes from Homo sapiens, assembly GCF_000001405.40. NCBI lineage: Eukaryota > Metazoa > Chordata > Mammalia > Primates > Hominidae > Homo > Homo sapiens. The sequence continues at coordinate 25,354,662 of NC_000013.11, forward strand.
ATTAACTGGGCATGGTGGTGCATGCCTGTAGTCCCAGCTACTTGCGAGGTTGGGGTGAAAGGATTCCTTGAAACCAGGAGGTCGAGGCTGCAGTGAGCCATGATCGTGCCACTGCACACCAGCCTGGAAGACAGAGGGAGACCTTGCCTCACACACACACACAAAATAAAATAAAATAAATTCAGTCTTTCTGACTACGGGAAGTCAGGCAAAAGAGCCCCTGTAGACTAGAGAGAGCGTATGTGTGGTAGGGGGCACTTGAGACGGGGAAAAAGCCAGAGAAGGGAATTCCATAATCTGTGTAAGTCTCAGATTAACCCCAAACCACGCATGTGCAGGGCAGACCCAAACCAGGTGAGCAAATGCTTAAAGAACTGAACTGAGGCTTGGATCACTGAAGGCAAAACAGAGCTTATGGTCTGAATTTAACCAGGGTGATTGTATGATAGAACAAAACATCAGCATTCTCTAAGGGATTAGAATAGAATCCAGAGTTTATATGACATAGCATGGACAGTGTTCCCAGGACATTGTACAAAATTTACCACCTACAGAGAACCAAAAAAATGTGACCCATCCCCAAGACAAAAGACAACCCTGAGATGCTCAATGAAGTGAGGAAAAAAAACCAAAAAACAAACCCCGCCCCCACACACACACATGCACACAAAACCAACCCAGGAAATCTCAGTGGAGAAATAAAAACTACAATAAAGAACCAAATGAATATCTTAGAACTGAAAACTATGGTATCTGTAATAAAAATTTACTGTAGAGGCCAGGCACGGTGGCTCACACCTGTAATCCCAGCACTTGGGAGACCGAGGCAGGCGGATCACCTGAGGTCAGGAGTTCGAGACCAGCCTGGCCAACATGGTGAAACCCCGTCTCTACTAAAAATACAAAAATTAGCCGAGTGTGGTAGCGGGCACCCGTAATCCCAGCTACTCAGGAGGCTGAGGCAGGAGAATCGCTTGAAGCAGGGAGGTGGAGGTTGCAGTAAGCCAAGATCAAGCCATTGCACGCCAGGCTGGGTGACAAGAGCAAGACTCCATCTCAAAATAAATAAATAAATAATAAATAAAAATTACTGTAGAAATCAATAACAATGAAAATGATAGAAGAGTCAGTGAACTTGAAGATCGATTAAAATGATCAAATCTGAACTGAGAGAAAAATGGTTGAAAAGAATGAATATGAGCGCTCCTACTGCAGAGCCAGCCGCGCCAAATAATGTCTCTATGATACTCGAGAACTTTCATTTTTTTCCAGGCTCGTTCGGATTTGGGGTGGTTTTTGGTTTTGTTCCCCTCCCCAACTCTTACCCTCACCTTTTTTTTTTTTAAATTTTTTTACTGGTGTTATATCTTTGATTCTCCTTCAGCCCTCCCCGTTCTCATTTTTCTTGATCAACATCTTTTCTTGCTTCTGTCCCCTTCTCTCACCATATCTCTTAGCTCCCCTCCAACCTGGGGGGCAGTGGTGTGGAGAAGCTGCAGGCCTGAGATTCCATCTGCTCTCCTTCCTGGAGCCCAGAGTGGGGCAGGAGAAGGGGGTGGCATCTTCAGCTCCTCAGCACTGAGGAAGAATGGGGCTCTTCTCATTTCACCCCTCCCTTTCTCCCCTGCCCCCAGGACTGGGCCACTTCTGGGTGGGGCAGTGGGTAACAGATCGGCTCACACTGAAAATGTAAGAACTACAAACAAAATTTCTATTAAATCAAGTTTTGTGTCTCCAGAAAAAAAAAGAAAGAAAGAATGAATACAGTTTTAGGGACCTGTGGTATAATATCAAAACATCTAACATCTGTGTAATAAGAACACCAGTGTTAGAGTTAAAGAGTGGGCCAAAGACAACATTTAAAGACATACTAGCCAGAAACTGTCTAAATTTGGTGAAAGGCATACATGTACAGATTCAAAAGGATCACCAAACTCCAAGCAGAACAAGTTTAAAGACATCATGCCCAGACATAATCAAACTGTATAAGACCAAAGATAAAGAAAAGTTCTAACTCACTGTAGAAAAATGACCAATTGCACGTGAAGGAAAACTATTTGAATAATCATGGATTTCACATTAGAAACCATGAAAGACAGTGGATCAACATCTTTAAAGTGCTAAAAGAAAAAAACTGTCAATCCAGGATTCTATATCTAGTGAAAATATACTTTTAGGAATGAAAATGAATAGAAACATTGTCAGATAAAGGAAAACAAATCATTTGTCTCTAGGAGACCTCTATAAGAAATGCTAAAGGGGTTTCTTGAGGTTGAAAGAAAATGATACAAGATGGAAATTTGGATCCTATTAAGTTCTTTAAAACACATATGACTATTTAAAACCTAAATTATGACATTGTTAGGCAGGGTTTTCAAGGTACGTTGATATAATACTTATGATAACTCCTGACATAAAGAGTATTTGGCAGAGAGGAAAGGGACCTCCACGGTTGCAAGGTTTTAATGGTTTATGAACCCTAAATAGATTTGAAAGTTTAAGTATGTATATTGTAATGCCTAGAGCAATTACCACCACCAATAAATATACAAAGAGAGACAGCCAAAAGGTCAATAGAGGCTGGGCATGGTGGCTCTCACCTGTAATACCAGCACTTTAGGAGGCCGAGGCGGGCGGATCACTTGAGGTCAGGAGTTTGAGATCAGCCTGGCCAACATGGTGAAACCCTGTCTCTACTAAAAATACAAAATTAGCCAGACCTGTGGCACACACCTGTAATCCCAGCTATTCAGGAGGCTAAGGCAGGAGAATCGCTTGAACCCAGGAGGCAGAGGTTGCAGTGAGCCAAGATTGTGCCACTGCACTCCAGCCTGGGCGACAGAGTGAGACTCTGTCTCAAAAAAAAAAAAAAAAAAAAAGCGGGGGGGACGAAACTGAAGTAAGAGCAGAGACATAGTAACAAAAGAAAGTGCAGAGTTCATGGACACAGACGCTAGAAGGTGGGAGATGGGCGGGTGGAAGCTTGTGAAAGCTAACAGTGGTGATGCAAGTGGAGATAGGGACGTCTGAAGAGAGAGAAGATATAAAATAGTTACCCCGGCGCAGCAGTAGAGTGAAGAAGTTAGCTTGCCAAGCAATGCCCAGACATGCTCTTGAGGTTGGCAGTCATGAATTCAATGAGCTGGGCTTTTTTTTTTTTTTTTTTTTTTGAGATGGAGTCTCATTCTGTTGCCCAGGCTGGAGTGCAGTGGCGCGATCTCAGCTCACTGCAAGCTCCACCTCCCGGGTTCACGCCATTCTCCTGCCTCAGCTTCCCAAGTAGCTGGGACTACAGGCGCCCACCACCACGCCCAGCTAATTTTGTATTTTTAGTAGAGACAGGGTTTCACCGTGTTAGCCAGGATGGTCTCGATCTCCTGACCTCGTGATCCGCCTGTCTCACTCGGCCTCCCAAACTGCTGGGATTACAGACGTGAGTCACCGCGCCAGGCCGAGCTGGGCATTTTTCATCTCCACATTGAGATGTGAAGATTTCAGCATGTAGATGGAAGAGACTCAGATTAAATCAGGTTTCAGTTTTTGCCAAACAGAAACAATGAAGCTGGTGAGGGACAAGTGTTTGGGAGATGATGGCATTCAAAATGGGCGAGGGGGGAAAATGCAGAATCGAGGGACAATGGACTAGTTGTAGAATCAGTGGGTTTTAGGTCTCATAGGGTTGGAAGGATCACTGGATTTGATATTAGAAAAAATGTGCTGGAAAAATAGAAGCTGTTAGTAGAACGTGATGATTAGTAGAGTGTAATGATTGAAAATGAGGTTGGGAGAGAGGCTTTCCAGTTACTGATCATGACAATGTCCAGAGCTGTGTTTTCCAAAACAATAGCCACTGGCCTTGGGTGGCTATTTGAATTTAGATTAATGAAAAGTAAATCAAATGAAAATTTCATTTCCTCAGTCACACTAGCCACATTTTTTGTTTGTTTTTTAGATGGAGTTTTGCTCTTGTTGCCCAGGTTGGAGTGCAATGGAGTGATCTCAGCTCACCAAAACCTCCTCCTCCCGGGTTCAAGTGATTCTCCTGCTTCAGCTTCCTGAGTATCTGGGATTACAGGCATGAGCCACCAAGCCGAGCTAATTTTTATATTTTTGGTAGAGATAGGGCTTCACCATGTTGGCCAGGCTGGTCTCGAACTCGTGACTTCAGGTGATCCACCTGCCTCAGCCTCCCAAAGTGCTGGGATTACAGGCGTGAGCCACTGCGCCTGGCATAGCTGTTCCTTTTACTGCATGCGTAGGAATCTCCCAGAAGGTTGATATTGCAGACATGAAGGGAATGCATACTATTCTCAGAGGAAGATCCCACAAATGTTATCACAGCAAAACTGGAAAGAATCTAAAATGTGAAATACCATGCGGGGGAAATTGTTGGATCAAAGAAGGTATTTGTCGGGAGAATTAATGTGCAATTTAAGTATATTAAGTCCTGTAATTAACTGAGATAACTTCCAGGAACGTGAAGAGAAACAATGGGGAAAAAAAACGAAAGCGAAAAAACAGAAACAACAGGGTTCATCCTACTTCACCCCAGAAAAATCTGTTAATGAAGGCCCAAGGTAAAGAGTCTAAACTGCCAGAATTGACTCTATAAATTTATGTAGGACTGGTACAAAAGACATGAAGACTGTTATATGAAAAAATATAAAATATCAGAGCATATCACATACAGTAAGGGCAAGTATTGTTTTGTTAAACTGATTTTACTTGTAAGCATGTTGGCACACTGGGTTGGGATATAAAATGTGTTTCTTATTATGGTGAATGGTCAAAAGGTTTACAGACACTCCTCCAGAATATGTGAGTATGCAAATGTTCAAAGTCTTTTACGTTGTGAATTTACGCTCCCACCTGCAGCGTTTGAGAAGCCCTGTTCTACATCTCTACTAGCCTTAGTGAAGAGAAATTCCTTTATTTTTTCTAATTGGTATTAAATGGAATCTCCCAGTGGTTTAAATTTTTAGCTCCTAAATGACTAATAAGGTTTAAGGAAGGAGACCACCCCTCATATTGTCTTATGCCCAATTTCTGCCTCCAAAGAAAGAAGAAGTAAAAACTAAAAGGCAGAAATGAAATCCACAAGCAGACAGCCTGGCTCCATGCCCTGGGCCTGGTAGTTAAAGATCGACCCCTGACCTAATCGGTTATGTTATCTATAGATTATAGACATTGTACAGAAAAGCACTGTGAAAATCCCTGTCCTGTTCTGCTGCAATCTAATTACCAGTGCACGCAGCCCCCAGTCACGAACCCCTTGCTTGCTCAATTGATCATGACCCTCTCATGCGGACCCCCTTAGAGTTGTGAGCCCTTAAAAGGGACAGGAATTGCTCACTCAGGGAGCTCCGTTGTTGGAGACATGAGTCTTGCAGAAGCTCCTGGCTGAATAAAGCCCTTCCTTCTTTAACTCAGTGTCTGAAGGGTTTTGTCTGAGGCTTGTCCTGCTACAGCTTGAGAATATTTTCATATGCTTATGGACCTGTTCACGTTTCTTTTCTGTTAAATATCTGTGATATGTTTTGCCCGTTTTTTTATTGCATTATCTTTTTCTTATTAACTCAAAAATGTCAGCTGTTCATCCTTTGTTGGTTAACTATCTTATGCATATTTAATCCCAGTTCATGGCTTGTTTTTTCTATCTTTCATGTCTTTTGATGAGCAGAAATTCTTAGTTTTAATGCTGTTGAACTTCCTCATTTTTTGCTTTATGGCTTGTGTTATGTTTGTTTATTTAAAAAAATCTTTCTTTACTTAGAAGTTATAAAGGTATTATTCTCAAAAAAGAAAAAAGAAAGAAAATAAACAACCCAATTCTTGGGAGATGGGGAGCGAAACAAAAGTTATTTTCCATATTACACTATGATAGTTTTACTCTTTCCAACTGAAATTGACTCAGTTGGAAACTGACTCATGTGTATGATGTGAGAAATCTGGTTTCATTTTTATTTATTTATTTATTTATTTATTTATTTATTTATTTATTTTTTGAGACAGAGTTTCACTCTTGTTGCCCAGGCTGGAGTGCAATTGCACGATCTCGGCTCACTGCAACCTCTGCCTCCTGGGTTCGAGCGATTCTCCTGCCTCAGCCTCCCAAGTTGCTGGGCATACAGGCGTGGGCCACCAAGCCTGGCTGATTTTGTATTTTTAGTAGAGATGGGGTTTCACCATGTTAGTCAGGCTGGTCTTGAACTCCTGACCTCAAGTGACCCACCCACCTTGGTCTCCCAAAGTGCTGGGATTACAGGTGCCAGCCACTGTGCCAGGCCAATTTTATTTTTTTTTCACATGGAAACTGAACACTATTTGTTGAAAAATCTGTTTTTTCCATACTGCTCTAAGTATGACCTGTGTTATAGACCAAGTTTCATGTATGTGTGCATCCTTTTCTGTCTATTCTGCTCTATTGGTCTGTTTCTCTCAGCATTGAAACCACACTTAATTACTATAGAGTCTTAATTACCAACTTCTCTAACTTTATAACGAATCTAGTAGGTTAAGTTCTTCTACTCTGTTCATTTTAAGAGTGTCTTGTCTATTCTTGGCCTTTGGCTTTGCTTTACAAAATTGAGAATTTGCTTTTTAAGTACATGGAAATTCCCACTAGTTTTCCATTTCATTATGTAATCCAAAAAGTGACTGAGGCAGATCTCAATTGATTAGAGGTTTATTTTGCAAAGGGTGATGCCATGTCTGGGAGAAAGAAACACAAGTTACAGTGGGATCTGAATGACCTGTCGTTTTTCCAAAGAGCATTTTGGGAACTTATTCCAGTCAATAGAAAAAGAGGGAACCCTCCCTAACTCATTTTGTGAGGCCAGCATCATCATCCTGATACCAAAGCCTGGCAGAGACACAACAAAAAAAGAGAATTTTAGACCAATATCCCTGATGAACATCAATGCAAAAATCCTCAATAAAATACTGGCAAACCAAATCCAGCAGCACATCAAAAAGCTTATCTACCACGATCAAGTGGGCTTCATCCCTGGGACGCAAGGCTGGTTCAACATATGCAAATCAATAAATGTAATCCATCATATAAACAGAATCAATGACAAAAACAACATGATTCTCTCAATAGATGCAGGAAAGGCCTTTGACGAAATTCAACAGCCCTTCATGATAAAAACTTTCAATAAATTAGGCATTGATAGGACGTATCTCAAAATAATAAGAGCTATTTATGACAAAGCCACAGCCGATATCATACTGAATGGACAAAAACTGGAAGCATTGCCCTTGAAAATTGGCACAAGACAGGGATGCCCTCTCTCACCACTCCTATTCAACATAGTGTTGGAAGTTCTGGCCAGGGCAATCAGGCAGGAGAAAGAAATAAAGGGTATTCAATTAGGAAAAGAGGAAGTCAAATTGTCCCTGTTTGCAGATGACATTATTGTATATTTAGAAAACCCCATCATCTCAGCCCAAAATCTCCTTAAGCTGATAAGCAACTTCAGCAAAGTCTCAGGATACAAAATCAATGTGCAAAAACCACAAGCGTTCCTATACACCAATAACAGACAAACAGAGAGCCAAATCATGAGTGAACTCCCATTCGCAATTGCTTCAAAGAGAATAAAATACCTAGGAATCCAACTTACAAGGGATGTGAAGGACCTCTTCAAGGGGAACTACAAACCACTGCTCAATGAAATAAAAGAGGATATAAATAAATGGAAGAACATTCCATGCTCATGGATAGGAAGAATCAATATGAAAATAGCCATATTGCCCAAGGTAATTTATAGATTCAATGCCATCCCCATCAAGCTACCAATGACTTTCTTCACAGAATTGGAAAAAACTACTTTAAAGTTCATATGGAACCAAAAAAGAGCCCACATTGCCAAGACAATCCTAAGCCAAAAGAACAAAGCTGGAGGCATCATGCTACCTGACTTCAAACTATACTACAAGGCTACAGTAACCAAAACAGCATGGTACTGGTACCAAAATAGAGATATAGACCAATGGAACAGAACAGAGCCCTCAGAAATAATACCACACTTATACAACCATCTGATCTTTGACAAACCTGACAAAAACAAGAAATGGGGAAAAGATTCCCTATTTAATAAACGCTGCTGGGACAACAGGCTAGCCATATGTAGAAAGCTGAAACTGGATTCCTTCCTTACACCTTACACAAAAATTAATTCAAGATGGATTAAAGACTTAAATGTTAGACCTAAAATCATAAAAACCCTAGAAGAAAACATAGGCATTACCATTCAGGACATAGGCATGGGCAAGGACTTCATGTCTAAAACATCAAAAGCAAAGGCAACAAAAGCCAAAATTGACAAATGGGATCTAATTAAACTAAAGAGCTTCTGCACAGCAAAAGAAACTATCATCAGAGTGAACAGGCAACCTACAGAATGGGAGAAAATTTTTGCAATCTACCCATCTGACAAAGGGCTAATACCCAGAATCTACAAAGAACTTAAACAAATTTATAAGAAAAACTCAAACAACCCCATCAAAAAGTGGGCAAAGGATATGAACACACACTTCTCAAAAGAAGACATTTATGCAGCCAACAGACACATGAAAAAATGCTCATCATCACTGGCCATCAGAGAAAGGCAAATCAAAACCACAATGAGATACCATCTCACACCAGTTAGAATGGCGATCATTAAAAAGTCAGGAAACAACAGGTGCTGGAGAGGATGTGGAGAAACAGGAACGCTTTTACACTGTTGGTGGGACTGTAAACTAGTACAACCATTGTGGAAGTCAGTGTGGTGGTTCCTCAAGGATCTAGAACTAGAAATACCGTTTGACCCCGCCATCCCATTACTGGGTATATACCCAAAGGATTGTATATCATGCTGCTATAAAGACACATGCACACATATGTTTATTGCAGTACTATTCACAATAGCCAAGACTTGGAACCAACCCAAATGTCCAACAATGATAGACTGGATTAAGAAAATGTGGCACATATACACCATGGAATACTATGCAGCCATAAAAAAGATGAGTTCATGTCCTTTGTAGGGACATGGATGAAGCTGGAAATCAGCATTCTCAGCAAACTATCACTAGGTCAAAAAACCAAACACCGCATGTTCTCACTCATAGGTGGGAATTGAACAATGAGAACACTTGGACACAGGGCGGGGAACATCACACACCATGGCCTGTCGTGGGATGGGGTGAAGGGGGAGGGATAGCATTAGGAGATATACCTAATGTAAATGACGAGTTAATGGGTGCAGTGCACCAACATGGCACATGTATACATATGTAACAAACCTGCACGTTGTGCACATGTACCCTTAACTTGAAGTACAATAAAACAAACAATAAAATAAAATAAAATAAAATAAAATAAAAAAGTTAAAACAAAAAACAAAAAAATTGAATAGAAACATAATTTCAGAATTTGTATTCAGTAATTTTGCTAAACCCTTATTAATTCTAATAATTTATCTCTATATGTTTTATAGATTTGTCCTTTGACAATTATATCACTTGAAAATAACCAGTTTTGGGCCTGGCATGGTGGCTCATGCCTGTAATCCCAGCACTTTGGGAGGCTGAGGCGGGCAGATCACGAGGTCAGGAGTTTGAGACCAGCCTAACCAACATGGTGAAACCCCATCTCTACTAAAAATACAAAAATTAGCTGGGCGTGGCGGTGTGCACCTGTAATCCCAGCTACTTGAGGGACTGAGGCGGGAGCATTGCCTGAACCCAGGAGGCGGAGGTTGTGGTGAGCTGAGATTGTGCCATTGCACTCCAGCCTGGGCAATAAGAGCAAAACTCTGTCTCAAAAAAAAAAAAAAACAGTTTTGTTTCTTCCTTTCTCAACCTTTTGTCTTTTATTTGGTTTTATCCTCTTACTTTCCTGGCTGAGTGCTTTGGTACAATGTTGAATAGAAGTGGTAATAATAGCCCATGTCCTTGTCATTTTCCTGATCTTACAGGAAATACTCTCAGAATGTCACTAATAAGGGTTTTATATATATATATATATATATATATACACACACACACACACACACACACACACATATATATACATATATATATATATATATATATAAATATATTTGTTGTTGTTATTGTTGAGATAGAGTCTTGCTGTGTTGCCAGGCTGGGGTGCAGTGGCATCATCTCAACTCACTGAAACCTCTCCCTTCCAGAAGTGATTCTCCCACCTCAGCCTCTGGAGCAGCTGGGACTACAGGCGCGCGCCACCATGCCTGGCTAATTTTTTTTTTTTGTATTTTAGTAGAGACGGGGTTTCGCCATGTTGGCCAGGATGGTCTTGAACTCCTGATCTCGTGATCCGCCTGCCTCAGCCTCCTAAAGTGCTGGGATTACAGGCGTGAGCCACCACGCCTGGCCAGTAAGAGTTATATTTTTAAATATTCTCTTTATGTAGTTGAGGCAGTTTTCTTGTATTCCTAGTTTGCCAAATACATTTTTTTTTAAACATGAAAATGTTGTGTCTTTCTTGCTTCTCAAGCAAACCATTGAGATAAGTTTCTCCTTTAATCCATTAACGTGGTAAATTGCATGAATTTATTTTCTGTTAAACTACCCTTGCATTCTTAGGACAAGCCCAAATTGGTCATAATGTATTTCCTTTTTTATAAGCTACCTTCTTTCATTCTCTCTCCCCAGGTCCCACCAGCGTTTTATCTATTCTATTAGTCTTTTCAAATAGTAAACTTTAGACCTTGTTGATTCTCTGTATTGTGTCTTTTCTTCCTATTTCATTGATTTCTGTTCTCATATTTAGTATCTTCTGTCTGCTTTGGGTTTAATCTATTGCCCTTTTTCTAATTTCTAAGAATGCACATTTAGCTAATAATTGTATTAAATTTCTTTTTTTCTAATATAAAGATGAGGTTTTAAAATTTACCTCCTTGTATCAATTGAGCATTAGGCCACAAGTTTGATATCTTATATTTATAAATGCTTACTTCTAAGTATTTCTTAATTTTTAGCCTGATTTTTTTGATTCATGAGTTATTTAGAAGGGGTTATTTAGAGTTATTTCCCAACCGTGTTCTTTAAAATACATGTATTTATTTTGTTATTGGTTTCTTTCCCCCCCAAATCTCTTCTATTGGGGGGAACTCGGGCGTCCTCACTGCACGGCTTGTTCATTGGCACTGCTTCCCGAGTCCTGGGGCTTCATCACGTCGGGCAGCTCAGGCGGGCTGGAAAACGGCTCGATGCACAGGGTCTCAAAGCTGTCGTCTGCGCGGAAGGCGAGCCCCACTGTGGCTGGGGCCTGTGGCCGTGCTGTTTGGCTGGTGAAGCCACACTCACCCAGTGTCTTGCCATCATCCAAGAGTTGGTCGTCCTAGCACAGCCACTGCTCATCTGGCAGCAGCTTGAGGATGGCCTCAACGATGCGCTTCAGCTCGAACACCGCGCTGGACTCCTTGGCGTCCGTGAAGATGCTGGTCTTGTGGCGCCGGATGGTGAGGAACACTTCCATCCCGGCGGCTGCCTCTCCCCTCGATGAGGTCGCGCGGCCGCGCTTGTTACTGATTTCTAACTTAGTTAAATTGTTCTAGAATATGTTTCAAATATTACTTTAATGTTTTTGAGGCTTATTTTATGATTTAGCACTTGTTCCTTTTTTTTTATTATTTTTGAGACGGAGTCTTGCTCTGTCGCCCAGGCTGGAGTGCAGTGGTGCCATCTTGGCTCACTGTAACCTCTGCCTCCTGGTTTCAAGTGATTCTCTTGTTTCAGCCTCCCGAGTAACTGGGATTACAGGTGCCTGCCATCACACCTGGCTAATTTTTGTATTTTTAATAGAGACGGGGTTTTGCCGTGTTGGCCAGGCTGGTTTTGAACTTCTGACCTCAGGTGATCCACCTGCCTTGGCCACCCAAAGTGCTGGGATTTCAGGCGTGAGCCACCTCGCCTGGCCTCCTTCTAGAAGCTTTAGGTGCTTAGCTTTTTACATTTAAGTTTATGATTGATTTTTAGTTAATTATGGTGTGTGGTTAAGGGATCAAAGCTTTTTTTTTTTTTCCTACATGGGTATAAACTGTTACGGCACCATTTATTGAAAAGGCTATCTTTTCTCTATTGAATGGCCTTAGTGCCTTTGTCAAAATTAGTTAACCGTACATGTGTGGATCTATTTTTGGACTCTATTCTGTTTCAATGATCTATTTGTCTATTCATATGCCTACAACACACTGTTTGATTGGTAATGGTATCATAGGAAGGCTTGAAATCAAGTAGCATTAAGTCCTTCAATGTTGTTCTTTGGGAATCCAAATGCCTTGTTTTCAGTGTGGAGGTCTTATACCTCTTTCATTAATTTTTCCATAAATAGTATGTGATTATGGTGCAATTATAAACAAACTTTATTAAAATTGAAATGCTCCTTGCCAGCTTTGATAAATCATATTTCTAGAAATGGCTACAATGTTTCCAGCTCTCACATTCTTCCAGAATCTTGTCATTGTCCCATCAAGAGATGGAGTCTATTTCCTTTCCCCTTGGCCTGACCAGGCCTTTGTGACGGCCTTAACAAACAGGTGGTGGGGGCGATGCTGCGTGATTTCCAAGGCTAGGTTAGACTATGTGATACAGCTTCTGCCTGGCACTGTCTCTTGGGATGTCCACCCTTGGGATGTGAGGCAGTCCAGGCAGAAAGGCCACAGGTAGGTATACCAGGTGACCACCTGACAGCCCCAGCTAAGGTTCCAGCTGTCAGCCAGCATCAAATGCCAGACATGATGTTAATGAATTAGTGAAATAATTTTGGGGGAGGGGGTCTGGGGCAACTGCCTCATTTGTTGTTAGGAAGACAGAGATTCAGAGTTCTAAATAGTTCTTCCAAGTCTCGTTTGGGACATTGCTCTCTAAAAACAATGTGTAAAATGAGAAGAATTATGAGAAGAGTTAAGAGTCATCAAAATGCATTTACAGAATGCCTAATAAGAACCTCATAAAAGAATAAAGATTTCTGGCCGGGCACAGTGGCTCATGCCTGTAATCCCAGCACTTTGGGAGTCCGAGGTGGGTGGATCACGAGGTCAAGAGATTGAGACCATCCTGGCCAACATGGTGAAACCCTGTCTCTGCTAAAAATACAAAAATTAGCCGGGCATGATGGCGCGTGCCTGTAGTCCCAGCTACTCAGGGGGCTGAGGCAGGAGAATTGCTTGAACCCAGGAGGCGGAGATTGCAGTGAGCTGAGATCGCGCCACTGCACTCCAGCCTGGGTGACAGAGCGAGACTCCATCTCAAAAAAAAAAGAAGACGAAGAAGAAAGATTTCCATTAAATCATCTCCCTTCCCGGATCCTTTGCCCAATGCTGTCGGGGTGTCTCTTTTAGTTGTTAGTTTTTAGATAATAATCAAGAGAGAGGAAAGAGATCCTATGAAGATACTGGTCTGCGGACAGAGGGAAAGGAAAGGGATTAGGGGTGAGTACACAAATGGCTTTCAACAGGCCTATACTGCTTTGTTTCCTAAACAGGAGAACAGGTACAAGGATGATTGGTACATGCTTACGTATAATTTTTAACATGCTACTTATATGCCATTTTCTTTTTAAAGTGTTTATGTAGACAGATGCGGTGGCTCATGTCTGTAATCCCAGCACTTGGGGAAGGTGAGGCAGGAGGATGGTTTGAGTTCAGGAATTTGAGACCAGCCTGGGCAACATGGTGAAATCCTGTCTCTACAAAAAATACAAAAAGTAGCTGGGTGTGGTGGCACGTGCCTGTGGTCCCAGCTATTTGGGAGGCTAATGGAGGAGAATTGCTTGAGCCTAGGAGGTTGAGGCTTCAGTTAGCCATGTTCACACCAGTATACTCCATCCTGGGCAAAAGGGTGAGACTCTGTCTCAAATAAAAAAGTGATAAAATGTTTACACATATATACATATATGTATACAGATATAAAAGGTAAAGACGCACACATAAGCATTTTAAAAAGGAAATGGGGCTTTTTTAGTTTGAGGAAAAGAAGGGCTTAAGAGATGGCTTGAAGTCTTCGTTTGTATAAAAGAACTTCTTGAGAAGGATGCCAACTGACTGTTTTCTAGGACCATGAAGACTAAAAAGGAAGGATAGGCTTAAGTTAAAATAGTAGAAATTTAAGATGTTCAGAGGACAAACTGCTTCAAAACACTAGTTCTTGAACACTGGAGTGGGCTGCCAAGAGAAGCGATCTGGCCTCTCCTTCCTTGGGAATCACCGGGAAAGGGAGAGGCAGCCTCTGTGCCGTCACAGCACTGGAGGGTCGGATCCTCTCCTGGGAGATCAGTCTGTCTTGGCTCAACTTATTGCATAAGGAGAGGGGCACACAGAATAATGAGAGGATGACGACAGCTGCCTTTCAGGGAAAGAAAAAGAATTCTCCCTTTCCCTTCACTTCCTCCTCCAGGAGGAAAGGGCTGCTCTGGCTTAGTTAAGTTCAATGACACTCATCGACCCACAGTGCTAGGGACTTGGTGTGGCTCCTACTGGGGGCTGCAGGCTGCCTTTCTACCTGTCTTGTGAACGCGTAGGGTCGTGGCTCTAAGAATTGAGGCAAACTCTCTTTGTTGAGGAGTTCTTGCTTTCACAGACAGAGCACATTTCCCTGACTGTCCTGGTTGCGGTGCCTTTTGCGTTTGCTGTTTCTCCTCACAGGCTTCTTTATCTCCTTTGGTTCTAACCTAGGCTGCCTCTGGCAAGGGTGAAAGGATGTCTCCAAGCCAAGCCTGGGTCACAGGGTGATCCACATCGGCACTGGATTCTAAGCATAATAATAAATACTGTCCATTTGCTAGCTTTTGTCCTTTGTGCATATATTTCCCTTGAAGACCTCAGAGATGGGATTTAGGTCTGACTCTGGCCAATGCCAACCTACTGATCTCCCCAACATTCCAAGAGGCAGTCAGATCAGGGGAATTAACCAAGACATCAAAGAGACAACACAAGTTGCTGTGAAATATTCACCTACTGCTCCTTGCAGTCTATGCTGTGATCTTCAAGGTGCACCAACTGAGGTATATTTCACACACCTACAAAGCTGTCAGGGCAGTTTGGTTATTGGAAGATAAACATAGAAAGAGCAGCAACAACTCTGTTTCATGATGGGGCTGCACAAAGTCAGGGTGGGACATTTGGTCACTCTTCAGTGATCAAGGCAAATATTCTATATATAACATACTCTGCTTCTTAAAAATTAAAAATAACCTTTATCTACTCTTTCTATTCCCACCTAAGTCAGAGCAAAAAAACCCAAAATGTTTTCTATTTATCTTGAAGTTTGGGGATTGAAAAAAACCACATTTTCCTTTTAAGTTCCTTTCAATTCTGGTTAGGTCCTCAAGGTGTTATCATAGACAGAAGATTTACTGAAGCATAGTGACAAGTTTTTGACAAATCCAGTCCTAGGATTAGCCCCAGCTTTAAGATTTATCCTCAGCAGCAATGAAGATCCACTGAGAAAACCTCTCCCACTCTGAAGCTTAGCTCAACAATTTAGAAAATTTTATTTTGATTCATCTTCCTGATAAAGATTCATTTCTTATCAGAAAAATTTTTTGAGGGCCCAGAAGAGACAGGTAAAGAATCCTACCTGAAGCTACATTTAGTGTAGATTCTTGCCAGCCTGCAGTTTTCAGTGTAAGTTGCCTGTCCCTTTGGATGTTGTTTTTTGTTTTGTCTTGTTTTGTTTTTGGTGGAGTCTTACTCTGGCACCCAGGCTGGAGTGCAGTGACATGATTTCCGCTCACTGCAACCTCCACCTCCTGGGTTCAAGCGATTCTCCTGCCTCAGCCTCCCGAGTAGCTGGGACTACAGGCACCTGCCACCACACCCGGCGATTTTTTTTTTGTATTTTTAGTAGAGACGGGGTTTCACCGCGGTAGCCAGGATGGTCTCCATCTCCTGACCTCATGATCTGACCGCCTTTGCCTCCCAAAGTGCTGGGATTACAGGCGTGAGCCACCACGCGCGGCCTGGATGTTTGTTCTTAAGAAAATTAGAAGCAGAGGCCGGGGGTGGTGGCTCACGCTTGTAATCCCAGCACTTTGGGAGGCCGAGGCAGGTGGATCGCCTGAGGTCAGGAGTTCGAGACCAGCTTGGCCAACTTAGTGAAACCCCGTCTCTACTAAAAATACAAAAATTAGCTGGGCGTGGTGGTGGGCGCCTGTAATCCCAGCTACTCGGGAGGCTGAGACACAAGAATCACTTGAACCCGGGCGACGGAGGTTGCAGTGGGCCGAGATAGCGCCATTGCACTCCAGCCTGGGCAACAAGAGCAAAACTCTGTCAAAGAAAAAAAAAAAGTAAAAGAAAATAAAATCAGATGCAGAGGCCAGGCAGGAGGAGCTCAGGCCGCACTGCTGTCTTTGCTAGCACAGATTCTTTTTGCTGAACTCTGTACTACTCCTTGTCAGTCCCTAATGTTAATTTAGGTTAAAAGAAATGTAATGCTCGCATCAGTAAAAGCAAGGTCAGACTTTCACCTGAACAGTTTTATTTTTGTTTTGTTCCGTTTTTACTCCGAGGTCAGAATGTCATCAGGCACAATAAAGATAGCTTCTTATCTTCATGGGATTGTGCCCAGAAAGACCAAGCACAGTCTAAACATTACGCGATAAGAAAAAACAAAAAATAGATCAAGTGACCTTGGACAAGTCATCTTACCTCTCGATGGTTTTGTTTTATGAAAGAAGGTGTGTGTGTGTGTGTGTCGATGGGTGTGTGTGTGTGTGTGTCGATGGGTCTGTGTGTGTGTGTGTGTGTGTCGATGGGTGTGTGTGTGTGTGTGTGTGCGTGCGGGGGTTGAGAAGGTTGCTGTTAAGGTTCCCTAGGGCTACCTGCAGCTTTAATATGCGTAGTTAGAATGTCAGGCAGGTTGTGGAGAGTGGGGGGCTGGAGACCCCCGACTTCTCTGAGTGCCAAGCCACACATCAGACACCTTGGAAATAACCCTTCCACGAAGTCCCTACACAGATCCCACCAGGCTGGGCACGGAAGAACAGAAACTGCGAAAAGAAAGGGACTGGATGAGTCCTGGGGAATCACAGCGCCTCCACTTGCACAGGACAAGTGACAGGCAGGTAAATAGGTAGCAGACAGGCAGAGACTCCGAGTCCCCCAGGTGCACCCCTCTCCTGGAAGAGCCCCCGAAAGTACAGGCCCAATCTCCCACCCCACCAAGCCCTCCCCATCGCCTTCCCCGACACCTAAAAGCCCCGGTCCTGCGTAATATTGCGGATCCCTCCCAGCCTCCCGTCCGCTCCTCCTCCCGCGGGGCTCCGCTCAGGGCCGGTCCCCCGCCCCCACGCCGCAGCCCGGGCCAGCGGGGCCCGCCGCGGTGGCGTTCGCGGATGCTGCCGCATTGGCCGCTGCGGCACGGACGGCGCAGCCTCGGGCGCGGCCCGGCACAGGCGCCGGCGGTCCCCGCCAGCTAGCAGCCCGGCGAGGCGCTGGCCCACCCATGGTCCTCGGGCGGCGGCCCCTGCGCCCAGCCCTGCGCGTAGCCTCCGTCTCTCGCCCGGGGCCGCCGAGCCCCCGACACGGGCGAGATGCTGAACGGCGCAGGCCTGGACAAAGCTCTTAAGATGTCCCTGCCGCGGAGGTCGAGGATCCGCTCGTCCGTGGGTGAGCTGGGAGGGGCGCGGCGAGGGAGGGTGGGCCCGGGGCGGGGGCGGCGCGGGGCGCGCCTGCGGTTATGCGACACTGCCCCGCCCGCGCCCCGCTCCCCTCCCTGGGCTCCCTGGGCTCTCTGGGCTGCAGGATCCGCCGACGCGGCGCGCTGGCCGCACGGGGGCTGGGCGTCGCTGCACCTGCGGGGCCAAAAGGCTCCAGGCCGGGGCGAGGTGAGCGGCGGGCGTCAGAGACCCCCGGCTCGTCCCTGTACAGATGTGTGTGTGTGTGTGCGGCCTCCCTGTGCGCGTGCCCGTGCGCCCCTACGCGCGGATGCGGCTCAGGGATGCGACCTAGGCGGCAGTCACCGCGATGGTGGGCACGGTTTGGCGGCGCAGAGAAGATGCAGCCTTCCCTGCCGGCGGCCGGCACCGCTGTGCTGCAGAGCTCAAAAGCAGAGGGGGAAAAAGGCATCCGAAGGGTCCCTCGAGTGATTCTCACCACTTGGAGCCCCGGGTCCTCGCGCGCTCACAGCGGCGACGTACTGGCTCATAACCATCCGTGCATACAACCATCTGGAGACGAACACACACACGCACACGCGCGCGCACACACACACACAGGTACACACACACGTACACACGCACGCGTACACATACCCTGCCTGCAGGCGCCTGGGTGTTGGAACTCGAAACCTAAAGCCAAACACGCATGTACCATACCCGACCACTCACACTGTTAGAGGCCCGCGTTCTATGATTATAGAACACATTTAGAAACTATGATGTCGTGGAGCTGGATGTTATGTGGCTATGACACTTGATAGGGTTACCTAGACCATTAGTTAATGCAGACGTAAAGAGGAGCCCCAAAAATGATTTCTTACCGTTTCAGGACTGCGGCAAGTTTGCAGGTAGATCTTTGACATGAGGAAGGTAGAGGGTGTACAGTTTGGAGCTGGGGTCACTTGTCTTCGTGCTTTTTTATTTGTTTTGAGAAAATAGGCACATAAAAATAAGCGACTTTTGTATTTCTGTAGTTGAGTAACGTGAGAGGGAAGCAAGCTTATCAGGTAATTTAAGCCAATGTTTGTTAAACTTGGGTAAAGTCAGGACACTTTCACATTCATTTTGAGGAGAATCCCAGCCTGAAGGGGTCACGGGGTGCAGGGTCAAGACTAAATAGCAGGGAAGAGCTGTGGCAGAGAGACAGTGGGAGGGCGCAGTCATACAGGTGTGAGAATTTCCCAAGGTGGAGGCAGCCTGAGGAGACCTGGGGACACCCTCTGTACCTTTGCAGGTGGGGCCAAAGGCATTTGCTTATGATTTGGATGTGGGGCTTCAGTACAAGAAAAGAATCAAAGATGCCCCCAAGGGTTTTGGTCTGAGACACCGGAAGAATGCACCCCTTGCTGAGATGGGGAAACTGCGGAGGACCAGGGTTCTCTTTTGCGGTAAGGGAGGGTGTGAAGAATTTGGTCTGAAATGCCTACCATAGATCCAAGAGGAGATGATTAGTAGAGAGCTGGATTTATGAGTCTGGGGCTCCGGGGAGTGTGCAAGGCCAGACATAGAGATTCAAGAGTCGTCGGCAGGACCGGCTCCAAGAGTGTATGCCCTGCAGCTGCTCAGAGTCTGGCTCTTACAAGAGTCAGCACTTGCTTGGATGTTCTGCCCAGTGTTGCTGTCTTGAAAGTCTTAATTTTTGAACAAGGGGCCCACCTTTTCATTTTACACGGGCCCCTAAGAATTATGTGATCAGCTGTCAATGTGTACAGATGTGACTTAGAAAAGAGGGGTCCTTGGATAGAGTCCTGGGCACTCTAACATTTTGAGGTTAGGGAGATGAGGGTCAACAGAAGGGGCCTGAGAGGATGGCCAGGGAGGTCCCCGGAAACCCGGAGGGAGTGCTCTGAAACTCAGTGTGGAGATGTTCAGGAAGGGGTGGGGTGTACCTGTGCCCAGTGCTGCTGAGCTCAATAAAGATGAGGCTGGAGAACTGTCATGTAAGTGGAGGTCACTGGTGATCTTGAAAAGAGCTGTTAACATATCATTGTGGGGAAGAACGCCTAATAGAGCAGGTGTAAGAGTAACAGGACAGGAACTGGAAACAGCAAGTCCGGAAAACTCTTTTGAGTGAATATTGCAGAAAAGGCAGGGGGAGAAGCAGATCGAGTGGTAGCTGGAGGAAAATGTGAGTTCAAGAGAGGTCGCTTTGTTTTGAGACTGTTCTACAGTCTGACGGCATGAACATCAACGCAGGAAGCTTTTAGGGAGCAGGGGGGAAGGCAGTGATCTGAGAGTAACCGTGAGAAGCAGGGTCCTCCTGGCAGAGCAGTTAAGGCAAGAAGTTTCAGGAATAGTCAGAGGGGTCGGGTTGTGAGGGATCTTGCTGATGATAGGCTGAAAGTTCCAGGAGACAGAGTGGAGGCTCTGAGATGGGGCCTGTTTAGGGTATTTGCATAATGTATGGAGAAGAAAGAGGATCTGCATAGTGTGGGCTCCTGGGGACACTGATGGAAACAGGGGCAGAGGGCCTGACAATCGTGTACTCCCATAAAAATACTAAACAAAGATGTGTGATTTTTAGTGAAGTCTGCTACTTCTCATTATTAAAAAATAAACTAATGATGAAAGGATTGCAGATCACAGTCAGCTTCAAGAGTATATGCTGAGCTGTATACTATTTTTAAAAATAATTCTGGAATATTTTCTTGTCTGAGCCATCTTTGACTCTTATCTTGTTCTGCATATTCAATTGCACTTTGATCAGTTTTAGCTTTCCCCAAATATCTACTTGGTGCCAGTGTGTCTCATTTTACCAAATGATGAAAATCCAAAGATTTGTGACCATGGGGATCCTCTTGCCCGTATAGTGCTTACAGTCTGCTCAGGGTGGAGCCCCTTAGAATGGAAACAAAGTCAGTGACAAATATATATCAGTGCCTTCTATGTGCCCGGCATGGTTCTAGGTGCTAGAGACAGAGCAGGGAACACAGCAGTGTGTCTCACAGAGCTTATGGTCTAGGCAGTGACTACAGTGCACGTGGGAAGAGCTCTCAACTCTCTTCTCTCACCTTGACCCAGATGAGTAAGGAAATTAAGGGTGTACATGTGAATATGGGTGTTGGGGGTTGTGGGAGGGGAGGAGTGGGGACAGAAAGGAAGGAAGTTGTTTTCTATGGACGACAGCATCAGTGCTGTCTATGGCAGAAGCTCTTCCCTATCTTACCGCATTTCTGGACTTAGTGAAAGAACGGGCAGGCAGGAAGTGCACAGACCAAGTGCAGAACCCAGAGGACTACAAATATTCTTTTTTTTTTTTTATTTTGAGCCTGTCGTCAGGCTGGAGTGCAGTGGTGTGATCTCGGCTCACTGCAACCTCCGCCTCCCGGGTTCAAGCAATTCTGCTGCCTCAGCCTCCCAAGTAGCTGGGATTATAGGCTCCCACCACCACACTCAGCTAATTTTTGTATTTTTAGTAGATACGGGGTTTCACCATGTTGGCCAGGATTGTCTCGATCTCTTAACCTCGTGATCCACCCACCTCGACCTCCCTAAGTGCTGGGATTACAGGCGTGAGCCACCGTTTGGACCAGGACTACAAACCTTCTAGAAACTGCCCCTGGAGCCCTCCTCTAAATTCCACACCCAACTCACCCTGCCCTCTGCTGGTCATCAAAGGTATTTTTTAATGTGTGTTTTCTGTTTTTGCCAGAACAACCTGCCCCAAGTTTCAAGGAGGAGAATCAGGGCAGCTGAAAATACAAGCCGTGCTAATGTGAGAATGTAATAGCTGGAGGATATCTCAGAGATGGTCTGATCCCTTCACTTTACAAATGAAAAAAAAATTCGGAGAAATTCCTTACTTGCTGCTTAATTTCTGTCAGGACAAGCTAATTAGCAAGTCCAGTGTGGTTCTTATCATTGCCCACCTGCCTAGTTCAATATCAGATCTAAATGCAACAGAATACGCTCATTGATTCTATATGGTTTTCTCTTCCTTGATAAGAAATAAAGATAATAATCTAATTTCTCCTGCTTCCATTTCCTATACTACCCTTTGTGTGCTCAGTAATTACAGATTTTACTGAACTCTGTCATGGGCAGTTTTTGGACTTGGTCTAATGGTCTAGATTCTGTTTGGAAGTTTCTTAAGGGCAGTATATCTAGGGGTTAAAACCCCAGAATTTAGGGTTAAAGAGAATTGAATTCAGGTTTTAACACTGTCATTTCTACCTATATGGCATTCAAAAGATTCATTTACCTCTGTTACAGATAAAGATAAAAATAAGAATTTGCACTTCATGGGTGGTTGGTAGTGGTCTGTGGGTATGTGCATATAAGTGCATGCACTAACTGACACATTATCAAGATGATATCGACAACATGTTAGATTTCTCCCATGCTGCCCATCGTCATCTAAGGCAAAGTCCTCCAGCTAGGTATTTATCCTATGTAATAGAAGAATTGGCAAAACTTTTGTTATTATTTTCCTTTCTAAATCTAATGATGGAGGCCTAACTAGGAGAGGACCTCATAGTCATCACAGGAGAATTTAAATGTTCTTTTACTGTCATTATCCAGGTGTAAATGATTGCAGAAATAAGCGCTTACTCACCAGGAGCTCTGATTCTGGACAGAGTGTTCATCCTGTAGTGGCTCTGAAGGTCATCACCTTCTGTTGAAAGAAGTCCTGACTACAAGGCCGTCTTCTACCCCACAGGTGGCCAATAAGCACCTCTGCGGACGCCTTCCGTTGTCCAGTAATTGATTTTACATTTACAACGGATGTGTTATCTTAAACCCTCCTCAGAGGTGCCAGCTAGACAAATGGAATATTTTACAGTTATTTTCGAAAAAGTTTTTAAGCATTTATGAGACGAAGTGTATACAGTGCCTCTAAAGAAGGGTCTCTATTCTTCCTCCTTGGATCTTTACATTTACTAAATATAACTTCTGGTCAATACCACACTGGATACAAGATGTTATTTACATCCACTTAGGCTGGGAAAAGTGCTCAGCACAAATGTTAACAACCATTAAGAAGGGCTAAAAATAAAAGTGATCTCACTTCCATGCCTTGGGAGTTTCTCCCCATCATTATCAAGGGCAAACACAGAAACAGGACCTACTCCAGGACAGGAGAGAGCCCTTCCAGGAATAGAGTAAGGAGTGGGGACCTGTCACACCCCAGTGGCTGCCTGGGTCTGCCTGCATAGATCTGTCGTAAAAGTACCTGGATGGCTGGGCACAGTGGCTCATGTCTGCAATCCCAGTACTTTGGGAGGCCGAGACGGGTGGATCATATGAGGTCAGGAGTTCAAGACCAGCCTGGCCAACATAGTGAAACCCTAAAAGTACAAAAATTAGCCAAGTGGTAATGGTGCGTGCCTGTAATCCCTGTAACTCGGCAGGCTGAGGCAGGAGAATGACTTGAGTCTGTGAGGTGGAGGTTGTGGTGAGCCAAGATTGCACCATTGCACTCCAGTCTGGGCAACAGGGTGAGACTCTCTCTCTAACAAAACAAAACAAAGCAAAACAAAACAAAACAGTACTTGAATGGCCAAGCCTGTTGGCTCACGTGTGTAATCTCAGCACTTTGGGAGGCCCAGGTGGGAGGTTCACTTGAGGCCAGGAGTTCGAGACCAGCCTGTACAACATAGTGAGACCCCATCTCTACAAAAAAATTATAAATAGCCAGGCATTGTGGCACATGCCTGTAGTCCCAGCTACTTGAGAGGCTGAGGCAGAAGGATTGCTTGAGCCCAGGAATTTGAGGCTGCAATGAGCTACTGCACCAGTGCATTCCAGCCTGGACAACAGAGCGAGACCCTTCCTCTAAAGAAAAAAAAAAAGAGCACATGAATGATGCTGGTCACTCCCCAGCTGTGGTGGGGGAGGGTTACTGGGCCCAATATTACCATAGATACATGTGTGCTTGTTTATGTGAATAGGTCTCTTGCTCTGACGGTTCATTTCTTCCCTCCCTTACTGCCCCTGTAAAGCTTATCATATAATATTTCATGCTAAAAAGTGATCTAATCCTCATTAACTCTGTTTTTTTTCCAGAGTTTTGCATTTTTTTTTTTGTAATCATTAGTTTATAAATACTGCCCATTTTGCTTTCCATCACAATCATTCCCAGGTGAGTGTAGAAAAAGCTGCATTCAGGAATATGGTAAAATATTGCAGGAAGATTTATGCCATTTTGATTGGTTTGTTTCAGGTTGCCTGAATTTTTAATACCCCTTTCTTGTCACAGAGAAGAGAACTTTGTTATTTTTGGCTTTCACTGGAGTTCTCACTTCAGAGTTGGTTAGTATGAGTTTCTGCTTTCCAAGCTGACATGTTTTTTTCTTTTTAGCATCTGTTCCATATACAGGGTGAATAGCTACAGGGTTCCAAAACTGCGAGTGAAGCACCTCCTCCACATATTCCTCACTAGCCTGCATAACTGACAGCACTTGGCTGTCTCCGGCCCTGCTGTCCTAGCTACTCTGCAGCTCTGCCCACCTGATACTGCGCCACTGATGGCAGGCAGTGCTGTTGGGAAGAGAGCAAAGGAAGTGAGTCTGGTGCTGTGAGAACAAAGATAATAAAGGTAATTACTAATATGCCTTTAGTGTTTTTCGCATATTTTTCTTACGGATCCTCACACCATCCCTCTGAGAAATATATTATTATTGCCTCCCATTTAAAAATTCTATATGCATATTTGTATACTTTTCTTTTTAAATAAAGGCAGGAGAGAAGAAATACTCCAGATAGGAGAAATATTCTTTTCTTTTCTCCTCTTTTGCAGAGAATGTTAAGGCAGGCTCCTTAATTTTGATTCAGAGGTTTTGCATTCAGAAGTAAGTGTTCCTGTCTTGTGTAATCTTTTGCCAAATCATCAGCAATGTACATTTCACACATTGCAGGGAAGCATTTGGGTGCTCCTCCTCCCTTTTCTATCTCTAGAGATACTGTGTAAGCCAAATGCAGCACCGAGGATCCCAGGATTACTGTAAATATTTTAAGCACATTATGGAGACTGATTATATAGGAAACTGGGGTAAGCAAACTACTCCATGGAGTGAGTGAGTACTTCTCTATACTGACATTTGGAATCTCATTCCAGATATTTAGTTCAAAGACAGTTGCTTTTTTCACGGTCATGATATGTTAATATCGGGGAGCAGTTCATTCATATTCAAAGGAGAGAACAGTGGCCTGGCTGATAATATATTTGGTTACTGCACCATGGGATCAGGCCTCTTATCAGCTATTTTTAGTCACATAATGATTATCCTTGTTTAAGTCTCTTCCATTTTCTTTTTGTTGTCTTTATTCTAATGCATTGAGGAAACATAACATTGGTTTTAAAACTGCAGAATTTTTGTTTTTAACCCTCAGTAGTTACTGTATATGTAGCAAACTAAGTGGTCTTCTGGGACTCGGCGGAGCGGGCCCTGCTAAGCGTGTAAGATAGTGTGCCGTTTCTGCTACGTCCCCTGCCCCAGCGTGCCGTGTCCCCAGGTTACTCTGCTGTCCATTTGTGCTGGAGAGAATAATAGAAATAAACAGTCTTTCTGGGTCCACTCTAAGTTCATTTTCCTGTTGCCCCTTCCTGAAGCTTGGAAATACATTTATTCAACTCGATTGAACTCTTCTACTGTCTGATTTTCTGGTGTTAGAGTTTGGGCAAATTTTCTGGAAGGGAAGACACCAGCGTGGGCAGGCAACTGAGAAGGGTTCTCGGGTAAGAATAAACTGGGCTGGATGCAAACACAGCGATGAGTGAAGATTGTAAATGAAATGCACAGTTAGGGGCTGTTGTAATACTCCAGGTGTAAAATAATGAGGCCTGAACCCATGCAGCATCAGAGAGACGTGCAAGTCATGATGGAAAACAGCTGGGTTGCAATCAAGCCATACAAATGGAAACCAGGGAGATGAGAGATGAGGGAGGAGCTCTCCCTGGTCTTGGGCAAGTAGAATTGTTGAGCTTGTAGCTTGCTTGTCTAATATTTGTCCTTTAGAGAGCCCAAGATACTTTGTACAGAGTAGGCAATACTTTGTAGAGTCAGATTATTGAAGTTGAAGGTGACTTTACAGATCTTTGCCGCGCAGTAGAGTGGCCACTAGCTGCATGTGGCTGAAGAAATGGTGAGTCATGGTTGAGCTGGGCTGTAACGGCAAAATGTGCACTGGATTTCTGAGACTTAGTATGAAAAAGGAAAATAAAACAGTTCATTCATAATGTTTTCTGTTTATTATATATCGAAATAATATTTTGGATATGTGAGATTAAATAAAATATATTATTAAAATTATTTTATGTATCTCTTTGTACTTTTTTAGTGCAGCTGCTAGAAAGTTTAAAATTGTATATGTGGTCTGCATTATATTTCTATTGGTGAACAAATTATAGATCATCTAGTCCAAATATTTTAATTGATTATTTATGGAATTGCAGACTTGCAGAAATAAAATTATCTGACGGTCAACACCCCCATTGCTACACAGGGAAACCAAGGTCATGAAAGGTGAAGTTCCAGGGACTTGTCTGGTCTTCCAAGGGTAGTACCAGTGTGAAAGAACTAAAGCCACGTCTTTGGATTCCCCAAGTATTAAAAAAAATTTGTTTTTCTTCCCTGCCCCCTCCCTCCAGCATTTTTTTCAGGGTTATTTATCTTCCTCTTGAGTCAGTATCTCCCTCGGGCACACTCTAAGATATCCACCTTCAGTTAATTTTGAAAATGAACTGGGTCATGGCACTAGGAAATACCATTATATTTCTTTGAACCTAATCTCTAATAGAATCTGGTTGCTTGCGTCTTTTAGTATGGTCTGATATTATCAGTCAGTATTTATGGAGAGGATCTTCAACACACTCACGATTTATGATTAATCTCACTTTTGACTGCATGATAAATCTTAGTGTCCTACACAACAACCTTCTTGAAGACCAGTGGGCGTCTCAGCAGCAATGTTTTTCTTCTCAGAGACCGGTCATTGATGGGAGTTGAGCACCTTTTAAAGCAATACATTTAAAAATGTGTTCCTGCTACTGCACATTTTCTCCATAACATATTACTTTCTCAAATAAGCATGTTGGAAAAATGGAGGAAGTAAATACAAAAGAGAAGAAGTCTGAATAGATAATGTTCAAATACCATTAGGTTGTGAGTGGCTCTGAGTCCTGCTAGGAAGACAAAGGTAGGTTTTATTACCAGGGGATGCTGCTGGACTTTTAAAATTGTTCAAGACTTTGAGTTTTTAGGCATTTCTTTTAAACTACATTGATGAAATTATGGACTGTGATAATAAACACAGTGATGGCAACCAAGATGATACTATGTGATGATTAGTTGTCTGATAACTTGTATCAGTGTGTGGTTACTTTGATTTCACTCATAATTTGTGAGTCCATATGATGAGAGCTGTGTTGTCTGCAGTCTGTGATATTTTTCAGTGGAGATCTTGGCCTTCTACGCGTGGGTATAGAGTGTGGCTGAAGAGCCCCAGGGTAGGAGAGCTAGTCCAGAGTTCTGAGACCACCCGCCAGGCTCTTCTACGCAGGATGATATGTTGACAAGATATTACAGGGCAATGTCGGCAGTGTTGTGCAGAGGAAGTGGGGATGCCGTCTGTGTAAACATTGTGATGATGTCTGTGTTAACACTATGAATTCAGCACCATAGCGTCACACCATGATGTCACACTGTGTCACACCGTGACAATGTATAATGGCATGTATCCCCCAATGTGGTATCATACAGAAGAGTTTCACTGCCCTAAAAATCCCCTGTGCTCCAGCTGTTCATCCCATCCTTCCTCTCTAACCTCCGGCAACCACTGATCTTTTTACTGTCTCCATAGTTACAGTTTTGCTCTTTACACAATGTCATGTAGTTAGCATCATATAGCATGAAGCCTTTTCAGATTGGCTTCTTTTACTTAGCAATATGCATTTAACATTCCCCCATGTCATTTCATGGCTTGATAGCTCATTTCTTTTTATCCTTGAATAATACTCCATTGCCTATCTGTACCACAGTGTATCAATTCACCTACTGAAGAACATCTTGGGTGCTTTCACTTTTTTGAAATTATAAATAAAGCTGCTATAAATACTTCTGTGCAGGTTTTTGTGTGGACATAAGTTTTCACGTCTTTTGGGAAAATTCCAAGGAGTGTGATTGCTGGTTTGTATGCTAAGAGTATGTTTAGTTTTGGAAGAAATTGCCAGATTGTCTTCCAAAGTGGCTGTACCATTTTGCATCCCCACCAGCAATGAATGAGAGTTCCTATTGCTCCATATCCTCACCAGCATTTGGTGCTTTCAGTGTTTTGAATTTTAGCCATTTGATAGATGTGTAGTGGTGTCTCGTTATTTAAATTTGTGATTTTCTCATGACATATGACGTTGAGAATCTTTCCATATGTAATTGCCATCTGTATATCTTCTTTGGTGAAACATCTGTTTAGATCTTTTGTCCTTTTTTTTTTTTTTGAGACAGAGTCTCGCTGTGTCGCCCAGGCTGGAGTGCAGTGGCACGATCTCAGCTCACTGCAAGCTCCGCCTCCCGGGTTCACGCCATTCTCCTGCCTCAGCCTCCCGAGTAGCTGGGACTACAGGTGCCCGCCACCATGCCCAGCTAATTTTTTGTATTTTTAGTGGAGACGGGGTTTCATCATGTTAGCCAGGATGGTCTCCATCTCCTGACTTCGTGATCTGCCCACCTTGGCCTCCCAAAGTGCTGGGATTACAGGTGTGAGCCACCACACCCAGCCTTTTCTTTTTGAGACAGAGTCTTGCTTTGTTGCCAGGCTGGAGCTCAGTGGCACGATCTCAGCTCACTACAACCTCCTCCTCCCGGGTTCAAGAGATTCTCCTGCCTCAGCCTCCCAAGTAGCTGGGACTACAGGCGTGCACCACCATGCCCAGCTAATATTTGTATTTTTAGTAGAGACGGGGTTTCACCATGTTGGCCAGGATGGTCTCAATCTCCATTTGTATTTTTAGTAGAGACGGCGTTTCACCATGTTGGCCAGGATGGTCTCAATCTCCTGACCTTGTGATCCACCCACCTCAGCCTCCCAAAGTGCTGGGATTACAGGCGTGTGCCTTTTGTCCATCTTTTAATTGGGTTGTTTGTTTTCCTAGTTTTGAGTTTGAAGAGTTCTTTGTATATTTTGGATGCCAGTCCTTTATAAAAAAATCAGAAACATGTTTTCCAAATATCCTCTCCCAGTCCATGGCTTGTCTTTCATTCTCTTAACAGTGTCTTTTGCAGGGTGAAGTTTTAACTTTAGCGAAATCCAACTTATCAATATGTTCTTTCATGAATTATACTTCTGGCGTTTCAAGGTATTTTGATAGTATTTTTGCTTACCTTTTTGAAATTATACATTTAAATTTATTCTTTTAGAGGGTATACTTATATTATGAATATAGTATTTACTTACTTTGTCCCTAACAATGGCTAGAGTTTATTAGTATATATATCCTTTTCTTCTCCATAGTGACCCTCTCCAAACAAAAAGAAGGCAAAAACCTTGGCACAGTTTTACTCCCTACCCCTGACTCTCCCCTACTTTCTCCCTTGTCACAGTCATCTGAGTTGGTTCCAGAGAGTAATTATTTTTCTCTGGATAACAGGTATGTGTGACTTTCTTTACTCAGCTGTGCTTCCTTGGGTTTTATTCCCGTTGCTAGAGTAGATCCCTGGGGATCTTTTAGGGAGCATCTGTGAGTGGCCATCTGTCTTATTTTTTTCATGTCCCTAAAAACGCTTTCATGTCATCTTCACAAGTAAGTGACAGTTTTGCTGTCTAAGGAATTCTAGATTCAAAATTCTTTTTCTCTGGCACCCTGCTTTATTATCTTACTCCTACCCAGATTTGCTGATGAGCATAGACATCAGTCTGGTTCTTGTTCCTTTGCAGCTTAGCTATTTTTTTAGTTTTGATTAGTTTTTAATGATATATCTATCTTTGATGTTCTGAAATTTCAATACGATGGTTTAAGTATTCCTTTTATTCCATTTGTTGTCTGGTCAACACTGGAAAGATCTTGCAATCTGACACTGGGTCTTTCTTTTTTGGGGAGAAGTCCTCTTGTCTCATGTCTTCAAGTGTGGCCTTCCATGCATTCTCCCTTTTCTGGTGGCAACTCTAGAATTAGACTGCTCTTGCCACTTCTGTCTTTGCTCCCAGCTTTCTTAATTTTCCTTAAATCTCTTTGTGCCCCATTTTTGAAGAATTCTTGTCTTTGTCTTCGTGTTTGGTAATTCGCTCTTCAGCTTTGTTTTGCGTTGTTTTGTTTTTATCCTTTCCAGTTCATAGTATCTATCAAGTTTTTATTTCAACAATTATTTTTTTTCTTGGAAAGATCTCTAACTGACTCTTTTTTCATAACAGCCTAGTATTGCTTCATGTATTGAATATGCACCCATTTCCTGGAGGTTCTGAATTACACTTATTTAAAAATCTTTTTCTGATTGTTTTGTTATTTAAGTTCTGTTTGCCTCCTCTTTTTCTTGGTGTTCATGAATCTTAAATGTCTTATGATTCCAGAACCCCCATCCCAGTTTTTTGGCAGTCGGGAGTCCCAGGAGGAGGCAGTGAAAAGCTGCAGGGCTGTGTGACACTGCCTTGAGCAAGTGCAGGGATGGGTGGGACATGCCCCGGGTTGGGCTGCACCAGTGGCTGCTTTGCTGAGCTATATTGCTCAATGTTTCTTCCACATAAGCAGCTCCATGTTCCATAAACAGTGGGGAAGCCGTCTCCAAAGGGCTTTAGTTAGTCTTTTGATTTTCAGAGGGCCAGTGTTTTAGTGGTTTAACCCTTAACCCAGTGTCTTTAGGGACCACATTAGCCATGCAAGGAGTTTATATTGCTCTTTCCTTTCTTTTGCTGAAATGCCTGCATGCTGGTGGAGGAGGGAAGCCAACTGAGCTGTGCTATTTCATGTGACTTGTGCTGCAGTTTATGCTGAATTCAGCCCTTTGTTTAGGCAAGGTTATAGTCCAGATGAGTCCAGTCAGACCTGCTTTTACATTTTGATCCTGGCACTTACTAGCTGGGTATCTTTGGGGAAGTTACCTAATTCGCTCAGCCTCACTTTCCTCCTCTATAAAATGTCAGTAGTAATACCTCCTTCACTGAATTACTGAGACTTAAACAAGATAACATATATAAAGCACTTCACACTATCTGAAACTTAATAAGTATTACCTATTCATATAAAATTAATAATTAAAAAAGACATTGTTATTATTTTTAGAATAATATACCAGGGGCATAGAGAGCTGAACCTCTTCCATTTTATTTTGTCTATAACTGGATTGGTAACTTCTCTTCATATAATTCGAATTTCATGTGGATACAATGCCTTTGGACAGTTTAATGATCCCCCTGGTGGGCTTAAGTTTTTTTGTTTTTATTTGAGATGAAGTCTTGCTCTGTTTCCAGGCTGGAGTGCAGTGGTGCAATCAGGGCTCACTGCAGCCTTGACATCCCAGGCTCAAGCAATCCTCTCACCTTAGCCTCCTGAGTAGCTGGGACTACAGGTACACACCACTATGCCCAGCTAATTTTTAAAATTTTTGGTAGAGATGAGGTCTCCCTGTGTTGCCCAGACTTGGGCTTAAATTTTTTTTTTTTTTTTGTAGACAATTTGCTCTGTTGCCCAGGCTGGAGTGCAGTGGTTCGACCTTAGCGGTACACTGCAACCTCTGCCTCCTGGGTTCTAGCGATTCTCCTGCCTCAGGCTCCCAAGTAGCTGGGATTACAGGCATAAGCCACCACACCTGGCTAATTTTTGTATTTTTAGTAGAGATGGGGTTTCACCATGTTGGCCAGGCTGGTCTCGAACTCCTGGCCTTAAGTAATCCACCCACCTCAGCCTCCCAAAGTGCTGGGATTACAGGTGTGAGCCACCTCTCCTGGCCGGGCTTAATTTTCAAAGAGCATTATAAAAGTCTGCTCACATCGGTGAGTGCATGGGAGAATTCAGTTGTTCCCGAGAAACAAAACCAGTTTTCTTTGTGATGATGGTGCTTCGTTAAACTTAGAGGAACTCAGTCATTATGTAGAGTCCGATTAACCAACCTCTCCACCCCTACCCTGGTCACTGATGGGAATATCGAGGCAGGCTGAGGTGGCACCCATTCAAACTTGTACTTCAGCAAACTATGCTAAGCCATGTGGTAGTCTGAAGATTAATAGTGATGAATGGTTCTTCCCTTGGAATCCAAATAGCCATTTCCTCTTCTCTCTAAGAATGAAAGCTATGACCCCCACATTAATTCCAGATTCTGAAACAATTTATTGGTGGCGTTTTTTTCTCTGCCTTGATTTCCCTACAGAACACATCTTCTGGGGACCTCTTGTCAGTGGATCCTGTCAATACAGGATTCTTGGTGTTCAACTACTTATTAAAAAAACACAGGCCGGGCACGGAGGCTCACGCCTGTAATCCCAGCACCTCTGGGAGGCTGAGGCGGGCGGATCACAAGGTCAGGAGATCGAGACCAATCTGGCTAACACGGTGAAACCCCGTCTCTACTAAAAATACAAAAAAGTAGCCGGGCGTGGTGGCGGGCACCTGTAGTCCCAGCTACTTGGGAGGCTGAAGCAGGAGAATGGCGGGAACCCGGGAGGCGGAGCTTGCAGTGAGCCGAGATCGCGCCCTTGCACTCCAGCCTGGGCGTCAGAGCGAGACTCCATCTCAAAAAAAACAGAACAAAACAAAACAAAAAACAGGATTCAGTCACTTCTCTCTGGACTTTTCTGAAGATAATTTTCCCACTTCCTTAGCCTTGTTAATATAGAGAACTGGCTCATTCCGTGCTTGGGACTAAGACAGTGAATAACCGGAGAAACATTGCCGAGGTGATTCTGCCTAGAAAGCAATCAAGGATTTCCAGGGCAGCGGTGAGCAGCCATGAGCCTCAAGCTGGATGCTTTAGCAGGAGTTTAAATAGCACAAATGGGTCTGTGCTGCAGGGTCTAAATGGACCTGTCTTTTCCAGACCTGAAACTTTTCTTTCTGCGTGTTTGTACACATTCATCTCTACGCACTCGCTTCTGCTTTTGTGGGTCACTTTGAGGTGGTCTCAGTCCTAGTCACGTCCTAGGTTATTGTAGCACATTCTAACTATTTCGGGTGTTGGGCTGAGCTCTTGGTGGGGTTCACCTGCTAGAGCCTGGGTTTAATGGTGGTCCACTTCTGTCGTTGGGATGTGCACAGCTTCACTGCCTTAGTGACCTCACCCGTCGCTAAAATGGGCATAAACGACAAACCCATTTATCAACTTACTTCGAGGCGCACGTAGAGAAATAGGAGAACAATTGGAGTGACTGGAACATTATTTAGAGCTGTAATTTTCTAAAACTTGAATAATTTTAGAATTTTCAGAGTTTTTGATAGGTCTTTAAACTTAAAAGTTTAAAGATAGGGGTTTCGTTCTTTAATCTGCAAATGTTTCTATATACTGATTAAAATCTCTTTACTAGGCCTGGCGTGGTGGCTCATGCCTGTAATCCCAGCACTTTGGGAGGGCAGGGTAGGTGGATCACCTGAGGTCAGGAGTTTGAGACCAGCCTGGACAACATGGTGAAACCCTGTCTCTACTAAAAATATAAAATTAGCCAGGTGTGGTGGCACATGCCTGGAATCCCAGCTACTCAGGAGGCTGAGGCAGGAGATTCACTTGAGCCTGGGAGGCAGAGGCTGTGGTGAGCCAAGATTGCACCACTGCACTCCAGCCTGGGCAACAGAGTGAGACTCCATCTCAAAAAAAAAAAAAATCTCTTTACTAGTGTTTTCAGTTATTTTTATGGTGAGGGCTGTTTTGGTTGAGATATTGTTGTGTTACCTTATTTAGTGTCAGAATTAAGAAAGGAAGGGAGGGAAGGAGAGAAAGAAGGAGGAAGGAAAGAAGGAAGGAAGGGATAAAGGAAGTGAAAAGAAGAAAGCTGGCTCCTGGGGGAGAAGTCAAGGACACTTCAGCACAGTTCCCAGTTCCTGTGGTCAGGAGAGCTTGTCTCAGTGTAGCAGGACAAGCCGCAGACAAAACCCCTCAGACACTGAGTTAAAGAAGGAAGGGCTTTATTCAGCCGGGAGCTTTGGCAAGACTCACGTCTCTAACAACCGAGCTCCCCAAGTGAGCAATTCCTGTCCCTTTTAAGGGCTCAGGACTCTAAGGGGGTCCGTGTGAGAGGACCGTGATCGATTGAGCAAGCAGGGAGTACGTGACTGGGGGCTGCGCGCACTGGTAATTAGAATGGAGCAGAACAGGACAGGGATTTTCGCAGTGCTTTTCTATACAATGTCTGTAATCTATAGATAACATAACCGATCAGGTCAGGGGTGGATCTTTAACTACCAGGCCCAGGTGTGGCACCGGGCTGTCTGCTTGTGGATTTCATTTCTGCCTTTTAGTTTTTACTTCTTTCTTTGGAGGCAGAAATTGGGCATAAGACAATGTGAGGGGTGGTCTCCTCCCTTATCAGGAGGGAGCTAAACACGGGAGCAGTGACACGGCCAGCAATGGGCAGGAGGGGAAGTTGGGGTGAGGGCAGGTGTGCATGAAACACAGGCTGAAGGAAATGATGTCTCCACATGTTTGATGGAAAACAGATTCACCAGGGAAGAGAAAGCCAATGGGAATCCAATGAAAGGGTCTTGGGCCAAGCTCTGTGGTGTGGAAGAAATGCAGCTCTGCAGCAGGGGGATTCAGTGAGCACAGGACCTGCACCCAATAGGAGACTCATCACAATTAAATTACCTGTTATAAGGCTGTGATAAGACAAACAAGAACTTGGTCAAGATGGTGGCACTCAGTGAAATTTGGGGGAAGCCAAGGCTGGAAGTAGCCACTGTTTTACTTCCAGGAATTGAAAATAGGCAAGTTTGGAAACAGGAAACTCTAGCATTTTAGATGTAAGGAGAATCAAATAGAAATTGTTGGGTTTTTGTAATATTAAAGTAGAACATGACTTTGTTGAGTATAATAATTATTTCTGTCATATTTTCCCCCCTAAAATACTGAAACTCTGGGCTTAATGAGGCCAGTAATTGTCAGCCAAGGAAATAAGACAACAGGCTGAAAAAAGGCAGCATCAGCACTGGCACAGTCCAAGCACTTTCTGGGAGGTATGCTAAACTGGTCTAGGGTTACTTGGAAATCTTCAGCCCCTTCTGTTAGTCAGGGACAAATGAACTAGAGCACCGAGGGTGAAATATACGAGTGGTTGACTTAGACACCCTGAGAGGTGTTGAGAAAAGTTGTGTTTGGTAATTAATGGAGAAATGCATTTGTGAACCTGTTTATCAAATTCAACTTTGGATTGAAGAAGTACACCGAGTAGCTTCACTTAGCTGCTTTTTACTCAAATCAACAAATATTTGTTGAACATCTTTTGTGTCTAATGTGTCAGTCAGTGACCTGGATTCATAGTTGTGGATGAAGGATGCATAATACTCCATAGTTCCCATTTCCAAGGTGTTTACCATCTGGCTGGGGAGAGAAGACCTGGACATGTAAAAAGGAAACAGTGAAAAGTAAGCGATGTCCAAGGCAATACTAGAAGAGATGCTCACAAGGCATAATTAATTGCTAAAGGAGTTGTGAGGATAAATGAACACTTGAAGCAAAGAGTGGTCATGGTCAACTTTTAAGAAGAGGACACAAGTTAGGTTTCAATTTTTTGCCTTTTGTTTTGTTTTGTTTTGTTTTGTTTTGAAACGGAGTCTTGCTCTGTCACCCAGGCTGGAGTGCAGTGGTGCGATCTCAGCTGACTGCAACTTCCACTTCCCAGGTTCAAACGATTCTCCTACCTCAGCCTCTGAGTAGCTGGGAATACAGGCATGTGCCTTAACACCCAGCTAATTTTTGTATTTTTAGTACAGATGAGGTTTCACCATCTTGGCCAGGCTGGTCTTGAACTCCTGACCTCAAGTGATCCACCCACCTCGGCCTCCCAAAGTGCTGGGATTACAGGCATGAGCCACCTTGCCCAGCCCATTTTTTTGGCTTTTTAAAAGTCAAGGTTATTAAGATATAATTTACACACAGTGAAATGTGCCCTTTTGAGGTGTATAGTATGCATAGTGTATGGGTGTATAATGTGGCTTGATGACTTTCACAAATACATAGCTGTGTACAGTCAAGATAGGGATTTTCCATCACCCCTAAAGTTCTCCCCTGTCCCTTTGTACTCAGTTTCCTTCCCCTCTCCCAGCCCCTATTTACCACTGATCTGATTTCTGACTCTGTAGTTTTGTCTTTCCCAGAATGTCATACAAATGGAATCAAACAGTGTGCAGTCTTCTTTGTCTGGCTTCTTTCACTTACATACTGCTTTTAAGATTCATCCGGCCAGGTGCAGTGGCTCACGCCTGTAATCTCAGCATTTTGGGAGGCCAAGCTGGGTGGATCATTTGAGGTCAGGAGTTCGAGACCAGCCAGGCCATCATGGTGAAACCCTTTCTCTACTAAAAATACAAAACTTAGCTGGGTGTGGTGGTACACACCTGTAATCCCAGCTACTCAGGGAGACAGGAGAATTGCTTGAACCCGGGAGGCAGAGGTTGCAGTGAGCCGAGATCATGCCACTGCACTCCAGCCTGGGCAACAGAGCAAGACTCCGTCTCAAAAAAAAAAAAAAAATTCATCTATGTTGCCACATATCTCAGTGGTTTCATTCCTTAGGATTACTGAGTTGTGTTCTATTATTATAGGGATGGACTGCAGTTTGTTCATTAGTTCCCCTGCTTCTTTGAGCTAAGTTTCAAAGGACAGTAGATTTAAATGGTCAGGAGAGAGGGGAAATGGGATAATTGGAGGTAAAATGGCATAAGGCAGAACAGAATGAGCCACTGAGGTGTATCCTGCTTCTGGGAAGAATCAGTAAATCAGAGAAGATGACTCCTGGATATGAGGCTTCATCTGCATTTTTATTATAAATGAATCCAGCTCAAGCCTTATCTCCTCCTTCATACTTCAACCTGCAGTAATTTCTCCCTACTCTGAATTTCTATTCATGTGTCCATTCTTCACCCATCTATTCATCTGTCCATCCATCCATCATTGATCCACCCATTCTTTCATCATCTATTTTATTTGTCCTTCATTTAACGACCTTTGTTTCAGGTCACCAACGTGCCAGGCACTGACTCACGAACAGGTTAAACAAGTTAAAAATCATAATCCCTTTCCCCAAGAAGTTCTTAGGAATCTGCTGGGGGAAACAGCAAGAAAGGTGAAGCTAATAACAGTAACTGTATACTGCTTTACATCATTGTTTTACTCTCCATGTGTGTCCTTGGGGGCAGGAAGCTCACCTTGCCATCTACTTCAGTGCCTTGAATATCATAAGAGGTCAACAAGTACAAAAAATAGCTAAAGCTGCAGCATTGTAGCTTAGTTTTGGCCTTTGGAAAAGAAAGAAACTTACATGTATGGATGCTGACGTTTTTGCCCTTCCAGGAGGCCATACAGAGGCCGTACAGAAGGAAGGCCACAGTGGGGACTCTTGAACAGGCTGTCTTGAGTGGATGGAGGGTTCAGGGAAAATCTCAGCATGCAACAGTTACGTTTTCCTCATCAAGAATATGCGGTTGAAAAAAATGATTTGGAAAATGCCAACAGGCATCTATCACACTTTGATATAAATGCATGCATATAAAAGTCAAACTATCAGATTCCTTTGCACAGGTGGATGGGCAAAGGCAGCCAATTTGTCGCTGGGTCTGCTTGTTTAGTGCTGAGCTGGTGCAATGTGATAGTGCAGTGAGCTCAGCCCACCCTGGTCAACAGAAGCTCTCCGGGGCTGACCTCACACGCAGCAATAGATAATGAGCACCACCCCTCAAGTGCCTGATACACTAGTCAGAAGAACTTTCTGTTTCTTTGGTGCATACTGCACCTTTCCTTTGCACATCAGCACATGTCTGTGAAAATAATTTAAAATCTAAGCTGTTGAAACTTTAAATTATTTTGAGCCTTAAGGGAATGTGATTTTGGGACCCGAGTCATGTGACAGGCAGTTGTAACCTAGGAGCTGTAACCTTAGTTTCTCTGATCATAGATTGGCCTTCTTCCTTACCTATATTGTTTTGTAAAATGTTGTAAATGACTAAACAGTCCCATGGAAGACCTCTTCCCTCTCCACTGTTGATCTTCAGTGTAAAATTAACTTCCCTCTTTGCTCCCTCACACAGACTTCATGAGTATCACACAGTCTAAGGTGGAATGTTAAATATATTCTTTTAAATTAGAAAAGAAATCAGAAGGCTTTCAGAAAAGAAAACAAACTGTAACTAATTAAATTATTGTAACTCATAAACTAGCCTTTTATAAAAAAATTTTGTAATCCTGTTAAATTTCTTTGTTTTCTTCTTACAAAAACAAGACCTTAACTTTGAACTTCAGAGCAGTGACCCCATTTCTCTGGAGCATGTGTTTCTAGGATGCCAATTTACAACTTTTTGCTTGAATAAACTTTTAAAAACTGGATTCTAAGCCGGGCGTGGTGGCTCATACCTGTAGTTCCAGTGACTTGGGAGGCTGAGGCAGGAGGATTGCTTCAGGCCAGGAGTTTGAGACCAGACTGGGCAAAACAATGAAGCCTCATCTCTACAAAAAAAAAACAAAAAAGAAAAATGAACTGGATTCTGATCCTTTTGATTATTTCAGGTTGACATGTCCCTCCAAACCCAAATGTCCCCTTTTCCCTGGGACCCTTCATGGTTGATAAAGATTGATAAGCTTTTCTTTCCCTGAGCCATATTGACACTTTATCTGTACCACTTTTTAGTTCATGGATACTTTTTTTTAGCCTTCTCAAATTTATTTACATACTTTTTTTTTTTTTTAAGACAGAGGCTTGCTCTGTCACCCAGGCTGGAGTACAGTGGCATGATCATAACTCACTGCAGCCTCAACTTCCTAAGCTCAAAAAATCCTCTTGCTTCAGTCTCCTGAGTATCTGGGGCTACAGGCGCGTGCCACCATGCTTGGCTAATTATCTTTTATTTTTTGTAGTGATGGGATCTCACTATGTTGCCCAGGCTAATTTCAAACTCCTGGCTAAGTACTGGGATTACCAGTGTGAGCCACCTCACCCAACCTATTTACATACTTTTTTTATTGTTGTTTTTTGAGACAGGGTCTCACTCTGTCACCCAGGCTGGAGTGCAGTGGTGCAATCTCAGCTCACTGCAACCTCTGCCTCCTGGGTTCAAGTGACTCTCCTGCCTCAGCCTCCAGAGTAGCTGGGATTACAGGTATGTACCACCATGCCCAGCTAACTTTTGTATTTTTAGTAGAGATGGGGTTTCACCATGTTGGCCAGGCTGGTCTTGAACTCCTGACCTCAGGTGATCTGCCTGCCTCGGCCTCCTAAAGTGCTGGGATTACAGGCATGAGCCACTGTGCCCAGCCCCTATTTATATACTTTTTGACTCCTCTATATAACTTACAGCATCTTAGGAATCTGAGGTTCATTTTATGTTGTGCATGCCTTGACTATAATACATGCTCAGTACACATTTATTGACAATCTGACATAAGACAGTGGGGTTAGCTGGGAAGGGTCCAGAGTTCTGCATCAGGTAGACTGAGGTTGAATCTTGAACATTGATCATGGGATCTTGGGAAAACTATGAAACTTATCCAAGACTCAGTGTAGTAACCTATAAAACAGGAATATTATCTTAGGATCAATGAGAGGAACTGCAAACTGCCTAGCTTTTGATAGTTATTCTATAAGTACTGTTTTATTGTCCTGGTTGTTTTAAAAAAATGAAGTGAATGATCACTGTAACTGTCATCACCTTGTAAGTGCATCTTTAAAGCAGGTTGTAAAGATTCTGATGGATGGTTTCAGTATTTTAGGTGGAGTTTACAGCCTGTAGATGAGCTTGGCTTGTTCTCTATAGTGTGATTAGACATGTCTGCCTGTTCTGGCCATTGGTAGGCTGAGAGTCTAGTGGAAGGAGAGCTCATTACTGGCTAGCAGTGATGCAGGGAAGTTGGATTCAGGCAGGCATCAACAAAGATGTTGCTCAGGATAATTCATTAAGACATAAACTTGCTTTGTGTAATTTTTGGTATCTGTGTTTTACTTAACAATAGAAAACAAAATAAAAGAAGCAAACTGAAAACCAAGACAAAATAAAACTCCAAGTCTAACTAGGATGTGGCAGGCTGAATCCAGGCTGTGCCCCCGAGCCTGAGGGGCAACCAACCAGAAGAGGAAGATAAAGACAAAGCAGGAGGCGGCAGAGACCAATTGCTGGCCGGATTGATGACATAGGTCAGATCTAGGCTTGCCAGGCCTGTGAAGGGGACCATAATATGTCACCCTGAAATATGCCTTTTGGACTAAGGGTTATTTTGAGCTGAAGGCAATTAAGAAACATCAGATGCAGAAAGGAAAAAAAAAGGCTTACTGTCCTTCCCCTATCTGGCTAAAAACAGAACATAAATTTCCATTTGTAAAAGTGTCTCCCTCTCCCATACCAGAAAAAGCACAATAACTCTTCGTCACCTGAGATGACTAGAGTCTTATCAGCCCAGAGCAGTGAGTGGAGCCTGCATGACAAGCCTTACTAAAGCAGCCTTATCTTCCATTAATTTCCCCACATATTTACCCTCCCACAATTTATTGCCCTTAGAAGCCTTCCCTTTTCCTTTGTCTTGTCACAGCTTCACAATTTATCATTCTTTGTTGAAGTAGTATGTAAGCTCTCTAGCCTATGTACTTCTTTGGGTCTCTCTCTATATACATACAAAGACTCTATGTCTTCCTAAAACTATGATGTCAAATAAAATTTGCATGTCTTTTCTTCTCTTCATTTGTCTTTTTTCAGTTTGATTAGCAGGGCCCTCGCTCCTGAACCTAGGATGGTAGAGGGGCAGGGTTTTCCACCCACTATTGGCATTCTTCTGGTCATCCCTCAGTAGGCTGCTGGTCCATCTGCAATGTGTCCACTTAGTTACCAAAGCCAGAGATCTTGTCTTGGGCCTGAGGGGGCTTCTGTCTTTTTTAAAAATGCCTTGAGACTCTGCTTGTCATCCTCACCTTCAGTTCTGTGGCTTGTAGGGGTCAAGGGAAAGCTTTCCCTTCGCCCTCTGAAAGTTTGCTGAAAAAATCTACTCAAAAAAGGCAGATTACTTGGAGAAAAGGCATACACATTTATTAACGTATACATGGGAGCCTTCAGAATAAAGACCAAAAGATAAAGGAAAATTGTCCATTTTTATGCTTAGGTTTAACAAAGTATGGAGAGCCAGGAAGAGAGATGATTGGACAGAAAAGGTGCAATCATAGCTCACTGCAGCCTTGAACTCCTGGGCTCAAACGATCCTCCCAGCTCAGTCTATTGAGTATCTAGAACTACAGGCATGTGCCACCATGCTTGGCTAATTTTTGAATTTTTTTGTAGAGATGGGGTCTTGCTATGTTGCTCAGGGGTGTCTCAAACCCCTGGCCTCAAGTGATCGCCCTGCCTCAGTCTTCAAAAGTGCTAGAATTACAGGCACGAGCCACTGTGTCTGGCTGATCCAATTTTTCTTTCTTTTTTTTTTTGACGGAGTCTCACTCTGTCCCCAGGCTGGAGTGCAGTGGCGCAATCTCAGCTCACTGCTACCTCCGTCTCCTGGGTTCAAGAGCTTTCCCTACCTCAGCTTCCTGAGTAGCTGGGACTACAGGTGTGCATCACCATGCCCAGCTAATTTTTTTATTTTTAGTAAAGAGGGGGTTTCACCATGTTGGCCAGGATGGTCTTGATCTCCTGACCTCGTGGTCTGCCCGCCTTGGCCTCCCAAAGTGCTGAGATTACAGGTGTGAGCCACCACGCCCAGCCCTGATCCAATGTTAATAGACTGAGTGGGGAAACCCAGCAAGGCCTGCCTGTCTGGATTCTTCTCGTTCTCTTGGAGCAGCCTATCTTCCTTCTTGGTGTGGAGTGGGATCCTCTCTGCAATGAGGAACTTAGGGCCTACAGTCAAACAAGGTAGGTCAGATAACTTTCTTATGGCCAGTTTTTACACAGAAAGAGGAAAAGTTAGAGTGCTTTTTTTAGGTTTTATGGCTGGCCTTGGGGAAAAGGGGTTCTAGTTTCTATGACCTACCTTGAGGAAGAGGGATTCTAGTTTTTATGGCTAGCCTGGGGGATGATGGGACTGAGAGACAATAGGGCAAAAGAAGGTCAGAGAGAAACTTCTGCTTCTGAGGCCTTGATTTTAGGGTATTGTTTTCTCAGTCCCAGCCGGCTTCTGTCCTGGCTCTTACCTCTAGGAACATGGCCTAATTTGCCCTTGACCCCGGGTAGCCTGCAATCATGAGGGTGCTCTTGGGTGCATTACTATCTTCATGTTCCCAATCTTTGCTCTCACGAACTCTATTTTGGGGCTGGAAATTTCATGTTTTTAACACTGACTCTTAGTTGTGGGCGAGCGCCTGCCACTAGCAAGTATGCATTTCCTTTCCTTTCTACTTTCAGGCTTTTCAGACACATCTATTGCGGGGAGGACTCTAAAAACTTTGCCAATATATGCAATGTTATCAATCCACTGGCATGACTGTGGTGAGACAGAACACTCACACAGCAAGCTTTCAGCAAAGCAGCTTTATTACTCACAGATAGGCAGCAAGAGATGGTAGAAGCCTGGGCCCATGGCGGACCAGTCCCTCAGGGTTCAGGAAAGCTGCCCAAGGCGGATGGAGTCTTGTCTTTGACACCAAAGGCGTGCCCCTTGGTGGGGGTGGGGGTGGCTGTTTTCGCTGAGTTAAATAAAGCCTTGCTGGACATCCTGTTCTAGGAAGACGGGAACAGAGCCTAGGCTGTTCTGGTCAGTGCCTCCTTATCTCAGGTTGTCGCATTCCCAGCACATTCTCCAGTTGTCCTTAGGAACTACCAGTGAGGAGGGGAAGAGCTGGGTCTCCAAGGCCATGCAGACAGTTGTCCTATAGCACCTTAGAAAAAGGCTTGTCTCCTTCTTATAGGACCTGGTGAAAGTCCACATGAATTATCAAAACCATCAATATACTGATATTTTTCTGTCAAGTCATAAAACACCAGCCTCTATGAACAAGTGGTTGAAATCCTGTGACGCTCAGGTCCCTTTCAGCCTGCCTACTCTGCTGCTGCTGGCCCATGACCACAACTTCCTAATAAGGCGTGGAGGGGTCCTCTCTGCTCCTCACCCACCTTGACTCAGTGCACAGTCACACTCCAGGACGGGCTGCTTGCAATATGGGTCCATTTCTGGGGACCCATTTTTCTCTTCACTGGGAAACCCTGAGAATTTTCCTTTACTATTGGTCATTATGCTTTGTTGAGGAAAAAAGCCAGACTCTGTAAAATATTTGAAAAGGTTTATTCTGAGCCAAATGTGAGGATCATGACCTGTGACAGCCTCATCAGGTCCTGAGAACATGTGCCCAAGGTGGCTGGGTTACAGCTTGATTTTATGCATTTTGGGGAGCTAGAAGTTATAGGCAATGGCATAAACCAATACATATAAGGTGTACATTGGTTTGGCCAAGAAAACTGTGACATCTCAAAGTGGGGGCTTCCAAGTCATAGGTGGATTCAAAGATTTCCTGATTGACAATTGGTTGAAAGAGTTCAGCTTCACCTGAATTGTTGAAGGCAGCGGGAAGAAATGCATGGGTTAAGATAAGGGGGATTGTGGAAGCCAAGGTCCTGTTATGTAGATGAAGCCTCCAGGTAGCAGCCTTAGGGAGAATAGATGGTAAATGTCTCTTATCAGAACTTAAAAGGTGTCAGACTCTTAGTTAATCTCTTGGATCAGGAAAAGACCTGGAAATGGAAGGAGATTCCTTACAGAATGTAAATTTTCCCCACATGAGATGGCTTTGCAGGGCCATTCCAAAATATGTCAAAAAAATATATTTTGGGGTAAATACTTTGATTACCTTTAGAGCCTGTTATCTGTCATGTGATGCTACACCAGAGCAGACTGGAGTTGGGGTCTTATTGCTAAAAAGAGTCTATTTTGTCAGTCTTTGGATCTCTACTTTAATGTTAATGATGGTCATTTGCGCCTAAACATCAAAAGAGAGAATGTATAATGAGGTATGTCTGACCCCCTCCT
Source organism: Homo sapiens (assembly GCF_000001405.40). Lineage (NCBI taxonomy): Eukaryota > Metazoa > Chordata > Mammalia > Primates > Hominidae > Homo > Homo sapiens. The sequence goes on from NC_000013.11 coordinate 25,398,399, forward strand.
TCCTATCATGGCCTGAGCTAGTTTTTCAGTACTTCTTGGAATCCCCTTGGCTGGGAGGGGATCCATTCAGTCGGTTGGGGAGCTTATAATTTTATTTTGGGGTTACAGCTTTCATATGTACAATTACCCAGTTGTGATCACTGTGGGCCATCTGGTGCATGGGGACAGCCCTTGCTCCCCCTGGCTCACTGCTGTGTCCCTAGTGCTAGACATACAGTAGATGTTAATAAACATTGTTGACTACATGCCCTGTACTAAAACTTCTGGAAACACAAATTTGAATGAGACTTAGTCCCTGTCCTTGAGGAACTCAGGAGGGGAGGAAGGTGTCTGCAGAATTATTTCCAATACAACATGATAAGCTCTGTTAAGAGCTATCAGTGAGGTTGAGAAGTGGCAGGAAAGAGAAGAGCATCCTTCTCACCAGGTATGAGGGTGACCAAGAAAGACTTCATGAGAGAAAAGGGTGCTGTCTGCCGTAAAATGTTCATCCATAACTGAAGTAATGCATATGAAAAAAAAATAATACAGGTGGCAGACATAAATTTCAGGCTCTGTACATATGTATAATAAGATATTTTTACTACTATTACCCTTTTCCTCTACTTGAAAATTTGTGGCAGTTTACAACAGTGATCACGAAATGCCAATCTGTGGACTGGCAGAAGCACGATCCCAGAAGGCAGGACCTGGGTATCTAATCTGCATGTGTAAATAACCAGCTCTAAGGAGGATGTGATATACCACCCAGTGTGGGGACTGCTGGGTATGGCAGTGGTTCTTACACTGAAGCATGCACTGGAGTCACTTGGAGGCTTATTAACATGCAGGTGGCTGTTTCCCACCCTCAGAAGTTCTGATTCAGGAAGTCTGGGATGGGACCAAGAATTCGCATTTCTCACAAATTCTCAGGGGATGCTGCTGCTACTGTTGCTGGTCTGTGGCACACTCTGAGAATCACTGGTGTATAGTAAGATCCTGATTTCTTAGTGGTTCTTCTTTTTTTTTTTTTTTTTTTGAGACGGAGTTTCGCTCTGTCGCCCAGGCTGGAGTGCAGTGGCGGGATCTCGGCTCACTGCAAGCTCCGCCTCCTGGGTTCACGCCATTCTCCTGCCTCAGCCTCCCAAGTAGCTGGGACTACAGGAGCCCGCCACCACGCCCGGCTAATTTTTTTTTTGTATTTTTAGTAGAGACGGGGTTTCACCGTTTTAGCCGGGATGGTCTCGATCTCCTGACCTCGTGATCCGCCCGCCTCGGCCTCCCAAAGTGCTGGGATTACAGGCGTGAGCCACCGCGCCCGGCCCGTGGTTCTTCTTTTTCTTCTCCTTCCTCTTCCTCCTTCTCCTCTTCCTCCTTCTCCTCTTCCTCCTCCTCCTCTTCTGCTTCCTCCTCTTCTTCTTTCTTCTTCTCCTTCCTACTCTTCCTCTTCTTCTCTTTCTTCCCTTTCTTCCCCCTCCTCTTTCATCTTCTTCTTCTTCCTCTTCCTCCTCCTCCTCCTCTTATTCTTCTCCTCCTTTTTCTTCTTCCTTTTCTCCTTCTCTTTCTCCTTTTTCCTTTTCTTCTTTCTTCTTCCTTTTTTGAGGAAGCCATCAGAGCTCACTGCAGCCTTGAACTCTTGAGCTTAAGCCATCCTCCCACCTCAGCCTCCCAAGTAGCTGGGTCTACAGGCACACACTGCCACGCCCAGCTAATTTTTAATTTTTCTGTAGAGATAGGGTCTTCCTATGTTGCCCAGGATAGTGTGTGAACTCCTGGGCTCAAGAGATCCTCCCACATCAGCCTCCTAAAGTGGCTGGGATGAGAGGTGTGAGCCACCACACCTGGTTTCTTGGTGCTTCTGAGGAACACAGCATTCCACATAAATGACTTATCTGGATAACTAAAGTTTATCTCTCCAAATGCCAAATCTTTGTTTCTTTAGGTCATATTAAAAGAACATTTACTGAAATAAATTTTCCACTTCTTTGCTTTCTTTTTTTCTTTTATTGATACATAATATTTTATATATTTATGGGGTACATGCGAGTGTTTGTTACCTGCATAGAATGTGTGATGATCAAGTCAGGGCATTTGGGTTCTTCAACACCTTGAATGTTTGTCATTTCTATGTGTTAGTATCATTTCAAGTCCTCTCTAGTTATTTTGAAATATACACAATATTGTTGCTAACACTTCTTTGCTTTCTTAACCAGAGGATTCTGAACACCACTGAATCCTTTCCCGATGACTCCGGATTATTCTAATGCACATCCATTATGGTTCTGCACAGTAATACATAGGGTGGGTATTTAAACCATTTAACACCAGACAGCATGAGGTCACACCAGTGAACACAGACTCTTGCTGTAACGGTGCAGAAAGGTTCTTGGGCCTCCTATGCTGTGGCAGTTACTGGCTTACGGGAAGGCCTTGAGGGTTGTGGGAAAGGGTCTGAGAAGGCCGGCATTGTGGGACCACAGAAGGCCTTGGGACAGTGGCTATTTATCACTATGTGGAAGCATTTTGATATTTCAACAACAGGAAGGATGTATTATGCATGTCAGCCCTGAATACACATTGGTTCTGTGACTGCCCACTTAACAGGAAGTTTTTGTCTAGTGTTTCTTTATTACCAAGTCTTGGGGAATCATTTATAGCTAACTTCTTCTCTTCATTCGTAGAATAACTGCCAGGCACTCTGGGTTTAGAGGAAAATGAACCAGATGTGCAGTGAGTGTGCGGCACAGCTCGGAAATGAGACACGGTCCTTAACTCCTCCGAGACGCAGCACTCTCAGTAAAATTTGAATACATTCTTTTCCTTCCAGTATTGCAGAATAGTGAGGATAAAAGTGAAAGAGGATGCAAAAGCCCTTTAAAATGTGCCATTTAAAATGAGTATTGGGCAAATGAAAAGGATTGTTATGATTTTTACTGAAAGTGTTAAAAAGAAGTGGCATTTCTTAAATATTTTCAACCTGAAATAGTATACTGTAACAAATGCTGATATCAATCGAGTTATAAATTGAATCTGAAGAAAGAGCTAGCAGCAAGATTACTAATAAATGTTTGTTCTCGGGCTGTGGTAAGAAGGCTCTTGTTTCCTTTAAGTGGCAGCCAAAAGCTTTTTTTCTCTGAAAATAACCATTTTTCATTATTATTCTCCTGCTTCAAGCTGTTCTTTTTTTTAGCAATGAATACAATCAGGTTAGGTTGTGAGTGACAGAAATAAGTGCTTGTTGGTTCAGGAGGGAAAAAGCAGTAGATGTGTCCAGTATTCATGGGGTGCACATTCCAAGACACCCAGTAGGTACCGGAAACCTCGGATGGTACCGAAATCTATAAACACTATGCTTCTTCCTGCACATACATACCTATGATAAAGTTTAATTTATAAATTAGGCACAGTAAGAGATTAATAACAACAATAATAAAATAGAACAATGATAATAATATACCAACATCACTACTGTTGTGCTTTGGGGCTATTATTATTTAGAGAAAAGGTTTCACTCTGTCGCCCAGGCTGGAGTGCAGTGGCATGATCATAGCTCTCTATAGCCTTGAACTCCTGGGCCCAAACGATCCTCCCTCCTCAGCCTCCCAAAATACAGAATATGGACATGAGCCACTGCACCCAGCCTGGGGCCATTAGTAAGTCAAATAAGGGCTACTTGAATCCTAGCACTGTGATACCACGACAGTCAATCCACCAAGAAGACTCCTAAGTGACTAAATGGGCTGGCTGGGAGCATCCTTATCGTGAATTCGCTGGATAAGGGGATGATTCACACCCTAGGTGGGAAGGAGCAGGATGGTGCGAGATTTCATCATGCCACTCAGAACAGCATGCAGTTTAAAACTTATGAGTTGTTTATTTCTGGAATTTTTCATTTAATATTTTCAGGCCATGGTTGACTGCAAGGAACTGAAACTGCAGAAAGCAAAACGGTGGGTCAAGGCGGCTCTTGTATATGAGAGCAAGGTGTCAGACACAAACAGGCTTCATGGACACTTGGCCCTGCGTGTGTTAGGGTATGAGTATCTTTCTGCATGGATGAAAGGGCAGGATGATTTTAAAGGTCCTTTAAAAATAGCATCGTTTCTTTTCTTCTGTGCTGGTGTGCCCTGGCACTGGCTCCTGGGTCAGCACCAAATCAAACATATGATTTATTGGTTCAATCTAATTCTTTCTTTGCCTGTTCAGCAGGGTATAGCTGAGTCAGACTGGGCTCCAGTGAAAAAGCCCCTCATGGAAATATGGTTGCTATAGTTTGAACGTTTGTGTCCCCAGTGCAACAGTATTAAGAGGTGGGGTATTTAGGAGATGATTTGGCCCTGAGGGCTCCGCCTTTGAGAATGGGATTAATGCCCTTATGAAAGGGCTTGAGGCAGCAAGTTTGCCCTGTCTTAGTCTGGTTGGGCTGCTATAATGAAATACCTTAGACTAAGTAATTCATAAGTAATAGAAATTTATTTCCCACAGTTCTGGAGGCTAGGAAGTCCCAGATCAAGGCACAGCCAGATTCAGTTTCCGATGAGGTCCCTGTGTCTGCTTCAAAGATGGTGCCTTCTTGCCATGTCATCACATGCAAGAGATAGAAAGGAAAATAGGATGGACTCATTCCCTGAATCCCTTTTATAAGGGCACCAGTCCTCTCCATGAGAACAGAGACCTCATGACCTAACCATCTCCTACAGGCCCCACCTTTTAATACTGCTGCATTGGGGATTACATTTCAATACGAACTGTGGAGGGGACACAAGCATTCCGACCACAGCACCTCTTTTTGCCTTTCCACCATGAGAGGACACGGCAAACAAGGCACCATCTTGGAAGCAGAGAGCAGCCCTCACCAGACACTGAATCTGCAGGTGCCTTGATCTTGATCTTCCCTGCCTCCATTACTGTGAGACCTAGGTTTCTATTTATAAATTACCCAGCCTGTGGTATTTTGTTACAGCGGGAGGAAGAGACTAAGACAAAGGTCCCAGATGGGTTTGCCTGGGAAAATGGTTGTTCCCAGGCCAGTCCAGCTTAGTTTATAATATTGAGTTAAATCAGGCTTGGAAAGTACAGCAATGTACTGTGCTAGAGAAAAGTACAGAAAATTCTTTAAAGAGAGAATTCAAGTTGAGTTGTGGATCCTATCTCCAGCTTCACTGGGACCTCACTGAATGACCTCGAATACATTTTCAATTCCTCTGCATCCAGACTTTTCATTCTAGGCCAGCTTTCTAGATCAGGAGATTAGGTGGTTGCCTCTATCTGTGTGGCAGCCATACTTTTTCCAGAACACAATAGGAACATATGGTCTTGAAATATTTTTTCTAACATATATTTATTTTGAATGGAATGTTGCCTGGCCTGCCAACTTAATTCCTTGGTCCCTCATTGCAGCTATGGCACTTGGAGATCAGTGGTTTAAAAGAGTAGATGACTCAAAGTTGGGAGTGTCCATGAAAATCCAATGCAGATAGTTGCTATAATCAATACCAAAATTATCGGTTTGCTTTATTTATCCCAGGTAAGATAAATCCTAGAAGTATGAAGGAGGGAGGGGGCTGCAGGAAGGGATCCATGCATTCATTCACTCATCCATCCATTTGAATGTTTATTGAATACCTGTTCTATGCCAGACACCGTGTTAAGTGCTGAGGATGTACTGGTGCATTAGGTATAATCCTTGCTCTCATGGAACTTATGGCTCAGTGGGAGACATGGGCTGATTGGTAAGTGCTTCAGCAGGGAAAGTAGAGGAAGCACACAGGAAAATCACTGAGACTCAGAGGCCAGAGCAGGCTTCCTGAGGGGAGTGGTCTTAAGACTGAAGCCTCAGTTATGCAGATAAGGAAGCTGGGGGTGGCAAGCATGACCAAAGCCAAGGTGACCAGAAGCCTGGAGATGTGTGAGAGCTGGGGAGGAGAGCTGGAAGCATCCACCTGGCTGGCATTTGTGGAGCAAGGCAGAATTGACTGAAAAGCTCAGCCTGGTTAAAGGATTTGAACTTCACCTGCAGGGTGGTGAAGATCCTTTGGAGGATGTGACCGTGCCACAATGAGATTCACACTTGAGGATTTTGGCCCTGGTTCACCGTGGAGAGTGGCTTGGAGAGTGGTCATAGTGAGGAAAGCATTCAAGGAGAGGAATAAGTGGGGGAACACCCAGGGGAGTGGCAGTGAGGGTGGTGGGCAGTGGATGTGCATCTGAGAAACTTGATCCATGTGGAAAGGAGGGAGAAAGAGGAGGCGAGCGTGCTGCTCAGATTTCTGGTTTGCGCAACTGGGTGGGTGCAGAACGCGGGAGGAAGAGCAGGGTTGTGTAGGGATAATCATTTTTCTTTTTTGGCTGTGCTGATTGAGGTGTCTGTGTGGGGGAGGGCAGGTGTCCAGCAGGCAGCTGGATCTGAGGGTGTGGTGCTGGAAGGTGAGAGACTGGAGAGTCATCAATGGGCACTCGTGGGAACTGATGTTCTAGTGATGGAAGAGTAGCCCTGGGAACAGGGGAGGCGAGGAAAAAGTGCCCTGACCAGAATTCGGTGAAACCTCAACATCTAAGGGAGAAGCAGAGAGAGGAAGAGAAAGCTAGAAATGCCACTGAGAAGTGGCCAGAGCGCTGGGGGAAAGCAGAAGAGGGTGGTCTCTTGGAAGCACAGGGATGGCCGAATTTCAAGTCGAGTGTGCTCAGCAGGGCCAAACGCTGCCGGGCTGGTCAGATGAAGGCTGGCAAAGGGTGTTTGGGTTCAGCAGCAAGAGGCTGTTGGAGACCTTGATGAGAGCAGCTCCCTGGAAGGCTCAGGACAGAGGCCTGATTACAGTGCAGAAGGAGAAGAGGAGGGAAGGCGCAGATGCGAAAGTGTAGACAGCACTTTCCAAAAGCTCAGCTTCAAGGGGAGGGATGGGAAGAGGCTGCTGAAAAGTTGATCCGAGTCCAGCAAATGGAGTCCTGAAGAGAAATGGGATCTACCGCATATGATGAGTCATGGATGCCCTTATGTATCCAGTTAAATTAGAATGCACAGACATTTAGCATTAAAGCCCATCTCCCTTCATTCATTTTTTTCTGGGAGTCCCCCAGGTCTTCTTTCTGAGTATGGCCCACGTATCTCAGCCTCCCAGCAGGTGTATCCTCCCTCGCTTCGGACCTCTCTCCTTGGGGTACTCCCAGCGTGCTCTCTTGAGACCCTAAAGAGCTTATGCAGGACCGGCTCCCTGGGCAGCCAGGTACTGCCCAAACTTGTAACCTGCCTCTCCAGGAGAGTTTGACAAACCAACAAATAAAGCTCATTCAGGGCCACACCTTCTGGATCATGAGTTTTGAAAAAATGGACAAAATCCTAGATATCATGTATTAGAAACAAAGTGTTAAGATATAGCATTATATACACTATTGTGCTATGTTTTTAGGCTAGACAGTGCCTTGCACTTCAAAGTGCACGTCCTAGGCAGGAACATTCTGGGGGAAATGGAAAAAGCGATTTATCCATAGGCACACAGCCTTCTCTGCTTCCCCTTTAACTCTTTTTTTATTCTCCCACTCATGTCTTCTCTCAACCTAGCTTCTGGCATGTTGAGTCATTCATCCATTCACTCATTCATTTATTCATTCATCAAAAATATTTTGAGGACTCACCTTCCAGGACATGATTGGCACTAAGAACTCAAAGATGGGTAAATCAAGAGTTTTGCCTGATAGGGGCAATATGACCTGTTCCAGTGGTCAGGTCTATGCAAACTTACCCCCAAATTCTGAGGAAGCAGAGACGCTGAAGAAAGAGGTTGACATATACAGTTTCTCAGAAAGAAACATTTAACAGGGACTTACGAACAGGAGCCATGCCTCTGTTTCAGGTGGCAGAGAGATGGTGGCATCCCGGTGCTATTATCCTTCAAATCCAGGGCTTACAGACTATAGGGGACTGGTGGTTCAGAAGGGAGGTGTAGGCAATTGAAGTATGATAACATAAGGTTGCTTTGACCTAAGGGCAAGATTTATGGTAAGTACCTGCTCTTACAGCAGAAACAATAGGTAAACTGGAAATCTTAGAGGCCTTCCCTGAGCAGGAGTTAATCAAAAGCCAACATGGTAGGTTAGCTCCCAAGGTGGAGGTGGAGTTGCTTTTGCTTCCACATGGCCAATGCTCTCATAGGACTATGCATACACTACAGTGAGAGCCCAACAGAGGGCACTCATATATCTGCCTGGGAATGCAGAAAGGACAAGGAGGGCTCACAGAGGAGGTGACATCTGAGTCTAGCCTGGAGTTGGCTCTCTCCAGGTGGCTGGCATGGAGACCATGTTTGGGGTTGGAATCTCCTGCCTCATCTCCCTCCTGGGGATCCACCTCACTTCCGGAAGGCCAGCTCTTGAGTAGGGATTGCTGAACCAGTTTTGTTACTCTTCCCAGAAAATATGTTATCTCTTCCAGGTCAGATACTTATATTTCACAAACCGTTGTATAGCTAATGCCTCAGCTCAAGCGGTGGCTTTCATGTGGGCCACTTTCTTAGGCTGGCAGATGGCCATGTCTCTCAGATCGTCAGGCCACCAAGGTAGCGTCCCCTCTCCATTGGCTCCAGCCTGTTACCGCTGCTTCCAGATTCTGGAGACAGCAACAGCATTGCTGAGAAAGGACACTTACCTGGCAGTGGTGATTTTAAGGGCCACTTAAAGATACCACGGTTGGGTTGAATTAAGAACCGCAGAAGAGACTGCCTAGATCTCAGATGTTGTGATGATATTCTCAGTGTCCACCCAAGGTTTCATGAAAGAAAAGATTCTATCATTAAATCTAATCAAACTAGGAAAACTGCTGATAAGTACCAAGGCCTGCAAGCCAAGGAGGAAAGCTGTGCAGTTTGGGGGAGGCAAGACAGACTCATTCTTAAAGCTTCATCATTTGGCTTCTTTCCCAGCCTGTACCCAGAATCTTGAGGAAGAAAAAGGCTAATTGAATTTTTGCTCCCTATGAAGACCCTTCCTCACTAGTAAAAGTTAAAACCCAGCAGACAAGGAAGCAATTTTAAAAAACCAAACTCTTCCAACTGTATGTATTTTGGAAAGTGCAATTTGCATCAGGTATGGTAATACTGAAACATAATCTAAATGAGAAACTCATATCCCAAATATTCAGTGAAGTCAGTAAAGAGTAAGAAAAGATGCTATCTTCCCACTACCTATAATTTCCCTCCATATTGAGGCCTAGGGAAGTGGTTATGAGCTTGACAAGTAGGGATTATTTGATTTTGAGGAGGATTATAAAAGAGCTTTATGAGGAAAATGATGAGCAGCTATTAAGAGACTGCACATGAGGAAACAATGGAAAGACCTAGAAGAAAGTGGATTAAAACTGAAGAGGATATTTGAGGGGTTAAGAAAGACTTCCTCCCTGGGTTTTGCTGGGGAGATCTACATGGGTTTCCAAAGGCGATTGCAGTCTGTCTTTCTGTAAGTGGAATAAATCAGCAAACATGCCTTGGATGGCATCACATCAGTTCTGTGGGAGATACCAGGGAGCATAAGACATGAACTCCCACCTACGGGAGGCAAGGGGAGGGACAGCATTAGGACAAATACATAATGCATGCGGGGCTTAAAACCTCGATGACGGGTTGGTCAGTGCAGCAAACCACCATGGCACATGTATACCTATGTAACAAACCTGCACATTCTGCACATGTATCCTGGAACTTAAAGTAAAAAAATATATATATATTTGACATTAAAAAAAAATGTGGCTGGGTGCAGTGGCTCATGCCTGTAATCCCAGCACTTTGGGAGGCCAAGGCAGGCAGATGACGAGGTCAGGAGACCAAGACAATCCTGGCCAACGTGGTGAAACCCCGTCTCTACTAAAATACAGAAAATTAACCGGGCATGGTGGCTCCCGCCTGTAGTCCTAGCTACTTGGGAGGCTGAGGCAGGGGGTTTGCTTGAACCCAGGAGGCGGAGGTTGCAGTGAGCCGAGATTGTGCCACTGCACTCCAGCCTGGTGACAGAGCAAGACTCCGTCTCAAAAAAAAAAAAGCTTGTGCAGGATCCCAGGTGAGTTAGCCCTGCCCTTCTGGGTTCCCACAGACAGGATGGTGAGCAGTGAAGACTTGTACGCAGTTCCCTGTGGCAGGCTCATGCACACTGATGTGTTAATCTTGTTGAAATATACTTTTCTTCTGTCTTCTGTCAGTGGATGTTTATTCGGTAACTAGGTTTTAATATAATGAGGTAAAAATTTGCAAAGTATTGTAGTAATGTCTTATTAATGAGTTCTATTTATAGGTGATCTACACTAAGCCCTAAACTCTTTACTTTCCCAAAATAATCTTGGCCTTATTTTAAAAGACTGTTTATAGTTAGAGACTCCTCAGATCTCTTATGCTTTGGGACCACTTTCTTGGTTCCTTGCTCAGCTAGTTCAAGGAAACTAATTTTACATCCAATAATTTTAATTTCTGATTGTAGATGCAGAACAATATTATGATCCTCTTGGAATGCTGCAAAAGGAGCAGCTTAAATATGGAAATAATGAGCTTTCTGCAAACATGCAAAGAATTATAATAATAGTTAGAGAAATAAAGCATTGTTGTGATGCTTGATTTTAGTACCTTCAATTATAGTTTGCAAATTCATAGGTCATTTCATGGAATTGTTATTTGAATATCTTTCTTATTTTTCTGTACTAGTATGCCCTTTTCTATTTTGATCTTTCTGTAAAGCCCTCTTTTTTTGCAAACAACAATTTCTGAAAATAACACTATTGGCGAGACCAGCAGGCCTGCTTTCATCTCTTCTCAGCCCTGGTACATGCTGTCTACTGAAGTATTGACTTAAAGTCTGCAGGCTCAGTAATAATGTCTATTGTGTCTATTTACGGAAAATGAATTTTCTGGGCCTCATTTCCTTTCAGGGAGAAAGGGAATAATTATGGACATTTATATATCACCCTGAGCATAATTGTGTTGAAGCAGGAAAAATAGAAAACAAAAAGACAAGATCCTGGACATCCAGGGCTCAAGATCTAAGATGTAATATTCCAAATATCATAGCAAATAGCCAAGCCAAAATATGAAAGACATGGCAAAACAGGTAACTTGGAAGAGTACATGGGAAAAGTGATTCAAAAGAATGATAATATCTTCTTTCACATTCTTGTATGGATTCATCATGAGCTTCAGACAGAGCAAAAACACTGTATCAGGCACCATGAAGCTTAGTCAAGTGTGGTACCTCCCCAGAGAGGATAACTAGGGAAAATATTGAGAATTTTTAAAAAGTTGATGTACATCAATGAAACAGGAGATGCAGGCTTGCAATCAGGAAGGATCACCTGCCTTTCAAGTTTTGCCAGTAGAGGTAATAGAATTTTTGTATTGCAGTGACACCTAATTTTGTACTGCAATGACACCATAATTACTTTTATGGCAGATAGTCGTGGTTAGGGTATAGTCTGACTCCCATCAGCCATTAGAGAAATGTAGCTATCAGAAATGAGATGAAATGATATTAACTCTCCAATGACATTGCACTCACAGTTATGTGTGCTGCCTTCCAGTATTGGCTGCTTTTTAATGTGTGTATGTATATAGAAATATGTATGTGTATGTATTTGTATACACAAATATACATATTTTTGTATGTGTATTCAGAAAATCATTCTCCTAATGGGTTCAGCCATTAGGAGAATGATTTTCTGAATACATCACATACAACGTGTGCTCAGCCTTCTGCACGGCTCTTGCTGTAGTGGTTTGGTTTACCACATAAACCCCATTAGCGTCTCCCATCAGCCATGGCACTTACAAGTGTAAAAGAATTTATGTAGACAGTCCGTAGTGGTTTTTTTTCCCCCTTATGGTAAAGTGTTCTCCCTCCAGTTTCTGATTATTGAATTCATGTTTGTCTTCAAGACCTTCGTCAAATGCTATTTGTTCTGGGAAGCTTTTCACCTTTTGTTCTGTCAGAATGAATTTAACATTTCCTCAAAGCCCCAGTGGCATCTATTCCTACATAGAAGTTAATTCACTTGCTTCTGCTGTCATTACATACCTGCTTCTCCCACTGGATTTTAAGTTATTTGAACTCAATGACCATATCTTATTCTTATTTGTAATCTCAGTGCACAACACTGTGCATGGTGCATGTCAGTTCATTCTAAACAAAGTAAAAGGATTAGTACCTTGTACAGCAGATCTTATTAAATCAACACAGTTTTTCAGTACTCCTGTGAGCAAGGCCCTGCGTAAGGGTCAGGTGTTCTGCTAAGCTTTGCAGTAAGGGCTGGAAGAACGTGCACAGAAAGCTTCCTCATCCATAAATGGGATGGTCTGAAGATCAAGTCACTTGTATGTTCAGTGTCTAATGTGAGATAGGTGCTCAGTCTACAGTAACCATAGCTGTCACTTGGGAATTTCTCTGTTGGCTGTTGACTGAGCCAACATCATCCCTGGAATTTCACTTTGAGAGTTTCTCTGAACTGATTCTACTCCCTTCTAGGCCTGCAGCCTGCTTCCAAGTTTTCACAACCACTCCTTTAACCATTTTCCTTTGTTCTTGCTATCAAAACCTTCGTATAACCAATCCTGTTATGTTCATCCAGTTTTTCTGCTGTTTTTAACATCTCTGTTCCCCTACTGACTGTACTCCAGGAGTTCTGGGCTCTTAATCTCTCAGGTAGGTCCTTCCCTTTTCCTTTCTCCTGGAAGCAATTCATTATGACAATATTAGCAAAAGATGATGGTTTATTTATAATGTTGTCAAACTTATAAAATTTTTACAATCTTCTTTTAAAACTAGCTCTATACTAGGGATATACCATACTATTCATAAGTTTTAAGGAGGGTGATCTCTTTTGCAAAGACTAAAGGTTTTTCCCCTGCTGCAGCTCATGCTTTGTCCTACTCAGCCAGAAGGAGAATATCAGGTGTGTTTCCACATGGTTGCTGGTTCCTGAGAGGTGGCTAGTACTGTGAGAGGAGACCTGGATGAAGAGGGAGAATCTAATGTTTGCTTCATGGCTCCCAACTTATCAGGTTACATGAGTTTTCACAAATCACTTAGCTTTCTCAGAGCCTTAATTTTCTAATACATAAAGCAGGAATTATAGTCCCTGCCAATCTCAGAGAGTTGTCTATCTTGTCAGCAAAAATGTTTTATATTGTTGTTAGGAGACTGAGAAGACTGGCTTAACAAATTAAGTGTAGCCATATAATGAGGTGCCATAGCTCTGTAGTTCACTGCTCTGGGAAGATGCTCAGAATGTATTGTTTTAAAAAAATACTGCATAATTCCATTTTATGTTAAAAAGTGCATGTTTATTTGTGTACACATACATACACATACATATTTATATATACATACATGCATTAAAAATTGGCCGATACTGGAAGGCAGCACACATAACTGTGAGTGCAATGTGATTGGAGAGTTAATATCATTTCATCTCATTTCTGATATCTACATTTCTCTAAGTGGTAGGATTCTGGGTGACTTTTACCTTTTCTTTTGCAGTATGGAAAACAAATTAATAAAAAGAACTTTAAATCTTCCTGCCCAAACTCTTCTCCTCCTAAAACTATCTAAATAAAAATGCAGTTTTTGTCTTCCTGTAATTCTGTCTCTTCCTGCGTCAGACCTGTACAGATTTCTTTTTAGCTGTAAAGATTTGTAGGGAATGTTGACAATAGTCTGGATGAAAATACAGACTACTTTGTAAACAGAAAGTTCCTTTGGCCGGGGGTGGTGGGTGCCCCTCTCAGAGACAGGCAGGCATCCTCCAGGAGGGGGACAGGTATAGGCTGGGTCGAGCTGCTTGGATCATGTAAATGAACAACTCTATATAGGGATGCTTCAGAGGCAGAAGTACCAGGGAGTTATTTAATGATGGGCAGCAGTTTATCTAATGATTCCTGCAGGATACCTAGGATGCCATAAAGCAGTATTCAAGAGTGAGAAATTGCTTATTCTATAAGGTCTACAGCTTAAGCCACCATATTTGGGGACTGGAGGCTAAAGGGATTTATCTTCCAAGCAATAACTTTGTTTCTGATGGAGGGCACGCATCTGATTGTTTGGAGATCATCTGTCTTCTATAGCCACAGGCTGTGCTCAAACTATATTAGATGCTAAAATAATCCAGTTAAGGAAAGCAGAGCTCAAAACACCTACTATCCACAGAACCACTGGCCAGGTGGCTGCCGAAGGACTTATAAGAAGGGCCTTCAGGCTTCTTGGAAGACTTCTTTGGGAGCAAAAGGTGGAGAACATCTCCCCTTAGGCCTCGTGCATCTAGTTATAATGGTAAAAAGGAGGTAGGGGCCTAGGAAATGGGGGAATCATAGATTCATCACAGAGCAGCAAAGCCAACTGGTCACCCACCAGCCTGTTCCTTCTCTGACCCCACAGTGTCCAGGTAGGACCTACATGAGCATACCTCAGTAATACCAAATGGATCAATTTTTTTTGGGGGGGGATGGAGTCTTGCTCTGTTGCCCAGGCTGGAGTGCAGTGGCACGATCTTGGCTCACTGCAACCTCTGCCTTCCAGGTTCAAGCAATTCTGCCTCAGCCTCCTGAGTAGCTGGGAATACAGGTGTGTGCCACCACACCTGGTTAATTTTTGTATTTTTAGTGGAGACGGGGTTTCACCATGTTGGCCAGGCTGGTCTTGAACTTCTTACCTCAAGTGATCCACCCACCTCGATCTCCCAAAGTGCTGGGATTACAGGCGTGAGCCACCGTGCTGGCCCTAAAGGGATCAGTTTGTAAACTCAGTAAACCAAAACAAAAATCTAGCTTTGTGCTTGATTTTTTGGTGCAGTACTGCAATAGAAGTAATTCTTCTAGTAGTTTTGGTGAGAATATCTTTTATACTTGTAGTCAGACTTTTTTTTCTTTTTCTTTTTCTTTGTTTTTTTTTTTTTTTTTTTTGAGATGGAGTTTCCCTCCTGTCGCCTTGGCTGGAGTGCATTGGCATGGTCTTGACTCACTGCAACATCCACCTCCCAGGTTCAAGCGATTCTCCTGCCTCAGCCTCCCGGGTAGCTGGGATTACAGGCGCCCACCCCCACACCTAGCTAATTTTTGTATTTCTAGTAGAGACGGAGTTTTGCCATGTTGGCCAGGCTGGTCTTGAACTCCTGGCCTCAGGTGATCTGCCCGCCTTGGCCTCCCAAAGTGTTATTTTTCCAAAGACTTACAACCTTAATTGATAATGAGATAATCTAAGTTAAAATCTAAGTGAGCTTAGTTGCTATTTCTGATTCTGATTTATCCTTAAGTGTAGTGTGGAGTTCAAGCCATTCTGTTTTTTCCTTTTTAATGGGAATCTAGAGGCCAGAAGGGTAAGTTACCAGCGATTTAGAGGCCAAGGAGGTGCAGGACAAAGGTCTTCTTCCCTGGAGTCTGTCTTCCATCGCTGGCCAAAGACCTTGTCATCATTTCAGGAGGGCTCTTTATTCCCTTAAAAGCTGCTCTATTTTATTCTTTAACAATCCCCTGTTTTTTTATTTCTTTGATGACTGATGAGGTTTATCATTTTTCCATGGATTGACTGAAAATCTTCAATAGTTGGTGGCTCTTTTCCTGCCTTCATGAGGGCAGCGGAGTGAGCGTGAGGCGTGGTCAGTATCGGCCATGTGGGGTGATGATGATCAGAGAGTAGAACCATGGAGGAACCTTGGTGATCACTAAGCCTGACTTTCACTCCCAGATTAGGAAACCGGGACCCACAGAGACCAGATGACTTGTCAATAACTAGAACTGTGATTACAACCTGGCACTTGACTCCGTGACTATCTTATCACAAGGGCTGTGGTGTTTTTTTTTTTTTTTTTTTTTTGAGTCAGAGTCTCGCTCTGTCGCCCAGGCTGGAGTGCAATGATGCAATCTCAGCTCACTGCAATCTCTGCCTCCCGGGTTCAAGCGATTTTCCTGCCCCAGCCTCCCGAGCAGCTGGGATTACAAGCATGTGCCACCACACTTGGCTAATTTTTTGTATTTTTAGTAGAGATAGGGTTTCACCATATTGGCCAGGCTGGTCTTGAACTCCTGACCTCAGGTGATACTCCCTCCTTGGCCTCCCAAAGTGCCGGGATTACAGGTCTGAGCCACCGTGCCCAGCTGGGCTGTGTTTCTTAAACAGAAGTACTCATCATAATAAACTATATAAGTAAATGTAATAAATTTTAGGAGATTAAGTTGGCTGTTCTCAACTACAGGACCTAGTCTGGAACGTCATACTAACCAGTCCCTGGATGTACTTTACGTGTATGTCACTTTCCCACAAGTTGAGTGCCTTCATCTATTCAACTGAGGTTTCTTAAATATTAATAATCCCACTCATAGTATTAATTCCAAACTGCAAAGTCTCAGAAGTACACATGATGCTGAATTTCATTGCCCAAGTTGTGGTTAATTACCTAGTGTATACTTCATTCTGAGAGAATTGCCCTTCATTGCTATTTGCTTATTTTCCCTTCTTTTGTGCTCACCCCATAACCCAGCTATCATTCATCTCTTCATTAGTTCCTGTCCCATGCTTGTGGCACAGGGTCATGCAGAGCAGGTGCTGGGTAAATACTTTACCAGGGGAGCACACACATTGCCCATTTGCCAGAGAAGAAGCAAAAGAGCATGATGCTTTTGCTCAGGGAGATGGTATAGAGAGATGGTTTCGGAGAAAAGTGGCGTTGAAAGCCAACTGAGACTGTGACAGCAATGAGAGTT
The DNA here is from genome assembly GCF_000001405.40 of Homo sapiens. Lineage (NCBI taxonomy): Eukaryota > Metazoa > Chordata > Mammalia > Primates > Hominidae > Homo > Homo sapiens. The sequence continues at coordinate 25,415,096 of NC_000013.11, forward strand.
TCTAAGCTTTTGCATTAGAATAACATTTTCACCACTACAGATCCAATAGCACAGAATGTTATTCACTGTCACGTTTGCCTATGAACATGGTTGGATGTCTTGTGGGTATATTACAGTTAGCATATCCTCCTCCCCATGTACTCTCCATGCATCCAGTATGTGGCCCCAAATCTTGGGGCAATGCTTGACTGCCCTTTCTCTCACCTAGTCCTTCAGCAAATCCTGCTGCCTCTGCCTTTGAAACAGGTCCCCAGTAGAACCACTTCCCACCATCTGTACAACTAAGGCCCTGGGCCAAGCCACTGTCATCACTCAACTGGAGTCTGCACTGATCCTCTACCCTGCTCCCTTCCTCAACCATTTATTCTCTAGCCTACAGCAGATTGAGCCTTTGAAGATTTCATCAGATCAAATGACACTCCCACTTGAATTGCAAAGTGGCTTTTTTAGTTTTATGTAGACGGAAACCAGAGCTCAACAGGGTAAATGCTCTATGTGGTCCAGCTCTTGAGCCCTAACTGACATCCTGAGTCTCTTCCTCTTGACTTGCACACGCGCACACTGGCTTCCTGCTGTTCTTCAAAAGCAGTGAGCACATCCCTGTCTCGGTTCTGTCATTGGGTTTGTTTCCTCATCTCAATCAATTATCTGATCAAATGTCACCTCTTCAGAAATGCCTACTTGGCCTCCACATCTAAAGGTGGTCTCCTTAGTCACTTGGTCCCTCTCTATCCACTTATCTTTTTTTTTCTGAGACAGGATCTTGCTCTGCCACCCAGGCTGGAGTGTAGAGGCCAATTGTAGCTCCCTGCAGCCTCAAACTCCTGGGCTCAAGGGATCCTTCTGCTTCAGCCTCTCAAGTAGTTGAGACCACAGGTGTTCACCACCACTCTGGCTATTTTTAAAATTTTTTGTAGAGATGAGGTCTTACTATGTTGCCTGGGCTCATCTCAAACTTCCAGCCTCAAGAAGTCCTCCTGCCTTGGACTCCCAAAGTGTTGGGATAGCAGGCATGAGCCACTACACCTGGCCTCTTTTTCTTTGTTGAATACGTTATACATTCATTCATTTATCATGTGCTCACCTCCACCCACCCCCTAGATTGCAGCCTCCATGAGACAGGCATTGGGTTTGGTTCACTGTTTCTACTATAGAAAATAAACATTTGTTGAATGAATTACTGGGATTATCTGAGAACTGTATTTCAGTGATTAAAATTCCTGTTAAAACCCATAAAACTGAAAGGGCATTGGCAGCCTGCAGATGGTAAGACACTAGGGCTTGTCCTGTCATTGCCATTGGACTTGTTTGTGTTGCTGTTCCCCTGCTCCCACCCCACCCCCATTTAAAATAAAATGTTATCAATAGATTTCACTTGAAAGTCTCTTGGAAGACTCCAGGATTAGTCCTGGCACCAGGTTAGAAGATGAGAGCCCTAGATGATGTGTTTTCAGAGCAAGTGCAGACAGTTTGCATTGATTCTGGACAGCATTAATGTCTGCATATTTATCTCCTTTACACAGATTCAAGAACCCGTATCACTCTCCCACCCAGTCCTCTCAAAATGGAAAAATTCCAAAGCCCTCAGGAAACATTAGCTGTAATTTGTTGTATCACATGACTTACAAATTGCCCAGGAGAAGCATAAATTGTCAATACTACTTCCAGAAGGGTTAACTTTATTAATATTTATGATTAGCCTCTGAATGGTATCGTTCAGCTTTTTGACTTTCTTTTATTCATGGGAGGTACATAAAGCAACTTCTTTTCAGGTTGAAAATACTGAGGCATATACAAAGTAAAGATATTTGAAAGGAACAATAAGCCAAGCCATATTTTGTGCTTATGATTTGTGTTTCTTCATGAGTGATGTACAGTCTTGAGCACTTTTGCTGCTTGGAATTGCCATGTGGTTGAAAACTTGGGCTATCTCGGGGGGTGGTTTAGAACACTGGATTCCAGATCAAGTAAAGCCATTTATCAGAACTTTAATTATGAAGTATTGAGGTATTGAGTTTCTTTCACTTGCTTGTCATCTTTGCATCCTGAGACCTTCTTTTGTCCCCAGTTTCCCATTAATTCTTGGCCATTTATGGAGACAGGTGTGGTTTAGTTTCCCCCAGTTTAGGCTGAGCCAGGTGTTTCATTCATCTTCAGCCTGTTGGTGTAACTGAGTCCCCACCTTCTACAAAGCTGGATCCTAACTACCCAGGAATGTTTGCTCTTATTTTACTTCATTTCTCCCATTTCCCCAAATGCCTGGCTTCTAAGTCCTGCCTTTTTGGTCTGGGCTTGACACTGGCCAGTTTCTTTACCATTTTGGCTTCCATCTTCTTCATCCATAGATGAGATAGTTGTATTGGACAACCTGTAAGTCTATTCATTTATGAGCAGGTGAAAGTCTGGTATTATTAACTTCATGGTACAGATGGGATTAAAGCCTCTTTAACACTCCAAATTTGATAATTCTATAGCCCAATTGTTCAATTTAGACTTGTTAGGATAATTATTCTAGCTCAGTGATTCTGAAACTTCGGTGCGTAGGACTGGAAGTTTATTTACAGTAGAGATTTCTGACTCACTATATTTGGGGTGGAGCCCAGGAATCTGCATTTCTCAGAAGCAATAGCACAATTCTGATCAGGAGGCTGCTGGCTGTGCCTCTGTGCTTACACAGTGTCTGCCTCAGCAGGGATGTTCACCAAATGTTCATTGATTTAACTTATGCATAGCAAATCTCAAGTCAGTATTAAAATCTTTAAGCATAAACAGATATACAGTGGACACAGTATGCAGTCAGTTTTACTGTGGAATCAGTTGATTGGCACTCAAGTGTCTGAAAGTAAAATTAACTGGTGCTCTGTGTACCATGATCCCAGGACTCCTTGCTAATGCTGTAAGCTTCAGATTTTACCTCTTACACTTCTCATACCCATATGTCCAATAAACTCTCATTTCCCCCTGTTAACAGACTCTCTCAACCCGCCTATTCCTTCGGTGGCTTGCTTCAGGAAGCCCATTAATTCTCCCATTAGCAATTAGGGAACCAAGGTCTCCCTGACCAGGACATAGCTCCCAATGAATACATACCCTCAGATGTGGAATAATGGGACTCTGTATCAAAAGATCCCCACTGTCCCGTAATAATGCCCTTAACATTTGCATGGAACTAGGAAAGGCTCTATGTTAAAGCAGCATCAGCTGACGTTTTCTTGCAGTCTTTTAAAGTCTATGGATAAATGGCAGTACCCTATAGAAGGTAACAAATAGGGTTTTAAGCCTTGCAGTGCCAGACCTTCACTGAGAAACTGTGGTCTCCTTGGGGACAAGGCTACTCTGCCTCCTCTAGATCTAGTACCGTACCATGTTAAAGGATATTTTTTTTTCCAAAAAGTTAAATCATAACTCTCATAGACATAGCGTTAAAGAGAGAACTGGGAAGATGTTACAATTGATTCCAGGCAGAATGCAAAGAGCAGATGCATTTGTAGATCAAAAAGAATGAAATGAATGTGCAAATAGAGGCCAAAATGGCATCTTCCACAGTATGGTGGGAGCAATGAGCTGAGCTGCCACCTGACAGCATTTGCATGTCTACAGACAAGGATGATTTTGTATCGCCTTCCGAGATCCACAATTCGCAGAGCTCAGACAATGAAATGCTAGAATCAAATATCGCAGAAGGGTGTGAGTTCAACAGTTCATCATTTTCTATTGAAGCACCAATTTTCCTTGCCTTGATTATATGTACTTGTGTTTAACAGTCAGTTTGTAAGAGGGAATTCATCCTAAGTTGGGCTGCTCTGAGATTTCTCATCTGGGTCTTTGTGTCAAAAACAGAACCACATCCTCTAATGAAGGGATTCTTAAGGTAGTGGGCTGGAAGAGGGGGAAAAAAGGAAGAGAAGGGAGGGGGAAGAAGGATGTGTCAGAATCATCTTAGAACCAGGGCCATGTGTGTGCATATGTGTGTGTGTCTGCGTGCATGTGTGTGCACGCACGTGTTGAGGAAAAGCTCCACATACTCTTGCTGAGATATGTGACTGCTCTGAAGTTTTAGGTTCCCATTGTCATCATTTAGTGCAGTGACTCCAGGCACTTGGCCCTGGAAACTTTAGTTCTAGTCTTGGTCAGTGACTTGCACCCTTGGGGCTTTGGTCCAATCACTTAACTCCAAATACCCTCATCTAAAACATGGAGAAATACTGATGTTGCTATTGTAGGGGAGTAGAATCTACTTTCTTTTCCTCCCCCATCACTAGGCTCATGGCTGAGGCCCCCATCTGTTAAAAAAGGCAGGTTAATAAGAGAAAAGCATACACGTTTCATGTAAGTTTTCTGTGACCTGGGAACTTTCAGGAGTGAAGACCCAAAGAAACAAGGAAATATATTTTTATGCTGTTTTAGCATTTTTTATGCTATTTTTAGGCCATTTTGACTAATGCCCAACGCACTTACTCACTGGGCAGCTGGAGTTTCCAGGAACAGAAGAAGTGCCATGATGCAAACAGGGAAGAGCCCCTGAAAACCAGCAGTGAGGTTTTTATTTGTTCTCATAACCGTAATGTTTTAGTACAAGTGTTGATTCTGTGCAGGTGTCTAAAGAATTGATATAATATCTTGCTTCAGGGAATTTATATCAAATTGGAAATATAAGATTAACGATTAGGAAACAGCAAGTGTGAGAGTGAAATATAATCAAGGGCTATTAAGTGGTGCAATGTGAATAGATGATCATTACTCTAGGTGGTCAGGAAAGAGTGCTCTGCAAAGAACCCTGGCCCTTAATTTATATTTTCTGACAATGCACATGCAGGCAGTTGTGGCTCTGATTCTGCTGACAATTGAAAGGAACAGAGAATTGAGGCAGGTGGGTGAATAGTTCTAGAAAGGAATACGATACATACTTCAAGGAAAAATGTATGTACTGATGGTGGGTACATTATCTTCCCAGAGCTCTAGGCGCTTTTATTGAAGGGTTTCTGTGTAAAATCAGTCACAGACTCAGCGTTCAGACTTAATATTGGGAGCATCTCAGATTTTGATTTCATTTTGAAAGATAGGGAGAGGGCCCAAAGGGAGTCCTCCTTGTCCTTTCAGGCTTCTTTCTTTCTGTAATTTACAAATTCTTCATTTGTATTTTTTTAAAAAACCACTTGAAAAGAACCATTTTAGAATGAATTGGCCAGAAGAAGGTTAATACAGACAGGAAGGTGGCACAGCGGGGCTCCGTGGCCATCAAAGACAAGGATGAAGTGGGACCAGGTGGCCAGGAGTGGTTTTGGCTAGAGCAGACTCAAGGCTTTGGAAGAGGCTGTGCCTCCCTGGTTAGCATTTTAAAAACTGTTCTCTGGGAAATGTGACATCCTTGAGCTTATTACATTGAACAATAGATAGGCTTTTAGATGCAATTTGGTGACTACAAAATAAAATTTTTGGTGATAATTGAAATGAGCTTCATATTTGATTTGTAAAATTCAATGCTCTCAATAGCTAATGCATGCAGGGCTTATTACCTAGGTGATCGGCTGATCTGTGCAGCAAAACATCATGGTACATGTTTACCTATGTAACAAGCCTGCACATCCTGCACATGTATCACAGAACTTAAAAAAGAAAAGAGTTCAATGCTCTCATTCGCATGGTCACAGATAGTTACCTATAAATATTTCCGGAATATTGATGGTAGGAATCGATATCCATGCAGGCAACTTGAACACAAGAAGCTCAGTTTCATTTGAGTACTCTGTTCTGTTCTTAGTAAGCTCAAGCATTAAATGACAAATTTAAGGTTTAACTGGTGTGGCTATAAACAGCTCTGTACAAACCTCTACCTACTTTAAGAAATTACTTCCATGGGATGTCTTCCTGAGGTTATTTTATTTCAACCATGCCTTCCCTTTATTTCTAAAGCTTTGATTGAGGTTCTAAGACTGTGCATGAAATACTTAGGATTTTGTCTGTTGTGTAAAGTGTGATATAATTCTAGATCAACAGAGAGCTCACATTCTTTAGAAATATTACTAATCACTTTGACATAGAAAGCACAGATTAAAAATCATTTCGCATAGAGTATTCCCATAGTGGTCCTAGCATTGCAGTGGATAACCAGATACTTACTTAGGAGTACATTTTGTTTTCTAGGTCCTTCCAGAGCTCCATTCTTTACTATGTGTGAGACACAGAAACTGTCCTTTTCACATTTTTAAACGTGTTTCTCTAAAACTTGTAGTCTCTCCTCTTTTAAATTTTTTTTACAGTCAGGGTCTCTCTCTGTTGCCCAGGCTCAAGTGCAGTGGCATGATCATAGCTCACTGTAGCCTCGAACTTCTGGACTTAAATCATCCTCCCACCTCAGCCCCCCAAGTAGCTAGGACTACAGGCCCATGCCACTGCACCTGGGTATTTTTAAAACTTTTTGTAGAGACAGGGTCTCATTGTGTTGCCCAGGCTGATCTTGAGCTCCAGGGCTCCAGTGATTCTCCTGCCTCAGCCTCCCAAGGACTGGGATTACAGGGGTGAAACACCGTGCCTGGCCCTTTTCTCCTTTTAAAAGAGAAGTAAACTATATGGAAACTTGAAAATTACACAAGCAACTATTAGTTTTTACTTGTACAGGACTGGAAGTAGACACTAGAGAAAAGAAAACAAACATGGAGTTTGATCTATATAGCCTGCAGTGGCCCTACGTGGTGCCAAGCAAATTGCTGCAGATGAAGCAACCGTGTGTATGTATTTGATGCCAAATTCCACGGCTTGGCAGGACTGATAAAGGCAACATCAGATGAAAGTTCTCTTTGAGGATATTTCCATTTCTTTCCTTTTTTTGCTTCTCTTAAATTCATCAGCATTTTTCCATATCATGCAGTACCTAGAACAGATCTGCTCGTTACGTCCTCCCTACCTCAGTCCCACCAGTTATGAAATGGTGATAAGAAACAATGCTTGAAAGTGATGAAAAGAGGTGTAGGGCTCAAACCCTGAGCTCTGGTTTTCAGAAAAGACAAAGCAGTATCATTGCCCCCTCTTTTTTTTCTGGCTTGTTCCTATAGTATTGTTTAAACAGACAAAAACACTTATGACTCGAGAGTAATAATATAAATAATTTCTTAAGGACTTAGTAAATACATACAGAGGCATTTTTGAAAGCAAGTATGATTGATCTTAGTAATATATTTTGGCACAAGCATTTGCTTAATAGACTAAGAAGTGTTTATTTTTAAAGCATTGACCTGTTTGTAAGGCTTCATGTCAGGCCAAATGTGAGGTTTGAGAGCACACACTTGGAAGGCTCCACTGGCTCTATTTAGAGATTTTTAAAAGGTCCCCATTAGACCAATGAGTTAAAATCCCCGTTGACATTGTAGTCTTCTGTCAATAAACATCCTTGCCTTCCCTGTTTTGCTTTTAGTACAGCCTTTTTAAAAAATTACCAAAAGATACTTGCATATATTGTCATAAGAAACTCCCATTACTATTCATGCTTTTAATAAAACAATGAACTTGACCTTCACACGAGTCAGCCTACATAACACACACAGAGAGGCTCTTTACAAGGAAGGATGTTTATTTGGAAATAGGCATTGCAATGGGAATGTACATGCCATAGTGAAAACTGTGGTGTATTCAGAGAGGTAAAGGGAAACCAAAGTTTTTAAAGGAAAAAATGAGGAGGCTTACATAATTGTTTGAAATAGTTATCCTTGGCTACAAAGATCAGTAACAAGAGTGCTACCTGTCTGAGGTTGCACAGGCTGTTGCTGGGGCAAATGTCCTTACAAAAGTATTATTTTGTGTCAGGTTTTGATAGCTTTGTGCATGGTTGTGGTTTTTGCAGTTTTTGGTAATAGTTTTTGTTATCAGGCATACATGAATGACAGCCCTCTCTTCATGGCCTTCCTTGGCTCTATTTGTCAGGGTTATCTTAACATTAGTGACTCCATTTTGGTTCTGACAACTTTCACGTGTCTTCTTTCACTGCTCCACCCCCACCGTGGCATCATGACGGAAGGCATCAACTTCCACCCTCTGACTCTTGGACAGATGGGCACTGGCATCACTTGAGCTTCACTTTCAGTGCTCTTTCTAGGCCTTTTTACCCACACGTAGCCTTCCTTCATTTTTAAAAAAATTAATTAGATCAGATTAAACATTATTAGCAACTTTCTTTTTCTCTTAATGTATCTTTGATAGCTTTCCTTATTTGTATATGTCTACCCTATCTTAAAGCAGTATAATATATCTCATAGTGTGTGTGTACCAAGGCAATGAAATGAATCTGCGTTAATAAACTTTTAGGATGTCTGGCTTTTACAAAGCTTGCTGAGTGATCCTTGGTCATGTGCATTTTTGTGTACATTTTCGAATATTTTTGTATGATAGAATTCTAAGGGTGGAATCGGGTTTTGAATTTTGTAGTACACTTCCATGTGATTTTTTTCTAAAAGCTGTACCAGTCTATATTTATATGACAATCTACGAGAGTACCCATTTCCACTTAGACAAAGCAGCAATGAATATCATCAGTCTTTTTAGGTTGTGCAATCTAAAGGATGTCAAATGTGTTTTTAATTCTTATAATTTGTGTATTACGGACTACTGTTAAGTTGAGCATCTTTTTATAAGTTCTTGGTCAATTTTATTAGTTGGAGATCAGATGTTTGGCATAGATCTTTCCTTACAACAATATAATTTAAGGTCTACTAGGGACTAGTAAGCGCTTGGGATTTAGAGATTAAGGAGGCTAAATGTCTCCCTTTAAGGAATCTACAAGCCAGTGAACAGCAATGAGGTGTGTACAAATAATTCTAACAGTGTGAGTTGTGTCCACTGACAGCGTGGGCAAAGTTTAAAGAGGGATGTGAGGATGAGGATTTCAGAGGGTCAGGTTTGAGCCAGGTTGGAAGATTTCTCCAGGTGGCAGATGGGGAGGGCCATCAACAATGTGAAATTGTCGGCACACGGTGTCTTAGAAAGGCAAGTTGTCCTGCAGGGCTTGGTGTGGGAAATAGAGCTGAGAAGGGGATCGTGGACCTTCTGTGACATGCTCAGGAGAAGAAACCTCTTCTGTGGGCCCAGCAGAGGGTCTGGGAATCCTGTTCTCACTGCATAAAGTGCTTATTATTATCTGTTATAAATATGTGTTGACCGAAGATAATGATTCCATGTTTCCACTCACCTGCTTGGCCCAATATCCATTCTTCCCATTCTTGTGTCCTTTCTTCTATAGCAGATCATTCTAACACATGGCAGTGTTGTTTCAGCCTTAGATGCTCTGTAATCACATCATCAACACAGGTGGGTTGGCGTTCCAGCCACCTTCCAATATAGGAGGAAGTTAATTGGTGATTCCCTTCTTCTCTCCTCTGAGTACTGCTCATGATCTCTGCAGGGACCTCTGAGCAGGATGTCTCAGTCATAGGCATATATTTAAGTCTAACTGCTGTTAACGCTTAATAGAAAGTGGTTTGTAAAACACATTAAAATATTTACAGGGTTCCTTTGAAACATGGTGATAAAACACTCCGCCAAACTTCTTTTTGGAAACAAGTTCACTTAAACCGTTCAATAAAGATGGCTTGGCCAGGCGCGGTGGCTCATGCCTATAATCCCAGCATTTTGGGAAGCCCAGGTGGGCAGATCACCTGAGGTTGGGAGTTCAAGACCAGCCTGGCCAACATGGTAAAACCCCGTCTCTACTAAAAATACAAAAATTAGCTAGATGTGGTGGTGGGCGCCTGTAGTTCCAGCTACTTGGGAGGCTGAGGCAGGAGAACTGCTTGAACCCAGGAGGCAGAGGTTGTAGTGAGCCAAGATTACACCATTACACTCCAGCCCGGGCGACAAGAGCAAAACTTGGTCTCAAATAAATAAATAAAGATGGCTTGATTTATGTCATTAAAGATGTTTCCTGCAAGTTTTCCTGATAGATCATGTGCATTTCAGTGATGACGGTGGAGATTCATTTTGTTTTCTAGCTACTAGTGGTTTTTAAAGAGGTAACGACATGGCACATCACTTAAAAATGAAGAAATTGGCTGAAGTACACACCCTGAAATATATACTCTGTGTGTAAGTCTCAGTACATAGGCTACCCTCTTTTCTTATACTATCATTAGAGCACTTGGGTTCCATTACTGCTGTGTTTTGTATATACATTTTGCTTTTTACAGTGCCTCCAACTACTGCTCAAGATCAATTTGCTCCTATTTTTAATGCTAGAAGCTCCCCCCAGCACCCCCCAATGCCTGAAAAAAATTAACTAGGAAAAACATCAGCTTCTAGTACTGGATCTCTAGTACTTGCAAGACGTCATAAATTTGAAATCATATAGTATGCAGCCTTTTCAGATTGGCTTCTTTCTTTCCTTTTTTTTTTTTTTTTTTGAGATGGAGTCTCGCTCTAGTACTGGATCTCTAGTACTTGCAAGACGTCATAAATTTGAAATCATACAGTATGCAGCCTTTTCAGATTGGCTTCTTTCTTTCCTTTTTTTTTGAGATGGAGTCTTGCTCTGTCGCCCAGGCTGGAGTGCAATGGCACAATCTCGGCTCACTGCAACCTCTGCCTCCTGGGTTCACACCATTCTCCTGCCTCAGTCTCCCAAGTAGCTGGGACTACAAGTGCCCACCACCACGCCCGGCTAATTTTTTGTATTTTTTTAGTAGAGACGGGGTTTCACTGTGTTAGCCAGGATGGTCTCGATCTCCTGACCTTGTGATCCGCCCGCCTCCGCCTCCCAGAGTGCTGGGATTACAGGCGTGAGCCACTGCGCCCGGCCAGATTGGCTTCTTTCACTTAGCACTATGCATTTAAGCTTCCTCTATGTCTTTTCATAGCTTGATAGCTCAGTCTTTTTATTGTGGACTAGTACTTCTTTGTCTGAATGGATGACAGTTTGTTTATCCACTCACCTACTGGAGGACATCTTGCAAGAAGCAACACCATGAAGACTGTAGAAAGATCAGTGGTTGCCAGGGGTTGGGGGAGGGAGAGATGAATGAGTGGAGCATTGTGTTAGGCCATTCTGGTGTTGCTATAAAGAAACACCTGAGACTGGGTAATTTATAGATAAAAGAGGTTTAACTGGCTCACAGATCTGCACACAGTACTAGAAGCATGGTGCCCGCATCTGCTTCTGGTGAGGCCTCAGGGAGCTGTGACTTATGGCAGAAGGAGGAGCAGGAGCTTGCCCATCACATGACAAGAGTAGGAGCAAGAGACAGAGTGGTGGGGGAGGTGCCACACACTTTTAAACAACTAGTTTCACATGAACTCACTCATTAGCATGAGGGCAGCACCAAGCTTTGAGGGAGCCGCACCCCTAGACCCAAATACTTCCCACCAGGCTCCACCTCCAACACTGGGGATTGTATTTCAACATGAGATTTGAGGGGACAAATATCCAAACTATATGAAGCACGGAGGATTTTGAGAGCAGTAGAACTACTCTGTGTGATACCATTATGGTGGCTACATGTCATTATACACTTGTCCAGACCATAGCCTGTACAACACAGAGTGAACCCTAATGCCAACTGTGGACTTTAGTTAATAATGTATCAGGGCCGGGCACGGTGGCTCATGCCTGTAATCCCAGTACTTTGGGAGGCTGACACGGGTGGATCACCTGAGGTCAGGAGTTTGAGACCAGCCTGGCCAATATGGTGAAGCCCTGTCTCTACCAAAAATATAAAAAAAATTAGCTGGGCACGATAACACATGCCTGTAATCCCAGCTACTCGGGAGGCTGAGAGAGGAGAATCGACTGAATCTGGGAGGCAGAGGTTGCAATGAGCTGAGATCACTCCACTGCACTCTAGCCTGGGTGACAGAACCAGACTCCCTCTAGGAAAATAATAATAATAACAATAATAATATGTCAGTATCAGTTCATCACTTGTAACAAATGTAAAACACCAGCGCAAGATGTTAATAAAGGGGGAAAGCCAGAGGGGGTGTGAGAGAGTATGTGGGAACTCTCTACATCAGGGGTTCCCCCAACATAGGAACCAGGCTGCAGAGCAGGAAGTGAGCAGTGGGCGAGCTAGCACGTGAAGCCTTATCTGTATTTACAGCCGCTCCCCATAGCTCCCCATTACTGCCTGAGCTCCGCCTCCTGTCAGATCAGCGGCAGCATTAGACTGTGCATGTGAGGGATCTAGGTTGTGTGCACCTTATGAAAATCTAATGCCTGATGATCTGTCACTGTCTCCCATCACCCCCAGATGGGACCATCTAGTTGCAGGAAAACAAGCTCAAGGCTCCCACTGATTCTACATTATGGTGATTTGCATAATTAATTCATTATATATCACAATGTAATAATAATAGAATAAGGTGCACAATAACTGTAATGTGCTTGAATCATCCTGAAACTATCCCTCCACGCCCGGGTCATGGGAAAATTGTCTTACATGAAAGTGGTCCCTGGTGCCAAAAAGGTTGGCAACCACTACTCTACACTAACTGCTCATTTTCCTGGGAGCCTAAAACTTCTCTAAAAAAAACAAACAAATGGCTGAGCACAGTGGCTCATGCCTGTAATCCCAGCACTTTGGGAGGCCGAGGCAGGTGGAACATGAGGTCAAGAGATCGAGACCATGCTGGCCAACATGGTGAAACCTCATCTCTGCTAAAAATAGGAAAATTAGTTGGGCATGGTGGCAGGTGCTTGTAGTCCCAGCTACTTGGGAGACTGAGGCAGGAGAATTGTTTGAACCTGAGAGGCAGAGGTTGCAGTGAACCGAGATCGAGCCACTGCACTCCAGCCTGGTGACAGAGTGAGTCTCTGTCTCAGAAAAAAAAGAAAAAGCAAGTTGGCTGGGTGCGGTGGCTCATGCCTGTAATCCCAGCACTTGAGGGGCGGAGGAGAGCAGATCACTTCAGCCTAGTCCTTGGCAGCATGGCAAAACCCCATCTCTACAAAAATTACAAAAATTAGCCAGGCATGGTGATGTGCGCCTGTAGTCCCAGCTACTCAGCAGGCTTAGGTGGAAGGATCGCTTGAACCTGGGAGGTTGAGCCTGCAGTCAGCTGTGATGGTACCACTGCACTTCAGCCTGGGTGACAGAGTAAGACCCTGTCTCAAAAAAAAAAGTCTGTTAATTAAAAAAATTAAAACTTAAAAAAAAGAAGTGGGCACATTTATCTGGTCCTGTGACAAAAACATTTATGAAGCATGCCTCAGTTTCCAATCTTTACTTCCTACAGAGTTCTGCACACTTGGTGCCACCATTACCACACCGACCACTACTTCTTGGTGTTAACTTGTTCTTTCAGTAAATGCGAATGGAGCACCGAATGCTAGATGTGCTGGGTTCGAGGATGAGCCATAGTGTCTACTCCTTGAGATCTTAGTCTATTGTGGGAAACAGACTTATGAACACATGAATGGCACTTAAACCCCTGGGTGTGATATTTAAAGATATGAACAAAGTGCTGTGGGACCACAGGGAACACCGTCTCACCCTCCCTGCAGGAGTCAAGAGGAGCCTCTGAGAGAAGGGCATGTCTGACCTAGGTGTGTTTTAAGTGTGAGGAGGTGGCAAGGTGTGTGTTTGTTGGGGCAATGCTCGCAAGTATAACAGACCCCCAAATATATAATGGCTCAAACACGTCAGCCTTACATGTTGCTCATAGAATGGCTCAGCAGGCAGCCCACTCGCAAGCAGGATTTGGGACCCCAGGGTCTTTCCAATGTTGCCTCATTTCTATGCATCAGCTGGAGAAAAAGGGAGAGAAGTGGAGGCAGCACAGAGGCGTGATGGCCTCTGTCCAGCCTGGACATGTGTCACTTCTGCTCAAGTCCCCTTAGTAAGAGCTCACAGCACGACCCCAGAACAGGTCTGGGAAATGCCCCCCAGCTAGGCAGCTGGTGACACTGCTCCAGGCCATGGAAAGGGAGGCTGAAGATTCCTAAGAGATAGTGAGTGCTATCTGCTGCCATACCAGGGGAAGTAGAGAGTTAAGTCTAAAGAAATAATCTAGTGGCCGGGCACCGTGGCTCATGCCTGTAATCCCAGCACTTTGGGAGGCCGAGGCGGTTGGATCACCTGAGGTCACGTGTTTGAGACCAGGCTGGCCAACATTGTGAAAACTCGTCTCTACTAAAAATACAAAAAAGTTAGTCCGGTGTGGTGGTGGGTATCTGTAATCTTAGCAACTCGGGAGGCTGAGGCAGGAGAATTGCTGGAACCTGGGAGGCGGAGGTTGCAGTGTGCCAAGATGGAGCCATTGCACTCCAGCCTGGGCCCATAACAGTGTGACTCCATCTTAAAAAAAAAAAAAAAAAAAAAAAAAAAAAGAAGTAATCTTGCATGTTCACTCTTTGGAAGGACTCTCCGAATTCTGGGGGATTCACCCCATTCTCCCCAAGAAGGAAAATGGTCAGCTGGATGGCTGGGTGGGTGGAGTGGAATAGTTCTTCATGCTGCAGTCATTTGTACCCTTGAATGTTTCCCTTTCAAGTGTATTAATTATTAAAGAAATGAGTCACCTTAATAGACTGCCACATAACGTGTGGGAAACCCGGTGGTTCCGCAGGCACTTGGTACCAGTGGGGAGATACACATTCCTCACAAGCTTGGGTGAAGTTGCTATTTGAGGGGGCAGGAGGTGTCCCTTTGAGCCCAGCTGGGAAAGGCCTTGTCTGATGCGCTGAGGCATTTAGGCTTCCTCGTGTGGGCCAGGAGGAGGCCACAGCATTGGGCAGGGAGCGCTCTCCAGGGCTTGGAGCCAGGGGTAAGACATTGGTGACAGGGAGGTGGCCTGGGCAGGAGTCAGCAGGGTGCAGTGGTCCAGGCTGGGAGGATGAGGTTCTGAAGGAGAGGGATGGCTGTGGGGATTTTGAGGAGGGGTTGGGCTTTTAGACAGTTTGGCAGTGAAACAAGGAAGGTTTAGGAGCCAGCAATCACAGAGGGAGAAAATCAGTCATGGCTCTGATGTTTGGGTTTTGAGCCCTTAGATAAATAGTAGATTTGCAGAAAGGTAAACAATTCCATTCCCGTTTTAGAGAGCTGGAGGAGCAGTCAGGACCTCCAGGTGGGGGTGTCTAGTAAGCAGCTATAAATGTGGGCTCGGGTCCATGAGAGAGGTCCAGGCCCCAGCCTACCTCAGAAAAAGAGGCTGTGACCTCTGGCGAATGTGCAGCCTGAGACGGGGGCTGAAATGCAACTGTGGGGGCGTCTCCGGTAAGGGATGGACATGGGGGGGCCCGTGTGGAGGGGCAGGAAGGAAACAACCACAGTGTGAATTCCTAGAAGCCCAAATAGGGATTGCTGCAAGAATGGGGGATGCCAAATGCTGCAGGAGTTTTGTAGGAGCAGGAGTGGTTGTGCACGGCTGGATTTGGCAAAGACTTGTCATTGACCTCGGCAGAGCAATTTCAGAAGATGGTAGCAGAAGGCCACTGTAGTCGACTGAGGAGTGAATAATGATCAGACTAGAGGACAGTTTGAGATGTTTTGAGAGGCAAATGAGGGGATAGGTTTTTGTTGTTGTTGTTTGTTTTTGTTTTTGTTTTTTGAGACATAGTCTCGCTCTGTTGCCCAGACTGAAGTGGCGAAATCTCGGCTCGCTGTAGCCTCCGCCTCCCAGTTTCAAGCGATTCTCCTACCTCAGCCTCCTGAGTAGCTGGGATTACAGGCGCCCACCACCATGCCCAGCAAATTTTTGTATTTTTAGTAGAGACAGGGTTTCACCATGTTGGTAAGGCTGGTCTCAAACTCCTGACCTTAGATGATCCACCCGCCTCGGCCTCCCAAAGTGCTGGGATTATAGGCATGTGCCACCACACCCTGCCAAGGTAGTTTATAGTGGTCTTTTAAGCATGATTATAACTCAAGGGAAGAAACTGGTTAATATTGTCACTCCTTGTTTAAGTGGCTATTCCTTCCTAAAACACACACACACACACATATATATACACACACACACACACATAATGGGTGTGTGCATATGGTCTGTCTTCTGGTTATTTTGATAACATAGCCTTTGAATGGATTAGAAAACCTCAACATTGTTAAGTACACATTTCTCTAAACAGATTTTATTTTATTTGTTTATTTTTTTGAGACTGAGTTTCACTTTTGTTGCCCAGGCTAGAGTGCAATGGTGTGATCTCAGCTCACCGCAACCTCCGCCTCCCAGATTCAAGTGATTCTCCTGCCCAGCCTCCCGAGTAGCTGGGATTAGAGGCATGCGCCACGATGCCTGGCTAATTTTATATTTTTTAGTAGAGACGGGGTTTCTCCATGTTGGTCAGGCTGGTCTCGAACTCCCGACCTCAAGTGGTCAGCTCGCCTCAGCCTCCCAAAGTGCTGGGATTACAGGCGTGAGCCACCACACCCGGCTTCTCTAAACAGATTTTAATTGATGAATTCTAATAGTAACTTTTACTTCGGCGGCGGGGGGGGAATCTCATACAATTATGATGGAATGGGAATTGATTTTCTTTCCCCTGAGCTCTGGAAAACAATTTGAGATTATCCAATTCTAGCACTAGCTTGATTTCTTCTAACTAAGCAACCTTATTTTTTAATGTGAAAAAATTAATATGAGTTGCTTCTCTGTAAAGTGTGGGCTTGTATTATTTTTTAAAGCTTACCTCTTGATTAAAATATAAGCTACATACAGAAAATTATAGGAATTAATTTTTTTGTTTCCTGAGCTATAAATTACATACATTAAATTCATTTTAGTATATTCACAAAGGTGTGCAGCCATCACAATTATCTAGTTCCAGAACATTTTCCTCACCCCTCAAAATAACCCCATACCTGTTAACAGTCACTCCCCTTCTCCCTGTCTCCCAGCTCCTGAAAATCACTAATCAACTCTCTGTCTCTAAGGATTTACCTATTCTGGGCATTTCCTTTAAATTGAGTCGTATGGTGTGTGGCCTTTGTGTTTGGTTTCTTTTACTTAGTACAATATTTTCAGGGTCATCTGTGTAGTAGCTTGAATTAGAACCTTATTCTTTTATTTACTGCTGAATAATATTCCATTTTACAGATATCCCACATTTTGTTTATCCGTGCATCAATTAATGACCATAATTGCTTTTTAATGTTTTCATTTTAAAGATCTGGGGCTTGATTTGTGCATGAAGAAAGCTACGGTAGCCAGTATGAGCCCACCTCGCTCAGCACAGGAGCCAGGGCAGAGGCAGCACTGGGGAGTTTGCCAGTTTACCTCGGAGGTCCTTGTGTGTCCACGTGTTTGGGTGCTCATGGCCAGAAAACAACTTTTGTGCCTCATCTACAGTGCTCCCCTAGGGAATAGGATGTCTCTGGGGACCCTGGCATAGAACAGAAACCCCAGCCACTGCATGTCAGGTGACATTCTTTCCTTGGGGATCTTTAGATTTGCATAAACACGGAGTGAGCGTTTTCTTCTGGTGTGAACCCTGACTTCTTTAGTTTGGGGGCTTTGATGGTTTCTACCAAAATCCTAGGGATGTGCTTGTGGGCTGGTGGGAGGGCTCAGAGCTCCTAGGCAAGGGCACCCCAGTTTTATGATGTTCCATGAATTGCTGCAAGCCTCTAGCCTGCTCATTTTCTTCCTGTCATTTTTTTTTTTCTGCAGATGATACAACCATGTTTATAACCATGTTTACACTTCTCAAAGGGAAGCAGTCTCAGAAAAAACTCCCTTAGGATGCATAACTAGGTGAACTCCTGGATGTTTACATGTTCTCAAGTGGTAGATGTTCTTTCATGGAGCCTGGCTGTTTTATTCAATGTATGTGTTTTATTTCTACTAGAACAGAGTTCATGAGAGGGTCAGTTTGTGACCCGTGCTTTCCGGCACATGTGTTGTCTAAAGAGACACAGCCACACATGGGGTTTTCTTGGCTCTGTGTGGAATGGGGAGTAGTTAGCTTCAGTGAGGCTCCTTATGTACTTTTCCACAGTTTGGAGAAATCTGAGTTAGTCTGTAGAATGGCTTCTATTTCTTTTAAATCTGATCTGTGGGAGCTGAGTTGCTGCAAGGTCTGTCTGCATTCCTAAGCCTTGGCACTCTGTCTTTCCACGATCACAGGTCAAAGGCATTTTCCCATAGGTTTCTTCCTGGATGAGTAGGGGATGGGAAAGGAGAGAAGGAAGTGTTATGGACTATCTCTGAAAATCGCAGTTGTGTCCTGAAATTCATTTCAGGTCTGTTTTTCTTTTCCTTTTGTTTTGTTTTGTTTTTGAGACAGGCTGTCTTTCTGTCTCCCAGGCTGGAGTGCAGTGGTGTGATCATAGCTCACTGCAGCCTTGAATTCCTGGGCTCAACTGATCTTCTCACCTCAGCTTCCCAAGTAGCTGGGACTACAGGCGTGTGCCACCATTCATGGCTAATTTTTGTATTTTCTGTAGAGACGGGGGTCTTGCTTTGTTGCTGAGGCTGGTCTTGAACTTCTGGGCTCAAGCAATCCTCCTGCCTGAGCCTCCCAAAGTGTTGGGATTGCAGGTATGAGTCATGGATCCTGACCTCAGGTCTGTTTTTCAAGTGCTGTTTGTATACACGGAAGTGAGTGCACATACTTCATTCTTGTGTTTCAGATGAAATGCTTAGTTCCACACACAACTATCCTGCATTAGAAATCACATGCTTCTGTTCACAGTAGCAAAGTCATAGAACCAACCTAAGTGCCCATCAACGGTTGACTGGAAAAGGAAATGTGGTATTTATACACCATGGAATACTACACAGCCATAAAACAGAATGAAATCATGTCCTTTGCAGCAACATGGATGGAGCTGGAAACCATTATCCTAAGCAAACTAACTCAGAAACAGAAAATATTGCGTGTTCTCACTGACAAGCGGGAGCTGAACAGTGGGTACACATGGACATAAAGATGGAAATAATAGATTCTGGGGGCTCCAAAAGAGTGGGAGTGCTGAGGCTTGAGAGATTACCTGTCAAGTACAATGTTTACTATTTGGGTAATGGGTATACTAGAAACCCAGTCCCCACCAGGATGCAATATACCCATGTAACAGACAAGCACATGTACCCCCGAATGTAAAAAAGAAGAAATCTCGCGCTTGTTGGGAGCAGAAGGGGAATATTGGTCATCCCCTCTGTGGTGCGAGGAATTCTTCAGAGATGGTTAGCGCTGAGGCTCTTGGTGCCTGTAGCTTGCATTCAGGACACTGACCCACAGTTTGTCATTTATTCAGGACTCATACCTGGGCTCCCTGCCTAAGGTGTGATGAGAAGCATGAGCCTCTTTTTCTTATCCACTTTTTTTCTTTTCTCTCTCTTTTTTTTTGTTTTTTGAGACAATGTCTCTCTGTGTTGCGCAGGTTGGAGTGCAAAGGCGTTATCTTGGCTCACTGCAACCTCTGCCTCCTGGGTTCAAGTGTTTCTCGTGCCTCAGCCATCCGAGTAGCTGGGATTACAGGCGTGTGTCACTACACCTGGCTAATTTTTGTATTTTTAGTAGAGGTAGGGTTTTGCCATGTTGGCCAGTCTGGTCTCGAACTCCTGGCCTCAAGTGATCCGCCTGCTTCGGCCTTCCAAAGTGCTGGGATTACAGGCATGAGCCACTGTGCCTGGCCCCACTTTCTTTTCAAGCACAGTAGCTGCCCCATCACAGAATTAAAATACGATTCTTTTTTATTTTCCCGTGTTCCCCAGCACCCAGCCCCATGCATTCTATTGATGACTTGTCTCTCACTCTTTTTTCATTTTTGCACCACATGCTATAAGAGGTATGAAGTGCAAATAGGCTTGCTGCATACTTGGTATTTTCTCCAGCATGCACGTGTTCTATTGGTATGGACATATCACTGCATTACTGACACAAGTATGGCTTGTGTAGCATTTCACATCTCATCTTGTCTCATCCCTGGATGATGATGGCGTTAATGAGAAAGAAACCATGGAAGTGCTTCAGGCCCTCTGCTCTTCTTGGGATCTATGCATCCGTTCTGTGCTGGGGCACCTTGAGTTCTTATGTGTTCATCTGCTGGAGACTGATAGAAAACAGCAGAAGTCTTCTGAACTCTAGGAGTTCCTGGGCATAGGAAATCTTTTTTTTTTTTTTTTGAGATGGAGTTTTGCTTTTTTGCCCAGGCCGGAGTGCAGTGGCGCGATCTCGGCTCACTGCAACCTCCACCTCCCGGTTTCAAGCGATTCTCCTGCCTCAACCTCCCAAGTAGCTGGGATTACAGGCACCCACCACCATACCTGGCTAATTTTTGTATTTTTAGTAGAGACGGGGTTTCACCATGTTGGTCAGGCTGGTCTCGAACTCCTAACTTCGTGATCCACCTGCCTCGGCCTCCCAAAGTCCTGAGATTACAGGCGTGAACCACCGCGCCCGGCTGGAAATCTTTAATTATACAATCAATTAAATGATGTGGGCTATATTTGCAGGGAGAGAAAGCCAGTAAAGCTTAAGTTTTGTTTTTATCAACATAATCTTCGTAGGTTCTTTCTTCTGGAATCATCTAGCCTCAAGCGCAAGGTAGTACTTCTCAGGTGTAAATGTCACTGGAATTGATGGCATAAGTTACTTCTTGTTTTTATGTTGGGTTTTACGTGTTGTTCTTTTTCTTTTCTTTCTTTTTTTTTGCCTTATTTGCACAGTTAATGGATCTTGTGGTTTTTTTCTCCACTGAGATATACACTTATTGTATTATATTGATTTATGTCCCTGCTCTTCTTCAAGAGGCCTGCATAAGGAAAATATAATGTAGACTATTAATTTTAGAAGCAATCATGGAACAAGAATCTTATTTATGCTTCCCCTAAATTTTATTTTAAACTGTAGACTAAAATGATCTTATGAAAAATGTCACGCAGTTAAGAAAAAGCATCGTGTGTGTGTGTGTGTGTGAGTGTGTGTGTGTGTGTGTGAGTGTGTGTGTGTGTGTGTGTATGTGTGTGTGAGTGTGTGTATGTGTGTGTGTCTTTCAGACTAAATTTAAGCCACCGGCAATCTTTTTATTGGGTCATAGCCATAAAGCTTCATCTTTTTTTTTTTGGCTTGTTAATAGATTTTACTTTTTTCATTTTAAAAAATAATTTCAACTTTTATTTTAGACTCAGGGGGTACATGTGCAGGTCTGTCACATGGGAACAGTGTGTGAAGCTGAGGTTTGGGGTATGGATGATCCTGTTACCCAGACAGTGAGCACAGCACCCAGTAGGCAGTTCCTCAGCCCCTACCCCGTCCCCAATCCAGCAGTCCCAGTATCCATTGCTCCCATCTTTATGTCCACGTGTACTCAATGTTTAGCTCTCCCTTACAAATGAGGAGGTATGGTAATTGGTTTTCTGTTCCTGGTTAATTCACTTCAGATAAGGGCCTCCAGCTACATCCATGTTGCTGCAAAGGACATTATCTCATTCTTTTTTATGGCTATGTAGTATTCCATGGTGTATATGTATCACATTTTCTTTATCCAGGCCACCACTGATGGGCATTTAGGTTGATTCCATGTCTTTGCTGTTGTAAATAGTACTGTGATGAACATAAGCGTGTGTCTGTTTGGTAGAATGATTTATTTTCCTTGGGGTATATACTCACTAATGGGATTGTTGGGTTGAATGGTAGTTCTGTTTTAAGCTCTTTGAGAAATCTCCAAACTGCTTTCCATAGTGGCTGAACTAATTTACATTCCCACCAGCAGTGTGTAAGCACCCCCCTTTTTCTGCAGCCTTGCCAACATCTGTTGTTTTATGACTTTTTTTTTTTTTTAACAGAGTCTCACTCTGTCACCTAGGCTGGAGTCCAGTGGCACAATCACAGTTCCACTGCAGCCTCGGCCTCTCAGGGTTAGGTGATCTTCCCACCTCAGCCTCCTGAGTAGCTGGGACTACAGGTGCCCACCACCATGCCCAGCTAATTTTTGTATTTTTTGTAGAGATGAGGTTTCACCATGTTGCCCAGGCTGGTCTTTAATTCCTAAGCTCAAGTGACCCACCAGCCTCAGCTTCCCAAAGTGCTGGAATTATAGGAGTGAGCCACCGTGCCCAGCTGTTTTTTGACTCTTTAGTAATAGCCATTCTGACTGGTGTAAGATGGTATCTTATTGTGGTTTTGATTTGCGTTTCTCTGATGATTAGTGATAATGAGCATTTTTTCATATGCTTGTTGGCTGCTTATATGTCTTCTTTTGAGAAGTTTCTGATCATGTTCTTTGCCCACTTTTTAATGAGGTTATTTGGAATACTTCATCTTAGCACCAGAGCTTTCAAAGATGCCTTAAGTCAAATTCCAAGATGACTTGGAAGGTGTGCCCATAACCTTCTCAATCAGATTCAGAATTAATCAATTGATGGATTTGGAACAAGGTTTCCATGGTCCTGACATTGCTACTTTAATAGAAACCCTAATGTTTACATATTTTGCTCCCTCCTCCTCCAGGGATATGTTCTTGCTAGGAAATCTGATGACTTTTCAACAGATCAAAGCTCTTATATAAAGTCAGTTTTCAAAGCTTTTGAAGTTGTGTTAGGTTCAGGAAATCAGTGTAAATAAAATCAATACGACTATTTTAAAATAAAGCTTTTCCGTGTATTGCTGGAGATTGTATTTAGCATTTCTAAAAGATTCCTGATGGTAACACCTTACCATCAAACAGAATTAAAGAGTCATGTATCTTTTAGAGTCAGTATTACAAATGGATTTTAAAGAAAATATGTTAAGGGAAGCTCCTGCTTTATCTGAAGTCTAAAGAATAGGTAGGGAGAAAGGGTGAGAGCATGTATACGCTGCTTTGGAGAAGGAGTCAGACAAATTTTAAACAAATTGATATCCTGGAATCTTTATAATACCCAAAATGATTCTTTGCCACTGGACAACCTCCAATTTGGATATAATACTATATGTTGATGATTAGATAAGGCAGCCTTATTTATTAAGGCTTTAGAAAACAACCTTTAGAAAACAACCCTTTCCCTTTTAGTCTTTTTCTAATTACAAACTATGTTCATAATTATTTTTATTGTGTTTGTATTGTTTTAAAGTCTTAAATCAGTGAATGTCCTTAGGGCATTCTGTGACCTTTAGTAGATTTTTAATTGTGAGATAGTTCAACCATGAGGGCAGATGAGAAATGAGGAAGGGTCTGGGTAGGAGGTTGACAAGCCAGAGATGTCCAGTGAATGTCAGAGAGGAGCCTACCTCTAAAAACCGCCTTCTCTTATTTTCAAAAAAGCTTTAAAATATATTATCAACCATTCATGATGATTTCCATTGAAAGATTTTCACTTTCTACAAATGATCAAAGACAGTAAGAGATGAATTAGAAAATGTAATCTCTGCTGGGCACCATGGCTCACTCTTGCAATCCCAGCACTTTGAGAGGCCAAGGAGGGAGGATTGCTTGAGGCCAGGAGTTTAGATGAGCCTGAGCAACAGAGACCTGCATCTCTACAAAAAAATACAAAAATTAGCTTGGCATGGTGGTGTGCACCTGTAGTCCTAGCTACTCTGGAGGCTGAGGTGGGCGGTTCACTTGAGCCCAGGATTTGGAGGCTACAACGAGCTATGGTTGCACCAGTGCACTCCAGCCTGGGCAACAGAGCAAGATCCTGTCTCCAAAAGAAAAGAAAAAAAAAGAGAGAGATAAGAAAAGAAGAAAAGAAAAGAGAAAGAAAAGAACATACAATCCCCATCTCCCAGCTTTGAACCAAGTTTGTTAGTAAATTCAGCCTAGTTGGCTGGGTTTTTATTTCTATGTTACTTGTTTTATTTCATTTCACTTTAGACCTTTTTATGGAAGAATTTTTTACCCCATATGCCTATGTGACACGGTGTGTCATAAATGAAAATAAATGAGAAAACAAAGGATAAGAGAAAATAGGAGTAAAGGACAGGAAGACAAAATCAGAGGTCAGAGAGAATATATTTGGCTCAGACCCTTTAAGAATTCAAAGTGGAAAGGAGGCATGATCCCTCACGAGAATTAGTGTCCATTAGAGGAGATAAATTCTGCTCCAGAGACATCGAGCTATTTCTGATACTGAGCCCAGTATTGAACTTCTCCCTTAGGAATCCAAAAAGGTGCTGTGATACAGGGCCACATCCCCCACAACATCCCTGAAGAAAACGTAGCGACAGCCTGCCTGGGGTGTGCCACAGGACCTGGCAAGGGCAGTTCGGGGTAATTCCTGCCAGTGTTTCAACTCAGGGGCTGTCAGCCAGGCTGGTGGCCTTGGTGCCTGCAGGGTGTGCCTAATAGGGAGGCACCTGAAATCTTCCCGGGAGGCAGGAAATGCTTCAGGGTCAAAAAAAGGACATCATGGAGCTTTGCTCACCCTCCCGTAGATCTCCATAAATGTCTTTGTATGAGGGCTCCAGACTCTATTAGGGCATTTTAAATGAAAAAAAAGTCTGTTATATTGCCATCATGTTCAAGGATAATGTATGTCATTGCCTTTGCACACTTGCTTGCTGCTTGTCAGACTTTTAAAGCTTTCTACCACTTGTTTTGTTGGTTTTAACTAGACACATTTGCCACATATGGTTTTGTTAAACATACTGAGTTGGGGGACTTATATATGTTTTCTATGTAAATGTTAACCAAGGCCAGGCACAGCAGCTCATGCCTGTAATCCCAGTGCTCTGAGAGGCCAAGGGCAGGAGGATCACTTGAACCCAGAAGTTTGAGATCAGCCTGGGAAACATTGTGAGACTGTCTAATTTTTTCAAAAATTAGCCGGTCATGATGGTGTGCACCTGTAGTCCCCAGCTACTTGGGACGCTGAGGCAGGAGGATTGCTTGGGCCCAGGAGTTTGTGGTTATGGTAAGCTATGATTGTGCCACTGCACTCCAGCCTGGGCAGTAGAGCAAAACCCTGTCTATAAAAAAAAAAAAATTAAAAGTTAACCAAAAGTTATCATATTGAGAGGTCACTGCAGGCTATGGAGTTTGAGTATTAAAATCCAAAGGTCATTTTATGAGAGAAGGTTAACAAGGGAGAAGTTCTGTGGGGTGCATGTGCCATCCATCTGTCCTTCTTCTTATATGATCTGGAGGGGGTGCTAGTGTTGGCGTAACTTAATTCTGCATGAAGATGCAGGTCAGCAGAAAGAGCTCTACACAGATGCTGGGGAAGCCTGGCTCTCGGAGGTGGTTCTCCCCAGTAATTTTCTCACAGGCTCTAGGAATGAATCATCTGGTGTTACTGGGAAAGTAAGCAAGCCAAGGAGAGGTCCCATTAGTTTAGAACTTGTGCTGTCAGGATATACCACTGAGTGTTTCTTCCTTCCTCTTTCTTCCTTCCCCTTTTTCCTTTGCTAATTTGGTAGGTGAAAGTCCCTCCCTGCCATTAGACATTGCTCCCCCTCGTCCTGTATAACTCTCTACCATCCATCCTACGTTACTTGTACTCAAGAACTATGCCAGGTGAACTAGAACAGGACGGTCGCAGGGCATAATGTAATTCCCCCAGATTATCACAGGATCAGCCTTCAGATCTCTTAATACTTAGAAACGTCACTGCTGCGTTGTCTTCATGTAAAGGGTGTAAAGGACCGAACACCATGCCTCTCACCCGCGGCTGGAGAAGATATTGCTCCATAGGTAATAGACACGTCTGCAAAGTTTTAAAAAATGTATAGATGCAGTCTACACAAGGCATGGGTGAAAGAGGACAATGTGACAAGCAGTGATTTTTTTGAGCAGATGGTTACCTGTAGCTAACAATTTTTCAATCCGATGCCTTCTAGGTATGGATTATAGGTCATATAGCTTAGAATAAAGCAAACACAGCCTAGATGATTATTTATGGAGTTCTTTTTCAGTTTGTAAATGTTAGCCAGATATATTTTTCAATATGTTGAGACCCTTGACGTAGCTTTTTGCATTCAAATTATTTAGATGAATACTTAAAAGGATTACATGATATGTAGATAGCAGGAAATCCAGCAATTGTATGTGAAAATGGTCTAATAGTATTCTGTGGTCTTGGAATAGGTTCTCTGCTTCAGGAGTCATCAAAAGGAAAACTATAAACTCCTGATTGGGGATCAGGATGTTTCTGTTACTTTAAAATTATTTTTCTCTCCCCCAGTTTGTTTTCAGGCTATTTATTTCAGTTTAAATACCACGCTTAATTTTTGTTAGGTTTTTAATTTGCTCTTACAGCTTAGAACAGTGATGAAATGGCTGCTAAAGTATAGAAATCCAAAGAACATAAATGGAATTCTGAATTTCTGGACAACTTCTTGTACTTGGTGAAAGTCATAACTGATGAAAATTCTAGTTAGGAGAAAACTCTAAAGCACTGTGTGTCAAGAGGTATTGCTTTTGGCAATTGAATGCTTTTGTCCCAACCTTACCATTGGAACAACAATGTCACAGACTTGAGCACAGAAGAACTGACAGTGATTTATATCAAATCCATGTCATGAGAGGAAGGTTTGAGGAAGTCAGTGCGGCGTGGACTGTGAAATACTTGACCGTTCTGGGCTTCTCCTGGCCTCTCAATTCATTCATTTATCAACCTACCTATAACTTAAGGCTCAGGTTTTTGCAATCTAGATACAAATTATGATTCTTTTAGATATACTTTTTATAAACATTGTTGTATTTCCAGGAAAATTGCCATAGTAAACAAACACCCAACCCTACAACATCCTGCTTGGCATATATACTTTAAGAATTAGACTGTTTGCCTTTTCCTCAAATTTTTATGCAGTAAAATACACATAACATAGAATTTACTATCTCATCATTTTTAGGTATACAGTTCAGTGGGCTGAAGTACGTTCCCATTATTGTGTAACTATCACCACCATCCACCTCCAGGACTTTTTTCATCTGTAAAACTAAAACTCTGTGCCCATTTAACACCAGCTCTCCATTCCTGTCTTCTCCCAGCCCTTGCCAACCAGAATTCCACTTTCTGTCTCTAAGATTTTGACTACTCTAAGTACCTCTTATAAGTGGAATCACTTTTTGCTTATTTCACTTAGCATGATGTCCTCCAGCTTCATCCATGTGGAAGCACGTGTCAGAATTTCCTTTCCTTTAAGGTTGAATAATGTTTCATTGTATGTATAGACCACATTTTGCTTATCCATTTATCCACGGATAAGCAAACCAACTTGGGTTGCTTCCACGTTGTAGCTGCTGTGAATAGTGCTGCTATAAACATGGGTGTACAAATATATCTTTGAACCCTGCTTTCCATTCTTTTGGGTACATATATACTCAGAAGTGAAATTGCTGGATCAGAAGATAACTCTACTTTTAATTTTTTAAGGAACTGCCATACTGTTTTCCATAGCAGCTGCACCATTTTATATTCCCACCAACAGTGCTCAAAGGTTCCACTCTCACCACATACTCCACAACACTTGTTATTTTCTGTTTGTTTTTCTTTTTGACAGAGTCTTGCTCTGTCACCCACGTTGAAGTGCAGTGGTGCAATTATGGCTCGCTGTAGCCTCAAACTCCTGGGCTCATGTGATCTCCCTGCCTCAGCCTCCTGAGTAGCTGGGACTATGGGTGCACACCACCGTACCTGCCTAATTAAAATAATTTTTTTGTAGAGATAGGAGGAGTCTTGCTATGTCGTCCAGGCTGTTCTTGAACTTCTAGGCTCAAGTGATCCTCCAGCCTCGGCGTCCCAAAGTGCTGCGGGTGTGAGGTGGTATCTCATTGTACTTTTGATTTGCATTTCCCTGAGTATTAGTTCATGTTGAGCATCTTTTCATGTGCTTTTTGGCCATTTACTTGCATATCTTCTTTGGAAAAATGTCTATGCCAGTCCCTTGCCCATTTTAAAATCTACTGTGAAATATTTGACCATTCAAGTACTGTGACAGAGCAAGACTCTGTCAATTTGTTGTTGTTGTTGATACTTTTTAGGAGTTCTCTGTATAGTCTAGATACTAATCCTTTATCAGATGTGGGATTTGCAAATATTTTCTCTCATTCCGTGGTTGCCTTTTTCCTCTGTTTATAGTATTAATAGTTGCACAATTTTTTGAACTTTGATGAAGTCCAATTTGTCTATTTTTCTTTTGTTGACTGTGCCTTTTGTATCATATCTAAGAAATCATTGCCAAATTCAATAGACTGTTTTTTACGGTTTAATTTCATCCTTATAACTGTGAGATGGATTATTTTTCTTGTTGTGCCATTATGTATAGCAAATGAAACCTACTGAATAAAAGTTGAGTTTGAAGTGATAGCAACCTATAGTGATTAATCTTCACTTCAGATGGAATTTTCTATTTACTTTAACATGAAAAGTTTCCTAGGAAGAAGTATTGCCATCTCCTTGAGATATGGTGAAGGGTAAACGTGAGCTTTGTTGGATTTTTCCTCCCTTGAGTGCTTCATAAATAATAGAAACTCTGTCTGACAAAGTAAAAAAGAAAGAAGGATAGTAAGTTAATTTTAGATAAAGGTAATATGCAAGGTGAGACAACTGCTGTTCTAAGTATGTAATGTGAGTGGATCATACTTCACAATGATCAAATAGAAATGCAATTTTAAAAAACAAACTACACATGGAATGTGTTATACACGCCTATCATGATTCAAGTTAAACAGCCATTTACATGGGCAATGCTGAGATTGTAGTCTACATTCCCTATCCCCATTCCCTTTTGGGATTTTTTGTTCTTTACTTTTCTCTTTATAAAATACTGCATAAATTATTTGTTTATTTTGTTTATTGTCTCTCTTTCCTCCCTAAAACATAGGCTACATGAGGGCACGGAATTATATCTGTTTTGTTCCTTGTTGTGGCTCTCATGCCTAGAAGGGTGCCTGGCACCCAGTAGGTGATCAGCAAATATCCATTGAGTGATAGAATATTATAAGTAAAATAAGCCACTTAAATGATAAATGCATTTGGCATATTTTATTTTTAAATGTCTTTTATTTTTGAGATTTAGCATAAAGTATATAAATGTAAGGTACATACCTGAATGCATTTTTATATACCTGTGACTAACACCCAAATAAAAATATAGCCTAGTTCCATTTACCCCTTCTAGGTTAGATCTTCTAGATCTCTCTTGCTCCTTCCCAGACAATCCCCTTCCTGCCAAGTGCAATCACTGTTCTGATTTTTCTCATCCATAGATTAGTTTGCCTTTGAATGTCATATAAATGGAATTGTACAGTATGCACTTTTTTGGTCTGACTTCTTTTGGTCAGCAGATTCAGTCTGTGAGATCAGTGGTGTGTGGTATTCTGCTGTGTGATTGATCCCCACCTGTTTATCCATTTCCCTGCTGATGGATATGTAGGTTGCTTCCTTTTTTTTTCTGCTAATGTGAATAAAGTTCTTGTATGAATTTTTGTGGACGTAACTTTTAATTTACCTTGGATAAAATACCTAGAAGTAGAATTAACTCAATCATAAGGTAGATGTATACTTAACTCTTAGAAACCGCCAAAAGAGTTTTCTAAAGTGGCTGAACTAATTTACATTCTCTCCAGCATCTGTTGCACATTCTGGAGAATGTGAGGAGTTGCTCTTCTTTTTAAACCATACTTATGGGTGTGCAGTGATATCTCCTTATAGTTTCAATTTGCATTCCTCTAATGAGTAATGATATCAAGCATCTGTTTTTTTTTTTTGTTTTGTTTTGTTTTTGAGACAGAGTCTCACTGTGTCGCCCAGGCTGGAGTGCAATGGTGTGATCTCAGCTCACTGCAACATCTGCCTCCTGGGTTCAAGCAATTCTCCTGTCTCAGCCTCCAGAATAGCTTGGATTACAGGCACCCGCCACCAGAACTGGCTAATTTTTGTATTTTTAGTTAAGATGGGGTTTCACCATATTGGTCAGGCTGGTCTCAAACTCAGATGATCCACCTGCCTCAGCCTCCCGAAGTGCTGGGATTATAGGTGTGAGCCACCACACCCGGCCCCGAGCATCTTTTCATGTGTTTATTGGCCATTTGGGTATCTTCTTGTGAATAACATGTTGAAGCCTTTTGCACATTTGCTTTTCACATTCTTTATTGTTTTACATGCGTTCTTTATTTTGGATGCAAGCATCAGATACATGTATTACAAATATATTTTTCCAGCCTGTGATTTCCCTATTCCTCTTACTAATACCTTTCAATAAGCAGAAGTTTTTGATTTTAATGAAGTCAAATGTATCACATTTTCTTTCTTTATTGCTTTTGCATTGTGTTTAAGAAAACTTTGCCTCCCTTGGAATGATTTTAAAGGTATTAATACAGTTAGCTCAATTAAAATAGGTTGAATTAGATGCTTTTATTTGAAAGAATAAAAGCATTAAGTTTAAACAACTTTGAAATCTAAACCCCTCCTGTGGTACCTAAGCTCCTGGTAGCACCTGGCGTTCTCTTCGGAAATTACTTGCAGCCTCGTCTCCTTTATCCCTGCCCTGGAGGATCAGTGAAGGACAGCAGCTGTCTCATTCATCTTTGTTTTCAGGCACTACAATATTCCCAGCACAAAGTAGCCAGTGGTTTTATTGACTGCATTCAGGAATGCTGACTTTACTCAAATATTGATTTTTAAAAAAAATTTTAGCCAAAATATACCTCTTTATGTCCTGATGTAAACTCTTACTATGCTTCTTAAATAGAGACTATGTGAGAAAAATACCATTTGAATTTTACAGAGGAGGACTCATTGGCGTCAAATAATGATTAAGATTCCTGTAGATGGTGGTAGATGGTGGCTGGGTGTGGGGAGGAGACTTTGGGCAGAATAGGAGTAAATGCATGCACGGGCTTGGTGGATTAGCGAAGACCAAGAAGGGTGATGGGGTGAGATTGATGCCTGCAGATGAGAACCCAGTGGTGGTCATCCAGTGAGGGTACAAGACAGGCAGTGATGAGGAGCTTGAAGGCTGACCTCCTTCCCAGCGCTACTACTTACTGGGAACCTGGACCGGTTGGTCAACTAATCAGATTCCTATCTATGAAATGAAGTTTATGTGTACACCATGGGATTGCTGTAAATGATAGCGTGCGTGGAGTGTGCCTGAGAGAAACAGAGAGACAGAGAGAGATATGGGATGTGCAATTATCCATAGAGCGCTGTAAGTGCTCTGAATGTCAGTGATGGCCTTCCTGAGACTTCAGTTTCACCCTTGGGCTGTCCTATCAGTCTCTGCTCCCCTGGCTGTCCGTCCAGGCCTGCCGTCATTGTCTCCTGCCCACCCCCAATTCAGAGAAAGACCAGCTGTGCTATTTCTGAATGCATGGCTCATAACTCTAATGGTGCTTGGAATGCCACAGAGAATGTATATTTATGTTTACCACTTATCTTTCACCTAGCCCCCTCTTCCCCAAATGAGCGCAGAATTTGTTTTAAATCTCTTCATGTATCTGCTCTTCAGACTGCTGCCTGCCCCTCCCTCACCCTCAAATGAGAAGATTAGTTTACTGTCATAGGCATTCAAATATGCTGAGTAAGTTAATTTGTAACTTGTGTAACTGATCAGGACAAATGCTTCTGCCTAGGGTTCCAAAGCCTGGAACCACGCCCGCAGTACATTGAGTTTTTTGTTCATTCCATTATCTTTTTTGGAACTAAATCACTTTGCCAACCCCAGATCTTCTTCTAATGAGACTGCGGTACTGAATCATTTGGTATTTTTATGAAGTTTCTCATTGAATGAAATATTTATTGTGAGAAGAACATTACAAATCCAAAGTTTATCTAAAATAAATCTGGCTATAGCTGAACAAAATATTTTTTGCTAAGCAGAAAAGAATAATAAAAATTTCCCCTAAATGTCATACAGAAGTCTTAGAGGTTTATATAAGAGAACTTTGATTTTTATAAACCTAGGATTTTGTTTTGTTTTGTTTTGTTTTGTTGAGGCAAGGTCTTGCTCTGTCATCCAGGCTGGAGTGCAATGGCGCAACCATGGCTCACTGCACCGTTGACCTCCCATGCTTAAGCAATCCTCCCACCTTAGCCTCCCAAAGTGTTGGGATTACAGGCATGAACCACCACACCTGGCCTTAAACCTAGTTCTAAACAACAATAAAACAATTAGAACATTCCTAATTGCGTTAAATGTTAACTTCAAATTGCTTTTTAGACTAAGCAAACAAACTAAAATTTTCATCTTTGTTCTAAATAATATCTTTCCTTCTCAGTAAAATAGCAGAGATATTTAGGTTTTGACAAATAATTTTTGGGGGGTTAACCTGGGGTTTGCACGCTAGATCATCTCACCTTAATTGTTAAGTAAAAACTTTTTTTCTTTTTTTAATCGGTACATAATTGTACATATTTATGGGGTACATGTTATTTTGATATATGCACACAATGGGTAATGAACAAATCAGGGTAATTAACATATCTATCACCTCAAACATTTATCATTTCTCTGTGTTGGTGAGATGGGAGAGTTCCCTTGACCCCCTCGTGGGACTTGTGATGGGGGTGGCTCATTTACTTGGCTGCCATGCTGAAGCCCCTTGTGGAATGGGAAGCTCACAGGGAGCAGGTGCAGGAGCTGGGGTGAGTGCCTTTGGGCACCAGTAGGAACAAATCCAGTACCAGCCATGGCAGTGTCTAGGGGTTGTCTGCAACCTCTGGAGCACCAGAGGGCGTGTGTTACAATCAGTGCTCTTTTAGCATTTGCTGTCCACAGATGGCTAAGTGTTAAATCAGCTCAGTGGAGGGTCAGGGTGACAGCCTTGTACTCTGCCATTTCAGTACATGGGTCCTTGTCCAGTGTCCAGGAAGAATCAGGTCACATGGACTCGAAGGATGGTGAATGCAGAGATTTTACTGAGCAGTGGAAGTGGCTTTCAGTGGGATGGGGAGCTGGAGAGGGGATGGAGTGGGAAGATAATTTTCCTCTGGAGAGGGAGGAAGTCCTCTCAGACTATCCCTAGCCAAACATGTCTCCAACCGTAGTCTTTGATGTCCAGCTGCCTCTCAATGTTCAGATGCTTCTTTTCTTGCCTTCTCTGCCATGCTGTTTTGTTCCTCTACCAGTGGATCTTGGGGACTTTATGGGCACAGGATGGGGTGTGGTGTGCCAAAAGGTGACATTTGGGCTGGAAAACGGGGATGTGAAGCCCTCATTTAGGGCCATGGGTCCAGGCTTGAGGGTGGAACCCTTGCCAGGGACTCTGTCCTTTTCTACCTAGTATTCCTCTGCTTCCTGTCCATATTATTGGGTACCTTCAAAATATGCTCTTCTAGCTATTTTGAAATATACAATAAATTATTGTTAACTATAGTCACCCTATTGTGCTGTCAAACACTAGAGCTCATTTTAATGGAACATTTCAGAGGGAAACTTAAAGCTTAGTTTTTGTTTGAAGAGTTTTGGCTAATATTTGGAGTAAAATTAATTTTGTAATTTAAAAATACACATAAAGTCAACAGAAAAAAACTGAGGGAGATACACTTAAGGAAAATAAATCACTCTGAATAAGCCTAGATCATTCTAATATTTAATCTGCCCAAATAACCTTTCTGTAAAAGTGGGGGAAATGGTGTCATATTTTATAACATGTTTTGTCTACGGTCTCATGAATATTTTCCAAGTTTATTACATATTCTTTTGTAGCATTTTAAATAGCTGCATAGTAGTCTCATGAAGACAGAGGATAATTTAATAAGGCTCTTTTTATTTTATTTATTTTTTTGAGACAGAGTCTCACTCTGTTACCCAGGCTGGAGTGCAGTGGCATGATCTTGGCTCACTGCCACCTCTGCCTCCCAGGTTCAAGTGATTGTCCTTTCTCAGCCTCCTGAGTAGCTGGGAATACAGGCACCTGCCACCAGCCCTGGCTAATTTTTGTATTTTTTTAATTTTTATTTTTAGTAGAGAAGGGATTTCACCATGTTAGTCAGGCTGGTCTCAAATTCCTGACCTCAGGTGATCCACCTGCTTCAGCCTCCCAAAGTGCTGGGATTACAGGCGTGAGCCACCGTGCCCAGCCAATAAAGTTCTTAAAGTTCTTAGTAATTTCTGACTTTTTGCTATTATAAACAATACTGCCAAAAAAAATCCTCATGATTTCCCTAAGATAAATCTATTTAGAAAGATCTTTTCAAAGAACCAATTCTGACTTTAATTTTCTTGTTTGCTCCTTTTCTTATTGGCTTCCCTTCTCATCTTTCTCTCTTTTTGCTCTCCTTTGAGTTTATAATTTGTTCTTCTTTTTCTAGTTTTTAAAGAAAGCGTCTTTATTTTAGACCTTTCTATTTTTCTAATGTAAGCATTTAAGCTATAGATTTCTAAGTTATATCACACAAATTTTGATATTTATTTTTATTCAGTTTGAAATATTTCCTGATTTTTAAAAATCCTCTTTGTTTACCCTACAGTTTAGAAACGTGTTGTTTAATTTTCAAAGTATGGAGATTCCCCAGAGAGCTTTCTACTATTGATTTGTGATTGTGGTTAGAGGCCATATGTTATTTCAGTTCCTTTAAATGTGCTGAGACTTGTTGTATGCTATAGATTGTGGTGTATCTTGTGGAGGGGTCCATGTGCATCTTCACTTGTGGGATGGAGTGTTCCCTAAGTGTCAGCTGTGTCCAGGGGCTTCAGAGTCTTGCTCACATCTTGTGTATCACTATTTATTTTCTTTCTCTGTGTTGTATCAATTACTGAGAGAGAAGTATTGACATCTCCAAGTATAATTGCGGGTTTTTCTATTTCAACTTGCAGATCTATTAGTTTTCCATTATATATCTGTTATTAAATGCATAAATGCTTAGGATTATCAATTCCTGTTGGTGAGTTGACCCCTTTATCATGATGAAATGTGCTTTTTTGCCCTTGTAATATTTCTGTTTTTTTAAACTTTTATTTTAAATTCAGGGGTACAAGTGCAGGTTTGTTACATAGGTAAACTTGTGTCATGGGAGTTTGTTGTACAAATTATTTTATCACCCAGGTATTAAGCCTAGTACCCATCAGCTATTTTTCCTGATCCTGTCTCTCCTCCCACCCTCCACCCTCCTAAAGTCCCCAGTGTGTGCTGTTCCTCTCTGTGTCCATGTGTTCTCATCATTTAGCTCCCACTTATAAGTGAGAACATGCGGTATTTGGTTTTCTGTTCCTGTGTTAGTCTGCTAAGGATAATGGCCTCAAGCTCTATCCATGTTCCTGCAAAAGACATGATCTAATTTTTTTGTGGTGCATAGTATTTCATGGTATATATGTACCACATTTTCTTTATCCATTCTACTATTGATGAACATTTAGGCTGATTCCATATCTTTACTATTGTGAACAGTGCTGCAATGAACATGCGTGCATGTGTCTTTATAATAAAATGATATAAATTCCTTTGGGTATATACCCAGTAATGGGATTTCTGGGTTGAATGGTATTTTTCTGTCTTTAGATCTTTGAGGAATCACCACACTGGCTTCCACAATGGCTGAACTAATTTACACTTCAACCAGAAGTGTATAAGTGTTCCTTTTTCTCCACAACTTCGCAAGGATCTGTTATTTTTTTACTTTTTACCAAGAGCCATTCTGACTGGTCTTTGTGTGTGTGTGTGTGTGTGTGAGACGGAGTCTCGCTCTGTCGCCCAGGCTGGAGTGCAGTGGTGTGATCTCGGCTCACTGCAAGCTCCGCCTCCCGGGTTCACGCCATTCTCCTGCTTCAGCCTCCCGAGTAGCTGGGACTACAGGCGCCCGCCACCATGCCCGGCTAATTTTTTGTATTTTTAATAGAGACGGGGTTTCACCATGTTAGCCAGGATGGTCTCAATCTCCTGACCTCGTAATCTGCCCACCTCGGCCTCCCAAAGTGCTAGGATTACAGGCTTGAGCCACCGCGCCCAGCCCTGACTGGTCTTAAACCCCTGGGCTCAAGTGATCCTCCTGCCTCAGCCTCCCAAAATGCTGAGATTATAGGTTTGAGCCACTGTGCTGGGCCTTGATGTGTTTTTAAAAAATATTTTGTTTGGTGATCATTGAGCTTCTGGACCTTTGGGTTTATGGTTTTCAGCAAATTTGGAAATATTTTTCCACATTGCTTCTTCAGATATTTATGTCCTTTTCCTCTCTAACCCCTTTTTCCCTTGGGACTCCAATTATGTAATGCATTAGACCCCCATGAGGTTGTCTCGTAGGTCACCGATGCTCTGTTACTATTTTTCTTCTGGTGCTTCTTTTTGGAGAGTTTCTATTGCTGTCTTCAAATTCATGCATCCTTCCCTTTGCAGTGCCTAATCTGCTATTAATCCCACATAGTGTCGTTTTCATTTCAGGTGTTCTAGTTTCCATTACAAATTCAATTCAGCAAGACTGC
Organism: Homo sapiens; assembly: GCF_000001405.40. NCBI lineage: Eukaryota > Metazoa > Chordata > Mammalia > Primates > Hominidae > Homo > Homo sapiens. The sequence goes on from NC_000013.11 coordinate 25,451,298, forward strand.
AAGGTTTTTGTTTGAGTTCCCCTCTCACTGTGCTTTGGCTCAGAAATCATTTTCAGCTAGAAAGAGAGTGCGATCCTAGCACTCATTTTGTTTGTTTCTCTTCTCTTGGGGATTGCTTTTCTATCCTGCCTATTGTTTGATATCAGAAAATAGTTGTTTCCTATCCCTTTTCCTGTTGTCTAGTTGTTAGAGTGGAATGGCTAGTCTATACCTCCTTACACCCTCATGGTCAGAAACAGAAATCCAATTAGTATTTACTTTGTCGATTTGTGTGGTAAGATAATGTCATTTTAATTTCTATTTCCTTGGTAATTGATGTGCAATTTTTTTTGTCTTTTAAGTTAGCTTAGACTTCGTAGGTTCACTACAGTACAGGTTGAGGGAGTCAGTTGCTTGGATGTCACCTAACATGGAGTTTTGTTTTGTTTTACAATAGTGAAAAGTCACCCCAGACCAAAACCACAGGTGTCCCACTGGGTTCAGTTTTCAGAATCTCAATGTAGAGTTTAAAAGGGGAAAAGGTATCCTTTCCTAAAAGCAAATATACCTTCATGGTTTTTTTTTTTTCTTTTTTTGAGATGGAGTCTCACTCTTTTGCCCAGGCTGGAGTGCAGTGGCGTGATCTCGGCTCACTGTGACCTCCGCCTCCTGGGTTCGCGCCATTCTCCTGCCTCAGCCTCCCAAGTAGCTGGGATTACAGGCGCCTGCCACCACACCTGGTTATTTTTTGTATTTTTAGTAGAGACGGGGTTTTACCGTGTTAGCCAGGATGGTCTCGATCTCCTGACCTTGTGATCCGCCCACCTCAGCCTCCCAAAGTGCTGGGATTACAGGCGTGAGCCACCGTGCCTGGCCTAACCTTCATGAGTTTAAAAAAGTCCACAGGTTTGAGTGAGAGAACTTGGAGAGCGGGAAGGTCACAACCCAGCTCAGATGGTAGACGCAGGGAATGGAAAAACGGGTGACCACCCACATTCCCCTCTGGCATCGTCCCACCACCACGGGCTGAGCGCACACAGAGCGGAGGTCATGTCCTGTTCCTTAGGTGCAACAGGGTTGAAGGATTCTCAATCTCTTCTTCACCAAAATACTTTTTTTTCTATTTAGATGCTTTCCTCTCCTTGTAACATTATGACTGTTTTTTTTATTCCCGCTTGGCTGTGATATTTTTGTGTAAGTCAAATATCAATATAGTTTTCTTGAGAAAAGCACTATTAAAGATTGATACCCCGTTTCAGGCTGTATTAAGTATACATTAGTAATTCACTGGCTATAAAAGCACTTATAGACACAGATGTATTTAAGATACATTATTGTATGTTATATTAGACATTTTATATTTCTGGGACGATCTCAAATATTTAAAACAGTAAATATATTTTTTAGCTTCATCAATAGGTACTGAATTAAGTAGGTAAGGTTGAGGCTTGAAAATGCAACTTTAAACTTTTGAAATTAAACGTTTAATTTTTAAAAACTTAATAGGAAACTTTTGAATTAAAAATAACTTAGGGTAGGCTGGGAGGATCGCTCACATCTGTAATCCCAGCACTTTGGGAGGCTGAGGCAGGAGGATCACTTGAGGCCAGGTGTTTGAGACCAGCCTGGGCAACATGGGGAAACCTTGTCTCTACTAAAAATACAAAAATTAGCCATGCATGGTGGTGGGCGCCGGTAATTCCAGCTACTTGGGAGGCTGAGGCAGGAGAATCGCTTGAGCCCAGGAGGCAGAGGTTGCAGTAGCAGAGATCACACCACTGCACTCCAGCCTGGGTGACAGAGTGAGACTCCGTCTTTAAAAAACAAAAAATAGTGTTATATGAACGTTTCTTTTCTTTTCTTTTTGAAACGAAGTTTTCGCTCTTGTTGCCCAGGCTGGAGTGCAATGGTATGATCTCGGCTCACTGCAACCTCCACCTCCTGGGTTCAAATGATACTCCTGCCTCAGCCTCCCGAGTAGCTGGGATTACAGGCGCCTGCCACCACGCCCAGCTAATTTTTGTATTTTTAGTAAAGAGGGGTTTCCTTACGTTGGCCAGACTGGTCTCGAACTCCTGACCTCAAGTGATCCATCCGCCTCAGCCTCCCAAAGTACTGGGAGAACTTTTCTTAATGACTCAAGATGGTAAGTGTGAATGCCAGGGATTACATTGTGTCTAAGCAGGGCTGTCTTCATGGCTGGGGTTTTACGGCTTATGGCCTCGGGATTGGCTTGTGTGCTTTTATTCTTCTGTGCTAGTTCTTGCCTGAGTTGTCATTTCTGACTAGTGACTAGGGTGCCTGCCTGTAGCCATTTGTTTTCCTCTATTCGTCCCTAATCTGAGGTGGGGTTGTATCTAGCCTATTAATCTTATTAGAAACAAATGTAAACTAAATATGTGCTTTGCTTCTAAAGAAAGACTAACGTTCTATAAGAAAAGTGTTTTGATTTTGTGAAGAACTTTCTGAAATGAACTACATTTCTTGACAGGGTTTTTGATTCCTAAGTCCCAGGAGGTTGGGAAAAGTTTGCCAGAGGGCTAAGAAATAGGCAGGTGAGGTGTTAATACTTAGCTTTAGGGTACAGTGAATTTGGGTACAGATCTGTGTTTTTTGATAGATTTTCCTGAAGCTGGTATTGAAATTCTGTTTCCTTGTTTAGATACAAGCTATGGGTTTCACTGATGAGTGGGGAGGGCTGTGGCGGGAGGAAAGGAACTGGTTTGGTAGTTGGCAGCAAAGAAATAGATGAGCGGTAGGATGGTTAGTCATAATGAGGTTGCGACTGCTAAACTGGCACTGTGGAATGTGTCACTCTGGAGTGAACTGCATGGTCTCTTGGCACTGTGGAGCATGTCACTCAGGGGCGAACTGCGTGGTCTCTTTGCGTTTGGCTCCCTGTGTTGTTTGTGGCTGGGCTCTCTCTTGGCAGATGTGATGTGTACTTTACTTGCTTTGCCATCGGCATGCCTGTCATCAACCCACCATCTAGCAGTTGCTCAAGTGCTGTTGTCATTATTCAAATCAAACTAGAAACTGTCTTTTCATGAGTGTGAACATGTCAGCTGGAGCTAGAGGAGAAGCATCAACTCAGGTCCTCTGCCGAGCAGACAGAGATGGAGTTAGGAGTAAGAGAGGTTTACTGGGGACAACCTCTCTGAACGATGAAGATGGGGAGGGGGTGGGATTGGGCCCAGAAAGCCTTCATGTGGCGACGTTGATCTGATGGCTGTGACAGAAACGAGAGAAGCAAGCAGAGCTGGGCAGGGCAGGTCTCAGACCGCACTGCCCATCCGATGGGACCCTCTCATACTGGGTTGGCAGTGTAGAGCCAGTGGCACAGTTGCCTTCTTAACAATGGCTTTGGCCGGGCGCGGTGGCTCACGCCTGTAATCCCAGCACTTTGGGAGGCCGAGGTGGGTGAATCACGAGGTCATGAGATCGAGACCAGCCTGACCAACGTGGTGAAACCCCGTCTCTACTAAAAATACAAAAATTGGCCAGGCGTGATGGCACACACCTGTAATCCCAGCTACTTGGGAGGCTGAGGCAGGAGAATCGCTTGAACCCAGGAGGTGGAGGTTGCAGTGAGCCGAGATCACGCCACTGTACTCCAGCCTCGCCGACAGAGTGAGACTCCGTCTCAAAAAACAAAAACAAACAAAACAATGGCTTTAACTACTTGTAGAATTTTAAGAGATACTCTGGTCTTAGAAGCATCACATTTACTGATCTTCTGTTAGAGTGGCTGGTGTTTCGCATTTTATAAGTAAATCCATTTTGTCTGTAGTTTGCATGGAGTTCCGTTTCAGAGGGTGTTCCTAAACTCTGGAGGGATATAATCCCTTGATTACTGCTTCTCCCCCTCACTGTGCCCCACAGCAATGTCTCCTGATACAGGGGTGTGGCCCAGCCTCTGACTGTCAGCACAGAAAAAGGGAGCTCTGGACCTGATACGAGACTCCTTGATTGTGGCCCTCCTTGCTGCTAGTGCGTTGGCAGTGTATGTAGAGTCGAGTGTGCCATAGACACTCAGCTATGATTCAAGATTGTATGTCAGACATTAGTGAGAGCTTGGCACCTTTCCATCAGGGTTCTGTAATACTTGGCTCATTTGTAAGTAGTGCCTTTGGCAGAATGGTGAGCTCTGCCCAGGAGCAGCACAATGCTTTTATTACTTAGGCCTATAATACCTTATCTTCATGGAATTATGGATCATAAGGATATCATACTGTACAGGTAGTATATTTGGTTGTATCAACTTATACATTTCATTTCGTAGCTCATTGATATTAAAAGCCTTTCATTCAAGGGGGGAGCTAATAATTTATACAGCTAGAAATTCAATAAATTCAGGAAGAGTGCCAAGAATGCCAGGCCTCTTGTCTTTCCTATCCCTGCCAAGCAGTCACCTGCCAGACTCCGTTCATTCCTTTAATCTGCTTCTGAGGTCAATTGCTGCCTCCTTGGCATCCCAGACCCTCTGACTTATAATTAGAGACCCTTCCTTTGTGGCAACACCTTACCTGATTTGTATCTGTTATAACACATCTTATTCTACTTTCTTGTAATTTTGTACAAGTTTCCACTACTAGATCATTTTGGTTTGTTATAGTTGGTCTATCAAAATAGTTTTTCCATTCTCTACTCCTTGCCCTCCTCTTCAGAGAAGTGTCGTGCAGGGAAGCAGAGCTAGGAAGGTCTTTCTTTCTTGTGTGTCTATCTGGCTATGGGGTGGAGGAGAGCACAAACTCAAAGGAGGGGGCACTCTGGGAAGTCCAGACCATAGTTGTTCATGTTGCAGCATATGTGCTCATGGCTTTGTCTCACTGCACGGGATGTTCTTCTCCATCTTTACCCTTTGCTTTGGAAGCTTTTAGATGAATCCCAGTTGCTGACTTTACAGTAAAAGGCATCTTAAATCTCTCCAACCAATCACCCTTTTCCCCAGCTGGAAGTACTCGTCTTTCTCTTAGACTCTGAACATCCATAGCTCTCACTGTCTCCGCTTCTTCCACTCTCACAGGTGCTAATAATGGTAATATCAGTAGGGCACAGTCCACACTTATACAAGTGGACATCTTGTTAACTGGGAAGGCAGACACATAAGCAGAATAATTCTAATGTGGAAAATGCACAGACTGGACTGCTGCACATGGTTACGTTGGTCATGTGAGACTGAGAAATGTGCTTTCTGGAATTGCTGTCTGCCCACCTGTGCCTTGGGGCCCTATGCATAGAGGAGGGGGGATCTAACCCAACCCAAGAGTGTGCGACAAGGGAAGACATCTCAGAGGAGAGAAAGCCTGGGCTGTGTCTTAAGGGGTGAGTAGTAGGCAGGCAGAGAACCGTCGGAGAGGAAGGAAGTCCAGGTGAAAGGAAGCACTCCACATTCGAAGCTGTCTTAGTTATTTCCACATTGGTCTGTTTCCTCTCCAGACTACAAGTGCTTTGAAAGCAGGGAGAGGGTTTTTTAACTTCTGCGTTATGCACACAGAATGCCCAGAATTTATGGTGACGGAATGACTTCCTGTCTGCTTGAGCCTTTTTGCCTGCCTCCTTGACTTACTGAATTCTTATACATGTTCCTATCTTAAACAGGGGTGTCCAATCTTTTGGCTTCCCTGGGCCACATTGGAAGGAGAAGGACTGTCTTGGGCTACCCATAAAATACACTAACACTAACGGCAGCTGATGAGCTAAAAAAAGAAAACAATCCCCCAAAAACTCATCATGTTTTAAGAAAGTTTACAAATTTGTGTAGGGCCACGTTCAAAGCCGTTCTGGGCTACATGTGGCTTGTGGGCCACGAGTTGGACAAGCTTGCTCTAGAATACGTTAATCTTTAGTATTTGGGACTTGGCCTTTCCTGGCTTAAGCACCCAGTACCATCACTGCTACCACCGCTAAAGCCTGTGAGTCTGGAATGGCTACTGGGATTTCTTTTTAATGCATAGACTCTAGGAGTATACTTTTATTTTTAACAACCCCACAAAACCTAATAAAGATAAAAGATTCAGTTAGTCAACAGATATTTTATTATTTCAGGAAACTCTTTGAAATGCCACTCTCATTTATATAAAGGTCAGATAGATGATTTATGTAGGTAAAAGGACATATCAATGATCATATAGATAAGGATCATATTAATGATTCTTATAGTAACAAAAAAATGCACCTGTGGGCATTGAGCTGGTTGCTTCATTACTCCTTGCCCCATTTTTATTATCTCTAAAAAATTATCTCTAAAAATAAGCATGCTCCTCATATGATTGTTATGAGGATTGGATGGATTTACACATACAGAATGCTTAGAACAGTGGTAGGCTCAACAATAGTTGTGCTTTTTACCACACTCATCTATGGCACCTTAGTGACATGGCAAAGACAACAAATCGACCTGGCAACCCTGAGTCGGTTGTGGAGGCCTTGGATTCAGATGATTGCATATGCATCTCTTTGGCAGTGCTCTTGCTTTTTAAAGATTTTCTCATATTTTAAACTTTCTCACTTCTGTGTCTGAGAAGAAAACGTGATACACAAAATGTCAACTCAACAAGAGAGTCGGGAAAAGCCATCCTACTGGGGAAGTCTATTTTGTGTCAGTGGAGTTGGGAACAAAAGTGAATGAGCTGGCCTCTGTAGTGACTTGCTCAAATCTGACTGCATGTATTTAGTGGGTTAAGACTGCTGATGGAAGTAGAGCATTGGGTTCATATGACCAGTGATTGTAAGCAAACAGGACAGGATAATTGGCATGAGAAACTGGGGCTATAGTTGAAGCAAATGAATGTGTTTTTCTCTTGTACTTGACTGTTGACTTCCGTCTGCTTGGAGCCTCCACCTCCCCAAGAAAGATTAGAAGGAATGTCAAGAGAAACATCAAGACGTGTTCATCGTATGTCTTTCAAAAATAGCAGGATTAGGCAAGCCAGCCTTTTGTTTACGAGGAGACTTTGTAGACTAATTCTTCTTTGTAATACATACAATACTTAATTGTATATATTAATCTGCCTTATATAGTTATATTATAAATATCTCACACTTACAAGAGTTGGATGGCTTGACTCTCAACATTTTCCACATTAAAGAAGAGATACCTAAGCAGGTTTTTTGTTTTTGAGATGAGGGTCTTTCTGTGTTGCCCATGCTGGCCTTAAACTCTTGGGCTCAAGCAATCCTCCCGCCTCAGCGTCCTGAGTAGCCGGAATTTACAGGTGCACTCGCCATGCCCTGCAGAAGCCTCATGTGTTAGGGCGCACCTGCAATTCCAGCCACTATAATTTTAAGGAGTGTTTGGAATCCAGAAGAATGGCATGAGGGAAGTGCATTAAAACACTTGCCTGTTTTTGATTTCCAGAAGGTGGAGTGGAAGGCAGGAGGAGGAAAGAAAGCAATGTAATGAGATACACCTTGATGTTTCTCTCCGTGGGGAAAGTTTTCCCAGTTGGAGAGATGAGGTGTGTGGGATAAGTGAGGATAATACTGAGGAGCAACAGGGAGGTCCCGTTTTCTTGAACTGCCTACTTGTGCTTCCCATGTGGTCTGGGAGCTAATCTGAAAGCTCCTGGGGCCTCTCTGGGACCTCGCTTGGTAGGGTTGTGGAATGAGGCTGACAGAAGGTGGCAGAGAGAGCACAGCAGGTGCTGTAGTCTCTGCAGAGGGAGCCCAGGTGAGGCAGAGCCATCTAGGGAACACAGATGCCCTTTGACAAAGCCAAGCCAGACCAGTCACAGACATAATCCAAATGCCAGCAAGGGGACCAGGGATGTCATTCTGCAGACCAGAGGAGGCAGAAGGCATTTATGTGTAAGGATCCCAACTATTCCCCATGCCCCCATCTCTACCCTCCATGGATCCAGCACCATTTTCAAGAGAGAAGCCAGAGGACGATGAAGTGATTTGGGAGCTAAAGCATCCTTATTCAAGGAAGACTGAATACCACTTACTTAAACTTTTCACATTGGACTGAGCTACCAACAAAACTGGACATTTCCATTTTTTCCCAGCTTTCTATACAGGATGATGCCTTAGGAGGTGGGTCAGATTAGTTGCAGACTAAATTTAAAGAATTGCATTTTTCTCTGTCCACTTAAGACAGAATGCGAAATTTTGTGTTCGCTTGATTCACTCGTCAAACATGTTTACTGAATGCCTTCTGCATCCTATTTCCTGGGGATGCAGAGGTGATGAAGATGAGCATGGGCCCTGCCCTCCTGGAGCTCCTAGAGAATGTTGGAAGACAGAAAATGAACACACACATTTTATGGAGTGGTATGTCCATGCAAGAAATAATGTGTGGTGTTAGGGAATAAGTGAGAAGGGGAATGCTGTAGCTAGGGCGTGGTCACAAAGTGCTTCTGTGGGGAAGTGACATTTAAGCTGATGCCTGAGTGACAGGAAGAAGTTAGTTAGCAAAGACTAGGGAATGACATTCTAGGTGAAGAAAAAGCAAGTACCAGGTCTCTGGAGAAGGAACAGAGCTGATGTCTTGAGGAAAGAAGGTCATCATGGGTGGGGTTCAGGAGCAGCAGGAGAGGGGTCACTGATGTCACTGGGGAGGTAGGCTGGCTATGGGGTTGGTTGCAGTGAAGCCATGAGCCTTTGGCCAAGCTGTGTGGGTCTTCAAAATGCTTAGGACAAGGTTGGATGCAGTGGCTCACGCCTGTAATCCCAGCACTTTGGGAGGCCGAGGTGGGCGGATCACCTGAGGTCAGGAGTTCAATACTAGTCTGGCCAATATGGTGAAACTCCATCTCTACAAAAATACAAAAATTAGCCGGGCATGATGGTGGGTGCCTATAATCCCAGCTACTTGGGAGGCTGAGGTGGGAGAACTGCTTGAATCTGGGAGGCAGAGGTTGCAGTGAGCCGAGATTGCGCCATTGCACTCCAGCCTGGGCAACAGGGTGAGACTCCGTCTCAAACAAACAAAAACAAACAAAGAAGCAAACAAAATATGCTCAGGACAGGCAAACCACAGCTTCAAAGGAAACCGCCCCTCTCCTAGGTTAGCTGTTCAAAGATGGTGTTCATGCATATCGAATCAGCAATGAGATTTTAAAGCTGGTGTCCCTAACTTGGGCCAGTGTTGGGGTCCTACGAGCAATGGAGAATGTCTATCCTAGCAACAGAGGAAGTTGCTAAGGAGAAGTAACTGGACTTGTATTTTTAAAACTCAACCAATCCAACCCATATGAAAAATTACTCTGAGTTGAGTGTTTGAAACATAGCTTTTCTTTTTTGTTGTTGTTTTTGGTTTTAGATATGAAATACATTTCCTTAAAAGCACATTTGTCTTCATTTAATTTACAGGATAAATTTAATACATCTAAGGTATAAAATGGGTTTTGAGGAACAGAAGCCCAGTGTATATTGCTGTACTTATTGGAAACAAGACTTCAAATTACAGTGGCTCAACTTTCACCCACTGTGCCGGAGCCAACTAGGTTGTAAATAAAGTATCACCAGCACGTGTCCCTGCTCACATGCAATTACACCTGCAATGCTCTGCTTTTTCTCTGCACAGCCAAATCATAATCATTCTTATAAGCCTATTTCAAATGGCTTCCTGAATGAAATTGCCCTGTTTCTTTGGCCCCCATTGAGACTGGCAGCCATCTTTGTGCTTTGAATTTCCACATTTCTTGCTCTCTGTTGCTGTAAAAATGGAAGCTTATGCCCCTCTCCCTACCCACTACTTCACAAAATGCCTTCTATCCAGGAGGTGCTCAATAACTGAATGCATTCCACACCCAACAATATTTTAAATCATAAAGAATCCATGGCCTGTTACTTCTCTTTTCATCTTCTCTGATCTGAAACAAAGAAAGAAACCAACAAGTATTTGCAGTAATAAGAAATCCTGACCCATCAGTGTCGCTTTCCCTTTGTGTTTATTTCTTTTGAATTCTTGGGTAGAAGTGGATTGCAGATGCTAGATTTGGAGAGATGCAGTTTGTGCAAAGGAGGGTCTTGAAAAGGCCTTCGAAATGTGTCTGCCAAGGCTAAAATAATCACATTTTGTATTTGCACAGCATTTTCATTGTGTCTGTTTGATTAGGAGAAATAATCAGCCCAGTGCTTCCCCAGTGGCTGAACTGCTTTTGATGTGCCTGTGTTCTGAGGGATTATAAAACATCTTTGTAAATATGGGGTAGAGGCCATAGTTGAACTTGAAACTCTTTTGAGGAGCGGAATGTATGTGTATATGCATGCACACGTGCCTCATGTTACGAAGGCTTTGTAATGACTGCACTGTTTTCCTAGAGATTTTTCTGGGGGCAAAGAGAAAACTACACTTACATACTTTTCAAGTACCTAAAACATTAGAAAAAAGACATAACCAACTTCTTAACTCATGTAATAACAGTTTGAATACCTATGTTTACCAGGAAATTTCAGCTAATAGAAATTTAAGTGATTATTTCCTTGAGATGGGAGTTGGGATATAATCAGGTTGTGAATTGCAAAAGAACTTAATTTATATAAGGGCTCAGCAAACCATGGCCTGTAAAGTAAGACTGGTTTTTACGTTTTTAAAGATGTGTGAGGAAGAAGAAGAAGGAGAAGAAGAAGGAGGAGGAGGAGGAGGAGGAGGAGGAAGAAGGAGACTATGAGATAGAGACCATATGTGGCCACAAAGCCTAAAATATTCACCAACTGACACTTTACAGAAAAATTTGCCAACCCTTGATTTATGTAATCGATTTCTATTTTGCAGATAAGGAAACCAAGGCTCAGATGGTAGCCTGCTTACCTAAGCTCACAAGAAGCAACCTGTTCTATTAAAGGAGAATCAGATTCAAGTTTCTGCAGATCTGGCTTCTAATCATATCTTCCATTTGAGCTAATATGGTTTTGTGACTGATAGTAAGGTTTCCCTTTTGGCTCTATCGTTCTAGAGTTCACAGAGAAATGTGTGCAATGCAGTTCTAACACCAACTACCTGGAGTGAGGTCAGACTTTACAGGTTAAGGGCACAGTCCTCTAGATGATTGTCCATGCTTCAACGACCAGCTGCAGGCTGTGGGCTTCCCAGACCACCTGCACATCTGACCAACTGGCTACACATTCAGGGTTTCCTACTACTCCTCAAAGAACTCAGAAAAAATGCTACACTTATGGTTACAGTTTTACTACAAAGGGTACCAGTCAGGACCAGCCAATTGGAGATGCAGAGGTTGAGATCCGGGAGGGTCCTGAACATGAAGCTTCTGTGCTTCAAGATGTGTCACTTCCTGGCATACTGATGTGAATCACCAACCTGGGAGGCTCCCCTGAGTTTCAGTGTCCACAAGTTTTTATTGGGGTTTCATTATGTGGGATTATTAATTGGATCATTGGTCACATGAATTCAACCTCCATCCCCCTTTCCCCTTCCCAGAGGTTAGAAGGTCAGGCTTAATCACCCTGCTGAAACCCCCAACCCTCTAACCACATGATTGGCCTTTCTGGGATGGCTGGACCCCATTCTTAAACCATCTAGCAACCCACCATGAGTCATCATCTTAGCAGGAACTCAGGTGTGCACAGAGGGGCCCACCATGAATAGCAAAGATACTCCTATCACTGCGAAATTCCAGGGATTTAGAGGCTCCCTTACAGGAACTGAAGACAAAGACCAGACATATTATTGCACAACAGTGTCCAAGCCGGGTCTGACTCCACCTTGACTTTTCATTCTGTGCGTAAGGAGCACAGTTACAGACTGACTGACGTGGGACGGCCTGTGTGACTGGCGTTGGGAGGAAGACGAGGGTGGCCTGTGTGACTGGCGTTGGGAGGATGATGAGGGTGGCCTGTGTGGCTGGTGTAGGAAGGAAGATGAAGGTATTTCTTTCTGAAGTGTTTTTTTTTTTTTTTTTGAGATAATGAAACTTTTTTGCCAGGGAAATAACCTAGACATGTCTCAAGCACCTTTTGGAGTTTTAAACATTTTGAATTAAGTTAGGGTGAAAATACTGCAGTTTGGAGTGAAGGATTTTGTTTCTGTGTTACTTAAGGCAATGAAACAGTAATAATTTGCCCTTATGCTAACTCTTCTTTCATGTTTAATCCCTTATTTGAAGTTCTTAACTCCCTGACCTATTTAGTTTATGCTTTTATGTATGTTACATAAAAGTTATCATAAATAAACTAATATATACATACATATTATTATAATATTTAATGTATTGGAACAAATTTCAAAAACCTGTCAGCATTTTTCATTTTCTTCCTCAAAACCATCTCCATGGAATTTGTTTATGCAATGGATAGAAATTAGGTGTTGTCCTCACTTTTACCTGCTCCCCTGACAATGTAAGGTCCATCATTGTCCTTGCTTCCTCGCCAGTGACTTCCACATTCTTATTGCCACGCACACATTCCAAGTGAGTGAAACGATGAGGAATTTGAGTCATTCAGTAAAATGAAAAACATGACCAATCATGTGGTTAGAGGGTTGAAAATATGAAAATATATGTTTTGTACAATGAAGTGAACAAAGTGCATGGAGGAGACATCAACCAGAGAGCTAGAGCTGGTGGAAGGTGAGCTGCTGACTGAGTGTCCCTCCCCTTCCACCCCCTCATGCTTCTGTGGGTCACTGGTGTATCTACTGTAACTGATCTGCTCTCCTCTGCCCTTCCCTGTTCTTCACCTGTCCTCTTATTGCTGGTCTCTGGTGGGCATTCTCTACCATCTCTCTTGATTTCCTAACATTCTGTTCTTTCTCCAACCCCGGGCAGAAACTCTGAAGGCAGGAGGAGGAGGACAGGGGTGCTTATCTCATTAGTCTTGCACTTCCCACCCACTTTGGGGCTTCATCAAAACCTACTGGCCCAGATATTGCTGTGAAGACTTTCCTCTGCCAGATTCAGCCTCCTGGGTCTGGCTTGTAGCATTTAACAGCATCTGTGCTAGATTATCTAAAATCCTGGGCACCTGGTGGTGATCTACAGGTGAATAGGAATTTGTCCCTCCTCTTTAACCCTTTTTGCTTTTCCATCTTATAGGGAAAAACAGGTTCTCTGCATACTGCTTTACCACACTAGTTAAGATACGTGGTTATGAGAAGTTTATAGAATGATCAAGTGGTGGCTCATGGAACCCAAACCCCCTAATGCAGCTGGGATCTCGGAGAGGACTGGACCTAGGACCCAAAAAACTGCTGCCTCATCTCTATCTAAAAAAAAAAAAAAAAAAAAATTCCTTTCTCTGTCTCCTGGTCCACTCAGAGGGTAGAAGACGGCCATCTAGAGACCTGGTGTGTATATGTTAATAGGTCAGCCATATGCAGAAATGGTCCCTACCAGTTCCCATGTCAAAGTTCCCAGAAGAGAGACCCTTGGTGGCCCAATTTGGACCAAGTAACCATCCCTGGTCCAAAGAGCTGTAACAAGTAGATGGTATTGCACGGTATGACCTAGCTGATGGGCTCCCTGGCTTGTATGAGGAAAGAGGTCTGGTTCAAGGGAGACAGAGAAGGGAGCAGCTGGTTCAGCGGCTGGGCAGGTACCTAAAAGGCACCTACTACATTAGCCTCTTATGTATTCATTTGACATATTCTTTCAGACTGTCTACTGGGTGCTAGGCATGATCCAGGGCACTCTATCCAGGGATAGAGCTATGAATGAGACAAAGTCTCTGCCCTCACGGCCTTGACCTTCCACTCTCTTGTCTGCATTTCCACTTTGCAGGGTGGGGGCAAATTTAGTGCTTTTCTCTTTGCTTACTCTTGTTCTCTCAGTTCTTTCCCTTCCCTTTGGTTTCTTTCTCAGCTAATAGATATTTATTGAACTCCCACTCTCTGCTGACACAGCACCTGTTTAAATGGTGGAGGTGTAAGCATATACTCATTTTATGTGGTAGTATTTGCAAAATGCATTAACTCAGAATTATCTCATGAAACCTTAGTCATAATGTGCTTTGCTGTAGATGGTGTAATGTTTCCTTAGGCAATATGTTTTCCACAAATTTTTTTTGAAAATTTTTTTTTCTAATACAGGGTTAGGTTGAGATGAGGCCACTGAGGTAGAAAGAATTTATCTGAATCTTGGGGACAGGTGCGGGGTGGTATAACTATTTCTACCTAGGAAAAAATCCCAAGGTTTTCCCTGTTGTGGTATAGAAAGCTGTGTTGACCTGAAGCATGCTAGGTAGATAAGTGGGAGATATTATTCCACTTCATTCTGTCATCACTATTTACTCGTGTCAATAATTTTTTTCACTCCAATATTTGTTATCCAACATCTAAATTCTTGTTTGGAAAAGTTATTGTTCCTGTTATTTATCAGTGATTTTTTTTTTTTTGTCCCAGTCTTCTTCAAACCTCAGTGGTCTTGTGTTTCTTCCTTTCCTGGTGCACACATTTAAACCTCACCTCCCCAGAAATCTTGCAGAGTTTTCTTTCTTTCTTTCTTTCTTTCTTTCTTTCTTTCTTTCTTTCTTTCTTTCTTTCTTTCTTTCTTTCTTTCTTTCCCTCCCTCCCTCTCTCTCTCTCTTTCTCTCTTTCTCTCTTTCTCTCTTTCTTTCTTTCTTTTTTGGTAGAGATGAGGTCTTGCTATGTTGCCTAGGCTGGACTCGAACTCCTGGGCTCAAGGCATCCTTCCCAACTTGGCCTCCCAAAGTGTTGGGATTACAGGCATGAGCCACCATGCCCAGCTGAGGGTTTTCTTTTCAGATGTTTCTTATGTCCATCCTTTTATCCCAACCTCCATTTAATTCATGCTTTTATCATCTTGCTTCTAGATTGTAGAATTAATTTCCTACCTGGTTCGCTTATCTAAAAATTCTCCTCTTCTGCTCTTCCCCCTTTGCCATCACTGCCAGATGCTCTTCTCTCCTGCTCAGAAACTTCCTGTGGCCTCCTGTGACCTTCAGGATGAAGTTCAAGCTTCTTTGCTTGGCATTGAGTCATCCACAGTCTGGCCACAGGCTATTTTTTTTGGTGAACTTTTTTTCTACTTTTTCCCAGTTTGGACCCTCAGGGTTGATTTGTTTTTTTTAGTTGGCCCTGATACAATTTTGTCTGCTTGGGCCTTTGCTTAAGCTCTTCTTGCCCTTGCCCACAATGCCCTTCCCTTTCCTACAATGCCCTTCCCTTTCCTAATCCACACCTCACCCACATTGCCAGGCTCTTCTGTCTGTACTCAGAATCTATTCCACCACCTGCCCTCCCAGCACAAAGAGGCTGCTGACCTCTGAGCCTCCTTAGCACCTTTGGGCCCACTCTTAGTCACACACTGGTAAGTAACCATGGTTACACCTTTATGCCTTAATTGAGGGAACATTTTCAAGGGCAGGAACCTGATCTTCTGTTTTTGTGTTCTCAGCGGCATCTAACAAGTGATCCTGACTGGGTGCTCATCAGCATCACTTAGTGATCTTTAGAAGCAAAACACAGTGACCACAGAATCTGAGAGGGCAGGGCCCGGGAACTAATACATTGTGGAAGCTGCATTGGTAATACTAATGCACAGGGGAACTGAGAGCCGCTAGGTGAGCAATGAACCACTTTGACCACGCACTGTTCAGTGAACCCAGCCTGTCCCTACTGTCCTGGAGCTTGGGCTTCTGGGTGCAGTGAGACAGAGCATCCATAAATAAAATCAGGTAATGATGATATCTGGTACTGTGGAGGAAGACAAGGCAGGGTTAGTGGGCAGAGAGAAAAGCAGTACTTCCATATAGGCTAGCTTCAAAAATATTCTCCATCTGTCTTACATCAGCAAATGCTCCAACACCTGGCCTTCCCTGATTGAAGTCCGGGAGCCCCAGCTGGTGGGCCAGACAGTCTGGAAGAAGGGATTCTTGCTCTCTGCTGCCGCTTGTTGATGAGTAGACGACCAAGCAGTGTCCCATGGGGAGCCAGAAAGACCCCAGAGAGTGGGAGGTTGGAGGGAAGGAGATGAGGGATCCTGTCTGAGTGAGGAATAGCCAGGGTGCTGTGGGCACACGCAAAAAGCAAGAGGAAAACTGGAGTGTGCCTGGCCTGTGACCAGGGACCTGGCTTGAGCCCCGGAGCCTGCACCCACTAGGCGTCCCCATCTAGGTGAAGGGAGAAGCCTTAGCCCACTTCAGACTTAACTCTTACTTAATATTCGGAATAATATGTCAGCTTTCAGTAAACGAGTTTACATTTCGCTTGTCCCTTTCTTAGGATAAGGATTATCATCCTTCTAATCACTTTAAAAAGATGATGTAGCGAAAACTTTCTCTTTAAAAGTGTTTCTCTATGACAGTGAAAAGTATTCTTTGTAACAGGGAAGTGAAGGTTTACTTGCGTAAGATGTCAGTTTTTTTTTTTTTTTGAGACGAGTCTCCTTGTCGCCCAGGCTGGAGTGCAGTGGCGCGATCTCAGCTCACTGCAGGCTCCGCCCCCCGGGGTTCACGCCATTCTCCTGCCTCAGCCTCCCGCGTAGCTGGGCCTACAGGCGCCCTCCACCTTGCCCGGCTAATTTTTTGTATTTTTAGTAGAGATGGGGTTTCACCGTGTTAGCCGGGATGGTCTCGATCTCCTGACCTCGTGATCCGCCCGCTTCGGCCTCCCAAAGTGCTGGGATTACAGGCTTGAGCCACCATGCCCGGCCAAGATGTCAGTTTTTTAATGGTGTGCAACGTCCGTTTCTTTGATAGTTGGAAAGCGTGGCAGGTATTAGAGGGCGAATGTATATTTAAGAAAAACAAGATAAGTCTTCATCTGTAGAGTATTAATTTTTCTGTGATCCTTTATCTCAGACGCCTCTCCTCTGAAGGTCACTGCTCAAGCTGGGCAGCCCCTTCTAAGAAGGGATGCTGCCTTGGAGTTGGAGATGAGGTTAAGATCTACGTGCGGGTACCAGTTTCAGTAATAACTGGATCCTTCTCTAGGTCTAGGCTGGAACGTCTCAAGTGAAGGTTATTGGGGGGCAGGGGTTTGGGTCCACCCAAAAAGGCTTGACCCATAGGACTGAAATCAAATCTTGAGCTAGGCTGGCTTGCCACGTAACCACAGAAACAGTAATTTAAGCAATAAAATGAAAGCTCGAGCGCTGGTCCAGAGCTGGGGTTGGGACAGCTACTGCACTCAGGTCTCCAGGTGCATGTAGGGAGAAGAGCAGCGGATCCCTTGCAGACAATGGTGGGAGCGAGCTCTTCACCCTGGGGTCTCCGAAGCCCATTTTTAGCGTCCAGAGGTGTGCTTTCGCCATCTCCTTCTGCGGTGGCTGCTTGCAGGGCGCATTCCCATTGCTGCTGTCTCTGTTCCTAAGGAAGATCAAAGGATCCCAGAAAACCCAGTTCCAGAGCTCAGTTCCCGGGACTAGAGGGTACGCTCGGCCAGATGGCTGGGGGTGCCGCTGGCCTTGGCGCCCCCGCCGTCCCCGCGCGGTCGCCCACCCCGGCCCGACAAGCAGCTTGGGCGTCCAGCCCGGCCCGGTCCCTGCAGGGAGGGAGCGCAGGAGCTGGGGGCGGCTCTCCCGGGGCGGGGCTCGCTCCACAAGCGCCAGGGGCCGCGCGGGGCGTGGGCGTGGGCGGGGCCGGGGGCGGGGCCGGCCTTGGCTGCCGCGGCACAGGCGGCGGCGTCTCCAGGGGGAGCCAAGGTACGTAGGCGGCGTCCGCCTCACCCGAGCATCCTTCCCCGCCGGTGGCCGCCCGCCCGCGGCCCGCGCTCGCAGCCTCCCGCCTGGCGGTTGACTTCTTTGTGTCGTATTCTCTGCCTGCGCCCTGTCTCTGCAGGACCTGTTCGTTCTTCTTTGGGCTATAAGAAGGCAGAGGATGAGATGTCCCGGGCCACGTCTGTTGGAGACCAGCTGGAGGCACCCGCCCGCACCATTTACCTCAACCAACCGCATCTCAACAAATTCCGCGACAACCAGATCAGGTAGGAGAAGGCGGCCGGCTCGCGCGGAAGGCGGTGGAGTCACAGCTGGGAAGGGGCTCGTCCTCCTGCGCGGGGCTTGGCCGCGCACCTGGCCGGCCCCCGTCCATCTCCCCCAGAGCCTTCCCCTGCCCCCTCCCCACCCCACTAGCCCGCGGTGCAGCCCCGCGCTTCCAGTAGGGTCATGCGAATGCAGCCCTCACCGTTCTCTCCTGCGCATCCGTTCTGCGCCCAGCCTGCCTCTGAGCCCTGAGAAGTTTTCACTCTAATGTCACCGACAAAAACGAGGTCTCTGCTCTTTTCATCCCTGGGCTTCCTTCTCGGAACCCCTTCTAGCCTTGTTTTAAGCCAGTTGATAGCCTTCTTTAGCAATTTTTAGACCATACTATGGGGGACGTGCTTCATAAGGGAATCCCACAAGTCACAAGGAATCACATTCAGTTCTCAGTGGTCCACGACAATTGTTAAGAGGTCTTCATTTGCTGCGAAACTTTGCCCAGAGTTAGCAGAAAGATGGACAGAAGCTAGCGTTTAAATGTCTACTTTTGCTGGCCGCTATGTCACACACCCTGGCTATAGCAGCTTAGTGAATCTTCATAACCTATTGAAGCAGGCCAGGAGACTGGAATATAAAGATGCTAAATAATGTACCTATAGTCATACAGCTCCTAAATGGCAGGGCTGGAAATTGAACCCAGCCCATCTGACTACTAAGGATAAAATTTTTTCTGCTGTGCAAAGCTAGTTCTTTATCACGGGTGTTCGTACATTTTCAAATTTCATTAAACTTTCAGGCTTAAACAACTTTGTATCTGGGAGAGACTTCAGAGGATGTAGTTCTGTGAGCTGCTCAGAACACCATGCTTGGGTGTAGAGAAGTTCAGTGATTTATCAGGTTACACATAGATTATTGACAAACCTGAGTTCCAATCCAGTGTTCTTTTTTGGAAGACAAAAACTTTGTTGTTATATGTTTAAGTATTCCACTACTGCACTAACACTTGTACAAATGACTTAGCCTGACATCTTTATTTAGAAAGGTCAGGCAGTTGGACATTATTGGGGTAGAATAATGGTGCATATTATATGGAGGTGGAATTTTCACTTATTAAAGGAGTGTTAGATTATGCAGCTTTATTTTGGGTTTTAAGAATGACAGTTGGGCATATTTTATACTTAAAAGTGTAATTTAGAAGAATAGCTGAGTCCCCATTTCAGAATGTGTGGGCTTCGTTTAAGATACAGAGCATCAGTCGCAGTGAGTTACCACTTCACAAACTAGGGTGGCTCCAATCAAAAAGACAAATAACAAGTATTGGCAATGATTTAGAGAACTTGGTATCCTCATGCATTACTGATGGGGATGAAAAACGATGGAGCTGCTTTGGAAAACAGTAAAAATGATGGAGCTGCTTTGGAAAACAGTTTGGTAGTTCTTCAAAAGGTTCAATGTAAAGTTACCATATGACCTAGCCGTTCTACTCCTGGGTAATCTGCCCGAGAGAAATGAAAACCTACGTCCACACAAAAACTCATACACATATATTTCACAGCAGCATTATTGTGAATAGCCCCAAAGTAGAAATAATCTAAATGTCCATCAGCTGATGAATGAATAAATAAGATGAAGTATATCCATACAGTGCAATATTATTGGGCCATAAAAAGGAATGAAATATTGACACATTCTACAACATGGATGAGACTTGAAAGCATTATGCTAAGTGGAAGAAGCCAGTCACAAAAGGCCTCATAGTACATGATTCCATTTATATGAAGTATCCAGAAGAGGCAAATTTATAGAGTTATGAGGTAAATTAGTGGTTCCTGGGGCTGGGGAAGAGAGAAAAGGTTGGGGGGAAATGGGGAATGACTGTGAATGTGGATGGGGTTTCATTTTGGGGTGATGGTTGCACAACTCTGTGAATTTACCTAAACCATTTGGAATCCTGCACTGCTCATGTAGTTCCATTTCTTTACACCTTCTCGCATGTGTTTCTATTGAATTGCTTTCAAAAAGATGATTTTCTAAAAGATATATACTGTATAAGGATATGGGATTTGAAGAGCTACTTTTCTTTTTAAACTTTAGTGTGTTTTCAAGATGTATTTTTGCTTAATTTCTATTAATTCCTTTAATTTTGTTATCCATTTATGCATGCTTAAGGCTGGGAGAAAAAAAAAATAGAGGCCTTTGTTTTTGTCTAAATTCTTTTGTTTTAATGGAAGGTAAAGTTTTTTTTTTTTTTGGAGATGGAGTCTTGCTCTGTCTCCCAGGCTGGAGTGCAGTGGTATGATCTTGGCTCACTGCAACCTCCGCCTCCTGGGTTCAAGTGATTCTCCTGCTTCAGCCTCCCAGGTAGCTGGGATTACAGGCGCCTGCCCAGCTAATTTTTGTATTTTTAGTAGAGACGGGGCTTCGCCATGTTGGCCAGGCTGGTCTCAAACTACTGACCTCAGAGGATCCACCTGCCTCAGCCTCCCAAAGTGCTGGAATTACAGGTGTTAGCCACCAGGCCCAGCTGGAAGGTAAAGATTTTTAAGAGCACTGATAATGGAGCTTCACTACCTGTTCTGTAATCAAGATTGAAAGCTGACCCAGACTGATTGTATTATTAGTCAGAGGGATTCCGAGTAGCTGTCTGCTGTGCAGTTTCATCTGTACTGTTTTGAGAGAGGCAGAGTAAGTTGGGGATGTACAGTGGGTTGGTGAGGAATAAAGTAGTCAGTTACCAGCTATTGTATTGAAAGCTTTATGTAAGTATATAATTGAATTAGTTGAAATATATTAAAATTCATATAATTTCTGAGTTCATGGCTTATACTGTGAGCGTAAGTTTCCGCATGCACTGGATAGGGTCTAAGAAATTAAAATGTGGTCCTTGATGTTCTTTAAAATGGCCTTTGAGTATTTGGTTCGCCTTGACTCTGTGTTTAAATAGGAATTACTAATGGTTATCAGTGACTTGTAGTTCATTAAAAAATTGGTTGTAGGCCAGATGCAGTGGCTAACACCTGTAATCCCAGCACTTTGGGAGGCCAAGGTGGGTGGATCACTTGAAGCCAGGAGTTTGAGACCAGCCTGGCCAACATGGCAAAACCCCATCTCTACCAAAAATACAAAAATTAGCCGGGCGTGGTGGTGCTTGCCTGTAGTCCCAGCTACTCGAGAGACTGAGGCACAAGAATCGCTTGAATCCAGGAGGCAGAGATTGCAATGAGCCCAAATCACACCACTGCACTCTAGCCTGGGTGACAGAGCAAGACTCCGTCTCAAAAAAAAAAAAAAAAAATTGATTATAAAGCTTCTTAGCATTATGGTTTAAGGATTTGAGAAAACGTCGAGCCATATTATTTTAGCACTTTAATGTTACTGAACTCAAGTTTTATGATAATATTGATTTTTAAAAATAAGGCCTTTTATCTTGGCCATGAATGTTTGCTAAAAGTTAATGAAGCTATTCAAAGGAATATTTTTATAAAAGGATAAATAATTTGTTTTTTAATATAATTTTTCTGGAGAAAAGGTTAATGGTTTTCTTAGAGGCAGGGCATGGAGAGTTTATCCCAGTTCCTTTGCCCCTAAATTGAGCTTTTTGAAAAGAAGGGACCACATGGGATAGATGAGGCTCAGGCCTGTCTGCTGACTCAGGGCTAACTTACCTTGTTGTACTCCTTGGCAGGCCTGTCCTCTCTGGAACAGAGTTCTCTCCCCTACTTTCCTCAACCCTAAGCCAGTTTTGGTTTGAAACCCTCTGGATCATAGCAGTTGCTCTGCGCTTGCCTTTCTGGGAAGCTGGCATTTGACTAGGAATGGGAGTTTGATACAGAGGAAGGGAGGGCAGCGAGGGGCGGCATGCTGTCATTCAGGACAGGAATTCTATGGATCAAGTTTACTGGAATGGAATTGATGTGACTGAAGAAAGATGGTGGGTCTAGGGAAATGCCTAGAAAGCAGGAGTGAGGTCCCCTCTGAGGTCCATTGTGGCCTCAGCACCCCCAGGGGTATGCACTACATGAGAACTCTGAATTCTGGCCAATTCCTTGAATTTTTGGGAGGGACTGTGCTATGTATATAGATGTCTCACCAAACCTTGTTCTCATTCTTGACGCTGAAAATACCACCAGTGTTTGATCTGAAGTCTGTGGTAGGTTTATTAAGTTTTTCATTATTGAAGCCAATGAATTCAGATTATCATAATGATGGAGAATTATGAAGTAGTCTTTTTCTACTAGGGATTGATTTTCTAGGACCTTAACTATGAGAACAATAACTTTCTTCATCCTCTGGAAATGAATAGTAATTAATGGGATTCAATGTTTATATACATATGTAAGATTATGTATGTGTCCACCTAATAAGATCTCCTTTTCCTGGAGTGTACAATCATATCTCCTTTCAAATGTTTTAAAGGTTTTAGTGCACAATTCAGCCATCTGAAGTATACAATTCAGTGATTTTTAATATATTCATTGTGCAACTATCATCACAGTCAATTTTGGAACATTTTCATCACCTCCAAAAGAAATATTATACTCTAGCTATCATCTCCCATCCCTTCCTCCCCCCACCCCTAAGGAACCACAAATTTACTTTATATTTCTGTAGATTTCCCTGTACTGGACATTTTGTATAAATAGCCTCATATCCTTTTAAGTTAAATATTAAATGCTTACAAAAGCTCACTA
Source organism: Homo sapiens (assembly GCF_000001405.40). NCBI lineage: Eukaryota > Metazoa > Chordata > Mammalia > Primates > Hominidae > Homo > Homo sapiens. The sequence goes on from NC_000013.11 coordinate 25,473,808, forward strand.
TTTAGAGGAAACTGGTGGTGAATTTTTAATTTTATATATCTAAATTTTCAAGAATGTTTAAAGTTAAAATGTTTTTTTCCCCCAGAAAAATCTTGAAATAATGTGCTGATCAAAGGAATGAGCAATACTTATGTCATCACTATCAGACATATGTAATCTTTCTATGTGATTAGCAGCATGCCATTTGAAATAGTGAATTTCAAAGCCATAAGGCAGTTTTCTTCAATATTTGAAATGAGGTCTTCAAAGCTAGTTAGGAATGTTTATAGTTACTCAGTTTTGAATGACTCATTCATTTCAGGTGGGCGTTTTAGCTAGCAAAAACTTCATTACAGTGGTAACTCGAGCTTTGTCAAGTTACTGCATTTCTTCAGGTTGGTTTGCCTTAAAGGAAAATTACTTCATACAAATTTTTGGTAAGTTTTTGTTGGCTTTGCCAAGGTTAATTTTAAATAGAATATTACCTTTACAGGGCCAGGCGCAGTGGCTCGCGCCTATAATCCCAGCACTTTGGGAGGCCGAGGTAGGCAGATCACGAGGTCAGGAGATTGAGACCATCCTGGCTAACATGGTGAAACCCCGTCTCTACTAAAAATACAAAAAAATTAGCTGGGCGTGGTGGTGGGCGCCTGTAGTCCCAGCTACTCGGGAGGTTGAGGCAGGAGAATGGTGTGAACCTGGGAGGCAGAGCTTGCAGTGAGCAGAGATCACACCACTGCACTCTAGCCTGGGCGACAGAGCCAGACTCTGTCTCAAAAAAAAGAAAAAAAAAAAAAGAATATTACCTTTACAGAAAAAGGAATTGAGCACTGTATGCTAGGTTGGTACAGTATCATTGTTTATAATATTAATGCTGAGATCCTAATTTTTTTTTTAACCTTGTTTTTTGGTTGTTTTGTTTTAATTTATATTTTAGGTTCGGGATATGTGTGCAGGTTTGTTATATAGGTAAACTCATGTCATAGGGGTTTGTTGTACAGATTATTTCATCACCCAGATACTAAGCCTAGTACTCAATAGTTATTATTATTATTATTATCTGAGACAGAATCTCATTCTGTCGCCCAGGCTGGAGTGCAGTGGTGCAATCTCGGCTCACTGCAACCTCTTCCTCCTGGGTTCGAGCCTCAGCCTCCTGAGTAGCTAGGATTACAGGCATGTGCCACCATGCCTGGCTAATTTTTGTATTTTTAGTAGAGATGGAGTTTCACCATGTTTGTCAGGCTGGTCTCAAACTCCTGACCTCAGGTGATCCACCCGCCTTGGCCTCCCAAAGTGCTGGGATTACAGGTGTGGCTCACACCTGTAATAGGCCACTGTGCCCGGCCTCAATAGTTATTTTTTCTGCACCTCCTCCTTCTCCCACCCTCCACCCTCAAGCAGGCCTCAGTGTCTGTTGTTTCCTTCTTTGTGTCCATGAGTTCTCATCATTTAGCTCCCTCTTGTAAGTGAGAATATGCGGTATTTGATTTTCTGTTCCTGTGTTAGTATGCTAAGGATAATGGTCTCCCCCTCATTCCACATTCCCGCAAAAGACATGATCTCATTCTTTTTTATGGCTGCATAGTGTTCCATAGTGTATATGTACATTTTCTTTATCCAGTCTGTTGTTGATGGACATTTAGGTTGATTCCATGTCATTGCTATTGTGAATAGTGCTTCAGTGAGCATTCGAGTCCACGTGCCTTTATGGTAGTAGGACTTATGTTCCTCTTGGTGTATACCCAGTAATGGGATTGCTGAGTTGAGTGGTAGTTCGGTTATTAGCTCTTTGAAAAACTTCCAAACTGCTTTTCACAGTAGTTGAACTAATTTACACTTTCACCAACAGTGTGTAAGTGTTCCCTTTTCTCTGCAACCTCACCAGCGTATGTTATATTTTGGCTTTTTAAATAGCCATTCTGGTGGTGTGAGATGGTACTCATTGTGGTTTTGATTTGCGTTTCTCTAATGATCGGTGATAGTGAGCATTTTTTTCATATGTTTGTTGGTGGCATGTGTGTCTTCTTTAGAAAAGTGTCTGTTCATATCTTTTGTCCACTTTTTAATGTGGTTGTTAGTATTTTGTTCTTATAAATTTGTTTCAGTTCCTTATAGGTGCTGGATATTAGACCTTTGTCAGATGCATAGTTTGCATATATTTTCTCCCATTCTGCAGGTTGTCTGTTCACTCTGTTTGATGGTTTATTTTGCTGTGCAGAAGCCCTTAAGTTTAATTAGATGGGATCATAATTCTAAAAGAATATTTTTGTCTTAAGGAGTAAAAAGAACAAAATAATCTTCAGTAACCAATTTGTCCATGAATAGTGGGGAGAGATTATATATGTGGTACTAGATCCAATGTCATTGAGTACTGTGAGGATGAAGAATTCTCCTCTAAATGTTTTAATGCTGCAGAATTTATGTAGGATCTGGTCTTAATGCACAAGCTGCTTACAATTTAGCAAAGAAGCAATACCAGCATCCTAGTTAGAATCATAACTTTTTTTTTTTTTTGAGATGGAGTCTCACTCTATTGGCCAGGCTAGAGTGCAGTGGCGCGAACTCCACTCATTGCAAACCTTTGCCTCCTGGGTTCAAGCGATTCTCCTGCCCCTCAGACTCTCGAGTAGCTGCGATTACAGGCACCCGCCACCACGGCCAGCTAATTTTTGAATTTTTGGTAGAGAACGGGGTTTCACCACATGGGCCAGGCTGGTCTTGAACTCCTGACCTCAAGTGATCCATCTGCCCTGGCCTCCCAAAGTGCTGGGATTACAGGTATGAGCCATGACGCCTGACAGAATCATAACTTTTTTGGTTTATGTAAAGATCATTATCTTAAAAACCAAGGTTATGTAATCTCTGATTTGAGACTGCTGTCTTTATCAAGTTTGGCAAAGGTAAAAGTATTCCTTATCAAGAGTAATTGCTGATGTTGAAAACAGTCTCAAGATTTTCCTTCTGGGTATGCTGCTTTTTGTTTAGAAGTGGATATACTTGGTTAATTTCCAAGCCAGGCACTGTACTTTCTGAACGTGAATGGCACAACAATCCTGAGTTCTTATTTTCGATGTACCAGCAGCAATTAATGCCATAGAAGAGTCTTGTAATGAGAACTGTTATCACCTTTACACCCCTGGACAAGTCTTTTGAGGAATCCTGCAGACGAAAATATTGGAACTGGGGGAGCTTTGGCATAGTACATTCCAGGTAACCATTGAATGTGTGAGCTTTCTTGAAGAGTATTTTTAGAAACAGAAAAGCCTGTCAGCATTGGGCCAGTTTTATATTTGGTGTTTCTAAGGAAACAGCAAATGTCTAAGAGGACAGACTTTCATGGTGATTTCTTTATCAAGTTGACCCCTGTGTGGGTGGATAATGGAGCCCAGTTTGAATTTGACCAAAAAAAATCTGTGCCATTTCCACTGTTTAAAATAGGTAAAAGCATTTGGTTTGAGAATTTTGGTCAGTAATTTATTTCCCCTCTCTCCTCTTCCCAAATTCTGTTAACTCTTATTGTCTGCTGTGAACTTGGAAGCATTTATGATTTTTGATTAAAAAGAATTAAGCATCAGGATTTGTGAGACAAATTAAAACTCAACCAGAATTGGAAGAGACCCAAGACGTGACAAGTAAGTACTGTGTGGGTCCCTGAATTGGATTCTGGAACAGAAAAGACATTGGTGGAAAAACTGGTGAATCTTGAATAAAGTCTGTAATTGGATTAGCATTGTGCCAGTGTTACTTTCGTAGTTTTGACAATTGTGCTATGGTGATGTAAGATGCTAACATTGTGGGGAAACTGGACGAAGGATAGATGTCAACTCTATTATTTTTGCAACTCTTCTATAAGTATACAGTTTTCGGCCAGGTGTGGTGGCTCACACCTGTAATCCCAGCACTTTGGGAGGCCGAGGCAGGCAGATCACCTGAGGTCAGGAGTTCAAGGCCAGCCTGGTGAACATGGTGAAACCCCGTCTCTACTAAAAACACAAAAATTAGCCAGGCACGGTGGCGGGTGCCTATAATCCCATCTACTCAGGAGGCTGAGGCTGGAGAATCGCTTGAACCCGGGAGGTGGAGGTTGCAGTCAGCAGAGATCGCACCATTGCACTCCAGCCTGGGTGACGAGAGTGAAACTCTGTCTCAAAAAAGAAAAAAGTATACTATTTTCTCAAACAAATCTTAAAATCAACTAGAAGTATCTGAGAGAATAGGAATGAAATGCTAAACTCTTGTTTTTCTGTTGAATACTTTAGTAAATGTTTGGATCTTTAATTGGAAACATACATGATTTTGAAGGGAGGATGGTCAGAAGAAAAAAGGATCAGTATCTTCATATGTTTGTTGTGATGAGTAGATGGGAAAACCCTTACTCTCGGGGCATCAAAGAACATTCCCTATGCTCACAAACAGCACCAAGGGTTTGTTTGCATAATGTCTGATCTAGTTGCTTAAGTTGAAAAAGTAGGTAACAAAGTAGACTGCTCTGTTTTTGCTCAGTTTAGTCATGTGAGCTTCTGTGTCGTTATCCAGAAAGTTGCATCTAAGTGTTTGTTCTACTACTTATAGCTGAGTCACTCAACAGACAGCAAAAGCTTACTCAGAAATGCTAATCAGCAACCCTTTCAAGAGGGACAATGCTTAGACAGAACAAAAGGAGAGGTCTGACCATTGTGGGGATGTAGGGATGTTTAACAAAGAAATTTCCTGAAATCCATGAGGTTGGGTTTGGTCATTCAAATGCTGACCCATTCTTTTCTCTTAAATGAAAGCCAGCTCTTCAAAACTGAAATCATAGGTTTTTAGCCTTTACTATTTTATATTAGATGTCATTAAAAATGATTTGGGGTTGAGTTTGGGATGATGTTAGTCACTCTGATGGATTATTCTATGTATCTTCAGTCTACGTATAACATATACCATACGAAAGGCTTTTGGAGAGTGTTGGCAGGTTTCAGCTTAGAAAAGACTTCAGCTTGAGAGTGGACCTAACTCTCATGTAAGTTCTCTGTCTATATCAGTGGTCTCCAAAACTTTTTCATTGGATGTCCCATTTGTAACACTTTTTTTTTTCTTTTTGGAGTCTTGCTGTGTCACCAGGCTGGAGGGCAGTGGCGTGATCTTGGCTCACTGCAACCTCCGCCTCCTGGGTTCAAGTGATTCCCCTGCCTCAGCCTCCCAAGTAGCTGGGACTACAGGCACGTGCCACCATGCCTGGCTAATTTTTTGTATTTTAGTAGAGACGGGGTTTCACCATTTTGGCCAGGATGGTATCGATCTCCTGACCCCATGATCTGCCCTCCTCGGCCTCCCAAAGTACTGGGATTACAGGCATGAGCCACCACACCCAGCCCATAAAATTCTTTAGCATGAACCTTTGATATGTATATTTAAAACATTGGTATACATGTGCTATCATTGTTAGTTATTATCTGAAGACCCAGTACATATTTACCAAGATTCTCCGTTAAGGATTATGGATGTAAGTACATATTGTTCACAGTCTTCTCTATTATTTTGAATGCTTTTGGCCGATTTGTCAGATTTGATTAAATTACCCTAATGTTTAACCTAGTAAAATGGTTTTAAAGAGCTTTTACTAGGAATGTAAGTGTCAATTCTGCTGCTTTTTATTTTCTTGTAATTGCATTATTAATAAGTATAATTTCCAATTTGTGGTTTTGTTGTATGATTCTTTTATTTTTATTTTTATTTTTATTGATCATTCTTGGGTGTTTCTCACGGAGGGGGATTTGGCAGGGTCATAGGACAATAGTGGAGGGAAGGTCAGCAGATAAACAAGTGAACAAAGGTCTCTGGTTTTCCTAGGCAGAGGACCCTGAGGCCTTCCGCAGTGTTTGTGTCCCTGGGTACTTGAGATTAGGGAGTGGTGATGACTCTTAAGGAGCATGCTGCCTTCAAGCATCTGTTTAACAAAGCACATCTTGCACTGCCCTTAATCCATTTAACCCTGAGTGGACACAGCACATGTTTCAGAGAGCACAGGGTTGGGGGGTAAGGTCACAGATCAACAGGATCCCAAGGCAGAAGAATTTTTCTTAGTACAGAACAAAATGAAAAGTCTCCCATGTCTACTTCTTTCCACACAGACACGGCAACCATCCGATTTCTCAATCTTTTCCCCACCTTTCCCCGCTTTCTATTCCACAAAACCACCATTGTCATCATGGCCCGTTCTCAATGAGCTGTTGGGCACACCTCCCGGACGGGGTGGTGGCCAGGCAGAGGGGCTCCTCACTTCCCAGTAGGGGCGGCTGGGCAGAGGCGCCCCTCACCTCCCGGACGGGGCGGCTGGCCGGGCGGGGGGCTGACCCCCCACCTCCCTCCCGGATGGGGCAGCTGGCCGGGTGGGGGGCTGACCCCCCCACCTCCCTCCCGGACGGAGTGGCTGGCCGGGCAGAGGGGCTCCTCACTTCCCAGTAGGGGCGGCTGGGCAGAGGCGCCCCTTACCTCCCGGACGGGGCGGCTGGCCGGGCGGGGGGCTGACCCCCACCTCCCTCCCGGACGGGGCGGCTGCCGGGCGGAGACGCTCCTCACTTCCCAGACTGGGTGGCTGCCGGGCGGAGGGGCTCCTCACTTCTCAGACGGGGCGGTTGCCAGGCGGAGAGTCTCCTCCCTTCTCAGATGGGGCGGCTGGGCAGAGACGCTCCTCACCTCCCAGACGGGGTCGCGGCCGGGCAGAGGCGCTCCTCACATCCCAGACGGGGCGGCGGGGCAAAGGCGCTCCCCACATCTCAGAAGATGGGCGGCCGGGCAGAGACGCTCCTCCCTTCCTAGATGGGATGGCGGCCGGGAAGAGGCGCTCCTCACTTCCTAGATGGGATGGCGGCCGGGCAGAGATGCTCCTCACTTTCCAGACTGGGCAGCCAGGCAGAGGGGCTCCTCACATCCCAGACGATGGGTGGCCAGGCAGAGACGCTCCTCACTTCCTAGACGGGGTGGCGGCCGGGCAGAGGCTGCACTCTGGGCACTTTGGGAGGCCAAGGCAGGTGGCTGGGAGGTGGAGGTTGTAGCGAGCCGAGATCACGCCACTGCACTCCAGCCTGGGCACCATTGAGCACTGAGTGAACCAGACACCGTCTGCAATCCTGGCACCTCCGGAGGCCGAGGCTGGTGGATCACTCGCGGTTAGGAGCTGGAGACCAGCCCGGGCAACACAGCGAAACCCCGTCTCCACCAAAAAAATATGAAAACCAGTCAGGCGTGGCAGCGCGCGCCTGCAATCACAGGCACTAGGCAGGCTGAGGCAGGAGAATCAGGCAGGGAGGTTTCAGTGAGCCGAGATGGCAGCAGTACAGTCCAGCTTCGGCTCGGCATCAGAGGGAGACCGTGGAAAGAGAGGGAGAGGGAGACCGTGGGGAGAGGGAGAGGGAGAGGGACAGGGAGAGGAACAGGGACAGGGACAGGGACAGGGACAGGAGTACTGGTCTTCATAGTTACTTCCCAATATTGTTTTTGCCCACATTTTCTGATGGGACATGCAGACTGCATTTCCCAGTTTCTCTTGTAACTAGCGACTGTGTGGCCAACTTCAGGCCAGTGGTCTCTCAGAAGAGTCACATGGCAGTTCTAGGAGCCCTCCTGAGACTCAACGCCCATGCATCCTTCATTCCTCCTCCATCCTGAGCCAGGAATGTGGATGCCTGTATGATTCTTAAACCATTTGTTCTTTTGGGAGGGTTAATTTAGTTTAAATTGGATAAAGTGATGGATGACTCCACCTAGCTGGGACCTGGAAATTGAAATGTGTAGTAGTAAGGAGAGAGACAGACAGGGAGGGTACCACTGTTATCCCTGTATTAGCTCAGGCTGCCATAGCAAAATACATAGACTGCGGGGGCGTAAGCAGGTGTTCGTCTTCTCATAGTTCTAGAGGCTGGAAGTCCAAGATCAGGGTGCCAGCATGATCTGGTTCTGGTGCGGGCTCTCTCCTGGCTTGCAGATAGCTGCTTTCTTGCCATGTCCTCCCAGAACAGAGAGAGTGAGCAAGAGCAAGAGCGAGAGTGAAGGAGAGACAGAGTGAGAGCTCTCTGTCTCTAATAAGGGCACTAATCCCATCTTGAGGGTCCCACCCTCATGACCTCATCTAATCCTAATTATCTCCAAAAGGGCCCAACAGTAGCATCCCATCACATTGGGGGTTAGGGCTTCAACATATGAATTTTAGGAAGGACACAGTTCAGTCCATAGCACCACCCACCCTTCCCATTAAAGAGGTTCCTCTCCAGCCACATTACATAGAATTACGTTGGGACACCAGTGTCAGTGCATTTAATAAATGTTCCTGAAGCTTATTTTTTGGAGGTATATATAAATATAAGCTCTGATAGCATCTTCCCAAACCCCACTTGGAAGCCACCTGCTTTAGATTCAGTTGATTAGGGCCCGCCTTAGAGGAAAACCATCTGGTCAGACCCAGTCTGACTTTTACTTTAGGCCCCAGGAACTCTGAGACTGATCATAAGTCTTGTTCCTTAAGTACCATTCATAATCCTACATTTGGTATATGTGAGGTAAGCATTGCAGTCCCTCTCTGTCAAGAATTGGGGGTGCGTGGTTAGTGGCAGCACTGCAGGGGTGGGAAAGTAGAAGGACGGGGCAAAACTGCTAGTAGAGACCAATGAGCTGGGCCTGAAAGATGAGTACGAGTCAGCCTGGAAACTTGGGTGGGGCTTGGTGGGGAGGGCAGGCCAGACATGGGGAACCCCATGTGCAGAGGTGCAGAAGAGTGTAACGGCCAGGTGTATGTCTTTCCAGAAAAGATGTGGAAGAAGAAGGTGATGTGGTTTGGCTCTGGGTCCCTACCCAAATCTCATCTTGAATTGTAGCTCCCATAATTCCCATATGTTGTGGGAGGGACCTGGTGGGAAATGATTGAATCATGGGGGCGGTTTCCCCCATACTATTCTCGTGGTAGTGAATAAATCTTATGAGAGCTGATGGTTTTATCAGGGGTTTCCACTTTTGCATCTTCCTCATTCTCTCTTTGCCTGCTGCCGTCCATGTAAGACGGGACTTGCTCCTCCTTGCCTTCCACCATGATTGTGAGGCTTCCCCAGCCATGTGGAACTGTAATTCCAATTAAACCTCTTTCTTTTGTAAATTGCCCAGTCTGGGGCATGTCTTCATCAGCAGCGTGAAAACGGACTAATACAGAAGGGATGATGGACAAAGTGCTGTGAAAGGCCAGGCTACTGGAGACGGGCTGCTATAGCCAAGAAAAGCTTTTATGAGCCAGGTGACAAAGTGATAGATAGTACTTGGGTTTGATGTGCACAGCCACCTGCTCTGCATTTAGAATAAGCATATGAGGCTGCTGTCATTGCCCAGGAAGAGGTGCAGGGCTATACTGCTGCAGGAGAAGAGAAGCACTTGGGATGGTTAGCAGTGGGGCTGTAAGTGGACAGAGCACTAGGCAAGTGTGATTTCCAGGTTCCAGTGTTAGTGACGGAGAAGGTGTTGATGCTGTTTCTTGTGTTTCTGAGTTTTGTTTTGAACTATTTTGAACTGTGGAATGGGGCAAGGTGATTGACCTCAGAATAGCAGAAAGCCCCTTTCACCCCAGTATGAGACCACCCCAGGGGAGCAGAGATACACATGTAGGGGGTGATCTCTGTTGGTTGCGTCATGAAGGAGCTCCTTCCTCCAGCAAGGTAGGGGCAGCACTGGCGCTCTTGGAGAGACACCAAACTTTTGACAGATCTTTCCCTACCTCTAGATCTGTTTGGTTTCAAGATACTCCAATTAATAAACTGGAAGTAGAATAATGTCATAGCTTACAGCATGATGAGAATTAAATGAGAACATCTGGGCACAGTGGCTCATGCCTGTAATCCCAGCACTTTGGGAGGCCAAGGCAGGAAGATTGTTTGAGGCTAGGAGTTTGACACCAGCCTGGGCAACATAGTGAGATCCTATGTCTACAAGAAAAAAATAATTAGATGAGAATGTACCTGTTTAAGGCTGCACTGTGTAAGAGCTCACAGACTCACACAGAGTTGCTCATTGACACCAGTTATCTGGTTATTACGAATGTTGTTCTTCTTTGCCACTCATTTTGCTCTCTAATTCTTTGATAACCAAAACAATCAATTATAAGCTGTAACTCGGGGAAAAGGGAAGTGGACTTGCGTATTACTCTGCCCAAGAGTTACACATTGCCAAGGGAAGAAATATGCAGGCTGAAGAATCACAAGGTAGGTTTTGGGCATTAGGGTCTTTTGTACATATATGTTTTCTAGCCTGTAACTGCTAGGAACAAGCAGGCTGGACTGCGAGCATAAGATGAGTCTAAAATGTGTTTGAGAGTGCATGTGTGGATTGGTGTTAAATCAAGAAACTGGCTTCTCCTTTTGGTGTCGTGAAAGAACACAGTTGCATATAAATTCACATTAAATTCACTGACACCTCCTCCTGCAAACAAACACCAAAATTCTTTATGATAGAATGGTTAAAACCTTAAACTTGGTCCACATGTATGACTAGAGTTGTATTGAATTGTGACTATAAAGTCTGCATCTGTATCTTTCTACCCTCCCTCCTTTTTTCCCTTCCATCTTGTTTGGGACCATCAACTTTTTGGCTCTGTGGGGCTCTGCTTTGAATATCTCTGAGGAACTTGGCACTGTGCATAATATGGAAACTGAATACTTAACTGTAGATTCAATGATATAAAGGAATATTATTTATTTATTTATTTATTTTAAATTTTTTCTTTTTTTGAGACAGAGTCTCGCTGTTGCCCAGGCTGGAGTGCAGTGGCGTGATCTTGGCTTACTGCAACATCCCACTCCCGGATTCAGGTGATTCTCCTGCCTCAGCTTCCTGTGCAGCTGGGACTACAGGCGTTCACCAGCAGGCCCGGCTAATTTTTTTGTATTTTTAGTAGAGATGGAATTTCACTATGTTGGCCAGGCTAGCCTCGAACTCCTGACCTCAAGTGATCCGCCTGCCTCAGCCTCCCAAATTGTTGGGATTACAGGCGTGAGCGACCGCAACCGGCAGGAATATTCTTTAAATTATTGAATAAAAAATATGACACTTTTGTTTTTATTCCAGTGAAAGGTGGAAGTTTTGAAAGTATTGCTGTCTAGCATATGAAACACGTTACCAAGCTCTGACAGTTTAAAAATAGAGCTCTTTATTTTAAAACAGTAAGGCCATTTGCTGAATAGTATCACAATTATTTCTCTAGTACTCAGCTTTGTTAAAACTGCCTCATAGTCATTTTTTAATGTTACCTTTACAAATTAGAATTCATTGACCATTCTAACAGTGATGTACCAGAGTAAACTGAATAATTTCACATAATGACGATGCCGTGGTAAGGCAGAAACATGAACTTCTCTCAGTATCACTGTTTTGACTGTCAGCTGTCATGCAGTTTCAACACTACACCTATTTCAACAAAGTTTTGTTCACTGTATAAGATTAGACATAGCAGAGGAAGTAATTTTAAGTACAGGATAGTGCGTGTGTGTGTGTATGTTGGGGAGGTACCACCATTATTCTCTGTACATGGGTCAGTCATATTTGTAAGCCAAACAATGTGGACATTGGAAAGTCAAAAAACTCCAAGACAGAAAACAACATAAGGGAAGATTTCTTTTCATACTTTTACCAACCTCCTTCCACTGCTTTATCTAAATGTGTACACACATAGGCACATGCCATATCTTTTAACGCTTATAATTCACTGGGCCTACACATGAACATCTGTCTTCCTGGGGGACACACCATTTCACCTGGAAAACCATTCTAGTCCACAGTGAGCTGGTGTTGAAAGTTCTTCCTCTGCATCGAGGCTTCCTGTGAGTCCCAGATGATGGTTCTAGACTGTGGCCGACGCATAAGTGGCAGTCGACCCATAACAACTGCAAACATGTTTAATTACTATAACAAAACGTTAATTCTCACATTATATTTGAGTTAGTATTGGACTGTCAGGAATTTAGTAGTTCTCTTAATGTTTAGTTTGATAGTCACAGACCCATTTATAGAGATGACTCTTCAGGACTGCCCCAGGGAGCATATGTGACCTCTTCATATGTTGTTGGGTGTTCTATCACATTGTTGGGAAAGAGTGAGTTTTCTTATTTCACCAATTGACAACATTGCTCCTATACTCAACAAAAATTTAAATGAGGGTTGGAAAAGCTTTCAATTTTTTGCCCCTAAAATTGTACCCCCAAACTCCAGTACTCCATATTAGTATGTACGAACTCTGAGGAAATGCTGAGAAAGCTGGAGACTATCTGTTACTTGCTGACAGTCTTTTCCTGTGTCTAGTTCACTTTCTGAGGTCCTTCTGTGTCTAGTTTTATGGTCCCTTTGCTAGTATTTTGTATGGATGGTTGATGGGTGCAATGTGCAATGCAGTATTCCAAATATTTTTTTTATCATGTGTCATGCACTTAAGTAGACAAGAAGCTATTTTCAATTCAGTGCTGGTGTTTGCCATAGAGTTAAATACGTTTTTTATAGAAATCAACCTGTGATATTTATAAATATTTTAGAAGAGTAGATTATAAGAAAGTTAACTGACTTGGATTTTAAACCATAGTACTTTTTATATAAATAGTTTAAAGATATTGATTTAGCATTCTTCACAGCCAAGTATGTTTTCTTATATATCCTGAAGATAAATTTATTATGTGCCATTTTTTTGAACTATTGTGTTAAGGGACATGATGAATTTTGATATTTTGAGATACAACCATTAGAAAAAAATGAAGAGAGTCTGAATATGTAGCCCTTTAAAAGAAACTTATGTGCTGCTTACTGTTTGAAATACATTGAATATTTTAAAATTAGGACAGCATCAACATGGCTCCACATATACCCGTGGAACAATTGTTACAACAAATAGAGGCTGGGCATGGTAGCTCACACCTGTAATCCCAGCACTTTGGGAGGCTGAGGCAGGTGCTTCGCCTGAGCTCAGGAGTTTGAGACCAGCGTGGGGCAACATGGTGAAACCCCATCTCTATCAAAAGTACAAAAAATTAGCTGAGCATGGTGATGCACGCCTGTGGTCCCAGCTACTTGGGAAGCTGAGGTGGAGGATCGCTTGAGCCTGGGGGGTGGAGGTTAAAGTGAGCTGAGATTGCACCACTGCACTCCAGCCTGGGTGACGGAGGAAAACCCTGTCTCAATTAAAAATATTAATAGTAATAATATAACAAATAGAGCTGTGGTTGAGTTATGCAGAAGTGATGAGCTAAGATGTATTATCTGCTTAGTAAGACTTGAAAGACAGTCTCTAACTAAAAAGGTGAATTGTTTGTAAAACCTTTTTGCCAAGGTTTATGTTCTCCATAAAATTCTCAAATACAATTTTGCGGAGTCTTTGCAGAATGATGTCAGTGCTAGTATTTACTTTTGCTTTCCAGTTCTCGTTCGTGGCATTTTTGTATTCCACAGGCTGTCATGTACCTCTCATTTCCTGTTTTGTGCATATAAAGGTAACTTGGTTGGCGAATCGATGATATATAGATCAGGTATTTTATTTTTAGCCTTCCATTGCATAAGAAAAATCTAGGTTCATTTCGTCTGGGGCAGGCTCTGATTTCTGTTTGTAGCCAGCACTCCTGGTGATTTTGCTGAAGGCGGTCCTCATTTGTTGTCACCCTCATGCAACAATGTATAGTTCATAGGAATTTTTTGAAGATTAAATGAGTTAATATGCATGAGGCACTTTAAACAGCACCTCACTGAGTGCTTTATATATTTTGCTGTTGCTGTAGTTGCATTTTAGATAGTGTGTTTGACAACAACTCTCCCATCAATTTTGGAATGTACCACTTGGGTTTTACAAAAAAAACCAGGTATTGTCTTGTATTAGTAGAGATTAAAAGGTAAGGTGCATATCGAATAGGATGAATGTGTTTCAGGAACAAACTAGAAATGTTTTCTTTTTGCACTAACCTGATTTTGAAGATTAATTCTAGTTTGCCTGAGGTTATCATGGAGAACTTTAAATTATTAAACATGTAATGGAAAAAACATGCAGTGTAATCTTTCTCTCTTTCTTTCTTTTTTTTTTTGTAATAGCCTGAGTGGGAGGGTAATTAGCTATAGTATAAGGAACAAAACATAACAAGTACATGAGTCTTGGCTCTACCAGGGACCAAGTGAATGACCTTAGGTCAAGTCCATGATTTCGCTGAGTCTGACTTTCCTTGTTTGTTTGATGGAAACACACTTCCCTAGAAAGCATGTCGGGAAGCTAAATGAGATTTCAGATGCAAAAATGCCTAGGACACAGTACAGTGGCCGTGGATATCGTATATCCCTTCCTGTTTGACAGGTTGGGTAGGCTTGTTGCTCTTTTTTCTTTCTTTTTTCTCTTTATTGTGGTAAAATACACATAACATGAAATTTATCTTCTTTATTATATTTAAGTATACGATTCAGTAGTGTTAAGGATAGTCACACTGGTGTGCAGCCAATCTCCAGAAAGCTTTTCATCTTGCAAAACTGATACTCTGTCCCTGTTAAACAACTCCCTGTTCTTCCTCCCCGTGCCCCTGGCAGTCACCGTTCTACTTTCTGTCCCTGTGTATTTGACTTCTCCAGGTCCCTCATGTAATAGTCTTATTGCTCGTTGATATAGTAATTACAACTTTACCATTACAAGGAGTCTTGCCTGGGCATGGTGGCTCATGCCTGTAATCCCAGCACTTTGGGAGGCTGAGGTGGGAGGATTGCTTGAGCTCAGGAGTTTGAGACCAGGGCAACATGGCAAAACCCTTTCTTTATGAAAAATACAAAAATTAGCCAGGTGTGGTGGCATGCGCCTGTAGTCCCAACTACTTGGGAGGTGGAGGTTGCAGTGAGCCAAAATCATGCCACTGCACTCCAGCCTGGGCATCAGAGCCATACCTGTCTCAAGAAGAAAAAAACCAAAAGCAGTCTTAGTACTCTATCACACGGTCATTTTTGGTGGTGTTTTTGTCCTTTTTCTATGCTTTATCTCATGTCTTGCTGTGTACCACAGTAAGCACCACTTTTTAAAAAATAGGTATAAATGATTAAAGGAAATTCAGATGACTCCCCCACCCCCCACCCCCCATTTTTGCTGTCTGGTTGACTTTACCATTTGCATCTTTCCCTGACAACCCTGGCTAGGTTGGGATACACCAGGACCAGGGTACAGAGTCATAGTGCCCAGGAGGACGCTTGATGGGGTGGGTATAGATTTTAAACCAGATCTGCTTTTTTGTTGAGTGGATTGTTTTCATGGCACTGGCGCTGGTTCAGTCTCTCGTGTCTCCACCTGTGACAGAGTTTCCCTTTCACCTTCCCGATTGCTGGTGGTTATCGTTCTAAAACAGCCAAGGCACTGTGATTCTCCCTGTTGAGGGACCATCGCTGCTTCTCTTTTGTCTCCAGTAAGATACACAAGGCCACTCTCGTTCTATTCCCGGCTTACCGCACCATCTCCCCAGGCTCCTCTTCCTGTGTCTGGCTGCAGCCTTTAATCACGGCACTTTCCCTGGAACACTGTCTCCTAATCTACTCAAGTTCGTCCTCCTGGAGGGCCCTGTTTTTCAGGCTCAGGTTGCATCTCTGTAAGCAAGCATTTTCTTCCTCGTCCTGCATCTCCACCGTTTGCAGGCGGAGGCAGCCCCTCTGTGCCGCAGCGTTTCTCAGACTCTTTTGCTCTGGAACTTAGCATGCTGCACCACATCTATTTTTATCCATCTCTGACTCTCCTGCTCTGCTGTGTCATCCTTGATGACAAAGTCTGTCTGTTTCCCCTCGCATCCTCCCCAGCACGACGCACAGTTCCTGCCAATGGGAAGTGGAAAACCTTTGCTGAAGGACTGCGCTCTGCAAGCGAAGGTCAGAATTGAACAGAAAATGAGAATTGGCTTAATGTGTTGTTCTCAGATATCCCTTCACACTTAATTGCTTATTGAACAAAGTAGAACCCCCATGGTGATGTGCAGTTACTTATGCCTCGGAAATTGATGTATTGTGTAGTGTTGATGTTGTACTTTCATATATAAACTACTCCTAAAAGGGGGCTGCCGAGGTAAATGCTTTTAATGCCAATTTCTTCAGACTTGGCAGATGGATATCTACCCTCAAATGGAGGTACATTTGGGATTTAATGTGACAGCTGGCATCCTTAGTCATTTATGTTGGTCAAGGTTTAAAACTTGTGTGTTCAACAAATTTTTTTATGGTAGTCGGTGTATACTGTCTTGGTGCTTGGTGTTGCAGCGCAGTGGTGGAATATCGAGGGCTCTGCCTGCAAGGTTACTCCTTAGCTTTTCGGGTATATTTGAGTAAGGGAAGTGTAGTAGAGAACACACATGTTGAATGATCCATTTCCATGGCTAAGTTCGTGGCCCCTTTTTCCTCCTGCTCTCTGGCTCATGCCCTTAGCCTCTTAAAGAAGAGTTACGGGAGAGAAACTCCGAGCAGCCTCCTGGCCTGTTTTTCCTGAGCCGTAAGGTGGGTGCTTCACTCTTCACAGGGCTAGCCCCGTATAGCTTTAATTCCCACAGCACTTTCCTTAGAAGCTCTCCTCGCGGAGCACAGCACGGACGGGCCAGGAGCCGGGGCTCCCATGCCTGAAGCTGCTGTCCTCCAGGAGCCTCAGATGTGAGGCAGAGCCAGTCCCAGCTGGCATCTCCATGGCACAGATGAGGAAACACACCAGAAAGAGTTACATAACTTGCCTGAGTTCCTACAGTCGGTGAGCATCACAGGCTGTGTGGGATGCATTAGGGAGTGGTCTGCCTGAGGTGCAGGCAATAAGAAGGTCCACACAATAAAACCCACTAAAAGTCCATCTGCTTTTAATCATCTCCGTGTACCAGCAGTAACATTCTCCTCCCTGCAAAAGCCTTCTTTTGGACTAAATTCTAAATAATTGCCGTGACTACTAATTAGTTTTTTTGTTTTTTTTTTGTTTGTTTGTTTGTTTGTTTTTTGTTTTTTGTTTTTTTTGGAGAGGAGGTCTTACTCTGTGGGCCAGGCTGGAGTGCAGTGGTACAGTCATACTTCATTACAGCCTCAAATTCTCCCACCTCAACCTCGTAAGTAGCTGGGAATATAGGCACACGTCACCATGCGTGACTAATTAAAGAAAAAATTTAGAGGGTCTTGATGTGTTGCTGTGTTGCCCAGGCTGGTCTCAAACTCCTGCCCCTAAGTGATCCTCCCACCTCAGCCTCCCAAGTTGCTGGGATTACAGTCACAAGCCTGGCTACTTTTAAAGATTTCACATATGTATATAGCAGATATAGTGTGTATATATATAAAATATACACACATATATTCTTCAATGTAGCACATATTTATTTTATTTACTTTTTCTTTTTTTTTGAAGTGCTGTTGGACTTGATTTATTTCTTTTAAGTGACGATTATATTCTACGTGGAAATTCATTAGGAGCATTCCCAGTTAACCCTCTGTCTCCAGTGCCCACAACCAACTGAACAGTACATGTGCATTTTGAGAGCAAGGTCCTAAGAGTTAGGACAGGTCTGGAGTTCCCTTTGGACACAGTGCTCTCCAGGAGCCCCATGGTGCTACATATTCTGGAGTTAGTTAGTTTATGTACTTATTTATGATTATTTTGTAGAGATGGGGTCTTGCTATGTTGCCCAGCCTGGTCTTGAACTCCTGGCCTCAAGTGATCCTTCCAGCAGAGACTCTCAAAGTGCCGGGATTGCAAGTGTGAGTCACCATGCCCGACGCCTGAGTTTACATAGTAGCTATGAAATAGTGACAGTACAGCGTTTATAAACACTAAGAAAGTAGAACTTGAGTTACTTCGATTCTGTCATTTTATGTGACCACGTGGGGTTTTTTACATCTAACATTTAAGATAGCAAAACAGAGTATGAACTGCAGGGTATGATATTTTGTTTGGTAAGCTCACATTTTAGTTTGGTAAATTTTTCCTAGATTCTTACAATTGAAATTCATTAATAATTATTCATTGTTTTAAAATTGAAGACCAAGTCAAGAAAAGAAAATATGACATTAGTGGTGTGATTTAGTAGGTGTTTATACCTTTGATAGAGCATTGGTTTTGTTAAATTTCACTTATTAGTTACTTGCCAATTAATGACATAAATATTGTATCAGTCTGTAACCAAAGGATCAAAATTCAAGTTGTTACATAGATATAAAAACCATTGAATAAATACTTGTGCTTTATTCTCTTTTTTTTGGACGATAAAAATTTTTATTATTTTATTTACTGGCATGATTAGATGCAGTTTTATTTTTTTTGTTTTTGAGACGGAGTCTCACTCTGTTGTCCAGGCTGGAGTGCCATGTTGTGATTTCGGCTCACTGCAACCTTTGCCTCCTGGGTTCAAGCAATTCTCCTGCCTCAGCCTCCCAAGTAACTGGGTTTACCGGCACCTGCCACCATGCCCAGCTAATTTTTGTATTTTTGTAGAGATGGGGTTTCACCATGTTGGCCAGGCTGTTCTTGAACTCCTGACTTCAGGTGATCCACCCACCTCAGCCTCCCAGAGTGCTGGGATTACAGGCATGAGTCACCATGCCTGGCCTAGATGCAAGTTTAATAAAGACTATTTTTGCTGTTTGTTTCTTTTTTGGTCAATTTTATGTTCTTTATAGTTATCACTGAAAGAAATTTTGCCACATAGAGAAGGGGGCTGCTTACAAAAAAAATTCTCTTGGTGTGAAACACACTGGGGACATCAGCACCCTCAGCCATCATCACAAGATGCCCAGCCTTGACCCAGTCTGGACCCTCCTACTGTTTCTAACCTTTGAGTGCAGCTCCTCCCACCCCGTGTAGTTGTGTTTCTGTAGATGTAGCACTGCGTCTTATAAGCCCTCAGTTTCCTACTGTGTGAAGGGAAGGGCTTTAATGAGAGTTTTCAACGTTTCCCTCAATTCTGAAATCCTGTGGTTGAATGGACCCTAAGCTGTGCTCTGATCGTGGTGGGGAAAGTGTTTCCATTACCTGTTGGCTTGTTATTACAGTGACCGCAGCCCCTGCTGTTTGGAGTGTCTGAGGCAGGTGGGGCCCAGTTTCCTTTGGCAAAAGAAGAAACTGGCAAGACATGGAGGTGGTCCAAGGATGTGGGGTCCGTTCCCTGTTGCTTTAGTGCCTGCACGAGGAGCGAGGGACTTATTCCAGGTTTCCCTTTGTGCTTGGAAGGAAGATGTATTCTCCATAGGCTCCAAAATTCATTTGTTTAGACATTTTAATTACATTTTTTGAATCTGTATTTTTAGCCTGTCCAATTAGTCAGTTTGATAATAGCATCAATCTCCTGTTACAGCTTTCTTGGTCCATTTGCTTGTGAATTTTGTTTTACATGTTTTCATGTAAAACATAATTTACATTTTGAGTAAAATTTAATTTTATGTAAAATAAAGTGTACCACACTGGTGGTAATGTGGCTGTAATTTTTACTCTGGCCTTATGCTCATTAATTATTTCTGTCTTAAACTTGGTGGTGATGTTACTATTTTAGCCTTTCCTTTCTTTTTGCTCATGTTTGTGTTATATGACTACTCATAACTTTGTTTTTAATTTTTTGAAGTTACATAAGAAAATCCCCACAGAGATCCTTTTTCATTTGATGGGGGCGCTTAAACCATTTGTTGGTGTAACTTTTTGGTAGGGCATTTTTTGTTTTATGCTTTTTATTTTTGCTTCCTTGGTGTTTTCTCAACTCTTTGGCTTAGTTGAGAAAGCTCACTGTGGGATTACTAAACATATGCGGGAACCGGAAGTGAAGACATCAGTTGTCATCACGTTGATCTTGCAGAGTCTGTGGACATTCAGGTAGGTGTATCCAGAGAAGTTAAATATGCTGGTCTAGACAGAGCTTGTGGTAGACATCCAAGCTGGGGGTGAATTTGATAACCATTTGATGAGTACACTGGTGCTAATTTCAGCCATACATGGAAAAGATGGTTCAGTGCATTGAATAAAGACCAAAGGCAGAAAACCTCAGGGATGATCTCTGTTTCAGGGTCAGGAAAAGGAGTGTGGAGGGGAGGTGGCACAGGAGCCCTGGGAGGTGTAGGGGCTAACCAGGAAAGGAGGGCTGCCAGTAGGTGAGCTCAGGTGCAATGTTTATTGATTTGGGCAAGAAGAAGAGAGACTTCTTTATCAATAGGGTGGAAAGAGCTTTGGGAGTCGGTTTGTGTGTGTGGGTGTCAAGGTGAATCACGTCCACTCTAAAGCTTCAGTTTACTCCATGAAATGGGGAGGAGGCAGAGTGCTCAAAGTGAAGGGGCTGGGGTAGGGCGGAGAGTTTGAGGAGAGAGAACGGTTGGAACAGCCAGGATGGTGCATGGGGCAGGGAGCTGTCCAAGGTCTGTGGCACCAAGAACCTAGGTGACATCAGAAAACACATGTGGGTCAATGTCTGTTAAGGGACCCACTTAGAATTGCTGTGTTGAATAATGTACTTCCGTTTCTTAATCCTTTGGTGATTAAAAAAATTACAAGGAAAAGATCAGTCTGGGTCTGCTGCATTTAATTGTGTGTATAGTAGATGTAATCTCCAAGGTGGGCGGTGGGGGTAGTTGGAGGGATCGCTTTGACCTTTCTGCCACTGCAGAGACTCCTGCTGCCAATATTGAAACAATCATAAATATCTTATTAGGTTTCCTGGGAACAAAGCCATGCTGCAAAGGGTATGAAAGCCTGTTTGGCAGGGATGAAGGTAGGAAGGATTATATGAAAAGAGAGGAGACTGTGGGGACACAGCCCGCTTTTCTGTTTGTTTGCCTGCTTGTTTGTTTTTATGAGGGGCAGGCTCTGTGGTATCTGCATCTATATTTTAGAAGCGCGTTGCTGTTGTTCTGATATTCACAGGGCCTTCATCTGTGTTTAAAAAACTGAAAACATAAGGATAAAAACTGATTTGAAGCTTCTGACATTTTTATAATTGTTTTCAAACACAGTTAACAGCATCTTCCCTTTTACTGTTTTGGACACCTTCTGTCCGAATCCTTCTAGCTGTGAGCGAATTCGACTTTGTAATGATTTCTTTTTTCACAGTGATGTCAGCAAAATCACACAGACCTAGGGGTCCAGCCCGGAGCTTTGCAATGTCCTTCTAGTTCCCTAGAGGCCCTCTGCTGGCTAGCAGCCCTTGGGTGACAGCTTGCTTTCTTTTCACATCTCTTGCCTCTCAAATCTGTTTAAGATTCTGCTTCTTAAACTGTCTGAATTAGGTGTCTCCGCAGATTTCCCTGTGGCCAGCTACCTCCCAAACCAAACACCTATGTAAGCCCACCTTGGTTGTTGTTCCTGAGCACGTTGAGGACATTTGGGCAAACACAACAAGAACAGGAAGTCGACAACGTTCCAGTTATAACCTCCTGCTGCTGCCCTTCCAGGGTGGGGCTGGGCTTCTTCCAACCCACTTTACCACCTGTCTTTGTTCAGGAAAGGCCAGAGTGTGCCATTGCCTTGGAAATGGCCTGTGTAAGAGGCTGAGAAGGGGTTTGAATGAGTCCAAGAAGCAGCAGGATTGGATCTGGAAGGGTTGATGAGGACTGGGTGAGGTGTTGTGGGGTTGTGAGTCTTGTGTGGGCGAGAGCTGGAAAGCACAGATGGAGGTGGAAGGACCCTTCCTTACCTTTTCTCTGCTCTCTCTTCCTACCTATTTGGTTTTTTGGTTGTATTTTTGCTTTTTAAGAGACAGAGTCTTGCTCTGTTACCCAGGCTGGAGTGCAGTGGCATGATCGTAGCTCATTGCAGGCTCCAACTCCTGGCTTCAAGCCCTCCTCCTGCTTCAGCCTCCCAAGAAGCTGGGACCACAGGCATGCACCATGCATGCCTTGCTTTTTTTTTTTTTTTTTTTTTTTTAAGAGATGGGGTCTCACTATGTTGCTCAGTCTGGTCTCGAACTCCTGACTTCAGGAGATCCTCTTGCCTTGGCCTCTGAAAGTGCTGGGATTACAGACATGAGCCACTGCTCTAGACCCCTGTCTGTTTTTATAGCTTAAAGTCACTTTTATACTTCCCATGGCTGTGTTCTGACAGTTTCATACTGTGTATACCTTGATCTGAGCTGTACACCTCAAGCTGCTTGGTTCGAATATATTTCATCTTTCTGGATTAAAACCCTTTGAACAAAGAGAACAGGATTCTTGCTCATCTTTATACAGGCAGCACTAACTGAGCAGTTTATCCACCAGAACTCTCATCACCAGGGCTCATGCACATTCAGGCTGTATGCTCCAACACTAGATGTTCCCCGTGAAACACCCGAGGGTAACCTGGCTGTATTGTCTGACTTCTTTGAAAGGTGCTGTCCTGTGGAAGGAGTGAGGGTGTGGGCTTTCTTTGCTTGACTGTTTTACCAAGTTTAATTGTAGGAAGCCATTCCTACAATTGATGACTTTATGTAATTATGTAATTAAAATGAATCATTGTTGAAGAGGAGACTGAGTGGGAGAAAAAGGATTGGGAGCATCTTGGCACATGGAAGCAGCTCTGGGGAAACTGAGAGTCTCACACCCCTGGCTCATGTGCCACCTCCAGCTTGGATGTTAGACCACCTGATCATTTTCCTATTGCGTCTGGCTTATTTTGAACCCCTGCATGAAATCTACATTGAAGAGGAGAGAATACTTTTTTTCTTTTCACATTATAGTTAATTGCTGAAAGAAACAGTTTAGGAAATCTGAAAAAAATAAATAGTGACTTAATCTAAATGGACCTCAATTTCCTCACTGGCAAAAAGGAGTGGATATTTGAAGGCTAAATAAATGATGCAAAAAAACAAAATACATGTGAACAAACACATGATGAGCATAGTGCCCAGAACACTTCGGGTTTTCAGGAAATGTTGTTTTCCTTATCATCAGTAAATTGGAAGGTAACAGAGCTTGATGATTATCAGGTGCTCTGATCTCTAATAGCCCAGGATTTTAAAAAAAGTCCTATTTACTTAGAGGAACAATTTGTTCTCTTAGAGAGGCACAGGTGGAGTTGACCTTTGTATGCAGGTCACATTTTGGATTAATGCATTGCTGTGCTTTTGTACTAGAGTATTTAATATTCTTATTAAAATATCAGGAGGAAATGGGAAATCTCAATATTATAATCTGCTTGTGTGGGTTGATGTGTTAATTCAGCCCTTTGGATGTAAAGCTGCTCTGGGCACGGCTTATGTTTGGCTGGCACAGTGCTGAAGTGTTGAGACCATCGTGCTAATGAGACCAAGGTGCAGGGTCTGACTCCCTCGGCAGGCTGCGGGGCCCTCAGAGGACCAGTCACCTCCTGCAGGTGTGTGTTCTTCATGTGAGCAGGTGGTGGGGTGTCCACAATATGTGAAGTATCATGATCAACACAGGTTAATCACCTGATTTGAGAAATTCTTTGAAGTTTGAGGTGGGCCATTAGTAGTATCAAAAACAGAAGGAATATTATGTGTGATTAAAGTCGTGAAAGGAGCTATTATTTCTGTGAAATTTGTAGGCTTCATATTTTACTCTAACACATTTTAGACTGAGTTAAACACAGAGTAGTTTTTAGGTTTAATTTAACCATTCAAAAGAATGGTTAGTTTTAGGACTGATTGCCTATTAAATTACTGACGATTAAGGGAAATCAAAAGTTTAATAGCTGAATGAAAATTGAGTTTGCACTATCTAATTTGGTTTAGATAATACTTTTTCAGATTTCAGGGGAAAATAAAGGCTGTTTTAATGTATGAATGCACATGAATGTTTATTTGATTCTGCAGTGTTAGTTTATTTTTCCATTAATGGGAGAATTTGAAGGTGTGTTAAGCCAACCTAAGCAAATATCTATCATTTAGACCACTGCTTTTTCCTAGTCTATCTCCCCTCTTGAAAATAACTATTTAAAAATAGGATTTTCAGCCGGGCACGGTGGCTCATGCCTGTAATCCCAGCCAGCACTTTGGGAGGCCGAGGCAGGCGGATCATGAGGTCAGGAGATGGAGACCATCTGGCTAATACGGTGAAACCCTGTCTCTACTAAAAATAAAAAATAAAAAAAATTAGCTGGGTGTGGGGGCAGGCACCTGTAGTCCCAGCTACTCGGGGGGCTGAGGCAGGAGAATGGCATGAACCTGGGAGGCAGAGGTTGCAGTGAGCCGAGATCGCGCCACTGCACTCCAGCCTGGGCAACCGAGAGAGATTCCGTCTCAAATAATAATAATAATAATAATAAAAGCAAGATTTTCATTGTCTAGTACTTGTTCATTATAATTGTTGCCTGTTTCACCTGATCCATATGCTGTATACCCATACATGTGGACACACGTGCTCCGGATATGAGTTGAAAATTTTGGGCACCCAATACGGGGCAGGTGTCATGCTCATTGTTAGGATTTAATGGTCAATAGGGTGAGACTTGCAGTGCTGGAGAGATAAACAGGTGCTCATACTATGAATGGTGCATATTTGTGAGGAAAACATCAGTATCAAGGCAGCAAATACAGCAGCAATATTTGTGTGCCTGCTTGGATTTTCAGATAGTGGATTCTCACTAATAGAATTTGATATTTCACCTTTAAAATTTCTCATCATAGAAATAAATCAGTAAGCTCTGCCTTATAAAGGGACTCGAGTCCTTCCATGATCACCCATTCTACAGAATGCTTGTTTACATATGCACATCTATTTCTGGTTATCATTAATTCTCCAATGATGCTGCAGATTCAGTCTCTCAGACATGGAGTCTACCTTTGTCTTGTTACTGATGATGTGCTTAACAGGTAAGCTGATCTTTTTGGTCATAGAATTGGCCAATGTGGATAATCCTGTTAATACCCTACCTCGGCCAAGCTCAGAGGATGATATTAGATAGCATGAATCTAGTCTGAAAAGTTTTTCTAACACCCTGCAGATGTGTTCAAGTCAAAATTGAAGGTAGGGGTTTAAATAATATTAGGAAGAGCTAACATTTGTTGAGAACATACTATGTCCCCGATGCCGTTATAAACATTTTATTTCTGTTAACTCAATGTTTGACTTCCATTTTGCAGATGATGAAAGTGAGGCATGGACTGATTAAATAACAAGCCTGGGGCTCATGGCAGACCCAGGAGTGCAGTGGCAGAGCTCATGCTTTTAGCCACTGTGCTTCATCTTCGGTGGCAGGATACTGAGTCCTGTACCCAGAGACTGTTTATATACAGAGTAGTGCTAACGTGTTGTTCTAATCAGTACATAGGAGGAAATGGACACTTCGGTTAAGGAAAGTAAAACTGAGATTCCTTATATTTGACAATAAAATAGAATCTCCATGTGGCAGGGGATAACTGCCCCCAAGATCCATTCTCTATCCTGCGCCAATTGTTGCCCTATATTCTGGCCTAATTACCTGTTAGTACTCCCTCAGGCCAACTATGGGCCCAGACCCTAGTGTATAGTAACCCTCACTAAATTGAGTGCAGCATTTAAGGAAGACTTGGCAAAGGTGAATGTGTTACTCACAGAAACAAACCTAGAGGGAGATGAGTCTTGAGTGTGACTTGCAGGTAGAGCTATATATAAGACCCTACTTCACAAATAATGCCTAGTTCTGAATCTGTATCCGGTGGAATGTTTCAGAACATGAGATTTGGAGCCAGACGCACTTGGCCCTGATAACACAGACACCTTGGTGAACCACGTGTTGTCATGTTTGGGGGGTTGAATCTTGGTTTAGCTATTGCCTAGCTATGTGAGCCTGGGCCAGTCAACACCTTCTTCGAGAGCGTTTCCACCTCTGTAAGTTGGTGCTCATCTAGCAGATTTGTTTAAAGGTCAATTGCCTGACATATATTAATTACCAGGTTGGATGCCAATAATTTCTTGTTGGGGACATCATATTCTATTCATTCAGGAATGGTGTGGCTATTATCTCAAACTCTGCCAAACACACGTACTGGTTCTCCTCTCCAGTGTACTATTTTATTTAATATTTGTGGAGTACTTACCTGAGCTGGTTCAGTTAGGAAAACAGACAGTAAACACAAGAACTAGATAACTTCAGATTATAATAAGGGCTGTTAAAATAAACAGGAGACATAAGGAAAAGTTGGGATAGGGTAGGGGAAGACCAACGGGCAACTCACTGTGGAAGTGATGATTGTGTTAAGGTGTGAGAAACGGGAGGTAGAGCAGGGTGGGAGGAAGATACCAGGCAGAGAAGACAGCAAGGGCAGAGGACAGCTATGCTACCCTCTAGTCCTAGGGTAGCACAGCTGAAACTCCCCAAACATGACAACCCCATGGTTCAGCAAGGCGTGTGTGTCATGGGGGAAGAGTAGATTATTTCCTCATAAATCTTTCATTTTATAGTTATCAAAGTGCCCTCCATAAATGTATTGCCTGCTCCCTTCTTATCTTGAAGTATGATACAGATCACTAAGATTCCTGTTTCCCTGGACTTGGAAGGAAGGCACAATAGGGTGAGCGAGGTGCCACACAAGTTATTAGAAACTGCTGGGGAGAGAGGGCTCTTGTTTGCCCTAGAGAATTCAAGGGAACTCAATTATGTTATTGTAGAGCTTTTCTGAAGGTGTAATTGAAATATTCAGGTGTAACATCATAGGATATGCAGGTAAGATTTGTCTCATTAAAATAACACCTTTAAACTTACTAAAGGTTTTAAATGTCTTAGTCAATTAAAACAATGCATTAGTGTTACAGTGCAGACAGGGATTATCTCCATAATATTGTGTGGAGTGCTCATACAGTGTTAGAGAAATGAACTAAAGTGAAATGAAATTAAAGCAGAATATAAAGACCATGAGAGTAATAACAGTGGTAACTTGAGGCCCAATATATAATTTTTTTTTTGAGACAGGGTCTCACTCTGTTGCCCAGTCTGGAGTGCAGTGGTGCGATCTTGGCTTACCCCAACCTCCACGGCTCAGGTGATCCTCCCACCTCAGCCTCCTGAGTAGCTGGGACCACAGGCATGCATCACCACACTCGACTAATTTTTTTTGTCCTTTTTGTAGAGGTGGGGTTTTGCCACATTGCACCAGCTGTTCTCCTGGACTCAAGTGATCCACCTGCCCTAGCCTCTCAAAGTGCTGGGATTACAGGCGTGAGCCACCTGGCACCAATATATATAATTTTAAGTTAAAACTTTTTTGTGTATTTTTACATTTTTGAGGCATGTAAATATATTACCTGTGCATTTTTTTATTTGTACGCCTTATGTATTTTTTCACTTTTGAAAAACTAAACTTGAATGCCTATCTTCTTCAACCCATGTTTGTATTTCTTTGACATACTTGACTCCTACTCGATGATGTGATACTATTTTAGAAGTATGGTTGGGCAGAAAGGGGGAGGCATGAAAGAGATGCAGAAGTCATGTGTTTAAAAATGTACCTGGGATTCGTTTTAATCGAGTATGGTAAGACCTGCAGACACAGAAAGGAGCATCATCAAGAAGTTTGTACTCACAGTTCCCTAGAAACAGGAGGCTGGCACACCACCCAGGGCCACACATAGAAGCTCCAGGTGGCTTAGGAAGCGTGGACAGTGGCCTTCCCTCTGGTTTCCATGAGAAGGGCAAGGCGGGATGAGCAGGTTTAGAATTGGCTGATATGGATAATTTCAGTGAGCTCTGGACATAAGGGCTGCTCTGGTTGTCTGGCATCTGGCTCTGGAATGATCAGGGCAGGCTTGATGAGTGAGAGTTTCCTAAGGGAGGCAGCTGGGAGGCACAGCACAGACTGGATTGTTTGGTTTGCATGTGAAAGACATATTCCCTGGCAAGTTGTTTGCTATTTCTAGGAATTAGCCCTAGAAGGGGCAATCCCCTCCCAGGGTCAGTGAAGCCCCAGGGGCCAGAGCGTTAGGGTACAGAAAATAAGAAAACATAGTTATTACACTATAATATGTTATGGGAAGTCTTCTGTTATTTATAATCAAATGGAGACAAGACACACATCCATGGTTAACTTGTAATGGAAGGTAGCATAAAGCTCAATGCTGAAGGGCGAGGTAATTTTCCCAGACTTCAGGGAAGGGAGCGTTTGTCCTCTGGGACTCTGAGGAGATGTCTTAGTGGATGGTAGAACAGTCCAGATTTTCCAGAAAGGAGTAGGACTAGAAGAAAGGAGGGTGAGTTCAGGACACAGAAAGACATGCGTGTCTGAAGCAGAGGTTTGCACTGGAGGGGGAGCAACCATTGGAAAGACATGCGTGGAAGCAAATGTTGAACCCTTTAATTACAGGCTGGGGAGCTCAAGAAAGGCATTGTGAATTTATTAACAATGCAAGTTCAGATCCCATACCGTGGCTTCACTTCCTAACTCTGTTAGTTAGAAAGCAACCCTCTGAAGTAATGTCAAGTGCCTCAAAAATAAATTCTCAAATGCTGGCTATGATTTGGATCACGGGGTGTTTTTAAACATGCTGTGTGGCATGTCAGACAGCAGTCATGTGTCATTGTGGATAGATTCAGGCAATTAGGAGGTGTGATGTGGTGAGGATTTCCAATAAGCCATGATGGCACTGGCAATGAAAAAGGAGAAATAAACGGGAGCTATTTGGCTACATAGTTTAATTCAGATAAATCCTCATTGAGCCTCATTATAACCTCATCATCATGTCATTGGGAAAATGAATTTACTGTCAAGTATTGAAGCTTAGAATGCTGCCAGTGGGCGTGTGTTCGTTTTTCTGTGGAGGGTGTCCCTTATTGTCATCTAATTCCCACAGGGGACTAGAACCCAATGAAAGTGATTCAGAATCTGGGGTAGGGCAGACAGGAATGTGAAACATGCCTCTGTCACTTGCTTTTTGGGTGATACAGGGCAAGTTAACTTTTTAAGCTGCTAATAGTAAGCTACAAATAGTAACTGCTATGATAATATTCAGAAGAACAGTGGTAGCGGGTGGATCCTCTACCTAGAACACTGACGAATTCACTCCTACTTGTCCTTTGGACTCAGATGTGACTGTGTGTGCGTGTCGTATCACCTGCTTGTTATGGCTGTTGTACTTGGCACTGCACGATGTCATGGCCTGTGTGCCATGCTCTAGACTCACACACCTGGAGGCTGGCATTGTGTGGGTTCTGGTTTCTAGTACAATCGTGTGTAGGTATAGTGGGTGTTTCATGGATGTTGTTTTGCTATGCATTTTAAGAGGCATTGTCAAACCTGAGTGGTGGTTTTGTTTATTAGCTTGAGAAGAGACCAGTTGGGGAAGACTTGACCAAACTTTTGGGCATTGAGAGCTGTCCAGCCGAGAGTGCTGTCATGGAGGTGTCCAAGCGGGGGCAGAATGTCCAGGACTAGGCGGGTGGGATCAGTGTGCTGCCTGGGTGGAAACGCCTCTCTGATATTGGGTCTAGAAGAGACACGAGCTGCCACCTGGCTTCACTCCTCACCCCTCACTGTATAGTTCAAACAGGGACTTACGCAAAGTTGTGTGATGAGTTGGTGACTGCTGGTTGCCCTGTGCAGCATCGAGACCGAGTCCAAGGCTCCTTCTGTGGAAATGGGTACTGGTTGAGAAGAAATCAATGACATACGCAAACAGAGTAGCCTATTAGAGAGCCGAATGAAAAGGGAAGTAACCCTACTGTTTGTGAGGTTGGAAAGGGTGGTCGGCATGCTGACAAGTAATGACACCATGAAGCAGCGTTCATACAGAACTTTCCAGCTGCAGGAGTTGTGCTGAGATGGGAATTTGCGTTCTAGGTGAGACGCTTGGCACTGGTGCTACCCTTGGGCATTTGGAGGATCCAAATCCACAAGAACTCAGCCTCCATTTGCACATGGGGCCAGGACAAGACCTCATGTGCTCAGTAGAAAGAAATAACTCCCTCTTGGAAGGAGTAAGATGTTGGAAAAATAATTAAACACTCTGTATATTTTCTCTTGTGGATCTTTCAGAGTTTGATTAGGTGCCATAACTCTGATGCTGAAAAGGATAGTCATACAGTCAATTGTGAAGAAAATTAAGGTCCTCGGGTTAAAAAAACAAGCCACAGGATAAAGCCTGAATCCTTAATGGCAAGTTTGGTGTGGCATGTGACTCTGAGCCTGTTGCCGGCATTTGGTAGGTAGAGGCATAAAGATGTGTGTGCGCACACACTGGGTGCAAGATAGCAGCTCAGAGCCAAACAAGGTATGTAGATCTTTAAAAAAAACTTCTCCAGTAGGATTTGGAGATTGTCCTTTGCTAATGGTTATCCAAATGTTTACAAGCACTGTGAAGTAACATTCTATGTCTGAACTCCTCGAGCTGCAAGAGGTGATTCTGTCATGCGCATGGGTATGCAATGCACTGGAGAGCATGTTGGAAGGAATCCAGTGGTGGATTGCAGTCCACTTCCCTCTGCCTCACTCCAGTGGAAAGTTGCTCATTGGTATTTTTGTGCTCCACTACCCTGCTACCTCAGTCCAGTTTTGCATTGAATACCGTCAGTATTCAGTATTGTCTATATAAATGGTATGAGGATTAGATATTATATTGATAGAATTATTTGTGGATTGGTAATTGGTATAAGATTTTGAAGAGATAGAACTGATTGGTATCCTATTATTTTAAAATCCTTTTTCATCTAACATCTATTTCGTATGTTTTTTTCAGAAGTTGTGGTTAGAAGATTATTTATTGAGAATAATTTTTAAAAATCTTTCCTTTCCTTTTTTTTTTTTTTTTTTTTTAAAAAGTATACAGTGCGGCCGGGCGCGGTGGCTCACGCCTGTAATCCCAGCACTTTGGGAGGCCGAGGCGGGTGGATCATGAGGTCAGGAGATCGAGACCATCCTGGCTAACAAGGTGAAACCCCGTCTCTACTAAAAATACAAAAAATTAGCCGGGCGTGGTGGCGGGCGCCTGTAGTCCCAGCTACTCGGGAGGCTGAGGCAGGAGAATGGCGTGAACCCGGGAAGCGGAGCTTGCAGTGAGCCGAGATTGCGCCACTGCAGTCCGCAGTCCGGCCTGGGCGACAGAGCGAGACTCCGTCTCAAAAAAAAAAAAAAAAAAAAAGTATACAGTGCTCAGACAGAGTCACTTTATAGTGTGATGGGAAAGGTCACATGTAATAATCTATGGTCCTCTTGCTAGTAAGTGCATGCCCCTAAACCAGGCTATTGTTCTCATTACTTCTAAATCTTTGCTTGGGTCAGTGGGCTTGAGGCCATCGGACGCTATTAACTTCGGTTTGTATTCTCAGAATTGTATTTTTTTAGTGAGAATTTACAGTTATTGTTTAGTTGTTGGGGAAATTACTGCTCTTACCCATCTTCCTCTTTCTTATGTGAGATATCTTGATAGCAATCACTTTACCAAAAATAGTGTATGTGTTGGTTTTAGAATTATTGGATTGAATGGGTCTGAAATTGCTTTGACTCCAGTCTCAAGTTTGCTGATGATAAAACTTCTATTAGATTTGTTAAGTAGGATTTGTTTTTTCGGCGGGGCGGGGGGGGGTGGTGGTCACAACTCATTGGAAATGCCTGTTAATCAGTCTCTCTCTCTCTCTCAAGAGATCTATTGACATATACCCTTCATTCTTCCAGTTTCTTTTCTCAAAACCACATAAACCCCCTTGATTTATTTTTCCTTTTATAAGACCATTATTTTCTTTCTTGCTTTTCATATAACCTTAATGTCTGATATTAGTTTTAAAGTCTGATTAGTAAAATCATTTTGTGTTTTACAACTGTTATACGTGTTAAAGTCACCTTCACACGTATAATTTAACCTCATAGACTTCTTAAAACACAACCTGATATAAGTGCCTTCACTTTTTATCACATCCTCAGCCCTTTATATTTTTTGTTCTCAGTGTATCTGACCTAGAGACTCTATCTCTCTAGAGATATTATAGTTCCAAATCTGTATCCAGAAAGACGTACACATCCCTGTTTCGCTCCGCAGGTCTGGACATTACCAGGAGAGCCTGCTCACTTATTTCCCTTTCAAAACTGTTGCCAACTGGCTAGCATGTTGATGGCTCTACATAACTTATTATTATTATATACAATATATGCTATATCATATTCTATGATAATATCAAATATCATTAACAAGGTATTATTAATATCCGACATATTCTTGCCTTCCTTTATATTCTCCTATACAGGCATTCTTTCTTGCTCTAGAATTATAAATTAACTGCAACTTCACAAGACCCGCGATAGAGAAAGGAAAATGATGGCCTCCACTGCAGAGTGTAGAGCTAGAGGTGTGGAAAGGTCAAGCAGCTTCTCCAAGCTGACGCTGGGATTACAAACCAGCTTTCTGTGTTCCCGACCAGGCTTTGGTTATTCTGAGGAAATTGGATCTAACAAGTGTTTGGTTACAGCTTCCTATAAAGGACAGTTACGTTTAGCTTTGTTGAAAATCCAATTTTATATTTCTCCTAGATAATACCGAATGATGAGAGAGCTCTTCCGCTCTCCCTGCTGAAAGTTGTTGATTTTCTAATTGAGCAGGGCTCATTTGAGGGGAGCTGACAGATTTTTAGCTCCTGATTCTAGGTCATTTCTATGGATGCTATAATGGGTACATGCTTTTTTTGTCATGCCTCAGACACAAACCATTAATATTTCTGCTCTTTCCTATTTATGCAAGGTATAGAATAGTCCCAGTTTGACTCCCTTACAAAGGTGGATTGGGGCCAAATGTACCATCTGGCTGGCCTCCAATATGGAAACCAGGAGGCCACGTCTTGGACATTTGCGTATTTCAGAAAAAGTCATCAAGGCAGATATTGCCCACCAGTTTTGTTCCAGATGTACCCATTTGGAAACCCTTGAAACCAGAAACATTCATGAGATAGAGTTCTGGCCAATGAGACGGGAGCTGAGGGCATCTGAGGAAGCCCCACTTCCCGGATCGAGGTGCCCAGTTCTCTGTTTCTCCTCGTGTGGAACACGGCTGTGGATCTGAAGAGGAGCAGCATCTGTGACACTGTGACACTATAATCCCAAAGGGCTGGGATTATAGGTGTGAGCCACCATGCCTGGCCTGAAGGTTATTTTATACAATATTTTAAATAATTTTGTACATGAAACAAAGTTTGTGTACATTGAACCATCAGAAAGCAGAGGTGTCATGTCAGTGCTCAAAAAGGTTTGGATTTTAGAGCATTTCAAATTTCAGATTTTCGGATTAGGGATATTTAACCTGTGTGTGTATATATACAGTACAGTACATATATATATATATATATATATCTTATTTTACATATAAAACTTATAAATAAGAAACTAAATATGTGTGTGTATATCTGTATATCTGTGTATCTCTATATAAATTTTGGTAAGGAATAATACTGTGTAGAGGGAGATATTACCTTACCAAGAGTCAGAACATGTATAAAACTACTGTAAATCAGTTGGTTGGGAATTGACATAGAACTAAATACATGCCAATATATTGAAGAGTGATATCTCAGTAAAGTGGGGTGGGTAATTGTGCTGGTACCATTCTTTGTGTGTGTGTGTGTGTGTGTGTGTGTGTGTGTGTGTGTGTGTGTATTTTGTTGTTGTTGTTTTGAGAAAGAGTTTTGTTCTGTCACCCAGGCTGGAGTGTAGTGGTGCGATCTTGGCTCACTGCAGTCTCCGCCTCCCAGGTTCTAGCAATTCTCCTGCTCCAGCCTCCTGGGTAGCTGGGATTACAGGCATGTGCCACCATGCCTGGCTAATTTTTGTATTTTTAGTAGAGAGAGGGTTTCACCATGTTGGCCAGGCTGGTCACGAACTCCTGACCTCAGGTGATCCTCCCTCCTTGGCGTGCCAAAGTGCTAGGATTACAGGTGTCAGCCACTGTGCCTGGCTGTGCTGGTACCATTTTTAAATAAGTGGCTATGTGTCAGGATGAAGACAGAACTGAACTCTATCCTTTATCATATGTGAAAATAAATTCTGATTGCAGAAATTAAAGACTGACATAAAAAAGTCAGTAAAGACAATCTTAGCCATTACATATATAATGAGGTTGGGGAAGAACTTCTTAATACTAAACCAAGGTGCTATAAATATTTTGGAACATTTCCAATGTCCAGTACCTCTTTGTATGTCAAAGGTGCCATTAAAAACTTGATATACAAATGAGTAGTCTAGAAAACTACTAAATGTAAACTACATAATATAAAATAGAGTTAACAGACAATTCCAAGAGGCTTTGCAAAGGGACGCTGGAAAGATCAACAAACCAGTGGGAAAATGGGCAAAGTATATGAGGAGATGATATGGCTCACAAATGTATGAAAATATATTTAACTTGATTAGCAGTCAAGGAAATGCAAATTAATGTGACAGTGATGTCTTACTTGACATAAGACAGTACTGTAAAAAAAAACTGTTAATATCTGTTGCTGGCAGGAATATGCATGCAAATAATACACCAACACATTGCTGGTAGGAATGTGAAGTTTGAAAATCCTTTTAGCATGTTGTCTACTATATATTAAAATTTATGCTCCTCTAGGAACAGAAACAAGACATTAGGTAGGAACTTAGGAAATCTGAATGCAGTGCGGACTTTAGTTTAATTTTTAACAACCACATGACCCTCAGACTCATTAATTCCACTTCAGGCAATCGATCTCCTAGAATTAAACTCACCAGTATTCATGGACATATGAACATGGGTCTTTATTGTGACGTGTCTCATAACATACAAAGCCTGGAAATAAAGTAAATGCTCATCATAGAAGAATGGCTGAATAAATTATGGAAAATTATATCACCATTAAAAAGGATGAATTAGAATTATACAATTGACTTGCAAGGATTTTGCAATATTATTGAGAAAGAAAAAAATTCAGAAAATGGCATAATGTCTCATACTTGTGGAACTTTGGCAACCCTCTGATTATGTGTGAATACGTGTGTTGAGACATCTATGTAAGATTGTATAAACTTGGAGAAAAGATGGAAACGTATATAGGTTGTTATTAAAATAACCATGTGTAAATCACTTACATATTTGTATTAGATGATGCATATATCCACAGAAGCAGATTTTCTGGGAGCTAATGGTATTTACGCTTCAGAATGTCTGCCCCAGGGCCCCAGGGGGGACCTTACCAATGTAGACATGGCCAATTATTTTTGCATAATTTAATAGACTTGAGCCTTGCTTGGGGTAAGAACACAGTGTCTTTTCACCCAAACTTCCCCCTTCTCATCCTTCTTCTGTTAGGAGACATGTTTTGGGGACCTGGGTAAGGGAAAGTTGAGTTAGAAATAACATTTCGTTGGGTTTAGAGTTGTATTTACATGGTGTGCAGTCACTTTTGTGAACAGGTAAATTTTTAGCTCTCCCAGCATAGAAATAAGGACCAGAAATATTCTTCCTGGCCACCTCTGCATCTGAGGTTATGATATGGTGTAGCATTTCTAGAAGTATCAAAATATCAGTGTGGTATATTATGCTTGAAGTATGTGAGTCATATTGGAGAGACAGTGTTTGAAATGTGTGGAGCCAGAAGCTAGATTTTAAGTTTCACTTACAAAGGAAATTTCATGGCAATCCCTCTAAATTTGACAACCATCATAAAAATTTACATGACATATATTGATAAGTTGTGGAGCTGAAAGAAGCTTTACCAAAAGATCAATTAAAAATAATTGATCAATTATTGCTAGAGGAAAAATGAATTATCTGTTCTTTCTATACAAACTATTTACAAAATTTTCTAAGAAACTACCCACACAAATAAAATTAAAAATATGGAGGGGAAAGTATTATGGACTATTAATATTAATATTATAGTATTTAATAAAAATAGTATGTTTTCTGGATAACGTGATGTATTTTTCAGCCTTCATGAATGTGTAATATGTTGTGTTTTTTTCATTATAAGTAAACTTCACTTCTGTGCCCAATTTTGTTTTCGTAATACTGTATTTTTCTTAAAGCAAGATTCCCAAATTGTATACATGTTGTATACAAATTGCATCCAGTCTCCACAAAATTTAATATTCTCCTTCTGTGATTTCTGGGTAAACTAATGAGTAAATTAAATGAAAAGATGACTAAACATTTTAGAATTACTTAGGAATGAATACCAGTACATTGTGTTTTTATTTTAAATGGATATAAGTGAATATGCAAGAACCAAATGCAATAAGGCTATTACAGTTCTTCCTTAAACATCAGTTCTCTGAGGATTATTATTAGATAATTTATGAAGAACTTGAACTTCATCTGGCGCACGCCCCAAATGTTTACTTTGCAGAAAACACTGCTATGCTGGCTGGCCAGTAGAGGGCACTGTGCTGTTGGTCTGAGTTGTACAATGAGCGTTCAACCTGCAAGGCGTGGACAGGTGGTTAAGATAATAAATATTTTATGTGACCAGCCTAGAGCTCACAGTACAAGACAAGAAATTTCTTTCTCTCTCTGACTCCCTGCCTTTGTCTGTTCCCGTCTGTCTGTAACACACACACACACACACACACACACACACACACACACACACACACAGAGAATGTTGAAATAAATGGATGGATTACAGATTGTACACTTTGGGTAGACATGAATAGAGAAAATCTTGTTAGAGAAGATGACCCCTTGGGCTATTGGCTCAGAAAAGGAGAAGGATGTGGTTTGATGAAAAGAAGAAAGAAAGATGTTCTAGGAATTTGGCAGAGGATGAAAGGAAGCAAGAGAACTTAATAAGAGCAAATACGTTTTAGAATAAAGTGATTTCCATTTAAAGGGGAAGAACTGGACTCTTCGATTTCCCTGTGGGGTGAGTTTTAGGGTAAAGACTCCTGTGCTGAAAGCCAGCCTGCTCATCTCAAAGGAATACATACAAATGTTGCACTCTGAGTGCTGTACTCATGTTTGTTTCTTGTTAGACTCTTATGGGGCAGATGACAGTTTCCCCTTCTTTTATCCATGATCTAGGTGTCAATTGCCGCTGGCAAAAGGAAGTGATAGTGGGGAGTGATATCAGATATGAGTAGTTACTAGCTCTTTTGTGGTGGAAGCAGTATAGAAACAAACTGGGTCTTTAGTCTGATTTCATGTTCTAAAAAAAAGCTCCTTATGTATGACCAGTCCTAAACTTAGCTAAAATAATCAGCTGTCCCTTGACAGTTATATCTGGATACTACTTTTTTATATTAAAGTATTATTAAAACAACACATGTAGGTAGCTAAAAGTTGAAAGAGTTTAGAAGTGCTTATCATGAAAATCAATAATCTCCTGCCCTCTCTCCCATCCCAGTCCTGTTCCACCAAAGGCAACCACTTTGAACTCTTTGTGTTTTTAATTCTTTGGAGGTTTCTACCATATTTCAAAATTAAGTTTAGAAATGTGGTTTTCTCTACATTGTGAAATACAGTTTAGAAATGATCTCTCTGAACTCTCTTATAGATGCAGATTTCAGTTAATTACCTCAGGTCCAAGTAGTGAGGCAGTGTATCATGTTTGCCTCTTTTCTAGTATAACTTGCTTTTCCTGCCTTGTTCTTCTCCTTAAACAATTTTTTTTGCATTTTAATTTTTATCTTTTCCATCAGATCAATACACATTTATATTATAACCTCTCTATATATTTTAAAATAAATATCCCAGAATAATCTCTTGGTTTTACCCCTTCCCCTCCACACCTCGCCATCTTCTTGCCAGATAAACTGGCTGCCCTGTAGATGTGTTGCTGTAAAGTGGTCATCCCAGAACTTTCTCACTGCTTTCTTGAGTTGTATTCCCTGATATTTAGACACTGTCAGGGAGTGGGGTGGGGGGTTGCTTTCTTGATTACTGTTTTGTATTGTTGAAGAACATCTTGCAGTAAGAGGCTTCCTAGAAAAGCTTATGTGAAAAGTAGATGTGAGTGTCTGATAGCTTGGCTGGGTATAGAAATCTAAAGTGTCAGTTTAGAGGTCTGTGTTGCTATTAAGAGGCTCAATTTCATCTTCATTTTTTTTCTTCTTATAAATAGGCTCTTTTTAATATCTTTATGGTTTAGAAATAGCATTCTATAATGAAAAATATTTAGTATTCTATAATGAAAAATTTTGGTATGTGTCTCATTGTTGTGGGTACTTCGTGTACCCTTTCAATCAGAAATCTTTGTTCTTAGAGTTCTAGCAACTTCTTCTGTATAACTTGTTAATATTATCTTTCTCTGGTTTCTGTGGAACTCTTTTTTTTTTTTTTATTGATCATTCTTGGGTGTTTCTCGCAGAGGGGGATTTGGCAGGGTCATAGGACAATAGTGGAGGGAAGGTCAGCAGATAAACAAGTGAACAAAGGTCTCTAGTTTTCCTAGGCAGAGGACCCTGCGGCCTTCCGCAGTGTTTGTGTCCCTGGGTACTTGAGATTAGGGAGTGGTGATGACTCTTAAGGAGCATGCTGCCTTCAAGCATCTGTTTAACAAAGCACATCTTGCACCGCCCTTAATCCATTTAACCCTGAGTGGACACAGCACATGTTTCAGAGAGCACAGGGTTGGGGGTAAGGTCACAGAACAACAGGATCCCAAGGCAGAATAATTTTTCTTAGTACAGAACAAAAAGTCTCCCATGTCTACCTCTTTCTACACAGACACGGCAACCATCCGATTTCTCAATCTTTTCCCCACCTTTCCCCCCTTTCTATTCCACAAAACCGCCATTGTCATCATGGCCTGTTCTCAATGAGCTGTTGGGTACACCTCCCAGACGGGGTGGTGGCCGGGCAGAGGGGCTCCTCACTTCCCAGTGGGGGCGGCCAGGCAGAGGCACCCCTCATCTCCCGGACGGGGCGGCTGGCTGGGCGGGGGGCTGACCTCCCCACCTCCCTCCCGGACGGGGCGGCTGGCCGGGCAGAGGGGCTCCTCACTTCCCAGTAGGGGCGGCTGGGCAGAGGCGCCCCTCACCTCCCGGACGGGGAGGCTGGCTGGGCGGGGGGCTGACCCCCCACCTCCCTCCCGGACGGGGTGGCTGGCCGGGCGGGGGGCTGACCCCCCAACCTCCCTCCCGGACGGGGCAGCTGGCCGGGCGGGGGGCTGACCCCCCCCACCTCCCTCCCGGATGGGGCGGCTGGCCAGGCAGGGGGCTGACCCCCCCATCTCCCTCCCGTACGGGGCGGCTGGCCGGGCAGAGGGGCTCCTCACTTTCCAGTAGGGGCGGCCAGGCAGAGGCGCCCCTCACCTCCCGGACGGGGTGGCTGGCCAGGCGGGGGGCTGACCCCCCCACCTCCCTCCCGGATGGGGCGGCTGGCCGGGTGGGGGGCTGACCCCCCCACCTCCCTCCCGGACGGGGTGGCTGGCCGGGCGGGGGGCTGACCCCCCCCACCTCCCTCCCGGACGGGGCGGCTGGCCTGGCGGGGGCTGACCCCCACCTCCCTCCCGGACGGGGTGGCTGCCAGGCGGAGACGCTCCTCACTTCCCAGACGGGGTGGCTGCCGGGCGGAGGGGCTCCTCACCTCTCAGATGGGGCGGCTGCCGGGCGGAGAGGCTCCTCACTTCTCAGACGGTGCGGTTGCCAGGTGGAGGGTCTCCTCACTTCTCAGACGGGGCGGCTGGGCAGAGACGCTCCTCACCTCCCAGACGGGGTCGCGGCCGGGTAGGGGTGCTCCTCACATCCCAGACGGGGCGGTGGGGCAGAGGCGCTCCCCACATCTCAGACGATGGGCGGCCGGGCAGAGACGCTTCTCACTTCCTAGATGGGATGGCGGCCGGGAAGAGGCGCTCCTCACTTCCTAGATGTGATGGCGGCCGGGAAGAGGCGCTCCTCACTTCTCAGACTGGGCAGCCAGGCAGAGGGGCTCCTCACGTCCCAGAAGATGGGCGGCCAGGAGAGACGCTCCTCACTTCCCAGACGGGGTGGCGGCCGGGCAGAGGCTGCAATCTCGGCACTTTGGGAGGCCAAGGCAGGCGGCTGGGAGGTGGAGGTTGTAGCGAGCCGAGATCACGCCACTGCACTCCAGCCTGGGCACCATTGAGCACTGAGTGAACCAGACTCCGTCTGCAATCCCGGCACCTCGGGAGGCCGAGGCTGGCGGATCACTCGCGGTTAGGAGCTGGAGACCAGCCCGGGCAACACAGCGAAACCCCGTCTCCACCAAAAAAATACAAAAACCAGTCAGGCGTGGCGGCGCGCGCCTGCAATCGCAGGCACTTGGCAGGCTGAGGCAGGAC
Organism: Homo sapiens; assembly: GCF_000001405.40. Lineage (NCBI taxonomy): Eukaryota > Metazoa > Chordata > Mammalia > Primates > Hominidae > Homo > Homo sapiens. The sequence goes on from NC_000013.11 coordinate 25,513,868, forward strand.
AATCAGTCAAGGAGGTTGCAGTGAGCCGAGATGGGAGCAGTAAAGTCCAGCTTTGGCTCGGCATCAGAGGGAGACCGTGGAAAGAGAGGGAGAGGGAGACCATGGGGAGTGGGAGAGGGGGAGGGGGAGGGGGAGGGAGAGGGAGAGGGAGAGGGAGAGGGACTCTTAATAGTTGGATATTGGTCTTGTATTTGTACTATTAAGTCTCTTTTATTTTGCATCTTGTTTTTTTGGTTTTACTTTTTGGAAAATTTGCTTAGCTTTATTTTTCACTTCCTTTTTTGCAATATTTTAGTTAGGCTAGCGTACTTCCAATTGCCAATAGCCATTTTATTCTGTTTCCTTTTTAGAAATACCATCTTATTCTTGTTTCATGTGAATGTGTTATCATCTTATGACTCTGAGGATATTAGAATTAGCATTACTCCAAACTCTAAAATATTCTTTTAAAGTTTGCTGTACTGTTTCCTCAGGTCTCCCCTTTCTTCTGTATTCATTTAAAATCTCTTTTTTGTGGTGCAGGCTTTCTACACATATTTGGTAATTTTTCAAAGAGGAAGTGTAGCAGGATGATGGGGTGCTCTGTGAGTGCAGGCCAGATAGCAAGACTCACTTTTCGGTGAAGGACTTTTAGACATGAGTGTATGAGGTTTGTGTGGGTGCCCTGGGAATACTCCTGGCTGTGGGTGTAGCAGCCTGGCTGTGTAAGATTTTGGTGTAACCAGAAGAAGGGGGCTTGTGAGAGAGGAACCATGTTTCTTTTATGAAGTCTTTTGCTTCGAACTCTTTATAGTTTATCTTGTGGGGTTCCTCCAGATTCCTAGCCCTGATTTCCTGTGTGAGCTCCTCTGTGTATGGACTTCAAATACCTCCCTTTGCTTTCTATGCTTGCCACAGACCCTTTTCCATCATTGATGTCTCATGAGTCTCCTGAGCTCTGCAGGCTGAAACTGTTCCCCTCCTGTCCACAGGCTCCCCTGTCTCCAATGCACTGGGCTTGTGCCTGCCTCTGCCCTGCCTAATATATGATTGTGATAGTAAAGTTAATGTGTCAACTCGACAGGGCTATGGGGTGCCCAGGCATCCAGTTGAACATTATTCTGAGTGTCTGCGAGGGGATTTCTGGATGAGGTTAGCATCTGTATCAGTAGAGTGAGGAAAGCAGGTGGACTCCCTAGTGTGGGCGGCCCCATCAAACAGTTGAAGCCCTGACCAGAACAACCCTCTGCCAAGTAAGAGGGAGCTCCTCCTGCCCGACAATCTTCAAACTGGCACATTAGCTTTTCCCGCCTTCAGAGCTACTGAAACAATGGTTATTCCTGAGTTTCCAACCCACCGGCCTTTGGACTGGAACCATACCATTGGCCCTCTTGCCCATTCCCACTGCTGGTGTTGGAGTTTGCCAGACTCCATAGTTGTGTGAGCCAATTCCTTATCATAAATCTCTATATGTCACCTAGTGGCTCTGTTTCTTTGACACAATGACACTCTTATTACAACTGCATTATTATTTTAAAAATGGATTGACATATCTTCTGAGATACCATTTGTGAAGCTAGAGCCCGTTCTTCCTGCCTCGCAGGCCAGGGCCCTTGCTTAGGCGGCAGCCCCTCTTGTGGGCTTCTCTCTCCCTGCAGCTCATACTCAGAAGGCGTCTTGGAGGCATGTTCAACTTGTCTGGCGAAAGCAGAAAGAAGTCTATTTTAGAAAAAAGACAACCCCACATCTTAGCTAATGATTCCATTCCTAGTTGTGTGTGTGTGTTTTAAACTGACTGCATATTTTTACATTCCTTTCTAGTATGGTAGTGGTGTCCCTGTAGGCAGAAGTGGTAAATGTGTTTCCATTTTACAATTGTCAGTCTGAAGCTAGGCAGCCTTTAGATCGGGTCTTTACTGCTGTTAGAATCCTGCACATAACAGACCTATTTAACTCATGTCTCTATGTTGGATTTCAGTTAGACACCTGCAGGGATGGGTCCACTTTATGAAACTGTGAGCTGTACACTTTGGTTTTGTGCACTTTGCTATATATGCACACTTTGGTTTTGTGCACTTTGCTATATACGCATGATAAACAAAGAAATGTCAGTTAGAATTAAACACTTGAATAAAGTTTGACAATTATGTGAGAAATCCAGAAAGATAGAATAATATAGCTTGCCCCAGATTTTTAACTCTACAACATGAGGGACGGATAGATATGGCTTTCTACCCAGACCTAAATTAAACATTTGTGTTTTCCATACTAGAAATCTCTGTGTACCAATCATCTCAGCTCCCGATGTTCTCCCAGCTTGACCACTTCGGTTTAGCTTTCCATCCAGATCTTATTTGATGTTGTAGTTCCTGAACCCTGTCTCCTTGGGAAGTGTCTTTTCTGACAAGGTATGTCCTCCCCGAGAACCAGTGCACCCTTGACTGAGGGCAAAAGCGTTTGGGACCTGAAAAGGATGGGTTTAGGCCCTTGCCTTTGGATAACTCGATCTCAGAGTGGCTGCTGCTCCTTACTTGGTTTGTAGCATGCCAACACTTAGGACAGCCTTAAATCTTTCCTTGTAGTAGGGATTATTTCCCTCTGTTTGGAAAGAATATACTGAATTCTGAATGAAAGGCCAAATGTGGTATACTTAAATGCAATATGTTTTAGTGTTAGAGTTTCACACGCTGACCTGTTGCGTTTCTTTTGGGGCAGTGGCTGCATGGGGCCTGAATTGTAATGATTCCTGTACTTGTTGAGGCCAGATATTTTTATAACAAATAATTGTTGTTTCTTTTAATTGAAAATTGAGAAGAATCTCATTAAAAATGATCCTTCTCTTGCAGTGCAAAATTAAATAAATCTCATAACTCTTTTTTTTTTGTTTTTATACCATGAAGTTCACATTTTTTCTTTCTTTCTTCCTTTCTTTCTTACTTTTTTTTTTTTTTTGAGACGGAGTTTCACTCTCTCACCCAGGCTGGAGTGCAGTGGAGCAATCTCAGCTCACTGCAACCTCCGCTTTCTGGGTTCAAGCGATTCTCCTGCCTCAGCCTTCCAGGTAGCTGGGATTACAGGTGCCTGCCACCAAGCTCGGCTAATTTTTGTATTTTTAATAGAGACAGGGTTTCACCATGTGGGTCAGGCTGGCCTCGAACTCCTGACCTCAAGCTATCCACCCACCTCGCCCTCCCAAAGTGCTGGGATTACAGGCATGAGCCACCGTGCCTGGTCACATTTTTTTTTTTTTTTTTAATATAAAGCACCTGGTCATGCTCACTTTGGCAGCACATAGACTACAATTGCAATGATACAGAGAAGGTTAGGATGATCCCTGCGCAAGGATGACACACACATTCATGAAGTGTTCTATGTTTTTAAAGTTAAAAAAAAAAGAAAGAATAAATCACTTGGGTAAAACCTGCTTTTCAATAATGTCACTTTTAATGATATTAGCCATAAATATCTGATATCTTGCATTTGGAATTGGTTATCTAAGAGTTGTTTTCACTAGAAGATCTTCCTGGCAGCATGCTCAGTGGTCAAAATGTTATCTTCTTCTCAGCTCATGTTTCCATGCAGGTGTTGAGATAAAGTGTTTCATGTCCATAGTTATTTGTTGAATAATGCATTGAGTAATAGAACAGATTTGGAAATCTGATAGGAGCAGGACAGTCACACTATTTAATAGGAATTATAGGTAGACTCTAATTTATGAACTTACCTTCAAAGGTGTATTGTAAATTGATTGGTCAGCAGTCGACTTCCATTTCACTCCTTGGATGTGTTTTGTGACAGATAGTCTAAAAGAGCACTAATACCTCTCCTGGTCCAATTACTGCATTCTGGGAACAGGCTATGAGATAAAGCAGTATCTGACACCCCTTTTTCCTGCTGTAGACTAAGAATTAGGAACATGTTGAAAATATAAATGGCAGTGTTTTAAAATGAACTTAGTGACCTTTTATTTGTAACTGGTGAGATTTCAGTAGTTTAGCATTAATAAAATGAAGTGAAAATTTCTTGTAAGGTGCTCATATGTTACCATTGACAGGCTCTATTTATCAGTGGGAATTCTTGGATTTAAGATTATTTCCAGAATACAATTTGGGAGGGATGGTGGCAAAGCCTAAGGAATTGATGCCAGATGTGGAAGGCCATGGGCTTTGCCATCCATTGGAATGTCCTCTGGGGTGGCTCCCAGGTATGCAGTGATGTCCATCAAGAGAAGTGGCAGAGGGCCACTGGGAAGGGCTTTTGCATTTGGTGGTGTTGCTCTTGTTCTTTCCCTTGATTGGTTGAATGCACTGCTAAGGAATCATTGAATTAAACTGCTTAATGTTTAGTGTTATCATCTTGTCCTCAACTTCCAATCATCTAGAACTCCTTGCTGAGTGACCATTTGGGAGGAGGAAGGTGAATGATATCCTATCGGGAGCCTGCTAGGATGGAAGGCTTCCAGGACATGGGCATGGAATGCTGGCCCTGTTCACAAAGTCAGCTTCCGGTGGGGACGCTTAAAGCCTCCTTTATTCTTTCAGTAAATATTGAACGCTTACTGTATGTTGGGAAGATATAAGAAATTTGTTTTGCCATGGAATGCAGTAGAATAAGGCAATTGTTTTTGACTGTCTTTACACCTTAACATGGATTTACTGTTTCCATTTTGGTGTTGCGTGTTAAGGTTTAGCTTAATTTCTGTTTCTGGAGGCTTGCTTGAAGGGGAAGTTACACTTTGAGCAGCTACTGAACTTTGCGTCTTTTAAATCGGTCTCTGGAGAACAGCTGTCAACTTCAATTTTTCTCGTAGCTGGAAAATCAGACTCTGGTATTGTCTGTGGGTTCTTGCTTTCTGCTGCATTTCTGGAGGTCAGACTCCTGTGGTGCCTTGTGATTTGTGAGGATCAGGTAGACCCAGACCCATATTTTGCCAGACCCTATTTTCTAATGGATTGTTTCTGTATGTGCCTAATTATGAGTTATGGAGTGAAGCGTGTCCAACATACATGTAACAAGATCCACCCCATGAGTTGGGCTCCTCAGAGGAGGGTTTGCAGATAGATATTATTGTCAGGTTTTGTCCTCTCCTGGGAAGCCTCCAGATCTTCCCATCTCCCAAAAGGAAAAAGGCCAGTGTGTCAACATGAGTGACAAGGCCAATGCGTTGGCCCTTTGCCACGTTCATTTCAGTTCTCTTCATACTTCTCCACCTCCGTTTGCCCAAATTGGGCTCTTTACTCTCCCTCCTACAGGTGGAGCAACGGGAGCTCTCCCACCTTGGCGTTTCTGCACTCGCTGTCCCCTCCCTCTGCAAAGCTCTTCCCCTGTGCGTCCATGAGACTTGCTCCTGCTCCTTCACCTCCTTCAGGGCCTAGTTCACAGGTCACCTTCTCAGTGAAACCTTCCCTCGCCACTCTGTTGAAAATAATCCTCCTCCCAGCCCCAGCCAGTGTACCCTTCTGTATCCTCCTTCCCTGATCTGTTTTCCCCTGCAGTATTCATCACGATCTATGCTGTTATGTGTTCTATTTTTTTTTTAATCTCGTTTCTCCTCTAGAGTGCAATTTCCTTGAGGGTGTGCGTTTTTGACCACTTGGTTCCCTTTAGTATCTCCGGGGGCTGGCACACTGCCCTAGTACATAATTAGGGCTCAGGAAATATCTATTGCACATGATGGATGGATGGATGGATTTTTGATAAATCCCGGTCATCTTCATGTCACCCAGTTTCAGGAAACACTGGCCTCATGTTTAGAGGGAGACTGAGTGAATCATAGAGAAATATTCCTGTTTGCGCCTGGTCACTTATCTCCAGCCCCCAAGCTCTAAGGTCTTGGGTTTCCATGCAGCTAAAGCCCCTCCTTGCTGTGACTAGCCAGGAGGACAGTGATGCTGGCACATGCATTTCGTCACACGAGTGGGAATGTCTTTAGGGGAGGGGTGGCTTATTTACTTGGGTGAATAAACTATCCTGTTGGGAAGTTCTGTCATTCACCCATTTACCCCTGGAGATGTTTTTCCCCTGGCAGAGTGAATGGTAAAACATCTCCCATCTTATTACATTTTTAAAAAGTTGCTACATAATAGTTGTATTAACACATATTTTAAAGGTACATGTAATAATTTGATACATTCATATAGTGTGTAAAGATCAAATCAAGGTAATTGGGATATCCAATGCCTTAAATCTCTTCTAGATATTTTGACGTGTACAACAGATTATTGTAAACTATAGTCACCCTGCTGATCTTTCAAATACCAGCTCTTATTTTCTCTACCTAACTGTGTATTTGTACCCATTAATCAACCTCTCTTCATCTCTTCCTCCGTGCTACCCCTCCTAGCCTCTGGTAACCACCAGTCTGCCCTCTGTCTTCATGAGATCCACTTTTCTGGCTCTCACATATGAGTGAGAACATGTGATATTTGTCTTTTTATGCCTGGCTTATTTCACTTAATATAATGACCTCCAGTTCAATTTATGTTGCTGCAAATGACAGGATCTCATTCATTTTTTGTGGCTGAATAAGTACTCCATTGTGTATATATGCCACATTTTCTTTATCCATTCATTCACTGATGGCCACTTAGGTTGATTCTATATTTTGGCTACTGTAAATATGCTGAATAGTGCTGCAATAAATATGACAGTGCAGACAGATATCTCTTTGACATATTGATTTTCTTTCTTTTGGCTCTATAGCCAGAAGTGAAATTGCTGGATTATATGGCATTCCTATTTTTAGTTTTTTTTTTTTTTGTTTTTTTTTTTTGAGATGGAGTCTTGCTCTGTCTCCCAGGCTGGAGTGCAGTGGCACGATCTTGGCTCATTGCAAGCTCCGCTTCTCAGGTTCCACACCATTCTCCTGCCTCAACCTCCCAAGTAGCTGGGACTACAGGTGCCCGCCACCACACCTGGCTAATTTTTTGTATATATATATATTTTTTTTAGTAGAGACAAGGTTTCACCATGTTAGCCAGGATGGTCTCGATTTCCTGACCTCGTGGTCTGCCCGCCTTGGCCTCCCAAAGTGTTGGGATTACAGGCATGAGCCACCGTGCCGGCCCTATTTTTAATTTTTTGAGGAACCTCCATGCTGTTTTCTATACTGGCTGTACCAATTTACTTTCCCACCATCAGTGTACAAGGGTTCTGCTTTTTGCATATCCTTGCCAGCATTCAATCTTCCCTGTCTTTTTTATAATAGCCATTTACACTGCAGTGAGATGATATCTCATTATGGTTTTGATTTGCATTTTTCTGAGAATTAGTTACGTTGAGCATTTTCCTGTTGGCCATTTGTATGTCTCTTCTGTGAAATGTCTATTCAGATCTTTTATGCATTTTTAAAACATATTATTTTATCTATTTATTTATTTTAGCTGTTGAGTTGTTTGAGCTCCTTATTATATTCTGGTTATATTCTCCTTACATATCCCTTGTCAGATGGATAGCTTGTAAGTATTTTCTCCCATTCTCTGGGTTGTCTCTTTGTTGATGTTTTCTTCATTCTGCAGGAGGTTTTTAGCTTGATGTAACCTTATTTGTCTATTTTTGCTTTGGTTGCCTATGCTTTTGAGGTCTTATACAAGAAAATCTTTGTCTAGACCAATGTCCTGGAGTATTTCCCCAATGTTTTATTTTAGTAATTCTCAGTTTCAGGTCTTAGATTTGAGCCTTTAATCTATTTTTATTTGATTTTTGTATAATGAGAGATAGGGGTCTAGATTTCTTTTTTGATATGTAATTACCAGTTTTCCCGGCATCATTTATTGAAGAAACTGTCCTTTCCCCACTGTATGTTCTTAGCGCCTTTGTTAAAATGAATTGACTATAAATGCATGGCTTTATATCTGGGTTCTCTCTATTTCTCTTTTTTTAAGAGATGGGGTCTCACAATGTTGCTGATCTCAAACTCCAGGCTTCAAGTGGTGCTCCCACCTTGGCCTCCCAATGGCTTCTCTATTCTGTTCCATTGGTCTATGTGTCTGTTTTTATGCCAGTACCATGCTGATTTGGTTACTACAGCTTTGTAGTATGTTTTGAAGTCAGGTAGTGTAATGCCTCCAGCTTTGTTCTTTTTGCTCTGGATTGCTTTGGCTATTCAAGATTTGTGGTTCCATATAAACGTTAGAATTGTGTTTTTCTGTTTCTGTGAAGAATATCATTGGTATTTTTATAGGGATTATATTGAATCTGTCATTTGCTTTGGGTAGTGTTGTCACTTGAATAATATTAATTCTAATCCATGAGCATGGAATATCTTTCCATTCTTTGGTGTCCTCTTCAATTTATTTCATCAGTGTATTAATAGTTTTTCTTATATAGATCTTTCACTTCTCTGGTGAAATTGATTCCTAGGTATTTTACGTTCTTTGTAGCTATTGTAAATGAGATTGTTTTCTTGATTTCTTTTTTCAGATTGTTTGCTGTTGGCATATAGAAATGCTACTGATTTTTGTATGTTGATTTTGTATCCTGCAACTTACAATCATGTCCTTTGTGAACAAGGCTAATTTGACTTTTTCCTTTCCAGTTCGGATGCCCTTTATTTATTTCTCTTGCCTAATTTCTCTGTCCAGGACTTCCAATACTATGTTTAATAACAGTGGTGAAAGTGGGCATCCTTATCATGTTCCAGATCTTAGAGGAAAGGCTTTCAATTTTTCCCAGTTGAGTATGATGTTGATTGTGGGTTTCTCATGTATGGCCATTATTATTTTGAAGTATGTTCCTTCTATATCTAGTTTGTTGAGGATCTTTATCATAAAGAGATACTGAATTTTGTCAAATACTTTTTTCAGCATCTACTAAAATGATCACATGGTTTTTGTTCTTGGTTCTGTTAATGTCATATATCACATTTATAGATTTGTATATGTTGAACCATCCTTACATCCCTGAGAAGAATTCCACTTGATCATGGTGAATGATGTTTTTAATATGTTGGTGAATTCATTTTGCTAGTATTTGGTTAAGAATTTTTGCATCTACTGGACGGGCATGGTGGCTCATGCCTGTAATCCCAGCACTTTGGGAGGCCAAGTTGGGTGAATCACTTGAGATCAGGAGTTCAAGACCAGCTTGGCCAACATGGTGAAACCCCATCTCTACTAAAAATACAAAGAGATAGCCAGGGGTAGTGGCACATGCCTGTAATCCTAGTTACTCTGGAGGCTGAGGCTACCTTGAACCCAGGAGGCACAGGTTGTGGTGAGCTGAGATCACACTACTGCCGTCCAGCCTGGGCAACAGGGCTAGACTCTGTCTCAAAAAAAAAAAAAAAAGAATTTTTTCATCTATGTTCATCAGTGATATTGGCCTATAATTTTCTTGCCTGGTTTTATTATCAGGGTAATGCTGGCCTCAGAATGAGTTTGGAAGTATTCCGTGATCTTCAATTTTTTTTCAAGGCTTTAGGATAACTTTTTTTTTTTTTTTTTGAGTCAGAGTTTCACTCTCATTGCCCAGGCTGGAGTGCAGTGCCGCAATCTTGGCTCACTGCAACCTTGACTTCTGGGGCTTAGATCCTCCCACCTCAGCGACGTCCTGAGTAGCTAAGACTTCAGGCACACACCACCTTGCCTGGCTAGGTATTAGTTCTTCTTTAAATGTTTCATAGAAATCAGCAGTGAAACCATCTGGTCCTGGACTCTTCTTTAATGGGAGGCTTCTTATTATGGCTTTGATTTAGTTACTTGTTATTGATTGGTTGAGGTTTTCTGTCTCTTTATGGTTCAGTCTTGGTAGGTTTTATGTGCCTGAGAATTTATTCATTTCTTCTTGGTTTCTGATTTGTTGGTGCATAATTGTTCATAGTAGTCTCTAATGATTTTTTTTGTGTGTGTATTTCTGTGGTCTCAGTTTTTATGTTGCATTTCCATTTCTGGTTTTATTTGAGTCTTCCCTTTTCTTCCTAGTCTAGCTAAGGGTTTGTCAATTTTGCTTATCTTTTCAAAAATTCAAGTTTTTGTTTCATTGATCTTTTGTACTTTTTTTAGTCTCAATTTTATTTCTGCTCTTACCTTTATTATTTCTTTTCTTCTACTAATTTTGGGTTTCATTTGTTCTTGTTTTTCTAATCTCTTAAGGTACTTTATTAAGTTGTTTATTTGAAGTCTTTCTCCTTTTTTGATGTAGGTGTTTATTACTGCAAACTTCCCCTCTTACCATTGCTTTTGCTGTATCCCATAGATTTTGGTATGTTATATTTCCATATCCATTTGTTTCAAGAAATTTAAAATTTTCCTTCTTAATTTCTTCATTGACCTATCAGTTGTTGAGGAACATGTTATTTAATTTCCATGGGTTTGTGTAGTTTCCAGGGTTCTTATTGTTATTGATTTCTAGTTTATTTCATTGTGGTCAGAAAAAAATAGTTGATATGATTTCTAACTTTTTGAATGTGCTGGGACTTGATTTATATCCTAAGATATGGTCTATTCTAAAGAATGTTCTGTATACCAATGAAAAGAAAATGCATTCTGCAGCAGTTGGGTGAAATATTCTGTAAATGTGAGTTAGTCTTGTTTTGTCTAGTATACAATTTAACTCCAGTGTTCCTTTGCTGATTTTCTGTCTAGATGATCTGTCCATTACTGACAGTGGGAAGCTGAGGTCCCCTACTACTATTGTATTGCAGTCTATCTCTTGCTTTAGATATATTAATGTTTGCTTTATATTTTTGGGTGCTCTGGTGTTGAGTGCATAGATATTTATAATTGCCTTTATCATTATAAAAATGACCTTCTTTGTCTTTGACTTGTAGTCCGTTTTGTGTATTATAAGAATAGGTAATCCTACTATTTTTTGGTTTTCACTTGCATGGAATATCTTTTTCCATCTCTTTCATTCTGTGTGTGTCTTTATAGGTGATATCGGTTTCTTGTAGGCAGCATATAGCTGAGTCTTGTTTCTTTATCCATTCAGCTATATATATCTTTTAATTAGAGAATTAAGTTCATTTACATGCAGTGTTATCATTGATAAGTAAGGACTTACTACTGCCATTTTTCTGCTTGTTTTCTCATTGTTTGATAACTTCCTTCCTTCCTTCCTTCCTTCCTTCCTTCCTTCCTTCCTTCCTTCCTTCTTTCCTTCCGTCTTTCAGTCCTTCTTTTCTTTTTTCCATCTTCCTTTGTGGTTAAGTGATTTTCTCAGGTAATAGGTTTTAATTTGTTGCTTTTTATTTTTGGTGTATCTATTATAGGTTTTTGCACTGTGGTCATCACAAGGCTTGCAGAAACATCTTGTAGATATAACAAGTTATTTTTAAAGAGATGACAACTTAACTTAGATCACAGAAAGGAATAGAAACAATAAACTAAAAAAACCTCTGTGTTTTAACTCTATCTCCCCTACATATTGATTTTTTTGTTACCTCAATTTGGATATATTTATACTGCCTATTTTTTAGCAGGTTTCTGTATGTGTTTTCGTTTTTGATAGATTTGTCTTTTGGGCTTCATACTAGAGTTATGAGTGGATTGCACACCACAATTACAGTATTAGAGTATTCTGGGTATGTCTATATGCTTAATTTTACTAGTGGGTTTTATACCTTCAAATGTTTTCTATTTGCATGTTAGTGTTTGTTTTTCTTTCAAATTGAAGAAGCTCCTTTAGTATTTCTTGTAAGATGGATCTGGTGATGGTAAATTTTCTCAGCTTTTGTTTTTCTGGGAAAGCCTTTATTTCTCCTTCATAGTTGAGGGACAGCTTTGCTGGATACAGTATTCTTGGATGGAAATTTTTTTTCTTTTAGCACTTTGAAAATTTTGTTCCACTCCCTTCTGGCCTGTTTGGTTTCCATTGATAAGTCTGTTGCCAGATGAATTGGAGGTTCTTTATACGTTATTTTCTTCTTTTCTGTTGCTACTTTTAGGATCCTCTTTGTCCTTGGTCTTTGAGAATGTGATTATTACATGCCTTGGTGAAGTCTTATTTGGGTCAGATCTGTTTGTTGTTCTCTGACATTCCTGTACCTGGATGTTTATCTCTTTCTCAAGTTTTGGAAAGTTTTCTGTTATTTTTTTGAGTAAGCTTTTTACTCCTTGCTCTTGTTTAACTCCCTCTTGAACACCAGTGATTCTTAGACTTTGTCTTTTGAGGTAATTTCCTTTATCTTGTTGACAATCTTTGTTCCTTTTTATTCTTTTTTCTTCTCTGTGTATTTTCAAATTGCCTGTCTTTGAGCTCATTTATTCTTACTTCTGCTTGATTCATTCTCCTACTGACAGCCTCTAATGAGTTTTTCAGTTCCTCAAATACATTTCTCAGTTTGAAGATTTCTGTTTGTTTTTATTACTATTTCAATCTCTTCATGAAATTTCTCTGATACATTTTTGAGTTGCTTTTCTGTGTTATCTTGAAAATCACTGAGTTCCCTTAAAACTGCTATTTTGAATTCTTCTTCAGAGAGCTCACATATCACCATCTTGTTAGGGTTAGTCACTGGATCCTTGCTTCGTTTGTTCAGGGAAGTCATGGTTCCCTGTTTGCTGCTGTCACTTATGAATGTATGTGTATATGTTTGCATTGGAGAATTAGTTAGTTATTTCAGTTTTCTCTGTCTGGATTCTTTTGCTTTTCATTGGATATATTTGCTTAAGAGATTCATTGTAATTTACCTGTTGAATTTCTTTCTTTTCCCATTAGGTCACTGCCTCCTTTTCAGCATTAGATGGTGCCTTAAGCCCAGGTTTGTCTCCACTCTAATAAACAATTGGAGCACTGTCCATCCCAAATGGAAATGGTGCCAAAGGGGATAGCCTAGCAATGTGGGAAGGTGAATTAGGGGTTTGTGCTCAGGGGACCTGTGGGATGAACCTCCTACAGCATGGTGCTGCTAAGCAGACACTGCAATTTGGTATCTCTTTGGCCAACTTATAGAGCAAAGTTTCCAGAGTTGGGGATAGTAGTCCTGCCTCCTCACTTTGTCTCTGGCTGTCCCCAGGGATATTTCTTCCTTCAAGCACTCCCCATGCTTCCTGTGAGTTGAGGTAGGAACAGGTATCCTGCCAGGGAACTCAAGATGATGGGGAAGCTGCCCGTCACCTTGATTTTCCTTTTTCCAGTGTTAAACTGAGAGTTGGGGGAAATTTTCCACGTGCTTGGTGCTGGCAGATTGGGGAGAGGGATGTCTTGGCTGTGGATGTCCCCTTCTCTTACCATCTACTTGGAGCTTTTTTACTTCTCTGTGGCACTGAGAACTGTCTCATCCTCATATTCTAGTTTTGGGATATTTGTGGTGATAACCTTAGTGCTGTAAATTTGGTTTTTGTTTTCTGTGTGGGGAATGAAGCCAGCTTGCTTCCACGCCACCATTTTGGAACCAGAAACCTCATTGTATTACACCTTATAGTGCTCTGCTGAATTAAATTCAAATAGGAAGTTTGAACAAATTTACCTCCTCAGGAATTATCCTAAATCCCTGCTACTCAAAGTGTGGTCATTGTACCAGTAGCATTGAACTCACCTGGGAACTTGTTAGAAATGTGGAATCTCAGGCCCACCCCAGACGTACTGAATCAGAATCTGCATTTTAATAAGCTCTCCAGGAGACTGGTGTGTTCGAGAAGTACCATCCTGCAATATTCTGGTAGACTCATTTTGATAGGTGCTGCCTTTAGCTGTTTGTAGTGTTATATCTTTAATTCTGTAACATGACAGCTAATGGCTATATATTTTGGCAATTATTTTAATGCCACACAATAACCTTTTCCTGGATGAATGTTAATTTCTCTGAATTATTGATCATGCTTACTCTATCTCAGGATGCAAGCATTTGGGCTCGTTTTTCTAGTTCTAGTAGAGTAAAAGTTAGTATGCATTTCCCTCTCCACTTCTACCCTCTTATATTTCATTTTTTGCCACAAGCAAGATTCCTTTCCTCCTCAACTCTCCATCTTCATGGTTCTCAGGGATATGTAGGTCCTTAAGCACAGTCAGCATTTTGCTCAAGTGGAAAATGTTCATATATAGCTGGGGTAATGTGCCAACTGTGTGCATGTGTATCTGGTTTATACAGATGGAATCTCAGGTTCAAATGTTATAATCAAGCTATCTTGCAAGATAGTTTCTACACTCTTATTTTACAGTATGTGAACTTTCTTTTTGTTTTTTGCTGACAAATGTTGATTGCTTTATTTCAGTGGTCAGGATTGCTGTAGAGGTATGCATGATATGCCATTTGATTTTGTCCTCTAAGCCATAGTTAAGAAGACTTTGTATTGTGAGCTATCACATACATGAGTTTTGTGTATTTTCCCTACTTTTTAATGAACTTAATGTCAGCTGTTGATTCTGGCCAGATTTCACAGTGACATCCTGTTATGCCACAGGGCCACTTAAACAAGGAGGAGATCCATGTCAGCAAATTTCTAGCTAATTCAGGGATAGTCTTTCAAGTTACATATTGTTTAAGTTTTAACTCTTTAAAAAGTGGTCTTCATATAACATCACATACATTTTTAGCACCTTAGGTAGAAGTTGCTAAAAATGATTTTGTCTTTAAGGATAACTCTGATCACTGTATTGTGAAATGCGAGGCCATTGTACCATGGGGCATGATTTTCTCTGAGGCAGTGGCAGATGGGACTATTGGCAGTGGGACTATTTCTTGTTCCATCAAATGACCTCTGGCTGCTATATTTTTGAGTAGTCCACTTTGGTTTTACTCTGTTGTTCCAGGCTTGGTTGCTGTCCAGTCTCACAGTAGTGTACTTTGCTTCTGGTGTATTCTGTCTCCTGAGCCCTTCGCCCTTCTATTGGGGTGCTTCTAATTTGTTGTAAATTAAAAACCTGCTAGATAATCTTTTTTTTATTTATTATACTTTAAGTTCTAGGGTACATGTGCACAACGTGCAGGTTTGTTACATATGCATACATATGCAACTTGTGTATGCATACATATGCAACATGTGTATGCACACATATGCAACATGTGTATGCACACATATGCAACATGTGTATGCACACATATGCAACATGTGTATGCACACATATGCAACATGTGTATGCATACATATGCAACATGTGTATGCATACATATGCATACACATGTTGGTGTGCTGCACCCATTAACTCATCATTTATATTAGGTGTATCTCCTAATGCTATCCCTCCCCACTTCCCCCACCCCACAATAGGCCCCAGTGTGTGATGTTCCTCTTCCTGTGTCCATGTGTTCTCATTGTTCAATTCCCTCCCATGAGTGAGAACATGTGGTGTTTGGTTTTCTGTCCTTGTGATAGTTTGCTCAGAATGATGAAAACCTGCTGGATAATCTTGCTAGAATATATTATAATTAAGAATAGGCTCAGAGTGATGTCTTCAGAGGGTGAGCTAGGAATCATATAGGTACTTTTATGGTGCAAACTTGAATAAAATGTGTGAGCAGCCACAGCTGGTTTGGTTAATTTTGCCTTTGGGTTATTTCACTGTTCACTCACTATCTGCTATGTGCTAGGAACATATGGAATTGAAGTAAACATTCTTGTCGTTCCCATAATCTGTTCTGGGGATAGATAAAATACTAAGCAAAGCATTATGCCTATATGATATAGGTGTAAACACTGTACTGTAGGCTTGCATGAGGAGTGTCGTTATAAATTTGACCAGACTTACTGAAAGATGTAAGATTGGGTGGAAGGAAGGATACTTTGGTCATGGAGAGACAGGTAGGGTGTAAGGGAGAGGATGTCCTAGGTGGAAGCAAAAGTGTGAGCAAACATGATCAAATAAAGGGTGTGTGGAAGGAATGGAATTTATTTGGGTGTGGTTGAAGCATGAAACATCTGTGGTGGTTACCCAGAGGGGAACATCGAATTGTTATTCACACGCCTGCTGTTCATAGCATATAGCTCCTAGAAGGTGGGTAGATGTCTCTGCTTATGTTGTGTGAAAATTAAAGAAGCACATGTATATCTTCCAATGTAGAAAACAAAGACCACATTGGAAGATTTTCTCATCAGGGGCGCCATTTTACAAACTAAAGCTCTTTAGGAGAAGATACACAGCAATTTCCTTGTCTTGAGTTTTGAAACATTTTTTTTTAAACCATTTGTAAAACTTTCTAAACTTCTTGTCCTGTTCTTGTGTTTTAGAGTTTACATCTATAACTGATAGTATTATTTTTCTTTGCACTTACAGTACGGCCAAGTACAGCGTGTTGACATTTCTACCTCGATTCTTGTATGAGCAGATTAGAAGAGCTGCTAATGCCTTCTTTCTCTTCATTGCCTTATTACAGGTAATGGTTTTTTAACAGTTCCTTGGAATTCACTTAATTACATGTAAAATGAGATTTTGCTAAAGGTTCCTTAACTGCTAAAGTGTTATAATCTTGGAATATAGTTTGTTTCCCTCCTCTAGTCATTGTTTGATAGAGTGAACAAGCCTGACTTTGTATACAGGGAGATTTCTTTTGGTATGGCCTTGAGGATGATTGCAGTGACTGAAAGAGGCATTGAAAAGTGGCCTTAGGGCCATACTTTTAAGCCTTTTTCTGTTCCAAACACATAACCAATGTTGGATAAAATTTTTAAAAATATGTAAAATACGTAGCTAGTTTTTAAAGTAAGGTAATTATTTTTGAGTAACAGAAATGGAACAGAACTGCAAAAGTGTGAAACGTACGTGACTGCCGTAATTTTCTGTTCATGGAGAGGATTTTTAATGTGCCAACTTCCTACTTGTGGTCTCTTATCTTCCAGCAAATTCCAGATGTATCTCCAACAGGAAGATATACCACCCTGGTGCCATTGATCATTATTTTAACAATTGCAGGCATCAAAGAGATTGTAGAAGATTTTGTAAGTTTTTGCTTTTGGATAATAAAATCATTGTATGCAGTAGATAATAACTTATGTGTTGCCTCGGGTGATATATTTAAGGCAGGAAATTGGGCTATAGCTTAACCAGCCTCTTTAGACACCTGATGGTATTTTTAGGGGGAGTTAATGTATACTCAGAGTGTCCTAAATACCTGTACAGTGACACTAAACAGTTCAAACTTTGTTTTCAAATATTAGGTCTCTGGAGCCCCATTGATTTTTATCACTGATGTTCCTTATAGCCTGCTTTAGAGCTTGCTAATTTGGGCAGCAAATGAAAGATTGCTGTGTTGTCTAGGATGGCAGCATTGTCTCGCTCTGCCTGAGGCAATTTTACAAGAATCTTCTCCCCTCACAATCATCCTAGTGTACCTCCAAGTTCATTGGCTACAGCAACTATATTCCTTTTCCCTGTCTTTCTTGCTCTGTCTCCCCCTATATATTTGTGTGTGTGTGTATATATATGTTATATATATGATATATATGTTATATGATATATATATGTTATATATGTTATATATGATATATGTTATATATGATATATGTTATATATGATATATATGTTATATATGATATATATGATATATATGATATATATGTTATATATGATATATATGTTATATATGATATATATGTTATATATGATATATATATGTTATATATGATATATATGTTATATATGATATATATATGTTATATATATGATATATATATGATTATATATATGATTATATATATGATATATATATGATTATATATATGATTATATATATGATTATATATATGTTATATATATATGTTTGCATGTGCTGTCTCTCTGTCTCTGGATCTTCCTCTCCTCCCTTACATACACACACACCTTGCTTTCACAAACATATATGCATCTTTCTGGGAATAGGTATGTAAATAAATATAATACAGGTTAAGCATCCCTAAATCCAAAAACCCCAAATCTGAAATGCTTCAAAATCCAAAACTTTTGCATGCCGACATGATGCCACAAGTGGAAAACTCCACACCTGACCTCGTGTGATGGCTGCACAAAATTATTATAAACACTGTATGAAGTTACCTTCAGGTTATGTGCATAAAGTGAATATGAAGCATAAATAAATTTCATGTTTAGACTTGGGTCCCATCCCAGAGACACCTCATTGGGTATATGCAAATACTCCAGGATCTGAAACAATCTGAAATATGAAACACTTCTAGTCCCGAGCATGTCAGATAAGGGATCTTCAACCTGTACACATCGAAGCAAAGTTACTTTATCAATAAAATGAAGTTGGCTGTTTGTTGCTGGGTTTATCACACTGAATAATCATTTCAGTCTGATCTAAAGCAAGGAGTGAAAAGTTTTGTACTTCCAAGTGCTAGAACCAAAATAAAATAATTGAAACTAGAGGAGACCACTTCTAAACTTAGGGAGTGCTGATAGATCACAAAATTGTCTAACTGAATTTTACAGCATGAGCATTATTGGCATTTAGTTTCCTTGTCCCCTGTAATTTCCTGATTGTTTTGTTTGCTATTTCAATTATTCATGTGGAACTTTTGAATGTTAAACTATTTTTTTTCTTTCTGTAACAGAAGCGACACAAGGCAGACAATGCAGTTAACAAAAAGAAAACAATAGGTAAGATCCCAGGCTGAAGGACTTTTTCCACTGGAAAACTTAAGAATAAGGCCTGCATTTAAGGAATTTTAAATAAGTAGTGAATGGTATTGAGATAAATTGGGAAGATGATCTATAAAATAAAGAAATAGTAAAATAACAAACAAACTGAACATAATTTTAGTCCTGATAATTAAGTTTGAACAGCATTTGTGTATTTTAGAATGTTAGAAAAGGTTGTAATTTTCAGGAACTAGACAGTTTTTATGTCCATAAAAAGTCTAAGCATTCATGTCCTTCATTTATAATCTCTCCTTACTTCCCTCTTCTACTTTTTATTGTTTTATTTCTACAACATCAATTTTTTGTTTGTTTGTTTCATTTTTTGAGACAGGGTCTCACTCCTGTTGCCCAGGCTGGACTACAGTGGCATGATCATGGCTCACTGTAGCTTTGACCTCCCAGGCTCAGGTGATCCTCCCACCTCAGCCTCTTGAGTAGCTGGGACTACAGGCAAGCACCACCACCCCCGACTAATTTTTGTATTTTTGGTAGAGATGGGTTTCACCGTGTTGCCCAGGCTAGCCTCAAACTTCTGGGCTCAAGCAGTCTGCCTGCCTTGGCTTCCCAAAGTGTTAGGATTACAGGTATGAGCCACTGCGCCCAGCTGTTCAGTTTTTTTTAAATTGTGGAACAGCAGGCTTTTTTTTTCTTCTGGGCTGAAAATAAGTAGATTTAACTTACATACATACATAAACATTTATGTGTATGCATGAATGTATATATGTTACAGAGGTACATACCATACGTTGGTGTTCCATTTTGAGGGTGGGGGTGCTGATGTTATGCCATCATGGCTAAAGATAGGGTATGTTAGAATTAATAAATGGAATTCTAAAAGAAAGCTTTTGGATTTTAGGAAGCTGATTCAATTTAACACCAGTATTAACCAATATTTTATTTTTCTCTTTTTCAGTGTTAAGAAATGGTATGTGGCATACCATTATGTGGAAAGAGGTAAAAACTAATTTTAAAGATGTACCAGTACTATTGGTTTGAAGACGCGTAATGAATTGCTGGTCTTGATTGCAGTATAAAGTTTCTGTTAGACACAGTAGAGTTTTCCATGAGGTCTGCTGAGACCTGATGCGTGTTTACTCCTTCCCTTGCACCTTCTAGTAAGGGCCCAATGTGTCACTTCAAGCTATGAACTTCATCGCTCCTGAGTGACGTTTCTGAAATCTCAAAGTATTTTCTAGTTTCTAAATCCAATTTGAGAAATATTTTCCCTGGTCCTCTGTTGTCTTAACCTAAGTTAAAGTTTATTTTTGTTTTTAGCATTTGTGATTCTCACTTTAAACATTTTTGGGTGGAAAGGTCATTAACTACAGAGTGGTGGAAAGGGGGCAAGAAACCACCCCATTTCCGTTCTAGCACAGCAGTTAGCTGCTCTTAATAATAGCAAGGAAAGCTTTGCTTCCACGTCCCTGGAAGTATGAGGTTTAGAGGGTTGAAGAATGGTGTGGTTTTTTGGTTGTTTATGGTGATGAGTAGAAAATTTAGAAGAAATCTGCCATACCATCTAGGTATTTTATATCTCATAAAATTAGCTTTTTAAATGAGTGTTTTAGCTGGACCTTCTTAATGGACACAAGATGTGTTGGGGGATGACTCTCATTAGTCCAGCATTCAAAGCCGATTAACATGATTTCAAAAGAAAACAGCTTTTTAGAAGGGTAACTTGAAGTGGTTCTTCTTGCTAAATAAACATTTAATAAACAATGTTTTTAAATGCCTCTTACAGTCTTTTATATCTGAAAAATGCCCGTGATATGGTAACTGCAGCATTTGCTTTAGTTTTCGTTTTACTTTACTTTGTTTTAGGAGAATTCGCCACCCTTTAAAGAAATTTCTCCTTTATAGTGTTTTACAGTAACACCTTAACCTTTGCTGCAATCTTGAAGTCGTATGCTGCAAACATTCATCAACCTCACGTTTGGAAAGGTCATGGTTCTTGGTCAGGAGGTTGGGAATTCTTGACTCAAAGTGGGAGAGATGCTCCCAATGCTGAAGGAATTCAAGGGTTCTCCCAGCACTGGGAAATTGCCCCTCTATTTCTCTAGGGTTCTTCTTGTTACTCCCTCCCCAGAAAGGTATCAGTATCAGCTAGAGTGAAGAATGATTTGGATTCAGAGGGCCTGACATTACTTGAAACAGCAGAAAATGGAGTGATGGTCTCTAATTGATGGTCTTCTGTGGTCCAGGAGCTGACAGCTTTGCAGACTCCTAAAACTCATGACTGTTTCCATCGTTCATTTGGGAGAAAAACAACAATAACAAAGAAACACCAGTTATGTACTGTACCGCATGCAGTTTTATTTCCATTTAAAATGTATTTACTTGGTTTATTTCAGTGGAGCTCCTGGCATGTGCCAGAGATTGTACTAGGCATGGGAAGAATGAAGCTCAGCGCTTCCCTTAAGGAGTTTCAAACTTCAGTGGGCATCCCAGTCACCGTCCACAGAGCTGCTGGAACCCAGATGGCTGGGCCCACTCCCAGGCTATCTGATTCACTGGGTCTCAGGTGGGGCCCTAGAATTTGCACATTTAAACAAATTACTAGTTGAGGCTGATGCCGATGGTGTAGGGAGCACACTCAAGAACCACCGGTGTCCTGGGAGAGAGAGGCAACTAACCTAACGCAGTGCAGTTGCTGAGCTCTGTGTAGGAGAAAGCTTCCACTTTGGGAAGAGCTGGGAGGGGCCACCTACCTAGACCCAGTGGTTCAGATCAGGAAAGTCTGCCCTCCAGAGATGCTCTAGTGCGCTCTTGAAGGGTGAATCAGGGGTAACTAGCTGCGGAACTGTGAGTAGTTCAATGTGAGGATGAGAATACAGGAGAGGGCAGAGGTGTCAGGCAAGGGGAAGCTGGCTGTCCTTAAGGTCCCCAAAATGATAATAATCTAATCTGAAGTGCTGAAGCTCAGATCTGCTGTCCCCTGGGCTGTAGCTGAGTCACGGGTGAGCGCCAAGAGGCAGCTCTCAGGTGGATCTCAGTGGCTTTGATTGACTTCGAGAGGATCTTTCAGCTACTTCCTCAAAATTAAGAGACTTGAGGAACTCTCTGAGGCTAGAGTGGATTCAGGGATCTGGAAGGTTTCTGTTCCCAGTGTACTAATTCTTTGAGGGAGTATTGCACACACAAGGAACAATCATGTAAGAACATTAAAACCATTTCCAGGCCGGGCATGCTCACACCTGCAATCCCAGCACTTTGGGAGGCTGAGGCAGCTGGATCACTTTAGCTCAGGAGCTCAAGATCAGCCTGGGCAACATGGTCAAACCCCATCTCTACAAAAAAATACAGAAATCAGCTGGGCGTGGTGGTGCGTGTCTGTAATCCC
The DNA here is from genome assembly GCF_000001405.40 of Homo sapiens. Lineage (NCBI taxonomy): Eukaryota > Metazoa > Chordata > Mammalia > Primates > Hominidae > Homo > Homo sapiens. Next base: position 25,535,700 of record NC_000013.11, read on the forward strand.
AGCTACTCAGGAGGATGAGGTGGGAGGATCACTTGAGCATGGGAGGTGGAGGTTGCAGTGAGCCTTGATCGCACCACTGCACTCTAGCCTGGGTGACAGAGCGAGACCCTGTCTCAAAAACAGAAAACAAACAACCAAAAAAAAATTTTTTTTCAAGCAAAATCCAAGTAAGTCATTTCTTATGTACACAAAACTTCTTAGTACTTGGTTACTGGAATATGAATGTTTATTTAGAGAGTAAAGATGAGAGAAAGCCATAATTTCTCTTATCCTCCCACTTTGAATTTAAAAAAATCCACTGCCTTTTTTCATTTGAAAACATGACAAATTTTCTTGTCTAGTGGTTTTTTCTTTACTAATTACTTCTTCTGATTTTTATATGTAATTAAACTATTCATATGAAATCGTTTTAATTTTATTTTATTCTTTTTAGACGGAGTCTCGCTCTGTTGCTCAGGCTGGAGTGCAGTGGTGCCGTCTTGGCTCACTGCAACCTCTGCCTCCTGGGTTCAAGCGATTCTCCTGCCTCAGCCTCCCAAGTAGCTGGGACTACAGGTGCCCACCACCATGCCCGGTTAATTTTTTTTTTTTTTTTTAGTGAGATGGGGGTTTCACCATGTTAGCCAGGCTGGTCTTAAACTCCTGACCTCAAGTGATCTGCCTGCTTCGGCCTCCCAAAGTGTTGGGATTATAGGCGTGAGCCACTGTGCCTGGCCAAAATATTTTTTACTTTTAAAAAACACTTTCAATTGACATAACATCCATTGCTTTTGTACTGGTGGTTGTTAAAACAGCTTTGTGGCATTTTCCCCAGACACTTTAATAAACAACTTAAAGCACCAATAGGATACCTTTCAGTAAATTTGCCTTTTTCCCAACAGAAAATTAAACATGGGCACCTGCTAGCTTGTAAGATCTGGCAGTTTTTCACAAGTTTCGTATCACTTGAAATTCCTGGTTTCTAAGAGAATAGTAACATGGCTAGAATAGGAAATAGAAAGCATAAATGCCCACTTTGAGCTTTGCAACTATTACTGTACTAGTAATGGTCTTCTGGTATCGTCAGAGAATTCTAATGTCCTTGACCTTCACACTCATGATGTCCTTTCAGTTATGCTCCCACTGATGGAGACTGACATTTATATGGACCTGTTTTATGCCAGGTGCCGTGTATACTTCCTTAGTCACTGCATTCACCTTACAAGGCCGGTGGCACTGTTTTCCTGTTTCAGACATGACACGCTGGGGCGCTGGGAGGTGAAGCAGCTTGCGGAGATCACAAAGCTAGCACACGGCTATAAAGCTAGGATTGGAGTTAGGCTTGCCTGATTTGAAAGCCCCTGTTCTCTCTACCCTAGTGCTTTCTGCGATGTTACTGAAAGGATTGGTAGACACTTCGCCATGGTACCATTTTGGAGACTACAGCCCTTTTCCTTGGCTTGAGATCTTCTGTCTAGTGGAGTCTGTTCCCCAAGGTGGTCTCTGACTTTGGCCGTGATCCTTTTTCTGGGAATTTCTTGAGGCTGTACAAATCTTCTCCATTTTATGTGGTATATTTCCAGGGGGACTTTCAGGTGCACTTTTCATGGGTGAATTTACTGTTGCCTTTTAATCAGAGCATTGGCCTTCCGTGCAGCTTGCCCAGTTTTGAATCCTGGTTCTAACACTCAGTGGCTGTATTACTGTGATCAAGTTATTTTGTTTTCTGCACCTCAATTTGTAAAACAGAGAAAAATTTATAAAACAGAGAAAAATTTATGTGTGTTAACTTAGTTGATCCTTGTAGTCACTCTATGAAATATGTGCCTTTATCCTCATTATATAGATGAGGAAACTGAGGCACACAGAGTTTATATAACTTGTTCATCATTACACAGCTCATCAGGGGTGCAGTGGGGATTGAGCCCAGGCTTTAGGCTGGCTCTGGTGGTGTGTGCGTGACCGTTCTACCCTACTGTATACAGCTATGGAAATGCTGAAGTATTTGTAAATGGATGCATAATTGTAAGAAAACGAGATCTTTATAGCTGTTCTGACTTAGCCCTTTTCTCCCTTTCCCTTTCCTTTTTTATTAAACATCATTGCAAAAAAAGGCAACATTACCAGTGTCTGCATGGAAGCACTTTCCTTTTGTTCTTGTCAAGGAAAATAATTTGGGCTTCTCTATCTTAAACTTCATGGCTTAGTTATATAATAATTTTTTCTTCAAATATTTAAGCACCTTTTTCACCATGTGTGTTTTGTTTCTTTTCTTTCGTGCCCCTCTGTCCTCATCCCTGTCTCTCTAGGTGGCAGTGGGAGACATTGTGAAGGTCGTCAATGGGCAGTATCTTCCAGCAGATGTGGTCCTGCTGTCATCCAGGTTAGCTGTGCTAGTAGGCACCTTTTTTGCAATAAATGTTAAGAACAATAAAATATTAAGCAGCACCTGGGGCAGTCTTGAGCAGCCTGTTCCCTTCTACCATCCTCTCTCTGTCCCATTCTTCCATTTCTTGTCATTTCCCTTCTCCTGCCATGACCCTTGGTTTCTTTCTCACATTCATTCCTTTGTGCTTTTTCTGAACTCTTTTATGTGTGTTGACTCCACTTAGTCTCCTGGCTATTTGGGGTTTTTTTCTTATTTATAGGGGCACTGAGTCAAGAGCAGTGGAGTGGTCCATTCATTAATGTCAGGTTGCAGCATATCTGAGATTTCAGAATCTGTTTCCTGATGGGCCCTGCCAGCAGTCTGTCCTGCAGAACCCAGTGCTGCACATTGATAGCTGTTCAAGAACCGTGGGTGTTTTCTCAGCGTAATCGTGACCAGCAGATGGTGTTTGCTCTTCATCCATCCATGTTTTGCCCCTTTTCTGTCCAAGTATCATTTTCATATTCTCTAGGTAGTTTTATTCTAGGAAGGAATCATCACTCAGTGCAGTTCTTGACTTTTTTGGGGCTTGGTGCATGAAAGTACATAGCTAGGAAAGAAAGCCAAAATTAGGGCAAGAATTGACATCTATTCTTGAATTCAAGATTAAATTGTGTGACGTTAGGACTATAACTTCCTATATTTATACACTGTTGGGAATCATAGATCGGCATGCTGTTTGCATTTTCTTTGATTGCAGACAGCGTTTCTTGTATTGAAGTTAATCACTCATTGGATTTTAAGCCTAAGCATTAATTTTCTGCTTGAGATAATAGATTTAAAAATAGGACTCCAGGCCTGTGGAGGGGGAAAAAGAACCAATAACACAGGGCAGGATTTATGTTTGTCCATATTGATTGACAACAAAGAAACCGTTAGAAATATTAAAATATTGATCACTTGATAGTTCGGGCTTTAAGTCTTTAAGTCTTGGCTGTGACCTTAGAAAATTTAGTGTGTGTGTGTGTGTGTGTGTGTGTGTGTGTGTGTGTGTTTTGTTTTGTTTTGGAGACAAGGTCTTACTCTGTCACCCAGGCTGGAGTGCAGTGGCTCAATCATAGCTCACTGTAAGTTCAAACTCCTGGGCTCAAGTGATCCTCCCATCTCAGCCTCCTGAGTAGCTGGGACCACAGGTGCATGCCACCATGCCTGGCTAATTTTTAAAAATTTTTTTGTAGAGGCTCATTTTTAAAAATTTTTTGTAGATGTTGCCCAAGCTTGTTCTGGAACTCCTGGCCTCAAGCAATCCTCCCGCCTTGGCATCTCAAAGTGCTGGGGTTACAAGCGTGAGCCACAGTGCCCAGCCAGTTTTTTTTTTTTAACTTGGTCTTAATACCAGATTGCTTTAGCTGACATCATGTTTCCAGCATGCTCATTATTAGTGTCTGAGTGTGTGCTGTGTGCTGAACAACCTGTTGAGGAGGTTGTCCCACTTAATCTTCCCAATAACCCTGGATAGCCTTCTTTTGTACATGACAAGATTGAGATACGGAGAGACTAAACAATTTGCCAAGGCCATATAGCCCATAAAGGTAGTGCTAGGGGATTTTTACCTTAACTAGTGGTTTTTTAGTTGGAAGAGTCAAGGGGTGGTTAATCACTAACTGTGTGAACCTAGCTAAACTCAAAGATTAGAAATAGGATTATAATATCTGTTATGCTTATTTTTATTTTTCGAGTTTTCTATCTTTAATGCTAGGTGTTTTGATTAAAAAGTTGGACTCGAGATGTAAAAATGGCAGAGAATTAAAGCCTTGCCAAGCCTGTGCCTCGATCCTTCAACTCCTCTGGCTGTTGTTTTCTTCAAAAAATGTGTGTTTCTACTGGCCATGCCTTGGGCAGCCTTTTTGGTCAGGCCCAGCCCCAGACTTGAAGGATTGCCTGAACCCAGTGGTTGGGTCTGACTGGGGACATCACATGTTTCCCTTTCTCTTTCATCTTCAGTTCATTCCTGTCTTCTTGAGGCTCAGCAGTCATTATGTGGGGCTTACAAAGGCAGATCATCTGGGCAAATGACTCTCTACTGGTACTGAGTCCCAAAGATGAGTGTGTGTTTCCTTTTTCATCCATTACTCCTACTATCGTGGTTATTTATAACAATTTATTTTGAAGGGCCAATCAGCAGACACAGATTCCATAATAGAGATTTTCTAAACTGTGAATTTGTGGAAAGGACCTTATGAAACTTGGCTCTTTTTTTCTCTCTCCTTAGTGAACCTCAGGCAATGTGTTATGTTGAAACAGCTAATCTGGATGGGGAGACGAACCTTAAAATACGTCAGGTAAAGTCACCTCTGATGACTTGTGTTGTTATGGTAGACACAACTGCAAATGTGGTCCCCACATATCTTTTTCTAGAGAAATAAAATATTCAGCCACAAAGGGTTATGCCTTAGCCCTAATGGAATCTATGGGAAGAATATGCCATTTATGATGAGAGAGAATGTGTCTCGAAAAAGTAGGCTGCATCAAACTCTAGGTCATGCAGGGTGCCAGGCCTTCATATAGCGTCTTATTGAGTTCTCTGCCTGTGATGCTGGAGAGAGGGGACATCTCGATGAAGCTGAGTGGCTGGGAAGGACACAGCTTAGTGGACAAATGGAGCAGAAAAGCTCCAGGTACCCCAGTTTACATCATTGTTGTAATAAAGATTCTAATCCTAGAGGGTGATATAATTAGATAAAAAACTTCCATGCCTTAAAGAAAACTATTCTTACCATATATTTTAATTCTAGGATGAAGAATAGTCTTTTTTGGTTCTTTTTTTTTTTTTGAGATGGAGCCTTGCTCTGTTGCCCAGGCTGGAGTGCAGTGATGCGACCTCGGCTTACTACAACCTCTGCCTCCCGGGTTCAAGCGATTCTCCCACCTTAGCCTCCCGAGTAGCTGGGACTACAGGTGCATGCTACTACACCTGGCTTAATTTTTATATTTTTTTAGTAGAGATGGGGTTTCACCATGTTGGCCAGGCTGGTCTCGAACCCCTGAACTCAAGTGATCTGCTTGCTTTGGCCTCCCAAAGTGCTGGGATTACAGGCATGAGATACTGCACCTGGCCAAGAATGAAGAATGGTCTTTAACATATAAAAATTTTAAGCACTTTGAAGCTTAAAAAACTTTTGCTGCTTAAAGTTGAATTCAGCAATTCTATCCATATATCTTTCTTTTCTACTGTAGATATTTGCTTTAGACTTTTTTTTTCCATTTAAAGAACAGTTACAGCCTGGGCAACATAGCAAGACCCTATCTCTACAAAAAACTTAAAAAATAGCTGGGCATGATGGCACATACCTGTAGTCCCAGCTACTTAGGAGGCTGAGGTGGGAGGATCACTTGAGCTCAGGATTTTGAGCCTTCAGTGAACCATGATTGCACCACTGCCCTCCAGCCTGGAGGACAGAGTGAGACCCTGTCTCTTAAAGAAAAAGTGAAGAGTGCTAGATAATGTAAAATATTGGAGGGCTACTCTATTCTATCTTTATGACCAGTGTTAGAGTACAGCTAGTAGATTATGCTTGCTGTAAGGTGCTGGGGTATGTTAATTATTACTTATGCACGGATGTTTCTAGTACAGTGGTGGAATCTTAACTTTCAGCTTCATTACATTCTTTTGCCACTTTTGCATTAGATCGTTGTGGCAAAAGCTACTGGAAAAGTCTGCCTTGAGGGGCTGACAGTTTGACTTGTTAGCCCCCCAAATTATTGCACTGGAGATGCCTTATTTTTCCTTTTGATTAACCATAGGGATGCTGAATGGTGTCCCTAAGCACAGAAGATTGTGTTTGACTTCCTCTTTTGGTTTAATCTTTTAGGGTTTGAGTCACACTGCTGACATGCAAACACGTGAAGTTCTGATGAAGTTATCTGGAACTATAGAGTGTGAAGGGCCCAACCGCCACCTCTATGACTTCACTGGAAACTTGAACTTAGATGGGAAAAGGTATTATATGCCTTTTCTTCATTGTCTTTTAAACTATGTGACTAAGAATTACTGGAGCTTTGGAAAATATGTTTGTTTCCTAGTTTTGTAATATTTTAAAACAGTGAGATTTCATACCCTTTCAATTAATTTAAAGCCTTCCTTAGATTTAAGAAAAAAACCCTGAGCCCAAGGGCCTCAGATGAGGCTCAAAGCATGTGGCATATTCTTTCTGTGCCTACTCTCTGCCAGGCAGGAGAAATGGTTTTAGCTGCATAAAATTGTCCAGAAAAGCAGAGGAGAGTTATCTGAGGTGTATACAAGCTAATACACTTGTTACAGAAATGTGTGTATGTGTATTTTTTTTTTTTTTTTGCTAACCACCTTCTAAGGAGCGTTCATTTGTTTTTAGAAAGTTGAGTGAAATGAACACTTATTCTTCCTTTAGAATATTCAGTGCCCTCCTGTCTATATTCTGTTATCTTTGTTCTTCTGGCATTTGTTATGTTGTTCTGGAGTTGTCTTTTGTTCTGATGTTGGAGAGCAGTTTCTACCTTCTGGCCATGTTTGTCTAGAGCCTCTTGCCAATGCCCCCTCCAACCCTGTAACCCAGCCTCTTGCAATGTCCTTTATATTTTGACGACCCAAGGCTTGGAAGGACCTGATCATAGGAATCAACCCAAATTATTATAAATATGACAACTAAGTGTGACTGCTTCTTGGTTTCATTTAGCATACATAGCTATACTATGGGCTCCCCATTCTGAGTTTCTAAATTGTCACTCAGGTCTTTATTTACTCATTAAGTCATCCTTAAAAAAATTGATATGATAGGTTGCTGCTTTTTAAAATTTTACTCCTTCCTAATAGTCTGTAAAATACACTAGATTTATTTTACAAATAATAATAATAATACTTCCAATAATAATACTTAACTACAAATGAGTAAGCTTTGGTTGTTATTTTAGCAACTTCCTTTCTGGGTATTGAGTTTCATAACAGGATCATGAGAGATATAATTACCTGCAACATTTTATAGAAAAAGCATTTTTTTTCTGTAGTGATGAATGTAAAATAAAGCTTTCTGTGGGTCCTTTTGGGGTAGATTAAGCCAATGGTAACCTTTGTTGTCTGTGTTTCTCAGTGAAGTAGTTCAAATTGGAGGAAAGGGAACATTTGATTTATTGTGGGTTCATGTTTAAGGGAAAAACTCATGCTTATTTTCCAGACTATCATTAAATATCATTGTTGTTTTTTATTTTTAGCCTTGTTGCCCTTGGGCCTGACCAGATCTTATTAAGAGGTACACAGCTTAGAAATACTCAGTGGGTCTTTGGCATAGTTGTTTATACTGGACACGACACCAAACTCATGCAGGTAAAACATTTCTATGCTGATTTCAGTCTTTTTTTTCTTTCTGCTTTTATTGACTAGAAGGTGGAAAATGCAGATGTTGCATTTAGGAAGTTCAAATTTGTCTATGAACCTAAATTTGGAAAGAACTGCCTTTATTTTAGTTTCTTAGGTAGCTTTTTCTAGATTTCTGTTCTCTTATCTGATATTTGTTACCGTATGCCTGAACTACAAATGGTCTTTGTTTTCTGGATTAGGGGAACAATCAATTCTAACTTATTTTATCTTCTGGACTTAAGCGGGAATTAGTTCTAACTTTTAAATTTCTCTTTCTACTTCTCCTCTTTATCCCATTAATTAGGATTTTATAGCAAATTGCCTTATTTAACTGAACTTTAGAGACTTTAAAATCAGTTATTTTTGAACCGTTTAGTTTTCATAGACCGAAGAAAAAAATGAAGTTAAAATGATTTTGCTCTTTTTCCCTGTTAATGTTTTTTAAAAAACTGTTTGTGAATTTATAGGTCACATTGCTATTATGATGTATTTTGCCAGACACCTTTTGAAATTCTACAGAAATCAGTGTCCCTGTATGTCATTTCTTACATTTGTTTGGTATCACTTGGCATCTTATTTTTGCCAATGGTGGCTATTAATGAGAATTGGCTTTTCAGCTTGTCTGTTCTTTTGTATAACTTCTAAAATGCACATTTGGCTGTATTTCTTGATTTAAAAATATTTAGTGACCACGTACCAAGTCTAGTGCTAGACCATATGGGTGCAATAGTGAAAGGCCCAGGCTTATCCTCGGGGAGCCAGTTGGGCTAAGGAGTAATATAGAATGACAAAGTAGAGAGAGAGATACTGGAATGTGTGTCATTACTAAGTGCTGTCAGTGTGTATAGGAGGGTCATTCAACCTAGGCTGGAAGCCAGTGGACTACATGCTAAGAATGATTCCCGTGGCAGAAGCACATTTTAGATATCGAGCTAGGGAAGGGAGACTGTTGTGTTGGTCTCCTCTTTGAGGTCAAATGATAGTCAGATGAAAGAGGTAAGTATTAGAGGAGATGAAGCAGTAGACGTTGGTGGCCACCGCAGCTAGTAAACACATTGGAGACAGGGAGGAGAGATGGGATTAGAAGGGTTGAGAGACTCCCTGAAGTTGAAGAGGATTGTTGGAGTTGCTGAGTGACAGGCTGATCAGTGGGTAGAATCTTGTCTTTGTATTTCTGGGGTAGAGAGTTTCTAGCATGGGAGACCTGGGAGTGACTCGTGTGAGTAGGAAGACAAAGGCAGAGCTGTTGAAGGCCATTCAATGTTGACAAGTAAGGAACTGAGAGACTAAGGCATTTGATGGGCCAGTGCTGTGATTTTGAAGATGCGATAATGATGAAGCTGGGCCAGAAAGGAATGCCATGAGCCAGTTGTCAAGTCTTCTGTGAGTGACAGGGAGCAACTGAGAGGTGTGGCCTGGCTACGGGGGAGGGGCAGAAGGTAGTGTAGCCAAATGGCGTGAATTTTATGAGTGAGTTTTTTTTTTTTTTTTTTTAACATGGCATCCAAGGAATAAAGGTCTAGAAGTATTACTAGGTCTTGAATATACATCCAGTAATGCTACCTTCAGAGGCCAAAGGATGCAGATGTCTACTGGCGCACCGTCTGCTTGGGGGTACTCAAGGGAGGCGTGTCCTTGACTTGTGAGGCAAGGAGGAGAGAGCTCTTGAGGGAGTGGGAGTACAGAGGGAAGTTCAGGAGCTGGAAGGGTAGGGGCCCAGGTGCAGTGGCCTGTTGCAGAGCTTGTGTGTTGAAGCAAGGCGGGAGGGCTCCATGGCAGCTAGAAAAATGAAGAGTTGGTGAATGCTGAGAGGCAGCTCTTGGGTGGATCAGGATTATTTAGTGTATCTGAAGTGTGCCTGATCCATCGCCCCTGCTAGGTCCTTATCCATTCACAAGGGCTGACTGGAATGCTTTAAGTTTATTGTTTCTGAGCGGCCTGCATATGAAGACTTTATCTTGATGAATAGTTTAGTGCTGTAGCCATGCAAGAACTCAGGAGGCTGAGATGGGTGGCTCATTGGGACCAGGAGTTTGAGACCAGCCTGGGTGACATAGTGAGACCCCATTTCAAAAAAAAAAATAGTTTAGTACCCTGCTACCTAGAAAGTATCCTTTAACTCCCATAGTGCAGTGTCAGTAACCCTTGCTGCACGCTTTGGGAGCTCCACTAACCACAAATCACTACTTCTGGCTTTTGTTTGTTTGTTTGTTTTTTGAGACAGGGTCTGGCTTTGTTGCCCAGGCTGGAGTGTGGTGGCGCGATCTTGGCTCACTGCAACCTCAGCCTCCCAGGCTCAAGCCATCCTCCCACCTCAGCCTACTGAGTAGCTGGGACTGTAGGCACACACCACCATGCCCGGCTAATTTTTGTATTTTTTGTAGAGACGGGATTTCACCATGTTGCCCAGGCTGGTCTTGAACTTCTGAACTCAAGCGATCCACCCACCTTGGCTTCCCAAAGTGTTGGGATTACAGGCATGAGCCACAGTTCCCAGCCTACTTCTGTTTTTTATGATGAAGTGGCAGACAGATCATGGGTAGCTAGCTCACATTTGGTCAAGGCCCCAAAGCTAGTTTTAAGATTGTGCATATTATAAATTTAAGCACTTTCCAATATTTCTTATACACTGGGTTTTTTTTTTAACAGATTGTAATATGGTTTTTCTAGAGCATACATTGGTAATATAGCTTTTGCTCTAGAAAACCAATATTACATGAGTTAATTAAACTATCTTTTAAAACGCTCCAGTCTTCTCTTCAGTGAGTAAGGCATGCACTGAGTTTGCATTTTGTGAGTGTGAGAGGCACTTTTCCTTGTCCCTAGGTGTGAGAAACCTCTTTGCAAGGCTTCTTGCATGTTGACTGCTCATGTATAGAATGATGGAAAACCCCAGAAACATCTGTGCTAGACCTGCTGTGCCTTTAGGGCTGAAACAACAGGTAAAAATAATGAGCTTTCAAAAGGAATATAACACACATAGCTGGAAGCCATCCTGTTTGTGAAATAACATTGTTTGTCTGTGCTTGTGCTACTTGACCACAGAGAGGAAACTCAATTGCTGTCGGGTTCTTCTACCTTTTTTTTTTTTTTTGAAGTCTCTCACCTCAATGCCTTTTGCCCTTCAAGTTTCCTTCAGTTCATGTTTAGTTTACTTACATGTAGAAATATTTATGTCTATAATTTCTATTAGTTGATTTAATGGGAAAAAGAGCGATTATCACACTAATTACAGCGAACATAATTACAACAAATCATGCACTATTTTGAGTGATGCACATATATCAATTCATTTATTCCTCACAATGGCTAGGTAGTATGTGCTCATTTTACAGATGAGGAGGCTTGCAGCATAGAGTCTCCTAGTAACCCAAGCTTACAAAACTAGTAGGATTCAAAACACAGGCAGTCTGGCCGGGGGCAGTGGCTCACGCCTGCAATCCCAGCACTTTGGGAGGCTGAGGCGGGTGGATCACTTGAGGTCAGGAGTTCGAGACCAGCCTGGCCAACATGGTGAAACCCCATCTCTACTAAAAATACAAAAATTAGCTGGGCATGGTGGTGCATGCCTGTAATCCCAGCTACTCAGGAGGCTGAGGCAGGAGAATTGCCTGAACCCAGGAGGCAGAGGTTGCAGCGAGCCAAGATTGTGCTGCTGCCCTCCAGCCTGGGTGACAGAGCCAGGCTCCGTCTCGAAATAAATAAATAAATAAATAAAAATAAAAAATAAACAAATAAAATAAACAAAACACAAGCAGTCAAACTCCAGAGTCAGTGTAACCCAGGAGTCCCCAAGCCCCAAGCCACAGACTGGTACCAGTCTGTGGCTGTGAAGAACCAGGCCCTACAGCAGGAGGAGAGTGGCAAGCAAGCTAGTGAAGCTTCATCTGTATTTACAGCAGCTCCCCATCCCTCACATTACTGCCTGAGCTCTGCCTCCTGTCAATCAGCGGTGGCATTAGATTCTCATAGGAGCGTGAACTCTGTTGTGAACTGCGCATACAAGGGATCTAGGTTGCTCATTCCTTATGAGAATCTAATGCCCAGTGATCTGTCACTGTCTCCCATCACCTGCAGATGGGACTGTCTAGTTGCAGGAAGACAAGCTCAGGGCTCCCACTGATTCTACATTATGGTGAGTTGTATAATTATTTCACTACACACTACAATGTAAGAGTAATAGAATTAAAGTACACAATAAATGTAATGCACTTGAGTCACCCCAAAACCATCCCCACCCAAGTCTGTGGAAAAATTGTCTTCCACGAAACCAGTACCTGGTGCCAAAAAGGTTGGGGACAGCTTTTCTAACTAGAATTCAATGGCCTGTTTCTCAGGAGGGAATAAAATATCTAAGATACAGGTCTGATTTCAGCTTTTCAAAATCTGACATTTTGACCTGTTTCTATTTATAAGTCCGTTACACTGAAGTAGCTGGGTTCTTCAAGAATTTTATGGAAGAATTTATAATACTTGTAGGAATTTAACATTAAAAGCTCATCATTGGGCCAGGTGCGGTGGCTCACACCTGTAATCCTAGCACATTGGGAGGCGGAGGTGGGCAGATTGCCTGACCTCAGGAGTTCAAGACCACCCTGGGCAACATGGTGAGACCCCTGTCTCTACTAAAAATACAAAAAATTAGCTGGGCGTGGTGGTATGCACCTGTGGTTCCAGCTACTATGGAGGCTGAGGCAGAAGAATCGCTTGAACCTGGGAGGCAGAGGTTGCAGTGATCCATGATCACGCCACTGCACTCCAGCCCAGGTGACAGAGTAAGACTCTGTCTCCAAAAAACAAACAAACAAACAAAACAAAAGAAAACCCATCATTGATCATTGCAAGTAAAAATGTTCAGGGGGTGGGAGTCAGTAGGCCAAGGTTGGCTTTCCACAAAGTGCACATGTTGAAGCTTGAAGTTTTGGGATTGTTCCTCTTCTGTTAGATGAAAGATAAAGTTTTCTAATCCTCCTAATTGGCCAGAATTCAGCCACTGAAAAAGATAAAAAGTCAATAATAAATGGGGTATAGAAATGAGGTTTATGATAATTTTTTTCCTGCCTGTACATTTAGTGAATATTTATTAAGAATGATGAGATCTTGCTTAGTTTTTAAGAGTTAGGATGACCAGTCCTGGACCTGGCCTGCTGGCCCTTACGTTGAGGCCAGACCTGGATGTGTCGTCTCAGTTGACCTTGATACAGTATTTGATTGATGATAAGTTGGCCTTTACTAATGGATTTCCATTTAGACTCCTGAGGATTTTTAAGTCCGTAAAGGATGAATAATTTAGACAAATAAAGTAAAAGGGAAAAAATAGAAATAAAGGAAAAAGCTGCTGTGTTGTTTAGATATTTAAAGGACTTAGCTTTTCAAAATCACCAGTACAATCCCCCAACTCCTCTGCCCCCAAAGAAAACTGTGGGGAGATAGTATTTTTGGTTTGCCAATAGAATTCAAATAACAATTTCAGTGATGTGGTATAAATTTTTCTTGGAGCTTAGGAGTGAATTGCCTCATGTTTTCATCTCAGTTTTATTTTCACATTGTGACTTTATTTGTATTCTTATCTTTGGAGACATTTTCATCCTAGCTCTTTTAATGATCAGATCAATGGAGACTAGTGAAGGAGAATGCTGACTTAAGTTTGGCACAAGGTACCATTTTTATGGTTAGTGCCTTACAAACTCTCAGATTATCCAAACTTGGCAAATTGGTGTTGTCTCTTAAAAGTCCGGGCCCGGCCGGGCGCGGTGGCTCATGCCTGTAATCCCACCACTTTGGGAGGCCAAGACGGGCAGATGACAAGGTCAGGAGATTGAGACCATCCTGGCTAACATGGTGAAACCCCATTTCTACTAAAAATACAAAAAAATTAGTCGGGCATGGTGGCGCACACTTGTAATCCCAGCTACTTGGGAGGTTGAGGCAGGAGAATCACTTGAACCGGGGAGGCAGAGGTTGCAGTGAGCCGAGATCGCACCACTGCACTCCAGCCTGGGCAACACGGTGAGACTCTGTCTCAAAAAAAAAAAAAAAAAGCCTGGGCCCATGATTCATGGAAGGAGACCTGCAGGCTGACACTCCTGTGTGAGCCTCTCCCTGTCCAATTCCTGACTTCTGATTTAAGTCAGGAATTATTTCACCCCCAGGAATGGATTATAAATAATTCCCCTGTGGCTTTCCTCTCTTCAGTGTCTCCTTCCCCAACCTGCTGTTATTACTGTACTGGTTTCCTCTGGCTGCTGTGACAGATTTCCACAGTTTTAGTGACTTAAAAAAACATGAGTTATTGTGCTGCAGTTCTATAGGTGAGAAGTCTACTATGAGTAGTAGACTCCCTGTGCTAAAACCCGAGATGTTGGCTGCTCTTTTCTGCAGGCTTCAGAGGGGACTCTCTCTGATCATTTCTCTGTCTCCACCTCTCCCTTTGAGCACAATTCAGAAAGCTTCTCCCTTTTGATGACCCTTGTGGTTAGATTGGGTCCACTTGGGTAATCCAGAATAATCTCTCCCTGTCTCACAGTTGTTAATTTAATTTAATCCCATCCGCAAAGTCCCTTTTGCTGTATAAAATAGCACACTCAGGTCAGGCATGGTGGCTCATGCCTGTAATCCCAGCACTTGGGGAGGCCGAGGAGGGTGGATCACCTGAGGTCAGGAGTTCGACACCAGCCTGGCCAATATGGTGAAACCCCATCTCTACTAAAAATACAAAAAATTAGTCGGGCGTGATGGTGGGCGCCTGTAGTCCCAGCTACTTGGGAGGCGAGGCACAAGAATTGCTTGAACCCAGGAGGCGGAGGTTGCAGTGAGCTGAGGTCACACCACTGGACTCCAGCCTGGGTGAGAGAGTGAGACTCCATCTCAAAAAATAAAATAAAATAACATACTCGCAGTGCCCCACAAGTAGGATGTGGGCATTACTGGTGGAGGAGGGGGTGGTCATTAGTTTGCCCACCATAAGTACCTTCAGATATTTTTTAATAAAATGACTTCAGGTGCATAACTGTCTTTCTCAAACAGTTGTGTTGACTTTCCCATGGCTGAGAGGATCTAGTCCCAAATGTTCCACCTGAACTGGAGTGATTCTTGAATCTAGCCTTAATGAATCTTTCTATACTCTCCTGCCAACACTGGCCTCAGCTCCACCTGGGCTGGTTTCCCCCCAGCAGTGAGAAGGCAGGTGCTAAGCCTGTGATAAGGTTGCCATTCTCCTTCCGTTTCTCCTTTGCTGTCTACATCATTCAGGATGCCACTCAGCTTTCTCCTGTCCAGGCCCTTCCTGACTCTTCTTGGTCCTGCTTCTTGTTCCCAGTTCTCCAAGTGAACTTTTTGTCCATCCACTTATTTTGAAACCCTCTAATGTTCTGTTTTGCATTATTGATATGTATGTGTTTGTGTATGTCTTTTTTATTCCTCAAATTCTGAGCTCCGGGAGGAAAAATATGTGCTTTAGAAATATCTCTGTGTATTTATTGCAGAGCTGTGCTATTATCGTGAAGGTCTTCTCTAGATTTTTATGGTATGGAATGTCTAAGTTTCTCTTGAATTACCAGTGTTCTGATTTCTTTGAAACTGGACTATATTTAGAACCTGTTGTGTTCTAAGATAAGGAAAGTGACAATTATATGCTAAGATATAATCATAAGAAGTACAGAATGAATCATGTAATGTTGGAATGTGTTCTTTAAACTGGTAGAGTATGTTGTCTTTCTTCATTACTTAAAACTAGCTATTGATTCAGGAGCATGGTACACTTTTGAATTGCATTGATTATTTGGCAAAAAAATAGTCTTTTACTTGTTGGTTGTTAAATATGGTTGTTTTACCTCCTTTCCCCCAACCCCTTGCCCCAAATCTGTTCTGTGACCCTTACTGACTTTCAATGCTGTTGTGTAGAATTCAACCAAAGCGCCTCTCAAGAGATCAAATGTTGAGAAGGTGACTAACGTGCAGATCCTGGTGTTGTTTGGCATCCTCTTGGTCATGGCCTTGGTGAGCTCGGCGGGGGCCCTGTACTGGAACAGGTCTCATGGTGAAAAGAACTGGTACATCAAGAAGATGGGTAAGTGTCGGGGTGGGTTGCTTGTTCCAGTGGAAGAAAACCATTTTTGAGATGTTCTTGCAGCCATGGTTGAAGTGTGGTGTCCCTGCTGTCCTTCTGTTCCCTTTGGTTACTGTACATAATGCCAGCCTTTCAAGGAGAATTGAGATTAGGATCATGTGATGAAATGAAGATGGGCACATTTGGGACTTGTCTTATACTCAAATGGTTATTTTTAAACTCTGTGTTAAAGTATTTTCTTAGTGGTTGCCCTAGGAATTACAATGTATTTCCCAATTTATCCAAATCTACTTTTGATTAATACTAACAATTCTAGTCAAACACAGAAATGTCACTCCAGCGTACCTCCATTTCCTCTCCTGCTTGGTGCTGTCATTGTTATATTCCATTTATCTGTGTTGTCAACTCCAAAATAGTGTTATAATAATTTGTGTCTCTTAAAGAAGCTAAAGGAAAAAAGAAAAAAAGTATATTGATAGTGTTTTTTGTTGTTGTTGTTTTGAGACGGAGTCTTGCTCTGTCGCCCAGGCTGGAGTGCAGTGGTGTGATCTCGGCTCACTGCACCCTCCACCTCCTGGGTTCAAGCAATTCTCCTGCCTCAGCCTCCTGAGTAGCTGGGACTACAGGTATGTGCTAACATGCCTGGCTAATTTTTGTATATTTAGTAGAGACGGGATTTCACCATGTTGGACAGGCTAGCCTCGAACTCCTGACCTCAGGCAATCTACCCGCCTCGGCCTCCTGAAGTGCTGGGATTACAGGTGTGAGTCACCACGCCTGGCCAGGGTTGTTTTATATTAACATATTTACTTACCATTTCCAGGTCTCGCTCTTCATTTCTTCCTTTGGATTTAACAGCTGGTGTCATTTCTTTGCTTCATGTATCTTCATTCTCTCCTCACTCCTTTGCACTGTCATATATATTACATCTGTATATAAGTTCAACAATGCAATTTTATGATGCTTTTAGCAATTGCTTTTTTAAAATTGGGAATATATAATTATACTATCTTTTATAAATCCTGTAGAATTATCATTACTAGTGTCCTTTGTTTTTGTGGATTTTAATTACTGTCTGGTATTTCTTTCATCCTGGAGAACTTCTTTAGTATTTCTTGTATTTGTAATTGTCAGGTAGATATTTGTTTATACCTTACAGATATTTGTAACTATTGGAACTTAGAGATCCTATTTAGAAACTCCTTAATTCTACAGGAGAACAAGAGAGCAAAGTAATATGTCAGGAAGAAAAGCAACCAGCAGGAAAAGTGGAAGGGTTGGTAGTGAGTAGGAAGTGAAGGGATTGTGGAAAGGTAAAATTACTGGCCAGCATATGCCTGCTCCCCCTGTACCTTCCCAGCTCCTTGTCTTTCCATCACAGCCACGCTTCAAAACTCTAAATTGGAATCAGACTACCACCATTTGATGTAATTTCCTGGGAAAAAACCTAGTAACTATGGTTTGGAGCCATTACAAATTATCAGTCTCCCTCCAATCCCAGCCTTCTGCTATCTTTATTCTCATTCTAGTTCCCTTCACAGCTTTAATATCAGTTAAACGCTGTTGCAACCTTCTCCTTAAGCCTCTTGCTAAGTTAAGAAGATCTCACTACTTTACCCTTCAAGCAGAAGATCATGGCTGTCAAGGAAAGAACTTTCCCTTTGATACCCCCAGACCTTGTCCCCCTCTCCCTCCCCCATTCTCTGTTCCTCCTGGAGCTGATGCTGCCTCTGCTGTGGACTCCATCCCCTAGGGTCCTGTTCCATCCTTAGGGAACTTGTTCCGTCCAGATATCCCTTCTCTTATCTTTAGCTGGGCTCAAGCCTTCTCTCTCTTTGTCTGCTTCTCTTGTTCACACTTTTGTCCATCTTTCCAGCTCTTTGGAGTATCCCCAATATACACGTACCTTAGTGAGCTTGTAGGTGTTCCTTACAACCATTTCAAAGGCCTGTCTTCTTTTCTACATTCTTTCAAGTTTGCTTCTTTTCTCTGTTCTTCAAAACTTGAAAGCAGCATTTCTTCTTCTGGATGGCCTTCAGTGACCATGCCTTCCCATTAGAAAGCCTTCTGTGTTGGTTCCCGCTACGTCCTGTGAGCCTCTCTTTAGCGGATGCATCCTGCTGTGCAGTCGCATTGTGGGGCCTGTGTGCCTCCTACAGAAAGCAGCCTTTGAACTCACGGTTCCTGACATGCAGGAGGTGCTCAATAACTATTTTAACATGAATCTCTAAATGAGCCAATAGACTTTGGTTGTGAACACCTTTCAGATACTCTGGTTTCCTTCCACAGACACCACCTCAGATAATTTTGGATACAACCTACTGACGTTCATCATCTTATACAACAATCTTATTCCCATCAGTCTGTTGGTGACTCTTGAGGTTGTGAAGTATACTCAAGCCCTTTTCATAAACTGGGTGAGTATTAAAGCAGAGTTGAATCACTATTTTCCAATGCTATTTCAGAGCCTTTGGCATTTAATTGAGCACTCAAAAAAGAAGAACTATATTCATTTACCATTAGGTCCAGGGGCTTAAACTGGCCATACAAAGAACTGGCCAGGGATCACCAGTGAGGGTGTTTTTGGGGAATGGAAGGGCAGTGGTACCTATTCAAGGCGTTGTTGTGAGGATTGGTCAGAGAATGGGGTGGAATGCTGAGCCAGTGCCTGTCATCTGGCTGCACCTGCTATTCACGCTTTTAACATCTAATTAAGGCTGAAGAAAAGGCCTCTTGGGTGTGTTTACTATAGTGGTCACTCGCATATCAAAATTCATTGTGATAGTCAACTTGGATTTGATTGTAAGGGTGGAGATAAGATATTTAAAGGACTGCCATGGCTCTTAAGTAGTGGACTTTAGCAGCCAGTATTTGTAGACCAGGCACTTTGATGTGCATTTTTATTTGATCTTCACAGCAATCCCGTCAGCAAGGTGAGAATCATGAGTTAGTCTAGGTTGTGAAATGATTATTTTGAAATCAAATCATATCTATATAAATATAAATCATGTGTGTGTGTGTGTGTATGTGTGTGTGTGTGTGTGTGTGTGTGTGTGTGTGTGTATTTCTTTTTTAGATGAAGTCTTGTGCTGTCACCCAGGCTGGAGTAAAGTGGTGTGATCTTAGCTCACTGCAACTTCCATCTCTTGGGTTCAAGCGATTCTCATGCGTCAGCCTCCCTGAGTAGCTGGGATTACAGACATGCACCACCATGCCTGGCTAATTTTTGTATTTTGAGTAAAGACAGGGTTTCACCATGTTGGCCAGGCTGGTCTCGAACTCCTGACTTCAAGTGATCTGGCCACTTCGGCCTCCCAAAGTGGTGGGATTACAGGCATGAGCCACTGCGCCCAGCCAAAATCAGCATTTCTATTAAAATAAAAGGGTTTTAGATTACCCATTCTTAGCTTCTTTTCTGTGTTAATCTGAATGAAGAATTAATGGTATATATTTTCTGAAATCCTGTCTCTTGTTCTCTCTCTCTCAGGACACAGATATGTATTATATAGGAAATGACACTCCTGCCATGGCCAGGACATCAAACCTTAATGAAGAGCTTGGGCAGGTGAAAAAGCCTCTGGGAACTTTGGGAATGGTGACACGAGCATGAGGGAAAATGAGTGTTAGCAGAAGAACCATGGAAAGATTTTGCAAAAATACTTCTCCATGAACATGGCTAGAACATCTGAAGAGCTATATAATACTTTTGAATGTGCCAGTAAATATAAGCGTTACTCAGTTTTGTCTTGCTTTTTGAGACACAGCTATGTCGTATCACCCAGAAGTAACCAGAAAAAAAAAAGAAGTAATATAAAAAATACAGTGCAACATCATTTGGGACGCTTAAAAAAGTGTTATCAGAAGCAAATAACGGGGAAAACGATGGCTGAGATACTTAGATATTGAGTAACCCTACAAAACGTGTGGGGGCCAATTTAAAGGACATGCATTTCTCGCATGTTCCGAATTTTGTCTCTGGAATATTCTAGGGAACAGTATCTTTTCCACCTTTACCCCTGAACTCCTCTTGCCTTTACTAAGTTGGGCTTTGCATTATGTCTGTGTCTGACATTGACATTCCTGTAAGGAATAACCTCTTTTTAAATGTTTAATTTAATTTAATTTATTTTTTCAATATTTATTTTAGATTCGGGGGTAAATGTGCAGGTCTGTTTTGTGGGTATATTATGTGGTGCTGAGGTTTGGAATATGAATGATCCCATCACTCATGTACCTGAGCATAGTACCCAACAGTTTTTCAACGCTTTTCCCCAACCCCATCTAGTAGTCCCCAGTGTCTCTTGTTCCCATATTTATGTCCTTGAGTATGCAATGTTTAGCTCCCACTTAATAAGTGAGAATATGTGGTATTTGGCTTTCTGTTCTTGCATTAATTCTCTTAAGATAATGGCCTCCAGCTCCATGCATGTTGCTGCAAAGAACATGATTTCATTTTTTTTCTGGCTATGTATTCCATGGTGTATATGTACCACATTTTCTTTATCCAATCCACTGTTGATGGGCATCTAGGTTGAGTCCATGTCTTTGCTATTGTGAATAGTGCTGTGATAAAGATGCTGCATGTCTTTTTGTTAGAACCATTTGTGTTCTTTTGGATATATACCCAGTAATGGGATTGCTAGGTCAAATGGTAGTTCTGTATTAAGTTCTTTGAGAAATCTTCATACTGCTTTCCACAGTGGCTGAACTAATGTATACTCCCACCAATAGTGGATAAGTGTTCCCTTTTCTGTGCAGCATTGCCAGCATCTGTTGTTTTTTGACTTTTTAATGATAACCATTCTGACTGGTGTGAGATGGTATCTCATTGTGGTTTTGATTTGCACTCCTCTGATGATTAGTGATGTGGAGCATTGTTTCATATGTTTTTTGGCCACTTGCATGTTTCTTTGGAGAATGTCTGTTCATGTCTTTTGCTCATTTTTTTAATGGGGTTGTTTGGTTTTTGCTTGTTCAGTTGTTTAAGTTGCTTATAGATTCTGGATATTAGACCTTTGTCGGATGTATAATTTGCAAATATTTTCTCCCATTCTGTAGGTTGTCTGTTTACTCTGTTGGTAGTTTCTTTTGTTGTCCAGAAGCTCTTTAGTTTAATTAGGTCCTACTTGTTGATTTTTGAGGACTAACCTCTTTTGAATGCCTTTTGCCATTAAAGATTTTGACTTCATTTCATACACCTTATTCAAACCCACCAGGAACCCTAAGGGGAGGGTGCTGTACCTTCATTTTATAGAGAAGGAAAGGAGTAACTTATCGAAGGACACCTGGTTATTCAGTGTCAGATTGGGGACTTCGGGTTGTCTGTCGAGATCTGGCTGTTCCAAGCTTCCCTGCCTGGTGAAGGAATACTACCATGTTGCATCTCCCCTGCTCCTCATTATCCCTCTGTGAAAATGCAGGCGACATGGCTCATTGATCTGAGGGTTAGAAAAACTCCCTTATGGAGGTAGGCTTGCTTTCTTCATTTTTCTTTCCTCGAGGATAGAGTGAATTCTGTGATGGTTTGTGTATCATTTTTGAGTTTATTGCCAGAAAACTGAGGTTCAAATTTGTAGACTAAAATAGACCTTTGTAGACAAAAAAAAGCAAGTGATTGTGTTTCTTTGATATAATTTTCCAAACCTACTTAATTTTTGTCTTTATCTTTCCTTAAATTGTGTATATTCATATAAGTGCTCTAAATTCTTAGTATAACAGGATGGATTGTTATTACAGAGAATGTCCTTGGCACAGAGCACAAATCCTCCCATTGCCTTTGGGGCTCTGGTCACAAAGGGCTGAATACAGCACCCAGAGCAGGCCTTGGACCTTGGGCTGTCAATCCTCATTTTTTTTTCTTTTTTTTGGCTTATGTTCTCTCATTCTAGAATGGCTTTGTCATTTCCTTTATCTGTTGGTAAAATCCTTCTCCTGTAAGAATCAGTGAGTTCTTGGTGCATATCAGGCTAAATTTGCCTTCTCTTTGAACTCTTCTCCAGTTTTCCGGGCTTGGTTAGTCTGTCTTCTATGTTCCCATAACAGTCTTCCAAACATAAATACAGTAAAATAAGGGGTATGAGTGATGTAGTGTCCATTTCTCTCTGGAGACTTTGTGAGGGCGTGGGTGTGCCCTATACAGGTCTTTGGTTGCCTTTGTTAGTTTAGCACAGTGTGCAGTATATAATTGTTTGCAGGTGTCATTGAACTGGACCTGAATAATTTAAGGATTGAAAGTGTTCAAGAAGTACCCATGGATGCTTCAGTAGTTCATCCTAATTGAGGATATGGGGAAAGTTTGCATGAGGAAGAAATTTTGAGTTGGAACTTTAAGGATAAGTTAAAATTTAGTAGGCAAAGTGATAGCAAATCTTAATAAGCCCTTATTATAAAATGTTCATTAAAAATTTTTTTTTTTTTGAGATGAAGTTTCACTCTTGTCACCCAGGCTGGATTGCAATGGTGCGATCTCGGCTCACTGCAACCTCTGCCTCCTGGGTTCAAGCGATTCTTCTGCCTCAACCTCCTGAGTAGCTGGGATTGCAGGCACCTGCCACCATGCCTGGCTAATTTGTTTTGTATTTTTAGTTGATGTTTTGCCATGTTGGCCAGGCTGGTCTCAAACTCCTGACCTCAGGTGATCCACCCGCCTTGGCCTTCCAAAGTGCTGGGATTACAGGTGTGAGCCTCTGCACCTGGCCTTTAGTTTTTTTATATGATATTTTAATTTTCTTAAAAATGCAGAAAGAATCCTGCTTACTTAAAGGCAGATTCTACTAAATTTTCCATACCCCTAGACTTACTGCATGTAAAAACTTGTTTAAAGTATAAATTAGCCCTAAGGTACGAGTATTATATGTAGATGTAGTATTTGACTTCTTTAGGAGCTTTAATAACTTGAAGTCCCTTTGATTGTTTTCAAAAAACTTCCCAGTGTATGTTTATATTGTATCATTAAGAAAAATTACTGAGTAAGCAATTCATGTAATCAGTCCCTCTTCTATACAACAGTAAAACACTGCTTCCCTAGACCAGTTCTCTGGGATCTCTGGAAGGTATCTAGCACTCAGCAAGTCCTGACGCCTTTTTGGAAGACCACTGAGAAACTGGAGTTTCCTCTGGAGGCAATTCTGTTAATTACTCTCCCTCACTAATCCATGACATAATTTCTCAAATGTTACGTGTAGAATGATGGTGCATATCATTCAGTAGCACATCATTCAGTCAGAGCTCTTATTGCAACTCCCTCTGCATATTTCGGTACACTTTGATTATATAATTAGTTATGGAAGAAGGTTTGTAAGTGGTCTAAGCATTAAAATATTAATATATTTTTTGTTACTAATTTGCTTGCTTTAGGGAAATCTACCCGTTTCATACAGGTTTTGAAAAATATAGAAGGAAAGACTTCATTTGTTGATCTTTGCATCTCAATACTTCCTGATGTATATTTCTTTTATTCTTTGGTTTAGGTGAAATATCTCTTTTCTGACAAGACTGGAACGCTTACATGCAATATCATGAACTTTAAGAAGTGCAGCATTGCCGGAGTAACCTATGGGTCAGTGTGTTTATCATTTACTGAAAATTTACTTGTATTCTTTCAAGAAAATAAGTTTATTTTTAGCTACTTAGTCAAATATCTTGACTTTCTGATGTTTTGAAAGGATAAAGTAGTTACTATGGAATGTGTTTGTAACTGAATGGATCCCAAATTAAACTCTGAACAGTTAAAACATGGTTTATTTCTGACTGGGTGCAGTGGCTCACACCTGTAATCCCAGCACTTTGGGAGGCCGAGGCAGGTGGATTGCCTGAGGTTGGGAGTTCGAGATCAGCCTGGCTAACATGATGAAACCTTGTCACTACTAAACATACAAAATTAGCTGGGCATTGTGGCATGTGCCTGTAATCCCAGCTACTCAGGAGGCTGAGGCAGGAGAATCGCTTGAACTTGGGAGGCAGAGGTTGCAGTGAGCCGGAATTGCTCCACTGCACTCTAGCCTGGGTGACAGAGTGAGACTCTGTCTCAAAACAAAAACAAAAACAGAAAAACAGCAACAAAAAAAGTGGTTTATTTCTGCAAATATTAACTTGGTAAGAAGTCCCTGAGAATCTGTAAGTTTGTATATCTAATCTAAGAATTAGATCAGTTTTGATCAGAATGTCTGTCTTTTGATCACAGTTTTGTGACCACTCTGTTTTCCGTTTCTCTGGCAGTCACTTCCCAGAATTGGCAAGAGAGCCGTCTTCAGATGACTTCTGGTAAGTAGATTCTAGCACTTCTTGACACTTTAGTGGAAAAGCTTTTGGAATAATTATTTATTATTATTCATTTACATTTTTAGAGACAGCCTCACTCTATTGCACAGGATGGAGTGCAGTGATACTGTCATAGCTCACTGTAGTCACGAACTCCTGGATTCAAGTGATCCTCCTGCCTCAGCCTTCTGAGTAACTAAAACTACGGGCATGCACCACCATGCCTGACTAATTTTGTAATTTTTTGTAGAGATGAGGTCTCACTATGTTGCTCAGGCTGGTCTCAAACTCCTGGCCTCAAGCTATCCTCCCGCTGTGTCTTCCCAATGTGCTGGGATTACAGGTGTGAGAAACCAGGCTCGCCCTGGAGTAATTTTATTAGCATTTCTCACCTGCCTATTTTTGTATGTAAATAAAAGTTGCATATATGTTGTTTTGAAAGAAAACCAGATAAAATTTAAGGATGAACATGGCTTTAAAAGTCCAGGGATACTATAGGACTTTTAACAAAAAAATTGACTGCCCTTGGTTCAGTGTTTCCCACTCACTCCCTATTCCCTGGAGGCAGCCAACCTCAGTGCTTTTGCTTTTTAAAAAATTTTATTTTTATATTTCAAAATAATGTTTATATTAGTTTTTAAATTAAAAACATTTAGGACAGGTGTGGTGGCTCACACTTGTAATCCCAGCACTTTGGGAGGCCTAGACAGGCAGATCACTGGACGTCAGGAGTTCGAGACC
The DNA here is from genome assembly GCF_000001405.40 of Homo sapiens. Lineage (NCBI taxonomy): Eukaryota > Metazoa > Chordata > Mammalia > Primates > Hominidae > Homo > Homo sapiens. Next base: position 25,560,504 of record NC_000013.11, read on the forward strand.
AGCCTGGCCAACATGGTGAAACCCTGTCTCTACTAAAAATACAAAAATTAGCTGGATGTGGTGGCGGGTGCCTGTAATCTCAGCTACTCGGGAGGCTGAGGCAGGAGAATCAGTTGAACCCAGGGGGCAGAGGTTGCAGTGAGCCGAGATGGCACCACTGCATTCCAGCCTGAGTGACAGAGTGAGACTCTTGTCTCAAAAAAAAAAAAAAAAAAAAAAAAGACAAATTAAAAACATTTAGACATTGTTTGACTTTTTACCATGGAAGGTGAGAGTTTATCTCCTACTCTTGCTCCACCCCCTTTGGAAGCATTTCAGATTTTCTGTACCTCCTTAGGCATATGCCATTTCAACCATGAAGCTTCGGGCAGGTTTTTACATTTTTTCCTTTTTTTTTTTTTGAGACGGAGTCTCGCTCTGTTGCCCAGGCTGGAGTGCAGTGGCATCATCTTGGCTCACTGCAAGCTCCGCCTCCCGGGTTCATACCATTCTCCTGCCTCAGCCTCCCGAGTAGCTGGGACTACAGGCGCCCACCACCACACCCAGCTAATTTTTTGTATTTTTAGTAGAGCGGGGTTTCACCGTGTTAGCCAGGATGGTCTTGATCTCCTGACCTCGTGATCTGCCTGTCTCGGCCTCCCAAAGTGAATTTTTTCCATTATTTTGGACATTCATTGGACCACCAGTGGGCCATTCTGTCTCTGAGTTTCCTCTTCTTGATTCTCAGAAGTGTCTTTGTATTATTTCTGTGATAATTTTCCTCCTCTCCAGCTTCCCTGTTCCCTCTGCATCTCTTGATAGTCAGATATTGAATCTCTTGGGTTGATCCTCCAGTTTTGTTATCGTTCTGTCTCATTTTCCATAGATTTTTTTTGTTTTACTTCCTGGTATTTTTTTCACCTTGATCTTCTATCCTTCGTCATGAGTTTTCTGTGTGATCTCACTTTCAGTTTTCGAAAGCATTCCCCTAACTTCGCTTTTGCATTCCGTGTTTTCTCTGCCCTCCTCTCCCACCCTCCCTACTGCCCACCCCTGGTGTTTTGATTTATTTTCTATAGGCTTTCTTCAAAAACCTGGTGATCATTGGCTGTGTGCTCATATATTTTCATTTCTTTTTGTGTAAAATATGTGTAACATAATATTTATCATTTGACTCTTTTAAATGTACAATTCAGTTGCACTAAATAGATTCATAATGTTTTGCAGCCATCCGCACCATTCATTTCTAGAACTTTTTCATCTGAAACCCTATCTATTAAACAAAAATTCTTCATTGCTGCCTGCCTCCAGACCCTAGTAACCACCATTCTGTTTTCTGTCTCTATGATTTTGCCTGTTCTAGGTACCTCATGCAAGTGAAATTGTGCAGTATTTGTGTTTTTGTGTTTGGCGTATTTCCCTTAGCATGTCTTCAGGGTTCATCCATGTTGTAGAATGTGCCAGAATCTTCTCCCTTTGGAAGGCTGAGTAATATGCGATTGCATGTATATGCCACATTTTGTTTATCCCACCATCTGTTCATGGGCATTTGTGTTGCTTCCACCTTTTGGCTACTGTGAATAACGCTGCTGTGAACATCGACATACAGGTATCTGTTTCAGTCTCCGCTTTCCATTCTTGGGGGTATATTCCTAAATATGGAATTACTGGGTCGTATGGTAATTCTGTGTTTGACTTTTTGAGGAAAAACCGTGCTATTTTCCATAGCAGAGCCACCATTTGACATTCCTGCCAGCAATGCACAAGGGTTTCACTTTCTCCACGTCCTTGCCAACACTTGTGATTTTTCAGGTTTTGTTTGTTTTATAATAGCCATCCTAATGGGTATGAAGTGGTACCTTATCATAGTTTTGATTTCTGTTTCCCTTATAAATGGTGATGCTGTCTGTCTGCACGTGTTTTAAAGCTTATACACAAGAAACCTGACTGCTAGGGCTGTGTGTGGAGTGGGGCCACTGTGGTTGATGACGGATTGCCTGCCTGGAGAATGGTCAGCCAGGACCCACTATTGTATTAAGGGATCCCTAGATGTCAGTGTCTATGGGTCTTTCTTGTCAGCTGTTCAGCTTTCTTTTCATAAAAAGAACTTTCTAGTTTCCTGCCAAGGGCTATAAATTTGGTTCAACTGTTTTGGAAGCTGTGTGGAGGCAGTGGGCCAGTGATTGTACCTTTCAGCTTATATAGAATTTCACTTAAAACCCTGTTTTGGGAGGATGCCTAACCTATCCACATGTGTGCCTGTGTGCCCAGTGTGCCTGGGCTCAGGACTACTCTGGTTTAATTTCTGTAAAAGATAAGCATTTTTTTTTCTGGCTGTGGAAGTTTCAGTTGTCTGGCCGCATGGGATGTGAGGATTCTTGAAGGCTGAATGTTCCTCAAGTGGATGTGGAAGCTGTGCTGTCTTCCTCCTTCCCTGTACCTCACAGGTGCCTTGTGCTGCCATTTGTTCCACCTTCCCAGCACACTGTTGAGGGCATCAGCTTGCATTTTAGGTGCTCCCCCTTGCAAGCTGTTGGTTACTGTTTTCTGTGCTGTTACGTATTTCAAGTTAAGACTAACATACACTCTGCTGTCATGTCTTCTTTCATTGTCTTTGTCTTGACAACGTTGAAGTTTCAAGAGGAGGCCAGGTGCGGTGGCTCACGCCTGTAATCCCAGCACTTTGGGAGGCCGAGGTGGGTGGATCACCTGAGGTCAGGAGTTTGAGACCAGCCTGACCGACATGGCAAAACCCTGTCTCTACTAAAAATACAAAATTAGCCAGGTGTGATGGTGGCCATCTGTAATCCCAGCTACTTGGGAGGCTGAGGCAGGAGAATTGCTTGAACATGCCAGGCGGAGGTTGCAGTGAGCCGAGATCACACCATTGCACTCCAGCCTGGGCAACAAGGGTGAAATTTCATCTCAAAAAAAAAAATTTCAGGAGGGAGTGGAGATAAATGAATATATAGTTGATTCTTCACATTTTCTTCAATGTGATAGCTCACAGCCATCATATTGTTTCCTTTCTTGTAATTATTTGTTGTCTTCCCTCTCCTACATATGCGCTCTGGCCACAAATGATTGCATGTATACAGTGCAATATTTACTCTTGTTTTATTTGCTGTGAGCAGACACTCTTAGAAGTTTTCTCTGGTGGAAGTGACTCGGGCCAACTGAAATGCCAGCCATTGTCTTGATCCCTGGCTTCTGTTTCTTCTCCTTGTAACTATTGTTCCTTGTAACTGTTGTTCTTTACAATAACTCGTAAAGTATCTTATTTATAGTAAACTCCAGGATTAATTGTTTTGAGGTTTAAAATAATAATACAGAATTTCAAGTCTTTAAAAGTTTAATGTGAATCCCTATAGGACTTTAGGTATGGTTCTTCTTGAAGGCAGATTCTTTCCAGGTTTGGGTTAGCTTAACAGAAACTTTTAAATTGAATAAATTTTCTCTGTTCTCTCTTACAGTCGGATGCCTCCTCCCTGTAGTGATTCCTGTGACTTTGATGACCCCAGGCTGTTGAAGAACATTGAGGATCGCCATGTAAGTGCTCTGTTTTACTTCGAAGACAGCAAACAGCTTACGGTGCAACTTTCTTTTATATATGCATGTAGTATTTTGCAAGTTGCAGTTTTAGAGCATGGGAAAAGTCTCGACTTGATGATGTGAGTCCTTCTGAGAAGTGATCTTAGACAAATGCTTTGTGGTGAACGCTATGCATAAATTAGTGTATTTAAATACTTGGTGATTTTGTAAAGTAGCACACCAAGATCAAGACGAGTTTTACCACATAATTCTGTAACAGTTCCAATGGCTGTTGCTTTGTAAAATTTCTGCAGTACTATTTTGTCACAGTTGTGAATCTAAGAGGCCAAGTGTAATTGCATATCCTTTGACTAGGATACTTTAGGAAACAAAAGTAAGATATATATAATAACAGGTGGCATTTATTGCATTCTACTGTGTGCCAGGCAACTAACATATATTTCTTTCAACACTTTAGTCAACATTTGAATCACATCTGGGAGGTGACAAGGAAGTTAAATAAAAGATTAAATTGGCGAGTAGTTACCCAGCGCATAAATGTAGAAATGAGCCTTAAACCTCAGTCTGTTAGATTTTTAACTACGACATCACACCACTTCAAATCAGTATTAACTGCAGAATCACATCAATTCACTGTTATTTTATTTGTTATTTATTTATTTTTAATTTTTCTATAAGGGAAAAATTGTATTGAGGAACAGGTGGTATTTGGTTACATGAGTAAGTTCTTTAGTGGTGATGTGTGAGATTTTGTGAGATTGTGGTGCACCCGTCACCTGAGCAGTATACACTGCACCATATTTGTAGTATTTTATCCCTTGCCTCCCTCCCACCCTTCCCCCAAAGTCCCCAAAGTCCGTTGTATCATTCTTATGCCTTTGCGTCCTCATAGTTTAGCTCCCACATTTCAGTGAGAACACATGATGTTTGGTTTTCCATTCCTGAGTTACTTCACTTAGAATAATAGTCTCCAATCTCATCCAGGTCACTGCAAATGCTGTTAATTCATTCATTTTTATGGCCACGTGGTATTCCATCATCTCTCTCTTTATATGTATGTATATGTGTATATATTATATATGTATATATTACAGTTTCTTTATCCACTCATTGATTGATGGGCATTTGGGTTGGTTCCACAATTCACAGTTGTGAATTGTACTGCTATAAACATGTGTGTGCAAGTATTTTTTCCTCTGGGTAGATACCTAGTAGTGGGATTGCTGGATCAAATGGTAGTTCTACTTTTAGTTCTGTAAAGAATCTCTGCACTGTTTTCCATAGTGGCTGTTCTAGTTTACACTCCCACCAGCAGTGCAGAAGTGTTTCCTGATCACCGCATCCATGCCAACATCTACTGTTTTTGATTTTTTGGTTATGGCCATTCTTGCAGGAGTAAGGTGGTATTGCGTTGTGGTTTTGATTCACATTTCCTTGATCATCAGTGATGTTGAGCATTTTGTCATATGTTTGTTGGCCATTTGTATATCTTCTTTTAAGAATTGTCTATTCATTTTCTTAGCCCACTTTTTGATGAGATTGTTTGTTTTTTTCTTACTGATTTGTTTGAGTTTGTTGTAGTTTCTGGATATTAGTCCTTTGTCAGATGCATAGATTGTGAAGATTTTCTCCCACTCTGTGGGTTGTCTGTTTACTCTGCTGACTGTTCCTTTTGCTGTGCAAAAGCTCTTTAGTTTAATTAGGTCCCAGCTGTTTATCTTTGTTTTTATCACATTTTTTTTTATTGCATTTGCTTTTGGGTTCTTGGTCATGAAATCCTTGCCTAAGCCAATGTCTAGAAGGGTAATTCACTGTTATTTTAAAGGCTACTCTGAAAAATGCCAACTTAGAAAATTATTCAATGATCAAAACATTTCACAACTAGTTAAGTCAGTATAAATTAGATGTAATATGATTAATTTTTTTTTCTGAAAAAATTTCTAGATTTAAAATTAGGTAAACATGAGCAAAATTAAAAGTTTATCTTTCCAAATTTCCAAAATTTTAAGAGACAGATATATTTAAAACTTTTTCTAAGTTTTCATGAGGAAATCCTACTTTTCTCTATTGAAGTTAGTGCCCATTTGTTGCTAGCTCTTCTGAAATGTGAGTGTATAAGGCTCGCACACCCACAGGCTGTGATGCTGCTATTCCGACTCAGTTCTTGGTGATGCTGATGAAGTGGTCCAAGCCCACAGAGGATGCTGCTGGAGTCTATGTTCTGTTTCAGTCACAGACAGCTACAGAATCCTTTCTTGGATTCTGATCTTAGAGGTAGATCCAGCTACTAGGCTGAAGATTCTCCAAGCAGAAAAGTGGCGCCTCTGAAGAATCGTCTCTGCAGGAAGGTGGTTTTAATCAAAGATGTCAAAGAAACAAGTGTACTTTGAGCACTCGAGAGGAAAGAAGTGTTTTCAAATAGTATTCAGGTTGAGGGTAACCACAAAGGTGGGCAACTGAATATGTCTGTTCAAGTTAGGATGGTGAATGGAAAAGGAGAAAGTGGCAGGGTGACATAGGAGCTCCGGAGACTGCTCTTGGTCCAGTTTCACGAGCTTGCTTTCCTAGATCAACGAGGAGAAAGTAGCAAAGGAAATAAGATGAGCAGCGTGTATGGAACATCACAGAATTCCAGTAATGGGCTAGGAATAGCAGCAAACTATTGGATCCCCATTTACATCAGAGACTCATTTATTTATTCACTCATTTCACAATCTATTTAAGGACATCATTTATATGAAATACCTTGCTCTTGGTACTAGGGGAAGAGACGAATAAAAAACACTCAAAGGATTCCTGTTCACTGGGGAAGCAGACATGTGAAATTCTTAGAAGCCAGTGTATGCTTTTGCAGGACAGGTAAGGTGCAACTCCCTGAGGAGGTGATTTTGGTTTGTGTAGACAGAGAGGAATCCCATTCTCTTTGGTGACTGTCATGGCTACCATAACTGTTGACATGTGAGCAGTGTATTTGCACTGACATAAAGGTGGGATGCCATAGAAACCCAGTGGCCTGGGGCAAATCCTTACTTGGAGAAGAGCTTCTCTGGGGACCCCCTACATGCTACTGGGATTCTAGTGTTTGAAAGATTTCAAAGCTTGGTTCAGTTCATTTCTGACTCTCACAGGTGTTCTTTCCAAAGCTGGCCCGGGACTGGTGTTTTGGGTCCCTGTGACGTTTTGGGGTTTTGACTGTTCATCCCACACTCTTCTTGAGCCTGTCCTCTGTTGATGTTTGAATGGAGATCTGAGCACAGCTAATACCTCTCCCATTGCCTTCCCCTACCCACTGCTTTTTCCTGACTCCTCCTTGGTGGCCATGGTGAGTGGAAAGAACTTTAGGAAGAAATCCCACTGTTTATATAAGTTAGTGATCTTTCTTCTTCTTTCCTTTCCTCCTCATCGTCTGCCCTCCTGAGCCAAATTTCTTTTTAGTTTAGTGGGAAAGCCATTGAGAGTAGGGACAGGTGCAACCCCTGTGAAAAGGAAGCCCTGCTGTGGGGACATTGTGATGACCATCCAAACACAGAGACTTCAAGGGCATTTTAATCTGGATACTCATAGTTTCAGTACAAGCATAATGAGGAATTGATCGATTGGTTTGGGAATTTATTTTCTAATTTTTAGTAAAAGCCTCCTAGCCTATGTGTACCATTTTTAAGCTTTCTTGGATCCTTGAGGCCTTCTGAGGTACTCTTCATCTTAGCTACTATGTTAACTAAACTCTTTGACATTTAACATCTAGCTGCACTACAATAATGAAGACCATAGAATAGGCTCCAATATTTTTCTTTGGGGAGATGTGGGATTGAATTAAATGTACCCATTGGAGGTTTTTAAGCAGTTTAAACACAGGGCCTATTAGATTACTTGTTCATTTTGCCAAAATGTGTCTGTGGAGAGGGAAGAAGTATTTGAGGATTTGCGGCTGCACATGCCCCACATTCTCATCTAAATTGTCTTGGGACTATTGACTAAAATTAAAACATTTGGTCCAAGAAAACCCTTACTTTCCTCCCAAGGGAATACTTCCATTTGCTACAGAATTTTCTTTTTTTCCTATGTCATCATTTCAAATTTTCTGGTTGCTTTAGGACTGTGTTAAGCTTTGTGTGGGCTGATAGCCAAGATGGAATTTGGCTCTTAGAGAATCAACCTATGAGAAATTTCGGAGGACAATTTATGCAACCCCCTGCTTACATTGCTAACCAGTGTGTGGGATAAATTTTCAAAGGTTCACCAAGGAAGAAGATATAACTTTCTTTTGAATCATTATGCCTAAGATTTCTGAGCTTGAGTCTTCAAGAAGAAATCACTTATATACGTATATGATTTGGATAATTTGTAGCTGCAATTTTGCTTGCAAAACAATTTTAAACATGTATCATTTTCTGCTATTTTAAATTCACCGAATAAGTAGAAAATATTCATTTCTAGATATATGGCATTTTGTACATATTATAAGCTGTTAACTGAAGGAAAAATATAGTATCATCCTGTTTCTATGAGGTACATACAATAGGCAAATTCATAGATACAGAAAACAAAATAGAGGTTACTGGGGGATAGAGAGAAGAGAGAATGGAGAGTTATTGTTTAATGGGTATAGAGTTTCTGCTGGGGAAGATGAAGTTTTGTGTATAGATAGTGGTGATGGCTGTGTAGCATTGTTGAATGTATTTAAAATGCCACTGAATTTTATACTTACAAATGGTTAAATGATAGATATTACGTGTATAGTTTACCACAATACAAATTTTTAACATCTAAGAAGATACACACATACATATATACACACATGAATATAAGCATCCATAGGCTTCAGATTAATTTTGTCTCTTCTCCCTAATTTATTATAGAATGCAATAGGAAGAAAACCAATGATAGGTTAATTTTATTTTAGGATTTAAAAAAAATCTTCATGGATTTTGTCTGGCTTACCATTTGAGGTAGAAGGCTTTATTTGTGTGTGCAATTCTTTATAACTCTTAGAAAATATCTCACTACTAGGTTTACTTATTTGTAAAATCTAAGACACTTTTTATGTTGTTTCATTACGGGACAAGGTTATGTTCAGGATTGGAAAATTCTCAGGTACAGGGGAAGGCAATCTTGAATTGAAGCTAAATTCTCACATAAAGTACTTTTGGGGAAAATTTCTTACCATTTTTGCAATGCAGGCCTTGAGGAATGTGTAAATTCCCTAAGCTCATGACTTTACTGAACTATAATTTAAGGTGCCTTTTCTCTTCATGATAAGAAGTAGCCATGTAAATAGCTGTGATTTGCTTCCATAAAATTCTGCTTAAGTCACATTCACAAGACAGAGAAGAAACTAAAAATATTCTTGTGGAAGCCGTCATTCATTTATGACTAAAAAAACAGAAAACTCCATCAAAAGAGGAAACACATAGCTGCTTCCTTCACATGAAGATATAAATCTATCTCAATTTTATAGCCAGTTGCCTATTTAAAAGGGATGCACTAGAACACTGACATTAAAATAACCCCAGGACAAGGAAGCTTGCTTATCACCCCTGCCTTGAATGTAATTCTGAAAGTGCTAGCTCCTGCAGACAGGTGAACATTGAAAGTTTATATATTGGGAGGAAAAGGGAAAACTTCTCATTTGTGGGTGATATAATTGTCTACTTTGAAAACCTAGGATAGTCAACTGCAATTCAGAGAACTAGTAGGAGCTCAGTGACAATTGGATATTAACTTACAAAAATCAATGTTTCTACTTACATCCCAACAAGAAACTACTGTAAAATGTAATGGAAATAAGATTCCATTCATAATATAAAAGGCAATAGATAAAATGCCTTACACAGTACTTCATGTATAGTGGTCACTGAAATAATTTTTGAGCAAATAAAATAATTAATAGACGTGCCAGGTCTTATATTTAGAATATTTAGAAGCTTTTAATACATAGGAAGACACACTTTTCTTAGATGGGAAGACAGCATTATTTTCCCACTAGTTATGAATGTGCTCTAATCCCAATAAAAAATTATATATTTTTTTCCCAGAGAGAATAAGAGAATTTTATTAAATACATATCCAGGGCAATTCTGGTTTTCGTTGCTGTTCAATATTAATGAGCAAGGGATGCACTGCTTTACAGGTGTTGAGAGATTATAAACTTAAAGAATAGACACTGTATAGAACAGATGTCGGGGTGGGGAATGGGAGCCTGGAGATGGGAGCATCTTCTGTTTATGGGGCCTGAGGTACAGCAGTGAGGGAGGCAGAACACACGCTTCCGGAGGATCTTGCGAGAGTGAGGCAGCAGCACGTGGGTGAAGCAGAAGCACAGGGAGGCGGAAGCAGAGGGGCAAGTGGAAGCACGTGGTGAAGTGCAAGCATGTGGGGAGGCGGAAGCACGTGGGCAAATGGAAGCATGTGGGCAAGGCCGAGGCTCCTGGGGAGGCAGGGTGTGTGGAGGTACAGGAAGGCTCTTTCGTCTTTTCTCTCCCCATCTCTTGAGCTAAAGCGCAGGAGCTGCATTCCAAGAGAAACCTGGGGATTAGTGCGCGTCAGGAGAACCGGCTTGGGGACTCCAGACCAGAGCGGTAGGAGGGGGATCTGAGGTCCATATTAAGGACCTCTACCCTGTCCTACAGGGAGCAATAGGATGACTGGATGTTAGTTGGGGATCTGCTTGTGTGAGCCCTGGTGCCTGTTGAAGGTGTTGTATCTGACACTAATCCCGCCTCACGTTTGCAGCCCACAGCCCCTTGCATTCAGGAGTTCCTCACCCTTCTGGCCGTGTGCCACACGGTTGTTCCTGAGAAGGATGGAGATAACATCATCTACCAGGCCTCTTCCCCAGGTGAGGGCTCTGGCCGGATGCGCCCTGCTGGCCCCTTCTCAGGACACCTGGGTGTTGCAGTTATTCTTGGAGGTGTTGCCATGTAGTCCGTCCCACAGACTCGGCTGTCTGCTGTTGGCCTCACCCTGTGGCCAGGCTGTGGCTACAGGTGCAAAGCCGTAGAGAGCCCGGGATGGGCTCTCCTGACTCTCATGACTCTTTTTTAACAGCAAAGGGAGGACCCCGGTTATGTTGCATCTCCCAGCAGAGGTGATTGGGCTTGACAGAGCTCTGAAGAAAGAACAGAGCTGGCTTCTTCCTCATCCTCCCCACCTCATAGATTTTCCGCCTGCTGGGGAAGCTGTGCATGGGGGTACTCTCTACCCACTTCCTGAGGCTTGGGAATCCCACAGCACAACTAAAATACTGCCTTGCTCAGAGGAGATGTTTGGTGGGAGTCATGGGACTATTAGGTTCATTGGAGAGAACTTGATCCCAAGCGAGAATAGCAGGAATAGAAATCATTCTTGTCCTGGTGAATTAGCATATATCCAAGCCTCCCATCTAACAGGAGTGCTCATTTCAGAACCCTGGTGGTAGGAAAAGCAAGTGCTTCTCTATCCTGAGTCTTTACTATTATGCAGATAACACCAGGCCTCCTTCAGTAGAGCGGATTTTGTTAATTTGAAAAGTGACACTAAACAGAATTCTGTCACTACCAGTGATATGTCAATGTTTCACCAACTCCCACTTGACAGATGAAGCTGCTTTGGTGAAAGGAGCTAAAAAGCTGGGCTTTGTCTTCACAGCCAGAACACCATTCTCAGTCATCATAGAAGCGGTGAGTAACATGCGTGTGCACATTTCAGATCACCTGCTTTTGTGAAGATTGTGTGTGTGAAATGGCATGTCTATTGTAAATATGATAGCTAAATTTCTCTTTCAGTGAAAAATTAAGACCTGTGACAAACTGGAGTTAATGTGATTATATTAGCTTGTTCGAGTTGTTTTGCATTGCAGTATTGTTTTCCCCTTCAAGATGCTTTTCCACATGTCTTTCATACACTGATGTGAAATTATTTGTAGCAAAGAACTTCACGAATCTACTCTTTGTTCTATAATAATTGGGAAAATAACTTAGCGGCCCACTTGTCTTTGAGGGCAGGTTCCACATCTCTTTGTAGCCTCAGAGCCTAAGAGTTCTTACTCAATGAAGCCTCACAGTCCACTGGGCTTCAGTCTCTTCAGCTGGGAGAGGAGTCAGCGTTAAGATCTCTCTCTCTCTCTCTCTCTCTCTTTTTGAGACAGGGTCTCACTCTGTTGTCCAGGCTAGAGTGCAGTGGTGCAATCTCGGCTCACTGCAACCTCTGCTTCCCAGGTTCAAGCAATTCTCCTGCCTCAGCCTCCGGAGTAGCTGGGACTGACTACAGGCACGTGCCACCACGCCTGACTAATTTTTGTATTTTTAGTAGAGACGAGGTTTTGCCATGTTGGCCAGGCTGATCTCAAATTCCTGACCTCAAGTGGTCCACCCGCCTTGGCCTCCCAAAGTGCTGGGACAGGCGTGAGCCACTGTGCCGGGCTTTGATCTCTTTTATCTATATGAGGGATCCCCCCTGCAACTGGAGTCAAGGGGTTTACATGTTTTCTGATTTTTTCTGAGTTTCCTTACCTACAGGCCAAAGGGAGAAATTTAGTGATAGGAAAATAATTATATCAAATAGGAGGTCAAATACAGACCCTTGGAATGGGCAACAGGGGAAAATGATGGTTATGACTGGTGAGGCAGTGGTGTTTTTCATGATGACCAGTTAGAAGGGCTGTTTTATTGTTGTCTGCATTGATGATAAGGGTCTGGGGCTAGTCCCTGCCATCCCTTGCCTTTCCCTACTCCTCCATTTGGGGAAGACGCAGGGATTATAGTTTTTGGCTTTATGGATGCATCCTTAAATCCATAGACCTTTAATGCATTTGAAATTCACTTCCAAATGGTATAATAACTTCGTATGGTTCCTGACTTGGGAGTACTGTAGTAAGTTTTTTCTTTTAGTTATATGCAAAACCTATAAAATATCTTATCTTATACAAAGTACCCATTTATTGGCATCTTCAGTTTCTTATGGAGTACAGAGATGAGATCATGTGATCATGTTTACTTTTACTATGCTTATTTTAGTCAACAAAGGGAATTTAGCTTAAGGAAATGTACCATCATTAAAAGTGGAATGAAGTACTGATTGAATATAGAATTTCCCGTACAGAAGCTTTTTTAAAAATGAGGTCTTTTTCCCCCCTTCAGTTGGAGGAGAATTTTAATCTGAACTATAGGATTTTCAGTTGTGTGGGTGCCACCGCATGTCTCTGCATTGCAAAAATGGAGGTTGGGGGTTGGGGAGCTTGGATCATAGGTGAGAGAGACAGAAGAGAACAGGCGCTTCCACTTCACTCACAATGCCAAATAAATGTGGAACCTAGAGAGCCTATTGGTGTTGTCCTCCTGGTGTTATAATGCTGCATTGACACCTCTTTGTTACCTCATTAAAGTTTTAAGGTCATATTTCTGGGGGTCACAAAAGACTGCCTGATTAGTTAGGACTCGTAGATAACAGTAATAAAAAGAATCCTACTCAACCATTCATCAAACCACCAATTCTCAAATTATAGGTTTTGCATATAAGTAAAAGAAAAAACTTACTGCAGTACTACCAAGTCAGGAACAAATTCTCAAATTCCTACATATTTACATGAAATGTCCTCGCCAATAGTCAGAACAGCCACATCCATGGGCTGCATGTGGACGTGGTTGATATAACTGTGAGAGAGGGGGTGGCTCCTGGGAGTGGCAGCCCTGGTGCTGGGTGGTGGTAGTAGCACTGGGTGTCTTCTGAATGGGGATATGATGGAAAGTTAGGACAGGCTGTGGAGAAAGGGAACTCGGAACTCGTGGATCCAGAGAAGTGAATAAAGATTGATGAAGGCTGGATGAAGTGGATCATTAGTTGTTTTGTAGGATGCAAAGAGAAGGAGTGGAGAGTTGTGGGTGTGAATGAAGATAATGATTCCGTCATATACTTGGTAATTTGAATGTGTTACTTCATTGATTACTTCTCTGAGCCCTAAGAGATGAGTGCTTTTGCCATGCATAAGAAAGTCACACACTTAGAGGCAGAAACTGGATTCAAACTCACATGTATTGGGTGCCAAAGGCCATGTTCTTTCCACTGTGAAGTGTTGGGGAAATGAAAAGATTAGATTAAAAATCTGAAAATAGCATGCGCACCATCTGGAATTTTTAGATGGAAAAAATTGTGAATATTGACATTCTAACTTGAAAGAACCCAAAGAAAAAGAGCGTTTGATTGATTGCTCTGAGACCAGGTACAGATTCACCATCTCTTATCTGCAAATTCGAAACCCAAATGCCTTTGAATTCCAAAAGATTTTTCCTAAATTTGGTGAAGAGTTATTTGGCAGCAAAACCTAATCAGAACTGACATGAAGCTGTTTATGATCTTTATGAATCTCATTTCCTGATATGCATACATTTTGCTGTAGAAAGCGGATGTGTTGTGTACCAGCATGTTACCCCAGACCCTGCTGGGGACATTATGATAGATGGTCTAGAATATGTCTATATAATTTGTAAAATCCTGAATTCAGAAGCATAACTGGGCCAAAGGTTTCTGACGGACCTGTGCAGCTGGTGTCCTCTATCTCCATCTCTTGGAAGTGCCTGCACTCCCCAACTGTTAGCACTGAAGAAACGTGAGAAGCTTCCACCAGAAGAGGGAGCTCTGACCCCACCAGACTTGTGAGAAAACAGTACATGTTGCAAAGGGCTAGAAGGTGGGAAGAGAGAGAGAGAGCATATATATGTCTGTTTATGCTTGGGAGACAATTGCTTTGAGATTTTAATACTTTGCACCTCGGTTAAGAGCCTATTTTTCTTCCTTTAGATGGGACAGGAACAAACATTCGGAATCCTTAATGTCCTGGAATTTTCTAGGTATGTTTCTCTTTCATACGTTTGAAATAAAATAATTATATTTATTTACCAGCTTCATCAGAGTGTTTACATGATTGTATGGTATGATTCAATATATTACTTAAGTATTAAATATAATAAATGTATCTCCATAAACTCTTTTCTTCTTGGAATTTGTGACTTTCATTAAAGAAAGTGAAGTAGGTTATTTTTCTTTGTTTTATTCAAGAGAAATGCTCTACTTCCATGTCCTCCTTTTTCTTTAGATTTCCAGAGCCTGATGTTCTTGCATCAGCAGCTGCAGACATGTCTGAATAGTTTGGAGCATGTGATGGGGGCATTATTTTCATTGGCGTTTCCCAAGTCCCATGAGGTCATTCCTCTTGCTCCATTTGAGCACTCCTCTGGAGATCTGAGAAACTGACAAATGATGACAGATGAGATCAGTTCATCCCATTAGAGGCTGGGTCCACGTAGGGAAGTTTTCCTGGACTTATTCGGAAGCATTCTTCCCCAGTACAATTTTAAAAAGTTAGACCCAGGAATATTTGTTGGACTTTTTTGTTCACATAGAACATTCATAGTTGGTTATAAGGAAACATATCTTAATTTTTTGTTTCTTTGCCTCTTTTTAACATGGAATTGTCAGTACTAAAGCAAAGTTCTGTTGCTATCTCAAAGGCATCTTTTCCTATTATTAAAATTAGGTGGATTTTTGAATAACCTTTGTTAAACAGTGTTATAAAGCTCTGTCTGCTTTATAAACTATTTTTAATAAGGATTAGTTTTTTATCTTTGTGTAGGAAATACTTTCCAGCCCTAGTCTTTAGTTTTAGGTTTGCAGGCATCGACTTGGAACCATGGGGAGGGGAGGAGGGATGGCTGATTACGGTGGTGGCTCATGTAGGAAGTGGTGACAGTGTCCCTGCGTGTGGAGGTGAGCGACGTGCTAGGCATCTCTCCAAACTGTGTGCTTCATCTTTTATTGGAAACTGTGCAGTGCCCTGTGATTACATTAACTGGGACCAGCAGTTATTGGACAGGCAAGGAGGAGGAGAAAAGGGAGTTAGATAAAAACAGGTGAATATTGGTAGAGACACAAGGATGTATTAAAATGTATATATGGGAGAATAAGAAAGAACAGAAAGATAATTTGTGGTTACAGTGGTGAGTCTATTTCTTTTTCATGGACTCATCTCTTTCCCAGTGCCACTTAATCTTGATAATACTCCCGCGAAGTACTTGCTTTACACATTGAGAAACTGAAACACGGGTTTCAAGAACTGCTAGGAGTGCCCACCTCTAAGATAGTTGAGAGAGAATGCAAATCCAGGTCAGCTAGAGCACTATAGGTTAGGATGTGGGAATTTACCCAGAGCTGAAGAGAGACTCTCCCCGACTCTTAGAGACTTATAGTCCATTGGGAACCACCACACTGAAAGGCCACAGAGATGGGTGGTCTAGGGCCCTCTGTAGTTGGAGTGTGCTTCAGGAGGATGAAATGTTGGCAAAGGAGGATCAGAATGTGTAGAAGAGGAGAATGGTGAGTCCCGTGTGTGCTCGAAGCCTGGTGGTGGTTCATGGGAGGGTTGGTGGGAGATGAGGTGAGGCTGCACAGGTGGACGGAGAGCAGTAAGAAGAATTCATAGGCGGTGGAGACTCACTGAGGGCTCGGTGAGTGAGGATGGGCCATGAGGAAAGACGTGTGAGGAAGTGTAGATGCTGCGGTGAGGGGAGAGAGAGTTCCTTGGTGCTAAATTGGGAGTGTTCTGCGGGTTTGTGATTTCTTTCTACTCCAATTAAAAGATGACACAGGGAGGAGCTTCTGAGTTAAGTGGATCTATACTGAGTCTCCCACTTTCCTACCTACTGGGCAAGTTACTTGATAGCTTAGAGGTGGAAAATAAAGAATATTTTTAGAGAGTAGAGTCAGAAGTCAATCAGATGTGGACTGTCAGTGCTGGAATTCTCCTTTTCTGTTTTTCCTACTGCAAATAGCGGTCCTAGTCTATTTTCATGGCAGGGAAAGAAATAGGCTTATGTTCATTAGATGTAAATAAAAAGAGTAGGAGATACACAGTTAGGTCCTACTTTGAAGAAAAAGGCAGGGAAAGATAGACCTTGTTCATTTTTAGGAACCCCAGACCCCCTTTTGTTTTGATTGGTGTTCAGCTGTGGGATATGCATCCTGTAAACAGACCAATGATGACTTTTTTTTTTTCACTCTCCCAGTGACAGAAAAAGAATGTCTGTAATTGTTCGAACTCCTTCAGGACGACTTCGGCTTTACTGTAAAGGGGCTGTAAGTACCGGAGAAGCGTTGTGCGTAGCGGAGTTCTTGGCAGCTTTGTTAATCTGCCGCTTTTCCTAACTGCTTTCCTCATCATTCCCTGATTGTTTGTCCAGAGTTGAAAGACTGTTTCAGGTAGGCTGTGAAGTTGACTTAGTAGTAAAAGCCCACTGAAGATAATGGTGGTTCAGGGCAGTGTGGCAAAGATGGTCAGTGAAAAGCTTACTGAAATCGTTGGTTTCAGAAACAGTGACTCCACGTGTCATGCAAAATCCTTGAATGGGAATTCTTATTCCAGTTTTACCAGCATTGTGTTTTGACTTTGGGAAGACAAAGTAATTTGTGTTGACCTATGATAATCTTGAGTATTCTGATATATATTGGTTCTCTAGCACCTCTTCTTCTCAATTGTTATGTTTTTTTCTCATACATTATAGAGAGACGTGTTTTAGGTACAAAGGCAATGTCCATGTGTAGCTGCATTATTACTGCCCCTTTTAGTCAGTTTCCTAGGTCAGGCTTTTTGTCCTGTATACCTTCTAGTAACCAAATCTAAATGGTTTATCTCAAAGGAAAGATGTTATTGCTTATGAGTCTTACTTATAGAACTAGATCCTGTTAAATTTTAGTCTTATGTATCGAGGGAAAGAATTATTAAACTTATTTTATTTGACTATGTCAAGAATACAGAGCTCTCCTAGGATTAATTAGTGGTTGACAGTATTACTAATCTTTACCAGTTGTGGCAAGAAGGGTGGTTTTATTTGAGTACACGATGAGTAGAGCTTTTTACAAATGAAGGAATGCATGGGAATTCTAAAGGCATTATATTTGGACTCGCTAAAGAATTCTGTGTTTATGGTAAAATGACTTCAATTAAGCTCATCTAGGTTTTGTTCTCATATGATATATTTTTGAAACTTTTTGTTTATTCATTTGCCATTGTGTTCTAAGTACCACATCGAGTACAACAGGTGTCAGTGTGAGGTGGTAGAGAGAGGAGGGCTGTCAGTATAGAAGAGGTACATACGAAAATGTTGCAAAGGTGTGTTGTATTTTTATAGGATTTAATTCTCTCCAAAACCAAACTCAGTTTAAAAAAATTTTTGTAATAGCCTAAAACTATGCAATTTGTAACACATTTGATGGATTATCTGTGGGATCTGGTCCCCCAACCCTTCTTGTCAGTCATGGAAATAGTCATAGGCAGATGGGCTGTGCACCTGTGTGTTTCTTGGCAGAACTGAGTTCAGCGCCCAATGGGTTGTGCCCTCTGTGCTTAGGAGCTCCTCCCGTATTGGGAGGCAGGATTGTACTTGAGTAATTTGGGATGTGCATTTTACCCTTTCTCCTTCTGCGCAAACGCCTGATAAACTTTGGGATATGAGTTTTGCAAATTTTGGTGAATATAGGCCCCCATGTATTCCAATGATTCTCCTGTATTTCTGGTTCTCCCCAGCATATTTTTGTTTGGCTTTTAAGATAACAGATTTTGGTTTTGTTGGACACATTCATACCCAATTTGTTTTCCAAAGCTCATGCCTGAGCCCAGCCAAATGCTAAATTCCTACTTACCCACTCGGGTATTCTCATGCATGTTAGATAAACAGAAACAAAGCCATGCTTAGTATGCTGGCTGGAAGGTTTACTGAAGGCTTTGCCAGTCACAATGTTTCCCTATTTTATAGGATAATGTGATTTTTGAGAGACTTTCAAAAGACTCAAAATATATGGAGGAAACATTATGCCATCTGGAATACTTTGCCACGGAAGGTAAGTGGAATTTGGAAATGCTGTTTTTGGCCATTGGAGCTGTACTTTCAAGCATGTTGTCTTGATTTCCAGGGGCACATTCTTCCAGTGCCTGCCCCATCCCCTCCTGTGCCCATGGCAGTGACAAGATGCATAGCCAAATCCAAACTCATTTACCTGTAGATGCCTCTGTCACTCATCAGCAGTGGTGCAGAGGGAGAGACAGGCCAACGCACAACGTGTAGAATCACCTTTAGTTACTAGTCCCTTTCTCAGAAAACTCATATGGTTATTTTCCTGTCCCTCTCTTGGTGTCCTTATGTCACTGGCTTATCCATGACTTAAGGAAATAATAATTCATGGAACCCATAGTGAGCAGGAAAGGAGTTCTCTGGAAGGCTATAAACAACACTGATGTCAGGTGTTCCTGATAGCGAATGTCATGATAGCTGGAGCCACACTCAAGTGCTAACTGCTGCTTTCTGGCCTCTGGCTCTGCGTGCATGCACATATGAGCACATGCTCACACACACGCATGGGTGTGGCTGCCTGAAAGCCTGGATCTTTCATGGGATAGCACGTGGGGCCTTTCCTTGCTGTCTTGAAACACACTTCCCACCTCCTCTGCTTGCTGAAACCTGTTTACTGCACATGGATCATGCACAGCTCCCGAACCTCTCTGCCATGGAGAATTCACTCTTCTGACTTCTCGCGCACTCTCAGCCTTACGGAAGAGGTAGTTTATGTTAGAATACAGGAGAGCTGTTTTTAAAGGTCCCTTGGTAGATGTGGGAGTGTTGAATTAGAGTGACCTAAAGCACAGAGTCTCTTCAATTTTTTTGGGCATGCTGATGGAAAAGGGAGCACAGGCTGTCCCCTAGGAGGTCACGCGTTCTGCCTGCCTCCATTCACCAGTGGCTGTCTTGCAGGCTTGCGGACTCTCTGTGTGGCTTATGCTGATCTCTCTGAGAATGAGTATGAGGAGTGGCTGAAAGTCTATCAGGAAGCCAGCACCATATTGAAGGACAGAGCTCAACGGTTGGAAGAGTGTTACGAGATCATTGAGAAGGTAACCGCACACAATACAGTCTTTTCAGCTCCATGAAGGACTTAACCACCTATTTCACAAAGTATTTGAACAGGAATCCTTTTACTATGTAGGGATGTTCTCTTTTCTTGTGTCTTAATGAACCGTTAGCTCTGAATCATTTTCTTTGCTTTAAGAAGCACTTAATTTTCATGGTCTTTCTGAAAGCTCTAGCCACCCTCAGCTAAACATTAATGATAGCTTAAGAAATATCAGGTCAAAAACAGCATCAGCGACTTTCTGGGTTTGCTTAAGATTAGGCTTAATGAGATTAACTCACGCTGTTGAGTTACAGGAGCAATCAGAATGCTGTGGAGGCTGGTTAGATGTTGTACATGCTAAGCTTTCTCGCACTAACTTATTCTAATGATATTTAAACTTTGCCGTTGCTACTCCACATTGCCTACTTTGATTTTGTTGTTGTTGTTATTCTTTTCAGTTTATCCTAAGGCTTTAGCTCACTTTCAATTTATTGGTTTCCTTCAAGTGTGGGAGCTGGGTTTCAGCTTTTTCTGTCTCATGTTGGCAGCCATAGGGCCATCCAATTTCCAGTTTCTATAACTTTTTTTTTTAAATATAGAGACAGGGTTTCCCTCTGTTACCCAGGACCCAGGCTAGAATGTAATGGTGCAGCCATAGGTCACTGCAGCCTCAAACTCCTGGGTTCAAGCTAACCTCCTACTTCAGCCTTCTGAATAGCTGGGACTACAGTCTCATGCTACCATGACTGGCTAAGTTTCATATTTTTTGTAGAGATTGGGTCTTGCTATGTTTCCCAGGCTGGTCTCAAACTCCTGGGCTCAAGCAGTCCTCATGCCTTGGCTTCCCAAATCCCAAAGTACTGGGATTACAGGTGTGAGCCACCATGTCTGGCCCAGTTTCCATAACTTTGAAACCATCACTTATTTACTGTTTTCATTCCTTTGTTGGTTTAAAAAAATTCTCCTCTGCTTTTTTTTACTCAGTTTTTTTGTTTAAGTTTTATATTCAGTTATTTATATTCAGTCATTTTAATGTACTGAATTAAAATGAACTGAATAAATCTGAATTCAGGTGTTTATTTGCCCTGTTTTACTGGAAATAGCCAAAATTATTTTTAGAATTAGAAAAAGGTGATTAAATAGGTGATGTGCCTGTGGTGGATGCTCAAGAGTTGGATCTTCCCACAGTCTGTGACCAAGTAGAGGTGCTATGTCCTGGAGAGACTTGGGATGTGAGTACATGGAGCAGGCCGTTTGTACAGTCTCTGGAATTTGCCCGACCAGCAGGCACAGTGCGGGCAGCTGGAGGGAACCAAACATCCACACCCATCCTCAGCATGAGCTGATCTGCCCTGGGCCTTTAAGAGGACCAAAAGGGGCAACATTTTATAGCTACCCTCAATCTTAAGATACTTGGATTTTTTTTCTCTCACTGTTAAATCCTTAGCACCACAGGTCTCTTACTCCTATTTTGCCAGGTAAGTGTATTATCTAGAATTAGTTCTCCTCCTTTGTTAAATGTGACATAATATGCTACTCATTAGTGGACTGAGAGGAAGGGCTCAGGTACTGTCAGTGTCCTCGGGATAACCTGCCCATCTGCTCTGCTGCCAGATGGCTTCTATTCTAACAAGCCCCTGTATCAAGAAATCAGTGATGAGTACTGGGCTGCCTGTGTGTGTAGAGTGAGTCCACCATTGCAAGGCATTTGGAAATGCCATCCATCCAGATGCCATCTGTAGACACAAGTATAAAATAGAGGAAATAGAACAACTGTCTCAGAACCGTTTGATTGCCTTTCTTTGTCAGAATTTGTTAGTGCTGTTCTTAAGTATGTGCCAATCTTTAACTGAGGATATTTTTTCAATGTAGAATTTGCTGCTACTTGGAGCCACAGCCATAGAAGATCGCCTTCAAGCAGGAGTTCCAGAAACCATCGCAACACTGTTGAAGGCAGAAATTAAAATATGGGTGTTGACAGGAGACAAACAAGAAACTGCGATTAATATAGGTAATTATTTTTACAAATAATTTCCTGATGCTGGGTTTTGTATTTGTTTTTCAAGTATCTTTTAAATGTGTCTAAATGTTTCTCAAATTCATTGACAGATGATGTTTTATAGGAATCTTCATTCACAAGGCTAAGGAAAATTGACCTAAATCAAATGAAGATGCCTCCATGCCTGTTACAAACATTAAAACTATCATAGTTCCTGGAAAAGAATTAGACACACTTACATAGGGCATAGAATTCAAGATTTGACAGCTTTGATTTTCTTATTGCTTTCTTCACAAAATTTTAGTCTGAGACTAAGAGAGCATGTTTTTACTAGGTTTAAATATGCGTTATTATTTTATGTAATTATAACCATTTTAATGGTTTTGCCCATTAATGGGCTTTTCTAAGAGCCTTGCATCTTTCCCTTCCCAGCTTGTTGACAACTTCCTTGACTGCAGAGCATCACAGAGATGAAAATTGAAGAAAAGGAATTTAAGTCAGGATAACTCTGCCGTTGTTAAAGGAGCACGTTTTAAGTTTGAAAAGGAGTTGAAGCTACTCATTTTTTAAAAATCTAATCTTGATTATTTGAAACATTTAAACACTATCTGGTACTTTGATCAGCATTATGGTGTAACAAGACCTGGTGCATATGTGGTAAAATGAACACTGCATAACTTAGAATAGCTTGCTAGAAGTAGACTCTATTTCTATATCTGTTTCTATGTCAGTGCTCTGTGTTTTAGGAAGAAACCTGCTAGAGCCTTTGTATTTAAGTGACTATAGTCCTCTTCAGAGTAGTCTTCTTGGAATATTCTCAACATAATCCAATGGTGTCCCTTTCCTGAAAACCTTATCTTTGAATCAGCTTTGTCTCTCATGTAACCTCAGTTGTAAATAATACCTGCCTTCTTGGATAAATTTGATTTAAAAAAATAGACAAAAGCCATGTAATCATTTCTTGTCAGGGATATAGCTAATTAAATGGAAGTTGGGCTCCCAAACAACGGAAGTTAAGCTCACAAGAGAGTAACATAGGATTCATAAACAGTCCCTGAAGAATCAGCCATAGACTTTGTCCCTGGATTTGTGCTGGTTGTCATTCAGATGCATGGTTTTGGAGAACAGTATGATGGTATTTTAGTGCAGAATCATCACTGCTACTAGAAAATACAAACCCAAGCTTACAGCCCTTTGATGATGTGTCAGTAGCATTTTTACAAATGAAGAATAACACATTTGCTTTTTGTATGCTATATTTCTGTATAAGTATATACATTGACCCTTTATGTGTTATTTTTCATATAAGTTTGGCCTAAAACACCTGCTATGGATCTGTGGCCCCTGTTGTTTGCATGCTAAGTTGACTGTTACCCTGAAATACTTACCTAAAATTTAGGTGATATGCTTTCCACCCTATTAGAGCAATGTGAAAAAAGTGGATAACCCCTCAAGTTAAAATTGAGCTGTAAAGTGGTAACCTTTCTTAGTTTTCCAGATCTTGAGCGTTCCCGCTGGCCTAATAACCTATGCGTGTCACTGGCCCTAGACTGAACTACCTTCAGTGTGTTCTTGGATGTGCCCTGGCTGGAAAAGCACCACAGCTCCCTCTCACTGCCTCTCATCCACACCGCCCGGCCCCTGGGAGCACACGCAGCCCTTTTTCGTGTGTGTTCATTTTATTATACCTGAGCCTATCTAGCTAAGTTTGGGATAAACACAAGAGAAAGCAAAGTGCTGAAAATCAACCCAGAAAACACAAATGGATTATTACTCAAAAACGAAAGTTTTACTTGTATGTGATGAGGCTGCTCTGAGCCTTATGAGATAATTGATACCTGTCCAAACAATTTTTTAAAAATAACGATTGTATTATTTTGTACTTTTTTTCTAAGTGGGTGTAGTAACGTGTAGTGCTCATGCCAGAACCGCTCACATCATTTGCTATCTCTTAATTGATCTTTCTTAGCAAGTACTCTCCAAGACCGCTAGAAGATGATGCTTTATAAGCTGAGGACTTTTTGTCAAAGTCTTATGTTTATCCTGGAGGCTTTCTCTATTCACATTTTATCTAGTGTATCAGTCAGATTCAAACACATCTTGGGTGTTACTAAGTAAGCTTCTAACAGCTAGACAATTGATTTCTTTGAGAGAGCTATGTCTGAATTGTTTCTTCACTTCACCTTTGGAACTGAAGCTTGTAGCCTTGGGTGACGCCGAGAATTTAAATGTCGTCTTGTGATTTAAAGTATCTGTCAAGCCTACAAATGATGCAGAAGGCTCAGGAAAGCATATACGTCCGGACATTTTATTAGACTTTTCAGTGTGGGACCACAGGCGGCAGCTGTCAGCAGCATGAGGTCATGCTCTAGATACAGAGTGGGTTTCTAAGCCTGTTTTCTAGTCATATAGCCCTCATACCCCTGGTAGTATGAACCATTATGGACCTGTCTCCCATAATACTTTACATTTTCATGCATCCTGTGTGGATTTTAAGGTATCCAGAAGATATTTGGGAAGATCAAGTATCTAGCAGTTCTCCTTCTAGATGAAAAAAGGGAAGCAGAGCAAGTAAATGGAGTGTCTGGCAAGTGCCAGGCACTATACTAGGAGTGTTTTCTGAAAACTCTTTTTTTAATATTTACATATGAACATTCTTATAGCTCGAGGAGGAAATTCTACATTTCCCAGGGCTATACCCTACTTAATGACCAAACTGGTACTAGGTCTCAGGGCTCTTGACTTCTGGTGTGGGGCTTATTTAGAGGGATTCACATAGCTTTTGCAAAAAATGCTTTCTGAAATTTGATTTAGAAGACCACGGAGAATGGTACTACATTTCATCCATTCCAAGGTGCACATTGTTTTTACATTTTAATGTCTCTGAAATGGGGATGTCGTATAGTTGTTGACTCTTAGCTTTTAATTGTCAGCATTATCTTAGTGGTATGTACCATAAGAGTTCATCTTTAGATTTGGTGACATTAATTATCTTTGGTGTTTGGAGGTGTTGGCTCTTTTTAGAGTTTGGTTTTTTAAAATATATATATCTATCTCGTAGTTTGAGAATTTATTTTTAAAGTTTAACTTTTTATTCATACCTTAGAAAAAAAACACACAGTCAAATCAAGTTCCAAGACATGTGTGTCTCCTGTGAGCCAGTGAATTGTATGTAGATAGACAATCATCTTGTGTATAGGTTTTAGTAGTTTGAAATTGGCATGTTGCCAGAATCCTGCAACACTGTGCTTGAATTTATGCTAACTAGCTGTGTTTTGAGGAGTTGGCGATTTTCTCTTTTAGCTTAAAAATTTGGCATCAGCTGGTCTAAAGTGAAATTTCAGATGTAGCCCTTGTGAATTTCGTAGTGGTCATTTCCTTATTACCACTGAATAAAACGTCTATTAAATAGTTATGCAATAGATGTGGAGTTTTCGCAGTCTGTAATTTTTTTTAATGGATGTAGGATGAGTGAGAACAAAATCCTAGTGTGTATTCCATTTTAAAGTAATTAAGTTGGCATTAGCTTTCCTCTTAAACCATTTCTGAATTGAAATTTAAAGTCTTTCCCCCACCCTCCCTGCATTTTGTTACCCATCATTTGATACTTTTAAAACCATTTCTTATGGTCTTAGAGGTTTATTTTTTAAATTTTAATACATTTTATTGTGTATAAGGTAAACAATATGATGTTATGAGATACATATAGATTATCTTTGAAGTTTAATTTTAGGAAGTGACTCAATATGTCACTTGCCCCTCCTGTAATTGCCTGTACATTTTCTTGTTCATTAAAAGGAAGGCGAGTTGCCATTCTCAGGTGAAGCTGGGCTGTGAGGGTGACAACACTGGTGATGTTCTCAATCTTACTGCTGTTTTTCACAGAAGATTCAGTCCTGTATTTCTTGATTACCTGCAGCTAACATTGCCAGGTGCTCCACTATAAGCTTGGGCAACTTACATTCCACACTTGGGGCATGAGTTAATTATGAGACAAATCAGAGAATGAAACAGATGAGGAAGTACCAATTGTGCAGTGTAGATGTTAATTATGACTGGCTTTTGTAATAGTTACTAGCAAATGTTATCTATTATGTGCCCGATACTGCACTAAGTCCTTTACAGATGTTTTATATTTAATTCCCTTGGAGAATTTAAAAGGCATTATCCCCTTTTAAAGATAAAACTGAGGCACAGAGAGATGAAGTAACTTAGTCTAGGTCATACAGATGTGAGAAAGCTGAAAATCTGAGCACTTAACCACAACACACAGTGTTCATTTCTCAGAAGGAACAATATGAGTTGTAAAGGACCAGGGAAGTCTTCCTGGATGAGAGGAGTTTAAAACTTGAGCCTTCAGAGTTTGTTTAAAACAAAAATGACTGAGAATAGAATGGGTCAGGATGTCCCAACGTGGGGAGAAGCCGTGAGGTGAGGTTGAGGGAGCATGTTCTTCTGTGTGGCGAGGGTTCCTGAGAAGGGCCTGAAGGGTCTCAAGGGAGAGGTGCCCAGGCGTGTGCTCCAGGGACAAGGCCTCAGCTCCCTGGTTCTCTGGATGATGAGGGGCTCTGGACGGGCTGTCTTTGATCCCACCTGGGATAGCTTAAAAGACCGTCTTTTGTCATGCATTCTTGTTGTCTGCCAGTGTTTTTCATACAGGCAAACACTGACTGACCAGATTCTCTGTAAAGCTATTGAGAACCAGTAACATGCTCACTGCGGGTTGGTACCATGTTGAATCCTGTGATGGGTAGCTTGGTGGATGTGATCTCAGGATATATGGTGTGGAAGGATACATTGTTCCTGACTTTTTCAAAAATGTCTCCAGAGAAATCTGGATTTGATATCAAAACCAGTGTTCTCCTTTTTTAAGGAGGAAACAGGTTGAGAGAGCTGACAGATTTGGTTTAGTAATATTTTCTAGTGTGAAGCATTATCTTGTATTAAAATCAAGTCCTGCCGTAAGTACCATAGACTATATAATATTTTGGTTTCTTTGAATGTTGATTATACTCAGGTAGTAGAAAGACTAAACCCTTTTGTAGTATACTGTTAATTTCAACTATAGTAAAAAATGAAATCCCAGAGGTTCTCCTCTCAGTCATTTTATGGCCGTCTTGTTAGATTGCGAGATTAAAGAAGTAGACCTCAATTTACAAGTTTGGATTGACATTCTATACCTGGCTCTTCTCCAAGAGTTGATCTCATTTTATCCAAAAACATTAGAAATCAAGCACACCAAATGTGGATTGACACAATAAATAATTTGCTACATTAGTTAAGCCACAATTAACTGGGTTAAACTTCCCTGGTCTGTCTAGTGCGAGTGCTCCAACTGATAATTCTCTAAACAAAATCTCACTTCCGTATCCAAACTAAAAACAGCAACAACAAAACCCTTAACCTGTTTCTTCTCAGAAGCCTTTAGTTTTGTATATTTAAATTCATGAAAGTGTCAGTAGTTTTTTTTTCTCTCTCCCCCTGCCATGGCTAGAAAAAAAAAGACTGAGTTTTTCCATAATATCTTTGTGTAGCTTCAGTTGTCAAATGGCATTTTGCTTAAATTGAAAAATATAAAATAAAGCAGCAAGCGAGGGCTTAAAAATTACAGCCAGCTTCTGCAGCTGTTGTTGAAGTAAAAAACTACCAGTAAATCCTTTTGCATTAGTTACACTAAATTTGTAACAGTCTATATTGCATGAAGTTGCTGAAAGTCTCTGGGGATGAAGAAAGAATAAATCTAACATAGAGGGAAATGATTAAAGTTGCAATATCCCTCTTTGCAAGTGAAAAGAAAATGTAGATCTCCCTTCTGGACCTAATCTAAGGACTTATAGGAAGGAAGAATGCATTTGTAAAATTTTAATGGGAAACAAAGAGTTTGATTATTCTAGTCCTACCAGGCAGAGCTTTTAATGGCATTTTGAGAGGGTCTCAGTTTTATCCATCACTGTTGTTAAAATACAGACTTGAACTAGTTTGTAAATGTATAGAAAATTGCTTCTTGTTCCCCCCTCCTTTTTTTTTGTTTTAGAGATGTAACAGGTATTTGCCCATGTGGTATTGTGATTTAAAATTATTCAGTTTGTTTTGGCTTTAAAAACAATATGTGTTTGTTTTAACAAGAGAAATAATCTGATTCCCTTGAGATAACTGTTGTTAACAGCCTTGCCTATGTCTTTTTCATATTGCCTTAAAAAATTAACATTTGGATGAAAAGCCATAATTTTGCGCTTTAAAATTTGATCTTGGAGGTGCTTTACAAAATGTTCTACATGGCGGTCCTTAGGAAGGATGTACTTTCTGAAATACACAAACGAAATTTTTTTACTGTTTCCTTCAACCCCTTCATTCCCCCAAAAACCCACAACATGGTTTTTCTTGGTCTTAATTTTTGTCTATCTTGAATTTCATTTTGTACCTGTTAGGAGGATTTCTCAGGGATGAAAAGGGAACCTGCTAGTAGGTCTGAGCACATAAATGCAGCAGTTCTGCTCCTTGTCCCTTAGGTAAATGCCGTCTTCTTTGCTAGCCACGTGTAGCATCTGTGAGAAGGATGTCTTCTTCCCTGTCCTGTGAGGAGAATCCTTACTCCTCCCCCTGGCTGTAGGAACAGTACTGGCCAAGCCCTCCCTTGAGATTGTCACCTGCTTAGTTGAAGGCTGTTGATTGATTTCCCTTTTCTATAATCCTTAATCCATTATCTTAAGGTGCTGAGACAAAACTAGTTGTGGGGGCCAATATTCTGTGGAGAAGGATTTTTTTCTTGCCTTTTCTCAATGAGAGAGATTGAGTTGGGCGTTGGTGGAAAGCACAAGTCGTCGCTAACCCCCCAAGGCACTGAGAGGATGGCAAGGTGATCTGAGAGACAGGCCAGTGCCCTGGCGGACACCTCTGGTCTTGGAGTTGCGAGAGCCCTCTCCTCGCCACCGAGGGTGTGGATTGGAGGGGAGGCATCCTGAGAGGCGCTCGGCTTGGTCCATGACTGCTCACCCAGGGCAAAGTATGAGTAGGAAAGAGCCCAGGGCTTCCTAGAAAATAGTTCTCCTGCTGGGAGGGAAAGAGAAAATACTATCTCGCTTAACCCATAGAGATAACTTTACTGAAAAATGAGAAGGAAATTGTTAAGAACTAGGAGTACTTTCGTTCCAAATAAGCCTTTAAAAAAAAAAGCCTTTTTAAAATAACAACCAAAGAAAGATTTTTTTGAAATGTGGATTACTTTAAATTTTTCACAGGAAAAGTGACTCCCTCAGTGTATTCCTTTGAAACCTGTTGTGAGAATCAGCTGCTGTCTTAAAGGAAGGGAGGGAGCTAGCTATCCCAGTGGGTGTGTGTGTGCTGATTTAGGGGCACCATTGGGGTCCACTGCCTTCCTGAAGTGTTCACTGTTACTTTAGACGATCCAAGGCTTATCTTAATGTTATACAAGGATAACAGAGATAAAGAAAAATCCACTAAAAATTGGGAAGTATTTATTTTAGCCTTTAGTTATAAAGACATTCCCAACTAGTTCTATTCAATCTGTACAAGAATCAAAATCAACTTACTTTTCCTACTCCTCACTGTTACCCTATTCCTCTGTGTGAGCCAATAGGCTTAAAGTGGCAGATATAACCAAGGAGGTTGAATTTAAGGAGCTCACAGAAGGAAAGAGAAATTCACATGTTGTCTCTTCCTCCACTTCAGGGTATTCCTGCCGATTGGTATCGCAGAATATGGCCCTTATCCTATTGAAGGAGGACTCTTTGGATGTAAGTAGTTTTTCAAAGTTGTATTTGCTTTGCTATAACAGTATTAAACTCTTTCTTTCTACTATCATTGATAATCAGGGATCATGTTTTGCTAAAAAACAGTTATGAAAAAACTGTGTTTATTTTCTGTTTATATTTATATTTAAGAATGGATGTCAGAAAGCCTTATCTTTAAACATCAAAACAGTAAGCTTAGAATATTGCCTCATGATAATACTTTTATTCATCTAGAATTGTGCATTTAAAATGGGATAGTTTTAATCTGATTTAGCTTTAATCATTAAGTATGAAATATTAGTGGAACCTATTATGACCTACATTAAATGGTGATGGTTAATTTCACTATAAGTTACTAAGGAGACATGTATGATTTTCTTTCTAGCACAAACTTTAGAATAAAACTAATATTCAAGTGTTAAGCATTGTTTAAATTTATATAGTGAGGCCAGGTGCAGTGGCTCATGCCTGTAATCCCAGCATTTTGGGAGGCGGAGGCAGAAGGATCGCTTTAACCAAGGAGTTCCAGACCAGCCTAAGCAACACAGCAGGACCTCATCTCTACAAAAAATGGAAAAATTGGCCAGCCGTGGTGGCATATGCCTGTAGTCCCAGCTGCTTGGGAGGCTGAGGCTGGAGAATTGATTGAGCCTGGGATGTGGATGCTACAGTGAGCCGTGATCGTGCCACTGCTTTCCAAGCTGGGTGACAGAGTGAGACTCTGTCTTGAAATAATAATAATACATTCGTATAGTAATAGGATACATGTATACTTAATTCTCTGATGTCCCAATGCTGCCGCATGAACCCACCCCATCATGGCATAAAGCCACTGAACAGACCAGCAGTGGGAGCTGATTTGAGGGTCACCAGCAACCTGTGAAGTGGTTTGATATGAAAATATGAGCTGAACAATGAGATTCCACTTGTCAGAACTTTTAACAAGGGCTTTGTTACTGGCAGGCACCCATAGCACCCTTTCAGGCAGTATATTTAATATTTATATTTAGCCAATGCCAGGGGCAGATGGCACGGTTAATTACTCTTTTAAAGGGAGGCAATAAAGTACAGAGCTTTCTATACTTGCAAATTGAGAGGGCCATAACTCCTATCGTGAACACCAGGATACTCTCTACCCCTTCATGAGACCAAGGGCAGGAGGCAGGGGGAGAGTCCGTAGTTCTGTATGTTTCCAAGGCACCACTGGCAAGAGACCACCCTCTGGCGTGAGTGCTTCAGAATTCATCTCGGTACACCTCCTATCCTTGTTCATGTTACTGCCTGCAGGCAGCCCAGAGTCCCAGGTCATACCTCATCTCCTGGAGTCTAATTCTCACATGCTCTGAGGAAATCTCTCCTCTACCCAAGTGTTTCAGTCTTCCCCCTCTCACACGTCTTTATTTTTCTCCATGGAACCTCTCATCATTGGAAATACTATGTGTGTGTGTGTGTGTGTGTGTGTGTAAATTGTTGTGAAATACATCATTTAAGTGTACAGTTCAGTGGCATTAAGTATATTCATATTGTTGTGTAACCATCACCACTATCCATCCACAGAACTCTTTTCATCTTCCCAAACCAAAATTCTGTGCCCCTTTGAACAACTACTCTCCATTCCCACACCTACCTCATCCCCTGGCAGTCATTCTGCTTTGTGTCTCTATGAATTTCACAGCTGTAAGTACCTCGTGTAAGTTCAATCATATAGTATTTGTGATTTTTATGACTAGCTCATTTCATGTAACATAATGTCTTCAAGGTTCATCCATATCGGACCATGTGTCAGAATTTCGCTCCTTTTTAAGGCTGATTAATATTCCATTGCATGCCTATACTACATTTTGTTGATTCATTAATCCATCAGTGGACAGTTGAGTAGCTTATAACTTTTTTTTTTTTTTTTTTTTGAGACGAAGTCTCACTCTCTTGCCAGGTTGGAGTGCTGTGCCAAACGAGGCTCACCGCAACCTCCAATTCCTTGGTTCAAGTGATTCACCTGCCTCAGCCTCCTGAGTAGCTGGGATTACAGGCATGCGCCACCATGCCTGGCTAATTTTTGTATTTTTAGTAGAGATGGAGTTTCACCATGTTGGCCAGGATGGTCTCAATCCAACTTTTGACTATTGTGAATAGTGCTGCTATAAATGTGGATATACAAATATCTTTTTGAGATCCTGCTTCTAATTTTTGGGGACATATACCCAGAAGTGGAGTTGCTGAATCATATGGTAATTTTACATTTCACTTTTTGAGGAACAGCCATACTGTTTTTTTACAGCAGCTGCATCGTTTTATATGGTTTGTGATTTTTCCATATTCTTGCCAACACTGGTTTTTTTTTTTTTAATAGTAGCCACTCTAATGGGTTTGAGAGTGGTATCTCATTGGAGTTTTGATTTGTATTTCCCTAATTATTAGTGACAATGGACATCTTTACATGTGCCTTTTGGTCATTTGTATATCTTCTATGGAGAAATGTCTATTCAATCCTTTGCCCATTTTTTAATCAGGTTTTTTTTCAGTGTTATGACATAATTTGTATTTTTTCTACCTCCCTTTAGTCCCTTAGACTGTAAGGTCCATGGTTAAAAACCTGTTTAAAAAAACTGGGCATCTCCACCTTCAAGACCTTGCTTTGCACATATTATGCACTCAGTAAATGTTTGAATGAATGAACAAGCTTAAGATAATTTTCTAGTCATCAATAAGAATTTCTATTTAAAAGTCATGCTGATGAGATAGTGGCTACAGTAGCCATGAGGGGCTGAGTACAAGTTGATGTTACTAAGAAGTAGAAAATGAGTAAGCCAAAACACCGCATCGGTGGACAGGAGAGCAGAGTGCTCCTGCAGAAAGGCTCCTAGAACCCTTGGATGTGTGCACATACCTTATGAACACACCCACAGTGTCTGTACTTGAGGCTTCCTTTTTTTCTGATGATTTTCTGGTTCAAAGGTATCTCTAACCTTGAAAAAAGCCTCCTTTTTCTGGAGGTAACTCAGAAATGAGCCTCTGTTTTCCCCTTATATCAGATGTTTTCTGGAGTCCAAGAGATGAACTTTAACTCTACATACACATTGAGACTTCTGGTTTACCTAGACCAAAGAGTGGTTTGTGACGCCAAACTGAGAAGGGTTTTATGGGTGTTTTCCTGACTTGCCTTGGTTTAACCTTCTAAGAATGATTCTTTCTTAACTAATTTTGAACTTCATCTTTTAGTATAATGACTGTAATTTATTCAGTATCTACTGAGCAGAGGTGCACTTTCTATGTACTGTTTTTGTTCATTATTCAAAAGGACACTCCATATTTCTGACTAGTGTCTACTGAGGAAGATTCTACTCCTTCCTTGCCTTCTCCTCCCTCTCATGCTTTAGTTGGGTTAAAACCATTCCTATTCTTATTAAAATCGTATTTGGTGGTGGGGAGGGGGATAAAAGCAGCGTCCTAGCGCAATAAAGTAGATATACAGTAGAGCTTTGGTGGAGCTCCCAGGTTGAGAATTTAAGTCTCAGGGCTCCAATAACAATGCAGATGGGACAGGGACACAGAAAATGGCCCAACAATTAGAAGCATTTGGCCTGGCTTCTCTTTATTTCATCTCTCATATAAGTGTGAGGGGATCCACACCTGGCCCCTATCAGTTTCATCAGACCAGTAAGTATGGCCAGGTTCGGACTCCAAATGCTGTAAACAATTAGGATTTATGTCTGTGTTTTGAGTTTGTCATATGCTGCCAAAATAACTTCTAAGCTCCATAATATAGATGAGATCAGTGGTCTTTGAACAAGGTGGAGTGATGGTGTGCACCCCAGGGGGACACTAGATGATATATTAAAATGCTGGAAAAAAAGTTGTGGTTTCCTATTTTTTCAGTTAGAAAAGTACTGAGAGATTAGCT
Source organism: Homo sapiens (assembly GCF_000001405.40). NCBI lineage: Eukaryota > Metazoa > Chordata > Mammalia > Primates > Hominidae > Homo > Homo sapiens. The sequence continues at coordinate 25,593,598 of NC_000013.11, forward strand.
TTATTGATAATACGTAAGGATTGCCACTGGCATCCTCAATTTTTTTTCCTGGCACACTGACCAGAAATTGGTCTGAGAGGAATGGGTAGGAGGAGGGAGGCATGGCGTTTCAAGTGAGAAAGGTTGTTACTGAGACTCTCACTCTTTGATTTGCTTTTAGCCAATTGTGAAATATTGCCATTCATGTGTATTGGTTAAATGGACTTGTGGACTAGAGTTAGTTTTCATTAAAATGACTCTCACAGATGCTGACTTAATAGAATTCCTGTTAAAAAAATAAGTGAATTGAGGATAACAACATTGTAAGCAGAAGCTGCAATAATTTGCCTTGCTCAATGTGTGTGCTAGTTCCAGCTCTTCTCAGCTACTTGATAGTTAAAACAGTGATCTGATCTGACAGACACAGCAAATTTCAAAATTATTCACAAGATTATTATAATTAACCATAAACTTTGTCCTAAATGTATATGGTATCTTGAAATATTAGCTGTGGTAACATGAAATTGTAGGAATTAATGAGATTTTAAAAACTAAGAATCTTGAGTAAGAGAATAAAAATCTACAACTTTACCAGCAATTTATTTTTTAAAGAATGTAGTAATCTAATCATTTACTCTAAAATTTCACAAAATCTACTGCAAATTCGTGAATGATAAATGTCTTTGATATTTGTTAGTAAAGGACAAAAAGTGCTGAGTTACTTGGAGAGCATTTGGTTTTCCTGCTGCAATAATATAGAGAACGCAGTGTAGCAATAATTAAGTTGAATATGGGTGGAAGACCTATACAAAACCTTGCCAGGATTTATGTGTGTGTGTGTGTATTTAAAAAATTTTTTATTTCTATAGGTTATTAGTGAACAGGTGGTATTTGGTTACATGAGTCAGTTCTTTAGCGGTGGTTCGTGAGATTTTGGTGCACCCATCACCCGAGCAGTATACACTGAACCCGATTTGTAGCCTTTTATCCCTTCCCACCCTTTCCCCCAAGTCCCCAAAGTCCATCGTGTCATTCTTATGCCTTTGCATCCTCATAGCTTAGCTCTCACTTATGAGTGAGCACATACGATGTTTGGTTTTCCATTCCTGAGTTACTTCACTTGGAATAATAGTCTCCAATCTCATCCAGGTCACTGTGGGAATGTAAACTAGTACAACCACTATGGAAAACAGTGTGGAGTGTCCTTAAAGAACTAAAAGTAGAACTACCATTTGATCCAGGAATCCCAGTACTGGGTATCTACCCAGAGGAAAAGAAGTCATTGTACAAAAAAGATACTTGCACACACATGTTTATAGCAGCACAATTCACAGTTGCAAAAACCTGGAACCAACCCAAATGCCCATCAAACAACGAGTAGATAAAGAAACTGTGGTGTGTGTGTGTGTATATATATATATATATATATATGTATGTATGCGTATATGTATATGTATATATATATATAATGGAATACTACTCAGCCATAAAAAGGAATGAATTAATGGCATTTGCCAAGGTTTCTAAGAAACAAGTAATTAAACAAATTGTGAAACATAAGAGATTTACTACATATTTGGATAAAAGTGTAGTTTCTAACGTGTTTCAACGTATGGAATAAACCAAAGGTTATTGTTATTGAGAGGCCATCAAAAGAAAGATGTACTGGCAAAGATGTGTTTGCTCAGAGCAAAGCATTAATTCTTTAACACAAAAGGTTTTATGAAATAAGTATGTACAGTCACTGATGGAATGGCTACTGTGGAATGAAAATGGAATCAGATAAAATTCATTAATGATGCCTGCGGCAGAGACTACATTTTCCAGCCTCTCTGTGGATGGGTGTGGCCATAAGATTAAATTCTCACTGGTGGAATGTGAGCAGAAGTGAGGTGCGACCTTGTGCATTACCCATTGAGAAGGAAATCTCTTGCCCTGGTTCCTCAGCCCTTCCCATTTTGCTGGCTGGAAATGGTATAAGGCTGGAGCTACTTTGGGGGCTATTTATTGGCAACATCAGAGTTGCTCCCCTCGATTGGGCCCCTGGATGACTTTGGGAAACAGAATCTGCAGATTCCCTCTGGAATGTTTTTCTGAGAAAAGGTTATATATTTTGAACTGTTGCATAGGTGGTAGTCTCTTTGTTTATCCTCACCCTACTAATCGTACAGAACCTGATATTAAAAGTAGGGTCAATACATGGTGCTCCAGCATGACACAGTGCAGGGCTGTCCTCAGAGAGAGAGGAGGAGGGTCTGATGCTGCTGGCCAAGGAGAGCTAACAGGATTTGAAGGTCAAGGGATTTGGATTCATTCAAACCAATACATGTGTCCTCATTCAGGTTCTTAAGGTCCCACTCTTTCCCATCAGCGCCCTAACTTTCATGAAAGAGACCTGGTTAGTCTAGGACTACAACATTCATTGAATTCTACAACCCACAGAATTAACTTTTTAGGCTGCATATGTCGGGCTGCTATGAGAGAAGAGGTTCTCTTAGTCTGTCATAGAGACTCTCTTGTCTTCTGACTTTGTCTTGACCTCTGATTTTGCAATTTTCATTCTTTAAGCTTCCCAGTGCAGTGAGAAGTGGCTGACCTATCCTTAATCTTGTATTATTTCTGCTCTAATGGTATATTTCAGTAGCTGCTTGATCTGCCACAGACTTGGCTTTAATAGGCAGTTGTTACAAATTGATCACAGGTAATGATTTTAAATCAGCTCTATTGAGATACAGTTTACATACCTACAATTAAATGTACCAATTTTAAGTGTACATGGTGATATATTTTGACAAATGTATATAAGCATGTAATCACCACCCCATTTAAAATATTGAACATTTACATGATCTCAAAAAGTTCCAGCCCTCCATATCCCCAGGCAAGCACGCGGACCTTCTTTCTAACACAATGGATTAATTGTGCTTGCTTAGAATTTCATATGAAGACTGTCTTTTTGTCTGGCTTCTTTCATTCAACACAATTATTTTGATATTCATCCATGTTGCTGTGTGTATCATCTGTTCATTCCTTTTTTCGCTGGGTATTTCATTTTATGGATATTCCACAATTTGTTTATTCGTTCACCTGTTACAGGACATTTTCATTATTTTCAGTTTGAGGTTATTATGAATAAAGCTGCTGTAAGGGTTTTGTTCTGTGCAAGTTTTGGTGAACATCTGTTTTTGTTTTTCCTGGGTAAATAGCTAGGAGTAAAATTCTTAGATTAGAGGGAAGATATATGTTTAGCTTTATAAGAAATTGCCAAACAATTTCCATTTTACACTCCTGCTAGTATTACCTGCGAGTTTTCATTTTTGCGTATCTTCACCGGTGTTTGGTACTGTCAGTCGTTTTAATTTTAGCCATTCTAGTGGGTGTGTATTATTGATAATATCTCATTGTGACTTTAAGTTATATTTCCCTGATGACTAATCATGTTGATTTTCTTGTGCTTATTGGTCATTTAAAAATCTTCCTTTGTTGAAGTCTCTGTCAAACTTTTGCCCATTTAAAAAAACATGTTATATGCTTTTTAAAATTACTGAATTCTAAGAGTTTTCTGAATATATAATTTGGATATAAACCCTGTTTCATAGATGTCTGTTGCAAATTTTTTTTTTACCAATCTTTGTCTTGCCTATCCATTTTCTTACCAGTGTTAGGGAAAATAGACCCTAGGCTGGCCTCCAATAATTCCTGCCTCCTGGTGTCTACACCTTTGCCTAATTCCCTCCCCTTGAGTGTGTGTGGAACCTTTGACTTGATTTTAACCAGTAGAATATGGCAAAGGTAATGGAATGTCACTCCCTTGCATGATATAAGAGTCCATCTTAGCAGATTGGAGTGAGAGACTTTTCTCCATTGATGGCTTTAATAAGTAACTGGCTATGTTGTGAGAAGGCCTATGGAGAGGGCCATGTGGCAAGAAATTGCAGACAGCCTCTAGTAGCTGAGAGTGGCCAAGCCTACAGCCAGCAAGAAAATGGAGACCTCAGTCCGACAATCACCAAGAGATGAATCCTGCCAACAACCTGAGGAAGGCTGGAAACAGGTACTTCTCCAGTCAGGCCTTGAGGTGAGACTCCAGCTTAGCCAACACCTTGATTACAGCCTCATGAGGTCCTAAGCAGCAGATTTAGCTAAGCTGTGCATGGATTTCTTATGAGAAATTGAGATGATAAATATGTGTGGTATTCTACGTTGCTAAATTTCTGTTAATATGTTTCATAACTATAGAAAAGCAGTATAAACACCTTTTGAAGAGCCAGAAGTTTTTTGTTTTTTTTTTTAATTTTGTTGAAGTCAAAATTTCTTTCTCATTTTCTTCTTCTTTTGCTGTGATTAGAGCTTTGGTGCTCTCTAAGAGATATGTACTTACTCTAGGACTGGGAAGAGTGCCTCTTGTGTTTACTTCCAGGAGTTTTGTAGTTTTAGCTTGTAAGTTTAAGTCTGTGATCCATTATTGTGCATGGTATGAGGTAAGGATTGAGGTCCAGTTTATATCCCGTATAGTTATCTAGTGTTTACAGCATCATTTGTGAAAAATACTACTACTTCATCATTGAAATACCTGTGCTTTTGTTGGAAACCTATTGAGCATATATGTGACTCTTCCTCGACCCTCTAATTTATTGCATTTGTGTATGTATCCCTCTTTGTGCCCAATTCCACATTGTCTTCAATATGATAACTTTATAACAAGTCTTGAGATCCTCCAACTTTATTTTTTTTAAAGACTGTTTTGGTCGTTTCAGGACCTTTGCATTTCTGTATACATTTTAGAATCAGGCTGTAGATTCCTCCAGAAAGCCTATTGGGATTTTTATGGAGATTTTCCGAAAATTTATGTGTGGATTTAATGCAATTTGACACTTTAATGGGATTGATATTTGCATTCTATGAACGTGGGATATCTCTCATTTACTTAGGTCTTTAAAATTACTCTCAGCAGTATTTTGTAGTTTTCAGTGTACAGGACTTGTGCACGTCAAATTTGCTTTTTCTGATTATAATGGCTCCTTTTGATTCTTCCATTTCTCTTCATTGTATTTATGCATTCCTTTTAATCCTTTAATATTGTTATGATAGCTCATTTAAATTCCTCCTCTGCTAATTCCACTTCTTTGTCATTTATGGGTCTGTTTCTATTTGCTTACTTCTTTTGTTTGTTATAGGTCACATTTTTCTGTTATTTTGCATGTCTAGTAATTTTTTTTATTGTATGATGGTTATTTTGTGATTGAGTGTCTAGATTCTGTTGTTTTCTTTTAAAGAATATTGTGTTTTGGCAGGCAGTTACTTGTGAGTTTATAGTTTACTCTAGAACTACTGCAGCTTTCCTACCAAGTTATAACCTGTTGGTGCTGCTGCCTAAGACCCCAAGTGTTCCCTATGGTTTTTCCACTGTCAGTGCTGGAACTTAAGTATCTTCCAATCATGCATGAGCCCTGGGAATTTTTTTTTTTATCTTACAGCACTGATAGTTGTTCTTTTTTCATATATATGAGAAAAAATATATGTATCTATTTTAGGGTTTTCTTTCCCCAAATTTCATGTCATGTCCCTGTACATGTGCATAAATTAGCATTTGCTTAAAGAGCCAAGGGGACCCTTACAGATGCTTGAGCTCTTTCTCTGTGCAGTTCCTTCTCTCCCATATGCTGCTTTGCAGCTCCTAGCCACCCAGCATTCTCTAACATTCTTTGTCTCCTCATAGCAGTGAGAACATCATCCTCTGGGTTCCTCTTCCCTGAATCACAATTTGGGAAGTACCTCTGGTTAGAAAGCTTCAGCTGTCATCGGCTCACCTCATGAACTTCTCTTCTTCTGAGGATTGTCTTCCTGTGTTGCCTGTTATCCAGTGTCTGAAAACAGTGTGTTTCATACACTTTCCCAGTTTTCTGGCTGTTTATAAATCTTGTATACTAGTTACTTTACCACGCCTAGAGGCAAAATGTAAGTAATCACTCTGCCTCTGTCTTTGATAAATATTAATTTCCAGTTTAAAGACCTGTATCACTTGGGTTTTTCTTTTGTAATAATTTATTGCCCCTAGTGTGTGGCCAGTTATCTCTGATTTTGAGAATTCCAGGGAAACTTAGCTGGATCAGGAGAAAAGAAGACCAGAATAGTGCATCTGTTTCACCTCTGGGTTCCAGGGACGAGGCAGGATGATGACTGCAATGGCAAGGAAAGCCATTGAATGATCACTTCAGTAGCTATTTTGGTCCTACTTGCCATGGACAGCTAATATCTTTTTTCCACTGATGATTAGGTCATCAGTGCCTTCAAACCCAAGCAAAAGAAATAATTAATGCCAGTTTTTCACCTTTGGAATATTTCTTAGAACCACTTCTGATACCAACTATAGGAACAGTCAGAGTTCCATGCAGGAAATGGTGACCGTCAAGTTCTGCTCAGGAGATAAAAACCACATCTGGTCTCTGAACAGAGTGGTTTCAATGTTAAGAATTGTTAATTAAGTTATGGAGTTTGCTAACTAGGTAACTAAGAGTACAGTAAGAAAACTCTAGGGCAGGGATTGGCAAAGTACAACCCTCAGGAGAAATCTGACCCAACATCTCTTCCTGCAAATAAAGTTTCATTGAACACAGACATCCCCAAGGCTAGGTTAAAGAAGTGATTGTCAAGGGAATTGCGAGCAGACAAGAAGCAAACAAGAAGGAGCACATTTCTTTCTTTGTCTCCAGCTTTGGAGTCTCTCATTCTCTCTCTGCCCCTCTCCTGCTGGCAGGGCCTAGAGCCACCTGTGAGTGAGGAGTGTGGTTGGTAGTTCCTACTCCAGTAGCATAGGCTGAACACAGAAGGGAGCCTGGACAGTGAGAGATGTTAACAGCTGGCACAGAAATGAATTTCAAGTGTAAAGATTTAAAATAGGAAATTAGGTGCTTGTGAAATTATTGGGAAAGTGGAAGGAGCGGAAGGAGCAGAAGCCAGCGAGCCCTAGAGAGGCTTCAGGTCCATGCCCTGCAGCTTTGTTCCCGGAGTCAGAGCACTATTGCTGCTACCCAGGAGACCTCAGGGAGCCACTGCCAACGTCCTGGCATCCTTACACCCATGAAGCCAGGTCGAGATGGTAGAATGTGGTCTCTTCATGCTCTCTCTCCTCTCTGTCTTCCCAATCTTAAGCAAATGCATCTTGTTGATAGAATTCATGCAGCATCTTGGTAAGAAAGGAGTCTAAGAAATATGGCTTTAAGCCTTCCAGTCTCTGAAATACAGGGAAGAACATGGAAGAAGACAGAAATAAATACCGAAGCCAGCAGATAATATCTAGCACCAGCTCACCTGTAGGCAGGAAGTAGGCATCAGGAGGACACGGGATACTACAAGATCGCACGGATGTGGTCTATTCCATAAAAGTCAGACCTTTAACATTCAGTCGATTCTTCATGGTACTTTGCAGTGACAGGTAGAGTGACCATGAACATCTCGTGGACCACACAGAAGTTGACTATTTTGTTTCTGTTGTTATTCTCATGACAAAGAACAGTTGTCCAGGTTAAAGATGATGAAGGATGGCATAAGGGTCAAGACAACATCTGGGGCGCTAACAGGGTGAAACTCCTGCTTTCTGTACTTAGAAAAGTCTTTGCCCTATGGTAAATTCTCATAGTAAGTCGTAGTTAACTATTTTCAACTTTTCTTTTAGAAAAGTCCAGTTTTCCAATTTGATCTTTTCTCTGATGACAGGTGGTTCGTGGTAAGCGATCTACACATGTATAATATGCATAGGCATAATGTCATCATTTGTTGCTTTAAGATGAATACGATGTTTTCATGTGGGATATGATGAAGGCTTTTTTGGGTTTAGAGAGACCACTTTGAAAAGATATGTTTAGAAATAATTAAATTGTTTGTTTTGTTTTGTTTTGTTGTTTGTGTTGTTTTTTGAGACGGAGTCTCGTTCTGTCACCCATGCTGGCGCCATCTCAGCTCACTACAACCTCTGCCTCCTGGGTTCACGTGATTCTCCTGCCTCAGCCTCTCAAGTAGGTGGGACTACAGGCGCGCTACAGGCATGCACCACCAGGCCCGGCTAATTTTTGTTTTTAGTAGAGACAGGGTTTCACCATGTTGGCCAGTTGCTGTCGAACTGAACTCAAGTGATCCACCCACCTTGGCCTCCCAAAGTGCTAGGATTACAGGCGTGAGCCACTGCGCCCGGCCAGAAATGCTTGTATTGTTAACGTGATTTTTTATTACACAAAATGTGGGTCACATATTTTAAACAGAATACTAAGCAGCCTCTCCAGTAACAAAAGCTCATGGTCCGTTGAGTGCTTTTTCATGAGTGCCTAGCACTTTATATAAATTATCTCTCTTAACCCTCTTAGCAACTCTGTAAGGTCATGAAATATTCTTTTTTCAAGGTTATTGCTAAAATTTTTGATAGAAACTTTCTATTTTTTTTTCCTACCATCTGCTAAAAAATTCCTGATACTCTTGCCTACTTGGTAAGATTACTTTGTAATTAAACTTGCTTATCAACATTTTTTGTGTGTGTGAAGGTAGTAAGATTGTGGTATACTAGAAATGTTGCTTGAACAATTTTTTTCTAATTTGTTTTTAGGCATGTCCAATTAATAATTCTTTTAATCCTTTGAAGGCACTTGCATTTTAAGGTCAGAGAGACAATTATAAAACATTTTTTCTTAGGGTTCTGTAGTAAGTGTTATTGAGGAATGTCAGCAGGATGAGGAAACAGGGCTGGCGGGGAGGGGAGAAGCTGCTGTGTTGTGTAGGTGGTAAAGGAAATGCTCTCTAATGAGATGACTTTGGAGCCGACTTGCTGGGAGGGAACCATGGGGCTGTCTGGACAGGAGATGGCACCTCCCACTTTGCCTGGAGCAGTCTCAATTTGCACCTGTTTTCCTGGCATAGATTTAAGACTCCCCTTTTTACTCCCAAAGTGCCTTGGTTTGGAGGGTAAAATTGTATGATCACCCTGTATCTGGAGGAATTGTGCTTCAGGCAGATGGTCCAGCAAATGCAGAGGCAAAGGCCGATGCTCCCCACTGCATTTGAGCAGTGTGTGGCTGGAGGGGAGAGTGAAGAGGGAGCCAGAGAGACAGCATGAACTCATCCTGTAGCAGTGTAGAGCATTGTTAGGAGATTCTGAGTGAAATGGGTGTCATTGGAATCTGAGAAGAGTGACATGATCTGATTTACCTTTTAAAAGGATATCTGGGCCAGGCACAGTGGCTTATGCCTGTAATCCCAGCACTTTGGGAGGCAGAGGCGGGCAGATCATGAGGTCAGGAGTTCAAGACCAGCCTGGCCAATATGGTGAAATCCTGTCTCAACTAAAAATACAAAAAAATTAGCCAGGCATGGGGGGGTGTGCCTGTAGTCCCAACTACTTGGGAGGCTGAGGCAAAAGAATTGCTTGAACATGGGAGGTGAAGGTTGCCGTGAGCCGAGATCGTGCCACTGCACTCCAGCCTGGGCAACAGAGTGAGACTCCATCTCTAAATAAATAAATAAGTAAAAGGGTATCTGTTCTTCTTTGTGTCTCTGTGTATTTGACTCCTCTAGGTCCCTCATGTAATAGTCTTATTGCTCTTTGACTTGGTAATGAATACTCTACCATTAAAAGGAGTCTTGGCTAGGCACGGTGGCTCACGCCTGTAATCCCAGCAGTTTGGGAGGCCAGAGTGGTTGGGTCGCTTGAGCCCAGGAGTTCAAGAGCAGCTTGGGCAACATGGTGAAACCCTGTATCTACAAAAAATACAAAAAAAATTTAGCCAGTGTGGTGGTGCTTGCCTGTAGTCTCAGCTACTTGGGAGGCTGAGGTGGGAGGATGGCTTTAGCCCAGGTGGCAGAGGCTGCAGTGAGTCGAGCCTGGGTGACAGAATGAGACTCTGTCTCAAAAAAAAAAAAAAAAAAATTTTAAAAAGAGTATCTGGCTGCTGGAGTGAGCAGAGACTAAAGCTGAAGGGAGGCAAAGGCATGGAGGCAGGAGCCCACCTAGTAGCTGGGGATGCTGATCCAGGCAGAAGATGATGGGGGTGTTGGAGTGGAGGTTGTGGTATTGGTGATGGGAGGTGGTGAGATTCTGGGCATATAGTATTTTGATAGTAAAGCTGACAGGGTTTGCTGATGTATTGGATGTGGGATAGAAGAAGGTTAAGACCCGAGGGGTTTGGATCTGAGCAATTGGAAGGATCAGGTTGCCATTTCTGAGAAGAGGAAGACCATAGGAGGAGCAGGTAAGGTGGGGGAATAAGGAATCTTTTTTGGGCATTTTAAGGTTGAGATAACTCTTAGATATCCTTAGGGCAGTTGAATATGTGTGTTTGGGAAATCAGGGGAAAGGTCTATTATGGAGAAAAATACTGAGTAATAGTCTGTGTAGTGTTTTCAATTCTGTGAGGCTGAATCAGGTCACCAGGATTGATAAGAGATAGCAAATCTCAAGAATTCAGCTCTTGTGGGTGGTGGGGTGGGGGGTACTTCATTGTTTAAAAGTTTGAGAGAGGAGAGGCAGCAAAGGAGATCAAGAAAATATGGCCATTGAGGTAAGTAGAGAAGCAAGAGAGTTTGAGAAAATATGGACATTGAGGTAAGTAGAGAAGCAAGAGGGTTTGGCATTTTGGAAACCAACTGGAACAAAGTCTTTCAAGAAGAAGGGAAGGAACTGCTGTATTAAATGCTGCTAATGGGTTCAGTGAAATGAGGTCTGAGAAATAATTATTGGATTTAGCAGCGTGGAGGTCATGGGTGACTTGTCAGGAGCTGTCTGGGGCATTATGGAGATGAATGCTTGATTGGAGTGAGTGCAAGGAATTGGGTGGAGAACAACTGGAGAAAACAAAAGAAGTTTACAGTGAGTTTTGCTGAAACTTCTTGTAGGTCTTAGGTTAGCATGGTAATGGATTTCCCTATCATGGTGAGCAAATTAATGGGTAACTTTATTTTTCCAAAATGTGTAGTAAACTATGATTTTTAAAGTAATTCAACCAATAAAATGAATATTCTTTCTTTTAACATTTCCTCTGTTTAATTGAAAGTGGTAGATATTTGTTATTAATGGTCTTGAAATAATTATTTGAATCAGTCAGAACTTTAAACTTAATGTACCAAGCTCTTTATAATCTAAGAATCTTATTTTTGTTTATGCTTTTCACAAAACAAAGGTGGGTAGTATTAGTATTCCTGTATTCTACTGTAGCTACATAACAAATCATTCCCATCCAATGGGTTTGTTTTTGATAGATAGTCCATGTTTGTGAAATCTAGCTTTTGGAAGGGGTGGAACTCAAAAGTCCTTGTCCGTCTTTTGTGCTAATGGTACTCTTGAAAGCCCCAACTCACAGAGAGAGACAGGCATGCATCATCTGTCAGGGAGCCTGACAACTCTTGACTTACCACTGTTGGCTTTCTAAGTGAAGAAAATCAGTAATTACATGGTGCATCATAAAGGTATATCATGAAAAATGTTGAATGTCAACAGCGATGATGGTTCTTAAGCTGAGATAACAACCTACTTTGTTGTGACAATGGAGTCTCAGGGTATTGTAAGAGAAAAATTATTATATGAAAGGCTAACATCTGTCAAGTTCCTTCGTCAGTGAACTTTATTCTGTGGTCAAATTTCTAAGCATAGTTCTTCCTATATAAGGTAACTTATGTAGACCTGGACATGTTTTATTTGGAATGACTTCCATGATGTGTCTAAGACAGAACCTTTGATGTAGTTCACTTGATTAATGGGATTATAGCCATCAAGCTTTGTTCTGAGGATAATTTAGGTTTTCTGGCAATCTAATAGTTTTAAACCTCATTTGCCCACATTTAAAATTACCCAATTCATTTAATGTTGAAAAATATATATTAATGAGGAAAAAGAAAAATGAAAAATGTTCTCTGGGTAGACTTCCATTACCCAGAGAACTGGAATAAGTAGAAGTATATAGTTTATATAAATTTTTGGCTCTTTTAATTCACTAATAATACAATAACCTTGTGTGTATGTAGTGTATATACATATATGCCTGTGTGTATATTGGTAGCCATTTTTTAAAAAATGCAACTACTCACAATAGATATTCATGTTAACCTAGTTTTTTCTCTCGTAGCTGAGATTGTATCTCTAGATCAACTAATATGTAGCTGCAGCTCGGTTTTAGAGAACTATGTAGATAACATTTTGTATATTTCTGTGATTTATTTAAACCTTCTCTTACTTTTGGACATTGAGGTTGTTTCTAACCTTTAATGTCTAGGAAAAGATCTCATTTTGTTTTCTACTGTTTATTTTGTTAGAATAAATTCCTAGAAGGCTCCTAGGTCAAGAGAAATATGCCTTCTTGAGTGGAGGTAATCTATATTCACACACACTTAACACACGTATGTACATATAAATCCATATACTCCTTCTTGCCCTCCAAGTAAATTCTGCCAGTTTAATTGTAATTTATTTACTAGGGAATGAAAAGAGCTTACCACAGTTCTGCACGGGTAATATAAATGTTGGAAATGTGGGTATTTTCTCAGTGTTGTTTGTGGAATTAAAATCCTCTGAAATGAGGTTGCATTTAATATGTTCTAAATTTGAGGCTATCATAGCAAAAATGATATCTTAATAGATGGCTGCATAGCTCATAACCTGAAACACTGATGAACTTTCCATTTACATAGCTGTCTCCTGCCTTTCCTATTTGATGTGCCATAGGAGGTGAACCATGAAAGGTAGTAGCTGTTGCTGACACTGCTTCTGTTTGAATGATTATTTTCTTTTAAATTTTCCAATCTTAATTGTACGATTTAAGAACATGTTGAAGAAGAATGATTCATTGGCAGGTAAAAACTAAAGCCTACTCTATAAGTTGGAACATGGTTATTATTTCTTAGAGATTAGCTCTCTACTCTGCTTTCAATAGGGAAGTTCTTGACTTATTAAATTGCCAGTCTCCTTCATCCAGCTGAATGGTCTAGTTCTTCTACTTAAATTTAAATTATAAGCCTACTGGAAAGTATTTTTGTCCAACTGAGCATATTCATTTCGTTATTCAGGTACTTTTGCCCCTTATTACCAGGAAATTAAATGTAAAAATAGTGTGAAACAAAATGATTGGTATACTTAAACACCCCCAGACACCCATCCACCCACACATTTTCTATAGAGGGTTAATGAGAAGTGAAAATGTTTTTCTGTGCTATCCATTGTAATAGTTGCTAGTCACATGTGGTTATTAATCACTTGAAACATAACTAGTTTGGTTGAGGAACTATCAATTTTAAGTAATTTAAATTTTAATAGCCACATGTGACTAGTGGCTACTGTACAAGGCAGCAGAGTGTAGATAATTTTCAAGGGTCCCCGACCCCCAGGGCACGAAACAGTACTGGTCCATGGCCTGTTAGGAACTGGGCCACACAGCAGGAGGTGAGTGGCAGGCGAGCTCCCATTTACCACGTGAGCTCCACCTCCTGTCAGATCAGCAGTGGCATTAGATTCTCACAGGAATGGGAACCCTATTGTAAACTGGGCATGTGAGGGATCTAGGTTACATGCTCCTTATGAAAATTTAACTAATGCCCGATGATCTGAGGTGGAACAGTTTCATCTTGAAACCATCCCCCACAACCTGTGTTAAAATTATCTTCCACAAAACGGGTCCCTGGTGCCAAAACAGTTGGGGACTGCTGCCCTAGGACAAGGGCTGGCCAGCTCTGGCGAGTGCGACAAATCCAGCTCACCACTTGTTTTTATAAATAAAGTTTTATTGAAACACAGCCATGCACACTGATGTACTGTCAATGATCACTTCAATGCTACAAAGGCAGAGTTGAGTACAGATGCCCCTCGACTCATATTGGGTTTACTTCTGGATAAACCCATTGTAAGTTATAAGTTGAAAATAACGTTTAGTACTCTGATAAACCGATTGTTAAGTCAAAAAATCGTAAGTTAAACCATCAAAGTCAGTGACCATCTGTAGTTGCAACACAAACCGCATGGCCCACAAATTGTAACATATTTACTATCTGGTTCTTTACCAAAAGTTTAGTGACCCCCTGCCCTGTGTAATCAGATGGAAACTGACTCAATTCCAGTTCCATTGCCAGCTGTAGCTATATTTCTGAAACAGTGTTTTTAAAAATGTTAACAAGCATTTTTGGGAGAATTGGATCTATGGCTAATTTGAGAAGATGCAGAGTTGTAAATAATGAAGTAGATTCATCTACTACACTTTTTACACAATCTTTAATCCCCTTATTTCACTATAAATCATGCAGAGGTTTATTATATAGAATATTTTGTTAACCAAATTTATTTGACCAGTGATTTTCTTTTTTGGTAACTCTTGTTATAAGGGACACAGACTTAGAAATGCTGCTTTTTAAAAATAGTGAGTTTTCCTCTTAATAGATGATAGTAAAATAAGAAGCATGTGAAAGAGAATCCTCAGAGTAGGACAAAGGAGAAACGGATTGAATTAGTCTATTTTGTGTTGCTATAAAGGGAATACCTGTGCTTGGGTAATTTATAAGCCAAAGAGGCTTATTTGGCTTATGGTTCTGGGACTATACAAGAAGCATGGCACCAGCATCAACTTGGCTTTTGGTGAAGGCTTTTGTGCTGTGTAAAAACCTGTAGATAAGGTCAAAGAGGGAACAGGTATGCCAAGAGGGCCTGAACCCCACAATGGGGAGCAAATCTCCACATGAGATTTGGGGTGACAAAGCATATCCAAACCATAGCGTGCATATTTAATTTCTGGGTTTCATTAAAGCAACAGATATTTGAGTACTTTTAATAGGTCTGGCAGTTTGCCCAGGTTGTAGACATAGGATTACATGACAGTATGTTCTCTACTCTCAAGTTTCTGTTTGTGCTGTTATAAATTTGAGCAGTCATCATTAAATCTCAGCTATACATTTAAGTTCTGTTTGTGACAGTTGCCACAAAGGAAACGTCTAAGGTGCTAAGTATATATGGTTAGGAAAAATCTTGCAAACTTTTTCTGTAAAGGACTAGATAGTAAATATTTTAGGCTTTGTGTGCCATATGCTGTAGGTGTCACCTATTCAATTCTCCTGTTGTAATTAGAAAGCAGCTGCAGATGACACATAAACACACATCACACAGACAAATATGTCAGTGTGATTATGCCATACATACATCTATATCTATCTGCATTTGCATACTTCTCAAGCACTTTTCAAAAATGACCATACAAATCATAAAGTGTTAACAGAATTTTGGAGAACTGATTTTCATGCAGCTCATGTTCTGTGAGTGCTATGCCCTTGCCCAAGACCTTCAAAAAGGTCATCATACAAATCTTATATTCTTGGAAAATTAAAAACCTATACTTACAAATCCAGTGTCAAAGAGGAAATCACATTGGAAATTAGAAAATACTTAGAATTGAATGATTAAAAAATACTTTTGCATCAAATTCATGGGATATGAATATCCCAAAGAGGGAAATTTTTGTAGCCTTACCGATTAGATTACAAAATAAAAAAGACTTAAAATGAACAAGCTATACATACAATTTAAAATGTTAATAAAAGAGCAAGAGAAGATCAACAAAACCAATAGTAAGATTCTTCAAAAAAACTAATGAGATAGGCAACAAGCAAGTTGATGAAGGAAAAAAAGCAAAAAGATAAAAATAAACAATTTTAGGAATGAGAAAAGAGAAGTCACAGGTAGAGCAGTGAGTAGAATAACATAAGAGTACAATGAAGAACTAATTTGAAGCCTAGATGGAATGGCCAATTACCTAGGAAAAATCCATTGCATTCAAAATCAGGCTTGAATAAATAGAAAATGTGAATAGATTTGCAACTATTAAAGGAGTGGCCTCATTACGTACAATTTCTCTTAAAGAGAGAACACCAAATACCCATGTGATGCCTAGAGTGTAGTTTTGACAAGCATTAAAAGAATAAAGGATTCCAAATATATATATATTTGGGATTCAAATATATATATATATATTTGGATTCAAATATATATATATATTTGGGTTCAAATATATATATATTTGAATAATGTCTTATTTTCCTCTGGGTAGATACCCAGTAGTGGGATTACTGGATCAAATGGTAGATCTCCTTTTAGTTCTTTAAGGAATCTCCACACTGTGTTCCATAGTGGTTGTACTAGTTTACATTCTCACCAGCAGTGTAAAAGTGTTCTCTTCACTGCATCCACACCAACACCTATTTTTTTTTTTTTTATTATGGCCATTCTTGCAGGAGTAAGGTGGTATCCCATTGTGGTTTTGATTTGCATTTCTCTGATCATTAGTGATGTTGAGCATTTTTTCATGTTTGTTGGCCATTTGTATTTCTTCTTTTGAGAATTGTCTATCCATGTCCTTAGCCCACTTTTTGATAGGATTGTTTTTTTATTGCTGATTTGTTTGAGTTCCTTGCAGATTCTGGATATTAGTCCTTTATTGGATGTATAGATTGCAAAGATTTTCTCCCATTCTGTGGGTTGTGTGTTTACTCTACTAATTGTTTCTTCTGCTGTGCAGAAGCTTTTTTGTGTAATTAAATCCCATCTATTTATCTTTGTTTTTGTTGCATTTGCTTTTGGGTTCTTGGTTACAAAGTCTTTGCCTAAGGCAATGTCTACAGGGGTTTTTCCAATGTTATCTTCTGGAATTTTTATGGTTTCAGGTCTTACATTTAAGTCTTTGATCCATCTTGAGTTGATTTTTGTATAAGGTGACAGATAAGGATCTGGTTTCATTCTTCTACATGTGGCTTGTCAATTATCCCAGCATCATTTGTTGCAAAGGGTGTCCATTTCCCACTTTATGTTTTTCTTTGCTTTGTCGAGGATCAGTTGGCTGTAAGTATTTGGCTTTATTTCTGGGTTCTGTATTCTGTTTCATTGGTCTATGTGCCTATTTTTATATCAGTACCATGCTGTTTTGTTGACGATAGCCTTATAGTATAGTTTGAAGTCAGGTAATGTGATGCCTCCAGATTTGTTCTTTTTGCTTAGTCTTGCTTTGGCTATGTGGGCTCTCTTTTGGTTCCATGTGAATTTTAGGACTTTTTTTTCTAGTCCTGTAAGGAATGATGGTGCATTTTTATGGGAATTGCATTGAATTTGTAGATTGCTTTGGCAGGGTGGTCATTTCCATTCGTGGGATGTATTTCCATTTGTTTGTGTTGTTTACGATTTCTTTCAGCAGTGTTTTGTATTTGGGATGTATTTCCATTTGTTTGTGTTGTTTATAATTTCTTTTAGCAGTGTTTATATTTTTCCTTGTAGAGGTCTCTCACTTCCTTGGTTAGGTATATTCCTTTTTTTTTTTTTTTTTGCAGCTATTGTAGAAGGGGTTGAGTTCTTGATTTGATTCTCACCTTAGTCGCTGTTGGTGTATAGAAGAACTACTGATTTCTGTACATTAATTTTGTATCCTGAAACTTTGCTGAAATCATTTGTCAGTTCTAGGGGCTTTTTGGATGAGTCTTAAGGGTTTTCTAGGTATATGATCATATCATCAGCAAACAGTGACAGTTTGACTTCCTCTTTACTGATTTGGATGCCCTTTATTTCTTTCTCTTTTCTGATTGCTCTGGCTAGGACTTCCAGTACTATGTTGAATAGAAGTGGTGAAAGTGGGCATTCTTGTCTTGTTCCAGTTCTCAGGGGGAATGCTTTCAACTTTTCTCCATTTGGTATAATATTTTTGACTGTGGGTTTGTCATAGATGACTTTACATTGAGGTATGTCCCTTGTATGCCGATTTTGCTGAGGGTTTTAATCATAAAGGGATGGTGGATTTTGTCAAAGACTTTTTCTGCATCTATTTAGATGATCATGTGATTTTTGTTTTTAATTCTGTTTATGTGGTGTATCACATTTATTAACTTCCATATGTAAAATCATCCCTGCGTTCCTGGTATGAAACCCACTTGATCAAGGTGTGTTAACTTTTTGATATGCTGTTGGATTTGGTTAGCTAGCATTTTGTTAAGGATGTTTGCATCTATGTTCATCAGGGATATTGTTCTGTAGTTTTCTCTTTTTGTTATGTCCTTTCCTCATTTTGGTATTAGGGTGACACTGGCTTTATAGAATGATTTAGGGAGGGTTCTCTATCTTGTGGAATTGTGTCAATAGGATTGGTACCAATGCTTTGAATGTCTAATAGAATTCAGCTGTGAATATATCTGGTCCTGGGCTTATTTTTTGTTGGCAATTTTTAAAATTACCATTTTAATGTCACTGCTTGTTATTGGTCTTTTCACGGTTTCTATTTATTCCTGGTTTAATCTAGGAGGGTTGTATTTTTCCAGTAATTTATCTATCTCCTCTAAGTTTTCCAGTTTATACATGTAAAGGTGTTCATAGTAGCCTTGAATGATCTTTTGTATTTCTGTGGTATCAGTTGTAATAACTCCCGTTTCATTTCTAATTGAACTTAGTTGGAAATTCTCTCTTCTTTTCTTGGTTAGTCTTGAGAATGGTCTATCAATTTTATTTATCTTTTCAAAGAACCAGCTTTTCATTTCATTTATCTTTTGTATTTTTTTGTTTCAATTTTATTTAGTTATGCTCTGATCTTGGTTATTTCTTTTTTTCTGCTGGGTTTGGGTTTGGTTTGTTCTTGTTTCTCTGGTTCCTTGGGTTGTGAGCTTAGATGGTCTATTTGTGCTCTTTCAGACGTTTTGATGTAGGCATTTAATGCTATGAACTTTCCTCTTAGCACTGCCTTTGTCGTATCCCAGAGGTTTTGATAGGTTGTACCACTGTTATTATTCAGTTCAAATAATTTTTAAATTTTTCTCTTGATTTCATTGTTGACCCAATGATCATTCAGTAGCAGGTTATTTAATTTCCTTATATTTGTTTGGTTTTGAGGGTTCCTTTTGAAGTTGACTTCCCATTTTATTCCAGTGTGGCCTGAGAGAGTACTTGATATAGTTTCAGTTTTCTTAAATTTACTGATACTTGTTTTGTGGCCTATCATATGGTCTAGCTTGGAGAATGTTCCAAGTGCTGATGAATAGAATTTATATCCTGCAGTTGTTGGGTAGAATGTTTTGTAAATAAGTGTTAAGTCCATTTGTTCTGGGGTATAGTTTAAGTACATTGTTTCTTTGTTGAATTTCTGTCTTGATGATCTGTCTAATGCTGTCAGTGGAGTATTGAAGTCGCCACTATTATTGTGTTGCCATCTATCTCATTTCTTAGGTCTAGTAGTAATTGTTTTATAAATTTGGGAGCTCCAGTGTTAGGTGCATATATATTTAGGATTGTGATATTTTCCTGTTGGACAATCCCTTTTATCATTATATAATGTTCCTCTTTGTCTTTTTACACTGCGATTGCTTTAAAGTTTGTTTGGTCTGATGTAAGAATAGCTACTTCTGCATGCTTTTGGTGTCTGTTTTTTTCTACCCCTTTACCTTAAGTTCATGTGAGTCCTTGCATGTTAGGGGAGTCTCTTAAAGACAGCAGATACTTGGTTGGTGAATTCTTATCCATTCTGCCATTCTGTATATTTTAGGTGGAGCATATATGCCATTTACATTCAACGTTAGCATTGAGATGTAAGGTACTATTCTATTCATCATGCTATTTGTTACCTGAATACCTTATTTTATTGTGTTACTGTTTGATAGGTCCTATGAGATTCAGGCTTTAAGGAGGTTCTATTTTGTTGTATTTTGAGGATTTGTTTTAAGATTTAGAGCTTCTTTTAGAAGTTCTTGGCTGGGCATGGTGGCTCACTCCTGTAATCCCAGCACTTTGGAAGACCAAGGCAGGCGGGGTCAAGAGATCAAGACCATCCTGGCCAACATGGTGAAACCTCGTCTCTACTAAAAATACAAAAATTAGCTTGGTGTGGTGGTGTGCACCTGTAGTCCCAGCTACTTGGGAGGCTGAGGCAGGAGAATTGCTTGAAGCTGGGAGGTGGAGGTTGCCATGAGCCAAGATTGTGCCACTGCACTCCAGCCTGGAGACAGAGCAAGACTCCATCTCAAAAAAACAAAACAAAAAAACAAACAAACACAAAAAAAGAAGTTCTTGTAGTGCTGGATTGGTAGTGGCAAATTCTCTCAGCATTTTTTTGTCTGAAAAAGACTATCTTTCCTTCATTTATGAAGCTTAGTTTCTCTGGATACAAAATTATTGACTGATAATTGTCTTGTTTAAGGAGCTAAAGATAGGACCCCAATCTCTTTTAGAGATTGAAGTTCTTTTGTCTACTTGTTCAATTCTGTTGCTGAGAGATTCCAGTGTGTTTTGTATTTCTTTAAGTGTGTCTTTCATTTCCAGAGGTTGTGATTGTAGAGTTTCTGCTGAGAAATCTGCTGTTAATCTGATAGGGTTTCCTTCATAGGTTACCTGATGCTTTTGCCTCACAGCTCTTAAGATTCTTTTCTTTGTCTTGACTTTAGATAACCTGATGACTGTGTACCTAGGCGATGATCTTTTTGCAGTGAATTTCCCAGGTATTCTTTGAGCTTCCTGTAGTCTAGATCTCTAGCAAAGCCGGAGAAGTTTTCCTCAATTATTCCCTCAAATACGTTTTCTAAAGTTTCAGATTTTTCTTCTTCTTTGGGTACACCGATTATTCTTAGGTTTGGTCGTTTAACATAATACAAAACTTCTTGGAGGCTTTGTTCATTTTTTTGTATTGTTGGATTGTGTTAATTTGAAAGCTTTGTCTTCAAGCTCTGAAGTTCTTTTGTCTACTTGTTCAATTTTGTTGCTGAGATGTTCCAGTATATTTTGTATTTCTTTAAGTGTGTCCTTCATTTTTAGAGGTTGTGATTTTTTTTATTTATGTTGTCTATTTCTCTGGGGATTTTTCTGTCCATATCCTGTAACATTTTCAAAATTTCTTTAAGTTGGTATTCACCTTTCTCTGGTGCCTCCTTGAGTAGCTAAATAAGCAACCTTCTGAAGGTTGAGAGATTTTTTTCTTGGTTTGGATCCATTGCTATGAGCTAGTGTGATCTTTTGGAGGTGTTAAAGGACATCGTTTTGTCATATTACCTGAACTATTTTTCTGGTTCCTTCTCATGTGGGCACATTATGTGAGAGGGAAGATCTGGGGCTCAAGGGCTACTGTTCAGATTCTTTTGTCCCATGGGGTGTTCTCTTGATGTGGTGCTCTCCGCCTTTTCCTAGGCATGGGGCTTCCTGAGACCTGAACTGCAGTTATTGTTATTTCTCTTCTGGATCTAGCCACCCAGCAGAGCTGCCTGGCTCCAGGCTGCCACTGGGGAATGTCTACAAAGAGTCCTGTGATGTGGACTGTCTACAGGTCTCTCAGCCATGGATACCAGCACCTGCTTTGTTGGAGGTAGCAAGGGAGTGAAGTGGACTCTGTGAGGGTACTTGGTTGTATTTTTGTTTAGTGCACTTGTTGGCCTCCAGCCAGGAGGTGGCACTTTCAAGAGACCATCGGCTTTGGTAGTATAGGGGGATACAAGCTTGCCCTAGGGTCACCTGGATAAGTATGGGGGTTTCTCAGGCAGTGGGCAGGGCCATAGAGCTCCGAAGAGATTATGTCCTTTGTCTTCGGCTACCAGGGTGGGTAGAGAAAGACCATCAGGTGAGGGCAAGGTTAGGTGTGTCTGAGCTCAGACTGTCCTTGGGCAGGGCTTGCTTCGGCTGCTGTGGTGGATGGAGATGTGGTTTCCAGGCCAGTGGAGTTATCTTCCCAGGGGGATTATGGCTGCCTCTGCTATGTCATGCAGGTCACCAGGGAAGTTGGGGAATGCTGGCAGTTACAGGCTTCACCTAGCTCAGCTACCATGAAGCCCGAAAGGCTGGTCTCATTCCTACCGTATGTCCCCCAAATGGCACTAAGTTTATTTCCAGGCAGTGGGTGAGCAGGGCTGAGAACTTGCCCCAGGCTACCAGCCTCTCGCTGAGAGGGTTTTCAGGTTTCACACTTCCCCATCTGCCATGGCTTCTGTGCTCCTGTCTGCACTCCTGATTCAACCCTTCTTCCGGGTTCTGTCCAGGAAACTTCGGGTTCACTTGAAATTATTACAAATTCAGCTGGAGGTCTTTTCCCTGTGGTCTTTCCCTGATTCCACTGGTAGCCCTCCCCAAGGATTCCTGAGACAAAACCAGAAATGTGTACTCTGGGGACTGAGAGATCCCACAGGACTCTTCCCAATTCTTCTTGTACCTGTGTTTTTCGCTCAGCTCTCTAAATTTGCCTCAGCTCCAGGTAAGGTCAAATCCTCTTCTCATAATCTGGACCTTCAGGTTCCCCTGTGGTTCAGGGGCAGACAGTTCCCCTTTCACATTTTCACACTTTGGGCACTCACAGTTTTTTAGCTGTCTCCTGAAGCTCGCAGCAGTAATCCACTCTCTTCCAAGGGTCTGTGGATTCTCTCGACTCTCCTGGTATGTTCCTGTGGTAGTTCTTGGAGCAAAAGTTCACAATATGAGTCTCCACATGCTGCTTTGTTTGTCCAAGTGGGAACTGCAAGTTAGTCCTGCCTCCTGTCTGTGATTTTCTCCTATACCCCAGTTATCTTATTAGATGCAGACCAAAAAACCCCCAAATAATTAACATTCATTTATCATTGACCACCCCCAACAACACACTTTCAATGCTGGAATTGAACTTTCTGAAACTGATAAGGTACATCTACCAAACCCATGCCACCCAACAATCTTCCAGTCCTTCTTCCTAGATGCATAAATACGAATCTTTTCCTTATTTCTATCCTTTAGTGACCACTTAATTTTCTTTTCTTTCTTTCTTTCTTTTTTTTTTTTTTTTTTTTTTGA
Organism: Homo sapiens; assembly: GCF_000001405.40. NCBI lineage: Eukaryota > Metazoa > Chordata > Mammalia > Primates > Hominidae > Homo > Homo sapiens. The sequence goes on from NC_000013.11 coordinate 25,616,351, forward strand.
GACAGAGTGTTGCTGTTGTCACCCAGTCTGGAGTGCAGTGGCACCATCTCGGCTCACTGCAACCTCCGCCTCCTGGGTTCAAGTGATTCTCCTGCCTCAGCCTCCCAAGTAACTGGGATTACAGGCACCCGCCACCATGCACAGATAATTTTGTTATTTTTAGTAGAAATGGGGTTTCACCATGTTGGCCAGGCTAGTCTCGAACTCCTGACCTCAGGCAATCCACCCGCCTCAGCCTCCCAAAGTGCTGGGATTATAGGCGTGAACCATGACCACTTAATTTTCAAGAGTAGTATGTGGTACTGCTTAGCTCATCAGATTCTCCAAGTCCCTAATAATTTCCTATTTGGGAGCTGGAGAGGAGATGATACTTCTAGGATGCTTCAATTTCAGCAACATTCATTTTCTTTTTCTGAGTCATGAGCACCAGGGTTCACCCTAAAATATTAGCCAGATCTCATAGGCTGAATTAGGTCACAGGGTACAAAGTGTTGTGCAGACTGGTGCATGTGGCTCCCATTGAATATAATAACAGCCCTTTGACACGTGTGGCAGCTGCTGCCAGAGCCTCCAGCCAGGATCTGGGCTAGAGGGTGGTACATGTATAATTTAAGTAATAACATAAAGATTAAATATGTAATTGGAAATGATTTCATAGAATAAAACTGAAGCCTGGTTTATCTTGAAAAGAAATTATTGCAGACATGTAAATAGCTTACTGTAAAGTTTAATTACAGTTTTAGTAGCAGACAAGACTCAATTGATAAATCTCCACAAGGAGAGTCAAGTAGGACTGAAAATCTCACTGCACTTGCATGAAAACAACAAAAGCTAAAATGCCAAACCGAATGCAAGCTTTGTTCATTTCCTCAAAGTTAATTGTTTTGACTATAATCATACAGTTATTATTTAATGGCCATACACAATTTATTTATCATTTTCTAAGAGATTAATTTGAAGGTCTTTTTCTTGTTATTTATGTGGAATTTACAGGAAAGTCAGATATTAGATTGTAGTTTTAGGGGGTGATTATTTTTATAACTCAATTGATTTAAATGTTAGGTTTTGTCATTTCGTTGAATCCATCAGTTATCATCAGTATTCATTATTTCAGTTCCCTCTGAGAAATGAGAGGATAGTTTTGTGAGTAGAAAATGATTTGAAGAGTTTGGCAGAATAAAACTGAAAACTGATTCATCTGACAAAACTCTTTTAAGTTCGGTACAGAAACAAGGACTAGATAGTTGTCTCACTAACTCCATTCTTGGTGTTCCCTTGACTTTGCTGTTTATTGTGTTTTTTTGTTAGAATTTCTTGAATTTATTAATTTTTGTTACAGTTCCATCATGAAACTTACTGAATTATGTAGATTTAAATTGTTTTCCATGGTATTTCTTTATTAATGTAGAATTTGAAAAATTCACGCAGTTCTGGGGAGACTATTTTAACTTATACCCTCTCCTCCTTCCTTTTTCATCTGAGCTTCCTCTCATCGATCTTAATATTTACACCTAAAATCTTATGAGTTGAGACAATATAGAAATTAATTATTGATCTGTAAATTATGTGAAAGTTCCCAACATAGAAGCATTTTATATATATTAAATCAGTGTTAGAATTCGTGGCTAGTTACCCGTAGTGTAAAATTGTATTTAGGAGCTGAAAGACCGTGAGTGTGAATGGATGTTTAGGTGGCAATTGGAAAGATTTCCCAGTATTCTGAAGAACATAAGCTATTTGACCTATTTGACATAAGTCTTATGCTTCCTTTTACTTAGATTTCTGGTTTGCTTTCTTTTGGTACATGTTATACCTGATACTGTTCTACAGCGGTCTTCAGTAATTTTTTAAATCTTGAAATAGAATGGAAAGATTGAGAGTGACCTGCTGAGGTAACTGGACCAGAACAGGTTAGGAGTGCGTGTTTATAAACACGAGGGAGGGTCTGAGTAGGAGGACCTGAGGAATATGTAGGGCAGTGTGGAAAGGGAAGACATGGAAATGACATTGATACAGCTGGTTGTTCATGCCGGGTGTTGTCACTGCCCCGAGACTGCCTCATTGCCATGAGGAAAGATTTGTCATTTTCGGGAAGAAGGTGTGGAGCGGCTGGGAGGCAGCACACAATAGCCCTCCTGTGGGTAGGATGTTGGCTAGCCTTGGGTTTACCTCAGTGAAGACCCATGTTTAGGATGCTTGAAAACATCTCATTAGCAACTTTGTCTGTTTTAAGCTCTGGAGCAGTGAAGAATTCTATTAATGGCAGTAAACTTTTTTTTTTTTTAAGAAGGAAACCCAATTATGTCCCTCCATTAAAGTTCTGATAGTTAGACTTTTTTTTTTTTTTTTTCCCAGCAAGATCTCTATGTAGGGTAGGGAGATTTCATGCTACTGGGAGCAAGATGATGCTTAGTAGTAGTTGATGCCTTAAGACTTTGCAGGGTCACATAGAATAGCATAGTCCTGGGCTACATCCAACATGCATTTCAATCAGTTCTTGGGTGGTGGAAAAGGGCTTGCTCAATCCGCTTCTTAGCATTGAAATGAAAGAACTCCCAGTTCTCAGACTGGCAATGATGTGATTAAAAACTTGAACTTGGGTTTCTGTTTTCCAGTCGTGGTAGGCTAGGTTACCCTGACCACTTCTCCTGCTGAAACTAAGTAAGATTGTTGAATAAAATAGTTAAAAATACATTTTTTTCTAGCGTTGAAGAAAGGAGAGTAAGGGATTCTCAGGTAAACTGAAGGAGAGCAGGAACTCAGAGAGGCGAGAACGGCCTTGGATGCAGAAGCACCTTTTGTGGAGGCTTTTCAGGGAGCAGAGGACAGGGTCTACAGTTTAGGGAGCTTCCTCCCATTAAGCTGGGGGCCTTGCAGGGGCACACCTGCAGGGTAAGGTGACAGAAGACAGCCAGGTTTCCTGAGGATTTGAATTCTGGGTTCTCCTTACTCATATGGACTCAGGACCCTCAGACTCTACATTTCTCAAAAGCCAATGCAGCTCCTCTTCATAGGAGGGCACTTTTATTCTGTATGCTGTTAATTCACTTTCAAAAAATCATAAAGCACAAGAAAGAAGACATCTCCAGCTATTAGCACGAAAAGACACTATAAATAAACTACAAAAATTGAAGATACTCGAATAACCAGATATAGAATATAAAACAACCATGCTATGTTAAAAAAACAGACAGTAACCCTAGGGATATCTGTGGAGACCAGCAAACTATAAAATGTAGCACAGCAGATGTGAGAAATGAGTACATAGAACTTCTGGAAATGAAAAATATCACAACAAATTAAAAATTCTAAGGAAAGGTTGAATAGTATATTAGTTAATACTCTAAGAAGAATTAGGGAAGTAGTAGGTAAATAAGAAATTATCTAGAACAGAGGTCAACAAACGTTTTTCTGTAAAGGATCTGCTAGTGAATATTTTTGGTTTTGTGGACCACATATGGTCTCTATTGCATAGCCTTTCCTATTTTAATTTTGTTTTTACAGACCTTTAAAAATGTGAAAACCGTTCTTAGATTACAGGCTATGGGATATATTTGGCCCACGGGCCGTAGTTTACTGACCCCAATCTATATATACAAAGAAGAGAGGAGTCACGAGAAAACCCAGAAGGGCAGTTGAGGCATACAGAGTAGAATGAGGAAGTTTACCGAGCTTGATCAGCCTAAAGGCAAGAGAAAAAATAGGGCAGAGTAAATATTTGAGGAAATAATAGCTAGGGATTTTCTGAAGGTGGTAAAAAGATACTAATCTGTAGATTCAGAAAGTCCAGTAAGTCCTAACAAGGATCAGTAAATACATTCTCTCCACGATTCATCATAGTGAAACTTCAGGACAGCAGACACTAAGAGAAGGTGGGGAGTAGGGGATGGGTACAGCATTGCTTCCTCAGAGAGAGAGGTGACCTCTCACCAGCAACAGAGGGACCAGAACACAGCAGAATGCCATTTTCAATGCTGAAAGAAAATACCTGCCAACCCAGAGCTTTATAGGCAGAAAAATCTTTGAAGAATGGGGTTAAAATCAAAACACTCACAAAAGTTAAGAGCTGAGAGTTTGCTACCAGCCAACCCATACTAAAGGAAATTTTAAAGGTTGCATGTTGTACGGAAAAAAATATTCTTGGGTGGAAGATCTAAGCTGTTCAAAGTATAAAAAGCAAAGAAAGTGGGAAATCAGTGATAAAACTTAGATTAGTATTGAATATATGGAACATCATCTTGAGGGGTTTTAAAAATATTGACTTGAAATATAATACAATTGCCTGTGTAAATTGAGAAGAGTGTGAAATAGATATGTTTAAAAATCCTCATATTACCTTGGAAAATAATTTTCAAGCACAGTTTTACAGTTGATAGAAATATGAAATTAAGACAAAATTCTTTACTACATTTTAAGTCGAATAATTGAACAAAATGTTAGAAATAGGCACAATGTAGCTTGCTGCTTGATTCTTGTAATCAAGGGGGAAGTGGAGATCAATGAACTAATGGTGACATTTCACTGCTTTTTAGTAAAATTGTATGAAGCCATAGAGAAAGGGAAGGAGAGACTTAAATAATAAGAAAAACCTCAACAGATCTGTGATGCTTATGATGGGAAGTTCTTTTGAGAGAAGTGGAGTAGTGGGTGATTGGGCCTAGGAGTGGGAGTGGAAGGATTATTGATGTTGCCGTTGGGCCTCCATGGTATCACTCCCATGCTGTTGGATTTATTGGTCTAAGTGTCTTCCTCACTAGACTCTGCATTCCCAGGGAAGTCATCTTATCCTAGGTACCTTTGTGTCTGGCTCTTCACCAGTGCAGAAGAAGGTACCTTGAAATGTGTTAAAAAATGTTTACTTAGTAACTAGGAAAGATGCTCCTAATGTAACTTGCTTTGTGAACAAATACGTATGAAATCTACATAAGTGTGTTAAGTGTCAGATTTCATCATCTCTGGGCTGAGTGTTGGTGGAAACATTAGAGGATAAATTAGCTATGAGATATGTTCTGTTTCTGATTTAATCTTTTCATTTTTCTCTTTTTGTTTTTCTCAACCTTTTCTGCTACTTAGTGCTTTCTTGCCTCTGTCTCAGATTTTTATGAGCCAAATATTCTTATATTCTATAATCTGTGTTCTTCCCAACCAGAGGTGTTATCTGCAGAGACTTTTTTTATCAGACTGAAATCCGTCCTGCCTTTTTAGAATGAGCTCATTTTTCTTCACTCCAGCTAATGCTGACATTTACCAAATCCAGTCCTGATTAAGTAAGCTTCCATCACCAAGAAAACTGGAAAAAAGGTAGGATTCATAAGACAGTGGATTCCCATCCAGTGCTTGTAGCTCTGTTATCCTCTTTAGAAGTATCTGAGGGTTAACAAAATTGGAAATTGTAGAGGAAACAAATTTGCACTGAATTTAGACCTAATTTACCTGAAAATGGGATTCCTTTAAAATCCACAGTGAGCCCACAGTTTTGTCCTGTGACTGAGATTCAGTCACACCTTGACCATGTATTTATTTCATAAATTAAGCCTTCAGGCCAGGCATGGTGGCTCACACCTGTAGTCCCAGCACTTTGGGAAGCTGAGGTGGGTGGATCACCTGAGGTCAGGAGTTTGAGACCAGCCTGGACAACATGGTGAAACCCCATCTCTACTAAAAACAGACAGTACTAAAAAACATCTCTGCTAAAAACATAAAACACTACCTGGGCATGGTGGTGCGCACCTGTAATCCCAGCTACTTGGGAGGCTGAGGCAGGAGAATTGCTTGAACCCGGGAGGTGGAGGTTGCAGTGAGCCGAGATGGCACCATTGCACTCCAGCTTAGGCAACAGAGCAAGACTCTGTCTCAAAAAAAAAAAAAAAAAATTAAGCCTTCAAGAAATGTATATGCCAAGTTGGAGATGTGTCAATAGAGCTAAGCAGATTTTTGGTAACTGCCAAATTAGTTTCTTATGGAGAGGGGAAGCAAAGAAATGGAAATAGTAACAATAAGATAAGCAACAGTGAGAGGAATGATGAGGAGCAGAAGGAAGGAGAAGGCTACCACATGAAAGTGGGAAAGTTGAGATCTGAAATTATTATATTTTGAAACCTAGAAAAGTAATGAATCTCATTCTGTCCTCTCTCCTCTGCCCTCCCATACTTTGGGAAATGGTGAAATAATCTGAAACAGAAATGTTTATACAGGGTGAGCATCCCCAGTCCAAAAATCCAAAATCCGAAATGCCCCAAAACCTGAAACTTTTTAAGTGCTGACAGGAGGCCACAAATAGAAAATTCCATATCTGACCTCATGTGACAGGTCACAGTCAAAATGCAGGCACACAACACATAGTTTCTTCAGCATCTCCAGGGGAATAAAAGACCCTCTTAGCTCCCTTTAGCTGATACTTGGGTCCCATCCCCAAGATATCTCATAATGTATATGCAAATATTCCAAAATTCAGAAAAATCCCAAATCTGCAACCCTCTGGTCCCAAGCATTTCAGATAAGGGATACTCAACATGTAGTACTTATTGTAGGGTTATTTCAGATGTGCTGTCATATTAGTTAAAGTGAAAAATTGATTTGCAAAGTTCTGATCATTTTAGAATTGGTGTTTAAGTCCAGTAGAAATCTTCATAGTTAAATATATTTAATATTTTGTTATAAATTAAGTAATGAGCAACTGAATTTTAAAGAATATATTCTTAGAGGCACCCTCACTTCAAAAGAAATTGAATTTCAACAAAATGCCAGGACTGGCCACGCACAGTAGCTCATGCCTGTAATCTCAGCACTTTGGGAGGCCAAGGCGGGAGGATCGCTTGAGGCCAGGAATTCAAGACCACCTGGGCAACATAGGGAGACTTTGTCATTACTAAAAGTAAAATAAAAATTTTAAAAAACTAGCTGGGTATGGTGATGTGAGCCTGTAGTGCCAGCTACTTGGGAGACTGAGGTGGAAGGATCACTTGAGCCCAGGAGTTTGAGGTTGTAGTGAGCTATGGTCATGCCACTGCATTCCAGCCTGGGCAACAGAGTGAGACTTAGTCTCCACAATAGCAACAACAAAAAGCCAGGACTATGATTTTTTTTTTTCAAAAGTTCTTCTCAGTGTCAGCTCAGAAGTGATAAAAGGTTTTCCACCTTTTTTTGTGTGTTTTTTATTAAGAAGAAAAGATTTGAAAGGTAAATAGAAAAATCTTGTAAATTCACCAAATCACCAAATACGTGTTTTGAAACATAGTAGTTTTTCTAATTTATCAGTCTCATTTTCTAATTCTATCCTTATGACCAATATCTCTGCCTTTGCTCTGGATTTATCACCTTCATGGACTTTTGGACATGGGAGAATTTTATCCTGATGGAAGTAAAACTGCACGGACTTCTCTTGTGTTATAGAAATATGTGTGTGTGTGTATACGTGTATATATACACATGCATATAGAGATATATATGCATATCTAGATGAGCATAAATGCATAAATTATGCATAGATTATAAATGCATAAATTATGCATAGATATATGCATATACCTATATATGCATATATCTATAATGCATGTATGTATGTGTGTGCATATATATACATGCATAAATATAAATATACATATATCTATATTGTGTGTGTGTGTGTGAGAATGGAGTGCCATCCTTCCCCTTCCTGGGCTGTAAGCTTGTTTGTTAGTTAAGACTTCATGGTAGAAACTGGTGTATTCATCTTTAAAATATTTTGCACATTGGTGGTGCTTAAACGGCTTACTGAATTGGACTCTCCAAGAAGGGTATTTCTTAATAGAAAACTGTCTTGCTTTATTTGTTTTCGTTTACACTTAACTAGTTGACATAACCCTCAGGACAAGGACTGTGGGCATTTCTTTCCTTGCTGGTCTTACAAGCTACTGATATATGGCATTTATGACTTTGGCAGAGATGGTGGGTTAAATCAAGGGGCCAGGATTCCTTCATCACCTAAGGACTTGTGGTTTATAAATACAGAAGAGGAAAAGGAGACAAATGAAATTACAGAAATGGCCTCAGCTTGATTGAGTTATAACCTTCACTGTCTGATTTTTATAACTCTAGGCAAGTACTCTACCTTTTTTATTTCACTTCAATGTAATTTATATTTTGCTAAGTTGTTAGGTGGCCCAGTTAACCTTAACAAGATACTTAATGTTAACTAGTTTTCTGAATATTTTCAATGGTGCCTCTATTAGAGAGTATTGTATGTAGGTGAACAATGTATTTCCCAAGCACAAATTACAGTATTTCCTCAAATTATATGTTCTAAAGGCAATTGAGGTATGTATGTAATTATGTGTTAATCAAGTTAGTGATTTGCTATTAATTGGGTAAGTACAAGTTGTGTGAGTTACACTTGCACAGGGGTGGTCTTGTCTCTGAGCTGCTTTCAGAAAAATAGTTCAACCAAGTAAATTGATTAGTACAATTTTCCTATGACCAATCCTCTTAAGTTTTTCATTTCTATTTCAACTCCTGTAAGTTTAACAAGATTATCATTTTAAAAGAAATTCCTTCCATCTGCAGATGTGTGTTGCTTCTGATATATTTGAATCAGCTGAAATCTAAAAGTTTTTTACATAGGAATTATCTCTAAAGATATAAAATGGTCTTATTTTTCCTTAATGGTGTTAGGAAAACCTAATAGCAACAATGGATTGTGCATGATCAATTTTATCTAGTCACATTTTGGGGGATCTTTAAGCAAGAATAGGCAACAAGAAAATGTGCATTTAGTGTTGGAAGGGATGAGAGATTAGTTGTGGATCTGAGGATTATTCTTGCCTCAACAAGTGGAGAATTGGAGATACTCTTCATGAGGAGTGACACTCAAGTTTGAGCCCCGTAATCAAGAGACAGGAGAAATGTTAATAAGAGAAAACCTTTTATTTTGTCAGATCCCTTTTTGAGGAAGAACAAATGCAGTTTTTGAAAGCATTAAGCATTTAGAAAAGGGTGCAGAAATGTAGTAGGACAAAATGTGCCTTAAAACATACAGCCTCTTTATGTCCAAAGCTTCCACACAACGTGAAGTAATTGTCTGAAATTACAAGTGCTACTATAGTGATTGAACTCTAGCTGCTAATTGAGCCTTCAGGTTTAAAAATACACAGGCCTCAGCAATTCAAAGATTATTAAATTACACCTTCTTGTGGGAACCAACATCAATGTGTTTGAGCAGTGAGTAGTGAAGGTCTTTGGGGAGGCAGGGGCAGAGGGTGTCTCATTACAGCGTTTGCCACTGCAGATCTCTTGAGGGTTGTTGCTTTTTCTCAAGACGAAAGATTTTGTTAACACTTCATTCCACAGAATGTTGAAAAAAGTGGAGCTCTCTTGCATCACATGACTGTTACTGCAAGTTTTGTGTTGATCTCTGAATAACTAGAAATTTCAAAAATTTACTTATGAACCAAAAGGCATAATTGGTGTATAACTCAATTATTTTTATTTAATCCTCACAACAGCCTATGATGTGAATGGCTGTGTTCCCATTTTACGGATGAATATGTTAGGCTCAGAAGTGACCTGTCAAAGGTCACACAACTAAGTAGAATTGCTGAGACTGCATCTACTGGCTCTGAAGTTTGTTTGTTTGTTTTTTTAAACTATGTCTTAGCCATCTGATGTTTCAAAGGTTATACAGTCAAAATTGAATCAATGTGATTGTAATGTGCCTTTCCAAAAAAGAAGATGAATACTGGATACTCACTGAACACAAGTGGTTTATTCTTTCGTTCAGCAAATTTATTGTGCAACTTTTGGGTGCTAACCACAATTTTAGGCAGCTGGGAATACACGATTAGAAAGGATCTAGAAGATTCCTTCCTGTCTTGGTCAATTTTCTGTTGCTATAACAAAATGCCACAGATTGGGGTAACTTACAAAGAAAAGTTTATTTAGCTAATGGTTCTGGAGGCTGGGAAGTCCAAGAGCATGGTGCTGACATCTAATGAGGGCCTTCTTGCTGCATCATAACACAGGAGAGGGCACCATATTGCAAGAGCACAAGAGCATGTGTGTCAGCTCAGGTTTCTGTACATCTTCTTTTAAAGTCACCAGTACCATTGTAGGGGTCCCACCCTGATGGCCTTGTCTAATCCTAATTACCTCCTGAAGCCTCCATGTCCAATCAGCATATGAATTTGGGGGTTAAGTTTTAAATGAATGAAATTTGGGGAACATATTTACATGATAGAAGTTCCTTAAATAGAACTCAGAGCTCAACTGTGGGAAGGTAGACGAATGAATAAGATAGCATAAGTACATTGAAAGATAAGTAAGAGGATGATGTGTTAAGGAGTGGTATGGGGAGTAAAGAAGTCACCCTTAGTGTATTAGTCTGTTTTCACACCGCGGATAAAGACATACCTGAGACTCGGTAATTTATAAAGAAAAAGAGGTTTAATGGACTCACAGTCCCATATGGCTGGGGAGGCTTCACAGTCAAGGCAGAGGGTGAAGGAAGAACAAAGGCGAACAAAGGCATGTCTTACATGGCAGCAGGCAAAGAGAGAATGAGAGCCAAGCAAAAGGGGTTTCCCCTTAGAAAACCAGCAGATCTCGTGTTACTTATTCACTACCACAAAAGCAGTATGGGGGAAACTGCCCCTATGGTTTAATTATCTCCCACCAGTCCCTCCCACAACACGTGGGAATTATGGGAGCCACAGTTCAAGATGAGAGCTCGGTGGGAATACAGCTGAACCATATCACTTAGATAGGGTGGTAAACAGAGTCCTCAGTGAGGAGCTATTTCTGGCCTGAGACTCCAGGAGAATGAGATGGGACCAGGGGTGGATATGCCAGACAGAGGAAATAGCAAATGCAAATCCGCCAAGGTGGTACAGTGGCAGAATACATAGGAGGTGGTGTGGCAGAGCCTCAGGAGCAAAATGAGCCCAGTGAGGTCAAGAAGCAGACAAGGAAAGACCATGCCATGCAGGGCCCTGTAGAACATGGAAGGAAGCAGGATTATTCTAGATGCAATGTGACCCCATTGACAGGGCTGTGGATTGAATTATGTTCCCCCAAAATTTATATGTTGAAGCGCTGACCCCCAGTGTGGCTGTATTTGGAGTAAGGAAGCAATTATGGTTAAATGAAATCATAAGGGTAGAGCCCTAATCTGATAAGATTAGTGTCCTTAGAAGAGAAACACCTGATCTCTCTCTCCACCATCTCAACGCCATGTGAGAACACGGTGAGAAGGTGGCTGTCTGTGAGCCAGGAGGAGAGCTTTTATCAGTAACATAATTGGCTGACACCTTGATCTTTGACTTCTAGCCTCCATAACTTTGAGAAATAAATGCCTGTTGTTTAAGCCACCCAGTCTGTGGCATTTTGTTATGGCAGCCTGAGCAGACCGAGATGGAACTGAAAGTATTGTCATTAACTGAGATGGAGCTATCTGGAGGAAATGCATCATTTGGTGAGGCCACTCTGGCTGGATATTAGTCCTCAGTGTTCTGAAACACATTCTTCCCTGTTGGATTCTGTCATAAATGTAGTTGATGATGCCAGCTCTCACCATCAAGGCTCATAAGTGCTATGAGCCAGATGCAAGGGTTTTACTTAACAATGAAAATTTTACCTGTCAGGTGAACTGAGTCTATGGCTTGGGCTGACATAAAGAAGCCATGATCACATTGAGAAGCCATGTTATCCATATTGCATGGTGAACTGGGACTCCAGATAGAAGGGCACTTCATTCTCCCACTTTACTGTTTAATGGTGTCAGATGTGTGGCTATGGTTCCACAAAGCCTGACTGGACACTCCTAGGCCACCCTCCCTCTTGCTGACTTAGAAACCCATGCTGTCTGCCTCTAACCATCTTTATAGTCTTTCATTTTAGACCTTTTTCTGACCCACATTAATTCCTTCAGTCAAGTTACAGTTGAGGTCCATTGGGTCTGGGAGCCATTCATTCTCTTTAAGATAACATCACACAGCTTTGCTTTACCCTTTATGTTAATTAATCCTGCTGTATGTCCTGATTGTGGAATGTCTCTCCAAGCCCACAGCCATTACTCTGAGCTTCTCTTTCTGTAGTCCACACCTGTAAATGCACTTACGTTTTCATACTTCCTTGCCTTTTATTCATTCTCATCGCTTTGCCTGAGTATTCTTTCCTCTCTTCCTAACTCAGGACAACACTGCCTGTATTAGTCTTCTAGGCTGCTATGACAAAATACCACAAACTGGGTGGTTTAAATAGCAGAAACTTGTCATCTCACAGTCTGGAGGCTAAAAGTCCAAAATCAAGGTTTCTGCAGGATCAGTCTCCTCTGATGGTTGAGGGGAGTCTGCTCCAGGCTTCTCCTCCAGCTTCTGAGTGCTCAGGCGTCACCTTCCCTCTGTATATGACTGTGTACACATTGTCACTTTATAGGACACCAGTCATGATAGATTAGGGCCCACCCTGAAGATTTCATCTTAACTTGATTACCTGTGCAAAGACTCTGTCTTCAGGTAAGGTCACAGGCTGAGAGTACTGGGGGTTAGGACTCCAACATACGTTTTATTGTGGGACATTATTTAACCCATAACATTGCCCCTTCTTTCCTCCATGAGAGGGAACATCACATCACCAGCATCCTAAGCCCTTGTTTGATAACTTGGTGATCATCACTCTTCCAGGGGAGCATAATTGGTCACCTATGAGACTAATAGGTCTGTTGGCCACTGTCCTTGTAACTCTTCTGTCATGTTTATTCTCTGACTTGCCTGTCACCCTTACTAGACCATAGTCTCCTTGAGGACAGGATCAAACCAGCATTGTACCCTGCTCCTGGGCACATAGAAAGTGTTCGTAGACAGAACACATGGGCAGTCTCAAGTAAACATATTGGCTGTTGATTGTTGTAACCTCTTCAGTCTAAGAATAATTTGGCTCAATAAAAAAATTTTTAGAAGAAGCAATAGAATAGCAAATCATATCATTGAAAAGCATAGAGGTTTAAAATATTTTTAAAATTAAGACTAGTTAACACACTATAATGAAGGCACAGTTACATTAAGTCTATTTTCTTGGTATGAAAGATGAAAAAATTAATGATTTTCCTTTTAATCAGCCGTTTAATCTTGTAGATAGTCTTCATAAATTTCTTCCAATCACCATTAGTAATACTCTTTCCTTTTTGAAATAATAGCTCGAAATATAAATATCTTTATTTTATTTGCTATTTAAAGAGCTGCCAAGTATTTGCGTTAGGTGAGATGGTGCATATGATCTGTAGCAGTTTGCTGTAGCTTTCGGGAGGCTATTTGAAGGAATAGCTTAAGCTATGAGGCAAGGCCCATCAGAATGTCATCTTTCATTCTTTCTCTTTGCTCTGTGGTCACCCGCCCCCTTCCACCCTCTGCCTTTTTACTGTGTTAGATCAGCGTCGCTTCTGTTTTCCAGCATAAAACCCCTGACCTCAAGTGAAGAAATACTGGTTTAACATATACGGTGTAAATTGTTCTGCTTTCTATAAACTTTTATACTAATATTTTTATTATTTTGATATTTGAGAGGGAAAGAGTAATATAATATTGCAGTTCATATGGCAGCCACAGTTTAATTTTATGGCAAAGTCAACGACTTTAGAGTTGCTGAAGTATTTATAGTACTGAAAGCTTTGTGTTGGCAATTTCTTTCAAAGGAAGCAATTCTTATTATTATATCATGGACATGCACACCACTCTCATGCTGTTTAAGACACCTTTTTGTCCCCCCCCCACCACCAAACAGGGAACTGGGAGGGAAAACCAGGCCTCAAATTTTGTGTGCTTGCTTCTCATGTTTTATTTCTAAGTGAATTAGACCATATGGTCACATAAACCCAAAGCTAGGTGGTACAGGGATTTAAGTTTGTGGCCTTGAAGTGATTCTAGTTTTGCTTTCAATTAGTGGAAAATAATGCATTCATAGAACAATTTATAACTCACACAGACCCATTCGTGAAAAGCCCACTCCAGATATTGTTGCGTGTGTCCAGGAGAAGTGGCAGCGTTGATCTCCATAGAGATGACTAATCAGTTGAGACTGAGCCCTTTCCCTTTTCCATGCGACAGCATTTATTTGTTGTGACACTAATTTCACCATGTCAGTTTTCCCTGCCAGTGTGCCCCAGCCCTAATCCTCATTTCACATGCATCACTGTTCTCCCCTCATTGAAACTTGGCTTGAGGCTAACAATATTAAGTGGCGGAACTGTGGTTTGCTAAACACAACTAGCTGATGCTCATGTACTCCTATGAATAGAAAGATCTTCCGAATATTTCCTTGAGGGAATGGGCTCTACAGGAAATCTTGAGACAGCCCTTATGTTGATACATGTAAAATATGCTTCTTAATAATACATGTTGGTGATAATCAGATAAATGGAGTGTTGACTGCGAACCTGAGCAATGTGCCTGGCTAATGAATAGGATGTTTATTTTCTGTTACTACTCTGGACATACCAAAGGCAACTGCATCATCTATTAAAAAAAAAATCCTTAGGGTCCGCTTTCTCATCCTTCATTTTAATTTACAAGAGCAGTAACTACTTCTGGGACTGACTGGAGTATTTTCTGGGGATTAAGTCTGGTTCAAAGGCCTTTGGCTGTGCTGGAGGCCATAGGTTTCAGTGTGAAATAACTGCCTGGGTGTCTGTATTGTCATAGCTTAATTACAGTATTTGCATCTTGAGTTGTTGACTGTGGGTTTTCTAAGACTTTGAGAGTGCTAAGTGTGATTTGCTTTTCAGTTTCTGACCCAGCAAGCAAATCCCAGGCAATGTTAAGTAAGAAAAAACATACCTGTGGTTTTTGCAGGGAGAAAAACTCATCTTCAAAATTGACAGCATCACTGTCCAACAGGACTTTCTGCAGTGATGGTGAGGCTCATCTGTGCTCTGTTCAGCACCTCCGCTCACGTGTGGCTAGTGCAACCGAGGAATTGAATTTTAAATTTTATTTCATTTTAATTTATATGTAATTAGGCACATGCAGCCAGTAGCTACCATATTGGATGGTGTAGATGGAGAATATCTTTGAAGACCAAATACAGTTCTTCCTGATGATTTATAGTAAATTTAATGTACTTAGGTCTACTCCAGGTATTTTTGGTCTTAAGTTGATTTGAGGATTTTTTGAAGTCATGTAAACTTTATGAAACATCATTTTGTCAAGTGCTGGATAATGATTATATTTACTCTAAAAGAAGATGCTTGCTGCTTATGTGTGAAGAGAGTAATTTGGTGACCTCCTACTTCATTCACAAGCTGGAGGGGACAAATACTATACCTATACTAGGCACTGTACTTTCTCAGTGGGTTGCTCATATACCTTTAGTGACCCATGGAATATCATTACAATGTTTTGCAGGGGTATTTTCAAAATGCCACCACCACCAACATATAGGCATGATGCCCTCCACTTCTTGCAGCTTTACATAGACTGAGATACAGGAAAAGCTAAAGTGTTTTGCGTACTCTCACTCAGTACAATACTTCTAACACCAGAAATGTGGGGAGTTTTCCCAACATAGCAAACCAAGCAGTTTTCTAGCAGCAAACACCAACTGGGTGTCCTACAATTTAACTCAGTTGGAGTTGGATCCCACAGATTAAGGGCTCAGCCCCACAAGGCTCTCCCCGACCTTAGAATCCAATCGCAAGCCCCACCCCCTGACACCCCCTCATGGTTCGATTAATTTACTAGAGTAGCTCACAAAACTCAGGGAAACACTTTACTTACATTTTCATATTTATCATAAAGGATGTTATGGATGAACAGCCAGATAGAGAGATGCATAGGTCAAGTATGGGAAGAGGCTCAGAGCCTCCCTGCCCTCCTCAGGAACCTGCATGTGTTCAGCAACCTGAAAGCTCCTGAACCCTGATTTTTGGGGCTTTTATGGAGGCTTCACCACGTAGGCATGACTGATTAACTCACTGGCCATTGGTGATTCACTCAGCCTTCAGCCCCTCCCCTCCCTGGAGGTTGAGGGGTGGGGCTGGAAGTCCCAACTCTCTAATCCTGCCTCGGTCTTTCCTGTTTCACCCTGAAGCTACCTAGGGAAACCAAGGGGGTAGGGTGACCTAGGGGTCACTGGTAGCCATCTCATTAACATGCGAAAGACATCACTCTTGAGATTCCAAAGGTGTTTGGGGCTCTGTGCCAGGTAACAGGGATGAAGAGCAAATACATATTTCACAATATCACACACATTACAGACCCCCCTGACTTTTGCTCTAATGTTTCTATCCTTTGCCTCATGCTACCTTTCACCTGATTGGCTTCCGCTGGCCTTGCGTTAAATCCCTGCAGGTGTAGCTCACTGGGTAGGATGGGCCTTAGGTAAAGACAGAATCCTGAGCTGCTCTGTGGGCCAGTCCCCTGGGAGTACCTTTAATTTGGTAGAGATTCAGAGGAAGATTGACAGTCTGCGTCTTCTGTGATGAGGGTGCCTTTTACTCCTCCAGCTTAGCCGGGAAGCTGCCCTCTTGCGTGGGAGAAGTTGTGCTCTGCTCACCCCTCTGAGCTTTTCCTCACTTTCCCAGCGAGGAGACTCTAGAAGTTACTCTCAGAGTCACAGTCTGTTTGCCACCAATAGTTTGGCTATGCTTTTATGCCTAAGTGACAAACTGTAAGTTTTTACTTTTAAGTAAAACTCCTGAGTCACGGAAGCATGTTTAGTATCTAAGAATGTTTGATTCTCAAAGTATTGAAAAAGAAGATTCTGCTCACTTGTTCAGCCTCTACTTGATCCCTGTTAGCACAGAAAGATGCAGTCAGATTTCTCTTGAGCTTGGTGATATCCTTTATAATAACCTTTAGAGATCCGTTCTATTAATGAGGCATGATATTGTTACTCCAATTGTGCACACAAGCTGGGGGACCTCCCTTTCAGAATGGCATGTAAAGAAATTCCTTCCCTCCTGGAGGCTTCATTATATACCCTACATGCAGTGCTCGGCAGTCTGCTTTTAAGGTGAGTCATTGTATAGTATGATTTCTCAGACTTCAAGGACAGATAATACACATCACGAGCCTCAGAACAGCTTACTTTTCAGCCTTACCTTCCTTTACAGAGAGAGAGATAAAGAGAGCAAGAGAGTGCATGGGAATACGAGCGAGATCACCTCTTTGTCTTTTTAGAAATCCTGTACGTGGGCATTAAAATTAATTTAGAGTTTCTTATTATGTCCTTTCAATAATAGCAACAAAATAATTATAATGACAACAATGAAGTAGCCACCTTGTGTCATTTTGTCTTTGGCTAAGTCTTGAATTCCTGTAATTTAGGTGTGAGATAAGTTGGATGTAAATAACATTATTTAAATCAAGATTATAGGGAGGCTGGACGTGGTCGCTCACGCTTGTAATCCTAGCACTTTGAGAGTCTGAGGTGGGTGGATCACTCGAGCCCAGGAGTTCAAGACCAGCCTGGGCAACATGGTGAAACCTTGTCTCTGCAAACATTGTAAAAATTAGCCAGGCATAGTGGAATGTGCCTGTAGTTTCAGATACTCTGGAGGCTAAGGTGGGAGAATGGCTTGAGCCTGGAAGGTTGAGGCTGCAGCGAGGCAAGATCGTGACACTGTACTCCAGCCTGAGCAACAGAGTGAGACCCTGTCTCAAAAAAAAAAAAAAGATCATACGGAAATCCGACTGCTTCACAAACATTCTTTTGTTGTTGATGGAAAAACCAATTGACTATTAAGAGTGATAGAGACAAACAAACTTTAATGCTGTATCTAAATATCTGAAAACTTCATCAGGAAATGTATGAATTTAAAGCGGATAAACTCAGTCAAGCTTGACACAGACACTAGCAGTCTCTACTTCCGGTTAACAGCTGTTTCAGGAGACAGCATCTCAAAATGAGTTGTCAGAAAATCTGCCTGATTTTCTCGAGGGACCGAAGCTACAATTGGGAATTGAGCTCCTGATGGAGTAGGCATCAAATAAATTGGACCCATGAATATCAATAATTTCTTAAAAGTAAATACTCAGTAATTCTAAATACTAGCCTTTAAAATGGTGACATTATGCTGTAACTGCAGTAAGTCCTGTTAGGGCGCTGTTATTAGTCCCATAAAGTGCTCATTCAGAAATAAAATTCTAACATGTCAAAAATCGAACCCAAAACTAAGCTATAAAAAATTTTTAAGTTTAATGAGTAACAGTTTGTCTTAAGCCTTTTAAATTATGACTTACATGATCTCTTAAGGCCCCCTTGGAAGTTTGAACTGATGAAGTTTTCTTTTAAATGGATCTTCACCAAAGAGTGGAATTGAAAATAAGTCCATGTATCTTAGTTTGTCTCTGCCATTGTCTCATGCAGTTGTGTTTTGTTTATTTTAGTTTTTGAAATTAAAAATGACTGAAAGACCTGTACCAAGCATTTCTTTCACTTGCCTTCTCTAAATCTGTTCAAGTTTATTCAGAATTATAATTTTAACTCTTTGATATCTGATCAAGCAGAGGCCTCCCACATTAGGGAGTTAACGACTGTGAAGGCTTAAACTTATGGACACTTACCATAGTGTTTAGCAATTGTTTAGAAACCGTAAGAACAATTACTAGATCATTAGCAAGCACTTTTTTTTGGATGGGGGAGAAGCTGCAAAATATCTCCTGAAATTGCTCTTAGGGATGTTCCCTCTAATTTTAAAAAGTAAAGGGGAAAAATGAATTTGCATTCACTGGTGTGTGCTGTTTCAGTGTCAGCACCATGAGTTAGGATTGTATTGTGTGTCAGAACTTTGCTCTGTGCTGGGGATGTAAGACCAAAGTCACCATGCTCATGGCTTCAGTCTCATGAAGCATGACCCGTGTAACATTTTAAAAGAGACAATTCATAAACACACTTAGAGAGCATTGTAGAAATAAAGGAGAATGTGAGAAGGAGTGTGCTAAGATTGGGGAAGGTTAAACTTGAACAGTGACTTGGGGAGAAAGCACTTAGGGAAAATGAGGTATGTGAAGCCATTCCTTAACAGAAATCGCCATAGTTTGGGGAGTGTTCTACTAAATATTTGTACTGCAGGCTGTGTAAATGAATGTCCCATGTGAAGAGGTAATTGTGGCTGAGATCGAGGATGTGACGTCTCGAGACTCCCCTTTTGGAGATTCTCAAATCACAGAACCATATTAACATCTCTGAGACATCCTCCTGCCAGGAAACCTGTTTAAATCCGTTTATTGCAGGATTTTCCAAACTCAATTGAGCATGGAGTCCTTGTAATACTCCATGGAATGATTTCTGTTAAATGGTTTCAGGGAATGCTGTCTGTTGGAGGCATCAGACAGACTGGAAAGCCTGGCTGAGGTCAGGCATAGGAGGCCCTATAGGCCATGCTCAAGTTTTGAAGATTTCCTCTGTGCAAAAATTTTAGTGTCCTCACATCCCCTATCAGAAATGGAACTGCTATAATTATACTGAGCCTCTCTGCTTTGGAAAGACATAAAAGGAAAAGCTGGACCTTTGTCCTCAAGGGGCTCAGAGATTAATGAGAAGACAGAAATACAAACTATTGTGATACATAACAAAATTATTTTAAATGGAGCTTTTGCAAAATGCTTTCTACAAAGACAGCGCACCCCCTCCTGTTCTGCGGGGATTCACTAAAGCTTCAAGTCCAGATTTGCATGCCTGGAGGATGGACGAGGAAAGATGGATGAGTATGGGGGGAAGAGGTGGGGGACGTAGTGGTGCCAGGATCAAGGACTGATGGAAGTCCACAGTGAAGGCCGTGGGAGTTGGTGAGAAAGAGGTAGAAGGTGAAACTGGCAGGATTTGGGGAGTGGATTTTGAGGACAGGAAGGAATATCTCAGAATTATGAAAGCTTTTGTCTCAAACAACTTAGTGTCAAATACATTCCCTGTAGCAGGGCCTTTTTTTCTAACCCCCTGCTGTGTTTCTGTCTAGACTCTTGCTCAGCACAGTAGACATTAAGAAATATGAGTTGACAGATTGTTATATTTTATAATGTACAAAATCCTATGCTACTAAGTTTTAACAACTACTTTTAGTTAAGTGTTTTATATGCATGGGGTATCCTCGGGATAGAATCCTAATCCTGTGATGAAGATTGTCATTGATTCCATCAAATCACATATAGGTTTGTAAATTCTTGCTTTAGGAATTGCTGTCTTTAATCTGCCCTATGTTCTTAGTATTCCCGGAAATATCATCTTATTATTATTATTTTCTAAATCTAATATCAATGGACACAAAACAGATATGACAATCCATGAAGCATAAACAAACATGAACCTGACATCCAACTAGGAGATTCCTTTTGGTTCCACCTGCTCTTCCCCTACCACAATCTCGCCTTCACTCCTGTTCTGAATTTTGTGTTTATTATTCCCTAGTTTTTAGAAGCAGTTTCTCCCCATATGTGCATGTTTTTCTAAACAACTTTTGGTTTAGTTTTGCTTGTTTTTGAACTTGAAGAATATTGTGGCTGGGTGTGGTACCTCATGCCTGTGATCCCAATACTTTGGGAGACCAAGGCAGGATGATTGCTGGAGCCCAGGAGTTTGAGACCAGCCTGGGCAACATAGTGAGTCATCATCTCTATGAAAAATAAATGTAGCCAGACACAGTGGTGCATACCTGTAGTCTCAGCTACTCAAGAGGTTGAGGCTGGAGGATTGCTTAAGATTGGGAGGTTGACACTGCAATGAGTTGAGATTGCACCACTATTGCACTCTGGCCTGGGTGACAGAGCAAGACCCTGTCTCAAAAAAAAAAAAAAAAAAAAAAAAAAAAAGATTAAAAACAAATGGCTGCACTTGAAAGCACAGATTGAGTCTATAGCTTCCAGCATGAGCGATGCAGAAGATGGGTGATATCTGCATTTCCAACTGAGGTACTGGGTTCATCTCACTGGGGCTAGTTGGACAGTAGGTGCAGGACAGTGGGTGCAGCCCAACGAGCATGAGCTGAAGCAGGGCGAGGCATCACCTCACCCAGGAAGCACAAGGGGTCAGGGAATTCCCTTTCCTAGCCAAGGGAAGCTGTAACAGATGGCACCTGGAAAATTGGGTCACTCCCATTCTAATACTGCACTTTTCCAATGGTCTTAGCAAATGGCACACAAGGAGATTATATCCCATGCCTGGCTCAGAGGGTCCCACGCCCACAGAGCCTCACTCATTGCTAGCACAGCAGTCTGAGATCGAATTGCAAGATGGCAGCAAGCTTGGGGTGGGGCGCCTGCCATTGACGAGGCTTGAGTAGGTAAACAAAGCGGCCAGGAAGCTCAAACTGTGTGGAGCCTGTTGCAGCTCAAGGAGGCCTGGCTGCCTCTGTAGACTCCAACTCTGGGGGCAGGGCATAGCCAAACAAAAGGCAGCAGAAACCTCTGCAGACTTAAATGTCCCTGTCTGACAGCTTTGAAGAAAGTAGTGGTTCTCCAGGCATGGAGTTTGAGATCTGAGAATGGACAGACTACCTCTTCAAGTGGGTCCCTGACCCCCGAGTAGCCTAACTGGGAGGCATCCCCAAGTAGGGGCAGACTGACACCTCACACGGCCGGGTACCCCTCTGAGACGAAGCTTCCAGAGGAATGATCAGACAGCAACATTTGCTGTTCAGCAATATTCACTGTTCTACAGCCTCTGCTGCCAATACCCAGGCAAACAGGGTCTGGAGTGGACCTCCAGCAAACTCCAACAGACCTGCAGCTGAGGGTCCTGACTGTTAGAAGGAAAACTAACAAACAGAAAGGACATCCACACCAAAACCCCATCTGTATGTCACCATCATCAAAGACCAAAGATAGATAAAACCACAAAGATGGGGAAAAAACAGAGCAGAAAAGCTGAAAATTCTAAAAATAAGAGCACCTCTCCCCCTCCAAAGGAACGCAGCTCCTCGCCAGCAACGGAACAAAGCTGGATGGAGAATGACTTTGATGAGTTGAGAGAAGAAGGCTTCAGACGATCAAACTTCTCCAAGCTGAAGGAGGAAGTTTGAACCCATCGCACAGAAGCTAAAAACCTTGAAAAAAGATTAGATGAATAGCTAAGTAGAATAACCAGTGTAGAGAAGTCCTTAAATGACCTAATAGAGCTGAAAACTATGGCACGAGAACTATGTGACGAATGTACAAGCTTCAGTAGCCGATTCGATCAACTGGAAGAAAGGGTATCAGTGATTGAAGATCAAATGAATGAAATGAAGCGAGAAGAGAAGTTTAGAGAAAGATGAGTAAAAAGAAACTATCAGAGCCCCCAAGAAATATGGGACTATGTGAAAAGACCAAATCTACATTGATTGGTGTACCTGAAAGTGATGGGGAGAATGGAACCAAGTTGGAAAACACTCTGCAGGATGTTATCCTGGAGAACTTCCCCAACCTAGCAAGGCAGGCCAACATTCAAATTCAGGAAATACAGAGAATGCCACAAAGATACTCCTCCAGAAGAGCAACCCCAAGACACATAATTGTCAGATTCACCAAAGTTGAAATGAAGGAAAAAATGTTAAGGGCAGCCAGAGAGAACGGTCGGGTTACCCACAAAGAGAAACCCATCAGACTAACAGCGGATCTCTTGGCAGAAACTCTACAAGCCAGAAGAGAGTGGGGGCCAATATTCAACATTCTTAAAGAAAAGAATTTTCAACCCAGAATTTCATATCCAGCCAAACCAACCTTCATAAGTGAAGGAGAAATAAAATCCTTTACACACAAGCAAATGCTGAGAGATTTTGTCACCACCAAGCCTGCCCTACAAGAGCTCCTGAAGGAAGCACTAAACATGGAAAGGACCAGTACCAGCCACTGCAAAAACATGCCAAATTGTAAAGACCATCGATGCTAGGAAGAAATTGCATCAACTGGCAAGCAAAATAACCAGCTAACATTATAATGACAGGATCAAATTCACACATAACAATATTAACCTTAAATGTAAATGGGCTGAATGCTCCAATTAAAAGGCACAGACTGGCAAATTGGATTAAGAGTGAAGACCCATCAGTGTGCTGTATTCAGGAGACCCATCTCACATGCAGAGACACACCTAGGCTCAAAATAAAGGGATGGAGGAAGATCTACTAAGCAAATGGAAAACAAGAAAAGGCAGGGGTTGCAATCCTAGTCTCTGATAAAACAGACTTTAAATCAATGAAGATCGAAAGAGACAAAGAAGGCCATTGCATAATGGCAAAGGGATCAATTCAACAAGAAGAGCTAACTATCCTAAATATATATGCACCCAATACAGGAGCACCCAGATTCATAAAGCAAGTCCTTAGAGAACTACAAAGAGACTCAGACTCCCACACAATTATAGTGGGAGACTTTAATACCCCACTGTCAACATTAGACAGATCAATGAGACAGAAAGTTAACAAGGATATCCGGGAATTGAACTCAGCTGTGCACCAAGTGGACTTAATAGACATCTACAGAACTCTCCACCCCAAATCAACAGAATATACATTACTCTCAGCACCACATTACACTTATTCCAAAATTGACCACATAGTTGGAAGTAAAGCACTCCTCAGCAAATGTAAAAGAACAGAAATTATAACAAACTATCTCTCAGACCACAGTGCAATCAAACTGGAACTCAGGATTAAGAAACTCATTCAAAACTGCTAAACTACATGGAAACTGAACAACCTGCTTCTGAATGACTACTGGGTACATAACAAAATGAAGGCAGAAATAAAGATGTTCTTTGAAACCAATGAGAACAAAGACAAAACATACCAGAATCTCTGAGACACATTTAAAGCAGTGTGTAGAGGGAAATTTATAGCACTAAATGCCCACAAGAGAAAGCAGGAAAGATCTAAAATTGACACCCTAACATCACAATTAAAAGAACTAGAGAAACAAGAGCAAACACATTCAAAAGCTAGCAGAAGGCAAGAAATAACTAAGATCAGAGCAGAACTGAAGGAAATAGAGACACAAAAAACCCCTCAAAAAATCAATGAATCCAGGAGCTGGTTTTTTGAAAAGATCAACAAAATTGATAGACTGCTAGCAAGACTAATAAAGAAGAAAAGAGAGAAGAATAAAATAGACACAATAAAAAATGATAAAGGGGATATCACCACCAATCCCACAGAAATACAAACTACCATCAGAGAATACTATAAACACCTCTATGCAAATAAACTAGAAAGTCTAGAAGAAATGGATAAATTCCTCGACACATACACCCTCCCAAGACTAAACCAGGAAGAAGTTGAATCCCTGAATAGATCAATAACAGGCTCTGAAATTGAGGCAATAATTAATAGCCTACTAACCAAAAAAAGTCCAGGAGCAGATGGATTCACAGCTGAATTCTACCAGAGGTACAAGGAGGAGCTGGTACCATTCCTTCTGAAATGATTCCAATCAATAGAAAAAGAGGGAATCCTCCCTAATTCATTTTATGAGGCCAGCATCATCCTGATACCAAAGCCTGGCAGAGACACAACAAAAAAAGAGAATTTTAGACCAATATCCCTGATGAACATCAATGCAAAAATCCTCAATAAAATACTGGCAAACCAAATTTAGCAGCACCTGAAAAAGCTTATCCACCATGATCAAGTGGGCTTCATCCCTGGGATGCAAGGCTGGTTCAACATACGCAAATCAATAAATGTAATCCAGCATATAAACAGAACCAAAGACAAAAACCACATGATGATCTCAATAGATGCAGAAAAAGCCGTTGACAAAATTCAACAGCCCTTCTTGCTAACAACTCTCAATAAATTAGGTATTGATGGGATGTATCTCAAAATAGTAAGAGCTGTTTATGACAAACCCACAGCCAATATCATACTGAATGGGCAAAAACTGGAAGCATTCCCTTTGAAAACTGGCACAAGACAGGGATGCCCTCTCTCACCACTCCTATTCAACATAGTGTTGGAAGTTCTGGCCAGGGCAGTCAGTCAGGAGAAAGAAATAAAGGATATTCAATTAGGAAAAGAGGAAGTCAAATTGCCCCTGTTTGCAGATGATGTGATTGTATATTTAGAAAACCCCATCGTTTCAGCCCAAAATCTCCTTAAGCTGATAAGCAACTTCAGCAAAGTCTCAGGATACAAAATCAATGTGCAAAAATCACAAGCATTCCTATACACCAATAACAGACAAACAGAGAGCCAAATCATGTGTGAACTCCCATTCACAATTGCTTCAAAGAGAATAAAATACCTAGGAATCCAAGTTAAGGGATGTGAAGGACCTCTTCAAGGAGAACTACAAACCACTGCTCAATGAAGTAAAAGAGGATACAAACAAATGGAAGAACATTCCATGCTCATGGATAGGAAGAATCAATATCATGAAAATGGCCATACTGCTCAAGGTAATTTATAGATTCAATGCCATCCCCATCAAGCTACCAATGACTTTCTTCACAGAATTGGAAAAAACTACTTTAAAGTTCATATGGAACCAAAAAAGAGCCTGCATTGCCAAGTCAATCCTAAGCCAAAAGAACAAAGCTGGAGGCGTCACGCTACCTGACTTCAAACTATACAAGGCTACAGTAACCAAAACAGCATGGTACTGGTACCAAAACAGAGATATCGACCAATGGAACAGAACAGAGCCCTGAGAAATAATACCACACCTCTACAACCATCTGATCTTTGACAAACCTGACAGAAACAAGAAATGGGGAAAGGATTCCCTATTTAATAAATGGCGCTGGGAAAACTGGGTAGCCATATGTAGAAAGCTGAAACTGGATCCTTTCCTTACACCTTATAGAAAAATTAATTCAAGATGGATTAAAGACTTAAATGTTAGACCTAAAACCATAAAAACCCTAGAAGAAAACCTAGGCAATACCATTCAGGACATAGGCATGGGCAAGGACTTCATGTCTACAACACCAAAAGCAATGGCAACAAAAGCCAAAATTGACTAATGGGATCTAATTAAACTAAAGAGCTTCTGCCAGCAAAAGAAACTACCATCAGAGTGAACAGGCAACCTACAGAATGGGAGAAAATTTTTGCAATCTACTCATCTGACAAAGGGCTAATATCCAGAATCTACAAAGAACTCAAACAAATTTACAAGAAAAAAACAACCCCATCACAAAGTGGGCGAAGGCTATGAACAGACACTTCTCAAAAGAAGACATTTATGCAGCCAACAGACACATAAAAAATGCTCATAATCACTGGCCATCAGAGAAATGCAAATCAAAACAATGAGATACCATCTCACACCAGTTAGAATGGTGATCGTTAAAAAGTGAGGAAACAACAGGTGCTGGACAGGATGTGGAGAAATAGGAAGACTTTTACACTGTTGTTGTTACTGTAAACTAGTTCAACCATTGTGTAAGACCATTTGACTATTTGACTCAGCCATCCCATTACTGGGTATATACCCAAAGGATTATAAATCCTGCTGCTATAAAGACACATGCACACGTATGTTTATTGCGGCACTATTCACAATAGCAAATATTTGGGACCAATCAAAATGTCCAACAGTGATAGACTGGATTAAGAAAATGTGGCACATGCACACCGTGGAATACTATGCAGCCATAAAAAAGGGTGAGTTCATGTCCTTTGTAGGGACATGGATGAAGCTGGAAACCATTATTCTCAGCAAACTATAGCAAGGACAAAAAACCAAACACTGCATGTACTCACTCATAGGTGGGAATTGAACAATGAGAACACTTGGACACAGGAAGGGGAACATCATACATCGGATCCTGTTGTGGGATGGGGGGAGGGGAGAGGGATAGCATTAGGAGATATACCTAATGTAAATGACGAGTTAATGGGCGCAGCACACCAACATGGGACATGTATACATATGTAACAAACCTGCATGTTTTGCACATGTACCCTAGAACTTAAAGTGTAATAATAATTTAAAAAAGAATATTGTGATCCTCTGGTTTTTCCTGAAAAAATGTATCCATGTTTTAATACAGGTATAGTTCCTCTTCACTGCTGTGTATTGTTACATCATAGCATCATGTTTTCATCCTTTCTTCTGTTGATGGACATTTGGGTTGCTTGCAGTTTTTTGTTGTTATGACAGTGTCTTTGTGAACATTCTTGTATATAACCCCTGCTGTGTGAAGCTTTTTCTACCATTTATATATGGTAAGAGACAGGGTCCAGTTTCATCCTTCTGTGTATGGACATCCAGTTTTCACAGCACTATTTATTAAAGAGACTGTCCTTTTCCCTATTTGTATTCTTGGCACCAGTGTTGAAATCAATTGACCGTATATGTGAGTTCATTTTTGGGCCTTCTATTGGTGAGTCTTTTTTTGTGTGAGTATCATGTTGTTTTAATTACTATCACTTTATAGTATCGTTTGAAGTTAGGTAGTGTGATACCTCCCACTGTGTTCTTTTTCTTCGTGATTGCTTTGGTTTTGTTTTGTTTTTTTTTTCAGTTCCAGATGAATTTTAGGATTGTTTTCTCTTCATGAAAAATGACTTTGAAATCTTGATAGGTATTATATTGACTCTTTAGCATGCCTTGTGTAGCATGGACAATTTAACAATATTAATTATTCCTGTCTATGAACATTGTTTTTTTCATTTATTTGCATCTTTTTCCATTTCTTTCTTTAACATTTTATAGTTTTCAGTGTACATGTCTTTCACCTCCTTAGTTCAATTTATTCCTATTTTATTTGTAGCTATTGTAAATGGGATTTTTCTCTTGATTTCTTTTTCAGAATGTTCATTGTTAGTGTATAGAAATGTTCCTGATTTTTGTTAGTTGACTTTAGATTTTGCAACTTTATTGTATTTATTAGTTCTGAGTTTTTTGGTGGAATCTTTAGGGTTTTCTCTATATAAGATCATGTTGTCAGCAGTGATTGTTTCATTTTGTACTTTCCAATTTGGATGCCTTTTATTTCTTTCTCTTGCAGAATTGCTCTGGCAAGGAATCCAACATTCAATAGACATGTTGGATTTTTGTCAGATGCTTTTCCTACGTCTAATGAGATCATATAGTTTTTGTCTTTCATTCTGTTAATATAGTGTATCACATTTATTGATTTCCATATGTTGAACTATCCTTGCATCCCAGGGATAAATGCCACTTCATCTTGGTGAATGATTCTTTTGATGTGGTGGCAAATTCAATTTGCTGTATTATTGAGGATTTTTGCATCTGTGTTCATCAAGGATATTGGCTTGCAGTATTTTTTTTTTTGTGATGTCCATGTTTGGTTTTTGCATCAGAGTAATACTGGCTTCATAAAAGGATACCTTCCTCTTTTATTTTTTTTGAAGGCGTGTCTAAAAAATTCATGTCAGTTCTTCATTACAGCATTTGGTACAATTAAACAGTGGAGCCATCTAGCCTTGGGATTTTCTTTAATAGAAGACTTCTTATTACTGATTCAATCTCCTCACTTGTTAGTGGTCTATTTAGATTTTCTATTTTTCGTGATTCAGTCCTAATAAGTTGTATATATGTAGAAATTTATCCACTTATTCTAGGTTATCCATTTTTGGGGAATATAATTTGTTCATAATGTTCTCTTATGGTCCTTTGGATTTCCGTGCTGTCAGTTGTAATATTGCCTCTTTCATTGCTGATTTTATTTATTTTGAGTCGTATTTTGGGTTATCTCTCTAGTCTAGCTAAAGGTTTGTCAATTTTGTTTGTCTTTTAAAAAATCCAACTCTTAGTTTTGTTGATCTTTTGTACTATTTTTCTAGTCTTTATTTTATTTATTTCTGCTCTGTATTAGTCCGTTTTCATGCTGTTGATAAAGCACACCCAAGATTGGGAAGTAAAAGAGGCTTATTTGGACTTACTGTTCCTCATGGCTGGGGAGGCCTCAGAATCATTGTGCGATATGAAAGGCATTTCTTACATGGCTGCAGCAAGAAAAAAATGAGGAAGAAGCAAAAGCAGAAATCCCCAGTAAATGCATCAGATCTTGTGAGACTATTCAGTATCACCAGAATAGCACAGGAAAGACTGGCCCCTGTGATTCAATTACCTCCCCCTGGGTCCCTCCCACAACATGTGGGAATCCTGGGAGATACAATTCAAGATGAGATTTGGGTGGGGACACAACCAAACCATATCATGCTCTGATCTTAATTATTTCTTTCCTTTCACTCATAGTGAGCTTAGTTTGTTCTTCTTTTTCTGTTTCCTTGAGGCATAATATTAAGTTGTTTCTCTGAGATCATTCTTCTTTCTTAGCATAGGCATTTATTGCTGTAAAAACTTTCCTCTTGCAACTGTTTTTGCTGCATCCCATGAGCTTTGGTATGTTGTGTTTCCTTTTTTGTTTGTTTCAATATATTTTTAAATTTTCCTATAATTTATTTATTGATCCATTGGTTGTTCCGAAGGATGTTTAATTTTTATGTATTTGTGAATTTTTGTTTTGAAATTTCTCCTGTTACTGAATTCTAGTTTCATACCATTGTAGTCAGAAAAGGTGCTTGGTATGATTCCAGTTTTATTAAATTTTCTAAGACTTGTCTTGTGGCCTGTCATATGATCTGTCTTGGTGAATGCTTCATATGTGCTTGAGAAGAATGTGTACTCTGTTGTTGTTGGATGGAATGTTCCATATCTGTCTGTTAAGTCCATTAGGTTTAAAGTGTTGTTTAAGTCCAGTGTTCCCTTATTAATTTTCTGTCTTGATGACCTATTATTGAAAGTGGAGTATTGAAGTCCCTTGCTGTTATTATATTGGAATCTATCTCTCCCTTAAGATTCTTTAATATTTGCATTATATATTTAGGGGCTCCAATGCTGGGTGCATGTGTATTTACAATTGATATATCCTCTTGATGAATTGAACCCATTGTTATTATATAATGTCCTTCTTTGTCTCTTTTTCTAGTTTTTTACTTATAAAGTCTGTTTTGTCTGATTTAAGTATAGCTACCTCTGCTCTTCTTTGCTTTCCATTTGAGTGAAATATCTTTTTCTATCTCTTCACTTTCAGTCTATATGCACCCTTGAAAATGAGATGAATGTTTTGTAGGCATTATATAGTTTAGCCTTTAAAAAAAGCATTTAGGGCTGGGCAAGGTGGCTCACACCTGTAATCCCAGCACTTTGGAAGGCCGAGGCAGGTGGATCACGAGGCGAGGTCAGGAGTTCAAGACGATCCTGGCCAAGATGGTGAAACCCCATCTCTACTAAAAATACAAAAAAATTAGCCAGGTGTGGTGGTGGGCGCCTGTAATCCCAGCTGCTTGGGAGGCTGAGGTAGAGAATTGCTTGAACCTGGAAGGTGGAGGTTGCAGTGAGCCAAGATCGTGCCTCTGTACTCCAGCCTGGGCAACAGAGTGAGACTCCATCTCAAAAAAAAAAAAAAAAACACACAAAAGAATCATTTAGTCACTCTGTCTTTTTATTAGGGAATTTAATCAATTTACATTCAAGGTAATTATTGATAGATAGGCAAGGACTTAGTATTTTGTCAGTTTTGTTCTGGTTGTTTTAAGATACTTTGTTCCTTTTTCCATTCTTGCAGCCTTCCTTTGTGGTTTGATCGTTTTCTGTAATGACGTGCTTTGAATCCATTCTATTTTTCTTTGTCTACTATAGATTTTTGCTTTGTAGTTACTATAAGGTTCACATGGAGCATATTATACTTCTGGCAGTCTATTTCAAGCTGATAAAAACTCAAGTTTGATTACATGCAACAACACTACACTTCTCTTTCCCCCATTTTATGTTTTTAATGTCAGAATTTGTCATTTTGTAATATGTATTCCTTCGTAATTTATTTTAGCTATAGTTGTTATTAATAGTTTTGTCTTTTAACCCTTGTACAAGGAATAAAGTTGCCTTATGCACTGCCATTACAGTCTTAGAGTATTCTGAATATAGCTCTGTATTACTTATACCATTAACTATTATGTTATTAATTCACAGCCTTTTGTTTCAGCTTAAAAAATTCCCTTTAGCAATTTCTGTAAAGCAGACCTAATGATGATAAACTTCCTTAGCTTTTGTTTGTCTGGAAAAGTTTCTGTTTCTGCCTCATTTTGGAAAGACAGCTTTGCTATGTAAAATATTTTTGGTTGGCAGATTTTTTCCCCCTTCACTTTGAATATATCATCCCACTCTTAGTCTGCTGGATTTCTGCTAATAAATTTGCCAAGATAGTCATATTGGGACCCCTTTGTATGTAATGTATTTCTTATCTCTTGCTGTTCTTAGAATTTCTTCTTTGTCTTTGATTTAGATAGTTTGATTATTATGTGTGTTAGTGAATGCCTCTTTGGGTTGAAGTTGATTAGAAACCTCTCTGTTTCCTGTACTTGGATATTGGCACTTTCCCCCCAGTAAGAAAAGTTTTCAGCCATTCTTTCTTTTTTCTTTTTTTCTTTTTTTTTTCTTTTTTAGATGGAGTTTCACTCTTGTTGCCCAGGCTGGAGTGCAATGGCGTGGTCTCGGCTCACTGCAACCTCTGCCTTCTGGGTTCAAGTGATTCTCCTGCCTCAGCCTCCCAAGTAGCTGGGATTACAGGTGCCTGCCACCATGCCCGGCTAAATTTTTTTGTATTTTTAGTAGAGATGGGGTTTCACCATGTTGGCCAGGCTGGTCTCAAACTCCTGACCTCAGGTGGTTTGCCTACCTTGGCCTCCCAAAGTGCTGGGATTACAGACATGAGCCACTGCACCCGGCCCATTATTTCTTTAAATATGCTTTCTGGCCCTTTTTCTCTTTCTTCTCCTTTTGACTTGCTATTATGCGTAGGCCAGGTCTCTTGATGATATCCCATAATTTTCATAGTCTTTCTTTATTCTTTTTTCTTTTTATTTCTCTAATTGGATAATTTCAAAGTTCTGTCTTTAAGCTCATTTATTCTTTTCTCAGATTAATTGAGCCTGGTGTTGAAACTTTCTCTTGCATTTTCCAGTTCAGATATTGCTTCTTCATCTCTATGATTTCTTTCTTTTACAAAAAATTGTTTCCATTTCTTTGTCAGTCTTGCCATTTGGATTGGTTCCAGGACCCTCCTCTCCCCCATGTATACCAAAATCTGCAGATGCTTAAGTCTCT
This sequence comes from Homo sapiens, assembly GCF_000001405.40. Classification (NCBI taxonomy): domain Eukaryota; kingdom Metazoa; phylum Chordata; class Mammalia; order Primates; family Hominidae; genus Homo; species Homo sapiens. The sequence continues at coordinate 25,648,366 of NC_000013.11, forward strand.
TCTATAAAATGGTGAGTAGGCTGGGTGTGGTGACTCACGCCAGTAATTCTAGAACTTTGGGAGGTCGAGGCAGGTGGATCACAAGGTCAAGAGATTGAGACTATCCTGGCCAACGTAGTGAAACCCTGTCTCTACTAAAAATACAAAGATTAGCTGGGTGTGGTGGTGTGCACCTGTAGTCTCAACTACTTGGGAGTCTGAGGCAGGAGAATTGCTTGAACCTGGGAGGCAGAGGTTGCAGTGAGCCTAGATCACGTCACTGCACTCCAGCCTGGCAACAGAGTGATATTCCATCTCAAAACCAAAACAAAACAAAACAAAAATGGAATAGTTTTTGTATAAAGCCTATGCACATCCTCCCATAGACTTTAAATAATCTCTAGATTACATGTAATATGTAATGCAATGAAAATGCTATGTAAATACTTGTTATATTGTATTTTTAAGTTTGTATCATTTTTTATTGTTGTGGGTTTTGTATTGTTTCTTTCTGAATATTCTTGATCTGCTGTTGGTTGAATCCACAGATGTGGAACCCATGAATATGGCGGGCTGACTATTATGACTGTATTCTTGCAGTTCATGGAATTTCTTTAAGAGGATTTTTCTAAATTTTTTGTCATCATTTTATTGATCTCCCTTTCATTAGGGTCAATTTTTGGAGCTTTGTCAGTTTCTTTTGGAGATGTCATGATTTCTTCCTGAGTCCATGTAATCCTTGTGTCCTTGCGTTGGTGTTTGTGTACTTGAGATAACAACCTTTTCCAGCTTTCACAGGCATTCTTTGGAACAGACCCTTATTATGTAGTTTAACCTGCAATTCTGGTTGGGCTAGCTGGTAACAGCCTTGGGCAGGCAGAGCTTATTTTGGAGTTCTCTAAATGTCTGGGGTGCTGCCTTTACCTTGAATTCACATGGGGCAGCTGGCTGGACTGAGCTTCACAATCAGGCTGAGCTGCTGGATGGGCACTACAGTAGCCTCAGATCAGGCCAGGGTGTGTTCTCTGCTCAAGTGGTACCACTATTTGAGTTCTGCAGTTGGCCAGGGTTGTGGGAGGGGCCTCAAAGTTAAGTGGAGACACTGAGATGGACAAGACCAGATGCTATGCACAATAGAAATGCATGGTTGAAGTTTTCCTTCCTGCCTGTGTGGGGCCTTAGGGTGAGTTAAGTGTTGAGGTTAAGTGCTGTGTAAACTTTCCCTCTGCTGTCCCTGCTCTTCAATGAAGTTTGCTGCATTGGTTGTCTCCCTGCCTGGGTAGGGTCTTGGGGTAAGCTTTGAGGTCACACCAGGTGTTGTTAGACTCCCAGGTGTGGCACAACTAGCTTTCCATTTTGCTGCAATTCCCTGTGGTGGTTGTTGTCCTCCATGGGCAGGGCCCTCAGGTAGAGTCCAAGGCTGGTCCTGGATTGTGCCTGTCTAGGAATTCAAGCCAGGTAGCACTTTCCACCTCTTCCAGGAGTGATCAGCTCAGCTTTGCCTGTGAGCTACACTGTTAGCTGGTACCTCTAATCAGGTACCTTTGCTGCCAGGTACACAAAGCTACCACCAAGATCTGTACACTCATTGCTTTGTTTCCACCTGACCCCAGGTGGTCTAGTTGTGCTGTATTCCGCTGTGTTCCCTTTGAGGTGAGACCAGAGTGGACTTCCTAAGAAGCATCTTGGAATGCTAGGGAAGCTGGATATTTGCTTTCGGGTTCTCTTTTCCCTCTGTAGAAACCATGGTTTTTGGGAAATCCCGTCTGTGAGGCCCTGGGCCAACTTGAGGGATGGGGTGGGGCAATGTTGTCAAAGTGAGATAGTTTCTCTCACCCTTTCCATGCGGCTTTTATTCCATGCTGTGGACCACACAAGTGACTCTGACTTATTCCTAACTTGGGGAGTTTTCACCAAGGCGTTCTTGTCTGTGGATAGTTGCTAGTTGAACTTTTTGTGGGGTAGGGGGGTAGTGAAACCTGTGACCTCCTATCCCACCATCTTGCTGATGTCGTCTGAATTCTCTTTGTACATTAGTTTTGTGATCTAGGAACTCTGAACTCTCTTATTAATTCTAATATGTAGATTATTCTGGATTTTTAAATGTAAACAAAAATACCACTTCTGAATAACAGTTTGGATATACCCTTCCAGTTTTTATGGTCTATTTCTTTTTCTCGACCTATCTAGCTTACTAGAACCTCCACTGCAAAATAGAAGTAGTGTTGGGGCCAAACAGAAGTAGCGTTAAGGGTACTTCAGCTTTTTTTCCAATTTGAATTCTACTAATGTTTTACATTTAAGGATGATGCTTATTGTAGATTTTCTGTAAGTACTGTTTATCAGGTTATTATGAACATTGTTTCGAGTGTATCAACTAATTTTCCTGTATTTATTGACATGATCTTATGGTTTTTCTTTTTTAATCTTTTGATTTGTGAACTACATTCAATAATTTCCCAATGTTAAACCAATCTAGCTTTCCTAGAAATAGCCAACTTGGTCATGATGTGTTACTTTTTAAAATACATTATTTGATTTTGTTTTAGGTATTTGTTTAAAATTTTATATCCATATTTGAATGTAATTTGCCTATAGTGTTCATTTTTCTGCATTGTCCTTATTGGATTATGGTACCACAGTTACATTATCCATAATAATGAGTTAGGGAAGCTTTCCCTCTTTATCTCCTTTGACTTAGTTTATGTAAAGCTGAAATTATTTCTTCCTTGAATGCTTGATAGAACTCACTTGAAATTTTCTTTGTGAGAAAATTTAAACTACTAAGTCAACTTCTTTAATTATTATAAGATTATTCGGCCAGGCGTGGTTGCTCAAACCTGTAATCCCAGCATTTTGGGAGGCCAAGATGGGTGGATCATGAGGTCAAGAGATCGAGACCATCCTGGCCAACATGGTGAAAACCCATCTCTACTAAAAATACAAAAATTAGCTGGTCGTGGTGGCGTATGCTTGTAGTCCCAGCTACTCGGGAGGCTGAGGCAGGAGAATCACTTGAACTCGGGAGGCAGAGATTGCAGTGAATCAAGATCACGCCACTGCACTCCAGCCTGGCGGCAGAGTGAGACTGTTTCAAAAAAAAAAAAATTATTCATACATTCTCATTTCTTAGAAGTCAGGCTGTTATAGTAAGCTTTTTTTTCTGCAGATTTATTTTATTAAATTTTCAAATTTATTGGCCTAAAGTTGTTCACACCTATCATCTTTTTTATTTATGACTATAGCATCTCTCAGTTTTATTCAAGTTATATATTTCAGATTTTATTTATTAGAGAATTGTGATCAGGGGAGTTTATTAGATTTTTCAAAGGACAACCTTTTGGCTTTGTCCAACAGACATTTTAGGTATGTGAATTATACCTGTTAATTTTGCTCTTATCTATTGTGGTATTAGTATTTTTCTTGTCAGTGTCTTCTAAAGTATGTCTTTATATATTTAAGGTATTCATTATTTAACTGATATCTTGGTTATAAATAATTATCTCTGTTTTTCTTTAATTTTGATTTTAGTCAATTTTTTGTTTATAATTTTGTTTATTACTTTTGTACTTAGAATCATCCTTTATTTAGAAATGAAAGATTAAAAAAATTTTTTTAACATTAGTTTTATTTGTATCTCTAACTGTAATCAAACTATGTCTCTGATCTGGAATTTTATTCCGACCTATGATGTTAAGACTTCAAATCTATGGTTGAAAATTCCAGCTTTATGATAGAATCACCTGAAGTGCTTTTTAGAGACATTTGCCCAGTTCCCTTCAGTTCCCTTCCGCACTCACTAAATGTAGGGGTGGGATGGGGTGGTAAAATCTCAGAATATTTAAAAAATATATATCATAGACAGTTCTTGATGCACAATCAGGTTTGGAAACCACTGATTTAAATATATTTATTTTCCAAATAGCTACCTGATTGTTCCAGCGCCATTCATTGAGCAAGCTTTTTCCTTATTACTGGTTTGGGATTCCTCCTTTACCATGTGTGTTAAACTCCAGAGTATGCTGGGGGTTGTTCTGTGGCTCATTGGTTCTATTAGCAGTCTTGTGCCAGCGTCACAGACTTAGTGATTCAAACTTTATGACATATTTTAATGTTTATTAATGCTAGACCTCCCTCTTCCTTATTCTTATTTTTTAAAACGTATCTCATCTTTCTCCTCAAAAAATTTAGGATATTTTTCATTTAAACATGTTATTCAGAACAAGGTTGGTTGTATGTGATCATCTTTTCCATGTCATTTCCACTGCTTTGTTGTTAAGATAATTTCTTCTGTGTGTAAACTTGTGTTGTTACATAATTATTTTCTTTGAGTTTGTGAGAAATACGTAATTTCCTTGATTTTCTAACTGGCTCTTATTGGTGCATAGGAAAGTTCCTGATTTTCTTTCAGTAGAGTTTTTAAAGCGCACTCTGCCTTTTGGCTCTGCTGAGATTCTTTCAGTTCCTGGATTGTGTCTCTTGTCCTTGCACTGACTGTGCCATTCTTCCTTTTATTTGGAATGTTCTTCATCACTGCCCACACTCCCACCTGTACCTAATGATTTCTTAAGCTTTAGATTTCTGCTGAATCATCCCTTCCCCAGGATGTTCCTTCAGACTTTTCACTAGGTCATGACCTCCTGCTGTGTACTTCATCACAATCTACATCTTCTGTTACAGTGCTCTGTTTCAGTGCAATCACTCTTCCCTGCTGGATTGTAAACGTCTTCAGGTCCAGGAAGGTTTTTTGTTTTGTTTAAGTCTTTAAACCATCTGAGTTAATTTTTGTCTATGGTGTAAGGAAGGGATCCAGTTTCAATCTTTTGCATATGGCTAGCCAGTTATCCCAGCACCGTTTATTGAATAGGGAGTCCTTTCCAGACTGGATAAAGGTGGTACATATACACCATGGGATACTATGCAGTCATAAAAAAGAATGAGACCATGACCTTCGCAGGAACATGGGTGGAGCTGGAGTTATTAGCCTTAGCAAACTAATGTAGGAACAGAAAACCAAATACCACATGTTCTCATTTATAAGGAGGAGCTAAAGGATGAGAACACATGGACACATAGAGGGGAACAACAGACACTGGGGCTTACTGGAGGGTGGAGAGTGAGAGGAAGGACAGGATCAGAAAATACAACTAATGGGTACTAGGCTTAACACCTAGGTGATTAAATAATATGTATAAGAAACCCCCATGACTCAAGTTTACCTATATATCAAACCTGCCCATGTAATCCTGAACTTTAAAATAAAAGTTAAATTAAAAACAAGATTTTTGTTTTTGTTTTTGCTGTTGTCTCCTTAATCAGGAGAGCAGACCGCACACAATGGGTATTTAATAAATTGCTTAAATGAATGCATGAATGCTTGCTTCAGCAACATAACTTTGGCAATGTGGAGATTGTGGTGGAATAGGAGAGAAGATGTAGAGAAGCCAAATGAAATCTGTTCCAACTTTTCAGGCAGAGGAGGATAAGCATATGAGCTAAGGTAGACTTACTCAGGATAGAGGGTAAGGGTTAGCTTTCAGAGTGAAGAGGTGTGATTGGCATCAATTAGGTGCTGACTGGATGCTGGCGAGAGAGAGAGAACCAGGTGAATGGGATACCTCTGGAGGAGCTGGCCTTGGGAAGAAAGGTGAGGGAAAGGTGGGGACATTTGCTTTCCTCCCTGTACACTGTGAAGGTAAGGCATGAGGGAGAATGCCCCTCAGAAACTGTTGTTTGCCTCAAAATCCAACAAAGCTCTTTTTAGGTTTGAAAAGAAAGCAGTTCTTTTTTGCTCATTCATAGAATACCTTTCAGTGAGTTGCTTCTAAGGACGGTAGCAGAGTTTTTGCTGTCATTGTTTTGTTTTATTTTTTGGTTTTTAGACAGGGTCTCACTCTATTACCCAGGCTGGAGTGCAGTGGCACGATAAGGGCTCAGTGCAGCCTAGACTTCCTGGGCTCAGGTGATCCTTCCACCTCAGCCTCCCGAGTGGCTGGGACCACAGATGTGTGCCATATGCCTGACTAATATTTGTAATTTTTATGGAGATGGGATTTCATCATGTTGCCCAGATAGTTTTAAACTCCTGGGCTCAAATGATCTGCCCGCCTTGGCCTCCTCCCAAAGTGCTAGGATTACAGGCGTGAGCCACTGTGCCCTGCCCTTGGTAGAGTTTTGAAGACAGTTGTTATGATGTTAAGTCATTGCACTGAGTCACTAGGCCATCCTTTGGCTTTACAGGACATAAAATATGGGAGTTTCATCACCAGACAGTGGGCGGTACTGGGTTTCCTACTGGGTGGACAGTCCTGCTAGTGGGAGAGTTCTGTCCTTAGTCTGTGCCCTTGGACTGTAGATATAGACATAGAAGGTCATCTCCCTTTATTTCGCCTTTCTGCCTTCATTGTCACTGGGGAGACAGTCCCCCCAAGTCTTCCTGTGTGTGACGCTGTGCAGGTGGTACATAGAAATGCCCATCAGTGATACTTATTTTGATGCTGCTGTGATCCTGAGAATTTTCCCACTTATAGGTGCTCTCTTTGGGATATCTGTTGGCATTCAACTGTTTTCAACAGAAGTCTCCAAAATTGGTACTCATCCAGGGTTATGTTAACTGCCCAGTGTACCGAAGGGTGATGTGGACAGGTGGAAAAAGACTGGGTTAATCTCTTAGTGAGACTAAGTGTTTTTTTACAAGTGGTTGGTTGTCTGAGGGTTAGAAGACTTAGAAGAGTTTTACATTCTACATTGAGGAAGTAGGCACTCACCCATGGTGGGTGGTCTGATGTCCTTGTTTCTTCAGTGGAGTTCTTTTTTCTTTTTTTCTTTTCTTTCAAGACAGAGTCTCACTCTGTCACCCAGGCTGAGTGCAGTGGCACAATGTCAGCTCACTGCAACCTCCGCCTCCTGGGTTCAAGCAATCCTCCTGCCTTAGCTTCCCAAGTAGCTGGGATTACAGGCATCTGCCACCACGCCTGGCTAATTTTTGTATTTTTAGTAGAGACAGGGTTTTGCCATGTTGGCCAGGCTGGTCTCGAACTCCGACCTCAGGTGATCCACCCACCTCGGCCTCCCAAAGTTTTGGGATTACAGGCGTGAGCCACCACACCCAGCCATCAGTGGAGCTCTTAATGTCATTTAGAACATTATTATTGTTGCAGTTGAACTGGAGATGGTAGGAAATAGTGAAGTTCTGCAGTTGTTGAAACAAGATGCTCCCTCAACTGTGCTGTTCCCCACAGTAGAGAGGTAAGACACTCCAGAGGAGTTGATGGTCGAGCAGCTATCTGATGCCTCTAACTGGGAATGGTCTCACAGATTCCTTACTGACCTTAAGCATCAGTAGTTTGCTTCCCAAGCTTGTGGCCCCAAACTAAATCTCTTTAAAAAAAAAAAAAAGCAAAAAACCCGAAAGTACATGATTAGATCTTGCAATACAATTATTGACAATGTATTTTCTGTAGTTTAAATGAATCACTTATAAAACTTTAGTGAATGGGATACGTACCTTATGTGGTTTTAGAAATATTCGTGTGCAAATGGGCAGAATGAATTGGAGTTCAGGTCACTTTGCCAACTTGTGAGATGTCACTAGATTTCAATGTATGTAAATAAACAAGCTCGTCTTTCCAAATACAACTGCACTTGTTATTTCCAAGAGTCTTTCAACAAATGGGATAGGAATTCACAGGCAGGGTCCCAGTGCCTGGTTGAATCTGACTCCCCCTGTGTAACCTTGGACCCATCGCTGAAACCCTATGCCTTCGTGTCCTTTTTGTAAAATATGGACACCATCAGTACTCAGGAACACCATGAGGACCAAATAGGTTTACACACGTAAATGCATGGAGAACAGTAGCTGACAGTGCTCAAGTGCTCACATTAGCAAAATGAAGTGATTCCCTAGTGAATCACACTATTACTTAAAGTTGGATTTTTTTTTGTTTTTTGAAATGGAGTCTTACTCTGTCGCCCAGGCTGGAGTGCAGTGGCATGATCTCAGCTCACTGCAACCTCCGCCTCCTGGGTTCAAGTGATTCTTCTGCCTCAGTCTCCCAAGTAGCTGGGATTACAGGTGTGTGCCATGATGCCCGGCTAATTTTTGTATTTTTAATAGAGACAAAGTTTGACCATGTTGGCCAGGCTGGTCTTGAACTCCTGACCTCAGATCTGCCCACCTCGGCCTCCGAAAGTGCTGGGATTACAGGCGTGAGCCACCACACCCAGCCAAAGTTTGATTTTTTTAAAACTTAAAAGTCCCAATGGATTCAGATCATTGAGATTTGTAACCTATTATTAACATACATTTTCTGGCTGGGCATGGGAGGCAGAGGTTGCAGTGAGCTGAGATCGTGCCACTGCACTCCAGCCTGAGCAACAGAGTGAGACTCTGTCTCAAAAAAAAAAAAAAAAGATATATTTTCTTCAGCTGGGTGTGGTGGCTCACACCTGTAATTCCAGCATTTTGGGAGTCCGAGGTGGGTGGATCACTTGAGGCCAGGAGTTCAAAACTAGCCTGGGTAACATGGTGAAACCCTGTCTCTACTAAAATTACAAAAATTAGCTGGGCATGGTGGTGCATGCCTGTAATCCTAGCTACTCCAGAGGCTGAGGAAGGACAATCGCTTGAACCCAGGAGATGAAGGTTGCTGTGAGCCAAGATTGCACCACTGCACTCTAGCCTGGGTGACAGATCGAGACTCTGTCTCAAAAAAAAAAAAAAAAAAAAAAAAAAAAAGACAGATAGTTTTCTTCATTAATTCGGGATATATATTGTCCAGGGGAGTTGGGGAAAAGCCTAGACTTAAGACCTAACACACTGACTTTATAACTCCAGAAAGCCACATGAAATGAGTTTGGTGTTCAGGTCAGGAAACCAAAGTGCAAAATAAGAGGAGGAGCTGTCTGTATCCTCTTTTGCCTTGTCTGGAGGTGTGTAGGAGGCTGAGAATGGTTTAGTGAGCACATTGCTATACATCAGTGATCTCTTCCCTCCTGTCTCAGATACTGACTCTGTGCCCCGGGGTCCCTCTCCGTGAAGCAGGAGTTACACGCTCAGATGCCTGGGGGGGTGAGACAGCAACATAAATGTCTTTCATGGGCCAGATGGGGACTGTCACCAGCAGCAGAGCATGTTCAGCCACTACTCATTGCCAAGCAGTTGTTTCCTGTAGGAATTCAGGCCCAGTGTTCCAGAACTCCTGATTTTTCAAGAAGAGACAGAAATCTGTACTGCATAGCCCAAATAAATCTTGGATTAGATGCTGGCTGCAACCACACTAGTTTGCAATTTTTGTAATGGGAAGAAAATATTTATGATCTATGTAACACACAAATGTTGGTGTTAAACAGATACTTTTACTCTAGAATCTTTGGGTAAAATGAAGTCTGATGACCTTGTTAAAACATATTATGTAATGCTTGACTTTGGTCATTCAGGAAATACCTACTGTGTGCGTTAACACGTAATTTAGTACATATTTTCTCTTTAAAATGAGCAGTTGCTACAAATGAAACCTGGCCCAGAAGTAGCAGATTGTCATTCTGCAAAATATTTGGGAGACCTGTCTTTTGCCTTTTAGGTTTTGTTAGTTTGATGGAGGTAACGTTACTTTTGGTTCTTCCATTGTATTTAATTGACAGTATCATCTTCTAAAGAATTTCAGTTTTACAGATTGGAGTAGTGAACTCAGGGAAGCATTAAAAACTAGTAGAAAGATTTGAGTAGATTGGGCAACTTGGCACCAAGGCCACTGGTAGGGACGTGCACACTCTTTTCTTAATAACTTAGAGGTGATGAACTCCTGATTGATTGCCTCAGCTAACAGATATTTGGCTGTCACTAAAAATTATCTAAGTTGTATTACTTGAAAACTTAGAATTTAAAAGTGTTACCATAGAGGCAGATGTGCCTCTAGAATTACCTGTGTCCAGACCACCAAAAATGACCAGACATTCCCCTTGCTTCATATGAGTGACTGCTACTTCTTGACTTTTTAAAGAGTTAGCTTTGGCCAGGCACGGTGGCTCACACCGGTAATCCCAGCACTTTGGGAGGCCGAGGCAGGCAGATCACCTGAGATCAGGAGTTCGAGACCAGCCTGGCCAATATGGTGAAACCCCCGTCTCTACTAAAAATATAAAAATTAGCCGGGGGTGGTGGTGCGCACCTGTAATCCCAGCTACTTGGGAGGCTGAGGCAGGAGAATCACTTGAACCTGAGAGGCAGAGGTTGCAGTGAGCAGAGATCGCACCATTGCACTCCAGCCTGGATGACAAGAGTGAAACTCCGTCTCAAAAAATAATAAAAGAGTTAGCTTCACTTTGTTTGCTTTTCCTATCTTCCAGATAAAATTATCAAGAGATTCAGTCACAGATTTGCCTCTGCTTTCAGACACTGCCAAATCCAGAGCAAAACCATACTTCTCTGAACTTTCCCCAAAATCATCTAACAAGAGCCCAAATTCCCTCCTACAGCTCTTTTGCTCAGAGCCACCCCATAGTTTCCCACCTGCTGGCTCCCTGATTACAAAGAGTCAATAAACTCAACCTGGTACTACTGTAGTCTGCTCCTGGTGAGCTGTGGATGAAGGGTATTGCTACCTAGGTAAGATTTGATGATATTATTACACCATTATTTACTTGTTGGCATTTGTGAAATATTAAAGGTAGCAGGGCCTATCATAGGAGGAAAGGAAGGTTGATGGTAAAAATGGAATGATCTATTTCAGCAAAAGCTGCCTAAGAAATCGTCTCCCTCAGAAGGTTATGTATGTGCAAGCTCTTCACTCCCTGGAAGAGCCAGTGAGTCACTCCAGGCAGTCTTGCAAACGGTCGTTTGATTCGAGTTACAGATAGTAGGAGGTGACCCTTTGAAATCTATTTAGAAAAAGTTCTTTCTAAAAGCTATCGATTGTGCTGATTATGATCATAGCAGGTTTCAACCTGCTGTCCAAGTCTGGAACTTTAGGCAAGTTAAGATCAACAAGCACTCTGCGATCGAGTTTCATTTAATTAGAGTTTGCTGCCAAGTCAGGTTTTGAGGCCAACTGCATGCCAGGCGCCTTTCAATGGTTGTCTGTCTGAGCTGGGGGAACGTTGGAGGATGCTCTGCCCTTTCTCCAGTATTAACCTTAGACCAAATCCCAGGGGCTTGCCCTGAGATAAGCTATCTCTACACCACTGGAAAGAGAATGCTTTGCTGCAAATGCATGAAGGCAGAGCAAAGATGTAAGGCAAATAAGTGGGAAATCCAGTTCGGTAGGCTTTTCCCAAAAGCGAGAGAAAAGCGTTCGTAGTCCTTTATCAGGATGGTGGGGGAAAAAGAAAAAGTAAGCTGACTTTTATTTTTTCAAGTCACTTTCCTAAGAAACTTGTAAGGACCTCTCTAAGGCACTGCTATCTGTCTTTGTAGGGCAAGCGTGAAGCTTTCCCTTGCCAGCTTTGTGATGTCATTGAATTAATAATACTGTAAAGGCTAGATCAGAAGTCAATTTGGCAGCTGTGCCTTTAGGGAAATTTTTGGGAGAGTGACCTTCCATTTCTAATAAGCATGTTATTACATTTAGAATTAAATTACTAAGAGCCAAGCTACCCTCTTGAATTTGCTATTAGCCATTTTTTCCCTTTTATTTTTAATGAACTAGAACAAGTTGAAGCCAGTTGTTTCTATTAGTAATAGTACACAGTAAGAAAGGAACAAAAAATCTTTTACTATCAGGCCCTTTATGTTGGACAAGTTTAGCTCTTCTAAATATCAGAATTTGTGAAAGACTTCCACAAAGTCTATTTCTTTTTTCTTAACTTGGGTAGAGTGGGAGAAGCCAGTGGGTTCCTTTCACCAATTTTATATTTGAATGCCTCCTCATGTGTGAGTTTTCTTCCTTAAAGTGAGAAAGATCATCTTCATTTCAACGTTTGTGTGATTCTGAAATTCATGTGGAATATAAATGGGCCCCAAAGTCCAATGGTATATTCTGTAACAATGCACCTACAGAGTATTTAACCCATCAACCACTAGAGCCCAATTTAAAACACCAGTCCTTAAGGCAGGGTGGTACCCGGGCTGATGTAAATGAATAGACACCCAGAGGGCAGTTGAGAAATAGCTAGCAAGCAAGTTGGATCAATTTTAATATCAAATCACACTCTCAAATAAGACAGAAGAACTTTTTACGAATGATGTTGGCAGAGAGAGATGGCAGTTTGGAGCCAAAATTTAAATCCCACACTGTAAACCTAAAACAAACATAAAAGGGTGCTCCAGGTTAACTAAAGATGACAAATTATTGAATTGTGGAAAACATAGAAGGAAAAAAAAAAGAGAGTATGTTCAGATATGAAGCAATAAACCAAGTCACAAAGCTGGAAATATTCCCTCATTAAACAATACCTCTTTAAGAGCAGGGGCTGTCACAACAACTTGGTAATATTCCACACATTTGCTAAGGTAAATTCAACAATACTATACGTGGAAATGCTGCTACTGGGGATCCCGGTTACCCCAAAAGGGACTCTTTCCTGTTTGGCTTCATGAAGACAATACATAAAACCAAAAGTGAGTGCCAAGCAGTGCAGACTTTATTCGATGGTCATGGAATGGAGAAGTGGGAGCGTAGCTTGCATATCAACAACTCAGCTCTTGAGAACTGGGAAGTTACAGATATAGGGGATTCTTCATTTTAATAAGCCTGTAATGATGGCCCATTTGTGTCTGTGTTCACACGTGCGTCTCTGAGAGACAGAGACAGAGTTCACTACATGTGGGTATGGTATTTAGATTCCTCTATTGGAATGCAGGTTCCTTGAAGCTCAAGGATATTGTGATGCACAGGTGCTCTGACCCAGGAACACAGCCTGGCCTGCCTATCAGATACGGACCACAGGAACCATCTGTTCTACTACTCTTCCACACCCAAAAAACCTGCCACTGCCGAGGCTACCCCTACCAAGTCTAGGTGTGTACATTAGCTTAAAATAATTCATGGTATTATTAAAGGTCAAAATTATTTCTCTCTTTGTACCTTTATTGATTCCGCTGATATTCATCCATTTGCTTATTGACTGGTGTTTTCATTGTGGTAGAGCCACACAATTTTTGTTTTTGATTGTCATTACTTATATAGATTTTTGAGAGGAACCTAAGATTGTTTTTTTCTTTCTTGCTCATTAACTTGTAATATCTCAAATATATACTTAATAAAGTAAAAATTGACTTAAGTAAAGGGTGAGAAAAAGATTATGAACTTAAGAAGGATTAAAACCAATTTGCATAGCTCTGGAGAGACGGTCTTTCCTTGTATTACTTGGGGAAAGCAAAAATTAAAAGAGATGAGATCTATTATCTGAATCATGGATAGTGTGACCTACCCAGAGTACCTACTTTTTAACCTTCCAGTGGGTGTTGAAATCTGATTCAGCACATTCTTGGAGAGTGATGAGTAAATTTGTTGTTATATAAAGATTTTTCAAAAATAAGCATCGGATTCAAACATGAGTAGAAAGGATGAGATGTTAATTTAAGTGATTATGGGAAGCTGTGATTTATACACATGAAATCATTCATTTAGAGATGGGTAGTAAGAACAATGAGGATCTTAGGGACTGAGTATCTGTTTCCTAGGACACTAGAGACAGCATTAGGTAGTGATTAACTTAAGAATTCTGAAGTGTGATTGCCTAGATTTGAATCCTGGTTCTAGTCCTTTCTAGCTCTCTGACCAGGAGCAAATTACCTAAGCTGTCTCTGCCTGGACCTTCCCATCTGTAAAATGGTGTTAATAATAACATCTACCTCATAGCATTATTGTGAGGATAAAAGTGAGTTAATATATGCAGATTTCTAGAAGAGTACATAGCATATTGTAAGCGCTGTTATACACATTTACTCTCATTACTTGCCATGATGAGTGTGCAGAGGTTAACCAGGAGACAAAGGAAGCTCACACCCCAGTTGTTTTGTGGGCTACATTCTTGGCGATGTTTTATCGTTGCCCCTGATAATTTCCCCATTTTTAAGAAAAAAGAATTCATAGGCTTAGCATGTGGTTGATTTAAGCCTAACTTTTGACTGATTCTATATGGGATTCTGACTCTCTGATTAACTTTGATGTTCTAACTTTACCTAGCGAATATTTTTTTTCTTTATTTTATCGAACAGGGAAGAGGTCTTTTGATTTTTGGATTATTTGGTATAATATTATATTCTTGAAATCATCCTGTGACTGTCAAAAAGCTGACTGTAAATGAACAGTGAGCCACTGCAGACAGAAACAATTATTCAGGGAAACATAAATTCATAATCACTGGGCCTAAAATGAATTAGTGAGTAATCCAATCTGGGGGTGAGAAATGAGCCCTTGGCAACATTGTTTTTAGGCTACAGATGGTCCTTGAAACACTATTAGCCGGTGGATCTGAGCACCTGAAAGGTTTAAGGAAGCCTGGGTCTGTGCTGAAGGTGTCTTTGGGTAAACTGTCATATTTGCATGCAGCATCCTTTTAGAATATCAATGAGATCTTTATATGCATGTGTTATGTCATTTCCAAGCACCCTGTCAGTAAATGGATGGGTGGCATCAGCCCGAATGCAAAGGAAAGGGGTTCATCTGGAACTGAAATAGCAGAAAGGGAGCAGGAGATGGATATTTGATGGCTGCCCTTCCCTGTGCATTGTGTGAATACCACTAGGTGATCATCTCAGGGCACCTGCACAGGCATCTGAAATGCAGTGTAGAGGCTCTGCTTGGCAGATTTGAGGACATTAAGGCTCAGATAAGATAACTATCTTGGCCCAGATCACATACGTGGGACATGGCAGAGCCAGGATTCAAATTCAATTTTGAATAATTCCAAAGCCAATGCAGCACCTGAATGCGTAGGTTTAATAAAATTCAGCCTAATCCTTCTGAAAGTTAATTCAATGCAGGAGTGACTTTAGCATCAATATTAATTTAATTTTCTTTCTTATAAGTTATTTCAAGTTTGCTGTTTCCCTACAGTTTGAATTGAACTTTTTCTTCGATTGCTGGGCAAATCTCATTTATGAGTTTGCAGATGGGAGAGGTATTCTTTAAGTCAGCTTTGCAATTAAAATGAACTAGAGTACAAATGTCTCAATTTAACCTTGACACCTGATGTAATATTCACACGGCCTCATCATCCATCATCTTTTGTGTGCCACTGAGGTGCATTGGGCCACTGGCTTTTATCCCATGATTGTAGAGTTGCATCCGACATTATCTGTTTCAAGGATCGCAGACCAGCTACTTTTTCTGAACTAGAATTCTCTTTGTTCTAGACCTGTTGTTTGGGTGATATATAGAGATGAAGCAATCTTCGACCTGATTACTGTCTGGCTATAGAACTTTATTGTATCCCATAGTATACAGGACTGCTTTGAGTTTTGCCTCTATTCTAGCCATTTGCTGAGAAGAAAGACATTTGTGGAGGTCTCCTCAATAGGAATTTTTATTAACCATAAGTGATTTAAAACCATTGTCAAACCTGTAACTTTTAAGAGTTACTGTGACAGAATGAGGGGAAAATATTCTGAAGTTTAATTAGAAACTATAGAAATTAGACGGCCAGGCATGGTGGCTCACGCCTGTAATCCCAGCACTTTGGGAGGCCGAGGTGGGTGGATTGCTTGAACTCAGGAGTTTGAGACCAGCCTGGGCAACATGATGGAACCCCGTCTCTACAAAAAATACAAAAATTAGGCTAGTGTGGTGGCAGGCGCCTGTAATCCCAGCTCCTCGGGAGCCTGAGGTGGGAGGATGGCCTGAGTCTGGGAGGGCAACAGAGCCAGACCTTGTCTCACAAAAACAAACAAACAAAAACTGAAGAAATTAGAAGATGAATAATGGCTGTGGTAATTTACTTTCTTGTAAGTAAAGGTCTTTACCTACTTTACAAGAAAGATCTTTACTTACAATAAAATAAGTTACCTGTAAATGGCCTTAAATATTGATTAGGTTGTAAGAGAGAATATGAAATTAGATAAAATGTAGCAATATTTGATGTCATCATTTCCTTCCTCACCCACGCCTCTTCTGGAGTGGGCAGTTGGTCACATGATCTTGCCCCTCTTCAGCGATTGCACTGTGGCTGTTACTGTCAGGAGATGCCCGTTTGTAGGTCTGCTGGTAGAAGTCTGAGATAGACTGGCTCAGAGACAAGCTGTACCAGTAAGAACGCCCTAAGAAACTGTTCAAGCCAGAGAGAGCAGTTGCCAGCGGGCAGTGGTTACTGGAGCTGGAATGCCAGATGAAGTCTGATGGGTTTGGCTCTGATGGGTCTTGTGCATCCAAAACCAGGTAGCCAGAAGGAGCCAGTTGATCAAGCAGATATAGAAAGATCCCCAGAGAGAAGCAGAGGTATCATCCAAGAGATGTGAAAGATTTTTCCACATCCCAATTGCTACCTGGATTCCTGAGACTTGGTTTTCATTTTCTTCTGTGAATCTAGTGACCATATACCTTTTTCCTTGCGGTAACATGGGACATAACTGATTTTCTTGAATGCGAGAGAGCTTTAACTAAAAGAAGATTGACATTTAAGACAAAATGAAATATTGCAAATAGTCAAGAAGATCTACACTTGGGTCCAGAATGTTATAGAATTAAGAAAATAACTTTCTGTGGCATCAGAGATTGAAAAAAAAAAAGCCGTCGAGACCAGGAGCAGTGTGGCTGTGAATCCTTCCAGAGCCCAGATGTACAAGGCAGCAGAAGCAACAAAGGCTGTGGCCAGCAACGAAGGCAGAGTCCCCGGTAGGCGGAGGTCCCCGTGCACAGTGTGGTGCAGCAGTGAACCCAAGATTTTCCTTCACAGGGCAGGGGAACTATTTCCTAATAAGCATTGGCATTCAGGTTAGTAACCAGTTGATAGGATTATATCAACCTGTCTCTAAGTCAAAACAGATTATTCAACTTTTTTGAGTGGTATTTTAGAATACATAGGTCAAAGGTGGGCATGGTGGCACACACCTGTAGTCCCAGCTACTTGGGAGGCTGAGGAGGGAGGCGTGCCTGAGCTCAGGAGTTCAAGTCAGCCTGGGTAACATAGGGAGATCCTGTCTCTAAAAATAAATATTAAAAAAGAACATGTAGATCAGAATTTGGATGACTTTTTTTTCCTCAGGTGCAGAGATGGTAGGGGCATACTTTCAATCCCTGGTACATGACTTTCTTTCTGGTCTGCTTAGCAATATGTGTGAAATGTGGCCAAGGATATGGGACTTGTTGTGCCTGTGCCATGTAAGAGCCTCATCCAAATAAGTCTGTACCTCTGTCTTAAATTCCAGAAACCATGGATGCATGTAACAAGCATATTGAATAGGTTCTGTAACCCAGAGCTTATTTGTTTTTATTATTATTATTATTTTAGAGGTGGGGGTCTTACTATGTTGCTCAGGCTGGACTTGAACTCCTGGGCTCAAGGAATCCTCCCGCCTCAGCCTCCTGGGTAGCTAGCTGGGACTACAGATGCACACCACCACTCCTGTCTCAGAGCTTGATTTTTAAGCCTTATATATACTTATAATAAAATATGTTCATAATATATTTTATAAAATGAATATATAAATATATATTTATAAAATATATATAAGGCTTAAAATTTTAACGTTAAGAATGCTGTTTCTCTTTTTTAGTTTCTACTGGCCAATGGAAAGAACATCAAGGGATTGCAGGCCAAATTTATAAAATGTTTACCCAGGGCAATGCTAGTTTACTTTCATGTATTCAAGTATTGTCATTGTATAATTTAGGTATTTATACTCCCCGGGAAGGTGTTTCTTGGAACATTTTAATTATTGAATCTTAAGAATATTAGTTTTTATTAATTCGTCATTTATTTGTTTATTTTTATTTTTTATTTTTTTGAGACCTAGTCTTGCTCTGTCACCCAGGCTGGATTGCAGTGGCACAATCTTGGCTCACTGCAACCTATACTTCCCAGTTCAAGTGATTCTTCTGCCTCAGCCTCCCAAGTAGCTGGGACTACAGGCACCTGCCACAATGCCCGGCTAATTTTTTGTGTGTGTGTGTGTATGTATGTGTATATATATATATTAGTAGAGATGATGTTTCACCAAGTTGGCCAGGCTGGTCTTAAACTCCTGACCTCAGGTGATCCACCCACCTCAGGCTCCCAAAGTGCTGGGATAACAGGCGTGAGTCACCACGCCCGGCCAGAATATTAGTTTTTAAATGAATGATTCCAAGCTAAGTTTTGCTATTGGAAATATAGGAGTTAATTATGACAATTATCATTTGATGTTGTGGGGGCTAAATGTGGGTATTTTTGGTGTTTTTCCTTTTTTTTGTTACATATGTTAAACTCTGAGTCTTTTGACAACACCAAAAGGCATTATGACAACTGTATATACATTTAACTTTGCTTTCAGGGAGACTAGTTCAAGGTAGTAAAACCTCAAAATGGATTTGCAACTGAATTAAGGTTTTCTGAGTAGAGATAAGGCTGAGGTAGCCAAAACTACTTCTGCTATCTCTTTAGAAAAAGTACTTTTATTCAGTCTGTTCTTAAAAGAAATAAGTGTGGTTGTTTTCTTTTTTACCATAAGCAGAATGAAAACAAAATTAGAAGTCATTACTTTTTTTTGCCCCAGCTTACTTTTTGTTATGGAGGTAAAAATTACATAACATAAAACTAACCATTAAAAGTGAACAATTCAGTATATTTAGTACATTCATGTTTTGCAACCACCACCTCTGTCTAGTTCCAAAACATTTTCATTACCCCCAAATTAAAATCCTGTATCCATTAAACAGTAACTCAACTCTTTCCCCTCAAAATCACCAGTCTGTTTTCTGTCTCTATGGATTTACCCACTCTGATTATTTCATGTAAATGGAATCATACAGTGTGTGCTATGGTTTAGATATGGTTTGTTTGCCTCCACCGACACACACATGTTGAAATTTGAACCCCAGCATGGCAGTATTGGGAAGTGGAGCCTACTGGAAGGTGTTTGGGTTACGGGAGTGGATCCTTCATGAATGTCTTGGTACTGTTCTCCCAGTAGTGAGTGAGTTCTCATTTTTAGGAGAATGGATTAATTTTCATGAGAAAGGATTAGTTCTCACGGGAGTCAGTTGTTAACTCCCTTAAGACATCCTTTGCATTTCCCTCTTTTTGCACATATCTGTTTCCACTTTGACCTTCTTTCCCACTCTCCATCTCATGTTGTGATGCAGCATGAAAGCCCTTGTCAGATGCCAGGGACATGTCCTTGAACTCCTCAGTCTGCGAAACTGTGGCCTAGATAAGCCTCTTTTTTTTTTTATAAATTACCCAGTCTTAGATATTCTTTAATAGCAATACAAAATGGACTAAGACAATATGTGTAACCTTTTATGCCTGGCTGCTTTCACTTAACATCTAATACTGCTTTCTTTTGTGTTTGATTTTTTTTTCTAGTGTACCCTTTTGATTCCCTTTTCACTGCTTTTTCTGTATACTTTTTAGTTATTTTCTTACTGATTTACCATGAGTATTACAATTAATATTGCAAGTTTATAGCATTCTAGTTTGAAATGGTGCCAGTGTAGCTTCAATAGCATATAAGAACCCTGCTGCTGTATAGCTCTGTTCCCCCTTTATGTTATTTTTACTAATTTTATCTTTGTATATTGTATTAATATAGATTTATAGTTATTGTTTTGTGCACGAGTCTTTTAAATCACCTGGGAAAAAGAAGTGGTACAACCCCAAAATACGTAAATAATGAATTTTATGTTTACCTATGGTTACCTTTACCTGTGATTGTTATTTCTTCATATAGCTTTGAGTTCCTATGAAATGTCCTTTCCTCTCAGCCTGAAGTATTTCTCTTTAGCATGTCTTATAGGGCAGGCCTAGCTCCTTTAGCTACTGTATATCTGGGAATGTCTTCATTTCTCCTTTATTTTAGTAATTTTGCCAAGCATAGCATTTTTGGTTAAGTTTTTTTTTCTTTCAGCTTTTTAAATATTTTACCCCATTGTATTCTGGGCTCCATGGTTTCTGATGAGAAATTGGCAGTTGATTTTATTAAGGATTGCTTGTGTATAATAAGTTGCCTCTTTCTTTCTGTTTTCAAGATTCTCTCTTTTGTTATTGGCTTTTGATGGTTTGAATATAGTATGTCTCAACATAGATCTCTTTGAGTTTATCCTACTTGGAGTTTGTTGAGCTTTGTGGATATGTAGATTCATGTCTTTCATCAAATTTGGGAGTTTTCAGTTATAATTTATTCAGATATTCTTTCTGCCTCTTTATCTCTCTGTTTTTCTTTTGGAACTCCCATTTGCATGTGTTGGTATGCTTGATAGTATACCACAGGTCTCTAAGGCTCTGCTTATTTTTCTTCTTTTTTCTTTCTACTTCTCAGTATGATTTAACAGTATATAAAATATGCATAGGAGTATCTTCACATTTGCTGAGTCTTTCTTCTGCCTGCTCACTTCTGCTATTGAACCCCTTTAGTGAATTTTTTACTTCAGTTAAACTTTTCAATTTAAGAATTTCTGTTTGATTCGTTTTTATAATTTCTATCTCTTTACTGATATTAGCTATTTGCTTATACATTGCTTTCTTTATTTCCTCTACTTTTTTTGTCCATGTTTCCATTTCCATTTAAGACAGTTAATTTAAAGTTGTTGTCTAGTAAGCCCAGTGTTTGAGCTTCTTGGGGAATAGTTTCTGTCAATTTATTTTTTTCCTATGAATGGGACATACTTTTTTGTTTTTTGGTATGCCTTGTAATTTTTTTTTTGAAAACTAGTTGTTTTGAATATTGTTATATGGTATCCCTGGAAATCAGATTCTCTCCCCTAACCACGGTCTATTATTGTTGACTCTTGAGGGCTGCCATCTGTTTAGTGATTTTTCCAAAGGTTGCATTCTTTACTGTGTATCATTACTGAAGCCTCTGTTCTGTTGACATATGGTTACTGACATTTCCATTTTGTTATCTCATTGGTCAGCCAGTTATGTGACAGAGGATTTCCTTAAATGTCTGGAACCAAAAAGAAAAGAAAAAAACAAAACACCAAACATTTTTCTAGTCTTTGCAGCTTAGTTCTGACCTAAGTCATTCCCTCAATGCTAAACCAGGTCACCCATGACTCTGCCTTAGCCTTCACCTCCTGCTGTGCAGAACCCACAGATCCACCAGTGGGGCAAACCTATGGTCCTCTCAGGTCTTCTCCAAGCATGTGGCAGTCCTAGGCATGGATTTTTCACCCTAGCTTCCACAGCGTATACATTTTTTATTCCCTCTAGAAACTTCCTTCTTAGCCTCTGCCTTCCCTGCTTTTTGGTCTGTCCCTTACTAGTTTTTATTCCCTCTAGAAACTTCCTTCTTAGCCTCCACCTTCCCTGCTTTTTGGTCTGTCTGTTGCTTCCCCATCCATTGTCCGAGGCATAGGTAGTGTGTGTCTTGAAATCTTTCAACAGATGCCACTGCTGCCTGAAATGCCACTGCAGCCCAAGGGAGCAGGAATGAAACAAGTACCAGCCTCTGTGCAGCCCCTCAGGGAACAGCCAGGCAGGTCAAAATACATACCTGCAGTATTTTAAGAATAAGGTTTACTTTAGCTCCCTGATACCAGCAAGCCACACTAGGAGGGCAGGCCACCATCCCCATGGCTGCCCTATGGTGCTGGGGTTAGAGCATGGTGGGCAAGTGAGAGAAAAGACCCCAGCGCTTTCTTACTCAAATCCAGCTGCCTTTTTCTTCATTCGGCATATTCCTTACTATCATAGGTTTTTAATTAACTCCTAGAGTTCTGAAAAAGCTGGTTGTGTCAGTATTTGTTAGCTTACTTATTATTTTAGTTCAGGGACCACTTGTTTGAGTGCCCTACTCCACCATTTTGTATGATGTGATTTGGTAGTTCCTTCTGAAGGAAGATAGTCCCACTGCATAGAAATCTAAGTATGAATATTTTCAATGAAACATGCTGTTATTCAGGCAGCCTTTTCTGCCTGAGGTTATTGAATCAGACGTTCTGCAGTCTCTTGCCCTGGTGTTGAGCCCTGGGAGCTGGATGGAGTCTGAGGTGGGTTGTTCTCATCCTCTTCCCCCTTGCTGCAGGTTCCCTCTCTGAATTTCCTGGCACAATGCCCTGCTGTCTTAAATGTTTACTAATATTTGCTAAAAAAATGATTATTTCAGTTTAGCTATATAAGGTGAAAATGGTTTCCCATTTTCAGAAGACTGGTTTACCACCTTTTGGCTGGCACACCTGTATAGCTAACATAAATGTGATTTAAAATTTAAATGAATTTGCGGAGCCTGAAAGAGCCTCTTCTTTGACTACCCTGGAGAAAAACAGGTAGCAACACTTTATGTCTTAGATGATGTTCCTCCTGATGCCTTAATTAGAAACTTGTAGATTTACTTGCAGTCCAGCTATGTGCTCATTTGCACAGTTTAGTCTAAAGGCTTTACCTAGAGTCACAACTTGATTGTTGTCCAACTCACACTGGGCCACTAACACTGCAAGCTTGACCTATATGTGAAATCATGGAGCTGGTTCCTCATCAATTTCATGACTGAAAAGTTTGTTTACTTCCTTTCTTCTTGTTGGCAGTTCTGTTAAGTGTCTTGCTTCAGCTGTGTCTGCAGCCTCTGGACAGGTATAGTGGAGCAGTGTTGCGGGAAGTCAGGGACCCCAAACGGAGGGACCGGCTGAAGCCATGGCAGAAGAACGTGGATTGTGAAAATTTCATGGACATTTATTAGTTCCCCAAATTAATACTTTTATAGTTTCTTATGCCTGTCTTTATTGCAATCTCTAAACATAAATTGTTAAGATTTCATGGACACTTATCACTTCCCTAGTCAATACTCTTGTGATTTCCTATGCCTGTCTTTACTTTAGTCTCTCAATCCTGTCAGCTGAGGAGGATGTATATCGCCTCAGGACCCTGTAATAATTGCATTAACTGTACAAATTGTACAGCATGTGTGTTTGAGCAGTATGAAATCTGGGCACCTTGAAAAAAGAACAGGATAACAGCAATTGTTCAGGGAATAAGAGAGATAACCTTAAACTCTGACCGCCGGTGAGCCAGGCGGAACAGAGCCATATTTCTCTTCTTTCAAAAGCAAATGGGAGAAATATCGCTGAATTCTTTTTCTCAGCATGGGATATCCCTGAGAAAGAGAATGTGTACCTGGAGGTAGGTCTCTAAACTGGCCCCCCTGGGTGTGGTCGTCTCTTATGGTCGAGACTGCAGAGGTGAGATAGACTCCAGTCTCCCATAGCGCTCCCAGGCTTATTAGGAAGAGGAAATTCCCACCTAATAAATTTTGGTCAGACCGGTTGATCTCAAAACCCTGTCTCCTGATAAGATGTTATCAATGACAACGGTGGCCAAAACTTCATTAGCAATTTTAATTTTGCCTCGGTCCTGTGGTCCTGTGATCTCGCCCTGCCTCCACTTGCCTTGTGATAGTCTATTACCTTGTAAAGTACTTGATGTCTGTGACCCACACCTATTCACACACTCCCTCCCCTTTTGAAACTCCCTAATAAAAACTTGCCGGTTTTTGCAGCTTGTGGGGTATCACGGGACCTACCGACGTGTGATGTCTCCCCCGGATGCCCGGCTTTAAAGTTTCTCTCTTTTGTACTCTGTCCCTTTATTTCTCAAGCTGGCCAACACTTAAGGAAAATAGAAAAGAACCTACATGAATATCGGGGCAGGTTCCCCAATAGAGCAGCGTACTATTTTGCTCAGTGGGGGACACTGTAGGTCATAGAGTCCATCTTGGATGGGTATCAACTTGAAGTTAGTGTCTGCCTGCCTGCCTGTCTCTCATATGTTTGTTCGGGGGGCCTATCTGTATATATACTTTTGTCTTATTTGAAGATTCCAGTTTTTTTCATAGAGAGGCAGTAAAAGATGCCCAAGGATGTTCTGACTCCCTTTCAACTTATCCTTGTAAGGCACCATAGAGAAAGTATCTTAGGTCTTTTGTTTTTTCAGACTGTGGCATCATCAGCTTTTCTCCAAAGTGCTGGCTGCCTCTCACAACATCACTGCAGTGTGTGTTGTCTTGCTGGCAGAGTCTTTCCATTTCTCTTTGGGGTGGGAATGGAGGCAGGAAGATATTCTTTTCTAGCACGTTTGGCAAGGGGAGTTCAATTCAAAACTCTAAGGAATTGGTTTTTCAAATCTGTGCCACCTTTGTTCTTTTTTTAAAAAAAGGACATTTAATATTTCTCAAGTGCAATCTTCTCATTCTGGCTGCTATTTATTTTCTTCATTCTCTAAATTTATTCTGTCAGCGTTTCTGAAGCTGCCTCTGCTGGTTGCCAG
Organism: Homo sapiens; assembly: GCF_000001405.40. Taxonomy (NCBI): domain Eukaryota; kingdom Metazoa; phylum Chordata; class Mammalia; order Primates; family Hominidae; genus Homo; species Homo sapiens. Next base: position 25,672,681 of record NC_000013.11, read on the forward strand.
GCAGTGGCTTTACTCCTTTTGGAGTAAAGATGAATCTGACCCCAGGGTAGGATCAAAATCTGTACCAGTAGGTCCCAGTTCTGGCTTTTTGAGCTAATATAGTCAATCTAATTTCCCTTGCATGTGATAGCTATTAAAACATTTTAAGACTGTGAACATGCTTATTTGAGACCGGAAGAGACTGGGTCACAGAGGAAGAAGGAGGCAATTACAGAGTGGGAGTGGGCAGGCTTTGGTGGTTTGGAGACTTTGGGAGACATGAATAATATAAGGGATTGGTGGAAAAGAGGGAGGGAGCAGGGTAGAGACAAGAACCTTTGGTCAGCTTGTATTTTTTAGGGTCAGTATTCTCTGGCAATAATCTCTCCAGCTTCTTTGGAACGAAAACATGAATAGTGTATTAGATTAAAAATCACAGGACTCCCAGGCTAGCATTAATTCTCCATTCAACCCTGCCTCTTTCCTACCATGATGGACAAGGCAAGGAGATGAGGGACAGAATGCTTTCTCCTCCGCCTCTCACTGTTCCTGTGATTTTCAGATTGTACTATTAGCAGAGTTCTGCAGACACTATAACAGCGAATACTGATGATCTTCTATAAATGTATGTGGAATTCTATTTGATGATTCTTGTTTAACGCCACAGAAATTTTGGATAGGATACAAGAAGATTACCCATGATGTGGCAAATGAGACCAGTTGGGATAGCTACAAAGCAGAGACTCTGACTTCTGTATACTGCACAGGAAATGGATTCTCCTAACTGTCCTCCTGTCATGTATGATACCAATGTAATTATAGAAATAGAAGTCAAACATATTTTAACAAATGTGGTACTGGAAAATCATACAGCTCTACTGGCTAATTTTCCTTAATTTCATGATGTTTTACAAATTGGCATTTATTGCTCCCTGTCTACGCTGACTCGTTTCTCTACTAAGCTTGCTTTTTTCCTACCCCAGACACAGATCTGATCATAATCTTCCATATATCCCACCCAAACAGCTATTGGTGCGTAGGAAAAATGGTTTAGGCTGATAAAGAATGATTCACGGCAATGGAAAGAAAGCCAGCCACTGAAGTAACTTATAAAATGAGTCCAGTAATTCAGATGTATTTATAATTTTATTTGCCTGTGTGGTCCTAGTTAGACTTGGCTCTGCACAGGGAAAGGAGGGGAAAAAGAAACAATTTTAGGGGAAAAAGTGAAAGATGGTACAAAAATTTGGTGAAAATTACATAGTCCATATGCCGCTTTGTCATCATTAAGCTAATGTTTTCAACAAGCTGTTTTTTGTGGTTCAGCAGAGGAAACTCGGCAGTGTGATTGCAGTCATGGAATCCTACCTGGCTTTGGTTCCACCATGGCTACATCCTGCCATAAACGGAGACTTCGGGAAGGTCTAGGAAATATTGTGGTGTTAGTGTCTTTAGTTAAAAGCCAACCATTCAAGGTTGTCTGGCCCAAAGTAACGTTTCCACACTTAGAGAAGCCACCCAACCTCTGCCCCTGTTTAGGCTAGTGTGAACAAATTCATCCTGGCCATGTTGTCTTCTCAGAACTCCTATGAGGGTCCAGATGTGTCCCCCCCCGAAAACTAAATCTATAAGGACCTTTGGCTCTTTTAGCTGCTTTATTTTTTGTTTTCAACCATGTATGAAAGTGAGTGTGCAAAATAGGCTTTTCAATAAATTATGCATCCTTCAATAATATATCGTTTCCATTCCAGTTAGCTTTAGGCCCCCAAACCAGATCATTAGGTCTCTGGAATTGGCTGAGGCAAGCTGGCTTTTATGTCTCTGATGCCTCTTGGCCCATCCTTTTCACCAAGAGAGGATTAGAATGGATTCATTGCAAGGGCTGCAGGGAAGTGGTGTATTTAGTGCTTTGCAGTGCCTGCCACAGACTTGAGTGTCAAATTCCTCCTTTCTCTAAAGAGCATAAAATTCCCATCAGACTTGGAGAGCTAAATGCAATTGAAACATTGAGGGGAAGAGTGTTCCTTGGCACATTTTCCCCACCCGGAGATCCTCAACAGTACGTTTCCTCCCGTGTAGTGACTATTAGGAGTGCAAAACCTGAATACTTTTTCAAAATTAGAATGACCACAATAGTAAATAGGACAGAATGGGAGTGGTATTGAAGTAAGAATTTGCTTATAGAATTAAACCAAATCCAAATTATTTCTCACTCGCCTTCAAAAGATAATTTTGAGCTTTTGAACATAGCAGGTTTGCTGGTCGTGCTACTGAGTAGTTTGAAAGCAAATTTCAGTCACCAAAAGGACGTAAGTCTAGAAGGACCCTTTACTTCTTTCTGTTGTCTGTTTTAATGGGTGCATTCTGGAACCAAATGCGAGTCATCCTGTTTTATCTTTTTCCCTTTGCCCCTAAGTTTCAGTTGCTTGTCTGAGTGTACAGCTAGATTGTTTGCCTTTTGTAAAGGTGAGCATATGAAGCAGACATGGTGGAGCCTTGGGGCCCTAGTAGTGCAGAATTTTTGGAATGGCAGCAATGTTACCTCTATAGTGTCAGCTTTGTTCTTTGGATTTGCATTGCATGACCCGTAATACCAGGTGGAGGAAACCATGTTGAATTTCTCTGGGGGCCACTGCTCAGCAGTTGTCAATCTTTAAGTGCTTAAAAATGTCTAGCATTCTTCCTTTCCAGAGGGCATCCTGTGTTTACACATTTACGCCGTCAAAATCAAGCCTAGTGGATAGAGGAGTTGTAGAACAGGGCAGACAGAATCAAATCAGGCCTGGTGTAGAGGTGTACCTTGGGAAATACCTCCAGTTGTTTTCAGACACTTGCAAATATGTGTAAATAATAAGTTTTATCAGATAGCTTTTTATTTTAATATTTTGGGAAATGGGATAACACAACCTTTTCTTGTGAATATCTTTTGTTCTTTTAATAGAATGTGAAATCATTACACTCTAAGTAGCAAGACAAGAATATCATGTAAACATGTTCTGGAAGATCTGGGCTTTAATTTTGTTGTGATTAGTGTATTTCAGAGAGTGAACATGTTTGGAAGAGTATTGAAAATACTCTCCTGGGTTGTGCCGGTGTTCATGGGTTGGACAAGCTCACCTTTGACAGGCAGGCTTGGATGCTGCTGATGGAGTTACAGAGAGGGCTTTGCATGTGAAAAAATGACATTTTAAGTTGAAATGCCATAATTAATCATTTCCCCCTTTGATTCATGTTATAGAAACCAAATTAACATAATTAAATTATTTTTACAATCATATATTAATAGAAATGAAAAATACTCAAGGTATTGGAGACCCCAAATATCCTGACTTGATCCTTATTCTATACATGTCAAAAATACTTACATGTAACCCATAAGCGTGTAAAATATTGTATCTTAATAAAAGAAAAAAAAATGTATATGTATATTTTAAGAATCAGTAGTGCCTTGAAGGATAAATATTCTAATAGGTAGGCAGTGGTTAACTGCAAGTGATCTGATTGGTGGTCTGGATCAGAAAATTGGAATTTCAAATTAGAGAATATGTTTCTGACTTGACATCATAAGCATAGATGTCTTTAAAATGCTTTTAATATTCACAGGCATTTGGGGAAGAATGAGCTAGATTCTTTTTTCCCTCATCTAGCTTAGATATTTCTACATTTGCTATCCTCAGTACATCATATCTCAGTAGCTCTTCCCCCGGCTTGAGTTGTCCTGGAAAGGTGCAGACCTCATGAGAGGTGGAGGATGGCAGGGAAATAACCAGGTCATCTCAGGGGTCTGCAGAAGGGTAACATCTAATTGAGTTCTGAGACCACACGTGAACTCTGCCTCAGGACATTGCAGCCCTTGTCCTGGCCACACACTTTATTGCATGTGAGTGCCCCACACTACCCAACCAGCTCAACCAGCTTCACTCTGCCTCACGAGAAAGCTCTTATTTTACCTGTGCCAAAGTAAAAAAGGTTGAAGTTTGCCAAGTGGAAAGGAAAAGACAGACAACACATTAAGTGATTTTTTAAAAAAAATTTTTATATATTCCTTCTGGAAACTGTTTTTGTGTTTGACTTGATGAAAGTATACATGTATACTTGTATACATGTTGTAGAAAACTATAACAGAGAATACAGGCCAGTATTCTCTGTAGTCGATTAAAATCTCTTATTGGTAGAGTTATTCAATAGGGAACTCCCAATTTGACAAGTTAAAACTCCTAAACAAAAAGGTGTCTTATGTTTTGTAGTCTTGCTCTTTTGAAGGGATTTAGGAAACCTCTAACTTCTTTTTTTGTTTTTCTTTTCCTAGTGCCTTTGTTATTGGGAAGAGGAATTTTTATTTTCTTTTCCAGAGGAAGGGAAATCTCTGGGCCAGATCATTGCCTGGGACAGGATTCTCTTGCTAAATGCCCTGCACACCATCTTCCATCCTACTGCAGCAGACTCACCTTTTAAAAACTCTTCTATTGTGGCATCAGCTTAGTCTAGAAGTCTGCTGCCCACTGTGGTCTCTGCTAGCCACATGGGGCTGTTTAAACTCAAATTAATTAATGTTAAATAAAATCAAGGTTTTAGTTCCTCAGATGCACTCACCACATTTCAAGTGTTCAGTAGGCACCTGTGGACAGTCCAGAACATTTCGAGCATCATAGAAAGTTTTATTGGACAACATTGATTAGATCCATAATGGTTTTCAATTTCTTTAAGACTTTAAATGTGAACTCTTTAGCCTGGCCTGTAAACCTGCCCAAATTTTGCCATCTGTAGATATTGAATATAATTTACCAGAAGGGAGAATGCAGAAGGTAGTCAAGAAAATCCATGTTGGTATAACTCATGTGAGACCCGGGTGGTGGTGGAGAGACATTTAATTCCCTTCTGAAGAAGGCATGGCACTTGGACAGACAGGAGGTAGTCCAGGTAGCTCTGGGATAATGTGTGAACATGAAGATTAATTTGAGGAGTATAGAAGATTTTGATCTTGGTGAAGGGTAAGGTGAATAGAGGACAACGGGAGAGAGATAGGTGGCCTGTATTCTCTGTTATAGTTTTCTATAGGGGACTGTCTTCTCATGGTCTTCAGCCTGTGTTTGAATTCAAACATTTCAGTCTCCTTTGTCCTCAAAAAGAGAACATGAAGGAGTGGATTCACTCATGGCAAAGCAGATGGGAACAGGGGTGTTAGTGAATAGTGTGGACTTCAGACTTTAAGGAATGATGATGAGAGTTAGTGGTCCACAGATTCTGGAAGGAGCACTGTGGTGATCTGGTGCGAATGAGAGGGGGTGGGGGATATTACAGAGGGTTATGAGGCAAGTAATACCTTTACAGAAAGTCAAATTTTAATGATGGAAAGAATGCAGGAATGTAAGAACTTTAAGATGAACAGAACATGACTCATGATAGCTCAGACGACCCAGAAGATAGAGTGGATAAGTAATAGAGGTGCAGGTGGTTCTTGATGACAAGAACTTGGCCTTCAACTCTGTGTCCCTAGCACCTGTCAAGGCACTTGATGATTAATGGATTCTGTTAAACACTTGTTGCCTCTGTGGGGAAAGCTGGGCTCACCAAGCTAGTAGTTGTGGAGTATGGGGGAAAACAGAGTTCTGTGTCTCAGGCGGTAATTTCAGCAACAAGTGAAGAAGGCAGATAATAGGCTGGGGAGAAGGGTAGAGGCACTTAGTGACAGGCTGGCAGCAGGTGGAGGATATGGCCGGGAGTATTGCTGAGTTTATAGGATTAAAAGGCCCCACTGGAGAGCTGCTGAGTTGATTGAATTACCTAGACCCCAGATGCCAAGGTAAATGCCACTGGGGCAGCTCTAGCACTTTTCAATAGTGCTGCCTGTGGCCCTGAGAGTGTGCCAGCAGGTGGGGTTCTTCTGAGGCAGGAGGGCAGGACTGGTGGAGTCAAGCAGAGGGAGCCAGCTCTGCAACACAGCTCCTGGGTGGCAGCTTGCCTTCCAGCACACGTGTTATGCAGCAGAGACCTGGTAAAGCCTTGTTTGGAAAGACAACTTTGGCAGCAGGATAGCTGGAAAGCCCTACCTTGGAAATTAGTCCTGGGGTTGAATTGTAGCTGTGCCACTCACTTGCTCCGTGACCTTGGGCAAGTCAGTTCACCTCTAAGGCTTCCTCATAAAATGAGGAGAATAATTCTTAATCTCCCTGTCACTGGAGGCTGCTTTGTGGAGGAAAGCGATGTATGTGAAAGCATGCAGTAAGCTGTAACATGCTACAAAAATGCAAGTTATTTATAAGTTGGGTTTCAGGGGCAAAGAAAGACAACTCAGTGAAGATGTCTTTACAGTAATCACTGTGAGTTAATGACAACATGAATCAAGAATATGATAATGGAAAAATTAGGGAGACAACAGAAATAAAGGCTTCTAGTAAGAATTTTAAAATTACACTTGGAAACCAGGTAAGCAATGGGAGGAAGGCAATAGGATGAAGGAGAATGAAGGCTAGTAAAAGATAGTAGGATTCTGGGTTTGAATGGTTGAGAGAATGGTGGCAACATTAACCTAGAGGCAGAAAGAGGGAAATACTGGAAATCAAGATGATAGGCTTTGTTTTGGACTTATTAAATTCTCTGTACTACTGGAACATCCTGATAAAAAATGGTAACAGGACATTCTGGTTGTAAGCACAGTGAAAAAATTGAGACTGAGTTTGGAAGCCAGCCACCAGAAGCAGTGTTTGAGGTTTTGCAACAGAATGTTATCACCCAGGCAGCCATGTAGCATTAGAAGAAGGCCAGGGATAAACTTTGGGGCAGATAATGCGATTTGACTTCCTTGGGTGTTAGGTCTTCCTCAAGGTAAGCGTAGTTTTCTTACTGCTTGTATGGTGGCCATGACACTTATGACTGTCAGCACTACATGTTTATGTGTTCATATTTTTCACATACTTTCAATTCTTGGAGTTTAGGGATTGTATTAATCTTGTATACCATAGACACCTGAACATAAGCTAAATGTCTACTAGCACACAGTAAAGATTTGAATATGTTATTTTGAAATAATGAATCAGTGCCCTAAAACAAAGGTGGTCATTGTTAAGGATGATCTGGAGAGGCCTGGGCGAAGGATACCACCCTGGGCCCATTCCAGGTTAGTGACATGAAGAGACCAGTTGATATTGTCAGTGTCTTTCTCCTTTGATGCTCTATAGATTGAGTTGAGAACATAGATTGTTGATTGCGGATTAGGAAAAATAGGAGGTCAAGGGGATTAAGACAGCATCAGTTTTCATGAAGTTCAAGGTAGTTGGAGAGGTGGGTTAAGCTGAGGAATACCAGTCTAGAGTGATTCACAGTAGCTTCTAGAACAAAACACTTTTGCAAAACAAGACAGGTGGAATTAAAGTGGGGGCAGAAATTGAACAGGAGAGAAATTTCATGCTCTACGTTCTTGGTGTGACCGTGCTAATTGTGTGGCTTTTGTGGGTTGGATCGCATCCTTGAAAAGATACGTTGAGTTGTTGAGTCCTAAACCCCCCTGCACAGTATCTTAGAATGTGACCTGGTTTGGAAATAGAATCATGGCAGCTTAGTTAAGATGAGTTCATAAGTTGAGGCTTTCATGCAATGATTGATGTTCTTCTGAAAGAAGAGATGCACACATATAGGGAGATCACCATGCGATGATGGAGGCTGAGATGGAAGTTAGCTGCAGCTGTGTACTAAGGAATTGGCAGCCAGTCACCAGAAGTGGGGAAGAGACTAGGAAAAGATCCTTCCTACAGGTTTCAGAGGGAGTGTGGCTACCTTGAATTCAGATTTCTAGCCCCAGGAGCTGTGAGAGAGTACTTTTCTGTTGTTTTAAGCCACCCAGTTTGTGGTACTTGGTTGTTGCAGCCCTGGGAAACTGACACCATGGCTCAAGGGAAGCAGAAATGAAGGTCATGGAGACCAGGGTGGTAGAATCATGGATGCAATGCTGAAAATTTGGAGAACAACATGGAGAGATAGAGTGAAGAAAACAGAAGGGGAATGTTCTGGAGTGTTCTGTAGCCTTCATAGCTAACTGCTCTTGTCATCCTAAGGCTCCTTGTACGTCAGTCTCTTTGAAAGCAAAGTGAGAGGCTTTTGCCATTGCCATCAAGGTGCCCTCTACAACCATGTTTGTATTTATCTCAGCGGCCCAGGCTTGTCAGTTCCTGGCATTTGGGTTTAGGTTGTACTTGGTGTGGGCGCTTGGTTTCTTTTAGAGATATTGTAAAAGGGACACTGTATATTTAAATAGCATGGAAGACTTCAGGTTGAATTGGGTCAAGGTGCTTCCCACTCCCTGCACAAAAGAATTCTAATTGCAGACAACTCAATCAAACAATACAACTCAGTATATTTTTCTGAAGAGAGGGAAACAATTGGAATTGAAGTGACTAATTCCTTTTGCAAGGTCCTCTAGGAAAAATAGAAATTCTAGAATGGCTTTCTGGAGAAAAGTCTTTGAAGGGTTTGGGGAACTGTTTAGAAAAAAGAAAGCAAAGAAAAATCTGGGTTCAAGGAAACAGACTTGACAATATTGAGGTTGTAGGGAGTGTCCAGATACCCGGCATGCTTGACTGTCTCTCCCTCTCCCATGACTCCAGTTTGGATATGATGAAAATGAATGTTTTTAATTTGTTAGCCTGGAGCTTCTCCTGCATTGGAAAGTGATTTTGGGATTAATGCTAACGTTTTAGAAGATTTTTCCCATATTGAGTGTAGAATTAAATGTTTGCGTACCCCATAGTGTTTACTTTAATTTTTCCACACTCTTCAGGAGTTGGCAGGTATATAATTCTGGATGATAGCATGTGCTGTGTGTACTCTCCAGTCCTGACGCTGCAGGGTTAGGGCATTGGTGCCTTTTGTTCAGTCCACGCAGGGAAACGTGCAGGCAGGGAGCTGGTCCGAGACGTCTCCAGGCAGATTACGGGAATGGCTGCTCCCACAATAACAAAAAATGGCTCCTGGTGGAAAAAGAAAAATAGAGGTAGTCTGAACTTGTGGACAGGTTTGTTTCCTCCTTCTTAGATATGAGTATTTAATTTTTCTCTTTTTAGCTCCCTCTCTCTACCAAAACAAAACAGACAACTCTTTGAAAACACCTCCAAATGATTTATGTGCCAAAGATGTGTGAAAATGATCATCTTAGATGTTGTTGGGGGTGGGAAACAACCCTCAGTGGTTTGTTCCATTCTTATCTGTCCTTGAAAATAGTTGAGAACAAACGAAGACTTGGGACTGACTGCCTTGGATGTGGTCTGGTTTGCCCTGTAACTGACAAGAGTGATGGGTCCCCGTCGAGTGACGGCGTTGGACTAGAACCCAGGCTGAGAGAGCACTGCGGTCCTTGGCTGATGCACTGAAGAAAAACGCGTCAGATAGAAACAAAATTACTGTGTATCCATTTCTGTGCATAACTATAGTGGAAGAAAAGCAAAATTTAAAAAAAACACACCAAAAACCCCGTGATCACCATTCTCTGTAATTCAGACTCTTTTTTGTAGTAAGAAGTGCCATGCAGCTTTCATGAAGTTGCTGGTATCTGTTAGCCGCACTCCATTGCCATGGCCCATCTTCTTGACCTTCCACTCTTATTGTGGGTTTCCCTGTTAATCGGATCGTGCCTCCCCCCTCCTCTGCAAACACCTTATAGTTTTGAGAGATGATAATCAGGCATAAAATCCTTCCCCTGAGTCTGAGTCTGGGACTTCAGTCACCTTCCAGCCTAAGAGGCTGGAGCAGCCTGGCATGCTCCCCGGCAGCTGTTTTTCTTAGTTGGTGCATTGCTTTAATTGGCCACAGTTCTCCTCATCTGTCATGAAGACTCTTAAAGCTCATACGAGAGTAATTTTCTCCACCTCCTTTATTGCGAGTTTTCTCTTGACGGGGCACACCACTGACTCTCTGGAAGGCTTCTCTGCTCGCTTTCTCCAGAAAGCCGTTATTTGCTGAGTTTCTGCAGGCTGGCCGATTGAGTTACAGCCCGAAGAATGTTGAACCTGGTTCTCAGCTGCAGGATGTCTTTCCCCAAAGTTCTTGTACTGCTAGGCCTACCCTGAGGATTCACATATGTGTATTGGTTTACAACAACATTAAAGCATCCCCTGAACTCCCCACCCCGCCTGCCCCAGGTGGGTAGATTACTTTTAGGACTATGAAGTAGTGCTCTCACAGGGGTTGGAGCTCAGGGTTGGCCTGCAGTATAAGCCAGTTCCCTTCTGGCTGGTTTCACATACATTTATGGCCTTCTTTTACACCTAATAGGCTTGCTTTGGGTTTTCAGGAAAAAATTCTTCATGCAATTAGGGAGAGATTCTGTGGTCATTTACCATAAAAGGTTGAAAGCTTTAATAATGTAAAACATAAAACAACCCCGGAAAGTAAGCATTAATTGGATCTCTAAGTATTGCATTTGATAAGATATACACAGAGAGTGAAAGATCATAAGCAGAAAAATGACTTGCTGATATTACAATTTGAGGTTATTTTAGTAATGGTGTATAGGATGAAATAGACCAGGAAACAACTTGGAAGGAGGGGCCTCACGTTAGCACATTGCCCTTAGACATTAAGCCTGTAGCAGCTGCAACATCCAAGGTGAGGTTGTGGTTGAGACTGTAGTGAGCGATTTGTATGCAGTTCCTACATCACCACTGTCCCTGTGGACTGCAGTTGGTCCTCTTGCTTGTTAGTGTTCTAGACACATAAGTTTCTTAAAATGCGTGATTTCGTAGTAGAGTCTTATAATTCTACTAGATTTTGTGTGTAGTTTTATGTGTGTGGACTAATACTTCTGTGGGTTTCAGTCTACACATTTGTATTTTATTCTTGTCATTAGAGTTCTGAAATGATGGTTGGCACGAATGAATTCTCATCTCAACTGAAGTGCCAGGATGCCCTTGCTTTCCTTTAACCAGTAGGGAGAGGTAGGAGCCGTGCGGAATTACAAATGGTGGCTTCTGTGAAAGCCTGTTCAAGTGTTGTTCAGAGTTTCAACAACAACAAGAAAATGCTATCCAAGCCATCATTTCCTTTTTTTTTTTTTTATTATGAGTCTCTAGTCATTCTTGATTTTGTGGCAAATTGATGGTCAAGAAGGCCAAGTTTAGCCTACAGTGGTGTCTTGTTTGGACTGCACTGTGAATATCGTTAGGTGGGGACAGGCACTTTCCAGTTGGCCACAGTCCTCACTACTCCTAATGTCCTGGCATATCTTTTTTACCTGCCTGGTGCCCTTGGGTCATTTATTTGCATGGTACACAAACACAAAGTACATTTTCATATTTCTTCCTTAAAGAGAATCAAATAGTAAAGGAGATTTCTATTTGATTTCTATTTTTATTTGTTTCTCCAACTGTCTTAAGACTGTGATATAAAATGAACAATGAGATGCTTAAAAGGTTTGAGAGGAAACAAAATTTCTAACGAATAAGATATAATAAAAAGGCTTCCGCCCAGGATAACATTATTAACCAGCCAGTTAGCCCTTGAGTGTGTGACGTTGATCTTATTGACTGCGCTTAGCAGAGTGGGAAGTTTGTATGTTTCAGGTTTACTGTGTGAACAGTCCTAGTAGTGAATGATTCTGGTTTAACCTTTTTCAGTCTTACTGGAAATATTTTTGCTCCTGCGTTTCCTTTATTCCTCAAATGTTGCTAAATTAACTCAGGCCTTGGAAAGCCCTGAATAGTCATCTCCATTTCACATACTTCTCTTATTTTTTCAATTGGAAGTGTTGATCTCAAGACAAGCTGAAGGCTGAGCCTGGTTGCATTGATCTGATTGATTCTGCCGTGTGCTCTGCTCGGCCTCCATGGAAAGACCATATCGAGTTCGTCCACTGTTGTGAATGAAAATAATCAGTTGGTGAAAGCACAAAATTAGAAACCTCTTGGTATATTTATTTCTGTGTCTCAAGAATTCTGATTTAAAGCAGACTTTATTCCAAGTAATGTGAACAGTAGGTCGTTCAGGAGTCTCGGATGAATCAATGTTTTCTTCCCTCCTCTCCAAGAAAATCTATTTAAAGCAAAGGTCAAATCTGTGCTGGATTTAGAACCTATTAAATGTAAGTCTGGAAAACAGAGCCACTTCTCTTTTTTTTTGTTCTTCACATAGTTTCAAGCACTGGGGACACTCTGGTCTTCTGCAAATCATCATTTCCCACGTATTCCTGGTGTTTGTAACTTTCCTTTTGTTCCAGAGGATGGAGTGTAACCTGTAGTGTATATACTGAGTGAATTTGAGCTCTTTTGAGTCTTGGGCTTATTACATTTAGAAATAATTTAAACCTTGAAAGTTGTCTTGGAGGAGTTTATTAGGCTTTGAATTATACCTGAGAAGAATGTATTAATGTATAGATTAATCAACTCATTTAAATAACCTGCTTACAAATTGACTCCTCCTGCTTGTGGTTCCTCCCCAACCCCTCCTATCCTGTCGCCCTCTGGCCTCCTCCATCTCTATGAAGGCTGATAAGCCATAGTTGGATGTGACAGCCTTAGACACAGCCCCTGCCCAGGCCTCACACTCAGTTACTGAGCCCAGTCCCCTTTGCTTCTGTAAAGGCTTCAGTCCTGCTGCTCCCTCCGTCCAGGCCGATTAGATATATGGGTGTTGGCATAGTCTCTGAACTGGACTCCCTGTTTCCCATCTTTACCTTTTTTATGTCATTCTTCCATTCGGTAAAGATTTGAATATACTTTGCAAGCCAGGCTGTGCCCTCGGCCCTGAATATACAATTGTGAAAGAGTCAGCCAGGAAATCCTGGCCCCTGCAGCTGATTCTCTAGTGGGGAGGGTGGACAGTGAGCAAAATGTGTCAGTAAAAGATGTAGAAGACGGACATGGTACATGCCCCAAGGGAAATAAAGGAGGAAAGGGAAATAAGGAGTTTGCATGGGGAAGTGTAATTTTAAATGGGGGCATTCAGGAGGGCCTCCCTAAGAAGCCACATTGAGGTGGGGTGAGCTGCATGGAAATCTGGGAGAATGGATGCAAGGGAGCAGCAGGTCAGCCTATTAGAAGAAAAGCAGAAAGCTAGTTGGGGCTCTGGCACCAGAGGAGGTCAGAGGGGTGCTGGGCCTCGCTGGCCATCAGAAGGCACTTGGTTCTTATTCAGATGGAGACCAGAAGCTTTGGAGGACTTTGAATGTAGTGACAGGACCTGCCTTCCATGGTAACAGGGTTTCTCTGCTGGGTGGAGGCCCAGGGACAGTTCAGGAGGCTGCTCTGATGGTCCAGGTGAGGGAGGGTGACCCTAGCAGTGGCCAGGTGAGATATGGTCAGGGTCTAGATGCATTTCAGAGGCACAGGTGGCATTGTTTGCTGATTGATTGAATATATGGGGTATGACAGAAAGGAAGAAGAATGATTCTGATATCCTTGGTGTGAGTACCTGGAAGCATGGAGCTGTCCTGGACTGAAAGAGACAGAAGTGATCACTGCTGTGTTTCTCTGGGTGGTGTTCCATAACTATTCCATGCAGGGCCATGCAGGCTTGGGAGGGAGGGAACCAGGAACTCAGTTTGGGGCATGCTATATTTGGGATGCCTGATTGGACTACTGTTTGGGATGAGTTTTGTCCTGTTGGAAATCAGAGAGAATAGGGCTCACAAGGAGCGGATGCGTCACGGGCCTGAGGGGCAGGAACATGATGCAGTGCTCCAAGGAGACCTCTGTCTCCAAACCAGAAACTTATAGCTGCCTTGGTCATCTTTATTCTGACTTTTAATGGGGAGGTGGGTCCAGAGGAAAAAAACAAGCTGTACATGCTCAGTGACAGTGACACTCAGTATCCCAGTATCAGGGAGGCAGTAGACACTGGGAAGCACCTGGCCAAGAGCACGTGTGTTTATTTCTCAGGGGTAACAAGTTCAGTGGGAACATGGGCTCAGAACTCCCTGACACTGTAATGTTTCAAGAGAAGCTAGATAACAGAGTTTTCTTGTGGAATCTCTTGGCTTTTAAATTTTGGCTTAAAAATATTTCTTTTAATGTGATGAACAGTTAACCTCTTGTCAACCTACTGGTTGTATTTCCTGGCCACTCAAATTCGCCATCAGGACCTTTTGTGCACTGAAGTACAAACTGGTCTACTTCCACCCTCAGGTAAGTCTCAGTCTTCTTGACTGCGGCTCTGAATGCCCAGGATTCTGATGGAATCCTGCTTCCTAAACCCTGCTTGGTTTTCATCCACGGCTCTTAACAGCTCATGACACCGCGTTCTGTTTTTATTTGTGTAGTGTCTGTCCCCTCACTAATGTGTAAGCCCATTGAGAGCTGGGCCTTTGGAGTTTTGTGCACAGCTGTGTTCCTGTAGTCGATGTTTCATGACTGCTTACTGACTGTATGAATGGCCCACCAAGCTAACATCTCAAATACTTTCCAAAATGTCATCAGAAGGCCCTTGTCACGGCCCCAAAGAAGAAGGGAGTCGTGGAGCAGAGGAGAGCACATGGCCCACAGCGGCCATGAGCAGAGTGCTCTGGCCGGGGTCAGGAGTTCAGGAGGCAGCAGATAGTCCCCAAACAAGGGGTGGCAAGCATTTCTTCAGCACCTGCTGTTTGCTAGGTGATTGGTTTGTTTGCTTTTTTCACCCAGTGGGAGCAGTAAGGAAATGACCCAGGTGATCTCTTTTTCCATTCTTCAGCCAACATTGATTGAAAGGTTATATGATCCACAAAGAGCAAGTGACAGCTGCCGGATGTTCATTTGAAATTTACAGACACTAATGGGGGCATAGTGGTGGAAGTGACTCTCATCAGGCTGTCCAGGCACAGCAGTGTCCCTAGAGAGCAGCTCTCAGTGTTCCAGGGCCTAGAGAAGCTTCCTGATCCCCCACATCCCAGCAGGCCTTCCCACTGCCATCGAGGGGAGCAGTAGGCAGCTCTTAAACGAAAGAGCCAGCTCTCTCTCCATGGCGTTGATATTCAGTGACTTCTGATCTGCGGTCACTTGGTCCCCACCCCTCCCCAGTTCCTTACTTGTTGCTTTCTTAGAGATTGGCTCCTTTTTCTGCTGGCCACATGCCTATTACTTATTCCCATTTCCTCTCTGGTCCTCTCACCATTCACCGAGCACTGTTTATTCTTTTTAGTAAATACACTTCCTGGTTTTGTCTGTTATCACAGGCAGAGGTGATACCACAGGCAGAGGTTAGGCTCCCAGCATTCTAAGCCTCCTTAACTGGCTGGGTCCTTGTTCCAGTCCATCTTCCATACTGTGGTGGGTGATCTACAAATAAAAATTCAAGTATGCTATTTCTATCCATACAAACCTTCACAAGCTCCCTGTAGACTCTGGGATGAAGTCCAAGTGCTTCCTCCCAGCCTGCCAGAGTCCCCACCCTCCAGCACCTTCCTGACACGAGACTGTGGCTCACCATACTTTACAGGCCTGGGATACTCACTGCCCCAACAGCCAGACATGCGGTGATCTTTGGCTGTTTTCGTGCTGTTGTGTGGCTGTTTTGTGCTGTTGTGTCGCTGTTTCATTCTGAAACTCTTGGGCCTCTAGGATCCTGTGCACATTATAGGCCTTTCCTGCCTAAGAGTTAATTACAGGATTTTGTTTCTTGCTCTGTATTTCAGTGTTAACATCTGTCTCCATGACCTTCCCTCCTTGCCAGTCTGTGTAAAATAAAGAATGGTGAGGAGAGCCCCAACCTGCCCCAAAGCCCACCCTCACGCACCCTAGTTCGTTACGGGTTCTACACAGCCGGAAGCCTTTCGGCCAGGTGTGTGTGTCAGGGAGAAGATAAGACTTCTTCCTCACTGTATCTGCAGTGCTGAGGCCACCGTGGAAATGAGATGTTTTCTACATTTTTTGCTTATTTTTTTCACTTACTGATTTTTAAAGTTTATGTATAATAGAGTGCGCCACTGCCATTACCAACTGGAGACTCTCATGTAGAAAGTATTTCCAATTTTAAATGTGGTAACGGTGTCCTATGTGAGCATGAGATATTTTCCTGATATAGCAGAGGATTTGTAGACAGCTGTTCTTTTCTCTCATATAACTCTGTCTGTACTCCCCAGCGCCTGCTGATTCAGGGAGTCCTAAGAAGGTCCTGCTGGCAGGGCTTTCAAGAACCACGCCCTGTGGGCTAACCTGCAGCCTGGGAGCCTGTGGGGGACAGCCCAGCTTCGGCCCTTTCTGTCTGGTGCCTTTGCTTCAGCAGGTTCCAAATGTGAGCCTGTGCTCCCATTTTCGTCCTATGGCTATGATCTTCACTGCCAGTTTGCACAGCCTGCAGCTGCCACACATGCATTTAGAATATTTTTAAATGATCTTCCTTCACTATTTCTCTTTCAGAAATTTGTCACTGTTTTCATTTGCTGTTTGCACAAGACTAAATACAGCCTGGGCACATTATAATTTTTCTAAGAGTCAAAGGGACTTTAGAGACAGTAAGTGTGGTGGCTGTGTCTTCAAAATATTGAAGTTTTAAGTTTAAATCTCCAAGAGTCAGGAAGTTAAATAATTAAGTTGAGATTACCATGTTCATTTTCTTATACAGCATCTGTGAGGTTTGCTTTAAAAGTTTTAGCACGTGTTTTAAGAAACTGGTTTTGTCTTAAAGCAGATAAGTAGTTCAAAAATTGTAATGACTATACCGCTTATGTGCTGCCTATGCTGACAGAACATATATTAACATTTGTCGCTGTAAGCCAAATAAAGATCTTAATGAGATTAATAACCCTTTATCTTCCTTTGGTAAAATTTACCTGATATACTTAATGACATAGTTCATTAAAAACGCTCTTTGTAAACTTAAGTTGTCTAGAAAATAATTTATCTGGTAGTTTCATTTTTCATTTGTAAATGTAATCTCCATTGTGCTCAGTTTGGGCCCTTTATAATTTTTCCAATTATCAAGGGGACTTTAGAAATAGTAAGCAGAATAGCTATATCATTATTTGTTAAAGTTGAAAATGTTAATCCCCAAAGGTCGGGCAATTAAGCTAAGGTTATTATGTTCATAGTAAAACTATTCCTAGTTGGAGTGATGATATTAAATGTGGCATTGATTCATTGTGTCCCTCAAGTACACAGTGACTTCTAGAGATCCACTCTGGGCAAATGGTGTGACAAGCAACTGTTCCGTGGGATTATGGAGGTCATTTTATACATAGCTGAGTGGTGGCTTGCAAATGCTGATTTCACATTCTTCTTGTAGGAAGATCACACTTTGAAATAATTTTCTTTTAGGAAAAAAAAACATCTATTTTGAGGAGAATTCCATGTTTTAAAAAATTACAAAAAGAATCCACAGTCAAGTAGTAAATGCTTCTTAAAACATATACATTATTTTTGAGAGATTTAACAGTATTCAAGAATCTGTTTGTTTAGCAAATAAAAGGATTCCTGGTACTAAAATAAAAATCTAGTTTGGGGGAAAAATAAATTAAGCATATTAGGGTTGCTATTTAATATCTTTTGAGAAATGAAAACAGTAAATATTTTCAGAGTTTTTTTTTTTTTAACCTCGATTTGAGCCCTGTCACAACTGTTAGTTAAATTTTCTTTCAGTAAATAGTAGTAATTAATAGTGTTCAGACTTTCTGGGCTCTGGAGCCTGAGTGCATAAATAGTCTCTTTCTTACAAATGATACTTGATCATTAACAGCATGGCCAGTTTTCTCTTATGCATCTCACTTCCTAAATCTGTCCTCTAACACTGCATGGGATGCTTTTTCAGGAAAACGTGGGTTTTTAAGAAATTTGTGACTTTTTTTTTTTTGAAAGGAAGAAACTAAAATTAGAGTATCTCAGCTACCCTGCAAGAGAGCTTCTTAGACAAGGCAAGCCCATGCACACACAGTGTGTCCCTGGTATTCTTGAATGATCCCACGGTGTATGTCTTGAAATCTCAGCAAACAGAAATTCAGTTCATTCATTAAGCATTAGAAGGTCTTCAACACACCATTGGTTATTTGGGAAATGCAAATTAAAATTACTAAATCTAATACTACGCACCCACTGGAAGGCTAAAATTAAGGAGACTGAGCATGCAGGTGTTTGTGAGCATGAAGAATAGTGGCAGAGCTCACCTGTGAGCTCACCTGGGAACCCACAGTGACTCAGGCACTTTGGAAAACAGTCTTACAGTTTCTGGAAGGTTAAACATGCACTTGCTCTGTTTGTGCCTGTATGTGTGGTATGACTGGGTAACTCCAATCTTAGATTTCTACCTAAGAGTAATATAAACGTAAGTCTACACAGAGACCAGTCACACAGATTCATAGAAGAATTATTCATAATATCCTCAAAGTGGAAACAATCCAAATGTCCAATAATAGGTGAACACCTAAACAAATTGTGCTGTGTTCATACATTGGAATACTGCTTGGCAACAGAAATAATAAAGTATTGACATGTGCATTAATATTAGATGAATCTGAAAGCATCAGGCTAGGTGAATAGGCCAAACAGAAGAGACTGCAAACTATGATTCTGTTTATATAACATTCTAGAAGAGGCCAAACTGTAGTAAAAAGAGGTAGATGAAAGGTCAGCAGGGCCTGGAGTGAGGGAAGGGACTTGTCTGCAGCATGGAAGGAGGGAACTTTGGGGATGATGAAAGTGTTCTGTATCTTGATTGTGGCCGGGGTTACCTGACTCTGTACCTTTGGCAAAACTTGCTGCTGAATCCTACGCTTAAAATGGGTCAGCTTTATTGTATGTCAGTTAATAAAGCTGATTAACAAAAGAGTATTTCTGTAGAGGCTTACATGCTAGTGTGAATGTGTGAATTCAATAAATTGGGTTGGCTTATTCTGAGAAGGATAAAAGTTTTTTGTTTTTCGTTTTTTGGAAATAGAAACATTTTGTGGGAGGTAGGGATGGCCAGTGTAGAGAAATATGTCATGGGGTAAGTGGGAAAAGATAACCTGAGGGTACCAGACTGGCACCTGGGTGCTTGCAGGTGAGAAGCCAAACATCTCTTGAAAATGTTTGCTTAATGCCTGTGAGATATCATCCTGTCTTCCTTTGAATTATTAGTATTATAGGTAGTCCTTGAAATGTTATACATTTAACAGAAATTTCTCTTATCTACTTATGGACTTTAAATTTAGGGATATTCCTAGATTGGAAGAAGGCAATATTCAGAGCAAAAAGGTACAAGCTTTACTTGCCACCAGCAGCTGCCAGAGTGGAGGCCTTATGTAATTACTTCGGCTTCAGCCTTGGCAGCTTTTGTTAGCCCAAAGTGGATTTGCTATATTTGTGCTTTGAATTTTACCGTTTACACTCATTAAGTTCTATAAATACAAAAGCATGGAGAGCATTAGTGCTGTCAAGAAAGAGGTGTGATTATGTTGGAAATGAACATGATAGTAAAAAGAATATGAAAGTGGCAGGGAAATGGTGACTGCAGCTGCACTGGGTGTGAGAGGCTGGGCAGGGAACGATCTGAAGAATGGGGGAGGGCGATGGTGAGAAAAGACACAGCTGATGGTCGACAGGGGACAGGAGAAAGAGATTCACGGAGGGGAAGAAAAAGCATTGAATGTGTGGGATAAAGAAAGAGCATTATCATTAGCTACTCACTAGCCCAATTAATGCAGGAGAAGGGAGTCTGCTCTGGAACTCGAAGGCTAAGCATGGTGTGGTTGAAGTGCTGCTAGTGAAACCTGAACCATCTGCTTTGGGCATGGTCAGCTCTGAGCCCACTGGAATTTGCAGGACATCAAAGTGAGGGCTGCAGCAGCTGCTGCTCCATGGCATCTAGGAAATCCCTCGTGGCCCTGCCGAGCTGACGGAGGAAGAGGGCTCCTACCCGTGCAGATTTCAGTGGTGCTGGAACCATTCATTTTTGAAGAGAGACTCTTGCCATCTGCAAATCGGTAGAAATGCATCCAGGTTCTAGAAGTTTTCATCTCTCCTGGCTTGTTTATTAACTCCAAAGTGATTAACAGTGGAACCACCTTTTGAATCCTGGGTACTCCTAGGTTGAGCAGGGCTGCACTTCCACCGTCTTTCAGGGTTCACCAGATGAAACTCTGAGGATCCTCTATGAATCAGCAGACACACAACATCTCCTGAGATTATAAGGTGGTACTGTCTGTGGTGATTACCTAATTTTAATTTATAAACTGGGAATGCAAAGGCCATGCTGACCTTGCTAAGAAATGTGAAGTTCACAGGAGAACAAAACTGGGGAAAAAGGTAGGGGACAGTCGTCAGTAGCAGTCACTCACTTTCGACATTAAATTATGCGTTTGTTTAATTGTGAAGGAAAATACAATTGTAGAACATGCACCAAAAGCTAGAAATATACAGTTTAATGTTAACACCTAAAAGCAAAATACTAATTAAAGATTTTGGAATATTTTTTATCTTTCTGGGTATGAAACCTCCAGCCCTGACTTTTTATGCCCCTTATAACAGCTAAGTCCATTGTAACTTTCAGTAATTGGCTTTTTATTAAAATAAGAGACTGTAGTATAAATTTTAGCAACTGGACTAAATAGGCATTAACTGGCCCTGGGATCCAACCATAATTTGTAACATCGTTCCTCTGGGAAAATGGATTCTAAGTGCCCAATAACTACCTTACAAATAGACTCTTGAATCATAGTCCATTTGAGAATAAGGAACTGTTTGTGATAGTAATACCTTCAATTGGCTCGCTTGAGAACTGCACAGAAGGGACCTATGTTCCACCACATGTGTGTGGTGAACCCAGCTCGTCTGGGTTTGATCAAAGATTATTGCCGAGTGGGCATGGAAAGTGCAGGAATTAAACTCAAAGTAGAGG
Source organism: Homo sapiens (assembly GCF_000001405.40). Classification (NCBI taxonomy): domain Eukaryota; kingdom Metazoa; phylum Chordata; class Mammalia; order Primates; family Hominidae; genus Homo; species Homo sapiens. Next base: position 25,693,423 of record NC_000013.11, read on the forward strand.
CTGGAGACACGTCAAGGGTGGCGTTAGAAGGATGGACCTGGAGGGCTCTTAGTGGTAGGAAGAGGATTTCAATCCCAGAGGCAAAGGAGTGTATCTGAGCAGATGAAGGGCAGGGAGAAGAGAATGGAAGAGTAAGCAGGATTGAGATTGAGAACCAGCCATTTTCAAGCAAAATGTAACTCAAAGTGTACCAGTAAGGCTGAATAGCCCACCAAGAGGTCAGAGAGAGACATCCCTCAGATCTCTCTGTCTCTCTCTCTCTCTCTGTTTTATTTATTTTTATTTTATTTATTTATTTTGTCTGTCACCCAGGTTGGAGTGCAGTGGCACGATCTTGGCTCACTGCAACCTCTGCCTCCCAGGTTCAAGTGATTCTCCCACCTCAGCCTCCCAAGTAGTTGGAAATACAAGGGTGTGCCACCACACTTTTCTAATTTTTGGGTTTTTGTTGTTGTTGTCTGGAGATGGAGTCTTGCTCTGTTGCCCATTTGGAATGCAGTGGCACGATCTTGACTCACTGCAACCTCTACCTCCTGGGTTCAAGTAATTCTCCTGCCTCAGCCTCCCAAGTGGCTGGGATTACAGGCGTGCACCACCACGCACATCTAATTTTTTTGTATTTTTTGTATTTTTAGTAGAGACTGGGTTTTACCACATTGGCCAAGCTAGTCCCTCTCCTCCTCCTGCCAAGGAAGAAGAACCATGTATTGGCATCCAGTCTATCCTCATGTGTGCTGCAGAAATAACCCTAACTGGAGAAAGCTGCCTTCCTAAGATGAGCACCTATGTCTCCATTTATGCTGTGCCCTCTTACAAAAAGCCACAGGCAATGGGCTCCACATTTCAGAGATTTTTATTCCTCACTCTTTCCCTCCTTGGATCCACGCATAAGTCCAGTGGGGAGGCCCATGGGACTTGGCACTGAGCTAGACTGGGCCTCTACTGTAGCACCTGGATGCTCTCCCTGGGCCAAATCTGTGTACCTTGTCTCATCTCTTTGGTGACGTGCTTCTCAAGAGGTTTTTCTGTCCTTCATACACTGACCCCCGGCAGGCACCCCTCTAGAATTTCCCAGACTTACCTGAATTTCCTGGTGAACACACCCAGGCTGCCAAGCTGGCATTTCCCCAGGTCAGGGTAATTTTTTTCTCTCTACCCAAATTCTAAAGGGCAGGCTGTTGTTTTAGATAAGGAAGGCATAGATGTTTTCAGGATGCTTGTTTGAGATTCAGAATTACAAAGCTAATTGACAATAAAAAGTATAAAGTTTATTTATTTTAGAGACAGGCTGTTGCTGGACTGCAGTGGCATGATTATAGCTCACTAAAGCCTCCAATTCCTGGGTTCAAGCGATCTTTGCACCTCACCCTTCTGAGTAGCTGGGACTACAGGCATGCACCATCATGCCTGGCCAATTATGTGCCTATATGTCCCTTTTTTTCTAGGGACAGAGTCTCACTCTGTTGTTTAGGCTGGTCTTGAACTCCTGGCCTCAGGTGATCCTCCCTCTTTGGCAAAAGTGCTGGGATTACAGGCATGAGCCACCATGACTGGCTTCTTTGTTTTTAATAAAAGTCCATTTAACTTTTATGCATAGAACATTATTCTATTAATGTTTCGTCTATTGCAGGCATACCTCAGAGATATTGCAGATTTGGGACCAGTCCATAGCAATAAAGCAAATACTGTAATAAAGCAAGTCACACTATCTTTTTTTTTTTTTGGTTTTCCAGTGCATATAAAAGTTATGTTTACACGGTACTGTACTCTATTAAGTGTGCAACAGCATCACATCTTTAAAAAACCCAATGTGTGTGCCTTAATTTAAAAATACTTTTTACTAAAATACGCTAACAATCGCCTAAGCCTTCAGCAAGTCATAATCTTTTTGTTGGTGGAGGGTCTTGCCATGACATTCATGGCTGCTGGCTGATCAAGGTGGTGGTTGCTGAAGGTTGGGGTGGTTTTGGCAATTTCTCAAAATAAGACAACAATAAAGTTTGCTGCATCTGTTGACTCTACTTTTCACAAAAGATTTATCCATGGCATGTGATGCCGTTTGATAGCATTTACCCACAGTAGAACTTCCTTCAAAATTGGAATCAATTATCCCAAACACTGCTGCTGCTTTATCAACTAAGTTTATGTCATGTGCTAAATCCTTTGTTGTCATTTCAAGAATGTTCACGGCGTGTTCACCAGGTGTAGATTCCACCTCAAGAAACCACTTTCTTTGCCCATCCATAAGAAGCAACTCCTCGTTTATTCAAGTTTGATCATGAGATTGCAGCACATTGTCACATCTTCAGGCTTCACTTCTAATTCTAGTTCTCCCGTTGCTTCTACCACATCTTCAGTTACTTCCTCCACTGAAGTCTCAAACTTTTCAAAGTTATGCATGAGGGTTGAAATCAACTTCTTCCAAACTCCTCTTCATGTTGATCTTTTGACCTCCTCCCATGAATCATAGGTGTTCTTAGTGACATCTAAAATGGTGAATCCTTGCTGAAAGGTTTTCAATTTACTTTGCCCAGACCCATCAGAGGAATTGCTGTCTATGGTAGTATGAAATCTATTTCTTAAATAATAAGACTTAAACTCTAAATGACTCCTTGATCCATGGGCTGCAGAATGGATATTAGATAAACATGCATGAAAACAACATTCATTCATCAACGATGTCTCTATCAGAGCTTTGGGTGGCCCAGTGCATTGTTAGTGAGCAGTAATATTTTGAAAGGAGTCTTTTGTTCTGAGCAGTAGGTCTTAACAGTGGGCTTAATGTTCGGTAAACCATTCTATAAACAGATGTGGTGTTAGCCAGGCTTTGTTTTTCCATTTCTAAGAATTGATTTAGCATAAATTTTCAGAACGGTAAATGAGCATTGGCTTCAACTTCAAGTCACCAACTTCATTAGCCTCTAACAAGAGTCAGCCTATCCTTTGACACTTTAAAGCTTGGGATTGACTTCTCCTCTCTAGCTATGAAAATCCTAGATGGCATCTTCTTTTAATAGACGGCTGTTTCATCTACATTGAAAATCTGTTATTCAGTGAAGCCACCTTCATCAATTATCTTAGCTAGACCTTCTGGCGAACTTGCTGCAGCTTCCTCGTCAGCGCTTACTGCCTCACCTGGCACTTTTATGTTATGGAGACAGCTCCTTTTTTAAACCTCATAAACCAATATCTGCTAAGGCTCAGACTTAACACAGCTCCCTCACCTCTCTCAGCCTTCACAGAATTGAAAAGAGTTAGGGTCTTGCTCTGGATTAGGCTTTGATTTAAGGGAATGTTGTGGTTCCAGACCACTTTCTCCATACCAGCAATAAGGCAGTTTTGCTTTCTTATCATTTGTGTGTTTACTGGAGTAGCTCTTTTAATTTCCTTCAAGAACTTTTCCTATGCATTCACGACTTGGCTAACTGGTGCAAGAGGCCTAGCTTTTGGCCTATCTTCTTTTGACATGGTGCACCATGCTTTTGACATGGTGTACCAAAACAATTTCAATAGTAACATCAAAGGTCACTGATGACAGATTACCATAACAGATATAATCATGAGAAAGAAGTTTAAAATATTGCAAGAATTACCAAAATGTGACACAGAGGCACGAAGTGAGCCGGTGCTGTTGGATAAATGGTGCTGATCGACTTGCTTGACTCAGGGTTGCTAGAAATCTTCAATTTGTAAGAAATGCAATTGTCTTTGAAGCACAATAAAGTGAAGCACAATAAAATGAGGTGTGCCTGTATTATATTAACAAAGAAGGCATTGCTAATGATGGCATGTATTCACTGCCTGAAGTAGAAGAGATGTGTATTTTCCTTGATAGGGAAAATTCTTTTGTTGTTGTTGTTGTTGTTGTTGTTTTTGAGACGGAGCCTCACTCTGTCATCCAAGCTGGAATGCAGTGGTGCAATCTCGGCTCACTGCAACCTCCACCTCCCAGGTTCAATTGATTCTCCTGCCTCAGACTCCTGAGTAGCTGGGATTACAGGTGCGTGCCACCACAGCCCGACTAATTTTTGTATTTTTAGTACAGATGGGTTTTCGTCATGTTGGCCAGGCTAGTCTTGAATTCTTGACCTCAAGTGATCCACCTGCCTCGGCCTCCCAGAGTGCTGGGATTATAGGCGTGAGCCACTGCACCTGGCCCAGATAGGGGAAATTCTTGATGAATAAATAGTAAGAGGAAGAAGAATGGGTTTTACTGAGTGTTTGCTGTATGCCAAGTCCCGTGCTAAATAATTTACGTTGATTAGTTTATTTGTTCATAAGAAAAGTGCTATGAAGTTTTTAGCTCCTTTTTACACATAAGAAAATGGCAATTTAAAGAGGCTAAGTGTCTTGCTGAAGGTCACAGAGGTAACAAGTAGAGAGCTTGGACTAGAACCCAGGTCATCTGACCACAATGCAGGGCTCTAGACTACATCTTTCTTAAATAAATCTTTATGAAATTGTCAAAAGTCACTTTTTGAGAATAAACACTGAACAATAAGACAGTTTTCTGGAACCTGTTTCTCACTTTTTAATAGTAGCTGATCCTCAATTTTACTAGAGGTAGAAGGATTCTTGTTAATTAAACATATTTCTTTAAGATTGCAATTTACCTTATCATATAATAAATTGCATATGAATGTTACTTAATAGTCGTCTTCCAGACAGAATAATTTCAGCAGAATTCTGTGCTTCCCAATTAACTTAAACCATATTTTTTATGAGCCCAAAATTACATTCTTATATTTGAGTGAGATATCCTGTTCATAGTCATAAATTCACTGTGAAAACAAGAACGTCTGTTTTTTTTTTTTTTTTAAAGAAACAGGGTCTCACTGTGTTGTCCAGTCTGGAGTGGTGTGCTCAGTGTTCACTACAGCGTCAACTTTCCAGGATCAAGCGATCCTCCCACCTCAGCCTCCAGAGTAGCTGCGACTACAGACATGCAGCAGACACACACCACCATGCCTGGATAATTTTTTAGTTTTTTCGTAGAGACGGGGTTTCTCTATGTTACTGAGGCTGGTCTTGAACTCCTGGGCTCAAGCAGTCCCTCCTGTCTCGGCCTCCTAAAGTGCTGGGATTACAGGCGTGAACCACCGTGCCCAGCCCACTTTTTTTTTAAATCTAAAAAATGTTATTGTGCTTTAATTCCATGTGATAATGGACATTACACCAAGATGCTTTTAAGGCTGGTAGTAGTGTTTTGGTAGGTGTTGGCAGTTTAACTTGATTAGATACTTTCTATAACATGGGAAAAATGATCAGCTTATTTCTTACGCTGGCAATGCATGGAGAGAATGGTTTAATCTGAAGATCTCAGCAGGATTCAAAATTAATATTTTGTCATATTTTTATCTTTTGGATGCTTTAAAGATTATCTTATGCAAACTGAGAAATGTTAGTGTTTGCCATTCAAGTTCCAATAATGCTATCTTTCCCCAAAAAGCACATTTGTTTATATGGAGTTTTCTATTCTAGGGGCACCAAGAATAATGTGTATGTAGTGTAAAGAAGTGGATTATTGTAAATTTCTAACAGATCTCACTATGAAGATGTTTGTACCCATAAAACAGACCCAGAGGGCATTGCATTGAAATTTTAATGTATAAATGTGCAAAGCTGAACTGATAGTATATTTATATTAGAATGGGTGTGTTCTCATTTCAAGAAACTTAATTTTGAATTCTATTTTGTTTTTGATATTAAACACACAAAAAATGTGATTTTCCCCTATACTCTTGTTTCAGGCCACAAGGGCAGCCATTACTCAGCACTGCACTGACCTTGGGAATTTGCTGGGCAAGGAAAATGACGTGGCCCTGATCATCGATGGCCACACCCTGAAGTACGCGCTCTCCTTCGAAGTCCGGAGGAGTTTCCTGGATTTGGCACTCTCGTGCAAAGCGGTCATATGCTGCAGGTAGGAACCTGCAGGCTGTGCACAGTTCACACTCTGCTGTGTCTGTATCCCGTGCTTATACAAAAGAAAGGGATGCATGGGAATTCTAGGTTTAAAGTTTTGTATCTAAAAAAGGCAAAACAAAAATACAAATTTATTTTTAACTGTTGGTGCACAGATTTTGCAGAGGCAGTTAGTGGTTTTTACATTTTTGTTTTGTTTATTGTCTTCTGAGAAGATAAAAAGAGTAAGAACCAGGGCTTCCAGTCACATTCACCATGGGGGATAAATTGGAAAAACACTGCCTCAAGCCCCTTTGAGAAATTACTGGGGTCCAACCTACTGCACATGTCTGAGCTCAACTTCCAAGATGTGTGGGGCTTTGATGCTTCTTTTCTGGCGTTTGTTGGGGTATTTCTTTTCAGTTAAGGAGGAGCTTTGGTCGGGTTCATGTGATAGCAATTTTTGTGGTAAAATCTAACCAGAAATCTTTGTAGGTTCTTCCCTTCCTGGGAAGGTTTTTTTTTTTCAGTTGGCAGTGGTGGGGGATTGTTACATTCCATTGGCTGCTGGCTATGTGGAGGTCTAGTTCTGATAGAAATTTGAAAGTCAGACAGAATTATAAAGACAGTAAACCACTAGAAAGATGAGTGGTCACCAAAGGTCACAGAGAGCTGGAGGGGCTGGCTAGTGGAGCATCAGTAGTGGAAAGGCATGTCAGTTTTATGCCTATGGTCACAGGATATTCAGGGACCATGGGGATGAGGACAAATTCAAATGTGTTTGAAACAATGAGTGACAAGTCTGTTGTACCTTTAAGTCAGGAAACCTGGTGCAGCTGTGGGGGACCTGGTGCAGGGAGCAATGGCCAGAGCACCTTGAAATACACTGCTTCTGGGTTTTATGATGGCCTCCTTCTCTTTTCCTCGAATAGCTTGATTGTGATACAATTCACATACCATACAGTTCACCTATTGAAAGCAATTCATTGCCTTTGAGTATATTCACAAAATTATGTAACCATCATCACAACCAATTTTAGAATATTTTCATCACCCCGTAAAGAAACTCCTGTATCCATTATCAGTTAATCCCATCTTCCTGCACGCCTTCACCCCCATCCCAAACAACCAATCATCTACTCACTTGTCTCTCTAATTAGCCTGTTCTTTTTCTGACTTCTCTCCATCCCTGTTGTTTCATGTGTCAGTACTTCCTTCTTTTTATGGCTGAGTAATATTCCATTGTTTAGATGTAACACATGTTTATCCATTTCTCAATGTATGAGAATTTGGGTTTTTTACCCTTTTTGACTGTTACGTGTAATGCTACTGTGAAGATTGATGTACAAGCTTCTGTTTGGACGTAGGTTTTCGACTCCTCTGGGTACGTGCCTAGAAATGGAGTTGCTGGGTCATGCAGTAACTCCATGTTTAACCTTTTGAGGAACTGCGAGATGGTTTTCCAAAGTGGCTGCACCATTTCTGTTCCCACTGGCAATATGTGATTGTTTCAGTTCCTCCATATCCATGCTAACACTTGTCGCTAGCTATCTTTTTGATTAGTTAGGATGTGAAGTGGTATCGCATTGTCCTTTTGGTTTGAATTTTTCTGTTGATTAATGATGTTGATCGTTTTTTCATGTGTTTATTGGCCATCTGTATATCTTCTTTGGAGAAATGTCTATTCAAATCCTTTGCCCATTTTTAAGTTGGATTATCTTTTTATTATTGAGGTATAAGGGTTCTTTAGCTACTCTGGATACAAGTATCTCATCAGATAGATGATTTGCAGTTTTTCCCCTTTTAGGTTACCTTTTCACTTTCCTGATAGTATTACTTGCAGCAAAATTATTTTGACAAAGGCCAGTTTATCTATCTTTTTCTTTTGTGCTTTTGGTGTCATAGCTAATGAGCTCTCTTTTTAAAGTAGCTGATCCTGTGCTTTCTTTCCTGGGTTCTATTTGAGCAGTTTAGATTAGGGCTATGCAAATGGAAAACAGGATGGAAAGAATGGTGGGGAAATACTTTTATTCATAAATTTCCCTTTGTTTCTACATTGTAAAGCTGCTGAGTAGGTGGGTACCTGATTTTATGAATTTCTCCACACTGGAGGTTGTTACTGCTCTACCTCAGAGCCGTGAGTCATGGGAGTCAGCCACTTCTGCCTGCCACTGCCCTGTTGATCAAGGGGTCATCCCCCTGACTCGCTGGTGGACAAAAACAAGTAACAACGTGGAAAAGTCTGGTAAACTGTAACCCAATGCAAACACCCTAAAACCTTATAAGTTTTTAAGAGGGAAATCAAAATGAGTCCGTTGGATTCTCAGGGGAGATCCAGGAATGCCTGTAAGGGTTTACAGGAACATGTTCTTTTCTTGCCAGGTGCTTGATACTAAAACACACACACACACACACACACACACACACACACACACACACACTTTTTTCCCCTTCTTGCTGTGACTGCTTCACAGTGCTTTGTGTGTCTCATAGGCCATATACTTGAAGACTTCAAAGGGGAGTTCAAACTGGAATTGGCACAGAAAGAGGAAATTTCAAATTAAATACTGTTACAGTCTACAAAATGGAAGCATTAATTGAAAAAGGGAATTTAGGATAGTGCATCATTTTCCTGCTCTTGGAGACATTTCTTGGCTGATCTCATACTTAAGATTTTAAAAAAATCAACATGTACTTAAAAAAAAGAAAAAAGCACTTGTACACTTCAGATGTACTTACTATTCATTGAAAATTTAAACTTAAGCTAAATTTAATATGTGGCTTCAAACATAAAGTTGACCTTAATTTTCACTTTTCATCTTCAAAATATAATAGTTGTGAGAGTTACCTATTTCTCTAATAATGAAAGAAGTAATTTTTTTTCAGAAAATAACTGGTCTATGAAATCATGAAGCATGTTCCTATCAATATTGATTCAGAAATTGGTGATGTTGTATAGAAATAAATACCTTTAAACTAAAACAGTACTTTAGGCAGCAAAAAGAAGGGAATGCAAGAATTTATTAAATATTTTGCTGAAATTAGAATCAAACAATTTGCTAATTATGCATTTCTGTACCCGAATATTTTCCATATGGTTAAAATCCTAGAGAGGGCATATATAGTCAGCACTCCAGTATAATTTACTTTGTATCTGGCAGGGGTGTTGCCATGTAATTAGTTGAAGTGTAAACTGGTCCAGTCCAAGGTTTTTATTGTGGGCTTGCAAGTATTGTGACATTTACATTGCAAATTCCTAGTGTCATGGATGAATAAGGAGAGGAGACGTGGCCTTTGGTGTAGAAGTGCAAATAGTGAATAAGAGACTATGTTATTGTATTTGCCTCTATTCCTTTGCATCTCACATACATCCCAATTCCTTGAAACCCAGCCCTTAGTGAAGAAGGCATAGCTGGGTCTCCATCTGGCCACATGCAGCAGACTCCCTTTTGTGCTTGATTTTCAGATCCTTTCAGCATCTGGTGTTGAGGGCTCTTCCCTTGAGGGGTTCTCTTTTTCTTCTGTGGCACCTTTCTCTTCTCCTTAAGTTATCTGTCTCCTTTATGGGCTTTCTGGCTGCCTGTGAAGTGTTGTTTTCCCAAGGTTTTACCTCTGGTCCTATCGTATTCCCACTCCACATCTCCCCGTGTGCCTTCCATTTAATGTGTCGGATGGCCTCATTCATCTTATACATTAGTGACTTCTCACAACACCAGCTTCATATGGAATCATCTGGAGAACTTTTTTGTTGTTGTTTTTGTTTGTTTGTTTTGAGACAGAGACTCGCTCTGTTGCCAGGCTGGAGTGCAGTGGCGCTATCTCAGCCCACTGCAACCTCTACCTCCCAGGTTCAAGCAATTCTCCTGCCTCGGCCTCCCAAATAGCTGGGACTACAGGCGCACACCACTATGCCCAACTAATTTTTGTATTTTTAGTAGAGACAGGATTTCACCATGTTGGCCAGGATGGTCTCGATCTCTTGACCTTGTGATCTGCCCACCTCGGCCTCCCAAAGTGATGGGATTACAGGCATGAGCCACTGCACCTGGCTGAGAACTTTTTAAAAACATATTTTCCTCAAAAAGCTAAATCTGGAAAGTACCATATGACCCAGAAATTGCACTCTTAGGTAGGTATACACCCAAAAGAATTAAAAACAGGCACTCAAACAAATACTTGTATGTGCATGTCCATAATGTTCATAGCAGCACGGCCCACAGTAGCCTCAAATTGGAAAACAACCCACATATGAATCCATACGGTGGAATATTATTGAGCCATAAAAAAAAATAAAGTAGTGACATGTGCTACAATGTGGATGCAGCTTGAAAACAGGCTGAATGAAAGAAGCCAGTCACAAAAGACCACATATTATATGATTCCATTCCTATCATATACTCAGAATAGGCAAATCCACAGAGCCAGGAAGCAGGCTAGTGGTTGCCAGCGGTTGGGAGGAGGAAGAATGGCCAGTGACTGCTCAGTGGGCATGGGATTTCCTTTTGAGGATGATGAAGTGTTTTTGAACAGGCTACAGGGGATAATTGTACAACATTGTGACCATACTAAATTCCACTCAATTGAAAATGGTCAATTTTATCTTATGTGATTTCTACCTCAGTAAAATATAAATAAATGAATAAAAGAATTCATCCATTTAAATGAAATGTTTGTTGAATTAAAAAACTGATATGTTTGAATGAAAGTTCACTCATTTGAATGAAATGTTTGTTGATTATAAAAAATGAATCCTTTGAGCAGAAGTTTTGTTAGTTTAAATGAAATGTTTGTGGAAAGAAAAATAAAGAGTCTGATTCCCAGGCCCTTCCTCAGAGCAATAAAATCAGAACTCTAGAAATTCTACAAACTCCCCGTGGCACCTCTCTTCTCCTTAGTTACCTGTTGATTCTAAACAGCAGTCAGGGTTGAGAAGACAACTTCTGCCATCTGCTTGTCCAGCGTGGCCCCTCACTTCAGCTCCAGTTTCTGTACATCCAACCACATCTAGGACTTTTTTTTTTTTTTTTGAGGCAGTCTTGCTCTGTCACCTAGTCTGGAGTGCAGTGCCATGAACACAAACACAGCTCACTGCAGCCTTGACCTCCTGGGTTCAAGCGATCTTCCTGTTCAGTCTCCCAAATAGCTGGGACTAGCATGCCACTATGCCTGGCTAATTTTTAAAATTTTTTTATAGAGATGGAGGCTTGCTATGTTGCCCAGGCTGCTCTCAAACTCCTGGCCTCAAGTTATCCTCCTGCTTCCTCCTCCCAAAGTGCTGAGATTACAGGCATGAGCCACAGTGCCAGGGCCTTTTGACAGCATTAGCAAGCATGGTTTTATATCTAGGGGACCTTTAGAGAGATTAAACCATATAAGCACATTATTAAATTGAGGTCAGACATTAAAATCTCTTAATTTGTTTATCCTTTTCAGTATTGCATTTAGTTTTATAAATAAGGAAATAAAGGCCTCAGAAAAATTATATCATGTTGTCTGTGGTCTCAGCTAGGAGTGGAAGAGATAGCATTTTATGTTCTATCTGAATAATATCAGGGCCTATGCTCTTAAGTCACACAGTTGGCTGTGTCAGCTAATTCATTGTCACACGTTTATTACTGATAATACAGTTTTGCACGAAAGTTTTGCTTTTCACATATTTTTCAACTGTCTTATATGTTTAGACTTATTCAAGAAATCAACATAAAGTCTTGTAGGATTTGTCATTCTCCAAAGGGGTGAAAGTTATGTGGAAAATGTGTAAACCATTTTCAATATGTTCAAGAAAGAGTTATCTGTTCTTTCTTCCCCCTTTCTCATTTTCCCTTTTTCTTTGAAGGTCTTTATTTTTGTCCAAATGGAGATAAATTCTCTAGCACAGACTACCAGGGGAGAGGACTTTGACCTCTTGAGAACACTCAGAAATCTTTAAAGTGACTGTCTCGTCAGGAAAAGAGTCATGAAAGAATCATCAGTGACCCCCTGTGAGGACGTTAGTGATGGCCCCATCAGAGTCCCCAGCAAATACAGGTGACATGGGGGCCGCTGGGCACTGCCTCATTAGCAGATGTGATTTACGGCTTCACATCTCTGGGCAAGAGATGGAGTGGAAGGAAAACACCGCGGCAGGGATTTCCACGGGATGTGCAAATTAAGGGTTTCCAAAGGCATCATTTATTTTCTCTGATATGTTTAGACTTCTGTCTTTCAGGATAGATTCAAAGATAAACATGTATAAGCCTGCTGTGATATCATAGATTTGAAAACAGGAGAGAGAAAAAGGCCGAGTGGACGCACTGAATGTTTAAAAAGACTTCTTGGGTTTATTTTTCTAACTGTAAGAGTGATTTATATTTTTTGTAAAAAATTAGAAAATACAGACAAACAAGAAGAAAGAAAATGGCATTCACAATCCCCCCAACTAGGGATTAGCACTGTTGACAATTGGTTGTGAAGTCTTGATCTCCTTCTGTGAAAACACTTTTCATTGGACGAAGGGTTACACCTTTTACAATATGCAAAGTTAAAGGTTATACACAGTTTCTATGTCAAATTTGTTTTTTAAAAGCATAATGGTGTTCTGTTATATGAAAACACAGCAATTAATTTATTCCTAATTGATGGATAGTCAGGTTAACAATGTTTTTTACATGAATAGTTGCAAAGACACTTGATGATGTCCATAAAACAATAATGGATTCAAGGATAAGCAACATAGAAACTTGCAAAAGGGCTTGTAGCCTTAGACTCAGAAAGTAAGATGAATTGGCTTAGAGTCAGAGAGAGATGACTAGTAGCTTAGTCCCTGCTGGGACAAACATATTCTCCTCTGTTTAGTAAGCATAGTATGGATTCCAAGCCCCAGTTTGGGGTTTGTTAGCCTCACTAAGAAAGGGGAGCAGTTTAGAGGTTATTTTGTGAAAGTATGTATATGTATACATGTATATATATACTGTCCAACATTTTAACACACTGGCAGTGTATCATTCCCAACGTCAGGTCAGTCTTCCAGCCTATCCTAAGCTTATCACTCACTTAGCCTGCATTAAAAAACCTGGTGGACATCTGTCTTAACTTTAGACTACTTAATGTAGAAAAGAACTGGCTCTTCTGATTTGGTTCCTTCCCCAGCTTAGCTTTTTTACCTTAATGAGGCATGATGGATAATAGGAAATCAGAACGTTATGCATTTTGTGTGTGGTATCCTTCAGCCTGTGAACTACACACAGAATTATGTCAAAACAGAGTTCAGATGCAGTAATTAGAATTGTACCACCAATTGTGTTTTAGTTGGCCTCCATATTGGTAGGGATCCAATTGTACACTTGCACAAATAAAACTTTTCTTTAGTTTCATTCATGATGTGATTTCTCAGCATCATGAACGATTAGTTATAAGCCAGCTTCCTACTTTGACATCCTATTCCAGAGAGCATTATTAACTTGTCGAGGCTGTAAGTCTATCCTTGGGCTGTTTGATTGTGGCTTAGTATATATTTGCCCATTTGTTGATTGCATGCAATTAAGGTAGAATTCACTTTTAGATAGGTTTTTTTAAATTTAACTCTAACATGAATGCTATTGTTTGAATGATTACAGCAATTTTATTTGGTTCTAAATGGCTTCATTGTTATTTTATTAAGGATGAGAGCGCTCAGATGTAATAGTTCTTCAGCACCATCTTGGAAAAAAAATTTCTCAAAGCCCAAAGCTTAAACACTGTTTTTCCACCCACAGATCTTACCATAATTTCTCTAGAATAAAACTAGACTGATGCAGATTTTGTAGTATATTAAAAATAGCTCACGTGAATCATTGTAGAGGCCAGAATATGTAGAGACTTGAGTATTAATCTAAAGTAGGAAAAGGAAACCATTTCTAAATAATTATTTACAGCTTAGGAAAAAAAACAAGCTTTTTGAAATTAAAGCTAATTTTGATGATAGCACATTTAGAAATGGAGGGCAATTCTCATCTTAAATACCTATTGCAGCAAATAATTTATATGAATTACTCTATAAGATCAATTTCTAACTGTTAGGGATTTCTGACGTTTTGATTCCCCTCTAACTAAAAGTTATATATCATCACTATCTGGGTGTTACTATTTCAGGTGAGAAATTTTTTAAAAAGTAGCGTATCAACTTTGTTTCTTATGTCCTGGACTAATAAAACAATTTGGTGGGGAGCAATATAGTACATGTGATAAAAATGTGGACAAATATTTAGTATAAGATTGAAAATACAGGAAGCTCTTCTGCTTGTCAGCTATGAGCAACTGAGTGAATAGACGTGGATAACATGTTGAGAATACTTGCCAAGGGGCATTTAATAATGAGGATTGATCTATAATAATATGCTGTGTAATTGGGAACACATCTCTTTGGAGTTTTTTTGGCTTATAAAATTATTACCATATCATTTTGCTTATATAGTAGACCTACTTTTCCTAATGGTTCTGAAACCTGATTTACATGGCACAAGTTCCCCTCCACTGAGTACCTTCACACTAGTGTTTGTTTGCAGAAGCTCAGATGCAAACTGAACAGTGGGAGTAATGAAGCCCTTTCCTCTTTTGGCAGTAGTCTAAGAACTATGGTAATAGGGTCTGTGTGATCTCCCATCCATCCGCTCTGCAGCTTTCAACACATGGGGACCCTTGTGAGACACCAGAAGAGCTCACAGACACATGACTTTTCAAGACTTTTCCTGTGTTTCTTTTTTTCCTTTCCCCTTTTTCATGAATGATTACTTCATCAGTGCATGTCATTTTTGACAATACTGCTTGCCAAATGAAACAGGGTGATACGAGGTCACACTGTGGCCTAAAATTCTGAAGTAGAAGCTCATAATATTTGGCATCTTTCCTACTAGAAAAACAAACCAGAAAAGAAAATCAAGAACAGAGCTTAATTAAACATGTGGAATATGTCATGAATATTTATGTCCCCAAGTCTTGCCTTGTGATGGTATTTGTACTTAAAGTGCTTTTTCTCCTCTTTCCTGTGAAATAATTCAGAATGTGTTTCATTAATACAAGAATGTGTCATGTTAACTTTCATCAGGAAAAAATTTCACTTCTGACAACACTGACACCTTTCTGATTGAAAGTATGCAAAATAGCTCTTACGTTAATTGGTCCCAAAGAAAATTATGTTATCCATTTTCCTGTCTATACATCTGACACTTTCCCTCATCTGTCACCTCCTGAATTATCAATGCTTTCCCTTGCCTGATTTTGACAGCCAGTATTCTGCCTATGACTTTAAAAACCATAAAAAAAAAACTCCATCCTGGGAGCTTTACTGTCCTCCAGTTTGAATAGGAAGCCCCAAGATTACAGTCAGCAAGGTGTAGCCACATCTACTACTATGCCACATCTAGACTGCAGTTTCTCTATTTTAAGCCTCTCCCATTGTTTCTTACTCGTTGAACTTTAGAGAGGAAACAAATGACAAAGAGGAATGTTTATACTTTTTTAATATTTAGTCTTATTTAGGGTCACAAGTAAATTTTGTCAGCAGGAGCTAGGTCAGACTGACAGAGCTAACTAAAGTTGCCAAATTTTGGGAGCCTGTGCTTGGTTTGAGTTTTATGATTGGTGATGTCTGCGCCTTATGACCATTGTCATCTGCAGAGCTTTGCTGGGTCAGCAGAGTCTGAGAGGGTCTGTTGAATGATTTGGTTTCTGTTGTTTCTTGTTAACCAGTTAACTGAGCTCTGTGAGAGTCCCAGGGCTGAATTGTCGCCAGTGGTTTAGTTTCTGACAGGCCTGTAAGTGAGAGAGGCAGACAGACAGAGAGACAGACAGACACCCCCTCCCCAACCGTCCCATCAAATTCTTGACACCTGGGTCATCTGAGCAAAACAGAGCATGCATTTTTTTCTCTTACTAAGCAAGTATTCATAGTGGCGTCCTTTCACCACTTGGACACACCAATCATTAAAGACCAAAGTAAATACACCAAGTTGAAGATAATCCTTTCACAAATATACAAGTGCCAAGTTAAAACTGCCTGTCAATCATTTGTGCATTTTTCCTTACTCTTGTCTGTTTTAATGGATGGGTGTGGTATGAAGATATTAGAGCTTGAGAAATTAGGATTCCTGTGTTATCACAATTATTTTGCCTCTTTACAGATGATTGAACCTTAAGTTCTTAATTTCTCTATATAAAATCATGATGAATAGATACTGAGTTTTTTTTCTGAAACAGAATAACAATAGTAGGGAATATATGTTTCTATGTAGATACATGAACACATGACTATACATTTAAGCTCAATGTTTTCAAACGATGATGCTTCACATTGAGAAATGAATTTTGAATTATCAAATATGGGAACAAGTTTAACAATAATATAGAAGCAGATTAAGTCTTTTTTTAAGGGAAAAAAGTAAATGTTGAATGATATTAGTTTAATGACACTTAGATCTGAATTTATAATCCCGTGTACCTATAACTGTAGTATTAGCCTATGCCAATATAAACCTAGTTATAATACTTAAAAATAATGAATAATGAATGCAATTAAGGGCTGATACCAACATTTCTTGAAGTTTTGAAATAATTATAATTAGAGATGTTAAAGAAATAAAGTAGGATCTTTCTGTGGTCATATTTGTGTTTCCTTTATTTGAAATCTGCTGCCAAGAGTCTTCAGGATAACTCATCGCTGGGTGTCTTGCATTTCTACATTTCTACTTCAGAATGTCTCAAGCTCAAGATTTCTTTGGTTTAGTTTCACATGTGTTTAGATAATGTTGTGGAGAAGGAGGAGACTTTTATTTTTTTTAATTTTTAATTTTAAAGTATGGATACGTACTAATTGTACATATTTATGGGATAAATGTGATGTTTTGATACAGGCATACAATATGTAATGATCAGATCAGGGTAATTGGGGTGTTATCACCTCAAGCATTTATCTTTTCTTGAGTGTTAGGAACATTCCAACTCCGCTGTTTTAATTATTTTGAAATATACAATAAATTATTGTTAACTATAGGTGTCCTGTTGTGCTACTGAGCATCAGATCTTATTCCTTTTATCTTACTGTATGTTTGTACCCGTTAGCCAACCCCTCTGTATCTCCCATCCTCACCACTGTTCCCAGCCTCTGGTACCCAGCATTCTACTTAGGAGAGGACTTTTAGACATCTTATAGGTCTCCGTAAGATCTATTTTGTATTTGATCCTAATATTTTTTTGAAACAGGCTTTTATTAGTGTGGTTGAACAGGTAACCACACTGCTTGTCAGGCCAGCTCCCAGGACTGGCCAGGCTGTTCACTGTGACCCAACTTGAGGGAGTACCTACTGTTTAAGGTTGTTGGGTGAACACAAATGGCACAACCTTTGCCTGCCTAGAGGGCTCAATCTGGTGGGAAGGCCAGTCTGGTTATGACAAATGGTAACACAGTCACAGCATGAGGTGCTATGAAAGCTGAATCTTGGGAGATGACACAGCCTAGTAAACTCCAAGGGATGAGTGTGTGGTGGGAAATCCTAATGCCATCAAGAGGCTAGCACTCAAGCTATCGTGATGTCCAGACCCTCTGCAAACACTAACATCTACTACTCCTGAGAATCCTGAAAATGAAGAGGAAAGTTATTGCTCTTATTTTATAGGTTAGCGAACTGAGGCATAGACTAACAAAGATATATCCTGAGGTCCTCTAGGTATTTTTTTTGTTTTCTGAGTCAGAGTCTCACTCTGTCGCCCAGGCTGGAATGCTGTGGTGCGAACTCAGCTCACTGCAACCTCCGCCTCCCAGGTCAAGTAATTCTCCTGCCTCAGCCTCCGTAGTAGCTGGGATTACAGGGGGCGTGCCACCACACCCAGCTAATTTTTGTATTTTTAGTACAGACAGGGTTTCACTATGTTGACGAGGCTGGTCACGAACTCCTGACCTCAAGACACCAGCCCTCCTCGGCCTCCCAGAGTGCTGGGATTACAGGCGTGAGCTACCGCGCCTGGCCAGTCCTGTAGGTATTAATGAACAGTTTCAGGATTTGAACTCTGGAGTCCATGCTGAGAGACTATTCTAAAGATAATGGTATGGAATTAAAGTATTTTGAGCAGAGTAGCAGAGCTAGATCACAGGCTGGGCATGGTGACTCATTTCTGTAATCCCAGCATTTTGGGAGGCTGAGGCGAAAAGGTTGTGTGAGGCCAGGAATTCTAAACCAGCCTGGGCAACACAGTGAGACCACATCTCTATATTTAAAAAAAAAAAATTTTTTTTAAAGCAAACAGAGCCTTAGGAGAAGGCAACACTATGGAGGTCAAGTTAGAGTTCATATGCAAGGTAGAGGCCCGTGTAATACTTCAATTTAGCACATGTTAGACTTCCACTAGGGTCACAAGTCTCTGGCACATAGTAGGTGTTAGAAAGAAAAGTTGGACTGAATTTCCAGATTCTCTGGAATGGACTATGATCCAGATTTATAGTCATTTAAGAGTTAGAATCTGTAATTCTTAGTGACTGACTGAATGTACTTGGGGATGGTGAGATGGGGTAGAGATGAAGCACTGCTGTAAGAGAGCTCATGTCAGAGGGGGTCCTGGAGGAGGAGTTCATTTCCAGCATTGTGAGATGTTTAGAATTACCACCAGCTGCTGGGTGTTCACTTCTGGTGCAGGTAGGATTCTGCCAAGCCCATATTCTCCCAGTTACAGGCTATCAATCTATCTGAAGCTAGAAAAAAAATGCCTCCTTATTTATTTATTTTGTATCTAGCATTTACAGAATGCCCATTTCTGGTTAGTCACCATAGTGTACAGGGCTATAGGATGAAAAGGAGAGAGAAACCATGAGTCAAGGATACAGTCTCACTCCTGTATCAAGTTACTTTGCTTCAACCAGATGTATTTATTAGACTGCTCTTTGACTTTTGGCTTAATGGGTCAGGGGTGTCCACAGAGTTCCCCATTAGAAAGGAATTCTTCTACCTATCTCTCAGTCTGCACAGTACCATGAGGGTCTTCATCTTCCAGGTGTGGAGGTGGCTTATGTCAGTTAGTGCTGCTGCCCACTAGAAACCCTGGAGCCTGGAAGATGAGCCTTGTAGGAAATACCTCTTTCTAGGTGCACACTCAGGACTACGAGAAATGTTGAGGAAGGTGAAGGATTCTCCCATAACTCAGTCCTCCTGGGCAGGTGACTGGCGGGGCCAGACTTTGAGCATCCTTGCTGAATAATAAGCCTGTTTGGTATGAAATCCATGTGCTACTGATAGCAGGGTAATCCTGTGGATTTGCTGAAACCATAAGGGACTAGATGATACATAAAAAGGATATCAGTGATTCCACGAGTGTGTAACACGAGACAAAAGACATAATAAAAGCCAACCTAATACTAAGCTTAGATTTCCATACTGCTCAGGCTATGTATTAAAAATTCTTACTGTAGAATTTTTAGTCAACTGGAGTTTTCTAGTAAACTGAATTGGTGTATGTTAAAAGGGTCGGAAAGTCGGGTAGGGATGATGGGTGGGGAGAATTGCTTGAGTAAGAGATAGTAGCCTTAAGAATATTTCCTTGCAAAATATACCTGGGTATTCTTCATGTTTAAAACTATGTGATTCCAGCAAAGATAAGTTATTTCATTTGATAAAAGCAAAAGTAAGAATTATCCTCATGGAACTAAAACCCTGTTATATTTAGTTTACTATACCATGTCTTCCATTAAAACTATCCTGAGATTAACTTGATTTATCTTGTCTCAGTTTAAGTTTAGCAATTTAATCCCTAAAAATGTAGATAGTGCTCATTGTATAGAATTCTCCCCTTTCCCAAAATGATGTACGCTTCTCTTTTACTAAATTCTCAACTTTGTTAGCCCACTCCATATTTCAGTCTTGCTGTAAGTTTTAGAAAGCAGAAATCGCATCTTCTATTTCTAACTTGAAAGGCATTTTTTACAACTCTGTGTAACAAATGTCATCGTTCCCACTACGTCTGTTTTTTTCTGATAGGGCTAAGAGGCAAGTTTTATTGATTTAGAATTTTTCACCAGTTTATATGCATTATGCTCTTCAAACTTGCTTTTATGTGTGCATGAAAGGATATTGATTTAGAACAAATTTATATTAGCCCACTTTTCAAAACCCTGCAGCCAATCAGCATTATTTTTGGTGCTACAGCTTTCATGTAGACGTTCTGCAGGAAAAAACCAGAAAGCTCTCATTGCCTTGTACCGAGATTCTCAGTCAGGAGTCTAGAAAAGTCTTTCTTGAATCTAGTAGTTAGTGATTCATAAGTTTTTGTTGTTTATAACTTAGTACTTTTTTCTGAGGCGATTCTAGTCAATTCACAAGTCTCCTAAGGATTATTTCAAATGCAGGTCACTTCGTGTTCTTGAGATGACTTTGAAATCCATCTGTGTGTGTGCTGAATGAATATTGAGCATATGTGTCGCAAATATGTTTCCTGACAAACAACGTGCCATGTTCTGGGTCCTGGGGAGCTAGCAGCTCCCCAGGGTAGCTAGCAGCTACCGTGGTGGACAAGATCAGCACAGCCCAGCACAACCCCTGCCTCTGTGAGACTCAGGGCCTGGGAGAAGAGCTGGCCAGTAAAAATTACGTAGACTGTACAGTTATGAATTAGATGCTTGGTCTCTTGTATTTCAGCAATTAGATGCCTTTGATCTTAGGTACGTTGAATTCTTAAATTTATTAGCTTCTCTAATGCTGTAGGCTGATATAGATTTCTGTGGCTATCCTTAACTATCAGCTTTGATTAACCCAGAGTTTGGTGTTCAAAAAGAAGCTGTATCCCTCTGCTAAAAGAAAGAAAGGAAGGAAGGAAGGAAGGAAGGAGGGAGGGAAGGAAGAAAGGAAGAAAACCTTCTGGTGACCTCTCAGAATTAAATTTAAAAACCTAGTGGGATGCTGCTTCTCCCTTGCTTTCTGTGTCCCGGCCACATTGGACTCCTTTCTGTTCCTTTGGCTCTCAAAGCAGGCTTTGCCCCAGGACTATAACAGGATTTTGCCCCACTGACACATGGCAAACTCACCTGATTCAGGTCTTTGCTCAAATGTCACCCTCTCAGCTCAAGGCAGGGTACCTTGAGTACTCTGGCTCTGTTAGTGCCACTTTCCATAGCTTTATTTTGCTTGATAGCATTTACCACTACCTGACATACTATTATACTTTTGCCTAATTATTGATAATCTGTCTCCACCCAACAGAATGTTTGTTTCATTAGAGCAGAGATTGTGTCTCCTTAGCCTTCTCTTCCATCCTCAGCACTGGAAATGACACGAGACACGTAATGAACACTCAATAAATATTGGTGAATGAATGAATGATGTGATAGGCTAACCAAACCTTCACTTTCTTGGAGGCAGCCTACTCCCTTCTCATGACAGTTGCTGAAGTTATGCTGAGAACAGTGGTGATTGTAACTATGGAAAATGTTTAGGGTGTCAGGGTCAACTTTTTTCTCCTTTGGTTATTTGTCCAATGCAGGGCACCTGCTTAGCTACTTTTATCTCCATGTTCTTGGCTATCTACTTGTAGGAAATAGATACCCATGTAAGAGAATGCAAAAGTCTCTTGGAGGAACCAAGGAGCCTTATGTATCCAAGTTAGCATGTACTGAGTGCAGGGTGCTCTTAAGATCTCTGCTTGGACACTAGAAATAGAAAAAAATATGTATGAAGAAGTTTGGATAAATGCTTCATTTGAAAGTTATATACCTTAGTATTTGCTTTCCCATTCTCATGCCACTTATGAAGGGTGAAGTTGGCTTCATTGACAGCTAATACTGTTGAAGTCTATTGTAAAATCAGTTCATTAGGTTAGTGTCTATTGAGCAACTACTATGTGTATGTGTTGTGTTGGGAGTAGTGCAAGATGAGGCTGGAGGAGAAAACTGGGGCCGAATCACCCAGGTCTGCAAGTCTCATTGGAACTTGGACTTGCTCCTCAGTGCAATGTGAAACCTTTGAAAAATTTTAGCAAAGGAATGATGTGGTCAGATTTGTATTTTTAAAATAACAGCTTTATTGAAATATTAGCATACCATGTAATTCACACATTTGAAGTATACAATTCAATCAAATTAGTATACTCATACAGCAGTATAACTATCACTACTACATTCCATTTTAGAACATTTCATCATCCCCAAAAAGAAACCCTGTACCAATTAGTCATTCCCAATGTCTCTCCAGTTCCCCAGCCCAAGGCAACCACTTATTTACTTTCTGTCTCTATAGATTTACCTGTTCTGGACATTGCTTTGCAACTGGCTTTTCCCACTTACTGTAAAGTCTTCAAAGGGTCATTCATGTCGTAGCATTTCAATTCTTTTTATTGCCAAAAAATATTTCATTGTATAGATATATCACATGTAGTTTATTCATCACTTGGCGGATAGTTAGGTTGTTTTTACTTCTTGGCTACTATGAATTATACTTCTATAAACATTCATCTACAAATTTTTGTGTGGACATATGTTTTCATTTCTCTTGGGTATATACCTAGGAGTGGAATTGCTGGGGTATATGGTCACTCTATGGTTAACCTTCTAAAACAGAACTGCCAGACTGTTTTTCTAAGTGGCTACACCACTTTACATTTCATACATTACACCCCATACATTTCCACTAGCAATGTGTGAGGGTCCCAGTTCCACCACATCCTTGCCAAAACTTTCCTTTTTTAAGTCATAGCCATCCTAGTGGGTATAAAGTGGTATTTCACTGTGGTTTTGATTTGCATTTCCCTGATGATTAAAGATGTTGAACAACTTTTCATGTGTTTGTTAGCTACAAATAACCAGAATATCTTCCTTGGGAAATATCTGTTCAAATCCTTTGCCCGTTTTTAAATTGGGTTGCTTGTCTTTTATCACTGAGTTGTAGCAATTCTTTATATAGTCTTAATGTCAGTATCTTATCAGATACATGATTTGCAAAAAATTTTTTCTAATTCATTGGGCTGTCTTTTCACTTGATGGTATTGTTTGTAGCACAGAAATTTTAAATTTTGATGAAGCCCAGTTTATCTACTTTTTTTTGTTGTTGCTTATGGGGTCATATCTAAGAAGCCATTGTCTAATCTGAGATCATGAAGATTTACTCCTATGTTTTCCCTTACAAGTTTTATAGCTTGGCTCTTACCTGTAGTCTTTCATCTCCTTTTAGTTAGTTTTTGTATATGTTACAAGATAAAGGTCCAGTTTCATGCTTTTGCACATGGATATTCAGTTTTTCCAGCACCATTTGTTGAAGAGACAGTCTTTTCCTTTTTGAGTGGTCTTGGCCAGATGTATATTTTTAAAAGATCACTGTCAGCAGGGTGTGAAGGGTTTAAAGGAGTAGCGATGAGAATAGAAGTGGGGAGATCAATTTGAAAAATATTTATGTAGCTCTTATTACGTGTAAAACATTGTTCCAGGCACTGGAACTATGATCATAAACAAGTCAGACATAGCCCTGGCCTCATGGAGCTTACATTCTGGCACTGAGGATGAGGGATACAAACCTAACAGGAAAGAGGAAAAAGAAGCAAATGCAGTGATGACAAGTTGTGAGAGAAGAAACAGTGATGTGCAGTGTATAAGTTATAGGACTACTGAATATATAAAGCATGAATTGCTTATTTAGTTTTTTCCTTTAATTTCAAAGGGCCAAACATACCGACTCAGAGGCAGGTTGGCTAGAGTGGAGTTAGGAAAATACTCTTTCTGGAAAGAAAGGTGACTTTAATCATTGCTGCCTATACATGCCACTATCACCAGTGAGTCTTCACTTAATGTGCATATCCACCTGCTGGCAGCATTGCCAGAGTGACTGTCTGAAAGAATGGCCGCTTGTTCATTCGTTCATTCATTCATCAGATTATGGTAGCATGGATTACAGAGGTGAAGAGAAATGAAGAGATTTGAGGGTGGTCTAGATGTAAAATTGGGAGGATTTGTAGTCACATATGAAAGGTAATAGTAAGGAAGAAGGAGCTATTGAGAATGGGATCAGGGATTTGGGATTTTGGTAGTTATGATAGCCATTGAGTGCTGAGAATGGGTTAGGCTCTCTATTGAGCTCTGTCCAGGCATTATTCCATATGATCCTGAAAAAACTAAAAAAAAAAAAAAAAAACACCAAGGTAGGCACTACCACTACCAGCAGCAGCAGACAAAACCAAAGCTTAGGGGAGGTCAAGTCACTTACCCTAGATCACAAAACTATGAAACTGGGTAAGTGGTGGTGCCATGTGCTACTTTAATGTACTTCTTTTACTTTGTTGAGCTCTTCTTTTCAAAAAGCATCTAAAGATTGAATGAAGAAATATACAACAATTCTAACTAAATGTTTAATGAAGAAATTTTGAAGGGAAAAAATAGACCAAAACCACTTTCTTATAATCTCACCGACTGTGTATAATGAATGGCTGTCCTTTGGTGGATATGTTTCCTTTTCGAGAGATCAACCCTCATCTGAATGCCTCCCTCAGTATAGCTGCTGCTGGTCTTGTAGTATGTGCTTGGTTGTGCAGTTCCTGTGGTCTGGCATGTACCTAATGCACACAGATTGGATTGAAGATTGAAGTTAACCTCGCTTATCGATGGCATTTTAATTTCCTTCCTCTTACTACATTATGTGTTTTTTATGATAGTGCTTTAAAGTCCAGGCTTATAAGGAAAAGGAAACAATCTCCTATGCAAGTCCCCAGGGTTTCAGTGAAGCAGATGGCAGGAAGGGTCTGGGCATGGTGTGTGTTGCCTGTTTCAAAATTATGTCCCATGCACCCCAGCATTTATTCCCTTGATGTTGGCACTGGGCAGGTGATCAGATTTTAATTTGTGTGGCGTGGTGGCCTTTTAGAGTAGGATAATAACATTGGGAAAATTAGGTTAAGATCAATTTGTCATTTATTTTGTCGTAATAAAATAGAGTAAATCTTTCAAAACAGATTTACGTAAGTTCCTTGAATTGGAGGAAGCCTCAAATCTAAAACTTCATTAAGCAACATCTTAATATCACAGAGACTCGGGGTCAGAAAAAATTTAAATGACATATAAATTAGTAGAGTTTTTCGTTTGCTATTCATTTTTTTTCCCGTTTTATTGCCCTGGTATTCTGAGTCTCTTGGTTCATTCTTACGTGTGTATCATTTTGGTTTGGGTTATGAGTGCTCACTGGCATACTGGTATACAACACTGAGAGCCAGTAGGCTGTTATTTTGCTGCCATTCTATTGTGTCTAGAGAAGTATCCAGGGAGAGGGTTGTTTGTTTTTACTTGATGAGGTGCAGAAGTTGGGACTGTACTGAAAAACAGAATGCTAAAGAGCCAGCTCCAATCTAGGAAACATCCTCCAAGAGCACCCCCTGAGACAGAGTGTGAATCACAGAAAGGAAATTAGATTTTTTTAGCCCCAAATAAGAAAGATTAAAACACCAGTAAATTGTTTTACATTGATTTTACTAAGGTTAGTTAGAAGTAAAGGCTTACAAACACGTACTGTTTATTTAGTGATAGATGAAACTTAGAGGCGTTTCTTCTGTTGTAATTGGTTGGCTCTTTGCATTGATTAGAACTAGGTAGACAAGTTGGTACAAAAATGGCAGGAGTGGAAGGGAATGGGCCCCTGTTGATGTGTAAGAACATACGCGTGCATGTGGGGACACCAGTGGCATTTTCTGCATGTTTCGGGGTTTCAGAAGACTTGCCTTGTTCTGCACCTCTAAATTAGACCTACTGTGAAAAACTTACAGGTCAGTTTCTGGGAGTGCTTTTCTTCCTGGACTTTCCCAGGTGAGCACTTAGATCCTGTGAATCCATCTCCGTGTCGGAAACTTCCGTGATCCGGCTCTATGCTTTAATTTTGAATGTCTTGCTATTTCATTTCTTTGAAAATAAAGCAGTTCCACAACATTACAGCCCTGTGCTGTCTACTCATTCTCCTTTGGGGATTGCTTGTTTTAATTGATTGATTCACAGAGGAGAAAGAAAAACAATTTGTTGCTTTGGCAAGATTGGTTTTTCTAAGGATGCTACTGTCTTGCTGGGTCTATGTGGCAGTTAGTAAGAGAAGCTGGCTTAGCAGTTCTGAGGCTGACATGAACATTGCTTCTTAAATTGAAAGGTTGGGTGGGTGGATGGGTGGATGGGTGGATGGGTGGATGGGTGGATGGATGGATGGATGGATGGATGGATGATGGAGATAGATAAGATAGATAGATACTTGCAGCAAGCATTCCCAGAACATTTGTTACTCACCTCACTAAAATTAAGCTGTTGTTATTTTGAGATGAGATGGCAGATAAGGTAGATTCAATCATTTAACATCCATTCCAATCTCCCGTCTGTGTCTTTTCCTGTCCTGCTGATACTAGAAAGCTGAAAAATCATCCCCTGGCAGCAAGGGTTCTGAAAATGACTAGCCTGTCAGAATCACTTATGTAAGACTTGAACACAGAGCAGAATTAAGTGGGTAGAGGGATGGTGTGGTCCAGACATCAGCTTGCTGGCCTGACTGGCAGGCGAGCTGTGCCCAGAGCTGGCATCGCTGTGGGGCCCCCATGGTGGCCCCTGTAGCCCATGCTTGGAGGCAATGTAAGGATGGGGCTCTGGTGGGGCCTCTGGTGGCTCCTGTGTCCTGTGCTTGGAGACAGTGGTATGAGGACAGGTTTCCTCATGTAGCATCCCCTCTGTGCTGGTGTCTGGGTCTTGGGGGTCATCCTGGAGGCACAGCTCAGAGGCTATTCTTCAAGTCTCTCTCCTGATTTTATAAGCTCCGAATTCTTGTATAAAGTTACCTTCTAGTTAAAATACCCAGCATGATTTCTGTTATCTGCACATGACCTCCGATAAATGTATACTTTTTCTTTTTTTTTTTTTTTTTTGAGAAGGAATCTCACTCTGTCGCCCAGGCTGGACTGCAGTGGTGCAATCTCGGCTCACTGCAAGCTCCACCTCCCAGGTTCATGCCATTCTCCTGCCTCAGCCTGTAGCTGGGACTACAGGTGCCCACCACCATGCCAGGCTAATTTTTTATATTTTTAGTAGAGACGGGGTTTCACCGTGTTCACCAGGATGGTCTCAATCTCCTGACCTTGTGATCCGCCTGCCTCGGCCTCCCAAAGTGCTGGGATTACAGGCATGAGCCACTGCGCCTGGCCACATGACCTCTGATAAATGTATACTTCTATGGGACAAATTTTCAGAGTTGGCAAAGAAAATAGGTTCATCTTTATGGACCTTGGGATCTCCGTGTGAAACTCTCACCTTCCCTCAGGTCGTCCACTCATCTCACACGTGGCCTCTTCCCTTACACAGGAAGGCAACTCTGGGACGTTTGCTGATGATGGCTCATCGTGCCCACCCCTCAGGTGTGAAACCTCAGAACCATGTGCATTTCTCCTCATCCTCGTCCCCTTTAACCATTCTCCAGTTCTTACTTCCTGATGCTTGCTTCTTTTGAGTCTAACTTTTCATTCAGCCTTCAGCAATCCCTGTGCTACGACAGCCTCTGCTAAGAACTTCATGCAACTTGTCTTATTATAGCCTCATAAAAACCCTGTGGGAGGAAGGTTAGATGCCATGTCCCAAGGCTGAACGTAGTGCTGGACTGGGCAGAGAGGCCTCAGCTCTGACTGGTCTGAGCTGTGGGAGCTTTAGCTTTTTTTTTTTTTTTTTTTCCTGACACAGAGTCTTACTCTGTCATCCAGGCTGGAGTGCAGTGATGCAATCTGTACCTCGAACTCCTAGGCTCAAGTGATCCTCCCACCTCAGCCTCCCGAATAGCTGTGGCTACAGGCTCATGCCACCACAAATGGCTCATTATTATTATTATTATTATTTGGTAGGGATAAGGGTCTTGCTGTGTTTCTCAGGTTGGTCTCAAACTCCTGACTTCAAGTGAGCTTTTTTTTTTTTCAATAACAGTTTTGTTGAGTTACAGTCCATATACTAAATAACTCAGCCACTTAGATGTACAGTTCAGTGGTTTTTAATATAGTCACAGATATGAACAGCCATCATCACACTAAATTAAGGAACATTTTCATCACCTCTAGGAGAAAGCTTGTGTTTGTCTGTTTTTGCTTTGGTTGCCTGACTCTGAGGTCTTACTCAAAAATCTTTGCCCAGACCAGTGTCCTGAAGCATTTCCCCAATGTTTTCTTCCAGCAGTTTCACAGTTTCAGGTTTAACATTTACATCTTTAATCCATTTTGACTTGAATGCTGAGAGATAGGCCCGAGTATGTACAGCTGTTATGTATCAGGTTTTTAAAACAGGTAACCTGGTACACTTGAACAGCCCTAGCCCCCTGCCCTAAGCAGCCACTTACCTACTTCCCATTTCTATAGATTTGCTTGTCCTTCCCATTTCTTGTAAATGGAATCATACATCATGCAGTCTTGCATGTGTCTGTCTTCTTCCACTTACGACAGTGTTTTCAAGGTTCATCCACATCCATGTATGTGTGCTTCATTCTGTTGTATGATTGAATAATATTCCATTGTATGGATATACCACATTTTGTTTATCCATTCATCAGTTGATGGACATTTAGGCTATTTCCACCTTTTATTGTCTATGATAAATAATGCTGCTATGAACACGCATGTACAAGTTTTTGCAAGGATATGTGTTTTCATTTTTTCCTGGGTATATGCCCAGGAGTGAAATCACTGGCTGAATGGTAACTGTATGTTTAACCTCTTGAGGAACCATGAAACTGTTTTCCCCAGTGGCTGCCTTATTTTACACTCTCACCAGCAGTGTGGAAAGGTTCTAATTCCTCTACATCCTTGCCAA
The DNA here is from genome assembly GCF_000001405.40 of Homo sapiens. NCBI lineage: Eukaryota > Metazoa > Chordata > Mammalia > Primates > Hominidae > Homo > Homo sapiens. The sequence goes on from NC_000013.11 coordinate 25,722,104, forward strand.
TGCTGGTATGTGACTTTTTGATATTATGTGATGTCATGTGACTTCTCGCTTATAGCCATCCTAGTGGGTATGCAGTGGTATCTCAGTGTGGGAGCCGTGGCTCTGAACCCCATTGCAGTAATACCCTCTGCTCCTTAGTAGCCTCCTCAGTTCAATTTCCCCTTCTTCCTTGATGGCAGTAGCTGATCCCTTTTGTTTCCAGGGCCTTCATCAATAGATTGCTACCTAAGAGGGTTACTAAAGTACTGTTTGGTCCCAAGACTTCCTTGAACAAGGCCATCAGGAAGTTCCCCATTCCCTATAGGGTGCTGCCTGCATTTTGCTGGGGTTACAGGTACCCCATTATTGGCCTCAGCCTTGCATTCTGCTTTTCTCTCAGGCAGACTTTCTGACCAATGAGACTGGTATATGTTTTGCATCCTGTACATGCTATGTATTTTGACACTTCTCTTTCTTGATCCCCTTTCTACCCATATCATCCAGAAGGGACTTTGGTGCTGCTACAGAATTTATTATTAGTAACACACACTTGGCACTAATTCATTGCTGTATGTTAGTTGTCTATTTTGACTTTTGTCTGTGTGTACCAAAAATGCATATAACTTATAAAAGCCACAATAAAATAAGTATTTTTTTCTAATTCCCTGGCTAAGACACTCAGTCTTTTCAAGATCCCTGTGTACCTAAGATCATATCCTCCTTTCTATCCCACAAAGGTAACTAATTTTATTAATTTTATCATTCACTTGTGTTTCTTCATAGTTTCTATAATGAATCAAATTGCTTATTTGCTCCATAATCAAGTACATGAAATTTGAATGGAATTGTAGTCTATTATTTTCTGCATTATGAGTTATTTTGTTCAAGGTTACTTGAGTTTACTCCGTGTTAATTCCTGTAGGTGGAGTGTATTCATTCTCACTGCTACATAAAGTTCCATTGTATGAATTTTACCTCAACTTACTTTATTATTCTCCTGGTGATAGACATTTGGCTTCTTGCCAGATTTCAAGTGTTACATATGATGTGGCTACAAAAATAGTAAATGTCTTGGGCAAATTTGTTTTTGGACATAATACTTGGGAGTAGAATTGCTTAGTAGTGGGGAGTGGGCATTTTTAACTTCACTAAATAATGCAAACTTATATTCTTAAGTGAATTACCAGGAGTTTATAAAAATTTCCTTAGATCTACATTCTTGCCAAGACTTGTATTTTCAATTTATTTTAATCTTTACCAGCCTCGTGAATATTAAATGCTATCTCCTTTCTCTAACTTTATACTTTTCTTCTTGTTAAGGAGATGACATTCCTTATCTTTAGCAATGTGTTTTTGCCTTAGAGGCTCTTATTTGATATTCAGTTGGCTACAGTGAGTTTCTTGTAGTTAGAATTTGCCTGGCAGATCTTTTACCTCCTTTTACTTTTGGCTTTTCTGTATTGATTTTAAACATCATCTAGCCAGATTTTGTTTGTTTTCTGTTTTTAACTGCATTGAAGCTGGATAATTCAGTTCATTTGCACAGAGGCTGTAGCGATTGTTAGCTGTTGTTTGGGGTAGGTGAAAAATGGGAGAGAGGAGTTTGCTTGCAGCCATTGTTCTGGGCAGCATTCCAGTCCAAGATGGCGCCAGGATTTCTCACCCTCTGGGGCACTCCCTCCACGTAACCCCCGAGACTGCAGCTGGAATGAGTTTTACTTCCATGACGAGCTGACTTTAGGAAAGGGAGATTATCTGAGCAGGCCTGACCTATCACATGAGCCGTTTAAATCTGGGTGGAGAGAACAGAGATAGGGGAAGCCAGGGAGATTTCAAATAGGAGTAGGATTTGATGGACCGTGGCTGGTTTGAAGATGGAGGAGAATGCGTGGCCAGGAAGTAGGTAACCTCTAGGTGCTGGGAGTGGCCCCCAAATGGCATCCAGCATGAAAATGGGGCCCTCAGTCCTACAGCTCTAAGGAACTGAATTCTGTCACAGCCATGTGAGTTTGGAAGAGGATCTTGAGCTCCAGATGAGAACACAGCCTGGCTGATACCTTGATTTTACACTTGGGAGACCCTGAGAAGAAAACCAGTTATAATTTGTCATGCAGCAATAGAAAACTAATGCATTCATGTGGCATCTGGGAGGGCTCTGTGCCCATGATCAGGAACTTCCAGAAGGTAATTGGGCATAAATACCCAGCACTCCAGAGAAAGATTCAGCCTGGGGATGGATTCACCATCACTGTCACTAACAAGCGGTAGAAATGGGATGTGTGGGTGAGGTCAGTCAGAGAGAGTGAACAGGCAGGGAGAGGCTGAACAGGGAAGCCTGGACAACATTTCCCAATGTTGAATTGTGAATGATGGCCTGAGGGCCTGAAAATTGATAGCTCAAGGCACTGTGAGTTATAAAAACTGTAAGTTTTATCTCCTTGATGAGTTATAACTCCCTTATGAGCTGAGAGCCCATTATATACTGACTGTTTTCAAAAATACCCAGTGGCCTCATCTCATATTATTTCTCCATTTTAAAAATTCACATTGACTTCTTTGGGCTCCACAGCACATGCAGGCTGCTGTCTAGTCCTTGGGTCATTTCCTGGGAGTAAGGAAGAGAAATAAATCCCTTCCAGTAGGAATATCTTATGGTAGGCATGGAAAAGTAGAAGAAAATGAGGTATCTGTTTTTATGATGTCCTAGGCCCATTGACCACATCTTGGGCCCACAAAGGGTGTAGACAATTGAGTGAGAACAATCAGTATAAAGTCTAGATTAATTTTATCCTATACCAGTTCAGGAAACCATTGCCTCTTCCGGTTCCTAGGTGTCTTCAATAAAAAAGAGTTATCAGAGTAAACAAGTGATTGAAATACTATGTGTCAGACCTTCTGCTAGGACCTGTAGAGTAAATGTCACCCTAGATAGGCAGATTTCCTGTCCTCCCAGAGTCTGTCATCTATCAGGAAGTGTAGCCTTTAAACAAGCGCTCTGAAGAAGCTGTGATAAATGCTGGGTTCTCCATTATTGTCATCTCTGAAGGCCATTGGTAACCTGGAGGAATATTCTCCCACTAACAGGAGAAAGCACAGGATCAAAAAGAAAAACTTCCCTTCATTCTTCCAGTTTCTCTTAATCATTTTGCCTTTTACTTCCTGTCCTCTGTGAGCACGTGTCTGTACTGTTAAGTACAAATGGACCCAGAGGTTTCAGGCAAAGCCTGAGTGAGGCGCTGCATGCCTGTCTTGCAGGTCAGGGCTAGGAATGGTGACAGGGCTAGGAATTGACCATTGCTCCATTAAAGTGGACCAAAGTGGAATCTGAGTCCTTTTCAGGCCCTAGGTTCAGTCTGTGCTGACTCTGAACCTCTGAGATGACTATTCCCAAACCTGAGGGACCGAAGATCAGCATCAAGGACAACAGACAGGGGTGCTGGGGTGCAGATGTAAGTGAGCTGGGTCTTCTGGAGCGCTGGTCACTGCATGCTGTGGGTATAAAATGGCTGTCTAGTGGAGGCAGCCAGGCTGCTGGGAATGACTCCAGGTAGACCAGACACATGATTCTTCTGTGCCTTCAACCCGATGCTTTCAAGTGGCGTGCCTTAGCTGTGGACATTCTGACCCTGCCTTGTTGAATGCTTTTTGTATTTTTGCTCAGAGAGAGAAATCAGAGTGATTTCTTTTTTGTCTTATAGATCAATCTTGTAGCTTTTAAGGCAGCTCTCCATAAGGACCACAAAAGATCAGTCTGATAGCTAGATGTCACATGCTGTGGCAGAAACACTCCTACCAGCATACACTCATTCTGTACTAGGAACTATAGTAGGAGTTTTATTTGTGTTATTTATTTCATTCACATGGCAACACCATTTTCCTGGTAAGATGACTGAAGCTCAGAAAGGATAGGTAACTCAAATACCATTGCTAAATATGTTTACCTTTAGTATGTAGATAGACACGCATTCAGAAGAAAACGAAGGTGAAATATTTTGGACCCGTTTGTTTCGAATGCATCAGTGGTGTTTATTATTTAAAGAAATTCTTTAAAGAGAATGATTTTGTAAAGAGGATAATTTTCTAATTTGTGTCAAGCAGGTTGTAATGTTTTGTACAAGTACCTGAACTAGGGTACCCTTGCTGAGAAGGTAGTAAAGTGTGGCTATAGCTACATGTAAATGTAACTCAATGTGTCAGGTGTCCCTGTAACTAAAGGCGCAAAAGTGTGAAAAGAATGGCAAGTGAAGGGCACCTGGACGGTGGGCATGTTCGTTTCCTGTTGCCACTGCAACAGATTACCACAAAGGTAGTGGCTTAAAACAACAGTAAGTTATTCTCTTAGGTTCTGTGGGCTCTGGGGAGAATGTGTCCTTGCCTTTTCAGCTCCTAGTAGATGCTGGATTCTGATGGCTTTTTAAAAATGATAAATTCCTCGGCTTGTGGCCCCTTCTCTCATTTTCAAAATGTATCCCTTCATTCTCTGCTTCTGTTGTCACATTGCTTTCTCCAATCCTGCAGTGAAATCTCTCTCTCTCTGTGGACACTTGGAATTCCATTTAGCGCCCACCCAATCTCAGATCATCTCCCCACTTCAAGATCCTTTACTATACCTGCACATTTCCTTTTTGCCACCTAAAGTAACATTTATAGGTTTCAGGGATTAGGGTGTGGACATCTTTGGGGGCTGTTATTCAGCCTACTACAGTTGCCTTGAAAGGATATAGGAATTATCAATTCCAGGGAGTCCTTTTCATAGCAAGAGTGCTAGATTTTTGAGGGTCTGGAGGTAAAAGACCCTGCAATAGGGCAGGAATGCTGGGAGGAAGGCTCCATGGGGAAAAGAGAACCACCCCAAGGAGAAGGAGGTGCAGTGGACAGATACATACATGTGTACATTTCAGCCTCATTTTTCGTTGTCTTGATTTTCCGTGTAGTACCTGGTGTCTTTAATATCATATCCCCGTCCTTCTCCATCAGGGGTACATGCATGCACGTGATGTAGAGCTGGGGTAAGCAAGCCGCAGAGCAAACCTGGCACATCTCAGGGTGTGTTTTTTCTCAGATCTCAGAAAATAGCATTTATATGTAAATTAACCTAACTATGGTGTGATGGAGAAACCATGAAATGATAAATAATCAAGCTTAACCTTTATGTGACAAACTTTGGTAGTCTTGGAAATATTTTTGAATATATTGGAACATTACAGAAAGAAGTTTAGAGAGTTTTTTGGGGTTGTTTGGTTTCACAAAACATTAGGTACCACAAAATGCTGTGGCCAACCAGGAAAGTGATTTTGGCAACGTTACTATTTGTGTTCTCTTTTGTCAACGCCAAGGGAGCCGCCCCATGCCAGAGCTGTATTTGCATTACTGAAAAGCAAATATCTCAGGCCTTTGGACAACACGATACACTCTCACATGCCCTGGAGACTCTGCGTGTGAGATGATTGGAAATGCTCATGGCTAAAGTCAGCCATTATCCGGAATAAACTTTCCCAGAGGGAGTTTTTCAGAAACACACCAGGGACCAGTAATAAAACATAAACTATAAAATGTCCTCTAGCAACCAAAACACATGGGATGTTTTTCTATATAATATTTCACATTAAACGTAATTGTAGATTAACTTTTATAGAGAAAATATTTTTTCAAGCCAGATATGCTTAAATCCTTTCATTTCCTCAAGTATGACAAAGCACTGGGAATATACTCCCCTTTGTAATTTCCTACCGATTTGCCCTAGTTATGAATGGAACATTAACTCTGCGAAATCTACATATGGAAAACGACCCCAGATGAAAATCTTAAACTGGCCATATCCCTAACTCTGGAGTCCAAGCCCTGTGCTCTGGTCCTGGCACTGTGGCTCACCAGGTAGTCACGTGACCCTACTCACCTGTGCAAATGCCCCCACGCTTCTCAGATCCCAAGCTCAAGGGGGCGTTGAGGATCAGGTCACCCACAAGTTCCCTTCCTGCCCTCAGCTTGCACGTGGCTCATCTGTCAAGGAACCACATACTGTGTCAGATTTTGTTAAAGCAAAAACCGGTTTTTATAGTCTTTATAAAATGTAAAAACTTGGAATAAATGTAACAATATCTAAATTCCTGGTGTGAATGAACAGCAGCTGTAGTGACAAAGGGAACAGGTCTTGAAGTGAAACCTGCCTGGCTTGGAATTCTGCCTCTGCCACTTACCAGCTTTAGTCCTTGTTGAAGAAATTAGCTGGAATCAGGAGTTTTCTCATGGGTGAAGTGAGGATACCTCATGGAGAAGTCTATGCAAAAGTAAGGTTCTCAGCACAATACCCGGCTAATAATATTACCTGCTTAGAGAGTGGGGGTAACAGCAGGTGCAATGTCATGTCTGCTGTTTTAGCTACACCAAGCTCCATCCACATCTTGAGTTGATGCCGTGAATAAAGGTCATATTACTTTTCAGTATTACTGGGGATATTTGATCCATGTGATGGGCAGATAAAATGTCTCTGTCTTAGAGAAAAAATGGACTTTTTAGGTAGCCAGCATTGCAATGTACTATTGTTAGCAGACATTTGAGATGGCTTCTAAAAACCGTGCAAGTGAAACACCCCAGGTTTTGAGAAGGGGGGAGCACCGTGTCCCAGGTCACAGGGCTGTCTGTGAACAGAATTCACCTGTATCCCCTATCTCATTCTGTTTTACCCCTGCAGACTTTTGATTAGACATCTTCATTGCATCCTGAGTGACGGGAAAATTTGTAATTAGCAAATGCATCTGCATATAGAAGTGTGTGCCCGAAACTGCTGTGCTTTTAGTTCTCATATGCGTGCTCCTTGGAAAGTGACTGTTAGTAACATTAACTCTGAAAACCCTGTTTTTCAGATTGCAAACGTAACTTCTTTCCAGGTCCTATTAAATGGAGATTTTCCTCTTGCATTCTTAAAAACTCAGAGCTAACCTTGGAGTGGTGTCTCTTTCTCTCCACCTCTCTCTCCCTTTCTCCTTCTCTCCTTCCTCCTCCACTGTTTTTTTCCCACCCTCCCCCTCTCTCCTTTCTTGTGCAAGATTTCAGTCAGTTTACTGAATTGCCTTTACATGGCTATGACCTTGAATTGCTTCTGTTAGTTCCCCTGTGCTCTTCCACATTTTTTCATTTTAGGACTACAGGCTAAGCATACTTAGTTATTACCTTGTAATACACAATCAAGATAACCTGGCCTTGGTTTCTGTGACTGTATCTCAGCCTCCCTGTCCTCTGTCTCGCAGAGAACTAGGGAAGGATGGAAAGTGACTAAAGGTATGGAATGCCTGAGGCATGGCCAGGCCAGGTACTGTGGCACATATTTTCGTATGTTGTCTCATTTAACCCTGATTCATACCTTTTAGGACAGGTCATGATATTCCCATTTAACTGCGCTTTAAAGAAGTTGAATGTCCACTGGGTCACACTTGGAGGGTTTAAGATCTGGATTTGGGTCTGAGTCCAACCACGATGTCATTTATATGGACTGTGTCGCGACACGTGTGTCTTTTTCCTGGTTTGGTGTTGTTATTCCCCTGGCAAGGTGTGCATGAAGTCGGTCCTGCCCTACACCTGTTGGCTTGTTTTGTTTGACTTGTGTTTACACTCCTTTTTAAGATGACTTTGTTAAACTGAAAAAAAAAAGCTGAAATGTTGATCAGGTAGCAGATTTGCAGGAGACCTAGGTACTCATCACTCTAGCACTTCCTAAACTGTAGTTAAAGAAACATTGTTCGGGATGCTAAGTGTAACGTGGGGGAAAAAAATAGCTCTCTGTGCAAATAAATTTGTATAATTGTTAAATGTGATTGCTTTCCCTCTGAGTCTTTAATCTGATAATGTGCATTCTGCCAGAAGGGAATGTAGTATACTGCACCTCCCCAGCTTGTTTTTGTTCACATCTAACTTAATTTATTAGAAAGCAGCCTGGCGCAGTTGTGCATGCCTGTAATCCCAGGACTTTGGAGGCCGAGGTGGGCAGATTGCTTGAACCCAGGAGTTTGAGACCAGCGTGAACAATATGGTGTAACCCCATCTCTACAAAAAATACAAAAAATTAACCAGGCATGGTGCCGTGTGCCTGTGGTTCCAGCTACTCTGGAGGCTCAGTTGGGAGGATTGCCTGAACTCAGGTGGTTGAGGCTGCAAGTGAGCCGTGATCATGCCACTGCACTCCCGCCTGAGTGACAGAGTGAGACCCTGTCTCAACAACAACAACAACAAAATTATTAGAAAGCAAAAGTCTCTTTAAGACAGGTATGTCTTCAACTCTATCAAGTTGGCTTTTGTTTTGAAGAACAAAAGGGAATCATGGCTTGGCAGTTTCAGCTATGTGTGGGGACTACTTTCTATTACACTGGTCCTGCTTTTACCTCTGGTGTCTAAAATGTAATAAATATGTGAACTAGAGCTCATAGGGTAGCTTCAACTCTGCTTAGAGTTTATAGCTTCAAGTGGCATGATATCTGTCACACTCACAAGTAGTATCCATTGCTGATTTCTCTTTGTGGTTGAGCTTCTTTATTTTATTCTATATTCTTACTTTATAATTTTTCATGTATAATAGACCAAATGTGATTGCCATAAAGAAGGCCAAATGTAGAATCCATGCCCAGTTTGCTTATTCTGGAAAAGCTTACTATGTAAGCTGGGATTTGAGGAGTTCTTAGATTTTTATTATTGTTTGATTTTTTTTAAGGAAGGAATAGGCCAGGCATGAGTGGCTCACACCTGTAATCCTAGCACTTTGGGAGGCCAAGACAGGAGAATTACTTGAGACCAGGAGTTGGAGACCAGCCTGGGAAACAAAGTGAGACCTGTCTCTACAAAAACTCAAAAAATTAGCCAGGTTGGCGGCACATACCTGTGGTCCCAGCCGCACGAGAGACTGAGACAGGAGGATCACTTGAACCTGGGTTGTTGAAGCTGTAGTGAGCCATGTTCCTCCCACTACACTCCAGCCAGGTCGCAAAAAAGAAGGAGAGGGGAGGAAAAGAAAAGAAAGGAGAAAGAAAGAGAGAGAGAGGGAAAGGGAAAAGAAAAGAGAGAGAGAGAGAGAAATAAAAGAAAGAAAGAGAAAGAAGGAAGGAAAGAAAGAAAAGACCGGAAGGAGAGAGAAAGAGAGAAAGAGAAAGAAGAAAGAAGGAAAGAGAGAGAGAGGAAGGAAGGAAGGAAGGAAGCGGGAGGAAGAAAAAGAAAGAAAGAGAGAGAGAAAGAAAGAAAAGACCGGAAGGAGAGAGAAAGAGAGAAAGGGAAAGAAGAAAGAAGGAAAGAGAGAGAGGAAGGAAGGAAGAGGGAGGAAGAAAAAGGAAGAAAGAGAAAGAAAGAGAGAGGTGGGAATAAAGATAAGGATTAAAGCCATAACAATTAAAATATTGACCAATTGAACTCTCGTGCCTGCTATTTTTTCAATTCTCTTCCCAAACACTTTTGGCCAAAGAATGCTTTTTATTTGGGGTAAATGTTGTCCAGCCTTAAATTTTCATTTTTCTGGGTAAGGGTACTAAATCCTAGAGTGCTGATATACGATATTTAGGCCTCACCCCATTGGTAAGTGGAATGTGCCTGTTGATGTAATCAAATTCACAGAATGTGGAATATAACACCCTCTTGGTTAAAAAAATAAGCAGAGGGATTTCTGGCAGAATCCAACTAACACTCGCAGAAATGAAGCACATGAGGTGACGAATACAAATGGGTCACTTAGAACTAGGAAAATCCATTGTAACAGGGCACAGAACTTGTTCTTTTTAAGCAAGAGTCTTGCTAACATCCACATTTATTTCATTCATATTGAAGGTCTTCGAAAGCTTAAGCTCTGAAAATGGAAGTGGTTGATTTGAAGATGATAAATGGAAACTGGGAAATTAGACTGCTTCCATAGGTGGGCAGTGTGTCCTCTTTTTCAGGACTCCGGGGTCCCTGAATTGTGAGTTTTCCCTCACAGCCTCTCCACATTCTCTGTGCTGTTCACCTCCCACCCACTGCTCTGTCTTCCCTGTGTTAGTGAAAAATCAAGCTTTTCCCTCCCTAGCCCAGAGAGCTGAGCTTTTCCCTGCTTTACTACTGTGTTTAGGAAAAGGAGGCAGCTTTTTCCTAAAAAGCAGTGTTTGGAAGTTGGAGGCACGTATGATGCTTTCTGGGCTGTTATCTCCAATATCCTTGCTAGATGAGCAGCCTCGCATGTTGGGAAAGAATCTGTACCAGAATTCGGAATATGGGGCTTGTGGCCACGTAGCAATGAGGTCACTGACCAGCTACAATCCCTGGAGCAAACCATTCACACTGCAGTCCTCTGTTTCCTGCTGGTGATATTCGAGGTAGTGGCCATGTGAGCTCCAAGCTATGATTTGTTGTTGTTCTGAAATTCTATGTATTATTTAAATTATAATACCTCAGATAAATAAATGAAACATCTCCTGAATTTATTCTTAATATGTAATTCATGGCCAAGAATATTAACTGATGAAGTGAATCATTTAAAGAAGGACTTTGTAATTTTTCTGTGGGATTGTATTTCACCAGAAGTGCTTCAGTTCCGTTGAGTCCTGTGTGATGTACTTCAGCTTGTCTGTGAGCTGAGCTGGTCTAACACGCTAAGTGATAACAGAATGGATTCTGTGTTTTATGAGTCAGTCAGCCAGATCTCAAAGGGATAACAATTAGGAAAAATATATATAATTTATCCCAGTAAAAGAACTAGCCTATTGCTGAAAAAAAGTTGTACCCTGTATTATTGCTTTTTTTTTGTCCCACAGGTGTGAATAAACCTGGAAAGCATAAACATTTGGAAGTTATTGAAATTTATTGAAAATATAGTACAAAACTCCCACCCTTCCTTTGTTTCCACCCAAAATGTAGAATTATTATAGTTGGCTGCAGTTTTTCTTATATCTCAGTGGTGTAATTTTCCCACAAGTAAGAAAACTGAATGGGTAGTATCTAAGAATAAGAAGCTATTAAATAGCAATTTTACATGCCTTTATGATGAAATACTACAGAAGATGGGAACTGTGTGTCGTGAAGTCATGGAAGTCTTCAATGACTAATAAGGAAATAATCTGGCTGACAGCAGGTGTTCTGATTAACAGAGAAGTTATTTCATAGCATAATAAAGAATGGCATGAAGAATTATATTGTCAAAAAAACCTAGCCAGATTTTTTTGAGCAAAGAGGGGTATTTCCACCCCTGACTGCCCACTGTAAGAATAAGAGACGCTTATTGTAGGATTGGAAAACAGTGAAGGAAATAGAAACCGCTAATGGTATCACTCTCCTAAGGGGACTACTGTTATTTCCTCTTAGGCACTTTGTGTTCGCATATACATACACAGGCATGCCCATACCTGTGTGTGCATGCGTGCTTCATTTTTCATGGTGTGCTCTGTGTACATTTTTTGCAAGGTCCAATAGGCCATAAATGACAAAAAGATACTGGGAACCTCTGTCATTAGCACTCTAAAGTTGTATTCTTTCCACCAGGAACCTTTGCCTTTTAATTTTAGTCATTTATAATTTATTCTGCTCTTCATGCTTTGTCGGCCCTCTCACATACTGGATTTTAATAGTTTTTCCAAAGCAGGTGGTATACAGAAGTTGAAAACATTGTATCACTTAATCTATTTTATACATGGGCCCATATTAAAAAGCAAAAAAGTCATTCATGGTCTCAAGAAGTATCTTGAGAATTCATCAGTTCCATCTCCTTTCCTCAAATACAACTGCTCAGATCCTCTGAAACTAAGGACCTCCTGAACACAAAATTATAAACCACAAATAGGTTTAACACCCTTTGATGTCAGCACCTTTTTTCTTCTGCCTAACTTCAGTACCTTATGGCACAGCTTAACCCCATTTCCTTTTGATTTTTGTTCGTTGGCGATGAGGAACAGCTGGTTACCTCTTTTGTAAAAATGACCTTTTCCCAATATACAAACAAGATCAAATTACCCTTTAACTTTCTCTTCATGTTACATTTCTTCTTTTCATCCTTCTCTTTTACCATGAAAAGCTTGCTATGCACACCACATAGTGCCCAGCATATGGTCTGCATTCAATAAATGCCTATTCGACTGAATAAACTTCAGTATTCATTGTTAATTGCTGTGTAAATAAAGCATCACCCTCCTTCCTAATTACCTTCTCCCATTCCACCCACATTCCTGTACTGGTCAGTGCTACTGGGAAAGGCTCTGTGTCCAGCTGGGAGTAGGAGCTAGGCCATTGCTGAGACAGCACTTGCAAAGGCCATTTGCAAGGACTTGATCACATCCTTACTTTTCCCATCTTCAGTTTATGTCTGGAGGATAGGAAGTGAGTAGTGAACTGAACACAGAACAGTAGGTAACAGGTTTATCTCTTTTCAACTGATATAGTACTTTATAGTTTACAGTGCCTTTAGTGTCTTAGCAAGCATTTATTGAGTGCCTACTGTGTGCTACCCAGTGGGCAAGTGCTAGAGCTTCAAGGTTGCTTAAAGCAACCCTTGCCTTTAGGGAGCAACAGCCTAGTAGAGGGCCTGGAATGTGACAAAAAATCATGACACATTGTGATAAGGTTTCCTTTCTTTTTGAGATGGAGTTTCACTCTTGTTGCCTAGGCTGGAGTGCAGTGGTGCAATCTCAGCTCACTGCAACCCCCGGCCCCCAGATTCAAGCGATTCTCCTGCCTCAGCCTCCTAAGTAGCTGAGATTACAGGTGCACATCACCACACCTGGCTAATTTTTATATTTTTAGTAGAGACGGGGTTTCACCATATTGGTTAGGCTGGTCTTGAACTCCTGACCTCGAGTGATCCACCTGCCTCGGCCTCCCAAAGTGCTGGGATTACAGGCGTGAGCTACCATGCCTGGCCGTGATAAGGTGTCTAATAGAGGTGAGACCAAGGCACAATGGTGGCAGAAAGGAACAAGCGATAAGTTCTATCTGATGGTCAGGTGAAACTCCAGAAAAGGTGGTTGACTTGGTCTGTAGCACAGTACCTAAAATGTAATTTATTTAATATGGTTCCATTCCCCTGTCTTGAGGGTGGATACTGGTCTTCTGTTTTGGAAATCTTATTGCAGGTTGCTGGCTGGCTAAAGCATTGAATGGCAAGGAAGAAATGATTTTAGATGTAGCTGAAGAGTTAGAGGTCATATCTTCGAGGACACTGAAGGAGAAATAAGGGTTGGAAGTTTTTTGTTTTTGTTTTGAGACAGGGTCTTGCTTTGTTACCCAGGCTGGAGTGCAGTGGTATGATCATAGCTCACTGCAGCCTTGACCTCCTGGGCTTGTGCGATTGTTCCACTTCAGCCTCTCAATTAGCTGGGACCACAGGAGAGCACCACCACGCCTGGCTAATTTTTTAAACTTTTTGTAGAGACAAGGTCTCACCATGTTGCCCAGACTGGTCTCGAACTCATGGGCTCAAGTGATCTTCCTACCTCGGCCTCCCAAATTGCTGGGATTATAGGCGTGAACCTCCACACTGGCAAGGGTTGGAAGTTCTTATGTTAGAAAAAAAAACTGACAGCAGGAGGAGGATGAATGAGAGGAAGGTAAGTCAGGAGGATAAGGGAAACAGGAGGCTTTTTGTATAGTCGTGCACCATATGATGACATTTTGGTCAATAACAGAACATATCAACCATGGTGGTCCCATACGATTATAATGGAGCTAGAAAATTCCTTTCACTTGGTGACGTCGTAGCTGTTGTAATGTCATAGTGCAAATACTTTATTTTTCATAAATTTAGGGTAGCCTAAGTGTATAGTATTTATAAAGTCTACAGTAGGTACAGTAATATCCTAGGTCTTCAGATTCACTCACTACTCACTGACTCACCCAGAGCAACGTCTAGTCTTGCAAGCTCTGTTTATGGTAAGTGCTCTATACGCGACTACTATTTTTATCTTTTATATCATATTTTTACCATACGTTTTCTATGTTGAAATGTGTTTAGATACACAAATACTTATCATTGTGTTACAATTGCCTACCATATTCAGTACAGTAGCATGTTGTACACATTTGTAGCCTAGGAGCAATAGGCTGTACCATATAGCCTAGGTGTGTAGTAGGTTATACCATCTGGGTTTGTGTAAGTGCATTCTATGACGTTTGCACAATGACAGATTTCTCAGATTGCATCCCCTTCATTATGTGATGCGTGACTACATTCCAAGGGTGAAAAGATGGCCGCTCAAGAAAAGGCTGGAGAGGCAGTGGGTTAAGATAAGGAAAAATTTAGAAAGTAGGAGGAAGATTGAACTTACTTTGTCACAAATTTATGTGGTCACAGAAGGCACTACTGCAATGAACCCTGTGTTCCTGGGTAGGAATCATGTATTAACTGAACGCGACATGAGGTTGAAATGATTATTTGTAAACTGTTGACTGTCAGACGTTTCAGAGGGGCCTGTGAGGTATAGAGGTTGGCATGATTCGTTGGAGACATAAATACAAGTGTGACTTTGGACACAAGTCTGAATGAAGGGTCAGTGTAACTTTTCTGTAAAGGATCATTTCATAAATATTTTAGGCTTTGTGGTCTCTCTGCATCTGAATTCTGCTATTGCTGCACAGAAGTTCCCATGGACAGTACATGAATGAATGAATGTGGCTCTGTTCCAATAAAACTTTATTTAAAGAAATGGACGGTGGGCTGGATTTGACCCGGGGCAATAGTTTTTTGATCCCTGGTCTAGATGATTATCAACAGGCAGGCTCTAGTTGATCATGGGAGTGTGTGAGGGGGTGTCCTGTGTGAATATGTCCAGACAGGCACCCCAGGGAATATAACCAGCGATTGTAGAGTACAACAAACCAGCAAAGAAAAATGAGATAACTATCGATTGGGGAAAGACTAAAGTGGGAGAGTTTTCAGTGTTAGGGAGGGTGCATGTGTTGAAGTCAACTGTCACAGACATAACCTGAGTGCAGAGATGATAACCCACAGTGCTTGTGGGATTTGTGTGTTAGGAGGGGAGTTTTAGTGGAGGGTGGGGCAGAAGGAATTTTAAGAGTGAACAAGAGGCAAGAAGTGAAGACAGGAGTTCTAGGCCGTGTTTCCTGTGTGTTGTCCCATTCAGAGATCATAACTCTGCAAGGGAAGAAGGCAGCTATATTTACTTCACTTTTAAATATGAGGAAACGGGTCCTCAGGAAGTTAAGTGAATAGCTCAAGCCTGTGCCAAAACTCACACTCAGGTGTTTGCACCTTATGTTTGTGTTATTTTATTTTATTTTTTACTTTAGCCACCTGGACCCCAGTTAATTCTCTTGGTGATTCTGTAAAATTTCAAGTTAAGCAAACCCTGTCTGGTTTGACCAAGAAGAGTCACCTGTTGGTTTACTGATCCCCAGTTGAGTTCACAGGTAAAAGCCACCCTTATAGAAGAATCCAAAACAGACTCTGTTTTTGCAAATTATCGCTTTCTTTTCTGTGTGTGTGAGACAGGGTCACACTCTATCACCCAGGCTGGAGTGCAGTGGCACGATCATGGCTCACTGGAGCCTTGACCTCCAGGCTCAAGCAGTCCTCCTACCTCAGCCTTCGGAGTAGCTGGGACCACAGGCAAATGCCACCACGCCTGGCTTTTTTATTTTTATTTTATTATTTTATTTTATGTTTTTGAGACGGAGTCTCACTCTGTCGCCCAGGCTGGAGTGCAGTAGCGCGATCTCAGTTCACTGCAAGCTCCACCTCCCAGGTTCATGCCATTCTTCTGCCTCAGCCTCCCGAGTAGCTGGGACTTCAGGCGCCTGGCCACCATGCCTGACTAATTTTTTTGTATTTTTAGCAGAGACGGGGTTTCACCGTGTTAGCCAGGATGGTCTCGATCTCCTGACCTCGTGATCCGCCCCTCTCGGCCTCCCAAAGTGCTGGGATTACAGGCGTGAGCCATCACACCCAGCCAAACTATCACTTTCAGTTACAGAGATCAGACAACATTTTGTGTAAATATGATGCCTCTTTCTGAGTCTGAAGACCACGTCGTACATTAGGCACACTGGCTTGGTTAATCTCTGCATCACTTCCTGGTTGCAGAAGTGCTATTTTCATCTTACCAGTGAGAAACTCCTTTTAGAGTGCAAGATGCTGTCCAGAGGAAGTAGGGGGCTGGGATTTAAACTCCAATGTCCCCGAGGCTTCTCACAGGTAGAGTAACTGTAACATAAACTGATGGCAAATTCTGGAACGCAGGTATGACACTCCCTCTTGTCTCTTGTTTTGATCACATTGTCTCTGCTTTTTTTCTTTTTGTGCCCCCCTCCCCCCCCCCCACACACACTTCTTCTGGTAGTTGCTGTAGTTTAATCTTTAAGAAGGTTGCAGGGGTTTGGAATTTGTTACATCCTGTCTTCTCATTCTGAGGTCTACCACCATGGCTGGGCATGTGAACCCAGCCAGTGGTAAATGATAAAAATATGCTGTGATTGGAAGGAGGTGGAGAGCGAGCAGGGAACACAGGAAGCAGAGAGGGATTTGTGGTGAAGGGTGGGAAGGGGCCTGGGCCTGGAGGGCCCCACCAATGTGTCTGTGTACCCTAAACACTTCTGTTTTCAGCTGGCTTGCTTCTGCTCACAGTTTCTCAATTTACATATGTAAGAACTGCAGGCAAAATGACTGGAATCAAGGGCACATGCCACTTGGATCCTTGCCAGCTTTTATTTCAGGCTGACAACTCTTTGGATGTAATACAAGATTTATAGTTGTTTGTTTCTTCTAATGAGGTGGCAAGGTAAATCTGCATCTGTTACAGCTGTTTGGCACAGGATATATTGATTTATTTTCTAAAAGAAACATGAAAACATAAAAATTTCAAGGTCTAAAAATAGTGTACATTATTGTGATGGTAACTGAACTTATCAGAAGTCAACTTATCCTTGTTGACTTATCCTTGTTACGTAAGTCCAACTTATCTTGTTGATGAGTGTGGGTGGGAGGCACGACTGAGAGATATATTGACAGTGAAGTTGAGTAAAAGCTCTTCCATTTCTCTTGAACTTCTGGAGCAGGAGAGTCACATCATGGGATTTGAGCAGGGGAAGAAAATCTTCTGGTGTTTCTCTCAGGTGTCTGCACAACCCGACCTCATCCAGAGCCTGAACTGGAGTGTCAGCCTTCCATGGCACATGCTAATGCAGGGCCCAGGGCACCTTGGCGATGCCTTTAGGGAGGTTCCAGGAGGAGCTGCTGTCTGCTCATCAGGGGCTTTGAGTGTATCTCACATATCATAAGTGGAGCTTGTTCACCTCATGCTCTTCTTTGAATGGGAAATTCTGTTCTCTATCATTAAACTATGCAGAATAGAAACAGTGTGGAGCAGAAAGGTTTAAAGAAGGAAACCTATGGATTTTTAACTTGCTTATGTATAACTAAGTCAACTGAGAGAAGAGAGCAGTCTTAATATAACGTAGAGGGAGGTTTTCTCTTTTTATTTTTTTAGCAGAAATTTTTTAGCCTGTTCTATTGCAAAATAAATTCAACTTGTCTTGGAGAAGAGCCACACAGATGGAAAATAGTGGAAAGACAGTTAAAAAAAAAAGCTTAACATAAATGGCAAGGTAACCACTTGTAGCTTTATGTTATGAGGATTGGTATGATGTATCCTATTTTATTTAAAGAGGAATAAACTTAAACTTCATGTTGATGAAGTTGGCAGATGATCCTGAATCAGGGGAGATATCAAAAATCTGGAAGGACAGAAATATTATAATCTCCTTCAGGAGATTAAAAGTATAGGCAGGAAATAACAAAATGAGATACAGCTTGGAAAGTGCACACTAATGCGGCTGGGAAAAAATAATGTAAAATGCAGAACCTAAGTGAACAGAAGAAATGTGCACCAAAATGCCAAAGGCAAGCAATATTTGGATGTATACATTGCACAACAGTCCACCACAGTGGGCTGACCATTAGGGGCCACCTACATTGCTCATCCTCAATAGAGAAAGAGGGCTGGGCGCAGTGGCTCACGCCTGTAATCCCAGCACTTTGGGAGGCCGAGACGGGCGGATCACAAGGTCAGGAGATCGAGACCATCCTGGCTAACACGGTGAAACCCCATCTCTATTCCAAATACAAAAAATTAGCTAGGCGTGGTGGTGGGCGCCTGTAGTCCCAGCTTCTCAGGAGGCTGAGGCAGGAGAATGGTGTGAACCTGGGAGGTGGAGCTTGCAGTGAGCTGAGATCGCGCCACTGCACTCCAGCCTGGGGGACAGAGCAAGGCTCTATCTCAAAAAAAAAAAAAAAAAAAAAGAGAAAGACATGATTATTTTTGCAGAAGGATGAACAGCAGTGTTTATTTTTCATTTCCAAAATTTCACCATTTAAGAGATAAGGAGATGGTAAGTCAGTCATTGGCAGAAAGCGACATAACAACAGGGAGTGTGGGACTCTATGACAATAGGAATGATGAATGTCTGAACTGAGACAATGTAGCAGGGTAAGTGGAAATAGTGGACTGAAATGAAATTTAGGAGGGAAAATCAACAGAGTGAAGATCCAACAAGGAGGAAGGAGAAGTTGAAGATGATTCTATGTAGCTTCATGGCTTTATGGAGTGCATGGCCATTGTCACTACCCACGAGAGGCATTATAGGTGGAAATGCAGATTTGGCATGAAAGATAATGAATTCCATATTGGTTGAGTTGCTTAAATTGGTTGGAGCTTAAAGGATGTTCAGCTGATAGGAGTTCCTAGCATGTAAATGAATATTAAGGTCTGACTGGGTTAGTGTGTCAGCTAATTTGAAGTGTTGATGAGTGATAGGAAATTTCACATAATTATGTTGTAGAGACCTTTAGCGTGTTATCTCAAAAGGCTGAAAAATGTGAGAACCTCAGACAACTTGGTGAGCCAATGGAAGCCAATCATTTAAACAGGCGTCTTTAGATAAGACTCTGCTTATTCAACTTTCTTAAATATGGCTACGGTATTATAGATAAAGCTATGTGAGTAACCAGACATTTAAAAACACATATTGTTTTTAAGAACTATATAAGAAAATAAGTATTTTTCAGAAAGTGTATGAGTTCTCAAATTTAGTTTTATCGGAAAAATCTTTGTTTGAGAAAATTAATTTAAAAATCATCACCAATTCTCAAAAATCATGGAAATTTTGATGAGCACTGGATATAAGTCCTGCATTCTAAGGAAGCTAAGTTGGAAGTCAGATTGTTGCCTCATTTCTTAAGACATCGGGACTGATGATCTCCCTGGATAGTAATTAGCTGTTAATGAGCACAGTACCCAGACTAGAAGTGTCCCTAAAATAGCTGAAACATACACTCGAGCAACATTTTAGTTGTTTGTTTGTTTGTGTTTAGACAGGGACTTGCTTCTGCTGCCCAGGCTGGAGTGCAATGGCATGATTATGGCTCACTGCAGCCGCAAGCTCCCTGGACTCAAGTAACCCTCCCACCTCAGCCTCCTGAATAGCTGGGTATATAGGTGCACACCACCACACCCAGCTAATTTTTAATTTTTTTTTTTTTGTAGAGGCAGGGTCTCACTGTGTTGTCCAGGCTGATCTGGACAAGCAATCCTCCCACCTCAGCCTCCCAAGGTGCTGAGATTACAGGCATGAGCCACCATATCTGGCCAACATTTTAGATCTTAATTGAAAACTTAGGAAAGTTGAATTATTGATCTTCAACTAAAATACAACCTTCATAAAATGAGGGCTCAACATCACAGAATTTGGGGGAAGGGTGCTGGACCCAGAAAATTGGGTTCTGGGGCAGTATCTGCCCCTTTTAGATGCATGAGCTTTACAAGGCTCTTGAGATACCTGAGCCTGAGTCTATAATGCCTGAGGGCAGGTGCCACTCCTCCCTTTGACATCTTCGTTGTAGAGTTTCAGGAGGTGCAAATGTTCATTGATGAAAATTCCAGCAACCTTCCTTACAGGTACAGTCATGCATTACTTAATGATGGGGATACATTCTGAGATATTCGTCATCAGGAAATTTTATCATTGTGTGAACATCATAGAGTATACACACACAAACCTAGATGAGATAGCCTACTACACACCTGGACTGTACGGAATAGCCTGTTGCTCCTAGGCTACAAACCTATACGACGTTACTGTTCTGAATACTGTAGGTGATTGCAACACAGTGGTAAGTATTTGTGTACTAAACACATCCTAAACATAGAAAAGGCACAGTAAAAATACAGCATTATAATCTTATAGGGCCACTGTCGTATATGCAAAAACATCGTTATGGGGCACATGACTGTAAAAGTCAAATGCTTTCATGTGCATATGAGGCATATGAGATAATATACATATATAAAGTAAATTCTTAATGTAGGCAAAGACCATGTGTCTCAGACAACAAATGAGGGGTACACATGTGTTTCATCATAAAGAAGTTTTACTACAAGTTAGGGGCTAACTAGAAACTGAGGCTGTGTGCTTCTCAAAATGTTTTCTACTTCCTCCCCCTCATTATTAAAGTGTCTCAGTTATTGTCATTGTTTATATTTAATTTTCAGAAGGGAGATAAATAGTATTCAGTCATTCCTAAACATATTTGACTTAATTAATCCCCCCCACACACCCCACTCCACTTTTCTCTCTCTCTCTCTCTCTCTCTGTCTTTTTTTTTTTTTTTTATGGTAAATCTTTTGGATCACTTGTTCTGAAGGATATGAGCTGGGAACTCATGACCAGAGATTCTAGAAAAGATGGAGGAGGCAGTGTTTTGGGAAATGACCTTTGGCAGTGTAAGAGAAGTTTGTCACCCCTTCGAGTCTGCAGCATATGGGATGTGGGAGGATGTATAGAACAGACAAGTTTGGTGGAGGTGCTCTTATAGCACAGCCCTTTCTGGGGGAGCCAGCTTCCAATTTGGAAGGGAGGGGATTTATTGAAGAGGTGAAAGGTATATGGGTGTTATAAGTTGTATTGTGTCCACCCAAAATTCTTATGTCAAAGTCCTAACCTGCTAGTACCTCAGCATGTGTGCTTGTTTAAAACTAGGGTCATTTCAGATGTATTGAGATGAGGTCATTAGGGTGGACCTCATCTTAATACACCTTTATAAGGACTGGTGTGTCCTTATAAAGAGGAGAAATTTGGACACAGGCACACAGGAAGAACGTCATGTGAAGATGAAGGCAGAGGTTGTGCGGTGCTTCTGCCAAGGAACGCCATGGAATGCTGAAGATGGCAGCAACCACCAGAGGCCGAAAGATGTCTGGAGCAGATTCTTTTTCTCAGACTTCGGAAGGAATCTACTCTGCCAACACCTTGATCTACACCTCCGGCTTTCAGAGCTGTGACAATAAATTTCTGGTGTGGAAGCCATCCAGTTTATGGTGCTTGGTTACAGAAGCCCCAGGAAACTAATACAAGGGGAGATGTTAGCATGGAGAATTCCAGCAGAATTCTATCAGAGTGGTGGATGGTCCAGTAAAGGGAAAGCGAGGAAATCGTGAGAATTGTTCCCTTTGTGGGTGGTCACTAAAGTATGGGAGCAGAGCTGCACTTCTGCATGTGGATTTGCCGGCCACATGTTTCATTTGTAATGGTAGATGTATCATCAGGTTCTGGCATGTGTGGGACAGGAAACGCCTGAAGGAATTTTAGACAAATGTGTCCTGAGATGTCCAGCAGCACCACTGAAAGAGTACCACAGTGATTTGTTCTAGAGCTTTCAACAAGTTGATCAGTTTCATCCACTTCACCTGTTGCTGGGTTTTTCTTAACCTTAGCAAGAACACTAATTAGTTATGAAAACCTATATTGATGAATGAGGTGAAGGCGGTGAGGAACATGCATACTCTCTGTTAGCCATTGATTCATTCATTAGTGGACTGCTCTGGGAAAGAGTATTTCAGATTATAAGAAAAGCTCCAAAATGTTGTAGGATGTCAGTTAATCCTATGACTACATCTACTACTTATGAAAGAAGTATGTACTGTCATTTGGAACAGTATAAATGTTTAAAGTCATTAACTATCTTATATTGTGGGTCTGGTTTAGTAATTTTTACAAACTAACATCTTCCAGTGTGTGCCTTGATCTTGTAGGAGGGAAGATATTGAAATTCAGCGTGAATTTTCTTTGGCAATTGCCCGATTCTTTTTCATTTTTCTGTTTATAAACCAATTTGAGTGCAGTGGATTTTACTTACTTAATCCTGAAACTGTATGCAGCATATCTTTTCTTCTTTGGCGGCTGCTTCACTGCTGTTGAAATCAGCTCTCATGCCTGCACATGGCATCTGGCTCACTCACCACCCCCCCGTGTGTATGTGCGCCCTTCTCTGTGAGCCGGTGGCTCAGCTGCCCACAAATGCAAGTCTGTGGGTCAGAGATGGTACTGAGAAGTGGAAAACTGTGCGTGTGTTTGCACATTTCATTTAGACTGTACTTCCCTTAGTCCTTTCAAAAGAACTAAAGCGGGGGGAGGGGAGAACTTAATTTTTATACAGATTGTTCTGTATTTTCACAATGAGATCATTTCAGTTACATCAGTGATAAAAATAATTAGGAAGTAATAGTGGGCTGATAATTAGATTGGGAGCAACAAGATGGTGTTATTGATCCTAGCCCAGCTGTGTCCTTATTATGAGATGTTGGTTAGAATTCTCAATAGCCACTGGGGTGATAGGAACCTGCCTCAGACAGTGTTTGTAATAAAAACTTGCTACAAGGCATGTTGTGAAATTAAAATGCATTCATCTAGAGAGAAATCCTGGAGTTTCTTATCGTTGCTAATTAGAAACAGGTTGTATTTTCAGAGGAAAGGACCTTAAATGTATTTTCCGAGAATGTTTTTACGGTTGCATGACATGACTTGGGGAGTACATAGGGGAGCACTAGAGCAGGGGCCCAGTTTTTCTTTTCTTTTCTTTTCTTTTCTTTTTTGAGATGGAGTCTCTTGCTCTGTCACCCAGGCTGGAGTGCAGTGGCACGATCTTGGCTCACTACAACCTCCGCCTCCCAGGTTCAAGCCGTTCTCCTGCCTCAGCCTCCCGAGTAGCTGGGACTACAGGCGCCTGCCACCACGCCCAGCTAATTTTTTTGTATTTTTAGTAGAGACGGGGTTTTGCCATGTTGGCCAGGCTAGTCTCAAACTCCTGACCTCAAGTGATCCACCCGCCTCGGCCTCCCAAAGTGCTGGGATTACAGGTGTGAGCCACTGCTTGGGGCCTGGCTTTTCTGACTCGGCTTAGGAATTTGGAGGATGTGGCTGGGATGCTCATGGCATAGAACTCAGCTTGCTCCTTGTTTTCCTGAAGCTGACATGACAAGCCCCATGCGTTATGCCGTGAGCGTTTGATGTCAATGGGAAGTGGCGTGCTCAGTGACAGGAGCCAGCCTAGACTGTAAAGTCAACTTACAATGAACTTATCTTTATTTATGTCCTGTTTTGGTTCCAACGACTGGACATGGACATTTGATTTGGCATCATTTTCAGTATTATCTCATGAGGACTCTTGGAATATTTCATTTGCTTGGTCTACATCTATCTAGGCTCTGGACTATGTATCCACTCTATGATCAAACTTGGAATTTTCCTGATGCCTGGGGATGGGCTGGAGTGTTTACAAGTGGAGTAAATATGAATTCAGCCAAGATATAATTGATACAAAGAGAGGGTAGTATTTAAGGATTGAGATGACACTTGTATGAATGAAATAAAGGCCAGGATTGGTTTCTAGTGCCAATAGAACTTTGATTGCTTATTCTTTAAGTAAGATTACTTTTAAGCAAGCAAACAAAAACCACCTGAGTTTTTTGAATCATCCTCTAGTTCAGTTTCTTAGGAATGCAGTGCCAAAAATGGTATTTTAGTAAAAGAGAAACTGTGTCAGGATACATCACTCTGAATGTGACAGCATGCTAGGCAGGAGGCTGACTACATCCTATCATGTTGATGGTTTATATTGTTTTCACCACACTCCAGATGCCTGGAGCTGTGGGCTGACTTCTCGTTGATCTGCAGTGAGCCTCTGTAAAAATGTTCTTTAATACCCAAGAGATACCCTGTTGCAAATAATACTTTTCAGAAAAGTCTTTAAAATTCAGGTAAAGGCAATTCATTCATATGAGTTGTTTCTCCAGCTGAAATTGGCATTCTCAATGATGTTCTCAATGAACTGATGATAAAGCCAACTCAAGACCTCCCACCCCCAAAAAACTCCCAAACGCCCAAAACTGTCGTGAAAAGAAGGAAGTCTTGTTCATGGCTCTCAGGATGTCTGTAGGAATTTGCACACTGACATGAACTTAAAGCAGGACAGATGGATGGCAAGGGCTGTGCATCTCATTGGATATTTAACTTGGGAAATGAGAACAGTGAGTCTAGCACGTAGGCAAATAAAGTTCTGCAGAATGAAGCTGATTAAAGAATTTGAATTTGAACCTGGAAGGACTTCTATGGTCCTTTCTATGTATGTAATGGTGTTTTTGTAGGTAAATATTTGAGGTTACTCTGTATAGTAGGTTCAAATGTTTGTGAAAGTGCCTTAGAGTTAGAAAACAATTAACCCAGGTTGAGTCTATTATGTTTCCTGCTCATTTGTGGGAAAGCTGGTGATCCCACACTGAAAGGAAACTGGACCAGCACCTTCTCTTCCCTGGACGGACGTTATTCATGCCCCAGCAGCAATAACAATGCCTCGTCTCAAGAGCTAAAAATCTGTTGATTCCAGCTGAAGTGTTTAGAGAAAAGTGCATTGAAGACTGAACCATATAAACAGGTCAGAGTGAAAGCCAATTTTTATAACCAGAGTCAAAATCAGTGTGGAATAATTCATAGGTCATTCTTAATTTTATGTTAAACATTGTGCTAGATTATCTCCATCTTTTTGGCCCGTGCTTTCAAAATATCCCCATGATCAAAGCTTCTTAGATAGGATATGTTTCCCTCCATTGTGGGGAAACACAGAGCCTATGGTCGTTCTGTCCTGCGAGCCTCTGCTTCCTCTGCAAAGTGAGAGCTCCTTTTCCTTGTGTTTCCTGACCTCATCCAAGGGTTTTTAAATTATTTTCTAAGGGAGGGTGTCACTGTCTTTGGAAAGATCTAAAATAGCAAATTTTTGTTTTCCTGTATACATATAAGAAAACTGGAAGGAGGGATCAGTAGAAACTTAGGTCTACCTTAGCTACAATTCATTTATTTATTCAGTAGCAATAATAGAGGATTCGTGCCTGTTAGAGCCATAGCGCTTGAGCAGGCAAACAGGCCTCATCTGCCGTGCTCCTTGGGCTCTCATCTTCATAAGGAGGACAGTATTGTGGGAAGGTTAGTAGCGAAGTCAGTTTTCAGTGTCGCATTTCCAAATTTTTGTGGTCTTTCCACATAAGAGTTTGAAAATATAAAGGGCTTCAATTCGAACTGTTTGGCAGATGTAGCAAAAGGTATCCTGTGGGTCCTTTTATTCATGTTTGTTTCATGTCTTCCACATACCTGATAACTCTTACAGAACAGTACGTGCTGGAGTGGAGGAGGTAAGCTCAGTCATGGAGGAGGGGTTAGACACGTGGAGGTGTGCTTAAGTAGACCAAAAGCTCTGCAAGGGGTTTAGCATCGCCTGGGGATACAATGCGTGGGGAGGGGTTTGTTTAGGGAAGAATTTCAGGATGTCAGGATGTGTGCTTTATAGATAACAATTTCATTTAACCTTTAAAATCCCCCGAAGTATGGATCAGCTCCATTTTACAGATTAGGACAGAGTTGCAGTGAGTAGCCCAAAGACATGCCAACACATTGACTAAAATAACATTGAATCACCAAGAAATGTTCTTCAGGGATGTAAAATGCACCAAGTTTGACTTTCCTAAGCTGACGTTTTTAGCTGGCTTTGTTCAGATATTTTTCTACAAGTATATAAGTTTTGTTTTATTACAAAGACATTTATTGGGTTTTAAAAATTCATTCAGCCAATCATTCAGAAAATCTATAAGGGTTAACTACTGACATTTGTAGTTCATTCTGATTTAGGAATCACCATATGGTTTAAATTCCAATTTGAGAAAAAAATTACTAAGTAGAGATATATTTGTATCATCATATTTGTTTAAGCTCTGGGTTTCCAAAACAGTGTATATAGATAGTATTGGACATTGTGAATGGGCTAGTTTAAATTAAGAACAATTTCACTCATAGCAGAAAAATTATTTTTCGATGAAAGGAGATGATAGGATTTTCCCCCCATGCTGTTTCATGTTGAAGATATTTCAGCAAATTGGTCAGAGTTCTGCCAAAGTATTTTGAATGTTCTTTAGAAGTGTTTGGAATGACCTGATTTTTCTCCTCAGGACACATCTGAATTTTCTTAGGCTTTTGGAACTCTTTTTTTGTTTTAAATGTTACATAAGCTCTTTGGTTCGAGCATTGAATGACATGTTATGACATTTAAGGGGAAAAAATTTTATAAGCATTAATCAATGTAAGATATTTGTTGCTTTTTCATTCGACCCCATCCAGCTTTCATCCTGATGCACACCATACTGGAGGCATGGCTGCTTGTTTAATTGTTTAGTGCAGAACGCGGTTTGATCTCTTTCTTGTGCTTTCAGTGCTGGTAAATTAATCAAAAGAAGTTACTGCTCTGCTGGGCATTAGCATGGGTTTAGATGTTTCTGCTTCAGGGCCTGTTCATCAACTAAAATGCTTTTAAGCCCCAAATGGAGAGTAAACAGCGTTGCTGCGGCCACTTTGAGGTGAGCCATTACTTGTGACCCGCTTACATTTGGGAAGGGGCCTGTTTGTATTAGCAGTTATTCTGGTTTGGGTTATAGCATTTTCAAAATGTTTTTTCTCCTTTTTATTTTAGTGTTTTTAGTATTTGTAAAGAGTGCCCCCCATCACCACCATGTATATACACATAGGCATTTCAATAACAGTATGTGGAGATTAAAATCAGTGGACATTTCTATGAAGTTTGAAAGGTGAAATGTGTATCTTCACCATGGCTTGTAGTGAGAGGACAGTGAAATTATAATGCCAATTGAGATAGCAGATAGCAGAATAGTTTTGACTAACATGAAATTGTGGATCCTTAGGTTGTTTTTCTGTCTTCCGTGAAATAAAAGTTGACACTTTCTAACTCTTGGCAGCAGGTGGGCCAGGCATTTGGGAGGCACTGCAGACGCTGAAGAGAACAGACCTTTGCCTTGCAGGAATCAGTCCTTCCAGGAAGACAGGCCTGGAAATGGTGATTTCTGGGCATGGGCTGAGTATTCTGATGGGAAGAGAGTGGAGGAGGGGGAAGTGAAGCTGGCAGAGGGGAAGGAGGGCCTGACGGAGATGGGAGAAGCATCAGAGGACCCCGCCAGGAAGGAGACGACACTGGAGGTGGTCTTCAGGATAGAGCTGAAGTTAGCCGAGGGGAGTCCAGATGCGAGGGAGTTTGCGGTGCAGGTTTTGTCTGGAGAAAAGCAGAGCAGTGGGAATGTGGGTGAGGAGGGGGTGTAGGCAGCAGGGAATCATGACGCAGGCATTGTCACATCGATGTCAGAGCAGGAGGCTGTGCTCGGTGGGGGCAGTCAGAAAGCCCCTTGAGTGAGCAGCTACAGAGCTTAGGCTGTTCCTGGGGCAAGGGAGATGGGAGGAATTTAAGAAAGAGTGGGACAGCTTTGCCTTAGGAGCAGACCAAGGCTGCGGTGTAGACAGGCAGCAGCCAACTCATGTTCCTTCCGATTTTCTTTAAAACTGGAAAGGAAGTTAAAATGGGACATTCTGGTCACTATAGAGTAGAATGAATGCCTGATGATAACTGTCACATTGTCTCTTTAGTTTCTAATTGTTGACATCTAAGTTTGTTTTTAAAATAATTATTTGGCCAGGCATGGTGGCACGTACCACTAGTCCTGGCTACTAAGGAGGCTGAGATGGGGGATTGCTTCAGCCCAGGAGTTTGAGTCCAGCCTGGGCAACATAGCAAGACCACATCTCTAAAAAATAAAACAAAACAAAACAAAAAAACGAAGAAGAAGAATTATTTGCATGTATGTGAGCTCCTGTTTGTATACGAAACAACCAAGTTCATCTTTAGAAATCATCTGATTGTCTCAATATTTATTTACTTATTTGTGTCCCTCTAAAGCCACAGTAAGGAGAACTTCGGTGAAGTCCTCCCTGAAGGGTCACTGGTCCAGTTCGTGTGGAAGACAGGCCGGTGTCCAGAAAGCAGCTCCTGACCCAGGCAGAGCAGGCTGCATTTCTCAGAGTAGTCGCTAGAGTTTTCAGGAGACCAAATAAAATAGTACACATCTGTGTGTAGTTACCAAAGCCAGGAACACGGGCCCTAACTGTGGGCAGTTTCCCTCTGCTAGTGCCCCCTCTTCCTTGGTTACTCTCATCTGTCTCTAGTTTTGGGCCATACACTGTGCCCACCCCCACACTGAAGCAGCCTCCCTCCCCACAGCTATCCCCCCGATTCTGACTCCCACCTGCTTCCATGTTGCTCTGCCCGGCTCCCATTCCGAAGGCCGGTGGTTTCAGCCCAGCTTTGGGAGCACCGTAGATACTTTCAGTTCAGCAGGGCCCTTCGCCCCACCACGTGATGGGATTCTAGAAATGAGTGTGTTCCAGTAATAGGGAGGAAGTGTGGGGAGCCTGGGGGCCCTGTCGGCAGGTACCTCATATGTGTAGTTTTGGCATCGAGTTTATACGAGCACATGGGCATCAAAAAGCTTGCGAAGAAAAGTCCTCTTCTGCTCGATGTATACAAAACTTCTGTTTTGAAAGAGTTGCTTGGGGAAAAAAAAAAGGAATCTTTTTGGAATTACACGTGTAGTTCACTAAAGTATTCCTAGTGACAACATAGCCATGTTTAAAGCCTGAGATTGTGTTGTTCTCTGTCCAGGGTCCAACAGGGAACTGAAATCTTGGAGGTTTTCAGCACCACAGTGTATCAGAGCACTCACAGAGAGCTTGGGAGTCTCAATGACAAAGGCGCCCGTGGGCTCACAGCTAGTACTGCGTCTTTGGTGGACAAAAGCTCCATTTTCCTGATAAAATTTAGCTTACTGTGCAAATGTGATTTATTTGGTGGGTTTCCTGATTCTCCTACAAGGAGATTCTCTGTGGTTATTTGAAAGTAACTAAGTCAACCTCCCATACCTTGGCTTACTTTGAATTCAACCTCGTCAACAGATGCCCTGAGGGCCCCAGACTGTAATAAGCAGCTCTGCTACAGTGCCTACCAGAAGGGTAAAGGCACAGTGCAAAGAAATGGCAACATCTTGTTTTCTAGGACTTCTTCAAATACCTTGTACTTGGAAAGTTATGATGGAAATATCCTGTAATGTAGCATCACTGAAATGGCTTCATTTTAGGCAAGGATTGTAAAGCTTTAAAATTGAGTGAAACCTTGAAGTGTTTTTATTATTTATTTATTTTATTTTATGATTTTTTTTTCTTTTAAGAGACAGGGTCTCACTCTATCACCCGAGCACAGTCATGGCTCACTACAGCCTCCAACTCCTGGATTCAAGCGATCTTCCTGCCTCAGCCTCCTGAGTAGCTGGGACTACAGGCGTGATTGCCATGACTGGCTAATTTTAAAATTTTCTGTAGAGACAAGGTCTCGCTATGTTGCCCAGGCTGGTCTTGAACTTTTGGGCTCAAGCAGTCCTCCCACCTAAGCCCAGGAGTTTGGCCTCCCAAAGTGCTGGGATTAAGCCTGGCCTGAATTGTATTTACACTGCTTTTAATAACTTATTTGCTTTTTCTTTACAAAAGTAATCTATGTTAATAATATAAGCAGAAATAATAAAATGAAGGAATAATACACCCAAATCAGAGATAACCACTTTCTAAATCATTTTCTCCTGAAGTTTTATCACTGCATGTATATGTATGTATACATCTAGTATGTGTCTAAAATTGGATGCTACTGTTACGTGTACTGTTGTAATTTGCTTTCTTCATTCAACAATAGGTAGTGAGGGCCAGGCACAGTGGCTCAGGCTCATGCCTATAATCCCAGCACTTTGGGGGGCCAAGGCAAGAGAGTACCAATGGGCATATATATTGGTGCAGTCCTACGTAAAGGCAATCTGAATACAAATTTTACATGTGCATAACTTCTGAATAGGCAGCTTGGCTATTTATCCTAAGAAATTTATCCTAAGAGGCCAGGCGCAGTGGCTCACGCCTGTAATCCCAACACTTCGGGAGGCTGAGGCAGGTGGATCACTTGGGGTCAGGAGTTCAAGACCAGCCTGGCCAATGTGGTGAAACCCCATCTCTACTACAAATACAAAAATTAGCCAGGAGTGGTGGCATACCCCTGTAGTCCTAGCTACTTGGGGGACTGAGGCAGGAGAATCGCTTGAACCCGGGAAAAGGTTGCAGTGAGCCGAGATCATACTCTTGCACTCCAGCCGGGGCGACAGAGTGAGACTCTGAAAAAAAAGAAAGAAATTTATCTTAAGAAAGTAAATGGATAAATAGACAAGGTCATAGGCACAGTCACTAGCTTATTGTTCATCAGCAGGTCCTTGAGAGTGCAGTAGATGTAAAATGTATTGTTCTGGAAGAATGGACATATGCTGACTGCATGGTTTTTTGTTTTGTTTTGTGTTTAGAGACAGGGTCTCACTATGTTGCCCAGGCTGGAGTGCAGTGGCAGTGCAAGCATAGCTCAATGCAGCCTCTAACTCCTGGCCAGTGCTTGTTTGCCCACACATAAGCATTATGTGATATTAGTCTACTTTGTTGTTGCCAAACTCTGTTCAAAGTGTTTCCTCTACCTCAGATTCTTTTTGGCTGGTTTTAGTTCAGCATCTCTATCCATGGTCTCAGAACTAGCTCAGGGCAAGGCTCCTCTGATTTTTCTTTCTAACTCTCCTCCTTCCCTTTCCTTGCCACCCTCTAGCGTGTCTTTGAGCTATGTGTGATAGCAGGTTTTACTGGGGTGATTTATAAATAGGTCATCTCTCCCCTCTTGCACTGTGGAGTACTGGGGGGCACCACCAGCGCTGGCTGCTGTGGGGTCTTTGTGCCCTCCCTCGGTCTCCTTCAGCAAGCTGGGCCCTTAAGCTCTTGTGCCAAGAGAAGGGACAGACAGGGCAGAGTGGAGGAGTGGGCATGGGGCGCTGCTGATCAGAGAAAGGGTAGCCTGGTGGCCAACAGCACGTCCAAGAACACTGTATGAGCAAAAGTGGCAGGGAAATCCGGGAAGTGGGAGCTCACAAACCAAGTGCTAACACTTACAGGGTGTGGTTCCACAGCTGCCCTTTGGCTCGACCCACAATCCTTTATACAGCCATTTCTAGCTTATTTCCAGCCCCCAGCTCAGTGCTGACTCATGTGAATGTTGGCCAGACGCTCTGGCTTGTGTGGTTATTGGCTTCCTCTCCCTTTGTTGCATACAGTCCTCTGTTTGCCTTTCTACAGAGTACAGCAATGCATAGCTGCAAATTTGAGAATCTCATTCTAGTGCGGTAGGTCAGTCCACAAATACTCTCTGAGTGCCAGCTCCATGCCAGCTATTGAGATGAACACCACCAGGACTATGCTGGGAAAACAGCAAACATGGTGCTGGTATTGCAGGGAGATCACAGAGGGAAAATTATCCTCAACCTGGAGGGATGGCTTCTTAGCTCAATGATGTCCTTTCCCAGCTTCTCTCTTGGAGATATTTTGTCTTTGGAACTGGCAGCCACATGACAGCCATGTGTTGCTCCCTGATTGTGGAAGGGTCTCAGTATCCTGAGTGCTTGGGGTGCACCCAAAAGACAAACACCACTTATGTCAAAACGCAGGCCCCAGAGTTAAGGAAAAGTCTGTTTCTATCACTAACATAGCATCTGGAAGAAATAGAAAATGGCTATTTCCTAATTACTGTTAAAGTGTATTAAGCCAACATCCATGTATGCTTTTCCTCTCCTTCATTCACTGAAGGACTTTCAAAGAAATTGCACCCCTTGCACTTAGCATGGTGTCTGTGTGACTTAGTCAATGAGCCGTTAGGCACTGCAGATACCGTTTGTTCAGTCAAGATGGATAGCCCTGCCTTATCACTGCGTAACGCCTTGGAGGCCATAGGCTATCTCTGCACATCTCCCTTAATTGCCTGGTGTATTTATGTGGGTTGACTAGTTTGTTGCCATCTGCATAGCTGGGTTGTTTAATATATTTTTCTTTGTTCTGCTAATGACCTGAGCTTCATTACATGCTGATAAAGAATCCTAAAATGTACATAGAAAACTGACGAAGAAGAACTGGCCCTGGCCCTGAACAGAACAGGCATGCCACTATGCCGGCTGCCCAGACTCAGCATTTGTCGTTACAGGAAGGAATGGCTTTCTGTTTGCATTTTAGGAAAACTTCACCTTTTAAACATTTCAAATGGAAAAAAAAGTATGCGATTTTTTTTTTTTGAGGTTTTACTGATATGAGCTACAAATAGCTTCTTGGAAGCCAGTCAGAACTCTCTTTTCAATAATGTTGAAACATTTTCCTTTGACTGGAAATTAATACCTTCAATTTAGAAGAACTCTAGTTAGAAGTTTATAGCACAAATATAGCCCCATGTAACTAAGGGAATCTTGGAGAATTTTCTGATGTCAAAAAACAGAGCGGTGTTAGCTCATTTTAAAAAATTGTTCTAGTCAAATATAAAGCAAAAAATCCCATTTTTAATTTAATTTTTATAATATTTAAGAATCATTTCAGAGATAAAGTACTTCTGTTTTTTAATATAGCAAAAGAGATTATTATGATAGAGAATAATTATATAAATTAGGATTTTAGGCTAAGAAAAATGGTCTTCTGTTGGAGTGGATGGTTGTGGTTTTCACTTGTTAGTTGTCTGGTGTTATTTTACATAGGCTTTTTCAAAATTTGTTTTATGTCAATTTCTGTCAATTTTCTTAGTGAAACACTGTTTCTAGACTTCCACTTATACTAATTGCACCTTGATTGGATTATTTGCTGATTTGTTTTTTGGGTTTTTTGTTGTTGTTGGAGGTAAGAGTAAGAGGAAAAACTACTTCCAGCACATGAATGGAAAAGAATCACTTTGCTGTTTGACGTTGCTTGAGGAGACAATGTTTGTGACAGTTGCATGTATTCGTATGTTTGTAATTTATTCTTGTGAACAGCTGATACTGTTTTAGGGCATCAGGTCAGGATGAGCTAAATGTACAGTTCTAATCAATCAAGACAAATGATGGTACTATCACAATTCCATCTCCAGAGGCAGGCCCTCTCCACTGTAGCTCCCAGCTTCACCCAGGGACAAAGCTACAGAAAGGGAGGCATACTGACCCTGCCAAAGTTCCTTCTTCATTCCTGATTCATTCCATCTCCAAACCCACCTGTGTCCTGTGGCCCTCCTACTGCTTATCAAAACTGTTCCCATTATTGCTGCAATCTGATTCACATAGGCAAAATTGGCAGTAGCCATTGTGTGCAAAGCATTCCGTTGAATGTAGGGGCAATTTAAAAATGAAGACATAATCTTTTCCCTGTAGGAACTTACTATCTTATTTGTGTTATTCATATTCAGTGAGTAATAATTTCAGTGTGAATATGTAATATAATATAATAGGTTGATATATAAAGAAACCCCAGGCCGAGCACGGTGGCTCATGCCTGTAATCCCAGAACTTTGAGAGGCTGAGGTGGGCAAATCATGAGGTCAGGAGTTTGAGACCAGCCTGGCCAACATGGTGAAACCCCCTCTCTACTAAAAATACAAAAAAATTAGCTGGGCATGGTGGCGGGCATGTATAATCCCAGCTACTTGGGAGGCTGATGTAGGAGAATCGATTGAACCTGGGAGGTGGACGTTGCAGGCAGCCAAGATCACACCACTGCACTCCAACCCCAGATGACAGTGCAAGACTCCGTCTCAAAAAAAAACCCATATAGAATTTGACACATAGACAGTGGACTTGAAGGGAAGGGAGATAAATTCAAACAGGGACACGTCAGCCAAGACTTTCTTCTCTTCTTGTTTCTCTTCCCACCTCTGTCCTGAAGACCTTGAGAGGCCTTAAAGCCAGGAGCTGAGAGGGGAAGGGCACTCCCAGCCAGCACTAGCTCTCAGCCTGGATGGTGTCCTCACAGAGGCAGGGGGATGGTGCTCCAGGATAGCATGCAGCAGCAGCTCCTACTCCAGGTGTAGCAGCCAGGATAGGTTTTTTCACCTTTCATCCATCTTTATCATTTATTCAGTTTTCATGGTTATCTTGTGAAGCAGATGGCAATGGCGGTGTCCCCATATTATAAGCAGAAAACTGTGAATTGGAGGATTAGGTAACTGTTGGATTCTTTTTTTTTTTTTTTTTGAGACAGGGTCTTGCTCTTTCGTCCAGGCTGGAGTGAAGTGGTGTGGTTGTGGCTCCTCTGCTGGATTCTTACAGTGTTGGGAGCGGAAGCTGTGGTACCTGTGTTCTGTCTCCCACCCACGGCCCAGTTGCTCAGCAGAATTATGTGAAAGCTTCCAAATGTGTGTTTTGAAGAAATCAAAGAATGTAACAGAGTAGGTGAGGGTGTGGAGCCTGGAGCAAGAAGACACTTGCTTGTGTTTAGTCTTGTCTTGGCCACTTCTTAGGTTGTGACCTCGGGCATACTGTGTCAATCTTTCTGAGCTGGGTTTTCTTACCTGTAAAATGGAGAGAATAACAGCACCAATTTTGCAGAGTTGTGCTTAGGATTACAGCAGCCAATGCGTGGAAAGCACTTAGCCCAGTTACTGATGATCAAATGGTATGTGCGAAATCAGCACTTGCTGCTGCCCTATCATTATTATTACTGAATCCCATATTTTTGTTTTCAACTTAAAAGCATAGGCTTTGGCTTAAGGAACATTAGAAATCCTCCTCATTGGTCTCTTCACAGAGGAGGAAAAAGAGGACCAGGGAGGGGGTCTGTCTGGTTAAGAAGAGGCAGGGAGCCCCTGTACAGCCCATCCCTTGAATCCTGCTCGCTCAGCGCATTCGTTCCCCACCCTTCCCCCTCATTAATATGTTCACACATTGCCAACGCCTGAGTTCTTTTCTCCTTCCCCACAGCATACACTAAACCTCTAGGGAGACAATACACCTACTCTCCAGGAGATGGAGTGGTGGGAGGAGGGAGGAATTTTCCAAATAGCCCACAGGATCATGAAGGCTTTTCCTCACATGTTGGTTTTTATCACCTCGGACCATTGGTCACAGAATCTGGTCTGGACCTTGTGCCACTGTGGGAGGATGGCCATAGGAGAAAAAGAAAAAGCATCGCTCCCTGTGGCTCCAGTGGACACACGCGTGCTTTCCTCACCTTTCTATCACCAGAGCCCCAAGACCTAGCATGCACTTGCCACTGTGCCCTGGAAGCTGAGTCACTCTCATCTAAGTGGATGGCAGGTCATTTTGTTACATGGTTTGGGGAAAAGATTACAACACCAAAGTTGTCACTACTTTAAATTCTATCCATGTGCCAGTTCAGTGTAACGATATACTATGTGTGTGTGTGTGTGTGTGTGCACACGCACTTAGAAGAGAGGGTGTTCTCTGCCAAGCTGCTTGCTACTCCACTGCCTTAACCTCTCTCTCTATCACACTCAGTCGCAGTTGGGTTGATGACTCCCATATTCGGCTGAGAAGTGAGTGTAATTGTAAGGCACAGGCATGATATTTCAAGACCTTTACAGCATGAGAAGTAAAATCCTTTTCTCAGTCAGCTGAGAGCCCCTGTTATATGTGTTCCTGACCCCCAAACCCCTCATTTCTCAAGTTTCATGGCTGGAACTTTCTTCATTCTCAACTCCCCCTTTGGTACCCTCCCAATCCAAGCGGTTGTGTGTCTGGCTCACTCTGGCCTTTATCTCCTTTCTGAGCTCAGTGACTAGCTCTATTCTGAAGGCACAGGGTCCTGCTGGCTCCATGCTGCAGCTTCCAGCCCAGGTGAGTGAGGCAGTTGTTGGAGGTATTGACCCCACCCATGAAGCCACCACAATGCCATACTTGATGTTTAGGTTGCCGCTGTTAACCTCCAAAAGGAGATAACCTGATAAACATGGCTGTCCTCATGTTAATTTACTCTTTACTGAATAGCTACCAGGTGGAGTCAAAAGTTGGGATTTGGCTTCTCTGAACAGGGGATGTAATAAACTCATAGCCTTAATCTTTCACCCCTTTTGATCAAAAACTGCAAGATGATCATTACTCATTTCATATGATAAGTGTGTCCTTGAACATGAAATGGAAACAATTGAGGAGGAGAAAGAAAAAAGAGCTGTGTTTTAAGTCCAAAAAACCATTGCAAAAACATGGGCAATTAAGCAAATATTTGTTTATTACCTATTGTGTATGATGCTAAAGGTCTAAAGAGGAGTAAAACAAGTCCCTAACACCAAGTAGCTTGTAGCCTAATTATGGAGACAGAAGCACATAGCCAACCACATTTCAGATCAGACTTTGTCCAAGGAAGTGCTATTATGATGGTATTAATCAATTAGAAAAGCAAGTTGCAAAATAACCTTTACATTAGATTATGTCAACTACTATTATAATTAGTTATAAAAATGTGTTTCTTCTATGGATACACAATGTCTTGGGGCTCATGTCCTCTCTATAGGCAGGCCCCCATGTACCTATATTCATCCACCTGCCACCACCACCACATCTATCTGAAATCCGTTTGTCCATCTTTTCTCTGCCATTCACCAGGACATTAGCAGACATATAGAATCACTGGAAGTCATTTTCATGTTCCATTTTTGGAATGGTAGAATGCCACTCCTGTTTTTTTAAAACAGTTTTACACATATAACCATGAAAAAGTAAAGCATTATTATTTCCCGCTATTGAGATCTAGAATAAGTGGCTTGTTAAACAGTCTTTGGGTTTTAGAAGGTGTGTATGCTACTTGGAAGAAAGAGCTTTGTGTAAATTACCTCCTTTCCCACCCAAGAAATTCCACTTCCAAATTAAGAAAGAGAGAGAAAGAGAGAGAGAAAGGAAAGAAGGAAGGGGGGAGAGAGAGAAAGGGAAAGAAAGAGAAAGAGGAAGAGAGAAGTATTAATCTGCAAACTACCTGCCTGAGTGTGAAGCACACATGGTGTTGGCCATTGCTGTCCCTGTGGCTCTGGGGTCTCTTAATTGCTTGGATTAGGACTGAGGTGAAGGTCAGAACTGGATAGCCTACCCACTATTTCCAGAGTGCAGGAAGTTACAGTTTGGTGTAGATATGGGATTGGTAATCAGATGACCTTTTGTTCTGTGCACAGGTGATGGGTGAAGGGCAGACCTAATTAAAACCATCCAATATATTAAGCATCTCCGTTGTCATTAATTTTCAGCCGTGCATGAGCTCACGATGCCTGGTCCTGCAGGAGTCACAAGTTTGCTCTGAAATGTCAAAACTCAAACACTTCTCAGCTTTCCTCTCAGTTCTGATTCCTATTCCCACCTTCCCCACAGCAGAGGTCAGGCACACTATTTTGAAATACTAGTAAAATGTGCAGTGGGGAACAATACATGTATGTTAACTTTGAGGAAGCCAGACGCTCCTGAGAGGGTCTTGGGGGC
Organism: Homo sapiens; assembly: GCF_000001405.40. Taxonomy (NCBI): domain Eukaryota; kingdom Metazoa; phylum Chordata; class Mammalia; order Primates; family Hominidae; genus Homo; species Homo sapiens. The sequence goes on from NC_000013.11 coordinate 25,759,573, forward strand.
CTTAATAAAGCATTTCAAGGAAGCAGAGTATCAAATTAATGCTTTTTGTGCTAAAAACATTAAGGTATTTAGATGTGTTATTCTAATCCCTGTTTCAGCATGGGAACAGAAGGATCTAATATCTTTTATTTAAATCCCAGCCTTCCTAGACTGCTCCATTCTTTTCAGTCTAGTACAGGAAGAGACAGACTATAACCGGTTGATTTCAGTGACTATAAAACTGTATATAATTCACAACATACAACCCATTCAACTTTTACATGAAATGCGCTTGCCCAGATCTTAATACATTCCACATCATTTAGTAGAGATGTCAGGTTTTCAGAAGCTAGACTCCTGTCAGAATGCCACTTTAATTGTTCTGTTTTTGTGGACATGCGATAAAATTGTCACAGACGCAAGTACCGATGCATAAATTCTGAACCCCCAAGCAAAGTATCCTTATTTCAAAGTGAGCCCTTTCTCAGTTGTGGAGTAAACCGATCTTGAGCAGACAGGGTGTCCTCCTGTTTTTCTGAGAGCCCCTCTGCAAGTCTCAGCTGCAGAGGCAGCATTTATGGCTTGAGTACAGGATCGAGTTTTAAGGGTTTTGTTCAGTTAATAAAGAATATCAAGTTGCCCTCACCACTAACAACTGTAGGATAGCTGACCTGTAACTCCTGTTTCAAAGAAGACAATGCTCATAGGATGTTGAAGCAGTCACCAGTCATCATGTAGTAATTAAGATCAGTAAAATATATGTAGAGAGAGATGGCCATATATATGCCTCATGTCTAAATCAATTGTTATGGCTTCTTCCCTTTAAAAATTTTTGGTTTTCAAGGACATTATTAGAGCCTGAAATCAGAATTTAGACGCCATATAAAGGTATCTTCAGGTAAACAGAATAGCTAGTCTTAAAATTCTTTATATTTGAGGACTTAACATCCAACGTAAGAGGTGCAGTACACTTTAAGACACTAGCAAGATTTTTTTCAAGGTCTTTTAAAAGGACTTGTAGAAGAACCAAGACTATATTTTGTGTGTATATGTTGGGAGGTGCATATAACACTGAAATAATTAAAATTAAACTTCCTATCATTATTAAATATTGAAAATGAGTTAAATGAACCCTTTACACAACAAGGAAATTATTAGTAAATGTTAATGTATTTTTGCAGTAGCATATTAACATACATAATATTTTCTAAAAGCTCTCTCTTTATTTGTGGAGTGTGAAGAAGAGCTCAAATTCTGTTTTTGAAAGTTGAGTTATAAAGAATCTCTTTTGGAATATGGAAACATTTAACCTTAGTATTTTTGAGAAATGATACTTATACCCTGTTAAATAATTTTTGTACTTATACAATGCTGTGGAAATTTCAAGCTTTCCACAATTTAATATATGCTCAAATATATGTGTTAAATTCCTAAAATTACCATGGAATTGCAGCACTAAGATAAAAAGCAAGATGCTTGCACAGCTGCCTGCCTCTCCCCTCACCTTTGCAGAGACTCCTGGTGTTGTGACCTTAGCACCTGTTCAACTGCAGTGTCACTGAAAGGAAAGGACCTATGCCTGGTATTGCCAAAATATGGTGGATGTTATCAAAACATACATGTTTCAGCCATACCAAAATAATACCGTCAGTACATCTGGGCTCTTACATTACTTGTTCAACAAATCCTGGAGCGTGTTGACCTGTATTTCTCAAGAGTGGCTGGATAGCATCAGGGTTTGTCATTAAGTCATGCATGTTTTATCACCAATAATGAGATATACGTTTGTCATATTAGTCAGTCAGCAAGTTAAATCCTTATTCTACTGGGCACTGTGTTAAATAGTCATTTGTAGTGCAAAGATATTACAGAGGCATTCTATTGTGGTGGAATCTGATTCTAGGCTTAAATCATTGCACAAAGAGCAAATAGGTGGTTGAGCTAAGCTGGGCAAAGTGATGCACACCTGCGGCCTCAGCTGCTTGGGAGGCTGCGGCAGGAGGATCGCTTGAGACCAGGAGTTCAAGACCAGCATGGGCAACATAAAGAGATCCTGTCTCAAAAAAAGTATATGTATATAAAATATAATATATATTAGCACAGTATATATATATACACACACATATGATAAGGTATATATATACCTTATATATTATTTATTAAATATAAATAATTTGTTTGGATGATTTGTATCATGCAGCACCCCCAAGACTACTTGTAAATGTTTGGTAAGCTGGTATTTATTAAGCCTTCAAAGTGCTTTTGTGAGGTGTTATGCAGGGGCTGGGGGTGAGCTTTTAATAGTTGAAGCATTATGATCTAAAGAGGCCAGGAAAAAAAACTAAGCTTAGGTGTTAGCTTTTCCCAGGAGAGCCCTTTGTAAGGACAAAGATTGTTGTCAGCCATGTGTCATTAAAAGCTGTCACAAGGCTGGGTGTGATGGCTCATGCCTGTAATCTCAGCACTTTGGGAGGTCGAGGCAGGCAGATCACCTGAGGTCAGAAGTTCAAGACCAGGCTGGCCAACATGGCAAAACTCTGTCTCTATGAAAAATACAAAAGAAAAAAATTAGCTGGGTGTGGAGGTGCATGCATGTAATCCCAGCTACTTGGGAGGCTGAGGCAAGAGAATTGCTTGAACCTGGGAGGCGGAGGTTGCAGTGAGCCAAGATCATTCCATTGCACTCCAGCCTGGGTGATGGAGTGAGACTCTGTCTCAAAAAAAAAAAAAAAAAAAAAAAAAAAAGCTGTCCCAGAAGGCCTAGAATGTTTTTAAGGATATTTGTAGAAAATAGAATCAAGACCACTAGCATGTTGGTCAGGAAGTTTGCAAACGATATCTGTCTCTTGAATCACAGGACAAGTGGGCTGTTTTTATCTGCTTTCCATGAGTGATGCATTTAGATCTCACAGAGGTGGCCAGTCATTTATGTATTCCTTTCATCCTCTCCATCTGTGCATAGGCTTTCAGAATTGCACACTAATAGCCTGCTCCTAGGTCTGTTGTTTATATGAAAGTTAAGATAGTTTTGTTTAAATAGAACTGTATTTTTTTTCTATTACGCTTAATTATGGGTGGAGATGTAGCTAGTCTTGGAATCATGATTTTGGTAGTTAGTCACCATTTATTGAATGTCTGCTGTACAAATCTTAAATTAGACATTTGGAGAAGGGTGAGGAAAGGGAGGGATAGAAAAGAAATGAAAGATGTCATCTCTGTCCTTGTGAAGGTTAGAGAGAAAAACATATTCCCCCATGATGGATATAACCAATTATGTTGAATAGTTTATGGAAAGAAATGTACTGATTAAATAATTTTTTAAAAAGTGAATTCTTAAAACTTTTATGTCACCTGTCTGCTCTTTCATGATGCAGCTGATGGCGTTAGGGAAAGAATGTTAACTCAAGTCACATGACATTTTGTAGGAAATCCCCTCTTTTATATTCAGATGTGGTTTTGAAATGTCTAAGGATTCCGAGAAATGCTTCCATGGGAGGGGCTCCATAACACCTTCATCTCTAGAGGAAATACTGGCATAGGATTTCCAGAATTTTTTGCTGCAAAAACAACCAAAGCTAGAAACGCTCATCCCTGAAAGTCTGTGCCTGTGGCTCATTTAACAATGGGGTGCACGTAGTCACTCTGAAACCCATTCGCTCATGGATTGTTCTTTTCTCTGTCAGCACTCACCTTGCTTTTCAAAATACGTCCCACCTTAGACCCAACCCGTGTGAGGCTGCCTCTTGGTCAAACACTGCATTCTTTGAAATAAAAACTGAACTGCTCTCACCTTTCCTTCGTTGTTGCATCTCTCTAAGGCACACTCTCTTGCAGCTTCCTCAGTTACAGCTCCTCGCCATGTGTAAGTTTTTATAGTGAGGGAGCTTTTATAGTGAGGGAGCACTTACATCTACCTTAGAACTATTGAGTGATTGAGTTGAAATTTTCTTTCTTTGTGCCTCTAGATAAGCTAACCCACAGGTACCTATTGGGCTCGCCTGAATGCACCCCCATTCCTGCCACTATCCTTTCCCACTACTGCCCTCCCAACCCCAAATTCTATATCTGCCACTGTGCTCCAGGGGCCATTCCAAGCTGCCCAAATTATCTACTTTTAGAATTTAGGGCTACAATGAAATATACCAAAATCTGGGCCATGAGATTAAGTTTTGAGGGAGCCGCACAGTTTGGATCCGAGCACAGATGTTCCAGAAGGGAACGACTGTCCAGAAGGCCTGGACACCTGGGTTGTGTCCTGCACAAATGTACTAAATGCATCTGAAGAAAGAACACAGTAGACAGAAGGGATGTGGTCAGCCATGGAGGCATTTAATAAATAGGATTGGTTAATTAATTTTAGGTTTTAGACTCAAATATCACATGTTTGTATATCTATCTAATTAAGCTATGAGATTTTTAAAGGTACTGAAGTTTTTGACTGACTGCCATGAAAAAGAAGATGTTATATTTTATTTAAATAACTATTTCAATAAGAAAATCCTTTTCATAGGATAGTATTTTCAACAGGAAAATGAACACTTTTCCAATTGAAATCTTCTGATATATTGGAGCACTTTATTTTATAGTTAAATATTATGTATTTTAGGCTTGGTATTGATAAGTTGGTTTCTGTGTCATTACGAAAAACAACTTATGAAGTCTTGTTTGTTGTATTTCGGTTAGTTTTTGCCCCTACCACCTTCTTATTTGAGACACTCAGATTAAAAGAATATTTTTAATGAAATACCAATAAAATGTATACTTTCTGGGTTTCTGTTTAAAAGCAAAGAAGAAAAACCTACATATGCAAAACTTTAAGAAAGGGGATAAGATTCAGTGTTTCTTGTAATTGTTAACTGTCACTATGGAAATTTTGTATGTATCTTATGCTATGGAAATTCAAGCTTAGCTAGAAAACATTTTTACTAGAAAGAACCTGTGGTATTGTCTAGGCCAGTGCTGGTGACTTGAGTATGGTCCAGAGACAAGCAGCAGCGGCAGCAGCCGGGAGCTTGTTAGAAATGCGCATTCACAGGCCCAGCCCAGGCTTTCTGATCAGAGGCTGTACCTTGACAATCCCTCTGGGTGATTCCGATGCTCACTTAAAGTTGGAAACTCATTGATCTAGGACAGTGGTTTTCAAACTTCCTTTTAGTCATAAGGACTGCTACATGTAATAAAGATGTTTTCAAATCCAGATAGTGAAAGAATTTTGTGAGTCTGGTTAATTAATATGTGTTTTGGGTCTCTAGGGGGTTCCTGGGTGGAGTTCCTTGTAACCCCTCTGGCTCAAGTGAGCTCAGTGTACAAATCTACAATCGAGATCCAGCCCCTCTTTGACAACCAGGCAGGTAAGATCGGAGGAGGTAAAGAATCTGCTTAGGTTTGTTCAGATGATATTGCAAGATCAGAATCAGAAACTCTGAGAGCAGGGTTTATGTATATCAGATAAATTAGTGTATGATCACTAGTTCTATAAAAGCAGTTAGCCAAGGTTTCACTAAAGTGTTATATTTGAAATAATGTTAGAGAGCTAGTTTTTAAATTTCAGGGACATGTGTCCCATAAAATGAGATACTCCAGGAACTGATTTTTGTAAGTCTCAAAAGAAAAACTTATTTTTCATTTTAGAATCTATTATGTTATCCAAAAAAGCAGATAGAATACTTCTCCAGTCAACTGAATGCTTTTGGTTTATATTTCTATTCATAATACACCAAAATAGGATTAAAGAAGTGCCCCCAAGCACCTAGCTTGGGTCAGCTGTGGTCTGGGGTTTTTATTTTATAGGTTGAATTATTATATGTTGGGAATACTTATTAAGTGTGGCATGTGACTCCAGGTCACAAGTTAAGATTAAGAAACAGCCGGCTTGTGCTTCCTGGCAACTTGGTATACTAAAATACTGCATATGGCTAAAGTGGAGTGGTGCCTCTTCATTTCTGTAGAAATTAGCTGTTGGACATCTGTTTTGAACCCCTAGTGTGTGCTAGAATTATGTTTTCTCAAGGCATTACAGCTGAGGGCATAATAAATCCTTGATGAGAATTTCATGCTCCTAAAATACTACCGTATGACTTGCTTTATATACCCTGGTCAGGTTTTCTCCTTATTTTTGCTTTTTGGGAAAGGCAGCTGTTGGATGTTCATAGATTGTACTTTAAGCCATTGGAATCCTCACTTGACTTACTTGAGATCCAAATCCCAGAGTGGCAAGCCCAGTGAGTCTATTTGACTTGCTCCTCATTTCCCATTGGTTGGCCTATCGCTAACCTCCCTAACAAAAAACCAACAACTTTAACCTCAAAAAAAACCCGGGTCTGTTTAGGTCCTTCCCTGTTCCACTCCTGAGATTTTCCGACCCCTGCAGTGTGAAGTGGCCAAGCCTTTGCCTGTGGGCTTCCTTTCTCTCCAGACCACCTTGAATTTGCTGATGGAGAGGCCAGCTTTCTTGATCAGTTGGGTGACATACGGACTTAAGGAGGAGTCGCAGCCTCAGGCCTGCTGAGTCCTGTTTAAGTTCCTGTTTTACGCTCTCTTGTGATACTTTCATGGATGCATAAGAGGAGTTGCAGATTAAGTGATGCCCTCCTTAGTGAGGTTCCACCTCAGTGAATGAATGATTTTAATTAAAGAGTGATTAATATAATCATAAGAATCCAGACTGTAGATCCACTATGTCCTCAGTGTCTCAGCAATTCCTTTGCACAGCCCTTAGACCAAAAGGAAAACTTAAGTTTCTAATTATTAAGTAGGTAAAGTCAAATAATTTAAGAAGTATTTATGACCCAACAACTTAGCAGACATTTGAAACAATAATGTCATTGAAAGACATACATTGAAAGAAATAATCCTTATTTCCTCCATCATTAAATAATCATTACTGTTGACAATGGCATGTGGTGATGTACCTGTTTACCTGTTGAGCGCTGCACGACTTCTCGAACTTTAGGGTAAGCATAGCTGCTGCCTTGCTCATTTCCTATTCCACATTGATTTTCACAAGGCATTTGCTTTTTATCATCACCGCCACGAGAGCTCAGCTTCACAACGACATATCATGAAAAGGGATGCAGTGTGATTTATTGTTGAAACTGTGAGCTACTTCCAGCTAGTATTTTGCACTGTTACCTGAGAGACATTGCTGTATTTCCCTCAAAAATTAAAAAAATTTCTGCTGCAGCATCCCCAGGGCACCTGCACACCCAGTTGGGAACCACAAGTCTGATGGCATGCATTACTCAGAGGTGTCCAGTCTTGTTTTGTTTTTCCAACAGTTAAGATGTTTCACATAATCCTATGCTAGGTGGAGTGTGAGATGCAATTGTTTTATACTTGCTAGTCAACACAGTGGTTTCACATTAATACATCACAACCATCCCATGAGGTGGCTGGTTCTCATTTTCCTGATCCCACTCATGAAAAGCAGGGGCTCATGGACTTCCTTTCCCTGCTTAAATGGTCAATGTGTGGTGCACAGGAAAATGTCATACTCAGGCCTTTAACTGTGGCTCCCAGGTTGTTTTCTCCAACTATATTTGATCTGTGGTTCTGTGGAGTTTCAAAACAAAATGGGAAATCACTTTTGTGTAGCCAGTTACAGTTGTGGGCTGCCTCTGCCAAAAAGATCAGCCCTTGGCTTTAAGTAGCAGTTGCACAAACTAGGCGGGAATAGATACAGCTTAATATCCCTTCATGTTAAAATTGCTTATGTGGAGTTGACTAGAGGCTTCATTGATAAGCAGTGTTAAAGCTCCAGTAACTTTCTTTTAGGCCACATTAAAGTGAATCTGGCATCTGCTACAAGGGAGATGGTGATTCTGTTCTATTCTGCTCTCAGTTGCCTAAAAGATTATACTTGGAGGCTATCTTTTAAGTTCTGAAGCATGCCTATTAAATAATGGTTGAAGAACCTGAGAATATTTAGCAAGCAGCAACAGAGCTTTGGGAGGAAAGATGTGATAGCTGTTTTTATATTTCAGCCTTCCATATATTTGTAAGAGAAGTTAGACTTTTCCTATTTAGCCCCAAATGACAGAGTTAGTACTCTTAAGTATGCTCAGTAACAACAAAAAAGTAATAATAATTTGCAGTGGTCGCACCTACTGCAGGAGGCATCGAATTGCTGCCATTGCAAACCCTTGTGAAAATGCTAAAAGGGATATCAGATTGTGCAACCCAGCTCCTAAAGTCCTTTCATTATGTTTTTCTAACTTTCTAATTTTTATCTTTGTCACTGAGCAAAGGCTTTTTACATGGTTCTACATTCAGTTTGCTGTCTCGCCAAATGCATTTCTTTCTCAAGTTGGTAGAATGAGATGTCAGGTAGCACTTCAGTTTTCTGTTTGGAACAGGTATCTTTGTGGGTAGAGACCATCTAGGAGCTGTTGAAGTTCTTACTGGGCAAATCTTTGAGTGTCCATTCTAGCTGATGCGTGAAGTCCATATGTGGGCGTGGCCAGTAGACCTCTGTGAAATCCAGAAAAATCTTTTACTTTGTGTTTATTCTGTGTGTGTGGTGGCGTGGGGGGGGGGTGGTGGGGGGGCAAGTGCTGTTTAAGTGATCCAAAAGCTTACCTGTAAATCCCGCAAATCAAGCATCAGCTTACCAATTCAGAATGTAGAGTCACTCAGTCCTGAGATGCTAGTCTTTGCTTCGTGTTGCTGTGTTTTGTGGTCTACACTCTGAATAAGCACTTCATTATCATGAATACCCCTCTGCTTTAGACCCCACAGATTTATACTGGCTCCTCTTCCCAGACGACTTGAGGACTTAGGAAAGCTTGGCCGCCATCTTGGATTCCTTGTGGAAAGAACCCTTCCTATGCAGGGGCTGATCTTCTTGCCCCCTTTAGGGCTGTGCTTCTGCATGGCTCAACAAGGGGAGACTTCCACTCCCTGACTCCCATCCTAGATCCTCTGCCTTGGCTGCCCTTCAAACACAGCTTCATTTTCTGGGGCGGATGTAGGGAAGTCTTTTTTCTTTGCTCTTACCCCAGCCTTCTTTCTGCACTTTATCATGCCCTGCCAATTTCCTTTCCCTTCTGTAAAAGCAGATTTTACAGAAAATTCCCTTGCCAGCCCTAGGTTGTATATGATGTACCATAAAGCAAAAGGAGGTCTGTGCTGGTTTTCTGATTTATTGGAAAGACATTTCCGAAGACCCCTGTAACTAGACTGACTTCCTTTATCATTCAGCAGGGCACACGTACCCCCGAGGAGTTTGTGCAGATGCCTCCCACTTAGCAGAGTGATTACAAATAGGCTGTGTTTTAAGTTAGTTTTCTGTTGTATATTTCATCTGAGAAGTTGGCAAATACTTGAAAGCCACAAGCTACTGTTTTCTGAAAGCTTCTTTGCACATGAGCATAAAATGGATGTATTGAATTTGGAGATCGTCCAGTAACTGTCCTTTTAATGCAGCGGAATGTAGATTACAGCTGTTTCCTCTGGAAAGACATGCATAGCTCTGATTTCCCTCTCTTTTCTCACAGAGTGTCTCCTCTGCAGAAGTCTGAGATAGTGGATGTGGTGAAGAAGCGGGTGAAGGCCATCACCCTCGCCATCGGAGACGGCGCCAACGATGTCGGGATGATCCAGACAGCCCACGTGGGTGTGGGAATCAGTGGGAATGAAGGCATGCAGGCCACCAACAACTCGGATTACGCCATCGCACAGGTCAGCAGCTTGGGCGTCCAGCTGCCCTGTCCTGTTGAGAGATGATAGCTGGGCATGAGGACCTGGCGTTTAACCTTCAGTGCATCTCCAAACCTCTGCCACCCCTCTTGAGGTTGCTGTCTAGATGAAACCCCGGGGATATTTGGAATTCTCTGTAGTTGTGATCTTGTGCAGTTTGGAGGCCCTGTCCTGCTGATTGGATTTCTCTGGCCAGCTATGGGGTTGGCCAAGCTGCTCTGTGATCCAGGCAAGGTGCTGCTCCTGGCAGATAGGTCTCTGATCTTGCTAATAATAACCTCTCACCTTCAGCTTCTGCATCTGCTGCATGGCTTTTTCTGCTGCATTGCCTGCTGAAGCACAGCTGTGCTCATGACAGCCTTTCTCTATAATCCTGTTCCAGTCTCACTCCTCCCAAAGGTGTTGGGACACCCCCTGGCTAGGTGCTTAAGGTCAGGGAGAAGCAGTGATTACAGCTGTCGCCTTCTCTGTAGTTATGAGAGGGGTGCTGTCCAGGACCACCCCTGTGAGGTGAATTGCCAAGAGCACGAGCTGGGTTTGGGCCATAATGACCCCATGGTCAGTAGCAATCAGCCTCCTGCAGTTAGGCCAAGTTCAGTCCAGCGGAGGCTGATCCGAGCCTCGCATGCCAGGGCTCCTGATGTGCTGTACTGCACTGGTGGCCTGAGGATGAAAGAAAGGTCCACTCCGTAATGATAGCCCAAAGGTGAAGGAAGATAGCCAATTTCCTAACCCGTAGGGTGCATATCTGAGACCACCTTTGCAAAATTATGACTGAGACAGTGGAAGAGATCTAACTTAACCGACTCCATCTTGCTTCTAACCTCCAAGCTGTCCTTGTTCATTTCTGGGCGTAAGCTGAACTAACTTTGAGAGAAACTCAGTTTATACTTTATAGTTTAAACAAAGATGGTAACAGCCCTTTCCCAAAGCAGACCTCCTTGCCTGGGGACTAGACTAACATTAGCCACAGGATTTGAAATATGGCTTAGGAGTCATGCAGCTGGAGGCTACGAGATTCTGACCTTCTTAAACTGCTCCTAAGATCAGTGCTTGAGATATTTTGCAGACCCTGCACTTGATGGATCAGCTGGCACCACTCAGATCAATAAACTGGCTCATCTAATCTTGTGGCTCCCCACCACCCAGGAACTGACTGAGCTCAAGAAGACAGCTTTGACTCCCTATGATTTCTTCCCTGACTGATCAGCATTCCCGGCTCACTGGCTACCCCCACCCACCAAGTTATCCTTAAAAACTCTGCTCCCCGAATGCTTGGGGAGACTGATTTGAGTAATAATAAAACTCCAGTCTCCCTCACAGCCGGCTCTGCATGAATTACTCTTTCTCTACTGCAGTTCTTCTGTCTTGATGAATCGGCTCTGTCTAGGCAGTGGGCAAGGTGAATCCCTTGGGCGGTTACATATCTAGATGATTTGGCCTGCTGGATCACCCAGAAAACCTAGACATCACAGCGAATGCAGGGCCTGTCCCTCTGTCTCCAGATTGCGATACATCATGAATAGATGCCTGCTCATCGGCTGGGTAGCAGGAATTCCCTTGTGTTTCTACGGTGTTGAGGTGTTTGAAGAATGTGTTCACCTTAATCACATGAACACAAGGAAAAATGGCTACACACCCCTTCAACCTGAAATCAGGTGCTGCATATAAAATGTGAAGGAGCTTCCTATAGCCCCAGGGCTTCAGGCCAGTCCTTTGCAGTTCTGGGGCTCCACCTCTCCAAAGCGGGGGCTCTGTGTTAGATCACCTCTCAGGTTTCTTCTCAGCTCACAGTTCTGCAGATGCAGGGAGAAATTACAAAATCCTCCTGGCTCTGAAAAGTGCATGCAATCAATCTTCTTCCTTTGCTGATTTCAAATAAATCCTCAAGATAATTTCTGAAGTAGGTAAGAGAAGGAATCTTGACTTTATAGGTGGGAAAACCGGGGTTCCTTCGTATCAGGTGACTTACATCAGGTCCAAGCAAGCAAGCATCTTGGGGTCAGAAAACAACGGACCTGAGTGTGAACTTGGGGGCCGGCCCCACGCACACCTGCCTGTTTACTTTCCTGAGTCAAATGCTTTGAGGCCTGTGGGACTCGCACTTCCTGTAGTCTGTCAGCAACTATAGATGTTATACACCCCAGCATTATTAAATACTTGAGTTATAACATCATATGGCTGGAAGGGATCTTAAGAGGTTTCCTAGGAGTTCCAGGCAAATATTTGTCTGTCTTTTTCTTTAAAATGTCTAGGGAAGGGAGATCCCATGACCTGCTTTACTGGAACTGCATAGGAATAGGATGTGTTATCCAGAGCAATTGCTCTCTTCAAATTAAAAGTGTCAAAGAAGGGTGGAGCAGGGAGCGAGGCTTTAAAACGCCATTGGGGGTTTTCTTGCCCCTCCAGCATCATAGTCACTTCTGCCAAAGGAACTGATGCAGCCCACATGTTTCTGTGCACCCTCATTTCTCCTGTCCATGGTCCTATTGCCGATTAGGTGGGGATGCTGTTACTTCAGGGCAGGTTCCTGCTAACCTCATAACCTTTGCACCAACCAACATGCTGCCTCTACCTTAGTCACCATGCCAGAAAAGCCACAGCTTGATGAATTTCTTTGCCTCTCTTGAAATGGTAAACATCTCTGGTTGTTTATCGCCTTGGGCTTTATCTGTTCATTTTAATGTGGATGCATTTTTTTTATTACGCTTCGGAGGAAGTACCCTCAGGGTTATTATACTCAGAAAGAAAAAAATGTTAGCTCAAAGACTTACCTTGGGAAAGTTACGAAGTGGGCAAAGCTCTGGTTCTATTTCTTCCCTGCCTACCTTGTGCTTTTATGCACATGGGCAGCCCAAGACCGAGCGCCGTCCTTTTTCAGCTGCCTTGTCCTGAGCAACCTTGCTGCCGTCGCTGAGTCATGGTGCTCCCCTAGCCCTTGGCTTTCCATTCTCCTCGGGAGAATCATTCCTGCCCCCTGCCCTCCTAATGTTTTCAGAACGACCTCATGATGACAGCATTTTGATTTAGAATATACATTTTTTTTTCCTGAAAACAAATCACTGTAGTGCTCAAGTTGAGGCATTCAGGATGACTCAAGCAGATGTTTTCTGTGCCCATTGAAGTTTAACATCAGGGGGTCCCGGTCAAATACAAACTTCCTTTTTATTTGTTTAGCTAGTTATTTTATGATTTCCCATTCCCCTTTGGAATCCTTAATGAGCCTTTATGGGGAGTTTTATTTTTCCATGTGCACCTACTTCTGCCACTTCGAAGCGATGATTTAGATTCCGAATGCGTGGTGAGCCCCGCGCCTTCCCCTCACCTCCTGGAAGAACATGCTGAGCTGGGACTCCACCTAGGATGGAGTCCTTTCTTTAGTGCTAATGGAGATTATTATGCAGTTTCCTCCTGAAAATTTTTTGTTTAAGTATTGTATTTTCAGTCTGGTCATTTCTTTTCTATTGAGAGTTACATTTAATTAATTAATTTATTTATTTATTTATTTATTTATTATTTTTTTTATTCAGAGTTTCACTCATGTTGCCCAGGCTGGAGTGCAGTGGCTGGATCTCGGCTCACTGCAGCCTCCGCCTCCGCCTCCTGGGTTCAAGTGATTGTCCTGCCTCAGCCTCCTGAGTAGCTGGGATTACAGGCACCCAACACCACGTCTGACTACTTTTTGGATTTTTAGCAGAGACGGCGTTTCACCACGTTGGCCAGACTGGTCTTGAACTCCTGGCCTTAGGTGATCTGCCCGCCTTGGCCTCCCAAAGTGCTGGGATTACAGGTGTGAGCCACTGTGCCCAGCTGAGAGTTACGTTTAATTTCCAAAGTCATCTGAAATTAATAAGAAGTATATAACTGCAAAAGAATTTCTAATGTCCTGGGCATTCTCAATACAGCCTGCTTGTCTCTCCTAGTAGTGTAATAGGTTTCAAGCTTGTGGACTTACTGACACTCTGACTTAGAACAGGAGGCATTAAGGTTTTCATGCAAGGGAACTAAGAGGGAACTCAAATCCAGTGTAAGGCATATCAAATGTGTAGAAACGTGATGTAAACAGGGTTGCAGCTAACGGCACATTTATGCCAGAGCAGGACACCACGCACCAGACCAGAGAAACTCGTTTCCCTCCCTCCAGCGCAAGGTTTACACTTTTTGGGACCTTTATGAAACGGCACACAGAAGGCAAAGCCAGGCTAAGGGGTGGCTGAGGAGATACGATCTGAGTGGTGTCCAGAGACCCCCTCCCCCAGTGAGGATTCCTGAATGTTACTGGATTATCTATGGCTCCAACTCAAACCACAGGAGCCATCACATCACTCCCAGCTTGGGACCCACCAGCAGCCCCTGACTGCATAGCACTCTGGCCAGAGGGGCTCTGTACTGGTTGGAGGCAAAAAAGGAGAAGACAAAATGGGTCAAGAAGTGGAGGCAAAGTGTGTGTGTGTCTTAGTATATCTATGTGTACATGTGTATTTGTATGAGTATCTATGTATGTGTGTCTGTGTGTATGTGTGTCTCTGTGTATCTCTGTCCTGTGTGCCACTATCTCTGTGTCTAGGTGTGTGTGTCTGCCTGTATGTGTCTGTTTATCTGTGCCTGTTATGTGTCTCTGTGTATCTATGTGTGTACATCCGTGTGTGTCTATATGTGTGTGTAACTTTTTAAACTACGCAGTTGTTAGTGGAAGTAGTGTATGTGCACCTGTGTGTACTTTTCTTTTAAACAAGACTGTATTGTGTGAGTGTCCCTGTCCCTTGCTCTTTTTGTCACTGAAAAAATCTGTGTTTGCTTAGAGATATCTGACTTCCACTGTACTTTTCTTTCAGTTTAGTAGCTCACCTTTGTTTAATAATTAATCCCTATTGCAGCACTATTCATAATAGCAAAGACATGGAATCAACCCAAATGTCCATCCGTGCTAGACTGGATAAAGAAAATGCAATACACATACACCATGGAATACTATGCAGCCATAAAAAGGAATGAGATCATATCCTTTGCAGAGACTTGGATGGAGCTGGAAACCATTATCCTCAGCAAACTAACACAGGAACAGAAAACCAAACACCACATGTCCTCACTTATAAGTGGGAGCTGAACAATGAGAACACATGGACACAGGGAGGGGAACACCACACACTGGGGCCTGTTGGGGAGGCAGGGGGAGGGAGGGCATCAGATTAAATACTAATGCATCCAGACCTTGAAACCTAGGTGACGGGTTGATAACTGCAGCAAACCATCATGGCAAATGTTTACTTATGTAATAAACCTTCACATCCTGCACATGTATCCTGGAACTTAAAATTCAATTACAAAAAAGCATTTGTTTAAATAGAATTTCATAAGAATAACAATTAGGAGTCCAGCAGTATGTTTAGGGAAAATAATAATAATGTAGTTTCAAGAAGGATTTTACTTGTTCTCACTGGGCCTGAAAGCTCTGTCTTCAGAGAATGGTTTTCTGAGATTCCTGCGGAATCTGGTTTCCTCTACCTACATTATCTGACTTCTGTTCATAAGGACATTCTGTTTGTGACTTTTATTCCTCAATGATGGGCTCTTCTGAGCTTTGTAATTTTCCTTTTTCAGTTTTCCTACTTAGAGAAGCTTCTGTTGGTTCATGGAGCCTGGAGCTACAACCGGGTGACCAAGTGCATCTTGTACTGCTTCTATAAGAACGTGGTCCTGTATATTATTGAGGTAAGAAGGGGTATTTTTTTTCCTTGAAGAGAAAGTTCTTTTAAGAGGATATCTTGAGGTATTTAAAGTCATTTCAAGGCAGGATTTTGTTCATGTAAAATTAAAAGATGCTGCTGTGACTTTCTACAGCCTGGGTCACATGTAAGCTCCTGTGAAGCTGGGCTCGCCATTCTGGTCTAGATCCTCATGCTGGATGACCAAAGCGGGCATCTGCAGCCTTTCTTACCTACCCGGACATGCCTTCCTCCTAGCTCTCCTCCTGTGTTCCTCTTTGCCATGCCTCTTCCTCTGTGTCCTTGGCTGGGGTAGAATCTTGCTAATACTCACAGCCCTTCCACAGGGGTCAGATCCTATCAGCAGAGGCCTACACCTTGCCAGGTGATCGCTGAGGTGTTGCTGGAATGAACAAGGGGGCCTGATTTCTGCCTTATTTCTCACAGACTCTGCAAGTTTCCTAGCATCCATTCACTGCTTCTGGGATACTTGGACACTGGTACTTACGTGGGAAGGGTGTGGGAGTGAGGGGATAGTGGGGAGTAAAACAGCAAGGTCATTGACAATATTGCAGTGAGTTCATATTCTGTTGTCAGACAATTTTCCAAGATGCTGATTCAGTTACCAGTAAAACAAACGTGCCTGCTAGAGGGGTGGGCCCAGGAAGAAATGGAAAAGTCACTTCATGTTTGCTATTAGTGGGATTACAGCCCTGCTATAAAGGGGGTGGCTTTTGAGGCCATCATGACTAATCGTTTCCAACTATGTTTGTCTATGGAGGAAGGCAATGTTAATTATGGTGTTTTAATGCTTCATTCTACTATGGGTTATTTTATATCTGATTTCTTGACTCTTAGTAAAAATAATAAGCAAGGAAGAAATCAACTTTTTCTGATGTAAGCTCTGACAATACTGGGTTCAAATAACTATTAATAACAAGTGCCTTGCTAAGGTAGCTGTAACTAACTACTTCTTTACCCGGTTGTCTAATCTTTCCTACTCAATCATTCAGGTCAAACATATAAGTTCATGTCACACATCTGGTAACTAAACTACTAAAGAGTGATTTCCCCAAGTTGTGCAGGTTGTTCATGGCCCAAGACAACCGGGCCAAAAGAGTAAATGAAGCAGAAACATAACCTGTGCTACTTCATTCATCTCTTCAGCTGCCCGGAGCCCAACTGGAAACAGCAATGCATTTTTCTAAGTTGCACAAGGGCCAGCCTATTCGCCAAGACGTGTGCACTTGCAGAGAGGATGCCTCTTCTAGTTCACACAAAAGCCCCTTGTGGGCTGGGGAGCAGCCCTGATTCTTAAGGAATGTTCCAAGCAATCAAAAGGGATCTGGTTAAAGTCCTGAAACTGACCCATTCTTCCTAATTTGAATCTTTTGTGGGAGGTGCCCTGTCTGCTTAAGTGTATTTCCCTAGGAAGAAAATACACAGCAGAGGCTTGAGAGATTTGGTGATATAATTGACGTTTTATTCAGTATAGTGAGGTTAAAATCAATAATTTAAAAAATTATTCACAATTTGTCTGCTGGTCTTGTGCTGTAATATTCAACTCAGTTCACTCTGGGTGAGAACTTGTAGATATTGGTGTAAGAACTTTAGTGGTTTCTCTCTTCTCTTATTTTTACAATTCCCTTTTGGCACTTAAAGGTGTTTGTCCCCCTCCTGCTCCTACATTTTTCTGTGTCTGTGGTAGGAGTCACTCCTCAACGTCACTCAAGGTCATGGACGATAGTGTAAAGAGGTATCGTAGGGTCATGGACCATCGTGTAAAAGGGTATTAGAATCTCTGTTTCTTCGTGCTATCCCAGGCTTCCCAGCATTTTGTGCTCCTGTAGCTGCTGGCTTTCACGGTTTCTTAATAATCTCGTTTTCTTCACAATCAGCAAATTACAGATAGTCTAGACTTCTTATCAAGACATTCTGCGTGGAGCTCCCAATCTTTCACTTTTCAGATCGTCCCCTAGGGCCCCTTCTTAGTCATTTACACCTACTATCTTGCTGGTGTTTTTTTTTTTACTTCAAGTGGGCTGAGTCTGAGAAGAGTGCAATTTTAGTCTGCCTGAAAAATTCTATTTGGAAGGAGGCCCTGAAAGTGCCACATGCGTGCCTCAAATTAATATATTTCAATTGTAGCTGAGCAGCAGTTGTTAAATGGTCTTTTGTAAACAGCCTTTTAAACATTCTTTATAAAGTTAAAGAAAATGTTAAAGTCTGCACCACTCCATGCCCAATTTTCTATTTAGTATTTCTCGGGGATATTAATTTGAAAACCAAGAAAGCAAAATCCTTGACCGAGCCTATATGGTTAGAGCCTTGACTCAGGCAGAGCCTACCTACCACTGCCAAATTACTTCTTTCGCATCAACATGCACTTCAAATATAGTTTTAAAAATAGGAAAGTACTACTTACTTGCATGCAATTTTAGTGTGTTGTGAACTGTAAGATCAAAGATTATTGTAAGTTGATTTGCTTATTTGCAAAGAATACTTTTTTGTTCTAAAGGTAACCCTTATAATTAATTACTTAAGTAAGAATAAATTAAATACATTACTTATTTATCTTAAATGGTTTTCTTGTAACTCAAGGAGCGATTCTTTACAATAGCCAATATGTTGTCATCTCAGATGCCCTCTAAGATACATAACTACTAATCACTTAAAAATGTAGTCTAAAGGCAATTTGGCAAATTAAAAAAAAATACACATGTGTGCATGCACACACACATTTTATGGCCTTAGCCATTATTATGAGGATCATTATAGGACTTGAATTGCCAATAAAGATTGTAGGGAAGAACTGTAAGCCTGTGATGTAATGCAGTCTACTCACTTGGCATACTAACCTATAAAAGTGGATTTTTCTGTGTAAGGAACACATGGATGTATTCATGTTGCTATATGGAACACTAACTGAAAGTTCCCTCCACTCTCGCCCCCAAACCTCCTTCCGTATTATCTGTCCTGACCTTTTTCTCTGTAGGTATGGAGATATTTATGTATACAAACAAATCAAGGATTTTAGATAAATGCCATCATGCTGTGCAGAGCCTTCTGCAACTCATTTCACCTGACAGTGTATTCTGGAGACCATTCCCAGTTACTATGTATAGACCCAGGGCATGCCATTTCACAGGGGGGTTTCCTGCAATCTATTCAGCCATTCCCTGCACTGATAAACATTCCACTTCTCTCCAGTTTCAACCCCCAAAAGCCTTGTGGAATAACAGCTTTCTCACTAGCCCATAAATATTCCACCCAAATGATATTGATCTAATTAGACCATTTTTACCACAGTTCCTTGAACATAACACATGCTTACGTATTTTTATTTATACAACAACAAGTTATTTGTTGCTGACAAATCTTAATTAATGCTTGTTGAGTGTGCCGCATAAAATTCAAGCCAAAATAACTATTGGTTTGAGGGATTTAAAAACTAGGAACAAAATTATGCAATACATGGTTTCATGTTAGCCCTATTAATAGGTAAAACTGAAAATACTACAACCTGTGCCTCCATCCTCCCTGCAGCTGCCTTAATTTAGTACTGTTTTCTGGGTTGATTACAAAAACCGCTAGTTTCACTTCCTTGACCATCTCCGCTGTAGCTAGGATACGATTTCTGAAACATACGTCTGATCAATTCCAGTGTCTGGCACAATGTCTGGAATGGAGGTGCTTGAAAATGCTGGCAATGAAAGAGTGATGAATGCTGCTGCTTCCTGCAGCCCCTTCCCAGGCTCCCTGTGCCTTCTGATGAAATGCCCATCTCCGTCCCGTCACCTGCCCCTCTGCGATCTGGGTTCCAACTGTCACCAGCCTCCTCTGCCACTGTATCCTCCTTACTTTATTTGTAATCAGTGTTACTCAAGTATGATTGATGTACAGCAAGATAAACACTTTTTAAGTGTTCCATTCTATGAATTAAAACTGGGTTTTTATCATTAGAAACACACTGAGGATTTTGTCTGTCTCCCATAGACGGTGACCAGAATGTCTCAGAGAGCTCTGGAGACAAACAGATGGTGGTGATGGTTGCACAAGGCTGGGCACTGGAACTGCAGTGCAAGTGTGAACATGGGACCACACACTTAAAAATGGCTATGGTGGCAGACTTTGTTATCTATATTGTACAATCATTTTAAGATGCTAAAAAAAAAAAAAGAGAAAAATGTCACAAACACTTGGCTGCTTTCATCGCCTTGAGAGAGACAAAAATGTATAAGGACAGATTGTATGCTTTGGCGAGCTTATTGAAGGTTTGAAAAACAAATTTTACCCATAGTTTTGTTTTGCATTAAACTAATTAAATGCTATGTTTCATGGTCGTGGCCAGATGGACCATATTTCTCAGAAGGTAAAATCCTGTTGTTGTCTAGAATGCTCAGAGCTTCAGAGCCTTGCAGGGCAGCCAGCTGGGAGTGGGGTTGGGGTGGGTGGGGCAGGGGGGCGGTGTGTATTCCCTGTGTGTCTGCACTGGGGGTGGGAATGGGATGAAATTAGCAAAAGCAAGGAGATAGAGCAGGGTAAAGATATGTGAGTGACCAGGGAAGGGCATCTGAATGGCTCAGTCGGAGTAGTATTGCCATTGGAAGCTGGGATTCCTTTTTTTTTCTTCTCTTTTTGCAATAGTCAAATTACATAGTAAATGTGATTTAGGAAAATTTGTCTATCAATATGTAGGGCAGATGGCAAGCAGAGAACTTACATGTAATTTTGTAGTTTTAAGCCTGGGGCATAGATCATGCCATTATGTAACTATCTCTCCATGTAATTTAGAAGCAGAAAGCAAAGACTGATTTTTAAAACTCTTTGATGTTGACAATGGGAGGAATTTGCCTTAAATGTAAAGATTAGGGGTAAAGAGGTTAGGAAAGGATTCCTATAAATTTTTGAAGTCTTGACTGACCTCTGTGTGGTATCTCCTAAGGAGAGGGATTGAATAAGTTCTTTAAAGCTCCTACACTATTTAACAAACTATGAGTTAGTTGTTCAGGGTTTTCTTAATAGAGTACAGTTTCAAAGCACAGCAGCATCAGCATTTTAAGCATGTATTAGGTGGCATATGCATTTGTTTGTGGACTTTCTGAACCTCTGGGAAAAGGTTATTTGGAATAGATAACATTTTTAGTGGCCATAAAATTCAAATAGAAAAATAATAGGGACATTACTTGAACTTAACCTATATTTCGAAAAATTATCATAGGGATCTCTTGTAAACTTTGGTATAACATAAGGAAGATATGCCAAATTATTTTTGAAATAGAGATGAGTCTGAAATCATAATGGTGATTAGTTGGTGGTTCCTAATACAAAGAATAACCATAACATATGTATATTGATGTGAAAAAGTGGATATTATATACAGCTTGGAGTCTACTTATTTTTGGCAACACATACAAGAAATTTTAGTGTTTTCTTGGGGGTGATTAAACTGATAGGGGATAAAGGCCAGGAAATGAGATGCATATTTAGCAGGAAGGTCTGGAAATACTATCACTGAAATAGAAATAGATATTCTAAGACCACAGCAATTTGGGGACCAAATGAAACTGAACCGCAGAATTTAGTTGACAGCTGTTTAAAAATTTGTCAATATCTGACAAGCCTAAAACAAGCAAACAAACCTTTATTATACTGCAGCAGAGATTCCCAACCTTTCTGGCACCAGACACTGGTTTCAGGGAAGACAGTTTTTCCACAGAGGGCATGGCTTTGGGATGATTCAAGCACAGTACATTTATCATTAGATCCTCATAAGGAGCGTGCAAACTAGATCCCTTGCATGCGTGTTTTACAATAGGGTTCATACTCCTGTGAGAATCTAATGCTGCCACTGATCTGACAGGAGGCGGAGCTTAGGCAATATTGCCCGCTAGCCCTCCGCTCACCTCCTGCTATGTGGTCGGGTTTGCAACAGCCACCGACCAGCACCAGTCCAGTCCGTGGCCCAGGGGTTGGGGATCCCTGTACTACAGGATATGAGAAAAGGCCTTACTGGCAGTTTGTTTTCTGTGTCTTCGAATTCTCACGCCTGTAATCCCAGCACTTTGGGAGGCCGAGGTGGGTGGATCACGAGGTCAGGAGATCGAGACCATCCTGGCTAACATGGTGAAACCCCGTCTCTACTAAAAAAACACAAAAAATTAGCTGGGCATGGTGGCAGGTGCCTGTAGTCCCAGCTACTCGGGAGGCTGAGGCAGGAGAATGACGTGAACCTGGGAGGCGGAACTTGCAGTGAGCGGAAGCCGAGATCGTGCCACTGCACTCCAGCCTGGGTGACAGAGTGAGACTGCGTCTCAAAAAAAAAAGTGAAATGAATTATGGTTCATGTATAAATTGCCATTTTAATCCAAAACGTTTTCAGTAGATGAATACTTTGATTTTTTAAAATTGTTTTGCAAACATATATTTCCTTTTGCTGTTTTACAGCTTTATTTTTTTCTGTTGGACCTGTGAGAGATTTTGTTTTATCATCAATTTTTTATTATTGTTTGAAAATAATCATTATTTTTCAAACTTTTTTTTGTTTGTTTTTTGAGATGGAGTCTCACTCTGTCACCCAGGCTGGAATGCAGTAGTGCAGTGTTGGCTCACTGCAACCTCCGCCTTCCAGGTTCAAGCGATTCTCCTACCTCAGCCTCCCAAGTAACTGGAATTACAGGAGTGCACCACCACACTCAGCTAATATTTTTTGTATTTTTAGTAGAGACAAGTTTTCACCGTGTTGGACAGGCTGGTCTCAAACTCCTGACCTCAAGTGATCCACCCGCCTCGGCCTCCTGAGCTGTTGAGATTACTACAGGCGTGACCCCTTTGCCCGACCTTCAAACATTGTTAGAAAAAAATCATATCTAAATTACCCCTTCTTTCCATTATTATGTCATTAGCTTCTTGTTTGGGGAGCCTTAATTAAATATGTTAATGCACGGAGATGCTATGCACTTGGTCAACCCTATTACAAATTGGTATCTATGTCCTACTAGTAACCCATGCTTCATTATAAATGATAAAAGAAGTCACTGGCTTTGGGCTGGATTTCATTTTAAATGTTAGAATCAACAGAGAGTAGATGTTTTAAACCATGATCAAAATTTCATCCAGTGACTTTTCCCCTCTTGCATATAATGCATGACTTAACTATACCTCAAAACAATGTGTTTCATTTGGGGGACACAAGAAATTTCATTACACGGTAAAAGATAAAATCCTAATAGCTAAGCTTTCCTCTTCTGTCCTGTGCATCTGCCTTGGCAGAGTTAGCTTTATGTTTCCTGTTACAGCTTTTATTTGAAGGAATAGATTGGCAGCTATGAGTGCGGTGTTAAAATGTTAATAAGTAAAAGGCAAATTTAAAAATATCATTGACATATGGACCTTTCTGTAAAGGCTGTGGCTTCATCAAGTATGGAACCATCCATTTTCTATTAAAAGCTTTAATAAGTGTTGACCACCTACTCCAAGGCAGGCAGAATGCTGAGACTGAGGTACTGGGACATGCTGCACAGAGTTCCCCATCTAATACAGGTTGGGGAAGAGGTGAGTACAGTCATCCCTTAGTATCCACAGGGTACTGGTTCCAGGATACACCCTCCCCACCTTCAGATGCCAAAATTTGTGGATACTCAAGTCCCTTATATAAAATAGTGTAGTATTTGCATATAATCTATGCACATCCTCTTGTATACTTTACATCATCTATAAATTACTTAAATACCTAATGCATTGTAAATGCTATGTAAATAGTTGTTACACTGCATCAGTTTTGTTTTGTTTTGTTTTGTTTTTTTGAGACGGAGTTTCACTCTTGTTGCCAGGCTGGAGTGCAATGGCGTGATCTCGACTCACTGCAAGCCCCGCCTCCTGGGTTCACTTGATTCTCTTGCCTCAGCCTCCCGAGTAGCTGGGATTACAGGCACGTGCCACCGCACCTGGCTAATTTTTTGTATTTTTAGGAGAGACAGGGTTTCACCATGTTGGCCAGGCTGATCTCGAACTCCTGACCTCAGGTGATCCACATGCCTCAGCCTCCCAAAGTGCTGGGATTACAGGCGTTAGCCACCTCTTCTGGCCCAGTTTTTAAATATGTACTATTTATTCTTGTATTGATATTTTTACTGTTTTTCTTTCCTGAATATTTTTTTTTCCTGTGGTTGTTTGAATCTGTGGAGACGGAGAGCCTGGCTGTACAGCGTAAGTGCTCTGATGGCTGTGTGCACAAAGACCTCTGCATGCACAGGCCTGGTGCCAACCCCATCCCAAGAGCATCTGGGCTTACAGTCCATGATTACCTGGGTGGTCCCTATCTTGTGCTGACAATTGTTGAGTAATAACTGCAACTGTAATATGTTGGTGGGAAAACTACTTAGAGAAGTTTCCCATTGGACAATTGAAAAATGGGAATTAACTAGAAATGTAAACATTCTGAATTCTGCTTTCCTTGCCTCATGCATGCTCATTCTCCAAGTCAAGAACTCTTGGGTCATGGGGACAAGAGGAACAGGACAGTCCCTCCTCTTGGAATCAAATAGAGAATGCAGATAAGAATTCCCACAATTATAATATGGTGTGGTGGGGCTGGCTTAGAGGAAGACAGCTTGCAATGAGAACTGTTAGAAGTGGTGCTTTACAGGCGTGGTAGGGTAAGGGCCTCAGGATCCCAGGATGAAACGAGTTAAGACCTGAAGGATGAGTAGCAGCTGATCAGGTGAAGGGGTGGGAGGAGAGGGTCAGGGAATGTGCCAAAGAGAGCCCAGCACCTGCCTTTCCCATCCATGTTCTCTGTCTGTTCCAGCTCTGTGATAAATGTCAGCAATTAGCCCAGCCCTTAGTACCTAACAGAGAAGAAATGCATTATGCTGCGGTTTTATATTTCAGTCGGAAGATGGCTGGAGAACTAGTTAAACACGTGCCTAGGAATGTTCTCTGAAAGGCCAGCTGGTTGCTGCTGGTTGATAGAGCTGGGAGTTTATTGGCAAAAGGTGGAGAGGGGGTGAGAGGACAGGGAAGAGGTAGGTATTAAGCCAGAGAAATACTAGCAGTCTGGAGGGATTCCCTACAAGATACACAATCACTTTGAACTTTATAAAAATAGACTCTTACTGCCCTTTCCATGTGACAATCTATGCTTTTTTTATGATGTTTTTGCAGCTGCCCTACCTAAAAGGATCATTATAAAGATCCAGCACTAAAAAAATGTTTTTAGGCATTGATGGTTTAAAAAGGAGTCTTTGGAACTCTATAAAATGTTTTAATCTCCTTGGAATAAAAAAAAAATGCAAGTCCAGAAACAGAGCCCATGCAAAGAACTTCCAGGGCTCACGTGAACTTTGAGAGGTCAGCCCTGTGCTGGAGCTGTGCTTCGTAGCCCGGGTGCACTCTCCCACCCTACCTGTTACTGTGGCAGAAGTGATGAGAATCCAGCCCACTTCACCTCACGAATTCCAATTTGCTTCCCTTCCTTAAAGGCCTCTTGCATTCAGAGACAGCACCCACATAGTTTAGTACTGATTGCAGGCAAGGGGTGAATGTTACTTTTATTTTTCCAAATTGGTTATGACTTCCCTAAGGGCAAATAATCCATTGACTACATTTCAGTAGAGGCACACACGTAAGAATCTTTTGGACATTTTGGTTTTTGGGTTTTGTTTGTTTTTTTAGAATGTAAGAGAAGATTTCCTAAGTAGCATATTATTTGTATTTCCTTTTAGGAAATGCTTTTCTTATCCAACTGAAATCTTTCCCGGTGTAATTTTCATGCAGAGAACTATACCCTTCAAGTACTAGAAGATACATTTCTTTTTTTTTCTTTTGTTTGAGAAGGAGTCTCGCGCTGTCACCCAGGCTGGAGTGCAATGGCGTGATCTCAGCTCACTGCAACCTCTGCCTCCTGGGTTCAAGCGATTCTCCTGCCTCAGCCTCCTGAGTGGCTGGGATTACAGGTGCATGCCACCACGCCCGGCTAATTTTTGTTTTTTAATAGAGATGGGGTTTCACCATGTTGGTCAGGCTGGTCTCAAACTCCTAGCCTCATGATCTGCCTGCCTCGGCCTCCCAAAGTGCCGGGATTACAGGCATGAGCCACACGTGGCCTACATTTCTATTATATTGTGTTTAACCCTATCTTTTGAAAGAATAAAGAATAATTTTGGCTGGGTGTGGTGGCTCATGCCTGTAATCCCAGCACTTTGGGAGGCTGAGGTGGGCAGATCACCTGAGGTCAGGAGTTCAAGACCAGCCTGGCCAACATGGTGAAACCCTGTCTGTACTAAAAATACAAAAAGTTAACCGGACATGGGGGCACACACCTGTAATCTCAGCTACTCGGGAGGCTGAGGCAGGAGAATCACTTGAACCCATGAGGCAGAGGCTGCAATAAGCTGAGAGTGAGACTCCTTCTCAAAAAATAATAATAATAATAATTTTGATTGAATTCTTTAAACACATTTCTACCTTAATAGAACTTCTATTTTGGCTGAAATTCTCAAAGAGCCTTTCATTCTTATGTAGTTGACTTTACCAATTAGGTTTTTCCTTGCTAAGTTTTCTTTTCATTTTAGTTTGTGTTGCTCTCATTTTTTTCTTTCTGTTCTTTCTTTTGCCAGTAGAGACATAGTTGTCTAAAACTTTTGAAATCAGATTTCGTTTAAGTTTTAGAACTACTTCTGTGACAATGTCTGAGCACAGAGCCACTGATCGTGCCTTTCTATTCATTTTTCTCTCTCTATACCCAAATAGCACCATTCTAACTGGATTTCAGTAATAACTGCTTTAGGGTGATAGAAAGCCCAAGATCAAGAATGGAGACTTCATGTATAGGCTGTAGAAAAGTCAGTGGGCCAACAGAAAGAGCACCTTCTGTAGCAAATGAGGAAGAAGATAAAGGAAGGAGGACACGGGAATTCGTGACGTATCACTACCATGATGGAAAATGATCCTCATGTTTGACAATCATACATTTGCTTGTAGAGGATCAAGAGCAGGATATGTTCCCTTCTGCTCCTTTTCTCTAAGCTGGTCAGCCTTAGGTGTGAGATGTAGATTTTGACCCTCGGTTTTAAAACACCCTTATGTATGCAAGTAAAATGTAATTATTTATGAGAATGCAATTCGTCATTTTTTTTCTTGGACTTGGGAGTTTGTTGCCTTTTACCTTTAGTTGAAATAGCTTCTATTTAAAAGTATCACATCAGGAAACTCATCTCTCTTCTGGTAAATGTCTGTACTTTCAAGTGGTAAATAATCTCCATTGCGTTCTAACGATACATCTGAGCTGCGATATTGGTTTTCCAGCAGATGTCCTAAGAGTTTAGAATGCCCTTAACTTCTCAGTTCCAATGTCCTGGCAGATCAAGTGGACTATTTAAAGATGGATCAAGAATAGGAGTTATATACACGCCTTCTTGCCTGGTTTTTCAAACAGAGAGAAGGCAAAGTAGATTCATCCTATTAAATACTACATGTGCCTCAAGAGCATGTCAGTGAAATATTGATCAAAATATTGTCCTCTTTTACCCAGGAATTATAGGATGAAGTTTATTTTTATTCGTTTAATTAAACTGCATGTTGTTTTAATAATCTTTTTTGTCAGTCCCTTGCCCATTTGAAAGTTGCTTTTCTTAACATGAACTGTTAACTAGAAGCTTTTACTTCCCTGTTAGTTCCACCTTAGAGGTTGCCTTTATTCTACTGAAAGTGCTTATTTGTATAGTATATTATTTTATTTTTTAAAAATAAGGTATAATTTACACGGAGTAAAATTAACCCTTTTTAATGCACAATTCTATGTTTTTTTTTTTTTTTTTTTGAGACAGAGTTTCACTCTGGTTGCCCAGGCTGGAGTGCAGTGGTGGATCTCAGCTCACTGCAACCTCTGCCTCCTGGGTTTAAGCGATTCTCCTGCCTCAGCCTCCCCAGTAGCTGGGATTACAGGTGTCCACCACCATACCCGGCTAATTTTTTAAAAAATTATCTTTAGTAGGTCACTCAGGACTTGCTTAGAAACGGGGTTTTGCCATTTTGGCTAGGCTTGTCTCAAACTCTTGGCCTCAAGTGATCCACCTGCCTTGGCCTCCCAAAGTGCTGGGATTACAGGCATGAGCCACCGTCCCCAGCCATAGTACTATGACTCTTGACAAACACATAAACCAGTGCCATCACCAGGAAGTGGGCTTGCTTCCTACTACACCCAGATAAGAACAGTATGACACTGGCTCCAAAAATTCCCCAGTCTCCTCTGTAGTTAACCCCTGTCCCCCTCAGGGGACTCAGTTCCTGGCAACAGCTGGTCTGTTTTCTGACCTATAGTTTTGCATTTCTCAGAATGCTGTATGAATGGAATTGTACAGTATTATGACCCTCTGATTCCAATTTCTTCTACTCAATATAATGCATCTGAGATTCATCCATGTCGTTGGATCAGTAATTTATTGCTTTTATTGCTGAGTGGTATTCCATTGCATGGGTGTTTCACAGTTTATTCATTCACCTGTTGAAGGACATTTGGGCCGTTTCCTAATTTTGGTGATTATGAATAATGCCTCTGTACACACTCATTTTAGGTTTTAGTGTAAAGGTAGTTTCCATTTTACTTGGCAAATACCTTAAAAAATGGGGATCAGTTTCATTTCCTTATTCAGCGTTGCTGCATGGACTTATTTGCCTCTCCTCCTCACTTTGGTTACATGTGGGAAAAGTCAAGCAAAAACTTGGCCCAGGGGCCTCTGGTTCCATAACACCATTGGCCGGGCCTCTCTGCCTCAGGGCCTCTCCGGCATAGGTGTCCCATGGTTGGGGAGTCCTGGAAGTCCAGCTTTGGGGTCTGGGAACCAGGGAACCAGGGATCAGAAAGTCACTGGACTCCAGGGACTATATCATAGTTTAAAGAAGGGCTTGAGTAAAATGTGACCAGAATAGCATTGACAGTAATCAAGCAAGACGATGGTAGAAGACGGAGGAGTTGGCCTGGTGACCAATGCCTGCCAGCCCTTTCTGCACAGAAGAAATGCCAGGACCCACAGACATGGCTTTCCCTGGAACCACTCCTCTGTTGGTGGTCTCACTGGTGCCTGCCGCTAGCAGAGAGCAGCATGGTTACAGGTGAGGCCCCGCACCCAGGCCAGCTGTGGGACCTAGTTTCCAGCTCAAGCCGTGAAAACTTGGCTGCACCTCCTGACCCATCTCAGCCTCATTATCCTTTCCTGTAAAGTGAGGAAAATAGAAGTACATACATCAAAAAGTTTATGAGGGTGAAGTAAAATCATACAGGACAACCTTTAGCAAAGTGCCGACCACAGAGTGAGCCTTCCTCTTTGCCATTTGCAGTATTTTAAGGTATTTAACATCGATAGACCATACAATTATGGCATTGTTAAGAGCTGGAAGCTCTTCTAGTCTGTTGTTCCCCAACCACAGGGTTTTCCTATATGAGTTTACTTCATCCCCACAAACCTTCTGATGCATGTCCTTCTGTTTTCCTCACTTTATAGAAGAAGACACTGAGGCCGAGAGGGGTTAGAAGGTGTGCCCACGTTTGCATGGCTTGAGCTAGAAGCCCTGTCTTCCAGGTGGCCTGGCTGCAACCCTCCTAATCCAGAATCTTCCCCACAACAGCATGGCAGTCACTGATGCTCTCCTGGAAACCTTCTGGGGAAGGGGCTAAGTCTTCCCTTGCTCTACCTTAAAGACAGCTCTACCTTAAACATGGCTGTTATATATTGCAACTATATATCATTACCATAGAGCAAAATCACCATGATTACATCTGTTAGATTAACTCTTGAGTGGGCTTGCTTCCTGTTTGTGCATTCAGAATAATTGGTGCGCTAAGAATCAATTGTATTTCAGCAGTGTGGTCACCAGTTTACAACTGAGAAATCATTCTCTGCACATCATCTGTGGCCTCATCTTCTCCCCTGACCCAAATTGGTATTTATAGATTTCATTAATTAGCCTAGAATCCCAGAAGCTCAGATGCTTTGCTTGAGTTACATGAAGAGCAGGTAAATGAAACATGAAAACTGATGTACTTGTTTCTTTAAAACTCATGCCCCAGGGTGTTGAGAAACTCAGATTCTAAACAGAAATAGTGAACGCTGGTTGAATTGAGGATGGATGTGTGGTCCATGGTATTTCAAAATCATAGATATATAGATCTTTTAAATGACAATAATGTTAACTGTGTCAATGCTTGGAAATAATGGAATTATGCTTGGAATTAAGTTAAAATTCAGTATAAAATAATAGCATATGCAGTCACTACAATTTGTAAAATATTAAGGATCAGAAGACAAAACACAATAATGTAATTAACTTGTTTCGAATTTTGTAAAATGATTTTATTGCAAAGTTAGCTAAAAATAAAACTCTAGTGTTTAAACAAAACAAAACCAGAAAACCCCACTACTGATAAACAACCTCAGCAAAGTCTCAGGATATAAATTCATTGTACAAAAATCACTAGCATTCCTATACACCAACAACAGTCAAGTCAAGAGTCAAATCGGGAAAACAATGTCATTCACAAATGCCACAAAAAGAATTAAGTACTTAGGTAACTAGGGAGGTGAAAGGCCTCTACAGTGAGAAATACAAAACGCTGCTCAAAAAAATCAGAGATGACACAAACAAATGGAAAAACATTCCATGTTCATGGATAGGAAGAATCAGTAAAATGGCCATAGTGCCCAAAGCAATTTATAGATTCTATGCTATTCCTGTCAAACGACAAGTGACATTCTTCATAGTACTAGAAAAAACTTTTAAAATTCATATGAAACAAAAAGAAATGAGCCCCAATAGCCAAGGCAATCCTAAGCAAAAAGAGCGAAGCTGGATGCATCAGTGTTACCTGACTTCAAACTATGCTGCAGGGCTACAGTAACCCAAACAGCATGGTACTGGTACAAAAACAGGCACAAAGACCAAGGGAACAGAATAGAGAACCCAGAAATAAGACCACATACCTACAACCATCTGATCTTCCACAAAGCTGGCAAAAGAAATGGAGAAAGGACTCACTATTCTATAAATGGTGCTGGGATAACTGGTTAGTCATATGCAGAAGATTGAAACTGTACCATTCCTTACATCATATACAAAAATCAACTCAAGATGGATTAAAGATTTAAATGTAAAACCCAAAGCTATAAAAACCCTGAAAGATAACCCAGGCAATACCATTCTGGACATAGGAATGGGTAAAGATTTCATGATGAAGATGGCAAAAGCAATTGCAACAAAAGCAAAAATTGACAAATGGGATCTAACTAAACTAAAGACCTCTGCACAGCAAAAGAACCTATCTACAGAGTAAATAGACAACCTACAGAACAGGAAAAAATGTTTGCAAACTATATAGGTCCAAAGGTCTAATATCTAGCATCTATAAGGAACTTAGACAAATTTACAGGAAAAAAAGAACAACCCCATTAAAAAGTGGGTAGGCTGGGCGCAGTGGCTCATGCTTGTAATTCCAGCACTTTGGGAGGCAGGCAGATTGCTTGAGCCCAGGAGTTTGAGACCAGCCTGGGAAACATGGCAAAACCCTGTCTCTGTAGAAAAAAAAAAAAGTCCAAAAATTAGCTGGGCATGGTGGTGCATGCCCATAGTCCCAGCCACTTGGGAGGCTGAGGTGGGAGGATCGCTTGAGCCTGAGAGGTTGAGGTGTGGTGAGCTGTGATTGCAACATTGTACTCCAGCCTGGGCAACAAAGTGAGACCTTGTCTCAAAAAAAAAAAAAAAATAAGCAAAGAACATAAACAGACACTTTTCAAAAGAAGACATACACAGTGGCCAACAAGCATACAAAATAAAGCTCAACATCACAGATCATTAGAGAAATGAAAAATCAAAATGACAGTGAAATACCATCTGACACCAGTCAGAATGGCTATTATTAAAAAGTCAAAAAATAACAGATGTTGGCGAGGTGGTGGAGAAAAAGGAATGCTTATACACTGTTGGTGGGAGTGTAATTAGTTCAACCATTGTGGAAAAACAGTGTGATGATTTCCCAAAGACCTAAAAACAGAACCACCATTTGGCCAACCAATCCCATTACTGGATGGATACATACCCAAAGGAATATAAATCATTCTGTTATAAAGACATATGCATGCATATGTTCATTGCAGCACAATTCACAATAGCAAAGGCATGGAATCAACCCAAATGCCCATCAATGATAGACTGGATAAAGAAAATGTGGTACATATACACCATGGGATACTATGCAGCCATAAAGAGAACGAGATCATGTCCTTTGCAAGACCATGGATGGAGCTGGAGGCCATTATCGTTGGCAAACTAACATAGGAACAGAAAACTAAATACCACATGTTCTCAGTTAGCAGGAGCTAAATGATAAGAACATACAGACACAAAGAAGGGAATAACACACACTGGGGCCTATTGGAGGGTGGAGGATGGGAGTAGGGAGAGGATCAGGAAAAATAACTAATGGGTACTAGGCTTAATACCTGGGTGATATAATCTGTACAACAAACCACCATGACACAAGTTTACCTATGTAACAAACCTGCACATGTATCCCCGAACTTAAACACACACACACATACACACACACACACACACACACACACACACACACTCCAGCTACTCCTACTAAGCAGTCCACTCTGCCTGGAAGTTGCTGGAAGGACTCCATGCGAAAGTGGTTTCTCTCCTCCCAGAACATGATTTTACTGGTTTCTTTCAAAGCCTATTCATCATCCTCCCTTCAGGACACTCTTAAAATTTGCCTTCTGTGGAGCTCTTTACCATAAGAACAAGCAACAATGACATGTTCCAGCCCATTAGTGTTAATATTTGTTGATCCGAAGATGGAAAATACATTTTACTAGACCCTTGTTTCCTTCTTGCTGCTGAGTATATTTTCAATCTATAAAGCTTAGATAAATTTCGTATATGCTCACCTTTTTTTGTGGGAGACTTGCAAGAGAAACCTACCCTAAAAGCTAACCTAGCCACCTTCTATTTGCAGAAATAAAGCAAAAATCATTTTAGTGTTGATTTTGATGTACCAGAACCTAAATTGCTTAAATTAAAAACTTTTTAGAGCAGTGTGTAGAATTCTATTTGTGTCCGTGAGTATGGCTAATAACTCCATTTTAAGAACCAGAAAAGGAAATAAAATAAGTTAACCATCTCCCTTGAGCTGCAAAAGTTGCTAATCAAAAACTTCATGTAAACAATGTACCGATATCAGACTCTGGTTATGATCTGTATACATTTAGTGTGCAATTCAAGTATAAAGGCTTTCATTTTTTGGCAGCCCAGATGCAAACAATAAAATAATCCTGCTTATTTCCTCTCAGCAGCAGGTTTTGTCATCCATATGTAACTGACCGAACAGTGTTTAGCCACAAACAGAAAACACTTTCTGCAGGTGGTTAGTTGTCTTTAATATGTCTCATCAAGCCTATCTGTGTGCTTCTGTGTGGGCTGCTGTGCTCTTCAAGGCCTAGGTCAAGTGCCTTGGCCAGTTAGTGGTTAGATAATTAATAGAGACTCACTAAGTATGTATTATTTACCGACTACCACTTTCCTGATTGCTTTGAAACTAATGAAATGAACAAAAAATGTAATTATGGTCCTTGAGGGAATTTATGATCTAGTTAGAAGGGTTAGGAAATACTTTGGGCCCAGACACAGTGGCTCACACCTGTAATCCCAGCTCTTTGGGAGGCTGAGGCAGGAGGATTGCTTCAGCCTAGGCGTTCAAGAGCAGTGTTGGCAACAAAGTGAGACCTCATCTCTACAAAAACTAAAAGAAAGAAAAAAAATAGCCGGGGGTGGTGGTATGGGCCTGTAGTCCTAGCTAGCTCCTTGGGAGGCTGAGGCAGGAAGACTGATTAAGCTCATGAGGTCGAGGCTGCAGTGAGCTATGATCACAGCACAACAATGAGACCCTGTCTCAAAAAAAAGAAAAGAAAAAGAGAGAGAGAGAAAGAAGAAAGGAAGGAAAGAAGGAAGGAAGGAGAGGGGAGGAGAGGAGAGGAGGGATAGGGGAGAGAGGGGAGGGCAGGAGAGAAGAGAGGAGAAGAGAGGAGAAGAGAAGAGAAGAGAAGAGCAAAACTTTGGAATTGTTTCATAGGAGTGGTACCTTTTCCCACACTGACTGTAAAAAGTTCAGAGAAACAAAGGGATTTTCACAGCAGTGCTTGCAATTCCAACATCTGCCTTGTGACTTTCAATTTTGAGTTAATATTTGAAACTGTCTTCGTTGCCTGCATAAAGTGATCAAGTGACCATCAGTACAAAGACTTTTTCACATACCTGTTTTAATTGCTCTGGAGAATGCCTGATTCTCTGAGTTATTGCCTAGAGGTTTTCAGAGTAAATTACAAGAGTACTACATAGACTTTATATTAAGTCGGGTCACCCCAAATATTTTATGAAAACCTGCCCAGCCATTTCTACATGACATGGTAACAAGCATAGAGATGAAAATTTTATTTATCTAGATTAGGCAAAATTCTCCTATACGCTATGTTTAATGCCATGGGTTGTCTATATTTTATCTTTATATTGTGCAAATGTGTGTATGTGTATTATACACACATGTATGTAGAAGTACATATGTGTGCACATATATGTGTATAATTGTATGTACACAAGTACATACATACAAATACTACATGTACTATCAGGCTTTCTCAGGGGAGACTTAGTGTTTTTTTTTATCTTTACTGGAAAAAACTGTTGTTGGTAATAGCAAAGACATTTTGTGTTAGCCATTAACGAGATAGCAGAGAAATCCTTTGCTATCTAATATGTCACGGTGAAGGCCACTGGTATGAGCTTATGTTGAAATTCAGGATTTTTCTGATGTCATGAGTGTACTCAGGTGACCACATTTTGAATCTTTTTACTTTTAAAAACAATTCCCCACCCCAGTTCTTTAGCTGAGATTGTCATTTGAAGACGTGTGCCCTGTTCATCCAGTTGCACATGACCAGAAGGCCCTGGAGAATGGTTTAAGCCATTTTGAAGAGCACAGACATGGGGGAGAAGGAGGTAATCGTCATCAATACATCATCCCTACCTCTTTCAAACTTCTGTATATTTTTCGTACTTGGTTGGTTTGTTTTTGAGATGGGGAGAAGACAGAGGGAGGACAGAGGCTCTCAAGGAGTTTGTGAGTTTAGAGCTGGCCTGATGGCCATGAGCAGCATGTTTTCCATCTTGAAGAAAGAAGAGGTGGGAATTCAGAATGGTGCAGCTGCCTTGGTAAAACCTTACGGTGGCTTTATTTCTACTTACCAAATACTAGAAACAACCTATATGTCCCTTGACTGAGAAGTGGATAACTGTGCAGTATACCTATGCAGTGGAATATTACTTAGCAACAAAAAGGAGCAATACACAGAATACAGTGCTTTGCTGTGCAAATGCATTGTGCTACATGAAAGAACCCAGACTCAAAAATGACACCCTTTCGTATGATTTTGTATAAATGCATGATTCCACTTATTTGACATTCTGAAAAAGACAAAAACTGTGGGGACCAAAATTAGATCTGTGGTTTCCAGGGTCTTTGGGTGGAGGAAAAGGGTGACTACAAAGGAGCACAAAGGGTTTGGGAGAGTGACAGAAATACTCGGTGTCTTGATTATGGTGGTTACACAAGGGTGCGCAGTTATCAAAACTCACAACTGTACATTAAAAAGGATGAATAATTATTGTATGCAAACTATATCTAAAAATAAATAAGAAACAGATATATATATTCCAGTAATTGCTTCTTGGTATTTGAATCAGGCCAAGGATAACATCTATCAGAAAGGTCTTTTATTGATATTGAAATTCTGCCCCAACGCATTCCCTCTCCTACACACACACACACACACACACACACACACACACACACACCTTCTCTCTCTCTCTGCCTGCCCCCACCATCTCATATTTTCTTGTAATCATTTTTATGGGATTTATAGGATGTCCAGCTCATGCACAAGTGTCAGCCTCTTGTTTGTAATCTCGGTAGCTCAGCCTCCCGAGAGTGATCCAGCCATCCATGACTGAGTTTTGATTCAAGAAACAGGACTGTGATCAAGATATTAATTCTATGCATTATAAACCAGGGAACAGTTGGAAAAAAACTAAAGCTTAGTCTCCTTTAAGACTGGAAAAGTTGTACTTTATATATGCATATGTGAATAGTAGCAGGGAATTTTCTTGCATTCAATTTTCTCATTCCTGAGAGGTTAGATGGTTCAAATGTGCTGGGGCAGGGAGGGATTTTCACTCGGCTGTCAGAGCTTCATATCCCTCACTATTTTTGAGTTTTAAGAAGATATTTAAAATGCTTATGTTTCTATACATTACATTAACTTTTAAATATGAATATTATAGTAAATAATAAATCATAATTCACAAGTGCAAAGACCTTCTGTGCCCATGTTTAGCATATTTGGTCGATTTCTTTTCCATGGCACTCAATGACAGCTGAAGAAATTTCTTTAGGATGACAGATTGTCAGCACATTGACATAGATTGTTTTAGATGTATATTTTTAGTGGGAATGAATGAAATTTAAGTGAGCTTTTCTCAGAAATATAGTAATAAGGAGAAGAGTTGCTATTTCATGTGTCAAGCTTACAGGACTTTTTTCCCCCTCTTTGGGTTATAGTCAACCTAATTAGCAATTATTAACAAGTATCTTACAAAATAAAAAGAAAATTTGGAATTTGCTGAAAGCATCCTAACATCTACTAGAATAGCGCTATTGATAAGTAGTAAAGAAATTTATCTCAAATCTCCCTTGCCCAAGATAGAGAAAAATTAATTAAGAATACTCTAGAATTTTTTTCTGGTCCTTTATTGAACTTCATTACTTAATTAGTCCTTAGAGAGAAGAACCATCAAAACTTGGTAGGTGGTGACAGCATTTTTTTACATTTATCTGTGAGATGGAACTAGAATATGGAGTTCACAGGACAGCATTTCACTAACATATCTTTTTTTTTTTTTTAAAAGACAGGGTCTTGCTCTGTCACCCAGGCTGGAGTGCAGTAGCACGATCTTGGCTCACTGCAACCTCCACCTCCCAGGTTCAAGCAATTCTCCTGCCTCTGCCTCCCTAGTAGCTGGGATTACAAGCACCTGCCACCATACCCAGCTAATTTTTGTATTTATAGTAGAGACAGGGTTTCTTCATGTTGGCCAGGCTGGTCTCAAACTCTGACCTCAGGTGATCTGCCTACTTTGGCCTCCGAAAGTGCTGGGATTACAGGCACGAGCCACCGCGCCCGGCCCATAACTAGTTTTAAAACTATGATTACTTCATAGAATCCTGGTTTCTTCAGAAAACTACTTTATCAGGATGAAGGGCTAATTGTGTGGTTATGACCTAGTTACTGCTGGAAGTGCTGGAAATCATTCAATAAG
Source organism: Homo sapiens (assembly GCF_000001405.40). Classification (NCBI taxonomy): domain Eukaryota; kingdom Metazoa; phylum Chordata; class Mammalia; order Primates; family Hominidae; genus Homo; species Homo sapiens. The sequence continues at coordinate 25,796,382 of NC_000013.11, forward strand.
AAGGCAGGTGTGTGTTGTTTATTACCTCCAAACATTTGGGACCCTCTCTTCACTGCATAGGGGCCGTGAGTACTGGAGTTCCAAAAGGAGAGTGGGACACACATGAAACCCATTTTAATGAAGGAATGTCCAAGCTGGTTCCCCAGATGCTGAAATTAGATGGGGACCTACTGGGGAAGAGCCATTTCCAAACAGGAGAGAACAGGCCTAGCTTCCTAAAGGACTGTCTCAGATCTTCAGCACTAGCCCAGAGGGAAGTATTTCTCCACACTCACTTGAAATGGCCACTGTGCTACACAGAGCCCTTATCTGGATTCCTTTTAAACTGCAAAGATTTTAAAGGAGAGATCTTTATGCTTTTTTAAATTCCAGGTGTATTACTCATTAAATATGGACATTGTAGCCAAGAACAGTGTAGTTCCCATGGTAGTGGACCGTATTATATTTTATTTAGTTCTTCTATATTACTTGGTTTTTTTTAAATCTGTGTTTGGCTATTTAAAAGTTTATACTTTGATCAAATGAATAATATCTAGTATTTGATAGCACAACCAGGTGACTATAGTCAACAGTAATTTATTGTACATTTAAAAATAACTAAAACAGCCAGGCGCCATGGCTCATGCCTATAATCCCAACACTTTGGGAGGCTGAGGCGGGCAGATCACCTGAGGTCAGGAGTTTGAGACCAGCCTGGCCAACATGGTGAAACCCCATCTCTACTAAAAATACAAAAATTAGCTGGGCATGGTGGCACACACCTGTAATCCCAGCTGCTCGGGAGGCTGAGGCAGGAGAATCGCTTGAACCCAGGAGACAGAGGTTGCAGTGAGCCAAGATCGCACCATTGCACTCCAGCCCGGGTGACAAGAGCAAAACTCCATCTCAAAAAATAAATAAATAGCTAAAACAGTAGAATTGGATTGTGTATAACACAAAGAAAGGATAAATTCTTGAGGTGATGGATACGCTATTTACCCTGAGGTAAAATACCTATTTCAAAATATCTCATGTACCCCATAAATATATACACCTAATATGTATCCACGAAAACTAAAAATTTAAAATTTTATTAAAAAATAAAATAATAATTTACATTTTGGTAATTGGTTATAGTACGTTCTTAAGAGAAACAAATAAAACTTTACATTAACTATTTGGACTTGAAGGAAACGATTTCATCTGCAACTATATAGACTGTTAAGGCCCGTGTTCCCACTTTTTTAGGAATTTGATGGAGAGGTTGTCTTACTACCATAGGTTTTATTTGGTTTAGGTTTCCTTTTCTATAGTATTTTTACATTTTAAAGGGCCCAAATTGTTCATTTAATGGGATGACTGTTAATGGGTGGAGTCTCCCAGGGCCGATTAGCTGTTTGAATGCAAGTTTATTACTCATAATGGCACTTTTTTTAAGTGTTAAAGTTTTGGTAAACATTTCATCTGAATTCATAAAATTAAAAGTGTTGATATTTCATTATAACTGAAGGGAGAAATTGTATAGAATTAGCAGTTGATTCCGTTTGGACTGTGAATAATTATCTATGGGAAGGGTACCCTGATTAAATCTGACTATTTAAGAGATAAGTGAATCTTAAATTCTTAATTTACAAAAGTTTGATCTATATCCAATGGGAATGAATCTCTTTTTGTATTCCATGATTAATTTTTTTTCAAGAATTCCTTAACTCCCATGTTATTTTCCCTGTTTAATTTTGCAGAGGCTATGACTTCCTCAATGCAAGGTTCCTTCACCCTTGAGAATCTCCTGGTTACTAATGGCCACCATGTGTCACATAATGAGCTTCCAGACTGAAATCAGACCAAGTTTGTTTCATTTGCACTATAAGAAATGGTAGTTATTCTTCTGTGAAGACATATATAGAATGAGCAGTGATGCATATAACTGAAAATCCCTCAGGGAAGCATTTGTTATTTGTGAAAAGTGTCATCTCGTTCTCTAAGAACTTCCTCAGCTTTTTCTGTTTGTTTAGGGGAGGGCACAGGAACATGATGGCATGGTGTTACATTTGGTGATTTGGTGCACACAACTGTCTGTGGTCATGCACTTTGATGTAACTCTTGTCCAACTGGCCTATCCAAAGTACAGATATATCTTCTTATAGATGGCTTTTAAAAAAAAGTAAAAAGCCCATCCTCAATAGATAAAAACTATTGCAAACAATTTTAAATCCTTAATAAGAAAATAATTTCAAATTGCTGTGCATTGACAGTATTTGAAGGAGGTGGGGATGTTATAAGGGATGGTTTTTAGAAAGAAAGAGCTGAGAGACATGAATTTTGCAGTGCAGAGAACATGAGCTTTAGATTCAAGCTCCAGTTGAATGATCTTTCTGTACTTCAGAGTCATAATTATAAAATAAGATTTAGTTGACCTCTGCAGGTAGTAGTGGCAGTTAAATGATGCAGGGGAGGCAAAGCTTTACCTCTATCCTCTTAGGGTCCTGGCTGGGCCTGAGAATTAAATGGACATGACAAATTAAGCCAGGCACAGTAATCCCAGCTACTAGGGAGGCTGAGGCAGGAGGATTGCTTGAGGCCAGGAGTTTGAGACCAGCCTGGGCAACATAGTGAGACCCCCATCTCTAAGAAAAAAAAAATTGACAGAACAAATTAACAGGAGAAAAGCACACCAATTTATTTAATATAAGTTTTATGTGGCACGGGAGCCCTCAAAGGAAAATAAAGATTAAAAAAAAAACACAGTCAGTTATTTTTATATATTGAATTGGACAAACAAAGATAAGTTGTAAAATGCGATAAGGCCAGCAGGCTTGGCCTAGGGTAGGTAATTATTGGAGAAGGAACTAGGATGATAAGGGTTAGTTAACAACCTTTGTGCAGATTTCCCTTGGATTCAACCTTCTATCCTTGATGATAAGAATGCTACTTTCCTTTTGGGGTAGGAAGGACATCTTTCACATGGGAGTTTCACCTCCTGCCTTTAAGAAACAGAACGAAGGTCACAGTGATCTTCTTGTGCCTGCTGTTTTTTAGGTTCCCTTAAATCAAAACAGCCAATATGCCAGAACATCATATTTTTAACTCCTTTGGTGGCATGAATATGGAGCTCCTACCTGAGTCTAAACACATGCAGCCGCTTCCCAGACACGGAATCATTGCCATAGATGATTATGTGGGATCTGACAGAAGTTTGTTACTTGAAAATAATTTCACACAAGTCTTCCACGTTGGAGGGCAGCTGTGGGCTGCAGAAGAGCCTGGAGAGAGTAGTCCCTGTGGCCTTGCCTCCGTCCCTGAGTGTATTTAGATGAACAAGGACCTTTCCCCTGAACATTTGTCTGCATGGATTTTTAAGGACTCCCTTCTCTGGAAGCTGCCCTCAAAGCATTTCAAGTGCTCTTGCTGATGGCAGATGAAGCTGCCGTAAAGCAGGGGGATGTGATTGAGCAAAAAATCTTTTCTCTTTCAACCCAGGAGAGCAAAATAGTAACTCTACTTCATGAAAACAAAATTGGCTGTTTCCAATAGAGCACTCAGATCTTCAGGAAAATGTAGCATATTTCCTAAAGGAGGTTAAAGGTGAATGAAACCTTTGCTGGTGGTTCCATATATTCTACCATAATCGTAATAACAACAGCAGCTCACATTTATTGGGCCTTTTAATGTACCGTCCATTGCTTTAAGTGTTTTACACATACTGTATTCACTTATTTAATGTCCACCAACTCCTAAGTCCCTGTTAGATGATCTTCATTTTACGTGAGGAAGCCAAGGCACCCAGAGGTGCGATGTAACTTGTCCACACTCAAACAGCAGCAAAGCTGGCATTTAAACCAGACATGCTGATTTTAGAACACTAACTGCATATGCTGCATCTATAATGAGTAAAAATCTATAACAGGTAAAAATGTACAATGGAGAATGGTGGGAACCAGTACCAGGAACCTGTGCAGACCTGGTCAGAGCAGGAAAGGAAATAAACACAGTTACATGATTATAAAACAACAAATTGGATAATAAGATCAGTCCTGAAAAGTCAACCAAAAGATGCTCACGCCAGACATTATTGCACAGTATCTTGAATCAGGCCCAGATATCTAAAATAAGCCTCTTTCCCGTGATTTTTCAAGAATCTTGCTTATTATATAGGGTGCAGCAACTCATTTTGACTTTAAAGGAGTAGTGTGGCAGGCTCCTGGACACCTGGAGGCACTATATGAATTTCTGCCTAAAAATTCATCCATAGGAAGGAGATTTGCTGAACTGAGAAAGTGAACATTTCACAAGAAGTACATATGTCTCCATGCTAAGAAGTAACTCCCTGGGCGATCGCCGTCATGCTGAGTGTTTCCATCTCCAAGCCCTGCTGCAGCCTGCCTCCTTGTCTCCACCCATGCCTGGAAAACCTAACCCTCATAAAAAGTCTCAGTAAGCAACAGTGAGAATAACTGTAAGGTGTTACAGGAGAGATGGTTTTGGCAGCCAAAAAGGGCTTATGATCCTAAGATCCACCTTAAAAGTGTTCTGTTGCCCAGTTCTGTATTAATTCTGAGCAGAGGCAGCAGAAAGCATCTTTCAGGGTCGAGAATTTCTGAGATCTTGACCGTCAGGAAAAGGATGCTTCCAGGCAGCCGTGGAAACTGAAATCCGAGCCCTAATCTTGCTCAGAGCTGCTGAGGTCTGTTTGTAGGAAAACATCGGGTTATTGTCTGAATAACATACATCCAAGTTACAACGGGAAAAGAAATCTGCCTTATGGAAAGAGAATGAACATTTGCTGGGTAGAGTTTATGCCTGCCTAGATGCTCCACCTCCAGGCTCTAGGTACTCTACTTCGGAGTGCAGTCTGCGCTCCCTCTTCTGGGATGGCTGCGGAGCCCAGGGCATCTCTCTCTAAGGCTTTCAACAAGTCTTATGGGCTGTCTAGACTCGCTGTCTTGGAATGAGTTAGTGCTCTGACCTGAGGAAAATTCCCCATGTTTCTCAGTGTCAAGCCAAAATCTCTAGGGCTTCAGTATTGCCCCACGGTTCTGGCCCGCTGGCCAAACACATAACTCTTTTTGCAGCTCATACAGGTAAATGTGAGCCAGTGCTGCTCTTACAACCTGCCTCCCACATCCCTGTCTGTGGGTGGCTCTCTCCTGAAGATGGTACTTCTCCAGAAGTTTCCAAATGATCAGAGAGGAACTGCTTCTGGGTACTCCTCCTTCTCCTTCTTCTTCTTGCCAGAGGCCTTGAATTTGCTATTGAGAGATTTGGCAATATACTTTGAAACGTGAAGATAATGAAGTTGTTGGGTGTGAACAAATGTTACTTGACTATTTAAATATTAAAAATATGATATACATGGTGTATTAGTCCATTCTCACACTGCTAATAAAGAACTGCCTGAGACTGGGTAACTTACAAAGGAAAGAGGTTTAATTGACTCATAGTTCTGCATGGCTGGGGAGGCCTCAGGAAACTTACAGTCATGGTGGAAGGGGAAGCATACATGTCCTTCTTCACATGGCAGCATCAAGGAGAAGTGCAGAGCAAAGTGGGGGCAGAAAGCCACTTATAAAACCATCAGATCTCGGGAGAACTCCCTCATTATCACGAGAATAACATGTAGGTATCTGCCCCCATGATTCAATTACCTCCCACCGGGTCCCTCCCATGACACGTGAGGATTATGGGAACTACAATTCAAGATGAGATTTGGGTGAGGACACAGCCAAACCATATCACATGGTAACCTACGTTAGAGATTCGTTGTATGAATAGCAGAACTTTAAAAAGTTTTGCCTTGCAGAAAACAGTTCCTATTATTGTTACAAATAAGTATACATCATCTTAGAACTTGTCTTTACAAATATGAACAATGAGTAATGGCAGGGAAACAAGTGGTTAAGATTCAGTGATTGAGGCTCAGTTTCTATACTGGCAACTCCATGGAGAGCTTGAAGACCAGCAGCTACATTCCCTGTCTTGATCATCCGGGGGTAGGAAAAGCATTGAAAGATGGGATGACTAATGCCTGCTAAATGCTGGCCAACTTTAAAAAAAATTGACTTTAGTATTATGAGATACGAATGGCATATTTTAATTAGGAAATACAGTAATCCTAAGTGAGCTTCATTTCTTACACAAAATATAGGAAGATGATACATGTTCACTGTGCTTGAGAACTTTTTCTCAAATTCAATGCAGAAAGGCAGTCTGTGAGGCAGTAGGAAATGCAGCTGCTGGAATTCTGTTATCAGTATGTGTATCAGTTCTGATTGAGTTGTAAAATGGAAGCCTGATGTGCTGGATATTAATTTAGCAATAGATAAGTCTGAAAATAGACTTACCTTCAATTTCATCATAAAAGTCAACCTCCCACCTAACACGTTGAAACTCCTGTGGTTGTGAAAGAAGAAAAATGAAGTTCCACTTCCCTTTCATTCCATGAGCCCCTTCAGTGGTTACTGCCTCACTAGAGGTGCAAGTTACTAGAACCGCAGAATATAAACTGTTACATAAAATGATGAAATATGCGCACAGAAAATAAGGGAGCTTTTTAAAATAAAAACTAATTTGTATGCTTTGGAAAGACTCAAAGGTGAGTTTTTTTTTTTTTAAGCTAATTAGATATGGGTAAGACAACTGTGAAAAACTGGAGAATTTTTTTTTTAAAGGCGTGAAGGATGTACACTCAAATTGCCTTGTAATTTTTCCTTTACTTAAAACCCTGAAACCGGACATTTTCTAACTGAAATCACATTGACACTCTGTGGTATCTATGTGTGATGGAGAATATGGAGCCAGGAGAGCAGTTCTTGGATACAGAACCACATTTTGGTTGAATGACTTTATGTTTATGTATTCGTAGTTAAATGCAATATGTATGTGGTCAGGTTTCATGGCTTTTTCAAGTGACTAACTACAGGTCTTAAGTAAGTCAGGTGACAGGATTGTACCAGATGTAAAAAACGAGTTTAATATAAACTCATCAATTTGTTGAAACTGAATATCAAAATGAGAACCTCAGTGTTTGGGGAACAGTTAAATCTACAACATAGTAATTTAGTAGAGGTTCATGGAGTCAATTTAAGGAATATCCCATGATATGTAAAAATATATATGTATATTATTAAATTGTATATTTGTAAAGATGTGGCCCAGATATAAACTTTATTTACCTCCAGCCATATAATAAGTAAATATCACACAGATTAGTTGTGCAGTCCAACTCTCGTGCGTGTGCACAGATCAGCCTCGGGACCAAAATGCCACATCCCTCTTCCCCATATGTTAGTATTGAAGTTCTGCCAATCCTTCAAAAACTGACTCAGATGTTACCATTACCTGAAGGCTTTCCTAAGTTCTCCACATCAAACTGTGGTTCACTTAGCCAAACCTGTTTGTTGTTAATACGTTGGAATATTACCTGCTGTTTCCTGTAGCTAGAAGTGGTGCTTAGTACTATGGTTTTCGGAATCACAGTACTGAAGAGGCATCTGAGAACTGTGTATGTGTTTGCACACAGTACTCAATCTCTAGCTTTTCTAAAACGCCATCTCTGGCACATTTGCTTAACTTATTTTAAAGAGCACACACTGAAGTAGTATGACAAGCAGCACAAGAACTTCTGTTTTCTGTGTTGGAAGAAATAACAAATGATTATACACAGCAAGGACAAAGAGATGAGTTTTTAGAGAAAAAAGCACATTAGCAATAATATTCCACTGGCGAAGTCACTACCTATGCATATCATATATTGTATACATTGGCAAAGCATTTTGTTTCAACTTTGCCTTTTCGTTTTTTCCAGTATGTATAAAATGCTTGTCTTAATTAATAGTCATTTTCTGCTGGGGGTGGGGTAAGGAATGGCCGTTTTAATGATATTAATGTACAGTGGATTCTTGGCTGTGAAGGAGTGTTACCAAATATTACAGCTTGTATTAAAAGTGTAAAGATAGAAATAAGTGGTGCCTGTTTAAAAAGCTATAAGATTTAGAAGCCTCTCCGCTCTGACAGGGATGGTAAAGCTCATTTTAATTCTGAAATGCAACTTCCATGTGTTTTACAGTTTAATTTTCTATAATTTTAACCAATTTTATATAATGAGTTTTGTAGCTTTATAAGTATATTAATCTAACAATTAAATAGAGAAAAACAATTGTTTCTACACGTACAGGACTAGAATGTGTGGCTAGTTTCTCTCTTATTGGTACCTCTACACAGTGGAGCTTTCTGTAAACACATTCTAAATATAGAAGTGTCTTTAAAGATGAGCTTTTCCTCTTTTTCTGTTAAGACAGAGCTTCCTTTGGGCTGGCATTTTGTTTACTCTGAAGGGGCTCCTCCAGGAGAGACACTCTGAACCCCGTGCATTCTGGGTGCCGAGCTGCCACAGGCTGGTTTGGGGACTTCTCAACTTAGTGCGCAGAAAAATGAATTCTGTGAACTTAAAATCAGAGTCTCTGCCCAAGGGGACTTCTAGCATCAAGAAAAGGTAGAAGCTAGCTGAGGTTTAAGAGGTTTGTGCAGGAGAAAAATGAGGCGTTAAATGGTTAAACACTGCCAGCAGATTTTTAGCATTGTTTAATAGTTTTAAATTATGGAGGTCTTAGGTCCAAAATGTAACAGTTATCCAACTCACTGACATTAAACATTCAGTTGCCAGCTTCTGTTTTCTTGGTCATTAATTTTCAGTCTATGTATTTTCGGTGCTTTGCTAAGAGTTTTGTTAAAATAACTTTTCTTGTTTGCATTCTCATTTCCTACAAATTCAGACTTTGCTTTAGAATCCAACAGATGGATACTTGGAGTTAGCTTATTTTTTCCATCTACCCTATTTTTTTTCCTTCTACCTTTTATTTAATGAGGAGGCCAGGTGTGGTGGCTCACACCTGTAATCCCAGCACTTTGGGAGGCTGGGGTGGACATATCACTTGAGCCTAGGAGTTCGATACCAGCCTGCGCAACATGGCAAAAATCTATCTCTATAAAAAATGCAAAAATACAAAATTAGCCAGGCATGGTGGTGCACACCTGTATTCCTAGCTACTTGGGAAGCTAAGATCAGAGGATCACCTGAGCCCAGGGTGGTCAAGGCTACTGTGAGCCAAGATCATGCCACTGTACTCCAGCCTGGGCAACAGAGTAAGACCCTGTCTCAAAAAAAAAGAAAAAGAGTAACAAAGTAAGATATCTTTTGTCTGGTTATAATAAAAGCTGTAGTATGTATAATTTACTCAAAAGCAGAGCTTGCTTTGGAAATCTCTACATGCTTGAAATTTAAAGCAGTGCATATATAGTCTCCATATGTATTCCATACTGTAAACCATGATGGTGTTCCAGGGATTGAGTCTGAGTGTTTATAAAATGGCACATGGCACTTAATTTTGAAACCGTGGAAATATTTAAATTACTGACTTGATGAAGGCTATAGATCAATGTAAGAACTTATTAGTTCTCACATTGATTTGGATGCATTCAAAGATGCTAAATGATTGCCAATATAGTTTTTTTTTCTGGACTATTTAATTCATGGTAGGTATATCCAGTATGTATAAGAAAGTAAAAAAAATGCAAACACTTTAATCTCAAATAACAGTATGCAGTGCTCTAATATAATATCTTCTACTCTGAAGGGCAGGTCATAAGAGCAGGCTCCTGGTGATGAGATGGGAGATCATTCTTCATTTGTTGGAAGATCAACTTTATTTCATGCCCTAGAAATGCTTGCTTTACAAAGAAACATACGTAGGGCAGCATGTATCCTGAGGTTTCCAAAAGAGAAAAGATTTGTTCACAGGGGTAAGTTGAGGAGGCGGGAGAACAGCTCTCAAATCCACCTCCCTGCCGATAAGACTTAGGAATATTTTTGGGTTAGGAAGTAACAGGTTCATTTGTGCAAGCGTATTTGGGGTTCTTGGCACTTCATATGACATATATACAGAAGATGGCAGCTTTAGCATGATCTGTGGGTGGAGTTTTTTGGCCCTCTGGCTTCAAAAGGCCACCTCTCAGGCATTTGCGCAGGCCCACTTGAAGGGTTGGTGGTCTCAGCTGGTTTGAAGTGAACAGCAGCTGGCCCAAGTTTCTGAAAAACAGCTGAAGCCAACATTACCAGGAATGTCATCTGTAATGCAGCCAGTAATGGTTAAGTTTCAGTGTTCTGTGGCACGGCCTTCAACTTCATGGAAAAGGGACAAAAATAACATAAAGCAAGTGGCCAAAAGCAAGCAGAGCAGGCAGTTGTGATCAGATTAACCTCTTGGTTTCACTGCTATGAACATCTGTATACAGGTTTTTTGTATAGAAATAGGTATTCAGTTCTCTTCAATACCTAGAAGTGGAATTGGTGAGTCATAATGATAACGCTATCTTTAACATTTTGAGGAACTGTTGAACTGTTTTCTGAAGTGGCTTCATCATTTTACATTCTTACCAGCAATGTGCTAGGTTCCAGTTTCTCCATATCCTCACCAGCACTTGTATTGTCTGTCTTTTTTTACTATAACCATTCTGATGGGTTTGAAGTGGTATGCCATTGTGGTTTTGGTTTCCATTTCCATGATGAGTAAGGATGTTAAACATCTTTTCATGTGGTTATTAGCCGTTTATATATCATCTTTGGAGCAATGTCTATTCAGATTCTTTGCCCATTTTTGGATTGGGTTGTCTTTTTATTGTTGGACTATAAGTGTTCTTTATGTAATCTATATACAAATGCCAAATCCTATATGAGATATATTATTTGTAAATATTTTATCCCATTCTGTAGGTTGTCTTTTCACCTTCTTTATAGTGTTTTTTTTTTTTTAGCACAAATGTTTGTAATTTTGATAAAGTCTAATTTATCTGTTTTTTCTTTTGTCCCTTATGCTTTTGGTGCCTTATCTAAAAAATTACTGCCTAGCCCAAGGTCAAAAAACTTTACTCCATTTTCTTGTAGGAATTCTATAGATTCAGCTCTTAAACTTACGACTGTTATTTATTTTGAGTTATTGTTTGTTAATGGTGTGAGGTAGTTGTCCAACTTCATTCTTTTGCATGTTGATATATAGTTGTACCAGTACCATTTACTGAAAAGACTATTCTTTTTCCTATTGAATTGTCTTGGTAACTTGTTGAAAATCAATTGACTAAAACAGAGAGGATTTATTCCTGGACTCTCAGTTCTATCCCATTTATTTATACATCTATCTGCAAAATTATTTTAATAAAAACAAATAGTGAGCACATTAATCCAGTGTGAGTAATTCATGGATCCATTACTAAATCTTTGTGAAAAATAGAGAATGGAAAAGTATCTTTAATCCTGTTACTGTAAATGTTTTGCTGTATTTCCCTTGAGTAGACTTAGACCATTTAATTCCTTTACAACAGCTATTCCTACCTGTTTCTTTTTTTAACTCACTCTGCTCATGTTACTTCTTTTCCTGTGCACTCGAGAAGCCAGAAGTAACACTGCAAAGCACAATAACCCCTAAAATCACTTGTCTGTCTCACACACACAGGAAGAAAGGAATAAAGGGTAAATTTCCTTTTAATATTTTATGTTTTATTGTTCTTTTTTTCTACAGTAAGCTACTCATTTACTGCATCTGATACTGAGGCTCTACAGTAGCCATGCACTTTAGTCTGTCTCTTAAGACACTTTTGGAGATATTTTCATCAGTGGTTTAAATCACAAGTTGCCTATTTAAAGACAAGAAAGAGAGCATTCTGAACAAAACATAAACATTTTTTAGCCCAAGTTCAAACTGGCTTTTTTGCTCCCCAAGACTTTTTTTTTTTTTTGAGACAGGGTCTTGCTGTGTCACCCAGGCTGGAGTGCAGTGCCACAGTCATAGCTCACTGAAGCTTTGACTTCTTGGGCTCAAGTGATTCTCCCACTTCAACTTTCTAGGTAGTTGGGACTACAGGCATGCACTACCATGTCCAGCTAAATGTTTAAATTTTTTGTAGAGGCCAGGCATGGTGGCTCACTCTTGTAATCCCAGCACTTTGGGAGGCCGAGGAAGGCAGATCACTTGAGGTCAGGAGTCTGAGACCAGCCTGGGCAACGTGGTGAAATCCCATCTCTACTAAAAATACAAAAATTTGCTGGGCATGGTGGTGCATGCCTGTAATCCCAACTATTCGGGAGGCTGAGGCAGGAGAATCACTTGAACTGGGGAGGCAGAGGTTGCAGTGAACCGATATCATGCCACTGCACTCCAGCCTGGGTGACAGAGCAAGACTCCATCTCAAAAAAAAAAAAAAATTTTTTTTTTGTAGAGTTGTCTCACTGTGTCACCCAAGCTGTTCTCAAACTCCTGGGCTCAACCTCCCACCTCAGCCTCCCAAAGTGCTGGTATTACAGGCTTGAGGTACTGTGCCTGGCCCCCACAAAGACTTTTTATACCTGAAATACCTATTTAAAGTATATTTCTACTTAAAATTTTTTTTCATCTTTCAGATACACTTTAATACCCATGTCTTAACTTTTACAAACCACTGTAACTTTATAAACAGAGATTACTTGAGAAGCAAACTGGCAATCCATATTTTCAGAGAGCTGAGAGGTTTTCCACAGAGCTGAAAGAGAACTAAGGAATACAAATCTCAGAAGGAAGAATTGCGTCCTACCTAAGAGGTAGGCATGAAGGACACATGCACTTTTTGCAAACTGTGCTGTTGAAATTTACACGCTACATCTTCAGTTGTCTGACTTGGACAATGACACTGCTTGTATATGAAATAATATTAGCTTAAAATTATTAAACAGTGAAATACTGCTTTTAAAAGTGAGGTGTCTTCAAAGATGGGAACAACAGACACAGGGGCCTCTGAAATGGGAGAGGGAGAGGCCGCAGGTTAGAAAAACTACCTGTTAGGTACTTGTGTTCACTATTTGGGTGACATGATCAATGGAAGCCCAAACCTCAGCATCTCGCAGTATACCCACGTAACAAACCTGTACATGTACCCCCTGAATCTGAAATAAAACAAAGAATAAAAATGAAGTGTCTTATCTAAAATGAAAATCTATATTGCTTTGCCCTTTCAAACTTAACATGTCCAAAAGAGAGCTGTTGATTCTTTCATCTCAACACTCGTTCTTCCTGCTTTGTCTTCCCCTGCCCTGTCCTTTCCCCTCCCTTTGTGATCCACCCCTGCTGAGCTTCCCACCTTTTGGCACCACGCTCATAATTCCTTATTATGCTCCAGCTGTATTGCCCTCTTTACTTATCTGAACAGGTGGCACTTTTCTTCCTCTAGCTGCTTTGCTCCCAAATGTTCTGTTCCCTTTTGAAAGGTTGGTGGGTCTCTCCTCTAGCTCACAACACCCTGTGTTCTTCAGAGCTCTGATGTTCTTATTTGTACGTTTCCTTCTGTATTACTTGTGTCCTCACTGGTCCATAGGTGCCTTGGAGACAAGGATCCTATCTGTCTTTCCCCCTCAATCTCCAGCTCCTGGAGTAGAGCCTAGTCCATAGTTGGTGCTCCATAAATATGTGTTCAATAAATGATCAAGCAGGAGTGAGTTATAACCAGAGGTCAAAACCCTGGGGCATCGGAGAAGACATGCATATGTGTCAAGTCGTAATTAATGTGTTGCCCCAGAGAGGACCATGTCAGCTGTCTGCTTCCTGGGGAGCTGGCTTCTGGCAGCTTCAACCATCTAAATACAGTCAAGGAGAAAGTTGCATCAGTTCCATTTGTTTTTGTTTTTCCATTGGATTTTGAACCCCAGGAGAACAGTTGCCATAACAGCTTTCCTTCAGCTTTTGGTAGTCTCTAACCTCCATTCAATATTGACTACTGTGGGAAAAGCACTCTCTCTGAACGAGGCTTCTTACTGTTTCTGAATTTACCCATACTTCTAATCTTATTGCTAACTAATTTGTACAGAAGTCTGTTTCTTTAGATAGTAAGTTAAAGATGAGAATTTGAATGGAGACTGCTGATCTCGCTATAGGCCCATGCAGCCAGCTCCTGGCCACATCTCAAGGCTCAGCTGAAGTGGCCTTTCCTCGGGGAACCCTCCTTCAGGTCCTTGGCACATTTTACTGTCTTTAATAAATAGCACTGACTCCATTTGGGATGAAAAAAGCAAATATGCAGTCTGTTATTGGGCCCAGCCCCAATTTAAACATCTTGAGGGCAGAGAACATCTGTCTTTTTTTTTTAAGGAAAAAAAAAACAAAACACTACTCTATCTCCAAAACCTGATATGTACTCAATATTTAATAAAAATAAATTGAATTAATTAATCCTTTCCAACCTTACAGATATTTCTGATTGATAGATCCATTGTCCAGCAACAATAATATATGACTGTGTCTATCTTAGTAAATAAATTTCTAAAAAGCTCAAATACTGGGACATGAATGGCTCACTGAGAGCAATAGGGTGTGGAGAAAGAGAGAGAGGGAGCGAGCAGAGGGAGCTGGATGTACACGCAGTTGCAGTCAGTCACTTGTTTCCTGAGTAGACTATTTGAGTTTTTGAATGGTTATTGGTGTGATTATGTCTATCCCATCAAATTGTTGATGAACTTTCCAGTTTTTTTTGGAAAATAAATATTAAAGGATACAATTCTGATTATGTTTATATTTCGTTTCATTTTGTTTTCAACTTACCCTGTGAATTTTGTCCATGATGTTATGGTATCTTAAGGGATGAATCTAATACAGAATTATGCACAATTTTTGTCATTTGCCTCCCTTAAAAGAAAAAAAAAAATGTCCATGACTATACTAAAAGATCCTGTCATCTTAACTAAGAGGCAGCTGTTTCCCTGGAGTTTTTTCCCTCTTAACTATATCAGCTATACTGAGTGGGATGTAATCACATGATTTAAAATTGATAATTAGTGTGTGAAAGGCACTTGGCAATGAAATACATAGCAATATCAGTGACATAATTTTGGCAGCAGAAAAATGCTAAATATAATCCAAATGTCAATGTAGAAATGAAAACAGTACTAGCTAGTCAATGATTTATATAATGTCTTGGGAAAATGAAGTCAATTGCATCAAATTTTAAATCAAAATAAAATATACTTTATTTAAAAGTTATAGAAGCTGGAGGCGTAGTATACGTGTGTGTTATGTGTATGTATATACAGTGTATGGATATATTTAATATCATTAAAAATGATTATCCTTGCCCCGGTTGTACTTCTCTTCTATTCATAAACCCTAAAGAAAAGCTCTTTAGATTTTTCTTCTAGGGCAAGGCGCAATGGCTCACACCTTTAATCACAGCACTTTGGGAGGCTTGAAGTGGGTGGATTGTCTGAGCCCAGGAATTTGAGACAAGCCTAGGAACATGATGCAACTCCATCTTTACAAAACAAAACAAAACACACAAAAATTAGCCAGGCGTGGTGGCATGTTCCTATAGTCTCAGCTACTCAGATAGCTGAAGCAGGAGGATCACTTGAGCCTAGGAAGTTGAAGTTGCAGTAAGCAATGATTGTGCCACTGCACTCCAGCCTGGGTGACAGAGCAAGACCCTATCTCAAAGAAAACCCAATTGTTTCTTCTGGAAGTTGTCTTCATATCTCTGAATATGTGTGCCTATTTTGCAGTATGCTAAATTTGGTTCATTTTAGACATTATCTTTTGACTTCCTGTTTCAACAGGTGAGGATTTCCCTCTCTACATTACAGCTTTGCCTCCTCTCCTTCTCCCTTCCCACATAGTTACATCTCTAATTTTAATTAATTCAGGGATCCATGATAACCTCTTTAAATTACGTAAATAATGTTCATTGTAGGGCTAAAAAGTATGATTTTTTTTTCTTTCTTGTTCAGGTTTCAGTTTTCTCTGTGGTTTCTAATGGCCTTTCTTTTTGTCTTTTACCCTAACTGCATCCCACATTTGTTTAATACTCTCAAGATGTACCATTATAGTATGTTTGTCTGAGTCTCTTGTCCCCCTTCCCCTTCCTTCTGAAGCACCCTCTCCTCCAGTCCCTATCTGGACTGCTTGCTCTCTAGGCTCTGCTTGCTGCTGGACTTCACTTCTCTTTGATGCTCTCCAGGAGGGCACCATTTCCTGGATTCCTTGTTTTCCTTATTCTTAGTTTCCTCACTCACATTCCTGAAGTATATGTATCAATAGATTCTTACTGTTACATCAGCAGTATATAGATAAGAAGAAATCTAAAGTATTGATGGCTCTTGCTGTAATGAAGCTTTACATTCTTTTTAATGTGTGAACTATTAATAGATTTCTCAGGACTGAGATCTATAGAAATGAGTAATAGGAATAGAAATTAAAACAAAATTAAGTAAGATTTCCATTTACCATTTCTGTGAAGTATAACAAGTGATCAATAAAATAAACAAAACTACATTAAATTATGGTAAAACTATATGTGTCAAGTGGAATGGAAAACGAGTTCAAGGTAGAAGGAATGATACAAAATTTTTGACTCTTCAAGAAATCCTTGTTTCTATTCACACTAGCAAAGACACGGAATCAACCCAAATGCCCATCAATGATAGAATGCTAAAGAAAATGTGGTACATATACACCATAGAATACTGTGCAGCCATAGAAAGGAATGAGATCATGTCCTTTGCAGGGACATGGATGGAACTGGAAGCCATTACCCTCAGCAAACTAACGCAGAAACAGAAGACCAAACACCGCATGGGGAGCTGAACAGTGTGAACACATAGACACAGGGAGGGGAACACCACACACTGGGGCCTGTGGGGGTTGGGGAGGGAGAGCATCAGGAAAAATAGCTAAGGCACGCTGGACTTAATGCCTAGGTAATGGGTTGACAGGTGCAGCAAACCACCATAGCACATGTTTACCTATGTAACAAACCTGCACATCCTGCGCATGTACCCCAGAACTTAAAATAAAATTAAAAAAAAAAGAAAGTTGCCTAAGTATACAGCTAAGAGTAGGAGAGCCAGGATGTTAGCCAGTTGGTCTGACTCCAGAGTAAGGTCTTCAGGGCACTGCAAAGACATCAAGGAGTTCACAGTCCAGTGGGAGAGACAGGCAAGCCAGCCAGGATGATGATATATGATATGATATGATATGATATGATATGATATGATATATGATGGTATGATATGATATGGTGATATGATGATGTGATATAATATGGTGATATGATCTGATGATATGATATATGATATGGTATGATATATGATATGGTATGATATATGATGATACGGTATATGATAGGATATGATGATACGATATAATATGGCCTGTGATGAGGCTGTGGGAACAGAGAAAGGACACTGAATGGAATCTTGTGGAGGTGGGGAGATCATAGAAGCATTTCCAGAATTGAGGTTCTAGCCATGTGTCCCCAGTACCCTGTGATGGTTAATGTTATATGAACTTTACTGAGCCATGGGATGCCCAGGTATTTGGTCAACATTATTCTGGGTGTTTCTGTGAGGATGCTTTTGGATGAGCTTAACATCTAAATAGGGAGACTGAGGACAGCAGATTGCCCTCCCTAATGTGGGTGGGCCTCATCCCATCAGCTGAGGGCCTGAAGAGAGCAGAAGACTGACCCTCCTGTGAGTAAAAGTCCTCCTGCCTAGCTGCCTTCAAACTGGTACATCAGCCTTTTTTCCCTGCCTTCAGACTGGAACTGAAACATCAGCTTTTCCTGGGTCTCCAGCTTACAGACCCCCTCTGCAGATCTTGGGACCTGCCCACCTTTCTAATTGCGTGAATCAATTCCTTATAATGAATCTCTTCATGTGCTCACACATACAGACACACACACACACACACACACACTCATTAAGTGCTTGTTAATGTCTTTTTAAAAGTGGGTTGTGATGAATATCTGTGGTATTTAGAATCCATTAGCCACATTAAAAAGTGATGTAAATTTATTTTATAGTTTTAATATTTATAATATGCCAGAAATTATATCTTTTACAACTATTTATCCTTATCATTAAAAATTTTAGATGTTACCTAAATGCAAATATGTAGAGATTGCATTGAGTCTGTAGACTCAAAATCCCAGTGACATTTTTTGCAAAAACAGGAAAACCTATTCTAAGCTTCATATGGAAGCCCAGTGGATCCCCAAATAGCCAGAACAATCTGTTTGGAGGACTCAAC
This sequence comes from Homo sapiens, assembly GCF_000001405.40. Classification (NCBI taxonomy): domain Eukaryota; kingdom Metazoa; phylum Chordata; class Mammalia; order Primates; family Hominidae; genus Homo; species Homo sapiens. The sequence goes on from NC_000013.11 coordinate 25,814,456, forward strand.
ATTTCCTGATTTCAGAACTTACTACAGAGCTACAGTAGTCAAAACAGTGTGTGTTACCATAAAGACAGATACGTAGACCCAATGGAATAGAATAGAGAGCCCAGAAGTAAACCCTGGAATATGTAATTAAATGATTTTCAACAAGAGTGCCGAGAGCATTCAATTAAAAAAAAAAAAAAAAAAGTCCTTTCAACGAATGAGGCTAGGAAAACTGGATATCCAGATGCAAAATAATGAAGTTGGACCCTTACTTAACACCATATGAAAAAGATAATTCAGGACAGATGCAGTGGCTCACACCTGTAATTCCAGCACTTTGGGAGGCCAGGGCAGGTGGATCACTTGAGCCAAGGAATTTGCGACCAGTCTGGGCAACGTGGTGAAATCCCATCTCTACCAAATAAAAATACAAAAATTAGCCAGTTGTAGTGGCGCATTCCTGTAGTCCCAGCTACTCATGGGGATGAGGCGGGTGCTGAGGTGGGAGGATCACCTGAGTCCTGGGGAGGCTGAGGCTGCAGTAGGCCGTGATTATACCACTGCATTCCAGCCTGGGCGGCAGAGTGAGACCTTGTTTCAAAAAAAAAAAAATTAACTCCAAATGAATCAAAGACCTAAACGTAAGACCTAAAACAATAAAACTCTTAGAAGAAGACATAAGGGGACAGTTTCATGACATTGAATTTGGCAGTGTTTACTTGAACACCAAAAATATAGGCAACAACACCAAAAAATAGACAAATTGGACTTCATCAAAATTCAACATTTTTGCCCTTCAAAAGATTCTATCAACAGAGTGAAAAGGCAGCCTATGGAATGGGAGAAAATATTTGCAAATCATATATCCGATAAGAGATTAATATCCAAAATATCTGAAGAGCTCCTAAACACAACAGCAAAAAACCAATTCAAAAATGGGCGAAAGACTTGAGTAGACATTTCTCCAAAGAAGATATGCAAATATCCAATAAGCAATGAAAAGGTGCTCAGCATCACTGATGATTAAGGAAATGTAATTCAAAGCTACACTGAGATACCACTTCATACCCATTAGGATGTCTATTATCAATAGAAAACAAAAAAGAGTTACAGAGTATGTAGATAAGTTGAAACTCTTGTGTATTGCTGCTGGGAAAGTAAAATGGTTTAGCCACTTGAAAGATAGTATTGCTGTACCTCCACGATATTAAACATAGAATTACTATATGATCCAGCAATTCTACTTCTGGGTATATATCCCAGAGAATTGAAAGCAAGGACTGAACCCATGTTTTTATACCACTGTTTATAGCAGCATTATTCACAGTAGCCAAAAAGTGGAAACAACCCAAATATCCATGTATGGGTGAATGAATAAACAAAGTATGCTATATACATACAATGGCATATTATTTAGCCTTAAAAAGAATGAAGTCCTAATACATGCTACAACATGGATGAATAAAACTTTATGTTAAGAAATATAAGCTACACAGACAAGGACAAATATTGCATGATTTCATAGAGGCAAAACAGGGACTGTGGGGAGAGGAGAGTTGCTTAATACTCATTAATATAGAGTTTAATGGTTTAATTAATACCATTAATACAGAATTTCAGTTTGGAGTGATGAAAAAGTCCTGGAGATGGATGATGGTGATGGGTACACATCAAGGTAAATGTTTTTAATACCACTGAACTGCACACTTGAAAACAGTTAAAATGGTGAATTTTATGTTCTGTATATTTTACCATACCAAAAAGGACATAAAACATATTGAGATAGTTTTTGAGATTTGTAGATACATGGATCTTTAGATTTCTCTTAGGGAATGTGTGCACAGCTGCTCATGTATTTGGAGAATTCATGTCTAGTGTCCTTCACGGTCTGAATCCAGCCCTCTTCTCTCACTTCATTTTCCTTGTTCCAGCCACCTGGCAGCTCACACCTGCTAGGCTTTTGTACAAGTTGTTCTCTCTACTTTCAGTGCCCCTTCTCCCCGCACCCAGTTGCTGAATGGAATCTGATACTTCAAGACCCAGCCCAAGTGGCCACCACATTTGGAAAAGTTGTGCTCACTCCTCCAGACGTAACCTGTTTCTTCCTCTCCTGTGTTCCCAAAGAACTTTTCTGCACTTCAGATACGTCCCATGCCTGTCCCCAAACAGAGTGAATTGTTGGACAGAGATGGTGTCTCACCTTTGCAACTCCTACCCATAGCACAGAGCAAAACTTGAAGCAGGGCCTTAGTAAACAGTTCAGTAACTGAATTTTTAAAATATATATATGTGATTCTTTCCTTATAACCCTCCGCTGGGAGAGTAGACAGACCTTTCGCTCTACTTTCCAAAACCAGAAAATGAGACACAAAGCAAGTTCACACCTTGCCCAGGCCACAGGCTCACTGTGGCTGATGGGAATAGAGGGATAGCATCAGAATTCTCTTCTGATGATCCTAGTCTGTGCAGCCAGGCACTAAATCTTACTGTCAATAAGTTAAGGGTGTGACTTTATTGGTTATAAAACACATGTTCTCAAATATTTGCCATAGATCCTGTCCATAAATGAAGTGATCTTATACATATTTCTGCTACCCCTTCCATAATAGACCCCCTGCCACTGTTCCAACACCAGGAGGTTGGAAACAGCTGTGTCATTAATGAACGACAGCAGATCCTAACCAGTGACCTCCAGATGAAAGGCTCATTATTTCCTTACTGGTCTCAAGAGCTATTCAGTCCCCTAGCAAGCCAGCTCAGAATTTGGACTGAAGAGTCTAAGCCTTGAACTATAAAAAAAATTTACGAAGTCCTTGACACAATTTGGAGCGATTATGTTCTATTGTGCCAAGAATTTCTTATTAAAAATCAATTTAATTGTGCATACCCCATCTGGTCGGTATTATGGTCTTTTATGGGGGGGGGGGGAAACACGATTTTGTGTTTACCTGATGTTCCATAGAGTAAGCATGTAGTTTTGCAGAAACAGAGACATTTTATAACGCTGAGAAATGAGTAATTAAAGAAAATTTTTAAATGTTTACCAGACTTCTTTTTACTAACTTTTGTGACTTTGAGCTATAAGATTCAACTTTCTTGCGTTAGTTGGGATTTTAACGGAAAAGAAAATGCCAGACTAAAGTAAAAAATGTATGTGTGTACCTCATCTGCTACATTTATTTCCATGTAATAATTTCTATTTTATACTCTCAAGATTAAAATTCCAGTCCTTTTATTCTTTTTTCTTTTTCTTTTTTTTTGTTTTGTTTTTTGTTTTTGAGATATGATGTCATGGAGTCTGTGCACGATCATGGCTCACTGCAGCCTCAACCTCTCTGGCTCAAGCAACCTTCCCACCTCAGGCTCCTAGGTAACTGGGACTACAGGCATGTGCCACCATGTCCAGCTAATTTTTGAAAAAATTTTTGTAGAGACAGGGTCTCACTCTGTTGCCCAGGCTGATCTCAAACTCCTGGGCTCAAGCAGTCCTGCTGCCTCAACCTCCCAAAGTGCTGGGATTATAGGTAGGAGCCACTGTACCCAGCCTCAAGTCCTTTTAAACATAACCTAGATTTCCCATTAGTATTTAATTTGTGTTATTTTTTATTCAAGGAATTTGGATAATGAAAGATGAGAAGATTACTTCTGATTGTCTGCTAGGCCAGTCTCAACCATATTAGCAAAAGATTGCAATATTTTCACTCAAAATATTGCCAGATATATTTTAAACTGGAGTGGTTGCATTTTGTTGTACAAAATGGGGAAGATTTTTAAAGCTTGCTTTTCAAACAGCTTATACCCTAATCTTAAAAGGATCCCTTGGCACTCAAGGAAAAAGATCTGGATAATTCATAAATTTTTTGGTGTGCTTATGTGCTTATAGTTGTTAAGTATTTTGTTCAAGTGACCATCTTAAAGTATCAGTAATATAATAAGTTAGTAGCCATAAATACTGATTTGATTCTGAATTGCCTTAACTTAAATGTTTTAAAAATTACTTTTAAATAAGTAGGATTGACTGCTAGTCGCTGCAGTCTACTAAACACCTATTTGATATGAGCCATAATATCTTTCATCTTCTCTGTGCCCCGATTTCCTCATTTGTGAAATGGAATAACACCTTTTGTTAGGATTGTTAAGATATTTAAATTAGATAATTCATCTAGAGTATTGCAAGGTTCTTGGAACTGAGTAAGCCATAAATACACTTTAGCCTGTATCATCATCAAAAATAACAGAAATGACTGTTCTGCAGTGTGTGGTTTTCTTATTTAACATGCTCTTTTAGTGAGCTTTTCTCTTTAACATCAAGTATTAATATTCTGCATATATCCATTTATTGAGCACCTACTGTGTGCCCACCTGTGTGCTAGATCCTAGGTGTACGATATTGAGTGGAATCAATATAATCTCTGAGCACATGGGGTAGCCAGATAACAATACAATAAAAATTACAGAATGTGGCAAGCTCGAAGAGAAAAATGAGTGCGGTGTGGTGATAAAGACAAGCAAGTTCTCTTCTTCTACATAATTCTTTGAAGTTGAAGTGATGCTTATTTGTTACACTGATAATAAAAATGTATAAGGAAAAAATAACTTGCCCTCTTCTGGCTCCATGTCTGCTCAGGAATCAATAGAAACAGTTTGGCCAACCATTCATACTTTTCTTTGCACTCATACAAATGTATGTAAACATACAGCATTTTTGTTGTGGTTTTTACAAAAAAAAAATGGATTCTGTGCATTGCTCTGTAACTTTGTTGGTTTGCCTTGAAAAGTCCTTAGAAGTGTTATTAGTATGTGATGTTTGCTGCTGGCATTTTACCTACCCAAGACTCAGTCAGCAATAGAAAACTCTCCAAAGATTTTATAGATGAGGCCCTGTCATTATCACGGTATCCTCTCTGGTCTCCATTTAATTCTGGCCACTCCATCCCATAATTTATTGAACAGAAAAAGATTCTCTAGGGTGTCTTACTACTACTACTGTTATTATTATTCCTGACAACCTTTGCTCTATAATAGCATTTCTGATCTTTTTCCCTTGATTTCCTGCCTACTTACCTATTTATTTATTTTGCCTTTTCCTTTGTCAATCTCATGCTGTTTCTTGGGCATTGTTTCATTTCCATATTTATAAATTTAACATTTTAAAAGATAGGTGTTTCTAGTTCATAGATTTGCTGCAATCACCCCCTACTAAAGAACTTCAGGGTTTTTTGTTTTTTTTTTTGTCTGTGCTTTCTATTTTGTTTTCTGCTACCAACAATACTGCAAAACAAGATGGGTTTTTATATACCGCTGCTTTCATTTATGAGAAGTGGATTTCCAGAAATAGAATTTCTAGACAAAGTATATGTTTATATTTTATCTTACTACATATGGCCAGATCAAATTTCAAAAAAAACCTGAAGCATTTTGACATTTAAACAGATATCTTTGGTGCCAGTTTATCAGCCCAGACCTGATATGCAAATTAGTAGATCGTGATGTTATTGCCACTTCAGTAAGAAACCATATGTTAATTTACCTCATTATTCTCCATAGGGTACTTTTTCACTTCAGTCCTCTACCAGGGATCCTGAAAGAGCAGAGTAAATAGAAGAACAGGTCATCCCTTTTCCACATTAAGTAGTCGTTTGTTAAGTGTCGGCTGTTAGCTGAGAGCCTGAGAGTGGCGGCAGGTACAACCCGCCGAGGTTGGACGATGGCAGCGGGACGTCCAGACAGGAGCCTGTGCAATTAGCCAAGACGGTTACTGTGTTTTTGGCAGTCAGGCAGCAGTTAAAGCAAAGAAGGGTCTTTTTTTTCCAAGAAGGAAAAGCCATTTAATAAGTTTGGGTCAGTTTGCTCATAACAACACTACATTTGAGGACCAAAAACCCCAGGAGCTTGGCAAGCCAGCAGTGCTTGGCAAGTCTTCCTACCAGCTCACCAAGTCTGAGGCCATCCTGCAGGGATCTGGCTCTCTGGGCTTTGACTGTATTCATTTAACAGCATTCCTAGTTAACAAGAAACTAAAGGCAGAGGAATCCTTTTCCCATTAGTCCAAGAGTAAAATTTAGTGGCTATAAGCAAGCCACCATCCAAGTAACTGCACGTCAAATGGGGGACGGACAGTCTGTTTGTATTGAAGGCTCTGCGTTTAGTGTACACAGCTGGGAACTTGTGGCCCACCAAAAATGACATTTATATTTAGGAATTGGGTGGTGCTGTCTTTTTGGTGTATGAATTAACATTTGTATATGACTTACTAGTGTGAAAGTCTGATTTTATAATGTGTCAGAGAGCCATCGTTTACCTGTCTCATGAATAAATAAAATAAAAGCTAAGTACGTTTGTATAAATATTTAAAAATACACTGCCTTCTCATACTTTTCCCATTTCACCTATGGAAACCTTGCCAAAATGAAATCAAATTTGAGCGTTTCAATGTAAGGGAAAACCAGCTCATGGATTTTAAAATTAAGAAGTGGATTTTTTTGTTTGTTTTGTTTATGTTGGCTTTGGGTTTGTTTTTTTTTTTCTCTACCAAGTAAATAGTTTCGATGAAATAAACAGGTCCAATCATCTAATGATGGATTATTTGAATGCAGATTGAAATTGAATTGAAAATGTTGAGAATGAGCTTGTTTATGCTTCTCAAAAAGCTGCAGCACCTGCAACTGATAAAAATTAGTGCAAACATATCAAAAGTCTTTGAAGAAACATGTGGCCAATCCAGTGCCAACTTGGACAGAATCAGAACACTGGCTGCTTAGAGGAAATATCCCAACATTCAGCTAATCAACAATGTTAAATGAAATGAAGAATGAAACTTTTTACATGACTCAGTATTGCTTGGAACAATGTTAATGTCAACAAGGTCAGTTCATGGAAGGAGATGCTAGATTTCTTAAGATTTTTACCCCCTCGTATGTTTTCAACAGCTTGCGTGTCTTGATTATACCGAATTCACTCAGTCTTTGAAATAATTTCTCATTAATAATTTACAAAGTTATGTGTTTGTTTTCAGGATCCAAATTTGTGAAGGTAGCAGATTCATATCCAGTTATAGGAATCTGTTATTCCTTTTTATTTGAAAAAGAGTAAAGCTTTCTAAACCCAAGCTCCCATACATATAAGCAGAATCATGGCTTCATGCAACCAGCCACATGTTATTATTTTGTTTGTAACAAACATCTGTTAGAAACAAGATTTCTAAGTTTTGTATCGGGTTGACCAAATAAACTTATTTCTTTAGTCTAGGGTTTCTCAACAGTGGCATTATTGACATTTTGGACTATATGATTTTTTGCTGTAGAGAGCTCTTCTGGGCCTTGTAGGATGTTTAGCAGCAGCATCTTTGGCCCACTCAATGCCAGTAGGCTCCTCCCCCAAGGTGTGACAGTAAAAAACATTTCCAGATCCTGTCAAATGTCTCCTCAGAGGCAAAATCACCCCTAGCTGAGAATTACTGCTAGAAACAGCTATATAAATAAAACATGAATGTGTTAAACAAGTCTCCCTCTTTCCCCCAGAGAACACTTCTACCACCTAAAGATGATGAATATTAATGATCCCTTATGTTTCCCAGAAAGTTGCCATGCATATATGAGTATGTACATCTGTTCTGCACAGTCATGGCCATTCAATACTACCCTTATTTTTTCATTTTTAATGTATCTGTGAGATTCTTATCTTGCAGTGCATGGGGACTTATATTTAAAATTAAATCTTTTTAAACTTACTTAGAGTTCATTACAGGATGAGCCGTAATTTCTTTAACCAGCTTTCAATATACATGCAGGCTCTAGTTCTTTGTTTTCCATATATAAGGGTGTGGCATTGTTTTCCAAATAATGCCATACCATTATATTTTTGTGTTGAATATTATGTGATTAGAGCTATAAGGTATAATTTAGAGTATGTCCCTACAGGTGGAATCACTTGTTCAAACGAAAACTAAATTAAACATATTTATAGACAATGCTATCTCACCAGCTGGGTATTACAGTGTTGTTTCCCCAGTTTACCAAACTTTTATATTTTTACCCATCTGATAAGAAAAACAGTTATATCCATTTGTGTACATGTTTAATAAAAATGAGATTTCCTGTGTTTCTAAGCCTTTTCTTCCCCCTGTGATCACACTCCATATACTCTTTGCCCATTTTTCTAGCAGCTTGTAGGGTTCTTTCTGTCTGATTTGTAAGAACTTTTTATATATTGAAGAAATTGGGCCTTTGTTTTCATAGATATTCCAAATATGTGTGTACTATTCATTTAATATCAGTTTTCTTTCAACTTTGTTAATATTTGTATTTATAGAAATTAGTTTCAAATTTGTCCCTCATTTCTAAGTTTAATGTCTTACAGGAGTCATGTTTCACATAGAGCAAAATAATGGTTTTCATGTTTTCTTCCAATGCTTTCAGAGTTTTGTTTTTTGTGCTTAAATATTCAAGGCATCTGAAATTCATTTGAGTATATAGAGACTGAAATACTACATATTCTTTTCCAAATACTATGGTAATTTATCATGTGATAAGGGACATTTCAAACAAGTGGGATAAAGATGACTTATTAAACAAATGCTGTTGACATAATTGCTGATATTTAGGTGCAAAATAATAAAGCTGGGTCCGTACTTGGTGCCTGCAAGGAACCAACAGAAGGCCACTGTAGCTGACTGGAGGAGATGCAGTGTTGTCAGAAAGATAGGTGGGGGCCTGATTGTGTTGGGCTTTGTAAATCCAAGCTAAGAATTTGATCTTTTTTGAATAGAGTGTCTTTTTCATGTTCATTTGGCATGTTTCTCTTATATGTAGCATATATTTTGGATTTTATTTTTTTATCCATCTGAACTTTTATTGTATGTTGGGCTTTGTAAATCCAAGCTAAGAAACTGATCTTCTTTGAATAGTGTCTTTTTCATGTTCATTTGACATGTTTATCTTATATGTAGCATATATTTTGGATTTTATCTTTTTACCCACCTGAGCTTTTATTTTTTATTATTAATATAAGACACGTGTTTAATATTACTTCTGTCATCACATTTTATGTTACTTTTCAGCTTTTGATGTTTCCTTGGTTTCTATCTTTTACTAAAATTCCTATCACACTTTATTTCCCTAAGGACTTGTAAACATCTTTTACTCTCTTTTGGTATTGTGTACTGCTAGAGAGAAGTAGGAAGACTTCTTGATTTTTTTCTCTTTGTTACTTTTTCTGTCTGAATATACTGAAGAATTGATCCTATAAAATCTTAAAACTCATTAATTTCTATAGCAGGACATGTGTGGGTATTGATCTTTCTGTGTCTGTTGCTTGTTTTGTTTCCTAGGATGAAGGATCCCCTCTCTACTGGCTGATTAGGGTATTTCAGAAAATTTTCTTCTGTTATATCTTTGAACATTTTTTTAACTTCTATTTTCCTCTTTTTTTAAAATACATCTTTTTGGGAATTTTTTGCTTATCTTTAAAGTCTTCTGACCTTTGCTGAGAATTGTGTTCTCAAGCTTTACTACCTATCTCTACGTGTGGTTTCAGCAGTGTCAGTTCTTTTTTTTGAGGCAGAGTCTTGCTCTGTCACCCAGGCTGGGGTGCAGTGGTGCAATCTTGGCTCTATGCAACCTCCACCTCCCAGGTTCAAGTGATTCTCCTGCCTCAGCCTTTTGAGGAGCTGGGATTACAGGTGTGCACCACCACGCCTGGCTAATGTTTGTATTTTTAGTAGACATGGGTTTTCACCATGTTGGACCAGGCTGGTCTCAAACTCCTGACCTTAGGTGATCCACCCTCCTTGGCCTCCCAAAGTGCTGGGATTACAGACATGAGTCACTGAACCCTGCTAGCAGTGTCAATTCTGGCTTTCATTTCTCTTTAGGGTAGCTTCAGTTTGTAACAATGACCTCTTCCTATTTGTCTCTTTCTTTGCTATATTAGACATCTTATTGTAACTTTCGTTGCAAAGAAAATTCACTTTTTCATTAGCTCTCTTAGTCTCACCAAGAATGTTTGAGATTTTCTTCGGCCGTGTGGCTTGTTCTCCTGGAAAGATTATTTCATGTGCGTTTGTCATATCCTCTTATTTTTTTCTATAATATTTTTGGAAGATGTCTAGGGGAAAGGGGATTCCAAGTTGTCTTGGAGCACTTCCTGCTCTGGTCTCCTATCACTTTGCAATCATAAGCACCTCCCTTGCTGTTGTTTCTTTCCCTTAGGAGAGGAGGCCTGTATGCCCTAGAGGAAATTTCTGTGTGTTATAGGTTTCTCTTGGATGATTCTGCATTTTTTTTCTTTTCAGTTCACCTTGAAACTTACTTGATCAGTGTCTGCCAAGTTGATTGTCATTTATATTTTCTATACTGCCCTGCTGTCTTCCCTGATTGATTCCTGAAAAAAAGGAGGGAAAAAGCATATTGCCCTTCAGCTTTAATTTGCCTGCTGTGTTGAATCCATCCAGGATTCAACCTCTGCCTCTGCTTGCCCTGACCTCTATATTTTATCTATTTTATCCTCTAAATTAGAGTTGGTTTGGCTATTTCTTGCGTTGTTTCACCTATTTCTTTGAAAACTTTTTTTACTTGGTTTAATCTGTAGATTCGGTCTGCTGTGGGCATTCTCTCTTGATTTGGTCTAATCTGATCATATTTGTTTGCATCTATTGTATATCATTTGTAGTTTTAATTAAAGCTACTCATAGTTTCATTGTGTATGTGTTTGCTTTTTTTTTTTTTTTTTTTTTTTTTTTTTGAGACAGGGTCTCACTCCATAGCCCAGGTTGGAGTGCAATGGCATGGTCAGAGCTCACTGCTGCTGCCCACCTTTTAGGCTCAAGGAATCCTCCTGCCTTAGCCTCCCGAGTAGCTGGGACTACAGAGGTGTGCATCACCACACCCAGCTAACTTTTTATTTTTTGTAGAGATGGGGTCTCACTATGTTGCCCAGGCTGGTCATGAACTCCTGGGCTCAAGCAGTTCTCTCCCCCTGGCCTCCCAAAGTGCTGGGATTACAGGCATAAGTCACTATGCCCAGGCTCTTTTCTATTTTTATTTGTTTTTTCTATTTTTAGTTGATAACAAGACAACATGTTAACTGGATTTTGCAATAAAATAAAATACCCACTAGATATCTTTTTGGTCAATTGTTTGAATAGGAGAACTCAGAATTATGGCACAGTCTTGGGAAAATTAACTTAAAACCCTTGAAACAGTTTACTAATGTGTTTGAATCTGATGTGGATCCAGGCTCTCATTGCACTAAAAGTGTGGTTGAAGTATTGACTGCCAAGACCTCCAGTGGTAGGGAGAGAGTGGGGTTGAAATTGTGGTTTTAGGGATGGCTATTATTTGAATAAATGTTGTAGGAATTTTCCAAGCACAGAACACAGCATGAATCTCTGGTTCTTAGTTCTTCACCAATATTTCTTCACCGAGAATAGCCAGACCTCTTGGAAGGGTAGTTGAAATTGAGTGACTAGGAGAGAGAGCATCAGATCCTACAAAGAATGGTGATGACAGAGGATGGAGGGAATTGGGGTGATGGTCAAAGGGTACAAAGTCTCGGACAGGAGGAATAAGTTGTTTGGGGTTTTTTGAGATCCATTGTGCAGTGTGGTGAATATAATTAATAGTGCATTGTACATTTCAAAGTTGCTAAGAGTAAATTTCAAATATTCTCACACCCTCAAAATAAGTATTTGAGGTGATAGATATGTTAGTTAGAATGACTTAATTATTCTACACTGAACTTGGAAACTTTAATATCACTTTGTACCCCATAAATACATACAGTTATAAAGGGTCAATTTACAATAAAATAAAAAGTTTTAAAGGAAAAAGAAATTAAGAGTGAATAGAAGTGTGGAAGGATTTTTGAAAGTCAGCAAGTTTATCTTGGATTTAGGAGGGAGCCCTAGTAGTTTTTTGAACAGGGTAATGACAAGGTGAAAGCTGTATTTAAGGAAAACTTCATCTAGCACTTGATTTGGCATTTAATTTGATCTCACGGGGACTTGGTGAGTACCTGTTTGTACCAAGTATCATACTGGATACAGTAGTGCACAGAGCAGCATGGGGAAGAATTCCTGCTTCAAGAAACGCAGTCTGGTGGAGTCAAGAAACTGATTTTGAAAAATCTGCCTCAGTAAAATTTCAGTACCAGAGTTGACCTCAACTCTGGTTGTCATGGTGTCTGTTCTATGTTGCCAGTTAGGTTCTACCACAGCAGCGGTCTCTGTCTGTGATGATGTGACACAGATAACGTTGATTCTATGATTTGTATGGGACACTCTAAAGTCTGCCCTCAATCAGACTCTCATATCTCATATAAATGTAGCTGAATATTCAGCAGCAACTTTTTGAATTCCATATTTTCATGTTTGCTTCCTTCTAAGTCAGGTTTCTGTCCTCCCGGTGGCTCGGCCCTCTTCTACCCCAGTCCTGCTGCCTCCGTGTATTCAGATTACATCTGGATGATCACATCTCATATAAATGTAGCTGAATATTCAGCAGCAACTTTTTGAATTCCATATTTTCATGTTTGCTTCCTTCTAAGTCAGGTTTCTGTCCTCCCGGTGGCTCGGCCCTCTTCTACCCCAGTCCTGCTGCCTCCGTGTATTCAGATTACATCTGGATGATCTTTCCTTTTCTGACAGTGTTTTTTGTTTTTTTTGTTTGTTTGTTTGTTTTGGTTTTTATTTTCTTGAGATGAAATCTTGCTCTTGTCGCCCAGGCTGGAGTGCAGTGGCACTATCTTGGCTCACTGCAACCTCCACCTCCCAGGTTCAAGCGATTCTCCTGCCTCAGACCCCCCCGAGTAGCTGGGATTACAGGTGCGTGCCACCACACCCCGCTAATTTTTGTATTTTCAGTAGAGATGGGGTTTCACCACGTTGGCCAGGCTGGTCTCAAACTCCTGTCCTCAGGTGATCCGCCAACCTCGGCTTCCCAGAGTGCTGGGATTACAGGCATGAGCCACCACGCCCGGTCTCTGACAGTGTTTTATCCCTTGTCATGTACACTAATTATATCCTGGCACTTGGCTCTGTAGTTGTTTTTATATCAGTCTTGCCTAATCGGTTAGAATCATAGACTACTTGAAGGCATGAATAACAGCCCACATTTTATCTATTTATTTATACATCTCTCATTACTTCAAAAAATGATTTGAACATGTTTCTTTTATATGATTGTGTTTTGACCTTGGTCAAGGTGGTAGACATCTGATTAAGGAGGGTCAATAATTTATGAACTCAGAACACACAGAACAGAGGACTTTTTGTTGTTGTTTTTAATTTATGATTTATATCTCTTTGAAAGTCCGGCAAAGACACATCGTATTTCTCAAATCAACTTTAGAGAAAAACAAGAGTGTGAAGCTGAGACTCCTCCAGTCAATGAGAAAGTTTTGATACCAAACCTATTAAATGCAAATTAAATCTATTTTTCTATGAACATGTGCATATTATCTCTGAAAGTAGATGTATGCCTTAAATATAAATTTTCCTTACAATATGGATTTCTGTGATATCGGGAATCTATGTTTTATAAAGGAACAACTGCTGCAGTCCCTGTGGCTCATGATTCCTTAGCAGCTGTGTCCAGCTGGTGGTCCACATTCCCGCTACTTCTTCAGTGAATGGAAACATTTAGGTCAATATTGATATAAAACTTCATGAGCTTTCTTCTCTTTCAGCTTTGGTTCGCCTTTGTTAATGGATTTTCTGGGCAGATTTTATTTGAACGTTGGTGCATCGGCCTGTACAATGTGGTAAGCATTCTTCATCTCTATCTGATAGCATGCAGAACTTAGAACTTCAGTGACATTCCTTCACTGTTTATGTCTGGGAAGTGTATCTGAGTCAATCATCTGTATACTTAGCAGGCAGCACAAATACATCTTTGGGCCCTTTGTTGCTGTGAAACATCCTGCAGAAGCCCAAACTCTCCACACATGGTTTCAATCATAGCAGATCATTCCTGAATAACCCCTTGAAATTATTAACCCATATATCTTGATAATAGACCCTTGTTACCCCCTTACTACATGCCTGTGCAACACTTTCGTGTTTTTAGCTCAAGTACAAATTTCTGAACTACACCTAAACTCATTCCGCTTCATTATTTTTGTTCTGAATTCTTAAACATAGATACAAATGTACAGTGTGTGATCTGGTGTCCGTTCTGTCCTTCCTGAAAGGGTATCTGTCCTTGTGGAAGAACATTTTCTTCTGCAGTTAGAGCTAAAATAATGAATTCTGACTTCCAGCTACTGTGGAGGATGGTAATCAGCTCATCTGGTATTTTTTATGATTTTCAAGTTCCTTTTTTATTACTTTTTATAACTATGATGAATTCAGAAGCTAGAAATAAATATAAACTGTAGCTAAAATGGCTCAGTAGCTGCTTAGCTTTCTTGCTTTTTGTTTCACTGGCAGGAAGAACTAAGGGGCATGTAGAGCACTCTAGAGACCCTAGAATGGCCCATTTTTTGAGTTGTTCTCTCACTTGCCTTCAATCCTAACTCTGCTCCGTGGGAATTTACATTCTGAAGCAGCCATCATAAATAAATGTAGATGGAAGTTACCAGACATACAATAATAAAACCTATGGTGCTATAAATCCACTGGTGGCTAGATATTTAAGTCTTCCATGCTTTCACCCCCCTTTATTGAATAACCTCAGTGCTGGGTGCTGATGTAAAATGCTGAATGCAGTAGTTTGCCCTGGCCCTGTGTAGCTTGCAGGTTAAGAGGGTCAAATGTGTGGATTCAGACACCTCCAAGGAGGACTGGGTCCAGATCTTGAGTTGAAATTGTGTTGGTGAGTCAGTAACTGTGTTAACTTGCTGCAAAGTCACTAGCACATTTCCTCCTGATACTGATGCCCTAAAAGACAAAGATTAGGAGTGGTAAGAACAGGACAGAATTGATGTCCATTCCCTCCTGTGCTAAAAAAGCTACTCTGACTACCTACCCATGGATGGGGGCTCCAGGGCCTCCCCTTTGTGTACTAAGGGGAGATCACAGATTGCTAACTCTGTACCTCCTGAAACTATTTTAAGTAGGTTAAAGCTATGCAACCATTTCGGGGAAATATGCAGAATGCTCCACGATTATTCAGTGCTTGAAAGGGTCAGGTATCAATGGAGCTGACACTTCACACAAACACATGCCACATCCCTATTTTAGAAACAAAATGCTGAGACCTAGGAGAGATTTTGTTGTAGAGCCAAGGACAGGTGTGGTATATATATATATATATATATATATATATATATATATATATATATATATATATCACCTGCTTATAGTATGAGTGGATTTTAGCTTGATTTCTATGCTCAGGGCATGAGGGCTGGATTCTTTTCTTAGCTCCATGCAGTCTTGGCCAATTCAAATTAATCCAACAGATTTTATTGAGTGCCTACTACAGATAAGATGCTGACAGGCTAGAGGGCAGTGTTGGTCAAAATAAGGCCCACAGACCATTTGCAGGAGAATAACTAGGGTTTATTTGAAAAATGCAGATTCCTGAGCCCCACCCCAGATTAACAAAGAGAATCTCAGACATATTGCAGTTTTTGCAATTTTTTTTTTTTTTTTGAGACTGGGTCTTGTTCTGTCACCCAGGCTGGAGTGCAGTGGTGCCATCACTACTCACTGTATCCTTGACCTCCCTGGCTCAAGCAATCCTCCCACCTCAGCCTCCTTAGTAGCTGGGACCATGGGCAAATGCCACCACAGCCAGCTAATTAAAAAACATTTTTTTTGTGGAAATGGGGTCTCGCCATGTTGCCCAGATTGGTCTCAAACTCCTGGGCTCAAGCAGTCCTCCCTCCTAGGCCTCCCAAAGTGGTAGGATTATAGTCATGAGCCGCAAACTTTTCTAGTTATTGTTATGCATGACCCTAGGGTTGAGATTATATTTTATGCAGTTTTTCTGTCCCCTAAACTATACAGAGAGTACACTGTGATAGAAAAGTGTATTTCAAGGTGAAAGGGTCTAGGTTACCACTGAGTCCACAGTGCAGGCATTGAAGTGGGCTGCCAGTGAGTGCTGGCAGTTGGGATGGAATGGTCAAGGATCTGCCAGGTGAACTCCAATGTGCCACTGGGCTCTGGACTTGCTCATACTGGAGGGGCCAAACCTTCTGGGAACATGGAGATTTGCCCCCATGAAAATTGTTTTGGTGACATTTGTATAAAATAAATAGAAATATAGAGAAAAGTTACAAAAAAGGTACAAAGAACTACTATTTACCCTTCACCCAGATTGAACAGTAATTAGCATTTCCACCAATTGCATTCTCTTTCTCCATACTTGTACGCATGCACACATGCCTACACTCATGCACACACTAGTGAATGCATTTATTTCTGACCCAGTGGGGTATTACAAACATCATGTCGCTTTCCTGCTTAACACTTTAGTCAATAGTAGCAAGAGCTTCCTCTTATACAACCGAAGTATAATGATCAAATCTGAAACATTTAACATGGATTTAATACTATTATCTAATTCATCTTAATCCATATTCCAGTTTTGCTATTCTTGCTCCAATAATGCCCTATTTAGCAACTTTTCCAGTCCAGGATCATTCTAGAGACTGCCTGCAAGAGAACATTTGTGATGTGGAAGGCATTTGCTAGTGATCCTCCTCTTCTGGGCTGGGTTCTCCGCTGTCATTTTCTTCATGCAGTATTTCTCTCCTGCTTTTTCTTCTAAATGTACTCTTTGTTTGATTCCGCAAGTCAGCTAAAGTAGCAAGTCGTTGTTCCTCAAACTAATTTTCTTTTTTTTTTTTTTTTGAGATGGAGTCTAGCTCTGTTGCCCGGGCTGGAGTGCAGTGGTGCAATCTCAGCTCACTGCAAGTTCCACCTCCCGGGTTCACGCCATTCTCCTGCCTCAGCCTCCCAAGTAGCTGGGATTACAGTCGCCCGCCACCGCGCCCGGCTAATTTTTGTATTTTTAGTAGAGATGAGGTTTCACTGTGTTAGCCAGGATGGTCTCAATCTCCTGAACTCGTGTTCCACCCGCCTTGGCCTCCCAAAGTTCTGGGATTACAGGCATGAGCCACCACACTCAGCCTCTCAAACTAATTTTCATAACAAGTTAATAGCATTAAAACAGACTTGAGGCCGGGCGTGTTGGCTCACACCTATAATCCCGGCACTTTGGGAGGCTGAAGCAGGTGGATCACCTGAGGTCAAGAGTTCGAGACCAGCCTGGCCAACATGGTGAAACCTCATCCCTACTAAAAGTACAAACATTAGCTGGGCGTGACGGTGTGCACCTGTAATCCCAGCTACTTGGGAGGCTGAGACAGGAGAATTGCTTGAACCCGGGAGGCGGAGGTTGCAGTAAGCTGAGATCACACCACTGCACTCTAGCCTGGGCAACAGAGCAAGACTCTGTCTCAAAAACAACAATAACAACAAGAAACAGGCTTCTTCCTAAGTAATGAATGAATGCTGTCCCAGAAGATTTTCATTATATCCATAGTCAATTTCTTTATTTTTTTTTATTTTTTTTGAGACAGAGTTTCACTCCTGTTGCCCAGGCTGGAGTGCAATGGCGCAATCTTGGCTCACTGCAACCTCTGCCTCCCGGGTTCAAGCAATTCTCCTGCCTCAGCCTCCCGAGTAGCCAGGATTACAGGTGCGCACCACCACGCCTGGCAAATTTTCTGTATTTTTAATAGAGACGGGGTTTCACCATGGCCAGGCTGGTCTTGAACTCCTGACCTCAGGTGATCTGCCTGCCTCGGCCCCCCAGAGTGCTGGAATTACAGGCGTGAGCCACTGTGCCTGGCTCATTTTGTTTTGTGGGTAGAATGAGACTAAAAATACCACGAAGGACCAATGCTGCTAGGATCAAATGGATTTCAGCTAAATTTTATGTCTTTTATAATGCAGAGAACACTCTAGTATTATTTGACCACTTGCAGAAAATGAATCCTGTTGTCAAGCCAGCATCGTTTGAGGAAGAAAACTGTAGGCCAGTCTCACTTATAAACATAAATACAAAAATTCTACGTAAAATATTGGCAAATGGAGTCCAATAATATATTAAAAGAAAAAGTATGTGACAAAGTAAGATTTATTTTGGGGATACAGGAGTCTTGAAATTAAATATCTTTCTAAATATCACTATATCAAGAAAATAAGAAAAACATGATCCCATCAGCAGATGCTACAAAAACGTTTGAAGCAATTCAGCTGCCATTCCCAAAATAAGAACTCTAAATAAAATAGAAACAGAAAAAAGCCATTTAACCAGAATTCAGACCATTTACAAAAACCAGTAGCATGCTGCCCAAAATGGTAAAATTCTGAAACGGTTTCATTTAAAATAAGAAATTAATCAAGATGCCTGCCATCACTATATAATTCATTGTTTTCATGTTTTCGGCAACTGCAAAGAAGATTACAAATATTGGGAAAACAGTGAACAATTTCTGTACGTATACACATATGCTCACAGAAATATGGTAATGTAAATATGTTCATATATGATTGTGTATCTAGAAAACAAAAGAAAAAACAGTAGATAAATACTCGAATTATAAGAGAATTTGATAAAGTGACCAGATAAATGATAAATATATTTTTAAAATCAATAGCCTTTTTCTAGCCTAGCAATAAACAGCTTTTTTTTTTCTCTAGCAGTGGACACCTAGAAATGCAAAGGAAGTACGAATTCTTTCAAAAAAGCAATTAAAATTATACATTGCATAGGAAAAATGTTTACAGTACCTACATTTTTAAAAGTCTTATTGAACAAATGGAAAAGCATACTATTTTCTTGTATGGGAAGACTTAGTATCATAAAAGATTCAACTCTTCTAAAATTAATATAAATATATATGATTCCACATAGACTCAATCCCAACAGGTGAATGTTTTGGGAGGAAAGGGGGAAGTTGCATAAAGTTATATTAAAATATAAATGGAATTTACACATATCTGAGAATAAATATGTAAAGCATGCTCAAAAAAAGAACATAAAAGTAGACTTATTTTTACTAAATATCAGACTATACTATGAAGCCACCATAACCAAATCACTGTTATTGACAAATAAGTTGGAGATTCTAGAACTACATTCCCATTCTAGAGTCAGATGTGTAATACATGAAAATTTGATTAGCCTTAAAGGTGATCTTTCAATGTAGTGGGGAAAGTTTGGCCTCATTAATTATGTTATCACAATTGGCTCTTTATCTGGAATAAAATGGACTCCTATATAGAAAAATTAATTCCAGATATATTAAAGACTTAAATGTGGAAAATAAAATAGTAAAATCCTACAAGACACTCCTGGAAACATGTACTTTTCATGGAAGAGTAACTTCTGTAGCCGCAATTGGACATGCAGAAGCATTTCTTGGCCATTTAAATATTAAAAGCTTTTATATGGCAAAAGAACCCATTTAAAAAACCAATAGACAAAGAGTGCATTTGCATGAAATTTCATAATATAAAGACAGGGTTGATATCTGTTCTACTCAAAGAACTCTTTAAAAAGAGGATAAGCCATGGATAGAAAGTAGACAAAAGACATGAGTAGACATTTCACAGAACTGCAAATGCAGATAGCCAGCAAATGTATGAAAACCTGCTCAAACTCACTGATAGTTGGGGAATTGCAGCTTTTTAAAGTAAGAAGTAGACAAAAGACATGAGTAGACATTTCACAGAACTGCAAATCCAGATAACCAACAATTGTATGAAAACATGCTCAAACTCACTGGTAGTTGGGGAAATGCAGCTTTTTAAAGTAAGAAGTAACATCTTTAATTTTTAAGACTGGAGAACATTAAAAGACCAATGTAACAACCATTGCTGATAGGGAAATAGCGAAAAATCTATGATTTTCTTTTGCAATGGGAGAGGAAAATGCTTTCAAAATCCTTTGAAAGGCAGAATCTAGTAAAATTAAAAATGCATGTATCCTTTTAACTCTCCTGCTGGGCCTTCTTCCCATAGAGATAAAAGAAAAAGTCTGTATGTTATAATATAGTATAGATATGTATTACATAATGTTTGTGGTAACAAAGAACTGGAAAGAAAATGAATGTCTGTCAGTGGGTGAATGGCTAAAAAAAATGGCACATCCATACTATGAATTATTATGTGACCATTAAAAGACTGCATTACCATCAAACCCAAGGGCTTTGGGGGGCTTTCTGTAATGTATTGTTTAGCAAGAAAAGCATGATGAAGAAAAATGTGTGTAAAGTATAATGTCTACCTTTTTGGTTGGCAGGAGACAGGGTCTCACTCTGTGGCCCAGGCTGGAATGCAGTGGTGCAATCATAGCTCACTGCAGCCTCAACCTCCTGGGCTGGAGCAGCCCTTTCACCTCAGCTTCCCAAGTAGCTGGGACTACAGGCACACACTCTCTTGGTGTGTTCTGTGAAATTGAGACAGGGTCTTGGTGTGTTGCACAAGCTGGTCTCGAACTCCTGTCTTGGCCTCCCAAAGTGCTAGGATTGCAGGCAGGAGCTACATGACTGGCCAGTGTCAACGTTTTATGAAACAAATTATGATCCCTAACGTGTGTGTGTGTGTGTGTGTAGTATGGTATAGGCAGAGTGGAAAATATGTAGGCATGCTGGGCTTCATTATAGCATGGTGATGAAGGGCAGGGGAGAATCTGAAGATGGGTAGAAGGAGAAGCTCAAGTTTAAAAAAAGAAAAAGACTGCCACGTAAACAGCAGGCATGACATCACATGTACACATGGATGCAGAGCAATGGAGGTGAGAGTATGTACTAAGAAAGTGTGCATGGCTCCTGGCTTCTGGTAGAAGCTCTGTCCAGCTATAAAACAAACAATTTTTGTTGTTGTGAGGAAAGTGAGTGCAACAAGTCCCCTGTGGATTTCTCCTTGAAGTCTTTGTAGCACATTGAAATCCCAGGGCTGCTTTCCATTCTGCTGTGGACTGAAGGAAGAGTGTGAGAGTTTTACTGACTCTACTCACCACACATCTGATTGCCTGCTCCCAATAGACTTGGGAACAGCTTCCTCTGGCCATATACTCCATCTCCAAATAGCTAGTGTGAGTTCAGAATTCTCGTACAGACACACGTCCAATTCCCACAGGCCTGAGAGCTTGCTGGGTTTGTGGGTGGGGATTTGAGGGACGCTCAGCAGCAAGTGACCCAGGCTGTGTGAACCATTCCCAGAACCAAGCAGGAGAAGGACCCTCAGGGCCAACATGTCCTGAGTTAAAATGACATGTTTCTTCCAAGCACCTTCTTCAGCTCCTGCTTGATTTTTCTAATATACAAATGTGAGTACAGGTGAAAGTCACAAGTCTTGCAAGGCACCATCTGCCCAAGAACTCATTGTCACTGGAGATTGTTTGGTCTGGTCTCCTTCCTATCCTTGCCTTACACCGCACCCTCAGCCAGCCACCATCCTGTGTATCTTAGAAAGTTCCTCGTCCTTTAAATGACAACAATTTAAAGATCGAATTGGCTTTTATTAGCCATTCTGGAATTGGGTAACATCTCATTTCATGAAACAGAATGAGTGCTCCGATGAGCTGAGCAGAGGAGGCCAGCTTTATAGGCAGAAAGGGACTAAGGAAACAGAAGTAGAACAAAAAGTGATTGGTTGTTTCAAAGTGGCTTTCTTTACAGAGTTCAAACAGGGGACTTCTGTATCATGCTGCCTCAGGTAAACTGGGCCCTTTCTGGTGCCTAGGTAAACTGGTTGCTGTGAATCTCCTGTTTTTTGTTTGTTTGTTTGTTTGTTTGTTTGTTTGTTTGTTTTTGGAAAACTGGCCTGTTTCAAAGTTTAGTTTGATGACACAGCTCTTAGCACAAGTAACTCCATTTTGGTTTGGTCAGGTCTGCTGGGGCCGAGTGCAGGAGCTCAGTCCAAACAGTGGCCTCCTATAAACGTTGTTCAACACCTCCAAACAGGCATGCTGATGTCTCAGAGCTTTGTAAGGGGTGCATCTCTCATGGGACTCCTTCCTCGCCCACATCCCTGTCATCTTGCCAAATCATGTTGGTCTAATACCTTGCAGGTCAGATACTCTTTGGTGCAAGAATCCTTTGGTGACTCTCCCTTCTCCTTCTGCGTCCTCCCCTAACAGGTATTAATAGTTTTGCAGAGCTCCGCGTTTTGTATATTTACCTCTATGCCTGTTGCCCCACTGCCCTCCTCCACTTCTGCAGTAGATGGCGTTCCTGGAGGTCCTAATTCCTTTCCTTCTTTCTTCTGTTTGTAAATCTCTCCATTCCTGGTGCTTATCACAGTATCTAGCCCATAATTTGTTTATTGTAAATGTCTGTTGAATGAATAAATGGATGAAGTACATTATGCTTCCTGAAATTTGAGTATAACGTCAGGGTGGAAAGTTGTAAATTTTACGTCAGCTAGCGTGAGCAGAAAACAAAGCAACACTTCAGACAGCTAACTGTGGCATGATTCCACATCAGTCTTCGTTTTACAAAGGAAGGTAGTTGCTAATTTAACAAGAAATCTTGGCTAATCAGATAATGTATGATGTTTTTAGTGTTCAGTGTATTCATTTGATAGTGATTAACGTAAAAATGGTCTTTCATTTATTTCCTTTGTTTGGAGGGTGTCTGGGGATCTGTGAATCATGGAGTCTCAGGTTTGGACTTGACTGGAAGTGAAGTCATCATTTGGTAGAAGGGAACAATGAAGCCGTGTGGATCCGAAGGGCTGCTTTTAATGGCTCATTGTTCTCCCTGCAGATTTTCACCGCTTTGCCGCCCTTCACTCTGGGAATCTTTGAGAGGTCTTGCACTCAGGAGAGCATGCTCAGGTTTCCCCAGCTCTACAAAATCACCCAGAATGGCGAAGGCTTCAACACAAAGGTAAACAGAGTGTGATCTCAGAACTGTCACCTCAGAAAGGCGTGGCTGTTTGATTCTAGTCATCTGCCTAGGAGATAGTTGAAGCTTGAGAAAGAACATTTGAGAAGTGCTGAAAACATGATCCACTCACCCCACCACCACACACACACACACACACACACACACACACACACACACACACACACGCCACAAACCCAGTGAATTCAAGACGCCTTCTCAGGTGACGGGTCCATGCTGTGTGGGCTGCAACCTCCAGTCCCAGCATGCTGACTCCTTCCCGCTTCTCCCCGTCAGCCCCTGACATCAGTGTGGGCAGCAGTTCCCACAGCCCAGGTTCAGGATCCGCTGTCAGAGATCCCCCTTGCGTGGTCCTGCAGCCCCATGTGGAGGCCTGTTGGCAGCTTACCTAGCTGTTGCTGGGTTTGTCATTTGAAATAAAATGTGTCTTTAGCTAGTGCGTAAAATTGACTAGATATGAACTCAGGGATCACATGAGTTGCAGGGGATTTGGTTTTGTTTTTCTGGACCAGAGAATCAGAAAGGAACCAAAAAAAAATAAAAAAAAGAAAGATATAGGTGATCCTGACAAACCCGCGCCAAAGCTGGGTGGGGTGTTAAAGGGGTCGTGCAGTCTCAGACAGCAGAGGGGTCTGCCACACAGATGTCATTTGCGGCTGAATGTGGCAGAGTGCTTGGGTGACCCCATCCAAAGAAAAGGGAGATGTGTGCCTGGGCACAGAGGGGCGAGATGTGAGCATGGCTGCACGGCCTTGTTTCTGCCTCTGGTCTTTGCGCAGGGGGGATTCAGAAGTTTAGACAGAGGTCTGTTGCACAGTTCACCTCCTGTGCTGTGTGCTGGTGGCGGTCATGATTTGCGTGCATGGTTCCTGGGCCGTCAGTGAGAAGGACACAGGGAGTCACCTCTCCAGGCCTCAAGGAGAGAACAGTCTCCCAGGGCCTTTCTTCTGAGCCAGATGTTCCTGACGTCCCTTACAGCTGCTTTTTTCTGGGGAGGCTCACTAGTTACATCCGAGGCAGGGAAGAAACAGAAGGGCTCCTTATTGGTTCTACCGTCTCCCACATCCAAAGAGACCCGAGGGACTCATTTTACCAATCCTTGTTGACTGTGATTCCGTTAATGGGAAAATATGACCCATTTTCACTGCATTATTTACATAAATCCATTTTCTACAGAATTTGAATTCAAAGGCCATTTGAGGTGGGAAGTAAGTAAGAGCTGAGAATGCACGGAAACTTATCTGCAGGCACTTTGAAGAATTTTTTTTTTTTTTTTAAGTAGAGAGGTCAGAGATGGTGCAAAATGAACATTTAAAGCAGGGGAAAATTCCATTGTCTTATAACATTTTTCACTATTTTCTGTTGTCTTACCACTACTTAGGCTCAAACTATATGATAATTTCCAGGGACAACTTGTAGAGGTTTAAATAAATTTAATCTGGCTTTAATAGTTAATAACTCGAGGGGGGCAGCCAAGATGGCCGAATAGGAATAGCTCTGGTCTACAGCTCCCAGCGTGAGCAACGCAGAAGACAGGTGATTTCTAATAGTTAATAACTCTGTCATCACGGTGGTTAAAACAATGATTGCGATGTATTAGTGAAACTAAAGTTTAGAATAAACTAAACCTTGTGTTCTTTTTTCTGACCTTTAAACATTAAAATAAAGAGAATTTTCAAATATGCATGTTATCTAAAATCCCAAAAATAAAAGAAGAAGTTGAGTGAGAGGGATTTGAAGTAGTAAAACAAAAGAGTGAGAATGCCATGTAAAAAGTTACAAGTGGAATGTTTTCAGTGCTTTTAAGACATCCCATCTGCCCCGACACAGTTTAATTGTTAAGAAGAGACACAGTTTTAGTCTCTTCTTAACAATTTTGACCTAGTACCCTTTTTCTGGATGTTTGTAAAATGGTGTTGTCTCTCTTACAATGCTAAAGAAAACTGATCAGAGTGAATTTTTCACATGTGGATAGATTGTGTTGGTCTGCATACATGTGAGTAGATATTTAGGTCTTTGTAACTAAAGTAATATGATCTGGAGATAATCCAGTCATTTGTATGTA
Source organism: Homo sapiens (assembly GCF_000001405.40). Taxonomy (NCBI): domain Eukaryota; kingdom Metazoa; phylum Chordata; class Mammalia; order Primates; family Hominidae; genus Homo; species Homo sapiens. The sequence goes on from NC_000013.11 coordinate 25,839,369, forward strand.
AAAATTAAATAATCGATTTGGGTGGGTTTTTTTTTTTTCAAATTCAAGAATAATATGCTACTCCTGGAACCGTGCAGCGCACGGCCAGGATCCTTCACAATGTGGCGTTTGTTGAGAGTTTCACAGAGGTCAAGCGTTTTGGGCAGCTCCTGACTCCCTTGGTTTGTTTTTCCTTAGGTTTTCTGGGGTCACTGCATCAACGCCTTGGTCCACTCCCTCATCCTCTTCTGGTTTCCCATGAAAGCTCTGGAGCATGGTAAGGGCTGTGTGATTTCACCTGTCAGCAAGGAGCTTTGCAGCCGCTCTGCTGCCTGTGTGTTCACAATTTTTTTTTCCAGTTCTGCAGAACAAGAGATCACAGGAACACATTTTAGAGGAAAAACATACCTAAAGCATAATGAGAGCTAGTCCCAGGTTTATAGCTGTTAGGTTTCATCAGTTCTGGCCTTGAGAACCCATTTTCTTTCCAGTTGACTGGATAGTTTGAGTACTAGGAATACTCAACTCAGTTTTAAAAACTATTTGAGTCAGAGATCTTCAAGGAAAGCCCTGTACTGTAATGAAATGTTGATGCTTTTTGTCCGTGGTTTGAAATTCTCTTTTAATTACTTTGACTTTTATTTCTGAGCCTCCCCTACCCATATGCAGAATAACTCAAATCTTATAAGATTTGAATCTTATTCCTAGCTTTCTGAAAGAGTGTCCTGTCCTTGATGTACGCCTTTTGAAATTAGAGTTTGAGAACTAATTCTCCAGATTGGTGTTTGTCTTTACAGCTAGAAGAGGATGTCTGAGAACTGTGGCAGACTCGGCGTTTTTTCACACTTCTTAACACATCCAGAACGTGGCCTCCTAAAGAGACATATTTTTATTCTCAGAAAATACAAATGTATCATGAGAATGCTACTCTTTCATCCCTCTCAAATAGTAATAATCCCCCTGGGAAAAATTACTCCAAATGTTGACTAGACAAGGCCCTTTATTGTTCAAAGAACCAAAGAATATAAAGTTTCCAAGCGTCTTTGTTTCTGTGTCAGTGAGTTTTATGCTTCAAACAGAAATGATTCATCCTCACTGATATTCTTTAACCTATTAAATACTGACAGAGAAAATGCATGCACTGCCATTTTCTTATGCCACGTGATATAGTCTTTCAATTTCATCAGAACTCCTTTTCCTTCGAGGGTTCATAAGTCTTTAAATCAGAGAATACAATTTTATGCTTTCTAGCCCCACCCCAAAAAAGAGCATTCCAGTGAAATCATTTTCTTTTAACTTGAAACCCTTCTTGTGATTCATCTTTACTCAGTGGATTTAATTTATTTTAAAATGGTTTTATAAATAAGAGTGTATACGTATAAGAGTTTGGGATGTGATTTTGTTTCAGAGGCTGTGATATTTTGGTGACAGACTCAGCCATCATTGTAGCAGGAAGGATTAGTGATGGGAAATGGTATGTCTGATGAGCATAAGAGAAATTTGAGCAATTATCCTCCATACCTGAGCCCAGGCTTTGGTACTTAAGAAGAGTCTGCAAATAGCATGAACTAGCCACAAGTACTCTCTGAAGACCCCTTACCACTTCTTATCTAGACATCCTACTGTGTTCCTAACTCAGAATTGCTTGCCTTTTGACTCTCAGAAGCTTTACAAGATGGTCATTTACTTACCTGCTTCAAAAGGAACTAGTGTGGCTGTTCTGCAGTGGAGACGATGGTTTTCTAATCCTGGAATTATGATCATATACGTTCAGTTGGTGCCTTGTGGTTTGTGGTGAAATTGCTATAGTTTAACCAGATTCCATTATGTAAGTCCATTCATTCACCTACCATGGTCAGTATTTAAAAGGATGTAGACTCCCAGCAGTTGCTAACTTACCTAAGAGACAGCACCAAATGAATTTTAAATTAGTGCTATCCTTATCTAATTCCTCCAAATTTGGCAAATTACCTGGCAGGCAGCCAATAGGATGCTTTTTTCCTCTTTTTATTATCACCATCATCATCAATGTCATTATTTCATTGTATTTATTGAGCCTTCAGCATAGGGGTTTTCTTTGAGTTGTGTTGCAAACAATAATCTATTGAGTGAAACTGTGTAAAGTGAAGTAAATTGCAAATATTAAGTGTATCAGAACAACAGAGGGACATTGGTGTTCTTGGTCATTAGTTGACTTCCCCTAACAAATTGAATATTTTATAATTAATTTCTAAATTCTCACTGTTAGTACAGAGAAAAAAATCATTATATTATTGTTCATTAACCTTATTCCTGTTATGTTCAAGACACTGTGGTAGATTCTAAGGGTGACAGTAGATATATCAATGTCGGTCTCACCTTCAAAGAGTTTGTAGTATGGAAAGGGAGATTAGATTTTGTCTTAGTCCATTTTGTGCTGCTATAAGAGCACCATAGACTGGGTAATTTATAGTGAACAGAAATGTATTTGGCTCATGATTCTGGAGGCTGGGAAGTCCCAGGTCAGGGAGCTGGCTTCTTGTTAGGACCTACTTGATGTGTCATCCCATGGTGGAAGGATATGGGGTAGAGAGAGAAGGAAGGAACCCATGCCAGTGACAACAGCATTAATTTATTCATGAGGGTGGCGCCCCCATGACCCAAACACCTCCTATCAGGCCACAGCTCCCAGCACCACTGCATTGGAGATCAAACTTTCAACACATGAGCTTTGCGGGCTGCATTCAAACCAGAGCAGATTTGCAAATGAATAACTCCAGTACAAGGTAAAAAATAGCTGTTTCAAGTAAACCATAGATAAAATGCTATTAGATATCAGAGGACTGAGAGATGCCTTTCATTTGGAGTTATTAATAGCTTCCTAGGGGAGGTAATATTTAAGTTTAGCCATGAAATCCAGCAGAAGGAAGAATCAAGCAAAGTGGGGAAATCAGGACAGGTGTGGAAAACTGAGCAGCTGAAAGGTGAAAGATGGGGAAATTTAGGAAGGCAGATAAAAGCTGAATTACAGAGGGCTTTGAGTATGAGGTTAAGAAACTGGGATGTGGCTGGGCGTGGTGTCTCACGCCTATAATCCCAAAACTTTGGGAGGCAGAGGTGGGTGGATCACCTGACATCAGTTCGAGACCAGCCTGGCCAACATGGTAAAACCCCGTCTCTACTAAAAATACTAAAATTAGCTGGGTGTGGTGGCAGGCACCTATAATCCCAGCTACATGGGAGGCTGAGGCAGCAGAATCGCTTGAACCCGGGAGGTGGAGGTTGCAGTGAGCCAAGATCGTGCCACTGCACTCCAGCCTGGGCCAAAAAGCAAAACTCTGTCAAAAAAAAAAAGAAAGAAAGAAAAAGAAAAGAAAAGGAAAGAAGGAAGGAAGGAAGGGAGGGAAAGGAAGAAGGAAGGAAGGAAGGAAGGTTGGAAGGAAAGAAGGAGGGAAAAAGAAGAAAGAAGGAAAGAAACTGGGACTTAACTGTTTAGGCATTGAAGGGTCAGTGTAGAATTTAGATCTAGAATTTTATGATCAGGGCAATTTGGGAAAATAAACCTGTCATGTCTTGTAAGGTGAGCGGTAGAAAGAAAACTACTGGCAGAGATTCCAGGGGACAGCTTAGGGAGGGTTAAACCCAGGAATGGGATAGTGTTTGGAGAGGGTGTTTTGAAAGGAGCTTCTTTGTTTGCTGAGATTGTGGTGTATCTACAAGGTAAGAGGCTCTCTGAGGGCACAGTGAATATAGATATCAGCAAGCCAGGCACTGCCTCTCCTGCCCTCTGGAGGCTTCCCTCTTGAAAGAGGAGTAGGGGGTGGTCACATGGGACAAGGGAGATGTGGGGCATGGTTGGGAGAAGGAACATTCCTGGCCAGGACCTTGCAGGTGCACAGGACCTGAGCTGCTGAGGCCATAGGAAGTGTTTTAGTGGGACTGGGGGTGCCTGGACTCTGAACTCTGTCAGCCTCTGGTGAGAGGCTCGGGACACTGGGCATTCCTGCCCCAGACTGGAAAAAACAGTAACCTCCTACTGTAATCTGACTGCTCATGCCCCCCCCGCCCAATTCATATGTCAAAACCTCAAACTGTAAGGTGATGGTATACAACATAGGGCCTCTGGGAGGTGATTAGGTCGTGAGGGCGGATCTCTCAGGAATGGGATTAGTGTACCTATAAAAAGGACCCTAGAGAGCTCATTTGCCCCTTCCACTATGTGGGAATATAGCTAGAAGACATCACCTATGAGGAATGGGCCCTCACCTGACACCACAACTGCCACTTCCTTGATCTTGGACTTCGCAGGCTCCAGAACTATAAGAAATGAATTTCCAGGGGTTATAATCCATGCAGTTTATAGTATTTTGTTATAGTCAGCCGAAAGAACTAAGACACTCCCTCTCCTCCTTTCCCTATCCTTCTGGAAGTATCAATCAAAACACATCTCTACATATTTCTAGCATCCCCCTTGTAGTGGACAACCACCCCTAGTCAAGACGACTACAGCATAGAGAGGAGGTAGGGGCTGGAAAAGGGAACAAATACTTGAGAGAGGATCTGATCACTAACACCTGGCGGAGGGGGGGACTTTTTCTCAGGGCAGGGTTGGAGGTAGGAGAGTTTTGTGATGAGATTTGCCTGTAAAGAAGATTAAGACTGCTCTGTAGAGAAACACATAGGATCTGGCAAGAGTATGCCAGGACCATGCGGTTGCACAGGACCTGAGCCACTGAGGCCATGGGAATTATTTTAGTGGGACTGGGGGTGGCAGGGATTTTTTTGGTAGGGATGGGAGTGGCAGGGATAAAGACTGTAAGCACCAGAGGACCAGGATATGTCAGCTGACTGGAGGACTTGTTTATGTGTGCTGATTTGCTGTCCTGAGTACAAGTGAATTCTTATTACACTTTTTTTTTTTTGAGACAGAGTCCCATTCTGTCTCCCAGGCTGGAGTGCAGGAGCACGATCTCGGCTCACTGAAATCTCCACCTCCCATGTTCAAGTGATTCTCCTGCCTCAGCCTCCTGAGTAGCTGGAATTACAGGCTCATGCCACCATGCCCGGCTAATTTTTGTATTTTTAGTAGAGATGGGGTTTCACCCTGTTGGCCAGGCTGGTCTCGAACTCCTGACCTCGTGATCTGCCCACCTCGGCTTCCCAAAGGGCTGGGATTACAGGTGTGAGCCAATGCACCTGGCCTTATTACACTCTTAATTGTCATTTAGGAGAATGTATATCCTCCCCACCCCCAAAGAGGCATAGGAACATGGCACCAATTTGAGACAAACTAGGGCACTGTCAAAGCTGGGGGCCCTTGGTCTAACAGAGGGGTGCCTTCAGGACTCTCCCCTCCTGCAAGAGCTGCCTGAAGCCATCCCTCAGATGGCCACCCACACCCAGAGCCCCAGAGGAGTTTTGTTTGACCGGGGGCTGAAGTCCCTAGAGTAGTTTCATTTCCCACTTGATACCTTATGGATGATGTCACAAAGACAGGAGGTTTTACTAGAAAATTCTGCCTCCACCATCTATGGAGAGAACCTCAGGTATATATCAACAGTGTTCACTTTGGGCAAGGCAACAGAAGCACACTTCTTCTTGGGAAGAAATATTTTGAGAAGGTATATCGTTCATTCCCTAGAATGCTTCCAAGAATTTTGCTTTGCTTATTTTCATGTGGTTTTGGAGAGACTTTTCAAAGCACTCCTTTGCTGATGGAGTTTGTGATGATTCATTTCAAATTTCAAAATAAATTTTTCCACTCAAGCAATTCAGTAAATCAGATTTCTTCCAACCATCACAGCCATACACTTACTGCCATGGTCTGCCTGCAGCTCCTCGCCTTTGATCTGGAAAGCGATGCTAGGTTAGACCTAGGATGTCACCTTCACAGGGACCCAAGTCCATCAGGAGCCCTGGTGTCAGCCCACACCCGGGTTTCCTGTTGGCATGTCCAGTCGGCAGAGTTGAGCAACCCTCCTTGAAGTGTAATGTGGTTATTGGCAAAATAATACAAAATCGGTCTTGATTTTAAAAAAGGAAGTATTCAGATTTTTCTTGATGAAATTTAAGAGGGAGGTGATGGGAAAGAGACTATGCTTAACAAAAGAAAAGAGCTCCTAAAAACATTTGTTCTTGATTCCCCAGAGTCCACACCGTAGAAACTGCTCCCTCACCGTTTAAGGAGAATACCATACGGATTCTTATGTATGGGTACTAATTACGCAACTGGGCCTTTCGACATTTTTGGAGAAGTCTATTTTATAATTTTTAATAAATTTGCTCCTGTAAGATCAGCCATGTTTTGTATACTGAAATAGTAGTGCACGTGTATAAAATAAAACTCAGTGTGACTCTCTTTTCCCCTGGCATTCTTGGGTCATATTAGTTTAAACTATTTCTGACCCTTACTTTATTACTGAAAACTTGAGTGTTTCATACCATATAAATCCTGAGACTTGCGTTGTTTCACATTAAGCTAAATTTGGGCAAGATTGCCAGTGTTCTCTGAGACTGCAACTTCTTAAACTCAATTATTCACTCATTTTTGTAAAAAGATAAAAGAGTGGCTGGGCACGGTGGCTCATGCCTGTAATCCCAGCACTTTGGGAGGCCGAGGCAGGCAGATCACCTGAGGTCAGGAGTTCAAGACCAGCCTGACCAACATGGTGAAACCCCATCTCTACTAAAAATACAAAAATTGGCTGGGCTTGGTGGCGCATGCCTGTAACCCCAGCTACTTGGGAGGCTGAGGCAGGAGAATTGCTTGAACTGGGAGGCAGAGGTTGCAGTGAGCCGAGATCGTGCCATTGCACTCCAGCCTGGGTGACAAGAGCGAAACTCAGTCCCAAAACAAAACAAAAAAAAAGATTAAAGAATATGTTCTCTATGCCAGGCTCCTCCTGTGTTCTGGGGACACAGTAGTGCGTTAATAGAGGAGTTCCCACCCTCATGGAACTGACACCTAGAGAAGGCAGGATTTGAACAGGAAATGTTAGCAAAGTAGAAGGTCAAGTTCAGATGGGATGTCTTCCAGGGAAAACTAACCTGGGCTGAGCTTTAAGGACTGCTTCCTGGAGGATGTGGCAGCAGAGTTGAAGGATGAGTCGGAATGAGGTAGGAGAAGAGGAGAGAGAGGAAAGAGTTTCAGGTTGCAGGAATAGAATAGTTCCAAGAGAAAGATGACATGAAGCAGTTGGGGGGAGATATTGCGGGGCAGATTGTGAGACACAGATTGCCTTGGGATGGTGAGAGTGGAGATAGAGAAGTCAGACCTTTCCAGGCCTTTTGGAATAAATGAGCCTTTTGGAGGATAAGTGTAATAAGGCCATTGGCAGGTTTTAAGCAGGGAGCTGTGCAGTCTGATTTATTGTAATATAACCACACAGGCCAGGATAATGATTGGAGTCCTGTTCCTGGGCTGTTGCTGATCTAATGTAGCAATCATGGCACTTGAGAAAAGTGGATGGGTTGGAGGCAAAGCTAGAAGGACTCAGTATTGCATTAATTAATAATCCCCTTCTCCACCTGGTTGCACAATGTCCTAAACCCGCCAGGAGAATGTGCTAATGCAGTCATAAAGAGCAACAAAATACCATATTTTACAGTAAGGTATGTGAAACAATACACTGACATTTTGTTCCCCCATAAAAGTCACCAACAGTGCTATGTGCAGCATGGAAAAGATCTAAAATAAATTTAAAAGATTCAGAGTCAAGCATTAAATGCTAAATGGGAGAGGAAAAGAGGGTAGTAACTCCATGTGGCCTCTGCCATCTGGGAAGACCTGCAGGGAGGACAGAGTGTGGTGGAAGTTCATAAAATCCTGAAGTTAGTGGAACTTGCTCCCTAAGACCTAGAAACACAGAACATTCTGGGAGTCTTTCAGATTTGTACAAATGAAACTAAAACTCATAAATCTGCATAACTGGTTACTAACCCGATCATAGTACATTGAAAATATAAACAGGTTTCCAAATTCAAATGCAAGATTTTTGTTTCTGTTTTGTTTTAAACCGCAGTTATGAACTGCGGTAAAGCTCTGACTTTAGCTGTTTTCCTGTATTGTGACAGTGCACCTCACACATCCTGAAACCCAGAATTGGGCTGGAAGGGCCATTGTTTTCATTCAGTTAAATATTTCTTATGTTTCAATGTCTCTTTTAATAAACTCTGTGTTGCGCGTATTTTAGACAGTTGGGTTTGGTGTAATGTTGTAAGAAGTGTGAGCCAGAGTTCCTAGATTTCACCCTTAGCAGGAAGTTGAATCAAGATGGATTAGCCAGGGAATCTCAGGGGCTTAACCCAGTAAAGAGTTATTTCTCACCCATGTCCCTATCCAGTGGAGAAGTGCATTGTTCGCGGGTGTGTTGAGTATGTTTTTCTTATTTTCCATATTCCTGATGCACTGGCATTAGGGGCCTTGATTCCGGAGACACTGTCCTCCCAGGGCTAGCTAATTCCTGAAGTTAGCAAATGCCTCCCCTGCCTGCATGCCTTTGACATACAAATCAACCAAGCCCGAGCCCACACCCCCAGCCACCTCCTTTATCAAACTCTCACCCACTGAGCAGGTGTTCCCTTTGCCCAGCAGCACCCCAGGGCCAGGTACCCAACAACTAGGGACCATCCTTACAGCCCTGAGCCTGCCAGAATTACTCCCATTGTACAATCCTAAGTGTCCTCAGTCAGCATACCTACCCTGCCTCACCTGTTCCTCCCTGTAAGAACCCCAGTAGAGGCCTGGGCCATGCTCAGCGTCTCTCCAACCTCCTGAGCTCCGTGGCGCTACCTGGCATGGCCTTGCCAGGCATGCTGTGCCTCCTGCTTCTAGCATCTGTGAGTACGAACTTCTGCCTCCATGACAATCATTCCATGTCTGCCTGTCTTACCATATCTGTTAAAACTATGCCTGCTTCATTTCAACACAGTGAGGCTCCATGGAGTACACCCTCAGCCTCAACACTGGGAGGGGAGAGGCAAGATGGTTTGCAGGGCAAGGATCATTTGCTCTTACCCACATCTGGCAGGAAGAGATCCATCAGTTCTGCCCATATCTGATTGGCAAGAACTAGTCACAGGGCCTAGCACGGCATGGGGTGCTGGGGGATATCACTTAGTTGTGTACCCAGGAGTAAGAAACACGTGTGGCCTCACTGGGTGACTGCCTGGGCATTGGCAATCAAGTTTACTTTGCGTCATTTTTACTTCCTTTTTCAGATTTATTTTTAGTAAACAAAAGTGAAAAAAGAGAAAGATTGAAATTTGAGTTTCATGTCCTTAACTTTATCCAGCAGAAATGGCAATAGAGGAGAAAATCCAGCAATAGGCTTATATAACCAGGAGCTTCACCCGGCAGCGCTGGTTGTGAATGTAATTGTAATCACTAACACTTGTATAAACCCTGCTTTTTATAAAGCAACCTCCGATACTTTATACTACTTTTTACGGGGAGGAAAAAAATAAATTTTCTCTTCATGAATTCATAGTGTCGGAGGCAGAAAGCATAATTTTAATTCTAGTTCAGGCACTATAGGCATAGCAGGTTAACTTCTGAAAGTTTGTAATTTAGCGTCCTGGAAGTTGGAATATATCTTCACTCTTGATGTAAATCTAGAAGTTGCTAGTTGGGATGGGGTGCGCTTCCTCTGAGCCACTGGAGTCTTGAGAGGCCCAGAGAGTAAGGTGGGGGCGGGGGCTGGCTCAGTTAATGTTCTGGAATCCCGGCTGCTTTGAAACAGTGCTGCTGGAAGCTCCTGAAGGGAAAGGAGGAGAGAGGAAAAGCAGGAGAAACTTGGTATCTGCTCTTGGACAAAAATGTCTTGGCAGATGTCTTGGTGTTGAGGGAATGGTGCCACCTCTACCTCAGTTCTCCCTCCTGAGCCCTGCATGAGTGTGATGCCTGCATTGTTCAGTTCAGGTGTTCCACTGATTCTGACTAAATCAAAAGTATACATGTAAATCCAGCCCATCTGTTTTCATGATTGTTAAACGCCGTCTCTTCTGACCACTATGTTATAACATTGTCTTGAAATTTTGCCTTTGTCAGAGCCATTTCTGAATACATTTTGTGGTTTAGCTGGATGATGATGTAATGTTTTTAATGAGCATTTAATTGAAATGGCATCTTTATAAAATGGCATCAACCTAGCTCTTTGGAATATTCTGAAATAAGTTCCTTGATCATTTTGTCTCTTTAGAAAATGAGACATGCTTTTCTTATAAATTGTGGCTTTTCCCACAAATATTTTCAAAGAGATTTTTGCAGACAACATTTTCGGGCTGTTACTACTAATGTTGGAGAGCTCATGTGGTTTTGTCCCAGATGTTCACAGTAGGCTGGTTTAGTGACTATGTTTCCAGACCTAATTTGGCTAATCCTATGTTAGTTATGTCTGTTCCTGAACCCCAACCAGATTTCATGACTGATAGGAGTCTGGAAGAACAGACTCACCTGCTGCCTTGGGTCAGGGGATCCTGGAGCCACACATAACACTGAATTGTCTCTAAGAGAGCATCTGGGACTGTGTTTCTGTCTCTCTCATTTTATGACACTTTTCATGCATGCCATAAGCATCATCATTATATTAGGTTTGTATCACATGCAATCACAGATCATTCTAAATGTGACTTAGTATTTTATCAAACCAAGCACATGGAGAACTTGTGTTACCTTTTCTGTTGTTGTTGTTGTTTACCCTGTAGAAATTGTCCTCTGGATTTCTGAGATGGGTAATGCCCTCCTGTCTCATCTCAGCCCTCACCAGTGTTGGACCTGATCCTGAATTTGCAAAAGGCAAACTGATCTCAGTCTAGTTCCGGTAAATGCCAGCCCCACTGATGCGATGGGGAGGCGAAGCCTTCTTAGCTTTCTCCTTGCCCTTTAGGCCTTTGTGTACCAGTGACGGGTGTCTGCGAGGAAGAGCTTGGCTCTTGGAGAACACAGGTTTGGTGAGATCACATCTCTCCATATGCACTTTGGATAAATTTCTTTATTTATAGAGACTTTTTTGGAGCCTATACATTTGACCCCTGCTGACCTCACCGCTGTAGCCCCACCCCCACCTCATCAGCTCACCTTTCCACCTCCGCGCCCAATACAGGCTGGTTTTCTTTTTGCCTGAAATGTTCTTCCCCCTCTCAACTGACCCCCACCCCAAATATCCATCTCTGCCCCCCATACTACTTTCTCTGAAATTATGCTCTTACCATGGTTTGCACAGACGGTAGATAAATACTGTTCCAAAGGCTGGCTTGGGGAACCCAACTATTCCCGGTTTGGGGTTTTGTCCCCCTTTGAAAAAATTCACTTGAGATTTTAAATATCTGACTAAAGTGAAAACAGGAAAGACTCTCAGAGTGGTAGAATTGTAACAGAGCTGTTAAGATTTCACTCAGTGGGAAGGAATATTTTGTCAGCAACTTGCTTTAGGAATAAACTGGACAATCGAATGGGGCTTTTCCAGCCTGCATTAACAGCAAGCTGTAGCTTGGAAACACCTGCATGACAAACACTTTCTTAGGACTTCTTTTTTCCAGGAGTAGCTTATTGGCAGGTTTTAACAAGAAACGACACCCACAGGTGTTTGCCTCTAAAACTGTTGAAACAGAACCATCTAGTCCCCAGGGTTTCCCTACAGGGTGTGCAGGGTGATGACTGTGACTTGTTTGAAGGATGCTATCTTTTCAGAGGCTCTTGGCAAGTCCCAGAATCTCACCTTGGTTTGGGACTTTCTCCTCCAAGGGAATAAACTATTTCCAGATGGTGTTAGCTTTGCCTAGGGAAGGAAGTACTCTTTCCTAGACTGAAAACTAAAATGCAATGCTGAGTTACCTCTCCAAAACAAGGAACTGAAATATTAGGCTTAGCCCATCTTCATTAAAGTTTAATGCTCAAATTACCTTGTGTGTTAGCATTTTATTGAATGCCAGTAGCATTCACTGTCATGACAAGTTAGAAATTAATGCATTGTCAGCCGGATGCCGTGGCTCACGCCTGTAATCCCAGCACTTTGGGAGGCCAAGGCGGGCAGATCACCTGAGGTCAAGACTTCAAGACCAGCCTGGCCAACTTGGTGAAACCCCCGTCTCTGCTAAAAATACAAAAGTTAGCCAGGCATGGTGGTGGGCACCTGTAATCCCAGCTACCCGGGAGGCTGAGGCAGGAGAATCGCTTGAACCCAGGAGGCAGAGTTTGCAGCAAGCTGAGATCGCGCCACTGCACTCCAGCCTGGGTGACAGAGTGTGACTCTGTCTCAAAAAAAAAAAAAAAATTAATGCATTGTCAAACTTTAGAAGCTACATTTAGAAAACATCCTTTAGATTTCTCTGTTTCTGCTGTTCTGCCAAATTGCCAGCCTCTGGTACATAGTCTTAAGGGTTCCCCTCCATGCAGGTGTTCTCTTCATAGGTTAACATTCAGTCCTGAATGATCCAAGAGTTTGTCTCATGTAAAGGCCATCCAGCTTCATGAATTGCGTTGCTCTGTGCGAATGCCTCATGCTATTTATTTTATTTTCTTTTAAAAATGTTTTTTTCTTTTTTAGAGACTAAGTCTCACTCTGTCACCCAGGCTGGAGTGCAGTGGCATGATCATAACCTCAAACTCTTGGGCTCAAGCAACCGTCCTGCCTCAGTTTCCTGAGTAGCTGGGATAACAGGCACACACCACCATGCCTGGCTTCTTCATATTGGTTCTCTCTCCTGATTGCGTAGAGGACTGTATCCGACCCCAATGTCTCCTCCTCAGTCTGACGGGAGAGATGAGAATTCTCTCTGTTAGACATTCTGTCTTCAGTGTATGTTCTCTGTATTTACTCCACCTCCTCCTATTTCTTCCCTCTGAGGCAGTGGTTCTCAACCAGGATTGATTTTTGCCTCCCAGGGGACATTTGGCAATGTCTGCAGTTATATTTGGTTGTCACAACTAGGATGGGTGCTACTGGCATCTAGCGGGTGGAAGCCAGAGATGCTACCAAGCAGTCTGCGATGCACAGGTCAGCCCCCAGACAAAGAATTATCTGGCCCAAAATGTCCGTAGTGCCACATTTAATAAACTCTGGGCTAATGAAATGTCCACACCAACTCAGAATAAAAGGTCAGATCTCCAGGCGTTCCTGGCACTCCCGGAGTTGTTCACTTTCTGTGCTTCCTTATGTGGTATAAAATTTCTGTCATATGAGTCTAATTTTCTGTCCACCGCAGTTCTCTCCTGGATATTTCCTTTCCATTAGGTGTCAGTATTTCAAATGAGTACTTCTTAGTCTAATTGTTTTTTTCTTTGAAATTATCTCCTGTCATTCTTAGGAGTCCATTTTTCTAACTCAGTTAATTAGTACAAACTCTCATTTACAAAATTTACAGTTTCTTGGCCGGGTGCAGTGGTGTGTGCCTGTAATCCCAGCACTTTGGGAGGCCGAGGCAGGTGGATCACCTGAGGTCAGGAGTTCGCGGCCAGCCTGACTAACATGGTAAAGGCTGAGACAGGAGGATCACTTGTACCTGGGAGGTGGAGGTTGCAGTGAGCCAAGATCATGCTATTGCACTACAGCCTGGGCAACAAGAGAGAAACTCAGTCTCAGAAAAAAAAAAAATTACAGTTTCTTACTAACCATGTGACCTTGAACATATTTGACTTCTCTTTGCTGCACCAAGTTCCTCATGTGAAATATGCACATAATTATACTATTTCATGTAGTTGCTAAAGTATTAAAGGAGCTAATATGTGTAAAGTGCTTAGAACTGTGTAAAGTGTTTATATAAGATATTTTTTAAACATAGAATTTCTTGGTCAGGTGCGGTGGCTGTAATTCCAGCACTTTGGGGGGCTGAGACAGGTGGATCACTTGAGGTCAGGAGTTCGAGACCAGCCTGGCCAATATGGTGAAACCCCGCCTCTTCTAAAAATACCTCAAAAATTAACCGGGTATAGTGATGCACACCTGTAGTCCCAGCTACTCGGGAGGCTGAGGAAGGAGAATTGCTTGAACCCAGAAGGTGGAGGCTGCAGTGAGCTGAGATTGTGCCACTGCACTCCAGCCTGGTGACAGAGCAAGACTCTATCTAAAAAAAATATATATATATATGTATATATATATAGAATTTCTTATAATGTCTAAAAATTTTGTTTATTGTGTGTATATCCATAAAATATGAAACATGTTCTATGTCCTCCCTATTAAACAAATACTTTGTATGTTTTAGTCCCTGACTCAACCAGATTGGAAATATTGGTATTAGAAGAAAATTCAAAAAGTTGTCAAACCATAGCTACAAATTTTGACTTTCAGCTTAGTCTCCCATGCCTGCTAACCCTTTTGTCTGATCAGAGTTTTCTCTAGGGCCCCTTAGGGCTAATGTAGGTGGGACTTCAAGCACATAGATCATTGCTCTTCTCAATTCAGATGGATTAATGAGCAGATGGGTTGAGATGGAGATGAGGAAAGACATCCTAAGCTATGTTGAGGAGGGAGAAGATCTGAGACTCAAGTTTCTGCTGTTAAATCCATGAGGCTGATTTAGCAGCTAAGAATACAGGCCTTAGCCTTTTAGAGTTCCCTATCTGATAGGAGCCTTAGAGATAACTCAGTTGTCATCATTTGCATCTGATATAAAAATCTCCATTTTATGGGTGGAGAATTGAGACTCAAAACCTAAACTTTTAAAAAATGAAATAATGGCAGAGCTGGAACAGAGAGCAGGGCTGTTATTGGGTTTTGTAACTCTTATTACGGGGACTGCCTCCACTAACCCTAGTTCCCTTCTCTCCACCTCATGTTTTCTTTGTTTTGGAATATGGTCATGTTTCATTGCTGTCTTTTCTTCCTCTCGTGAACTTAAAATATGAATCATTTGGTACCAAGTTTTCATATGTCTTCCTGTATTCATATGACCAGAACCAGTCTTCTCCATCCCAAACACCGCTGTTTATCTACATACTCCAGCCAAAAACTTTCTTGATTCCTCACATTCTTTTCTACCCTACATCCAAATCATAAGAAAATTTTGTTTGTTTGTTTGTTTTTATAAGAGACAGGGTCTTGCTCTGTCACCCAGGCTGGAGTGCAGTGGTGTGATCATAGCTCACTGCAGCTTCAACTTCCTGGGCTTAAGGAATCCTCCCACATAGCTGGAACTACAGGCATGCACCAGCATACCTGGCTAGTTTTTAAAAAATTTGTTCATAGAGATAGGGTTACCCAGGCTGGTCTCAAACTCCTGGGCTCAAGCAGTCCTCCTGCCTCAGCCTCCTAAGTGCTGGGATTGCAGGTGTGGGCCACTGTGCCTGGCCAAATGCTGTCATTTCCACCTTCAAAATATTTCCAAGTGGCTTCTGTCCAAGCCACTCTGGGCCTGCATTGTTCAATAGCACTTTCTGTGAGGATGGAAATGTTCTGTATCTGTACTGCCCAATACAGTCGCCATTAGCCACATGTGGCTATTGTGAATTTAAAATGACTGAGGAACTGAAGTTTTTATAGCAGCTTTATTGGGCTATAACTCATATACCATCTAATTCATTGAAAGTATGCAATTCTATGGTTTTTAATATATTCACAGAGTTGTACAGCCATCATCACAATACATTATAGAACATTTTTATCACCCCCAAAAGAAACCCTATATTCATTAAGAATCACTCCTGGCCGGGCACGGTGGCTCATGCCTGTAATCCCAGCACTTTGGGAGGCTAAGGCAGGTGGATCACCTGAGGTCAGGAGTTCGAGACCAGCCTGACCAACATGGTGAAACCCCGTCTCTACTAAAAATACAAAAATCAGCTGGGTGTGGTGGCGCATGCCTGTAATCCCAGCTACTTGGGAGGCTGAAGCAAGAGAATCGCTTGAACCCAGGAGGCAGAGATTGCAGTGAGCAGAGATCAAGCCATTGCACTCCAGCCTGGGCGACAGAGTAAGACTCCATCTCAAAAAAAAAAAAAAAAAGAGTCACTCCCCATTTCTCCCAAGCACCTCCAGTACCTGGAAACCACTGATCTACTGTCTGTCTCTGTAGATGTGCCCATTTCTGGACATTCCATAGAGATGGAATATGTGGCCTTTGGTGTCTGGCTTCTTCACTTAGCATAAGGTTTTCAAGGTTCATCCATGTTGTAGCATGTATCAGTACTTCATTCCTTTTTATTGCCTAATAATGGTGTTCTATCATATTGATATACCACATTTTACCATTTCACAGTGGATGGACATTTGGGTTATAAATAGGCTATTGTGAATAATGAATAATGCTATTCATTATTTTAAGCTATTATGAATAATTATAATAATGGTGCTATAGCTTTTAAGTACAAGGCTTTGTGGGTTTCATTCATATGTTTTCATTTCTCTTGGATGTGTACCTAGGAGTACAATGGCTAGGTCACATGGTAACTGTACATAACGCTCTGAGGAACTGCCTCACAGTTTTCCAGGGTTTGCACCGTTTTACTTTCCCACCAGCAGTGTATGAAAGATCTAATTTCTCCACATCTTGTTATTGTCTGTTTTTCTGTAGGCACCCCGGTGGGTGTTAAGTGGTATCTCATTGTGGTTTTGATTTTATATTTCTTTGATGGCTAATGATGTTTTGCTGTTCTTCATGCACTTACTGGCCATTTTGATATCTTCTTTGCAAAACTGTCTATTCAGATCCTTTGCCTATTTTTAAATTTTTTGGGTGGCCTTTTTACTGTTGAGTTGTAAGAGCTCTTTGTGCATTTTGGATACAGGTTTCAGATACATAATTTGCAAGTACTTTTTTCCATTTTTCAGGTTGTCTTTTTACTTTCCTAGTGTTGTCCTTTGAAGCACAAGAGTTTCTAATTTTGAAGAAGTCCAGTTCATCTACATTTTTCTTTCCTCACTGTGCTTTTGGTGCCATATCTAAGAAACCATTGCCAGATCCAAGGTGATAAAGATTCATCGCTATGTTTTATCATAAGAGTTTTATAGTTTTACAACTCAAAAACAAAAAGTCAAATACTGCATGGCCTCACTTATAAGTGGTAGCTAAGTAACGTGTACACATGGACATGGAGTGTGGCATGATAGACACTGGAGACTCAGAAGGGTGAGAGGGTGGGAAGGGAAAGGGTGATGAGAAATTCTTTAATAGATACAATGCACATTGTTCAGGTGATGGAGACACTAAAAGCCTAGACTTCACTCCCATATATTCATGTAACAAAATTGCACTTGCACCCCTTAAATTTACATCAATTAAAAATGATTTTATAGCTTTGTTTCTATGATCCATTTTTAAAAATTTTTATTATGTTAAAAACATCATCTTTTCCATTTTAACATTTTAAGCATACAATTCAGAGACATTAATTACAGAATGTTATGCAACCATCACCACTATGTTTTTCCAAAAATTTTCATCACCCCAAACTGAAACTCTGTGCTCATTAAGCAATAACTCCTCCTTCTCCCCTTCCTCCCCAGCCCCAGGTAGGAATGAAGTTTGTATTGTATTTTATTTTAATTAATTTAAATGTAAACAACTAAATGCAGCTGGTGATTACCATATTGGGCTGCACAGTTATAACACGACTAGTATCATCCTCTTAGATAGACTGCTACAGTCATTTCTAAGCTGGCTTTGCATTTATTATTATCCTATTTATGGTTATCTATGGTCCATTCTCCCATAAAAGCTGGACTATTCCTTTAAGAATGTAACTTATTCCATTTCATTCCCAGCTCTGAATCTTCCAGTGGTTACCTATTACAATTAACAAAGAAATCCAAGCTCTTTGCTGTGGTCCACATTTGTCTGCCCCTTTGACTGTCTGCCTTCTCCTTTTCCTTCTCCCAGTGCCTGCAGCCCCACTGGTCTTCGTAATGATCCTTGAGCTCATCAAGTGCTGTCTGCATTCAGACTCTGCACAGTTTCTCTCCTCTGTCTGGAACACTCACCCTGTAGATCCCCATTTAACTCTCTCCCTCGTACCATTCAGATCTGCTCAAATGTCACCTCCTCAGAAAGATTGTTCCAGAGCTCCCTATCTAAAATAGCCATGCTATTACTCTACCTTATAGCTCCTGTGTTTTATTCTTATTTTTTATTAAGACAGGGTCTTACACTGTCACCCAGGCTGGAGTGCACTGTTGCAGTCATGGCTCACTGCAGCCTCAAACTCCGGAGCTCAAGCAATCCTCCCACCGCAAGCCTCCCAAGTAGCTGGGACCACAGGCGAGCACCACCACACTTGGCTAATATGTTTCTTTTCTTTTCTTTTTTTTCCTTTTTTTTTTTTTTTTTTTTTGAGGCAGAGTCTCACTCTGTTGCCCAGGCTGGAGTGCAGTGGCATGATCACTCACTGCAACCTTCACCTCCCAGGTTCAAGTGATTCTCCTGCCTCAGCCTCCTGAGTAGCTGGCAATTCAGGCAGGTGCCATCATGCCCAGTTAATTTTTGTTTTTTTAGTAGAGACAGGGTTTCACCATGTTGGCCAGGCTGGTCTTGAACTCCTGACCTCAGGTGATCCACCCACCTTGGCCTTCCAAAGTGCTGGGATTACAGGTGTGAGCCGCCGCACCCAGCAGCTAATGTATTTCTTCATAGCACTTATTACACCTGACATTTTATCGTGTATCTGTTTAAGGTTTTATGTCCTGTCTCCTCACTAGACCACAAGCTGTATAAAAACAGGGACCTTCTCTTCCCGGTTTTCATAATAGTGCCTGGCATAAAATAGGCTGTAAGTAAATATTTGTTGAGTACATAAAAGAAGAATCTTATTCATTTCAAGGCTATAATCTATGTTAGAATCAAAGAGATGGTCTCCATACTAAACTGAAGTATTTCTTCATTGAGGCAGGCATTTAAAAGTGTTGCACCTGTTAGTAAAACAGTCTTAAGGCCAGTTCCTGAAAAGTGAACTCCTACAATTTTGAGTAACTATTTGCTAATACATCAGCATGTTGCCTTCTTGGGATTAATTCAGCCTTTCTTTTACTTTTTTAACTTGCTCCCTTCCTTCCCTTTTAATGAAGTCATGCCTAAGCTCCAGTCTGTCCTTGTCCCCTCTCCCCTAAGCTTTGAGACCGTTCCTTTTTAAGTCAGTGGCCATGTCTCGCCCCGTTCTCCCGATATAACTCTTACTTTACCCAGCAGCGGGGCCTCCGTTTAGTGCAGCCCGTGATGTTGCTTTCCTGGTTCATCTTCCCTTATCCACAGATTTACCTGGCTGGAATCGGGAGACTGTGTGTGCCCAGGGGCTGGATTCGGAGACCCATGCTTCTGCAGTTCCACTTATGACTCCATCATTATGCTGTTTTAGGAAAATAAATAGATATTGATTCTCTAATAAGAGTGGGATTGTTCAACAAGCATTGGGAAAATCTGCGAGCCCAGATATGTATGTATAGCAGCTACTGGTTGGAAATTTGAACACAAGCATCCTTATCTACCCAGCCTGCGGGCCACAGACCAGAACTGAGTATAAAAAAAGAATAAAACCAAATGCCACATGTTGTCTCTTATAAGTCAGAACTCAACATTGAGTACACATGAACATAAAGAAGAGAACAATAGATGCCGGAGAACTTGACAAGAGAGGGAGAGAGGAAAGGCTTGAAAAACTACCCATTGGGATGCCAGGCACGGTGGCTCACGCCTGTAATCCCAGCACTTTGGGAGCCTGAGGCGGGTGGATCATGAGGTCAGGAGTTCGAGACCAGCCTGGTTAAGATGGTAAAACCCTGTCTCTACTAAAAATACAAAAATTAGCCAGGCATGGTGGCGGGCACCTGTAATCCCAGCTACTTGGGAGGCTGAGGCAGAGAATTGCTTGAATCCAGGAGGCAGAGGTTGCAGTGACCCGAGATTGTACCACTGCATTCCAGCCTGGGCGACAGACCGAGACTCTGTCTCAAAAACAAAACAAAACAAAACAAAACAAAAACAAAAAAAAACACTACCCATTGGGTACTATGCTTACTACCTGGGTGTCAGAGTCATTTGTACTCCAGACCTCAGCATCACACAGTATACCTTTGTAACAAACCTGCGCATGTACCCCAAAATCTAAAACAAAAGTTGGAAGAAGTTGAAAGAAATAAGAATAAAGGAAGGTTGGCAGTGTCATCCAAGGAAACTAAGCCTGATATTAAAATAGGCTCTGACCACTCAGGATAAAAAACAGACTTCTCTGTGCAGGTGTAGCGGAGATGATGAAACAACTCTATTAGCATTCTGCCTTAGTGGTTGTTATAGTCATAGCCATCCTTGAAAAGAAAAAAAAAAAAAGGAAAATATAGGAAAACTGAGGCTTAAAATCCTTCTTCTATTTTCTAAACTTCTGTCATTGGAGTGCTTGCGTTCCCCCAGGTGATAGACTCCGGAAGCTCATACAGTTGCAGATGAGAACATGAGTAATAAATACCCCCAAAATTCTTTCCAAGTTCAGTCATGATGAATTGGTTTAATATGCATGTAGTTATCTTTTTATTGGTCCATAATTCCAATTTAGCAAAATGTAAAGATGAATCATAAAGAATACCTGGAAAAAGCCCCAACATCGATGGCACTTAATAAAGATAGATGAGTATGTTCTTACTCCTTTTTTTAAAACAAACTGGACAAAGATAAATTTTAATGTTTACAAAAATGTAAATTTCAGTGCAGATCAAGCGTTTGGTTGGTTGGTTGGTTGGAAGCTTGACTTTATTTGCTTCATTTGGAGAGAATATAAGATGAAAAAGTTCATCATTAGAAAGAGAAGTAAGCATTAGAGTCACAGGATGGGATTTTGAAATACTCTGTGAGTTGATTGATGTTCCTAAAGTTCCCTGTTTAATGCTCTGAGTTAAATAGGTGGCCATGCTCAGCTTCTTGGATGTTAATAGTAACTTCTTTGTTTTTCAGATACTGTGTTGACAAGTGGTCATGCTACCGACTATTTATTTGTTGGAAATATTGTTTACACAGTAAGTTTATCTCTGTTTATTAAGCCATTCTTAAACAGCTTATGTGTGGCTTGCACTTCTCTAAACCCTTAAAAAGGGCCTTCCTCATTATTATTATTTATTTCAAATCTTCAAAATGTATTTTATATATCCTTCAAAGTTCAGAATGGTTGTGAAATGCTTACATCATCGTTTCTGAAGGTTATGCCAAGTGAAGGTTTCTGGGCAGGTGGTTAACAGATTTCCCCATTCTTCAAATGACCATTTTACACCTACCTGCAAAGGAAAACAACACTCAGGAAGGTGGTATCTCCCAAGCTAAGAAAAGGGCAAAACTATTATTTATGAGAAAGACTGTTACTAGAATGAAAGCTCTTCTGGAAGTGAATCTGCCTGTATGTCCCCTGAAAATAACCCTTAGAGAATTAGCTACTGACATGGCTGGTGCTTTCAAACCGGAGCTGCCTTGGGGAAGCTAGTTCTGGAGTGGAGAGATGGGATTTCTCATGGAAAGTGAAAATAACTCATTGAGAATAATGTGTTTCCAAACTGTCTTTTATTTTCACAGTATGTTGTTGTTACTGTTTGTCTGAAAGCTGGTTTGGAGACCACAGCTTGGACTAAAGTAAGTTTTCTCTAGAATTGTTTCTCTGTTCAGTATAGATATTTTTCATGCTAGGATTTCTTTTTAAGCCTTGGGGAAACCATAAGCAATATCTGGCTATCTTCTTTCAGATTTTCTGTGTAAAAATTGTGGTTTGATCTTGATCAGGGTAAATTTGCAATCCAAAGTCTCTTGGTGATTCATTTGCTTGGCACGTAATACAGCTCTAAGCTATTAACAGTCATCTCACTTCAAATGTATTTGCTCATTGTAAAAACAAAAACCATATTATACACACACATATATGGAAAATATAGAAGGACAAAAAACATTTAATGTCCATAATTTTACCACCAAGAGACAGTCACTGTTAATGCTTTCCTGTGGAACCTTCCGGACTTCGTTCTATGTCTGCATGTGTGTGTATTTTTTAATAAGATGATGCATTATAAAACATAGGACTTTGTAATCCCTTTTAATTTAAATATATATTAGGCACATTTTCTGTGACTTAAAATACAAGTCAACAAAGTTATTGTTCTTGATTAAAGAGTATTACGTTTTACAGATGTCCCACCATTTACTTCATCACTCTCTTATTTTAGACATTTTGGTTATTTCCAGCATTTAAAGATTATAACTAAAGCTTCATGTGTGTCTCTCATAGTGTCATGACCTGGCTGCTGTTTAAATGCTCTGCTAAGAAAAATGGGGATGGGGTGGAAGGTCAGTGAGGAATCAGGGAATCCCCTAAGAGACAGTGGCAATTAATCCGGGTCAGAGGTGATGATGACTTTGCTTACGATGTTAGAGGAGGAGGTAGTGAGAAGTGGTCGGAGTCTGGATTCATTTTATCTTTCTAAAAGCTAACAGAGCTTGCACATGGATTAGATTGTGGGGTGTGAAGAGAGAAAGAAGTCAAGGATCATCACATTAAGAGGACAAAGAAGAAAAAATGAACAACGCAGTAGATGCTTAAAGGGGCATTGTTAAGAGGCAATATCCATTTCAGATTTAAAAATAAAAAACTCTTGGCTAAAGGAATGGAACAAAGTCTTGAAATGATAAATAAAAACATCTTATTTATTTTGTCTGTTCAGCCACTCTGTTACCAGATTAATGAGTCCTTGTTGTATACAGCCGCAGGTTGGAGCAAACACTTGCTATGAACTGAGAGGGGCCCGCTGTTACTATGGGAGAAATCTTAGAGTAAGGTCACCTGTGACAGCAAAAGCACCTTCATCTTCAGGGTACTTTGGGGCCATTCATTACTTGAATTCATTGTTAAAAATTCTGAGACATGGGAATTAGAAAGATTGAACTTCCCATTAACTGGTGAGTCATCAAAGTCTTTCCATAAGGAAAGGTAGCTTGGATGCAAGGATTCTGCAGCAAGTGGAGTTGGGGTGAATCTGCCAGGCTGGTCGAGAAGCCTGTCTGAGTGTCTATTTCCCTCTGCAGTTCAGTCATCTGGCTGTCTGGGGAAGCATGCTGACCTGGCTGGTGTTTTTTGGCATCTACTCGACCATCTGGCCCACCATTCCCATTGCTCCAGATATGAGAGGACAGGTAAGTACTCCTGATTGGGAGTGTGTCTTCTGTGTCTTGTGACAGCAATGTTTCTCCATGGGCGGGTGAGCAGGCACTGTGTGTCTTACAGCCACGATGAGCTTCAGGAGAGGCTGGTCCTTCCTGCTTCCATCAGAATCTATCAGGAGATAAACCAAACCAAAGCACCTGGAAGAGGTCATCCAGTCCACAGAAAAGGCATTTGAAGTTTCAAGTATTATGAAAACTGTCAACTTAAATCCTCCGGCTTATTGGCATGCCCACATTTCCATAATAAATTATGTGTTAATTACACACAGTACCAATATGTACAGTTGGAAAACTGGAGCTATTTTGAATGGTTCCTAATCCATTGATTATGTTGATTACAGTTTTGATGTTGTACTCTGGTTTGTTGTTATACTCTGCTGGGTCACCTGTGACAGATGAATCTAACAGCTCTATGAACCAGATCATTGATAAACCAGAATCTCTCATTGTTCATCTCTTTGAACTAGAGAGGCTGAGATTGAAGACCTTTACACTCATTTGAATGTTTTTTATTTTTTCCTTCATATTATCTTTGTCCAGTGCATAAGATTGAGCCATCAACAGTGACAAACTGTATCCTAGAATCCCACAGTATTGGGTGTGGAGAGGAATGAGCTGACAGTCCTCTGGTACACACCTCCTCAGTTTACCAAGGAAGCTGTGCAGGCCCAGGTCTCCAAGCCCACCCCAGAGACCCCACCCTGGAGTTGCCCACATCCAGCACTGCCCTTAAACCCCAAGAGGCTGCTGGGCCCTGTACTTTAAGGACCTCTGCTCTGGCCTTCTGTGGCTGGGTGTGTTCCTCGGCACGGAGTGAAAAGCTATGATGCACAGAGTCCATCTTCCCACTTGTAATCTATTCTCTGGGCTCCCAGGACCCCTTGTTTCCTTCCCAAACAGCCAAAAGCCTCCTGCCCAGGCCTGCCTGGTCCTCTCTCCATATCTAGGCCAGTGTGCACACTGGGCCAAAGGGGCAGCTGTTTTCAAGGGTGTGCACTGAGTAGATGATGTTTGCACCGATGTTCCCGCCCACATTTGCAGGATGCTTGTGCAGGGGCACAGAACCCAGGGTGGGATGGGAACTGTGGGTCAGGCTTTCATTGGTGTTCCTGCCCCAGGATACATACTTTAGGGCCAGGCCTGTTCATGGCACACCTGGCTGCTATCTCTGCTTTACTTACTCTGTAGAAATGAGCAAAACCTCCTGGGTCTATCCAAGTCTGGACCATGTCTAGCAACTGTTTCTCGTGAGATAGCCCAGGGTAGCATTACTTGCCATTTCACCTGGTAGCTCTGTCAGCTAATAGCCCAGGTCGTCTGAGACCTCCACTGAGTGTGGGTGCTGAGCAGGACGGACCTGTCCTATAGGAGTGGGCTTGCATGTCCTCTAGTGCATCTTTGCTTTCTGTGAGGAAAGAGGACAAACATATAACATGCTTTTCAGTTTTTTTCCAAATCCAGACAGTAGAGGAAATTAGAGGGCGTTCAGTGAACCCAGAAGATTGTTGTGTAGCAAAATGAGCATTTTCCAACAAAGATATTTTGTGTTTAAATAAATCAGTTCTATTTTAAAGCAATGTGATTGATCCCCACAAAAAGCAAACCAAGAAAAGTATCCACTACAAGACAACGATCCATTGGTAAGGCATTGGTGCTTAGAATATCTGCTTTGTGTTCTCTTCCTTCTGGTTCAGGATGGATCTGCTGTGATGAATATTTCATTTGGGGAATTTTGTGGTGATGGACAATAGATGGGGCCTCAGCCAATGGCCATAGACAGTGTTCTAAATTAGAGAGTGACAGCTGACAGGACGGGGTCGCTTGGCATGTGACTGACAGACAAAGCCCATTCCTTTGAAAGCTCCTCCTGAGTCCTAAACAGAGAGCTG
This sequence comes from Homo sapiens, assembly GCF_000001405.40. Classification (NCBI taxonomy): domain Eukaryota; kingdom Metazoa; phylum Chordata; class Mammalia; order Primates; family Hominidae; genus Homo; species Homo sapiens. The sequence continues at coordinate 25,864,328 of NC_000013.11, forward strand.
TGCCAGGGAACCACATGTACTTCAGTAACTCCAAATGTGCGTGAATTAGGCTGCTTGCCAACTCTCACTCCCATCGAGATACCGACTTTCCAACTGCAGAAGGACCAGGCTGATCATGCAGCTACTAAGGTGCCGACATTTTCACTGTACCAGTCACATAAGCATGATGGTCTGTATGGTTATAAGGCTCAGATTAATGGTGACATTCACATGTTTAAGGACTCTTCCAGCAGAACTTTAGTGAGTTGTTTCTACCATCCGAAAGCAAAGAAGTGATCATATTCAACCACATTGCATTTTTCTGTAAAAGCTTATTTTTCTTTAAAACATGTCATTTTAATCACTTTATTGGTTGGTTCCCATGAAGCAGATGATAATGATGTGAAATAGATGATAGCTGGGTGAAACCGAGGTTTTCATTAAGCAGTACATGAGAGGATTAATGTGGTTCTCTAGTGGCCGGACTTCCGAGTAGGTACTCTGCTGTCTGAGTCTAAAGAACTGTGTATCATCTCTAGCCTTCCTCCAGGGCAGGGGGCTCCTGAGTGGGTAAAGGGGGCCAGGAAATGTGTAACTTTAGTGTCACAGCCAACTTTTACACTGTTTCACCTGCAGTCTGCCACTCTGTATTTTGACTCAGTGCTTTGTTCATTCTTTGAAAAATGGCAGGGAAGTATTACAAAACATTTTTTTAAACACCTTTGAAGGATTGCTTGGGTGGATAGTGGCTTACACTAGCCTGAAGTCTCAGAAAGCCTTCCTCCTGGCTCAGGAGGACTTATATGCTGTCATAAAAAAGAGGAACTGGGTTCAGGTGTAGTCAGTAAAAGGAATTGGCTCTTTTGGGGAATTACTAAAAACATGCCCACGCCCTGTTCATTCCTGGGGGTCTAGGTTGGTAACTGCTTAGGAGTAAAGGGTATTCTAGGAAAAGGCCACTTTTTAAAATGACTGTTTGAAGAATGCTTCTAGTGATTTTTATAAACCACTTTTTGTAGTTCACTAAACAGTAGGTTTTTGGCAAGTGAACCTGGTTATGTGAAGTTCTAGAATTAAACTAGTGCCTAATAGCAAACAGCATTTCTCACTCAGAAGCCAGAAAGAGATTTGACACACAAAACATTCTGTCTATTCATAACATCTTCAGCCATTGAAAAGATGCATTGTTTCTGCTGGGGGTTTCCTAAACTAATTTGATTAAATATTTCTTTGTCTTGTCCATTATATTTGGAGTTTTTCTCACGGAGAAGAATATGGGTTTTCCCTTGAGGGCAAAGGAAAGGAAGGGCTATAGAATTGAATTATTCTACACTATCAAAGAGTCTTTATCTTCCCTAAATCACCTCATGACATGGTATGTGAAACCCAGCCAGACAACATGTCAGGAAGTCCCAGTGGAAGTTTCTGAAATCAAAGAAGTCATCTGCATCCTTCCCCTCCTGAAAATACGCCACATTTGTGGGATTTTAAGGGGCATCCTGTTTTTCCGTTTTTCTCTTTTGAAGCTTGGATTTATAGTAATAAAAACTTAGGTTGTGTCTATCCTGGGGAATGCCAGTCCTCGGCTATGGAAAATACATGATGATGTTTTTTTTCCGTGGGGGACCAGGTGTTTTTCTTTTCCCCAGTAGAATAACCATGAGATAAAATGGGTCCCCAAAGCAAATACTTGAAAATGGAAAATGACAAAATCCCTTAGGTCACCACCTTCCCCAAAGTTGCCTGCTGAAGTAGAACTTTGCATTGGAAAGATGATGGAAACTTGATCCTAGACCAGGTCAGGAAATGTGTTTCTGTTTTCTTCATGCATTTCCCAGCACTTCTGACTTTAGTAGTGCTGGAGGGAATGCCATCTTACTTGACCTCTGTTCAAAAGTCCGGAGACCTGGCTCTGTTCATGCCCCAGCTATGATAGTTACGTAACCATTGGCAAATCATTTTACTTGCATTAATCTCCTAATCAGCAAAGTCAGAATAATGCCACCCAACCTAATTACTTTAGAGAATTGTGATGAAGATATAATAGGCTAACCTGTGGGAAATCTAAAACATGGATGCTCTTCTTTTTCCTGGAGTGATGAATTGTTTTTGAACCTTCATCAATAAGAATATTGCTGTGATTTGAACTCCAAATTCTTTTAGCCAAAGAATTTGAACATTTTATAGGTTCTAAATGGGATGTTTTTGAGTAAGGTCTATTGACCACCTGCATCCAAATCATCTGGGTTGCTTGTCAAAATGACAACCCCCACCCCCCAAAAATATGTGCAGGCAATCACGTACACACACAGAGACACACAATGCACACACACAGAGAGACACACACACAGACACACATATACACAGACACACATAGTGAATTGCAAACTCTGGGTGTGGAGCCCCAGCATGTGAGCTTCAGTAAATCTCCAGGTGATTCTTCCCTTTAAAGTGTGAGAACCACTGCTTTAAAACACCTAAAATATGACTCTATTAGAATGTTTTAGCTCCTGCTGGGTGTTACAGGAGAAGATGGTACACTGAAGATACAGCTGAGTGATTGCTCATGTTAAGTGGTTACGTAGGATGCCAGCTGGTGACGGTGACCACCGTAAGGGCAGCTAGCTTTCAAAGTAGGGAATTACACCACGAGACATGAAATCGTTAACCATGGAAAAATTCTCCTCACTAACTTTTGCTGCTTTTCCTTTAAAGTTCTTTTCATTGCTAGTAAGAGAGGGGAGAAAACCTTTTGACTTCAAAGCATACAATCTGCAACTCTGCCTGCAGTGACAAGCTCCTGACTCCAGCCAGTTTCTGGACTGGGACAGGCTTTTTTTTTTTTTTTTTCATTCTAAATACAGGAATGGGTTTACTCTTGAGTTTTATGTACACACTTGTGTACACACAATGCAAATCCCAGTGGACTGTAAGTAAACAGAGGGAGGAATGGTTCTGTCATCAGTGAATCAGTGATTAATTCCTCATCTTCTCCAATTGTCTCCCCTGGATTTGTAGCAGGCCTAGGTATGTTCCATGTGAAATTTGCAAAGACTGATGTTTGTTTACCAGTTGTATGTGCTCTAGGAGGTAAGCTGAGAAGTTGGGGTGATGTCAAGTAGGTGGCCATCTTTGCTCAGCTACCATTCCAGGATGTCTGTGGAGGATGGGAGCTTAACGGTAGGAATCCACCCGAGGGTCAGGAGAGGACTTGTTTTCAGGTTAAGGTCTGTGTGGGGCATGTTTGGTTGTCCCACATCCATCCTCCTTCACCCTTTCCTAAGGGTGCCTAGTGTGTATTCACTGATGTGCTGTGACTTCCACCCCTAAGTCCAGGTGAAAGCTTCATCCCATCCCCCCTGCCACAGTGAGCGGGTCAGGAAGCCTGAAGGAGACACAGGGAGACACTTGCTGGGGGCTTCCAGGATAGCAGCGAGTTTGCTCCTAAAACAAATCCATGAAAGAGCTGGCTTTCCCATCTGAACCATGTGGGTGCTGCTGTGATGCTGGGAATGGGTCAGCCACAGGAGGAAAACCACCCTCAGAATCCTACTATAGCCTGAAAGATAGACTAGGAAGACAAAAAGACAAACAAAAACAAAAGTGTCTTTTTTTTATTGTTTTATTACTTTTTATTTGACAAGTAAAGGACTCCAAAAGTCTCTATGCAATTGTTGAGACACTGTATGAAGCCAGCCTCGAAGCCCATCCCAGGTGGGGCGCTCAGTGAGAATTTCCTGTGTGCTGCCCGGCCTTGTGGGTAGCCCCGGCCAAGGAATCCTCTCTTCACCCAAGTGCGGGTGTTGGGATGTTCCCTTAGCTTCCTCAGCCAAGGAAATAAACGCTTGTTAAAAACAAGCTTAGGACTTTAGCATATTTAAACTGTTTTATTATACTCAAAGTTACAGATTGGTTTAAGGAGCTGGTAAAAATTACTTTAGCACTGCAATTATTAGTTTTTTAGATAACATTCCAGAAAACACTGAATGAGCATATCTTAAGGTTACTGGAATTAATCTTTAATGCAATATTGAATAGACTCGGTCCAGTTTTCCTCAAGTATCGTATTTTAGAAACCCGTGGCATGGCTGGTGAGGAGCGGTCAGCCTCGTCAAGGAGGAAGTCCTATCAGCAGAGATTCACCTTTCGGTTTGGAATAACATCGTGACATCTTTTTGTACAGTTTTCTTGAGTATTGAAATTGGCCCAATTATTCATTGAAGTCCAATTCACATTCTGGCTTTTCAACTCATACATTTTGTGGAATAGTGAGACTCATTTGCAAGAAGTAACACACTGTGTTTCTGGATGACATTCTCATCTGAATGCAAAGCACAATGAGCGAAGTTAAGACAGTACCGACTTCCTGGCTTCTGCTGCACCTATGACTGTTGTCGCCTGCACCCCAGGGTCCCCCATCCGTGTGCATTTCCTTCCTAGAAGGCTCCCAACACCAGTCCCTTTCTGAGGCAATCCCTAGAACCAAAAACAAAACTATAGCAACAACAACAAAAGCACTTTGGGAGGCCTGGGTGGGCGGATCACAAGTTCAGGAGATAGAGACCACTCTGGCTAACACAGTGAAACCCCGTCTCTACTAAAAATAGAAAAAATTATCCAGGCATGGTGGCGGGCGCCTGTAGTCCCAGCTACTCGGAAGGCTGAGGCAGGTGAATGGCATGAACCCAGGAGGCGGAGCTTGCAGTGAGCCGAGATCGCGCCACTGCACTCCAGCCTGGGCGACACAGCGAGACTCCGTCTCAAAAAAAAAAAAAAAAAAAAAAAAACCTTTTAATTGGTAATAAAGAAAAATCAGAAACATTCAGTTGAGCAGTGCTAGCTAAGTGAGTTCTCACAGCCTGTAAATATTTGGATTCTAAAATCAGAAAACTCAGGCATCCATCAGACAACAGTTCTGTCAGAATTGGCTTTTGTCATGGTTACACATAATGCCAACTTGTTTTTGTTTTTCTCCTCCTGCTTAAAAACAAAGGAGAAAGTTTTTTAAGTTGGAAGCTCCTTAAAGTGGTTTCAGATTCTTTCTACAGGCGGTGATGGGAACAGAACTCCCGTTATCCTAATTGCCTCTGGATTCTCTGGAATCCTCCTGGATTAAAGTGACCCGAATCCGATTTCTTTCTTATTTAGTGCAAATTGTAACTGTGAAAGTAGGATTTGAACTAAATTAAGCTAATGCCTAAGACATTTATGAAGCTAATTCTATTGTCTGTAATATCCATACTTGCGTTATTTCTGAGCTTGTTTTTCAGGTATATGAAGGAGATAATATCTATCTTAGGATTTAATAGGGAAATTAAGGAAAATAAGACATGTCAGTAACAGTAGGTAATGTTTATTGAACAATTGAGATGAGAAAAGTTCTCTTGTCCCCCTGGCAGGGCGTGTGAGAGGGGAGTGGCTCGCTTCTTCAGCGCCCCGCTGCTCAGACCTCTAGGGGAGCATACAGATGGGCAGGCTGTGGGGTTCTGACCCCACGGTAGTGTCTAGGGGTGAATGTTTACAGCTCCTGAACCCCAGTGGGCATGTGTTACAGGGTACTCTTTCAGTTTAGCTGTCCGTAGGCAGCTTGTGTAAACCAGCTCAGTTAGACCCTCTACTTTGTCACAAGGACAGAGGGCTTTGTGTATCCCAGGTTCTTGCCTTGGTTTACCGGAAGAATCAGATCACACGTGGGCTTGGAGAATGAGTGCAAGGTGTTATTGAGTGGAAGTATCTCTCAGCAGATGGGGGAGCCAGAAGGGAGATGACTTTTCCCTGGAGTTGAGCCACTTGACAGCCCGGCTGTCCTCCAATTGTTCTGGCCAAACTCTGTGTCATTCTGGCGATAGGTGGCCTGACGGCGCGCGGGTGCCTGTCCGTGCATTCCTCTAGACATCTGGCTTTCCAGTGTTCCTCTGCTGATGTGTTTCTCTCAACGTCCAGCCACCTCTGTGTCTGCTGGCTAGGGTCTCGATTTTTGTATAGGCACAGGATAGGGGCGTGGCAGGTCAGGGTGGTTTTGGGAAATGCAACATTTGGGCAGGAAAATAAAAATGCCTGTCCTCACCTAGGTCCCTGGACACAGGCCTGGGGGTGGAGCCCTAGCCAGGGACCATGCCCTTCCCCCATTCTGTATCATTTAAAGGGACCACTCCCTTCCCTTCCCAGCACTTCCCTTCCATATCACAATTACTACATATCAGACAAAACATATTCATGAAAATATGTTTAATATATGCAGTTACATGTGTAATGAAGTAAGCATTGGCTCATTCAGTAATCTGCAACCACATGAGGAAACTGAGGCTTAGAGAGAAAGGATCAGTCTCTTGACCAGGCAGGGAGTAGAGTGGCTGGGATTCTTCTGGAGTCGGTTGGACTCCAAGCTGGGTCTTCTCACTTTGTGACTATGGAAAGCAGCTACAGTGATGATGAACCAGGTGTTTGAGAAATGTTGCTCAATTCTCCTTAACGTTTTGCTTTTAATAAATTTTATCTGAAGTGACTTACCCCGCAATGCAATAGAATTTTTAAAATATGAATGTTGAGTTAGAAGGAATAAGCAGACTTTGTGTTTGAGCTGCAATCTTCTGTCCACGAGCCCAATCTTTTTTAAAGTAAAGCAGGTTTCAAACAACAGGATTTATTTTTTACGTTCATTATAGAAAGCCCTCATTTTTTTAGTCCTTGTCCTCCCTTCCCCCGTATACAATTTCCTCCATTTTGGCAGTTTATTTTCTTTTTGGCCTCTCATTTCAAGGATGCTGTGTGTTAATTAGAGGCCCCGCGGCTTTGATTGAGTGGTTTTTTTTTTTCTTCAGAGGTTTTGTTGTGGTGTTGGCATTTGTCATTCATTCTGATGTTAATTTTTAAAATATCTGTCAGCAAATTAAAGTACACATTACATGCTGATTTTGTTTGTTTGTAATATTTATGCTCAGTGGTCACAGTGTACGTCTGATGTGGTTTTGAACTTTTCCTTTCTTGAAACATGTGGAAATGTGTATGTGGGCCACTCTTATTAAGAGTCTGCACAGGGGTTTTCTTCTCCAACATCTTCAGAGGGAGGTGGCCTTGTCTGATGACTGGAGGTTATCATCATCACAGTTCCCCCACCCAGAGATGGCAGGGATCTTCAGGTTTATCCAATTTAAAAGGTATAAAAGTGCCAGAGAAAGGCCACCAAGTCCGGTTATGCAAGAAAACATGACCACGGTAGGTTAGAGAAGAGAGAAAAGAGAAGCATAGCATGCTATTAGGCATGTACCAAGAAGTTTCTGTTTCATATAAATGATGATGCAAAAGCTATTGTGGACAGTATCTGAGAGGCCCAAAATACTGAACAGACTTAAAAGTAGGGGATATTTTCAGTGACTATTGCTTACATCATCATTGTAACATATCGAAGCATCCACTGAGTAAATTGGATGCTTTCTGAACTTTGATTAGCCAGCTGTCATAAGTGTTGGCATTCCTTTGGCTAAAGACAAGAAAGAGAAATCTAGGTCGCTTGTGTCTGTGCTTGTATGTATACTTCGATTCGCAATACTTTTTTAGTGACTGAAACCTGATTTCAATGCAGGATGGAAACTGAAAGACAGGCATATTTAAATGTGCAGAGTGCTTTCTACTGTGCTCTGAAGACAAACCCTATCCACTTTGCTCAGCAGGAGCAAAGACATCTCTCATGCAGGGTACAGTGACATCTTGCCATCTTCCGCCTGCCCTGCGTCCATTCCCCTCACCCCCCCGCCCTCTTTCGGAATGCGCATTCAAATGGTGCTGCTTCTGCCTCTTTGCCACCTCTAGGGTCTGGATCTGTGACCCAAACTGGTCAGCCGGGTCCTCTGCCTCACTGACCATGGCAGTTGATTCAGGAATGCACATGGTGCCCCAGGCTGGAGTATCACCTAGAGACAGTTCAAGGATTTTTTACAGAAACTAATTGGGGGATGGAGCTCTTTTGCTGCTGGGTCTCTTATAGGAGGACGGTGTCAGCCTGGAGCGGCTAGGACACCCTGCAGAAGGTGGCTGGCTGAGGATGAATTGAGCACAGAGGAAGGGTGCACTGAGAGCCATCAGCATTGAGCACACCCCTGGATCCAGCTCTGCCTGAAGCTAGAGCCATCTCTGACCTGTTAGATATTGTCGTTCTATAGCAGAAACACAGTTGGTTCCATTTTCCTACCATGCATCTACCAAGTTGGAGTAGGAAGGGACTTTGTCTACTTTTTATAGACTTCAGTATGTCCTTCCCCCAGCTTCTTTACCCAAGGAAAAGAAGACAGCGTTGGGTAGAAGCGAATTGTTTGAAATAGAGAGGGAAGGAAATAGGAGCTTTTCTAAGCGAGGCCTCTTTCTCTTGGCAGCCAACAATTCTAACTGGCTTAGAGTCCAATAGTCCTGAGCAGTGCTGTCCAATAGAAATATAATGGGAGACTTATGTATAATTTTACATTTTCTAGTGGCCCTATTAAAAGACCAAAAAGAAATTCATTTTATTGATATATTTTATTTAGCTCAATATTTCCAAAATATTATCACTTTGAGATGTAGCCAACATAAAAAGAAGTTAGTGAAATAGTTTGTGTTCCTTTTTTTTTTTGTACTAAATCTCTGAAGTCCAGTGTGTGTGTTGTAACTACCGCACATCTTAAGCCAGGCTAGACGTATTTCAAGTACTCAGTAGCATCTGGCCAGTGGCTGCTGTGTTGGACAGCACAGCTCTTGACCAACGCAGATCTGGAAATGCAGATTCACTCCCCAACGCTAAATTTAGTGCAGGCAAGATCAAGAGGTAGGAAACTCAGCCTCAGCCCAGATCCTCCAGGTTCCTCCCACACACTTGGGGTGTGCACTGCCTGACTTCTATTTTAGTCACTCATCATTGAAAGGGTTTTGGCTCTTAGGCAAGACTTTCCCTAAAAATAAAACTTGGGGACAACTGAGCTCTTAATCTATGGGCTTATTAATTGCTTTAAGTGGAGTTTATAAATCAAGATTTATAAAGTGTGGATCTGACTCAAGTCATTTTTCCACAATGTTGGCTAATCATTTTCTCCTGAATGTTGGAAGGAAGAGGTCACGACTTGGGTCATACTTGTGTCACACTGCAACCAGCTGAGCAAAAAGAATCCGTGCCACTGAAAATAGGTTAGGTCTGTTCCTTCTAAATGGTTCCTTTATTATGTAAGTGACAATTTCTAAGCAAGATTATTATTTAATGTCTAAGATTGTGGGAACCTCTCACCTTTGTGTCCTTTTTGAGTTTCAGTCCTCTCCCCTCTTATTATGATGAATCCAGGCTCTGTTATTTTTACCCCCTAAGTATCTCTTTTTTTTTTTTTTTTGAGATGGAGTCTCGCTCTGTCACCCAGGCTGGAGTGCAGTGGCGCAATCTCAGCTCACTGCAAGCTCCGCCTCCCAGGTTCACACCATTCTCCTGCCTCAGCCTCCCGAGTAGCTGGGACTACAGGCGCCCACCACCACACCTGGCTAATTTTTTGTATATTTAGTTTCACCGTGTTAGCCAGGATGTTGTTGATCTCCTGACCTCATGATCCACCCCCATCAGCCTCCCAAAGTGCTGGGATTACAGGCGTGAGCCACCGCACCCAGCCTTTACCCCATAAGTATCTCTTAAATATATCTGTTTCCACCCAGTTTCATCCCATCCAGTTAGTTTGCGCAGCATCATTTCTTGCGTGGACAATTGCAGTAGTCTCATGACTAGTTCTTAGCATCTGATCTGCCTGGACCCATTCCTCTACCGGAGCCAGAGTGATCTTGCCAAATGTAAGTCTGATGTCATTGTTCCCTGGCTTCCTGTTGCCCTCAGGATAAAGCCTGGGGACATTTACCTGGCCCCTGAGGCCCTGCGAGGCTTACCACTGCTCCCTTTATGCTCTCCCTCACCTCATCCACACTGGTGGCTTCCCACTTCCTGGTGTGAGGAGCGAGCTCCTACAGGGCGTTTGTGCCTGCTCCTCTCACTTCCTGACTGCACTGGTCTCCGCCTCCTACCAAGTTAATGCTTACACGATGTTTAGATCTCAGATGCTTGATCACTTCCCAAGGGAAGCCTTTCCTCACATCCTGGACCTACGTGCTCCTATTGTATGTTCTCTTAACACAGTTTACCTTTCGCTTGTTGTATAATACTCACCACAACTAAAACTCTACATACTAATGTATGAGGTGTCATCTCACACCCATTGGGATGGCCACTCTTAGAAACACAAGAACAGAAAACAGAAAATAAGTAGTTGGTGAGGATGTGGAGAGATCGAAACGCTTGTGACCTGTCAATGGAAGTGCAAAATGGTGCAGCTAATATGGAAAACAGCACGGAGGTGGCTCAAGAAATTAAAAATAGAACTACCATATAATTTGGTTACCCCACTTCTGGGTATATACCCAAAAGGATTGAAAACAGGGCCTCAAAAAGATAATTGCACACTCATATTTATAACAGCGTTATTCAAAACAGGAGGTAGACACACAATTCAAATGCCCGTTAGAAGATACATGGATGAACAAAATACAATATATACACACAATGGGATGTTATTCAACCTCACAAAAGAAGGAAATCCTGTCACCATTCTACAACATGGTTAAAGTTGAGGACATTATGTAAAGTGAAATATTCTAACATGGTTAATTAAGAATTGAGGACATTATGCAAAGTGAATAAGCCAGTCACAAAAGGCAAATACTCTATGGTTCTGCTTGTATATAGTGAGTACTCGTAGAGACAGGAAGTGCCATGGCAGTTGCCGGGGCTGGGGGAGGGGAAATGAAGAGCTGCTGTTTAATAGACACAGAGTTGCAGTTTTGCCACATGAAAACGTTTTAGAGAGCCGTTGCACAACAGTGTGACTTCGGTTAACCATACTGAACTTTCCTTAAAATGGCTAAGATAGTAAATCTTAAGTTTTTATCACAATTTTAAAAATGTACGTTTGTGTGATTTACTGATTCATATCAGCTTCTCTCTGTAAACTGGAAGCTCTGTGAGTGAAGTGAATATTCTCAAATATATCCTTAGTACCTAGTACCCATCTTTTTTTGGTATTCAGTAAATATTTAAATGAAGGAATTCATAACATTGAACAACCTCTCGTGTACAATTGGGTGGGTCTGTAGTTGGCTCTGTGCAGTTAGTGCCTGGTATCTGTTTGCTGCATTAACACAAACAGATGCCAAGTATTTCAGCATTTATACAATTATAATTGTATAAATTACACACAGGATCTGCACCTAAGAAGTGATTAATAGATTAATGAATTTAGCATTTTTCTTAAGAGAAGTGTGTGCAAAAAGTCAGTACCACAAACCATATATTTTTTTCACCCAAAGAATGATAGACACTTCCATTTAAAATTTCAGCCCAACTGTTTTAGCCACATAGGTGATGTCTGTGGCATGATATTCATTGATATTGGCGTTTGGAAACAGTTAATAGTCACACTTAATTACTTCATGGAAAATGTTTGTTTTGGAGATGATATTAAAGGAGAGGCATAAATGAAATTAAGATGGGTATTTTTGAGCACCTAATTCCAGGAAGTACTACGCTAATCATTCTCCGATAGTTTTATGATAAGAGATTAAAACTGAGGAAGACAGTGGGCCACAGATGGCACTAGCAGAAGTTTATGTACCCTAAACCAACACATGGTTGGGCAGCATTGTCATTATGATGTTCAAGGGACTGCCATTTCCAAAGTCATAAATATAAGCGTGTAGTTGGAGACAGGTTTTGGTTGAGAAAAATGTGACGCATAGATAGCAGCCAGCCTCCAATAAATCTGGGATGATTTCACGGAAGAAATAGAACTTCTCTGGGGCATTGTTCCTCAGCAGATCAGGGGGTGGGTGCTCCAAGGCCCGCTGCCTTGGAAGAGGCTGAAAGTGAAGGGTGGATCTGGCCCTGCCAGCTCAGTTGAGGCGTAGGATTTCAGTGGCAAGTAAAGCTGTATTACAAGAGAAGAAAAGTTTAGGATTTGGAAAGTCTATCCCCAGCACAGCATCTTAATTAAAGGAAAGAGTAAGGAAAAGCAGAGAGTAAAGTGGCTGTGAGTGCAGTAAAGAAGCAGAACTGGGGAAAGGAGAGCAAGGGAGGAAACAGTGATTGATAACGGGAGGACGAGGAGCCTGACTGTGATGGGGAAGGCCAGGTGGAGCCATGAAACCTGGAAGGAGAAGCTTTAAAAATTTCACCGCAGGAAATTACAGGCCTGTTGAGAAACTTTACTACGTATGGCATCAAAACAGAGTAAGACTGACCATGAAAAAAGATCCTTTAACATAGTAACTCGGAATTTTGCCTTTTTATGATTAATGTGGGAAAAGTAATTCTTAGAAATAAAAGGAAATGGAGGGAATATCAACATATGAATTTTATTTTGTGCTCTTTTTCTGAATGCTAAATCGTTTAAAATGAATCCTTAATAAGAAAAAGGAATAAGCCTTTGTCTGGAATGTAAAGAAAGAAAGAATTTTTCCACTATTCAAATAGAATTAAATATTGCATTGGGGCATTGTAATAGTTTTCTATAATATAAACTAATTGATTCTAAGTGAGATTTTAAAATCTAAGATGAGCATGATTTTGGAAAATAGCTCATTATTGCTGAAATTGTTTCGAACAGGAAATATAAAATCAAGAAGCAACTTTAAATAATTAACAAACTTGTCTACTTGGGGATTTATTTTTATTTAAAAAAAAAAACTAATCCTTTTTTCCCCTCAATGTTTTCAGTGGTTCAAACTTAGTGGAATAAACCTAATGAAGTAATATTCTCATACATGATATGAAAGTAAATTTGATTCAAGCTTTTATGTAGTTCTTCTGACATAGGTCATCTTAGTGACAGATTGCCACCTACCAGATGCCATTTTAGGCCACTTTCTCCCCCAAAAACTTTTTTTAAAAAAGGAAAGTAATTCTCTTTATTCTTCAGTATCACTATGCTAGAGTTAGGAGTTGTCCAGAAAGTTACAGTTTGGGTCCAGATGGTCTACAGAGCTCACCTCTTTGTTTTTAAAAATTCGATAGGGTGAAATGAGCTTCCAACACTTAAAGCTCCAATCATGGAACATCTGACTCATAAAGCGATGTTTGAAGCTGTATTTTTTGTGACTTCTCCATGTTGTTTTACTTTGTTTCATTGAGTTGTTTATATTCATTCGTGTTGTATGTCTCTTGCCTTCTTTAAGTTAGTTCTTAGTTGTCTTTCCTTTTGATGTCCTTGGCACCGACCTGGTCCTCCCCCCGACCCCACAATTCTGTTTCCAGTTCAGTAGTAGTTACTTAAGGGTGTCTCCTCCCATGTTCCTTAGAGCAAGTGCCTTTCTAAACTTTCATACTAGCCATGTGGCATAAGTGTCTGTTTAGTTTATCTTTCCCAATTTTTGCCTAGAGACTCCTCTTAAGCTGTTTACTGCCAAAATCACCATTGCAGTTAATTCTAAAGCCATTGTATAAGCCCCCAAGCCCTTCAGACATGTCAAGGAAAGTAGCTGTGTTCATTAAGGACAATACTTAGTGCTTTCAATTGCTGACAAAGGGAACATGCTGCATTTCCAGCGACTTCCTAACAGTGTCACCTGTGTATACAGAGAACCCTCAAAGACCTGATATGTGTATGTCAGACTCAGAAGATTGCCCAAGAAAATAACTAGTTTGCTAAATGGATTGTAAACAAAATGTTATCAGTTTAACCCCTCACTTCCACTCAGCTCTAGAGAAGAATGGGGGTTCACTTACGCCCTTTAGATGAGAAACTTTTTGAGGACAGCATGTTCTGTAGCGTGAAGAAGACAACTCGGGAAGTGTCTAAGGAATGGAAGACAAGAAGGAGGGGAGGGCCAGAAGAGAAACCACAGGAGCCCCCTTCTCAGTCACCGCCAGTTAGGCTCCTTCAGACAACCCTGTGACTTGCTTTATAAGGTATGTCGAAACAAATGAACCTAGATCATTTTGAGTAATTCCATGTCATCCACACACATTGGCCTCCCAGTGTTACAGGAAAGAGGTCCCGATCCAGACCCAAGAGAGGGTTCTTGGATCTTGCACAAGAAAGAATTCAGGGCGAGTCCATAGAGTAAAGTGAAAGCAAGTTTTTTAAGAAAGTAGAGGAATAAAAGAATGACTATTCCATAGGCAGAGCTGGTGGGAGTGTAGCAGTGAGAATGAACAGAGGTCGTACCTGTCACCATCTTGGTTTGGTGGGTTTTGGCTGGCTTCTTTATTGCAACCTGTTTTATCAGCAAGGTCTTTATGACCTGTATTTTGTGCCAACCTTGTATCTCATCCTGTGACTTAGAATGCCTTAATTGTCTGGGAATGCAAGCCCAGTAGGTCTCAGCTTCATTTTACCCAGCCCCTATTCAAGATGGAGTTGCTGTGGTTCAAACGCCTCTGACAACCAGTACCTCAGGCTCTCAACTCTCTGAAGCACAGTTCCTGCCTTCCCATCGCCCCAGCACCTTCCACTCACTCTGTCTCCACTCACGTCCATCACCACTTCCCCAGGCACAGGAGCTTAAAACCATCAGCTGCCTTCCCACTCTCTCTCCCTCATCCCTCACATCCAGAGCAGGGTCATGAGTGTTCACTCCTGCAGCTGTGTCGTTTGTGTGTCCCAGCATTTATAGCATTCTACCACCGGTCTCCTTGCAGATCACCATGCGATTTGCTCCCAGAGGGCACAAGCCATGTGCACACATACTTGGTCTATGGGGCATGTGGACGGGGCAGGAGAGCAGAGGGCATTTGGCTCTGAGGACAAGAATTTAAGTCAACTCAAAGAATCAGGACTTTGTGTATCTTCTTTTGTTGTGGTTTATTCCCACAAAAGCGTATCTTAAACTCTCATTCTCTGCTAGTGACTCTTTTTGAGAAATGCTTTATCGAGCACCTGGGACAATATCTCCAGTGGTGTCACTAATTGAAGGTGGCTACTGAGAGGGACAGCAGGAGGCTCTCTTGGCCACTGGCCTTGACCTTAGAAGTTCAGGGCTGTAACCTAAACATGCTAAACTTTATTAAATATGCCAGCCAGGATCTTTGGTTACAATGAAGGAAAAAAATGGACGTTACTTAATAAACAGAAAAAGAATGCATAGACAGTTATCATGCAATCCATAGAATATATGAAAAAGCCGAAGAACCAGGCTGAGAAAGCTGGTAGAAGCCAAGGAGGCTACTTCGGACCACCTGATCAAGACCCAACCCTAGCACTGCCACCACTGGATGTGCACCTCTGCTGGCGATGGATTCTGGACTCCACCCTCCAAGTAATCTTTGAGGTGGCCAGTGCTGGCAGGCGCATCTGATGGACAAGCCCAGGTCTCCCACTGTGCACCAGCTGTTTCCTTTCTGCAGTGGTTCTTCAAGCAGATTTATGCAAACAGCCCCAAATGTGTTTTAGGACAGTCCTGGCGATACCCACATTCTCCTGCAAATAATAGGAGGAAAATGTCTTTTTCATTTGGCTTCCATAGGGGAAAGAGTTAGGAGGAAAATCCTAGACTTTTTCTTGAATATCTTCTCCCAGTGAGAAGACATATTTGCCTAACTCAATCGATAATTGATTAAGTTTAAGAAATTAAACTTTTTTGAAAATTCAGTAATGCACACAGACAAAGCAAGAGTTTTTCCCGTGAGAAAAATAAGGCAGACCTGAGCTTGATACACTTTAAAAAGGTAGGTGGTGAAGAAGAGGTGGCCTCCTAGACAAAGCCACAGCGGCGTAGGCCTGTCCATGGAGTGGCCTGTCCATGGGGTACTGTTTTGGGCACAGTGACAGCAAGGAATAATCAGTTATCAGATAATCCTAAGATCAGAAATTGACTACATGTAATCATACATAATTCGTCAGTGTCTAAAGCAATTTGAATAACAATTTTCCTTTCCCTCACGCTTCCAAGAAAATCCAGCGGCTAATCCATAGATGGCTATCTCTTGGCAAACTTTGCTTTTTGTGAAGTAGCCACATGTCCCATCAGATTAAAAAGTGTAATTTCTTTGTTTTCACAGGATACTGTCCAGTCAGGAACAACAAAAAAAAAAAAAAAAAAGGAAGAGGGGAAAAATGTGATTAGTATTATGTCATTTTATTAATGAAGGCACTGGTAGTTTCACACTTAAGTAAATCAGTTATTACAAGCAAGGAAAGTTGCTCTCCAGCCATAATCCTGACAGGCCTCAGGGGTATTGAAAGGTTCCAGATGACTTTTGTTTTTGCAGCAGAATTTAGGCATTGTGAACTTCTTTCTAGAACACAGGTCAGTTCATATAAATCTGCTGGAAGAACCTTTACAATAAGGAAATGGTATTGATAAGCTACCATTTTTCCATTCCCAGGAGCTACTATTTATTGTTACAAGTTACGTTCCCCTAAATGAAAAAGGCAACCTCACCTATCCCTTCATGCCCCCAAAGCTATTCAGCATAAGTTAATCTTTTCAACAGAAGCAGCCAACTTTTCTAGCAAAGGAATTTGCAGTCTTTGTGGTTTGGGTAAAAAGGTGGCTCATTTTACCAGTTTCTTGATGAAATATGTTTCATGATAAATTCAATCTTTCCTCAGAAAAATTCCCCAAATCTACTTTTCTGTGCAAAATTCAGCATGAAAGCCTTTCTCTGTTGAAGCAGCCAAAGATTGAGTTTGTGTAGACCTGGGCAAACAGTTTCAGGTCCAAGGTTAAGGATATTTATTGCTGGAGGTATTACATGTATTCGTATCCAGGAAGAACAAAATTCAACACCTTGACACTGGTTTTCAAATATATTAATTTACTTTCTTTTGTTTGGGGGGCATTTTTTTTTCTCCCTGCCCTCCTTTTAATCCTTTTCCACACTTGGTAGAATGTGGAAGGATTTTTGCCAGGGGTAACTAGCAAAGCTATACAATGTGTTAATACACAGGAGATCTGCTGGTTTCTTGCACAGACTTCAGAGAAAGCTGCTTGCACTCTGACTTTGGCATAACATGCAGGAAATTCCTCATTGGTCTGCCCAATGCAATAAACAGACCTCCTGCATCTAACCACATCCATGCTGAAGTTTCTCATGTGGGGTTGCTTTTGCTTTTTCTGTAAAAGTTAAGGGTCCCAGCATTCCCATTCCACACTTTCTTTAGCTCCTTGGCTTTGGAATTTGTGTAGGACTGTGCTTGAGAGTTAATAGGACTTGTGGCTTTATTTTTTAATGTTCGTTATGTATACAAAAAGGATAGACTAGGTAAACGTGTCCTCCATGGAGAGAGAGAGAGAGAAAGAGAGAGAGAGAGAGAAAGAGAGAGAGAGAATAGATGCTCTTGATATACCTTACAGCTTGATAAGAAAGCCAGAAGTCACCATTTGCCTGTGGGTACTCTTTAGGGACATTGCTTGCTCTATTCACTGCAGGTGTTTCCCTCAGTAACCCCTGCTACTCAAAGTGTGGTCCCCAAGGCAGCAACATCAGCCTCATCAGAGGGCTTGTAGAAATGCTGAGTCTCAGGCCCCAGCCCAGAACTACTGGACTAGAGTCTACATTTTAACTAAGCCCCAGGTAATTCAAAGAACCTAAAAGGCAGAGAGGTCCTGGGTGATACGCCATGCCACCAGAGTGCCTGAGTCCATTTCAGTAAGGACGCCATGGGAGGGTGTGAGGGGAAAGCAGGCTGACCACTGGGGCAAAGAGAAAAAAGAGCCTGGAAGGACTCGCCTGAGTTCAATTATGCTCATTAATTCAATTTGAGGCAGGAATGTGTGTAAATAAACGCTGGCAGCTGCAGCGGCTCTGTTTCCCGCAGGGCTCAGGCAGGAATGCAGGGGCCATTGGACGTAAAAACCTGACTCGGCATTGGGTGGATGTTTCTGCAACCACGAGATAATGACGGAAAAGATGGTATTATCATTATCGTATTAGGAAAGTCTTAATGCAGAGTTAAGTGCCAAACCAAGTGGAACTGGAGAGGCTGTGTTAGCATAGATAAAATCTTCATTATTTGAAAAGATTAAGCTTACTTGACTGCTCCCTCTTCTATTTTTTAAGTCAATACAGATCGGATTTCCAGGGGGTTACAATGAGTAGGACAGCGCCATGGTCAGACGCAGCCTGTCAGTGTTTCCAAGTAAATAACCTGTTCGCATCCACTTTTTCTCATACAAAAAAGACTAAGTTCGTGAGAAACAGGAAAGAGAAAATTGAATTATGTAGGTTAAGAACAACTCCATTGTACCATAAACCTGTGATATGTTTATTGTTTAATTTTTGGCTCACAGTGTGTTCATTCATTGTTTTGAGGGCTAGGCAGTGATCACCAGTTAGCCAGTTAATGTTTGTTAAACCCCATGCGGCATGCTGGGCAAAGACACTTGCTCACTTAACCATTGGAAGATGGCTCTTGTTTGTACTGTCATTTTTAGAAGCTCATTGAATATTATGAATTCTAAAGAGATGTCTGTTTTGCAGCTTAAAAATTAGCCACAAATCCCAAGCGTCTACTCACTGATGGAGGGGCGCTATAAATGAAGAGAGTTGTGTTCTTCTTAAACTGGGCATGTTGTCCTTAAAGCCCCTGTGCCTGAGATGATGATGATGATGATGATGATGATGATGATGATGATGATGATGGTGATGGTGATGATGGTGATGGTGATGATGATGGCAGCAGCTACCCACAAGCTGGGCACTTTATTCAAGCTATATATATTTAATTCACACTGTACCTATTCTCTATGAGAAACCGAAACCAAGTCCTAGTGAAGTTAACAGCCCTGCTCAAGATCACACAGCCAGGAGTGGGGCTGGGCTCTGACCTCAGGCTGTCTCCAGGGCTTCTAACAGCAGCCATTCACCCTCAGCTCCCCTGCTGTCTCACTCTCTAGCTCTCCCTCTCCAGTGTGTGGCATGCTTTCTCTGCACTCTCAGAGCTCGCTGCATACTCTTATGAAAAAATACAAATTAGCTGGGCGTGGTGGTGGGTGCCTGTAATTCCAGTACTCAGGAGGCTGAGGCAGGAGAATTGCTTGAACCCAGGAGGCGGAGGTTGCACTGAACTGAAATTGCACCTTGCACTCCAGCCTGGGCAACAAGAGTGAAACTCCATCTCAAAAAAAGGAAAAAAAGGAGAAAATACTTGTGTTATGATTACAAACTGGGGTGTGTGCAAGTCTCTCACCCACTGGACTGTCAGGAGTTTTAGAGACGGGACTGGCATGGAATAAGCCCTAGGTTCACAGCAATTCCTTCCTCCTTCATGCGGACAGGCCCGTGTCTTCACTCCTGTGCCTTGCACTGGTCCTGTGGGATGACTAGAGAGACAGTCTGGCATTGCCAACATGTAGTGGACATCTGGGGAAGAGTGGAGAACGCTTGTCCCCTGGCTTCTCCCAGCTTCTTGTCACAGCCAGAGAAAGACCTCCCCTATCAGCCACTGCAGGTAAAACCAGAGAAAACCTCACCACCTCCCAGTCTGCTGCACTGCCTGAAGCATGTGTGGATGTTGATGTGGCCTGCGTGTGCAAGTCAGGGTCATGCAGGAAAACCTTGCAAGTTCCTGAGACCTTGAGCGACCTTCTTGGTGGAGACACTGCTTTTACCTTAGGAGAGGTGATTTAAAATCTGGCTGAGAATGACAGGAAGCAGAGCAAGGAGTATGGGTCTCTGGTTATTTTATCCCTTTTGTGCACATGGCCTTTTCCCTTTAGGAGAAATGGAGTTCAGGGGGCCAGAAAGATGAGAAATGGGGTTCTTCAGACTTACCTGTCTAGGCCACCCTCAGTGTTACTCCCTTGTACCGACATGGTGGGAGAATGGTTAATGGAAGGACAGTGGGGCCTTTCACTCCTGCCTCCTGAACCTCCACCTTTGGGAGGGTCAGTGGCCCTTAGCAAACCAGGACAAGTTGGAGTTACATGGGTCTCTGTTCCCTTCTCCATCACAGCAGCTTTGGGAAGGATTCAACAAGTTTATGTCAGTCCTTGGGGATTGGGGATGATGGCTGCACAGTGTTGGAGGAAGGAAATCATGTCGGGACCTCATTCCCTGCCACTCACCACCCACACGCCCCACTCCCAAGTATTCAAGGGCCAATTTGTTTGTGGATAAAGCAGATCCCCCGCTTCTGCTCCCACTTCTCGCGGGTGCCTTCTAGCTTCCTTTGCTCATTAGCAGGCTCTTAGAAGGCAGGCTGCAGAAGGAGGCAAGAGATCACTCCAAAATCAGAAGTGCTTTGGCTGGCACTTCCCAGCAGCTTCCTTGGGAAGATAGAGGATGTTGTGATCGCCTGGTCTGGGACAGTGATGAGCTTTCTCCCTCCTGATCCTCTGTCAGATGCAGGCAGTCCCCGCTGCTCTGAGCTCTTCAACTGTTACTCTAACCTTGGCCTGAGACTCTCCTAAGCATGCTTTGAAAAGTAAAATTCGTGAGAATGGGGCCCAAACATGAGAGCACCTGGGTGAACAGAGTTTGATTTCATTGCCCCTGCGGCTTCTCCTGCCCCACTCAGGCACTTGCCCTCCTCCCACGAGCCATCCCAGATCCCTGGGGCCCTTCTGCATCACCTCTGACGAGTCCACTCTTGTCCCCTCTCCTGGCCTCTGCCGACTGTTGACTCTGCAGGGAACACAGGAACTCTCTACAGAGATGTAAGGGGCTTGATGCTGTGCCCTTGCCTGCATGGCCTTCCTGTTACTTTGTGGCAGGGCCCACTATCCTGAGCTGGCCTCCATGTCCTGGTCTGCCCAGGGCTCGCTTCCTCTCTCCAGCCTGAGAGTCAGTCTCCTTTCTCCGCTTGCTTTTTTTTTTTTTTTTTTTTTTTTGAGGTGGAGTCTTGCTCTTGTCACCCAGGCTGGAGTGCAGTGGTGCGATCTTAGCTCACTGCAACCTCCGCCTCCTGGGTTCAAGCAATTCTCTTGCCTCAGTACCCCAAGTAGCTGGGACTACAGGTGCCCACCAGCATGCCTGGCTAATTTTTGTATCATTAGTAGAGATGGCGTTTCACCATGTTGGCCAGGCTGGTCTCGAACTCCTGACCTCAGGTGATCCATCTGCCTCGGCCTCCCAAAGTGCTGGGATTACAGGCATGAGCCACCGCACCAAGCCCGCTTGCTTCTTTTCTCTAATGTCTCTTTTCCTGACCCTGGCCCTCTCTCCTTCTTTTGGGGTGGCTGGCATGCTTCTCACAGAGGCCATCGTAAAGGCTGGGGAGGAGGGCTGGAGCCTGCTGGGGTAATAGTGCCTGTCCTGCCCAGCTCATCTGCAGAGCCCCCGGGGTTGGCGACTGCAGCAGTCTCAGCACATCAGTCCCGAACCAGAGAAATTGCAGTGTCCTGCTGTTTTTCATTATGCTATTTTCTTCCTATTTATTCTATGGTCTTGTTTCTCTTAGAATTAAACAATCAGAAACTGATATGAGGGGAATTCAATCAGAGCAGGGTATTTGTGGAGCCAGGGCATTTCTCCTCTTTGACACAGCCACATGGCTTGTTTTCATGCATTACTCCTTAATAATGTGTTTATTTATCTAGACTCACACGATTCTCTCTTGCCCTGGGTAATCCACTATTAACCGTTAATAACCAGGATCCCTAGTGAAGGAAGGGATTTTTCAAAGAAAAGCAAAGGGAATTGCAGGTTTGAAATTCTAGAGAGAATTTCGGTGGGGGTGAGAATACACCCTCACTGAAGAGAATGTGGGAAAATAACTGAGAGTGCTCTTCAAGAGGCAGATGTTGTACTTCTGCTGATGCTCCACTGTATTCAAGCTGCATTTTGTTTGAAAGAAGCTTTTCCTCCAAGAATATTACAGTAGTTAGTTCTGAAATTGACAAGCAATGTTATATCACGTCTTGGATAAAGTATATATATTTATGTATCTGTAACTAATGAATACTGACATTAAGCTTTCCAAATTACTTAATAGGACACCTGTCCCTCCCAAAAGAAAAGTTGGAATGTCGGGGTGGTGATGGTGGAATAGCGTATTTGTTGCTGGGATGAGGTCATAAAGCTAACTTAACTCTTGTTCTGAAAGAGTCTCAGTGTGGAAACGGTGGCACTTGCCCTGGCTGGGTTTGACTGTGTGAGTTTTGTGTTTTGTAATTAGAAGGGAGGTGTGCCTCTGCTTTATGGACAATGCCTGGCAAATGCTGCCCTCCCTATTTTTGTCGCATCTGCAAGTGTGGTATGCATCTTGTAAACAGGTCACTAATTCCAGGCTAGGGGCTGGAAGGCAGCTATAATCTCGCTCACGTGGTTTCACCCGCTCCATGTGCGCTGGATGCCGACAGCACGAGGGGAAGCCTCTGAGAGCGCGGCTTCGTGGGGCAGAGCATCTCCCAGGCCCACTCCATGGAAATCTCTTCCAAGTGGCAGCCCAGAGCCTCTTCGTGCCATCTGATAGCTGTTCCATAGCGTATAGGAAAACAGCTGAGACTCAGGGCCTTCTCCAGAGGGAGCGCCAGAGATTACTGCCAGGAGAGTGGGAAATGGTGAGAAAAACATGAGGTGGCTTCCACTCTGCAAGCCCTTAGTACTACATAGGCTTTATTTACATGGTATTGCTGGTTGCTCATTGTAGGGTCAAATTTATGAAGAAAGGGGTAATCAGCTCAGGCACATTGACAACAGCTGGTCTGCTAGCTGACCCAGAACACTTTTCCATATACCAGCCAACAATGCATAATGTCTAAGTAGGCTCTATAAACATCCATGCTGTGTGACTCATTTGTGTAAAGTTCCAGAGCTTGCAAAACTAATTTATGGTGTTGGAGGTCAGGAGCGTGGGTATGCCTGGGTGGAACAGAGGATGAGTAAGAAATGGAAGAGGTGTGAGGAGGCTTCTGCTAAGTGTCTGGGGTTTTTTCAAATCTAAGTTCTGTCCATGGGTATTCATTTTGTGAAAATGGAAAGTCACTTGAGATGCACACATGTGATCTGTGCACTTTATGTATGAATATTCTACTTCTATAAAAAGTTTACACTAAAGGTATGACATCAGATCATAAGGAAAAACTTCCTTCCTCAGTCCAACTCTTTTTTTTTTTAAGACAGAGTTTTGCTGTTGTTGCCCAGACTGAAGTGCAGTGGCGCGATCTTGGCTCACTGAAACCTCTGCCTCCTGGGTTCAAGCGATTCTCTTGCCTCAGCCTCTCAAGTAGCTGGGATTACAGGCGTCGGCCACCATGCCCGGCTAATTTTTGTGTTTTTAGTAGAGACGGGTTTCACCATCTTGGCCAGGCTGGTCTTGAGCTCCTGACTTCGTGATCTTCCCGCCTCGGCCTCCCAAAGTGTTGGGATTACAGGCGTGAGCCACAGCGCCAGGCCCCTCAGTCCAACTTTTATTATTAATAAATTCAGACAAGAGAGGAAAGGAAGACAACAAATGTTAATACTATGTGTCTTCTACATGCAGGCCCTGAGCCAGGTGCTTTCTTTACATCCACCCTGTGAGCCATTTAGCTTTTAATCACTTCTTATTAAGTTTTGATTTGTCTATTGAGGATTCCCAGTTTGTTTGTGTTTTTTTTTAGTTTGATTCTTTTAACAGACCAATGATCATATCAATATGTTTTTGAATCTCAATGGAATACTTTTGAATAAATGCTTCTGTGGGCTGCTTATCCAATGAATAATCTAGAAATTCATTTCAACACACTAACATGGATATCACCACCATTTGAGTGACTTTTGAGGTCGTGGAAGTTGATGGCACTGCCCATGGAGAGTAGGCAAGGAGGCAGAAAGGAAAGAACCCAGACCCCCCCCCCGCCCCACCCCCAGAGAACACTGGCATTTGCAGGACGAATAAACAGCCTTCTGCTTAACAAGGGTAGCACAGCACAGGCCAGCTAGACAGAGGTTCATGATCGCTCTGTAAGGATGCTTGGATAATTCAATCTTGTTTTCACTTTATAAAAGTGAAATAGCTTTGGGCTGTTGTGAAATTCTCTGTCTGAAATTTTAGGTTAGGACCCAAACAATAACCTGATGTGAATTTAGTAGCACTGCACTTGTCCTCCTTAAACAACTTTATCTAAAAGATGCCTATAAATATTTTGTATAAAACTTCCGGAATTGGCTGATAAGGGGACTTTCCTTTTTCTTCTGCGTCAAGTTCAGAAAAAGCTAAAAGCAAAAAAGGAAGCAACCAAATATGGGCAGTATGCAGTAACTAATGAAGTGAGTGATGTGGCTTGGAATATACAATGTGCTCAAATGTTTTACCGCTGGGTTCAACCCAGTTAGTATATAGAAGTTTGTAGAGTTCAGCCGGGTGTGGTGGCTCACACCTGTAATCCCAGCATTTTGGGAGGCCAAGGTGGGCTATCACCTGAGGTCAGGAGTTAGAGACCAGCCTGACCAACATGGAGAAACCCCATCTCTACTAAAAATTCAAAATTAGCCAAGCATGGTGGCGCATGTCTGTAATTCCAGCTACTTGGGAGGCTGAGGCAGCAGAATCATTTGAACCTGGGAGGCGGAGGTTGCGATGAGTCAAGATCGCACCATTGCGCTCCAGCCTGGGCGACAAGACGGAAACTCTTGTCTCAAGAAATAAAACTGTAGAGTTCATGGGGTCATTTGTATAGAAGGAAATTTTATTGAAATCACTAGTTTTTTTTCTTTTATGTATGTGAAAATACTATTTCTGAAGTTCTCTTCTCTTCGTCACCTAAATATGGCAATTTTTTCCTACAATCTGTCAACGACTATGCCAAGAAGCAAACAATGTGAGTTCTACCACATAAGAGAAACTTCCTTTATACATTCTCCACAAAAGATTTCAATGTTATTTCGTATACCATCTTCAGACAGTAATTTATTTGTTTTACTATTTTTGCTGTTGTTGCTTCAGGCCTGATCATTTTCCCCATTTCCTAATAGGAACCAATTTCCTGTTAATTGCTATTAAATTTGTTTGCTCATCCTTTGTCATATATATATATATATATATATATATATAAAATTTAAATGATTTTAAAAAATAATATATGGTCAAAAATCCTTGTATTGAAAGGATTGAAAATCCCCTAGGTGAAGGTTTGTATTAATACTTTTTGTTTAAATCACCTTCTTTTTTATCTATTTCTGAGCTATAGAACTCTTGAAGAAATAATTTCACTGTTCTTAAGAAAAACTCAGAGATGTGGTTTGGTCATAACCCTATTCACACTTGCTTGAGGCCCATTGGTGGATTAATGCTCTCCTTAAGAAGCATGATTATCTGAGGCTTGGTATAGGTTTTCAGGCACCTTAGCTCTTTTCCTGTTAGATGTCAGTATCATGGCTGCATCCTCCTTCCCCAGTGCATGACCACTCCTTGACCTTCACGGTGGTCAGTCTCCAGCAGCACTTACCTCCTGCCTATTTGTTCCTTCTAGAAATTCTTGCTGTTTTTTGCTTCTGAAGCATAATTCCTTCCTAGCTCCCTTGACTGTGACTTTGCCACTATTTCATTGCTTCATTCTCCTCCATGGCCCATTCCTTAAATGTAATTGGTCTGAAGGTTTTTTTTCCTCAGATACTTTTTTAAATTTTTTAACACTTTTTAAACTTTAAAAACAAATTTGGCCGGGCGCGGTGGTTCACGCCTGTAATCCCAGCACTTTGGAAGGCCAACGCAGGCAGATCACGAGGTTAGGAGATCGAGACCATCCTGGCTGACATGGTGAAACCCTGTCTCTAATAAAAATACAAAAAATTAGCCAGGCGTGGTGGCACGTGCCTGTAATCCCAGCTGCTCAGGAGGCTGAGGTAGGAGAATCACTTGAACCTGGGAGGTGGAGGTTGCAGTGAGCCGAGATCGCTCCACTGCCCTCCAGCCTGGGTGACGGCGCGAGACTCTGTCTCAAAAAAAAGAAAAGAAAAAAAATTTTACCGTCTCTCTGGGTTACATTATATATACCAAGGTTTCAATTCCAGCTGAAAACTAGCAGCTTCCAAATATATATCTTTAGCACAACACTTTATAGTTGCTAACAACTCAGTTTCCTTTGAAAGTGGAGACAGATCTTTTTCATCTTTTGTATCTCTTTAAATACCTAACAGAACGCCTGGTACACAAATATTAGATAGAAGAAAAATGTACATCAGTTAAAAGTTCTTAATTTCTATATCAATTTTAGAATTGTGTTCTAATGAAATATATTGTACTAGAAGATGTACTGGAAGCATGAACGTAGATATTTCCTTCCCTGATACGTATTTGTACTTCTGTCTTCATGACCAGCAGACCAGCCTCACAATTAGTCCATTTGTAACTAAAGTCTCTATCAGACAGAAGTGCATACTGGGGTTTTAGATGACATTTTACACAATAATTGTTTTCTTCATTTTTCTGGGACAGACTGATTTTGAGCATAAGTCTGTGTAGTAGAAATACGAAAATATTTGGGAATTCTTTTTTCTTTAGTGGGAGCCTTTTATTGCTAGAAATGAATATCCCATAGAGCTAAAGAAAGACCTATGAAATTTAGCTTTTAAAAACAAAGCTGTGTTTAAGTTCTTTGGAAACAGAAGGTATTGCTTAAAAATGACACAGCAGATGTTATGAAATTTGTTTTAAAGCATTACTCTCAGGTTAAGTCATGTTTGCCAAGTTACAACCCAGAACACGTTTTTACAACTCAGCAGTGCTCTGAAATTGAGGGTCTGTGATGATAAAAGGGTACTCATGTTGTGCAGTGGACCACGAGTGCTCTGTCAAGCTGTGGGTGAGGAAATGAACCTCACATCACCTTAGAAGAGTCGAGCATCTCTTCCTGAGTTGACTGAGTGAAGCCAAAGTAAAGTTGAAAATGCAAGCTACATTGTCCCCTAAGATTTACTTTTGTTTTAATAGATGCTGTGTGTTGCTCTCACTCAGTTTTGGAGTTATCTGTGGGTTTTCTTCAATGTGTATTTGATGTTTCTTTAGGGCAAAGTTACGCCACTCGAAAACGATCGTGTTGAAAGTGTGTCATATTCAGAATGGGATAGAAATCAGGTTGCTTGTTAGACCTGAGCCTTTTGTTTTGTTTTGTTTTGTTTGAGACACAGTCTCGCTCTGTCGCCCAGGCTGGAGTGCAATGGTGCGATCTCGGCTCACTGCAACCTCCCCCTCCCAGGTTCAAGCAATTCTCCCACCTCAGCCTCCCAAACAGCTGGGATTACAGGCACCCACCATCATGCCCGCCTGATTTTTGTATTTTTGGTAGAGACGGGGTTTCACCAGGTTGGCCAGGCTGGTCTCGAACTCCCTGACCTCAGGTGATCTGCCTACCTTGGCCTCCCAAAGTGCTGCGATTACAGGTGCGAGCCACTGTGCCCGGCCAGATCTGAGCCATTTGATCCCTGCCTTCATCCCTATTAACTGATAATTTATCTATTCATTAGGGGGCTCTGTGAGGTGGGTTCTGACTGATGTTGGAGGGGATGCGCTATAATTCCTGCCTCTGCATTTAAGTGTATGAGTGTTTCACCAGGGATGTCCAAACTGTCCCACTTTGGGTAAAGGACAAAAAGCAGGCCAAACAAGATTTTCTTTTGTCTGACACAATTTAAAAAAATATTGCAAGGTAAAATATTTAACAGAATGATTGTACTGGGTTGGTAGTGTGTGCGTGTGTGTGGTTTGCTTGATTTTGAGGCTTCATAATCTTTTAAAAAGATGGAGATGTATGACCTTCAAAGCCTTTTTCTTTTTTTTTTTTTGGAGATGGAGTCTGGCTCTGTTGCCCAGGCTGGAGTGCAGGGGCGCGATCTTGGCTCACTGCAAGCTCCACCTCCCATTCTCCTGCCTCAGCCTCCCGAGTAACTGGGACTACAGGCGCCCGCCACCACACCTGGCTAATCTTTTGTACTTTTTTAGTAGAGGTGAGGTTTCACTGTGTTAGCCAGGATGGTCTTGATCTCCTGACCTCATGATCCACCCGCCTCAGCCTCCAAAGTGCTGGGATTACAGGTGTGAGCCACTGCGCCTGGCACCTTTTTCTCATTTTTATTAGTAGGTAGTGTCAGCTTGGGTTCTTACTGTGCACAGCCTATCTTGGCACAGGGTGGCATCTCTTTAGTTATGAGACATTCAATTTGGCTTTATGGGTGGAATTTACTTGATGCCTGTGAAAAATAAGTTAAAAGGCAATGGAAACAACAAATGGAAACATTTCTCTCTCTCTCTGTCTCTCTGTCTCTCTCTCTCTCTCTCTCTCTCTCCTTCCACCTGTGTTATGCAGATGTACTGGGAATGAAAAATAAGTCAAAAGGCAATGGAAACAACAAATGGAAACACCTCTCTCTCTCTCTCTCTCTCCCTCCTCCTCTCCTTCCCCTTTCTTCCACCTGTGTCATGCAGGTGTACTGGGACACAGCATACAGTGCGATGCTCTCCTTTGTGCCTGGGAGATGCTCCCTCCATCCCCCTCCTCTGCCATAGCCTATTTGATGACGTCTGTGACTGTATGGGGCCACAGTTTGGGTCTCAACTTTGTGTGAAGCACAGACTTTTTTTTAGTCTGTTTTTTTTTTTTCGCATCAAAATGAGGACCAAATATTTGATGACTCCTGATAGAAAATATTCTTCAAAGAATACCCAGGGCTGAAAACATTAAAAGTTAGCACAAAGTGTTAAGTGGTTGGTAATATTAGTATTAGATAGGCTCAGGTTTGGGACTGTTTCTATCAAACATAGGACATATCAATCAAATGTTGTTGTAGCGTAAGTCCAGAGAAGATTTTTTTTTCTTTTAGAAAATTTTCTTTTTTTTATTATTATTATACTTTTAAGTTTTAGGGTACATGTGCACAACGTGCAGGTTTGTTACATATGTATACATGTGCCATATTGGTGTGCTGCACCCATTAACTCGTCATTTAGCATTAGGTATATCTCCTAATGCTATCCCTCCCCCCTCCCCCCACCCCACAACAGTCCCCGGAGTGTGATGTTCCCCTTCCTGTGTCCATGTGTTCTCATTGTTCAATTCCCACCTATGAGTGAGAACATGCGGTGTTTGGTTTTTTGTCCTTGTGGTAGTTTGCTGAGAATGATGGTTTCCAGCTTCATCCATGTCCCTACAAAGGACATGAACTCATCATTTTTTATGGCTGCATAGTATTCCATGGTGTATATGTGCCACATTTTCTTAATCCAGTCTATCATTGTGGGACATTTGGGTTGGTTCCAAGTCTTTGCTATTGTGAATAGTGCCACAATAAACATACGTGTGCATGTGTCTTTATAGCAGCATGATTTATAATCCTTTGGGTATATACCCAGTAATGGGATGGCTGGGTCAAATGGTATTTCTAGTTCTAGATCCCTGAGGAATCGCCACACCAACTTCCACAATGGTTGAACTAGTTTACAGTCCCGCCAACAGTGTAAAAGTGTTCCTATTTCTCCACATCCTCTCCAGCACCTGTTGTTTCCTGACTTTTGAATGATCACCATTCTAACTGGTGTGAGATGGTATCTCATTGTGGTTTTGATTTGCATTTCTCTGATGGCCAGTGATGATGAGCATTTTTTCATGTGTTTTTTGGCTGCATAAATGTCTTCTTTTGAGAAGTGTCTGTTCATATCCTTTGCCCACTTTTTGATGGGGTTGTTTGTTCTTTTCTTGTAAATTTGTTTGAGTTCATTGTAGATTCTGGATGAGTATGTTGCAAAAAGTTTCTCCCATTCTGTAGGATGCCTGTTCACTCTGATGGTGGTTTCTTTTGCTGTGCAGAAGCTCTTTAGTTTAATTAGATCCCATTTGTCAACTTTGGCTTTTGTTACCATTGCTTTTGGTGTTTTAGACATGAAGTCCTTGCCCATGCCTATGTCCCGAATGGTATTGCCTAGGTTTTCTTCTAGGGTTTTTATGGTTTTAGGTCTAACATGTAAGTCTTTAATCCATCTTGAATTAATTTTTGTATAAGGTGTAAGGAAGGGATCCAGTTTCAGCTTTCTACATATGGCTAGCCAGTTTTCCCAGCACCATTTATTAAATAGGGAATCCTTTCCCCATTTCTTCTTTTTGTCAGGTTTATCAAAGATCAGATAGTTGTAGATATGCAGCATTATTTCTGAGGGCTCTGTTCTGTTCCATTGATCTATATTTCTGTTTTGGTACCAGTACCATTGCTGTTTTGGTTACTGTAGCCTTGTAGTATAGTTTGAAGTCAGGTAGCATGATGCCTCCAGCTTTGTTCTTTTGGCTTAGGATTGACTTGGCAATATGGGCTCTTTTTTGGTTCCATATGAACTTTAAAGTAGTTTTTTCCAATTCTGTGAAGAAAGTCATTGGTAGCTTGATGGGGATGGCATTGAATCTATAAATTACCTTGGGCAGTGCGGCCATTTTCATGATATTGATTCTTCCTACCCATGAGCATGGAATGTTCTCCATTTCTTTGTATCCTCTTTTATTTCCTTGAGCAGTGGTTTGTAGTTCTCCTTGAAGAGGTCCTTCACATCCCTTGTAAGTTGGATTCCTAGGTATTTTATTCTCTTCGAAGCAATTGTGAATGGGAGTTCACTCATGATTTGGCTCTCTGTTTGTCTGTTATTGGTGTATAAGAATGCTTGTGATTTTTGCACATTGATTTTGTATCCTGAGACTTTGCTGAAGTTGCTTATCAGCTTAAGGAGATTTTGGGCTGAGACAATGGGGTTTTCTAGATATACAATCATGTCATCTGCAAACAGGGAGAATTTGACTTCCTCTTTTCCTAATTGAATGCCCTTTATTCCCTTCTCCTGCCTGATTGCCCTGGCCAGAACTTCCAACACTATGTTGAATAGGAGTGGTGAGAGAGGGCATCCCTGTCTTGTGCCATTTTTCAAAAAGAATGCTTCCAGTTTTTGTCCATTCAGTATGATATTGGCTGTGGGTTTGTCATAGATAGCTCTTATTATTTTGAGATATGTCCCATCAATACCTAATTTATTGAGAGTTTTTAGCATGAAGGTTGTTGAATTTTGTCAAAGGCCTTTTCTGCATCTATTGAGATAATCATGTGGTTTTTGTCTTTGGTTCTGTTTATATGCTGGATTATGTTATTGATTTTCGTATGTTGAACCAGCCTTGCATCCCAGGAATGAAGCCCACTTGATCATGGTGGATAAGCTTTTTGATGTGTTGCTGGATTCGGTTTGCCAGTATTTTATTGAGGATTTTTGCATCAATGTTCATCAAGGATATTGGTCTAAAATTCTCTTTTTTTGTTGTGTCTCTGCCCGGCTTTGGTATCAGGATGATGCTGGCCTCATAAAATGAGTTAGGGAGGATTCCCTCTTTTTCTATTGATTGGAATAGTTTCAGAAGGAATGGTACCAGCTCCTCCTTGTACCTCTGGTAGAATTCGGCTGTGAATCCATCTGGTCCTGGACTTTTTTTGGTTGGTAAGCTATTAATTATTGCCTCAATTTCAGAGCCTGTTATTGGTCTATTCAGAGATTCAACTTATTCCTGGTTTAGTCTTGGGAGAGGGTATGTATCGAGGAATTTATCCATTTCTTCTAGATTTTCTAGTTTATTTGCATAGAGGTGTTTATAGTATTCTCTGATGGTAGTTTGTATTTCTGTGAGATCGGTGGTGATATCCCCTTTGTCATTTTTTATTGCATCCATTTGATTCTTCTCTCTCTTCTTCTTTATTAGTCTTGCTAGCGGTCTATCAATTTTGTTGATCTTTTCAAAAAACCAGCTCCTGGATTCATTGATTTTTTGAAGGGTTTTTTGTGTCTCTATTTCCTTCAGTTCTGCTCTGATCTTAGTTATTTCTTGCCTTATGCTAGCTTTTGAATGTGTTTTCCTTGCTTCTCTAGTTCTTTTAATTGTAATGTTAGGGTGTCAATTTTAGATCTTTCCTGCTTTCTCTTGTGGGCATTTAGTGCTATAAATTTCCCTCTACACACTACTTTGAATGTGTCCCAGAGATTCTGGTATGCTCTGTCTTTGTTCTCATTGGTTTCAAAGAACATCTTTATTTCTGCCTTCATTTCGTTATGTACCCAGTAGTCATTCAGGAGCAGGTTGTTCAGTTTCCATGTAGTTGAGCGGTTTTCAGTGAGTTTCTTAATCCTGAGTTCCAGTTTGATTGCACTGTGGTGTGAGAGACAGTTTGTTATAATTTCTGTTCTTTTACATTTGCTGAGGAGTGCTTTACTTCCAACTATGTGGTCAATTTTGGAATAAGTGTAATGTGGTGCTGAGAATAACGTATATTCTGTTGATTTGGGGTGGAGAGTTCTGTAGATGTCTATTAGGTCTGCTTGGTGCAGAGCTGAGTTCAATTCCTGGATATGCTTGTTAACCTTCTGTCTCGTTGATCTGTCTAATGTTGACAGTGGGGTGTTAAAGTCTCCCATTATTATTGTGTGGGAGTCTAAGTCTCTTTGTAGTTCTCTAAGGACTTGCTTTATGAATCTGGGTGCTCCTGTATTGGGTGCATATATATTTAGGATAGTTAGTTCTTCTTGTTGAATTGATCCCTTTACCATTATGTAATGGCCTTCTTTGTCTCTTTTGATCTTTGTTGGTTTAAAGTCTGTTTTATCAGAGACTAGGATTGCAACCCCTGCCTTTTTTTGTTTTCCATTTGCTTGGTAGATCTTTCTCCATCCCTTTATTTTGAGCCTATGTGTGTCTCTGCACGTGAGATGGGTTTCCTGAATACAGCACACTGATGGGTCTTGACTCTTTATCCAATTTGCCAGTCTGTGCCTTTTAATTGGAGCATTTAGCCCATTTACGTTTAAGGTTAGTATTGTTATGTGTGAATTTGATCCTGTCATTATGATGTTAGCTGGTTATTTTGCTCGTTAGTTGATGCAGTTTCTTCCTAGCCTTGATGGTCTTTACAGTTTGGCATGTTTTTGCAGTGGCTGGTACTGGTTGTTCCTTTCTATGTTTAGTGCTTCCTTCAGGAGCTCTTTTAGGGCAGGCCTGGTGTGACAAAATCTCTCAGCATTTGCTTGTCTGTAAAGTATTTTATTTCTCCTTCACTTACGAAGCTTAGTTTGGCTGGATATGAAATTCTGGGTTGAAAATTCTTTTCTTTAAGAATGTTGAATATTGGCCCCCACTCTCTTCTGGCTTGTAGAGTTTCTGCCGAGACATCAGCTGTTAGTCTGATGGGCTTCCCTTTGTGGGCAACCCGACCTTTCTCTCTGGCTGCCCTTAACATTTTTTCCTTCATTTCAACTTTTGGTGAATGTGACAATTATGTGTCTTGAAGTTGCTCTTCTCAAGGAGTATCTTTGTGGCGTTCTCTGTATTTCCTGAATTTGAATGTTGGCCTGCCTTGCTGGATTTGGGGAAGTTCTCCTGGATAATATCCTGCAGAGTGTTTTCCAACTTAGTTCCATTCTCCCCGTCACTTTCAGGTCCACCAATTAGACATAGATTTGGTCTTTTCACATAGTCCCATATTTCTTGGAGGCTTTGTTCGTTTCTTTTTATTCTTTTTTCTCTAAACTTCTCTTCACGCTTCATTTCATTCATTTCATCTTCCATCGCTGATACCCTTTCCTCCAGTTGATTGCATCGGTTACTGAGGCTTGTGCATTCATCGCGTAGTTCTTGTGCCGTGGTTTTCAGCTCCATCAGCTCCTTCAAGGACTTCTCTGCATTGATTATTTTAGTTATCCATTCGTCTAATTTTTTTTCAAAGTTTTTAACTTCTTTGCCATTGGTTCAAACTTCCTCCTTTAGCTCGGAGAAGTTTGATCTTCTGAAGCCTTCCTCTCTCAACTCGTCAAAGTCATTCTCTGTCCAGTTTTGTTCTGTTGCTGGTGAGGAGCTGCATTCCTTTGGAGGTGCTCTGATTTTTAGAGTTTCCAGTTTTTCTGCTCTGTTTTTTCCCCATCTTTTGGTTTTATCTACCTTTGGTCTTTGATGATGGTGACCTACAGATGGGATTTTGGTGTGGATGTCCTTTCTATTTGTTAGTTTTCCTTCTAACAGTCAGGACCCTCAGCTGCAGGTCTGTTGGAATTTACTGGAGGTCCACTCCAGACCCTGTTTGCCTACGTATCAGCAGCGGTGGCTGCAGAACAGCGGATACTGGTGAACTGCTAATGCTGCTGTCTGATTGTTCTTCTGGAAGTTTTGTCTCAGAGGAGTACCCAGCCGTGTGAGGTGTCAGTCCGCCCCTACTGGGGGGTGCCTCCAAGTTAGGCTACTCGGGGGTCAGGGACCCACTTGAGGAGGCGGTCTGCCTGTTCTCAGATCTCAAGCTGCGTGCTCGGAGAACCACTCCTCTCTTCAAAGCTGTCAGACAGGGACATTTAAGTCTGCAGAGGTTATTGCTGTCTTTTGTTTGTCTGTGCCCTGCCCCCAGAGGTGGAGCCTACAGAGGCAGGCAGGCCTCCTTGAGCTGTGGTGGGCTCCACCCAGTTCCAGCTTCCCAGCTGGCCACCTTGTTTACCTACTCAAGCCTGAGCAATGGTGGGCGCCCCTCCACCAGCCTCGCTGCCGCCTTGCAGTTTGATCTCAGACTACTGTACTAGCAATGAACGAGGCTCCGTGGGCATAG
The DNA here is from genome assembly GCF_000001405.40 of Homo sapiens. NCBI lineage: Eukaryota > Metazoa > Chordata > Mammalia > Primates > Hominidae > Homo > Homo sapiens. The sequence continues at coordinate 25,898,817 of NC_000013.11, forward strand.
AACCCTCCGAGCTAGGTGCCGGATATAATCTCCTGGTGTGCCATTTGTGAAGCCCGTTGGAAAAGCGCAGTATTAGGGTGGGAGTGACCCGATTTTCCAGGTGCTGTTTGTCACCCCTTTCTTTGACTAGGAAAGGGAATTCCTTGACCCCTTGCGCTTCCCGGGTGAGGTTATGCCTTGCCCTGCTTCAGCTCACGCATGGTGCCCTGCACCCACTGTCTTGCACCCACTGTCCGGCACTCCCCTGTGAGATGAACCCAGTACCTCAGTTGGAAATGCAGAAATCACCCGTCTTCTGTGTCGCTCACTCTGGGAACTGTAGACTGGAGCTGTTCCTATTCGGCCATGTTGGCTCCACCCCAAGTCCAGAGAAGCTTATTGCTGGCGAGCGTGGAAACATGCATGCATGGGTTTCTGTCTGAGTGCTGGAGCTCTGTAGAGCAAGGGCAGCTTGGGATGGCCTGCCAGTATGCCCTGGCAATTCTGTGTTACAGGTGCTGTCCTTTCTGCTCCTTGTGGTGTGACATGCCACAACTCATTTAACCCCCTGCCTGGGTATGTCTGACAAATTGAGAATATAGAACCTGATTTATCTAGAGTTTTGCCAGATAATGCATACGGGTGTCTGGTATACTCTCCTGAAAATATACTATGGTTATACAGAGAATTACAATAGCAAGTGACTGGGTACTTCCTGCAGATGGCAGGGATAATAGAGGCCTCCCAGGAGGGCCACTATCTCGACTGAGATTGAGATCTGAGTGAGGAGCAGAGCCGGTGGTGTCCGCACCAGGGGAGGCAAAGCTGAGCGGAGGACACAGAGCATGGTGTGTTCTGAGGACAGGGCCACAGTCAGACAGGCAGGAAGGAAGGGGTTGGTGCAGGGGAGGGTGCAGGAAGAAGAGCAGAGGGGTGCACGGTAGCCAGACCACGGAGGTCTTTGTAAAGGACAGAGCAAGAAACTTGATTTTCCTGCAGATGGGATGGAGAGTCTTTGGAGAGCTTTAATAGGAAAATGACATGCTCTGATGTCTATTTCCAAAGCTCACCCTGCCTCTCTATGGGGAAAAAATAGGTGGTACAGGGGAAAGAGTGGAGGCAGGGAGTCCAGCTGGGTGATGGGGACTTGGAGTTGGGAGTCAGGTGGACATGAGGCACACAGCTGTGTTCGAGGATGCTGGGACCTGCCCAGGGACTGGAGTAGAAGCTGTCAACTGAAGAATAACCAGGATCATACATTTGGAAGAGCTTTATTTCTCATAAAGGGTTATAGCCTGCAGGCTGGCCATTCCTCCTGCTGGGAGGCAGAGCTGAGAGGGAGGGAGGATAAGACAGGAATTTATGCTGAAATTTCTGGGTGGCTGGAAATACATATTTAATGAGCTATAGGAGGAGTCATGAATATTTATGAGAGGAGAAACATGTACAGGCACAATTGAGTTCCATGCCTCTTCATGGATTACATGTTCAAAAAATGGCAGTGTTAGCATGATCTGAGGTGGAGTTTTCAGCCCTCTGACATGAAAAGGTGCAGTGGAGGACACCAGAACCTCACTGCATCCTCTGAGAGTCAGCCAAAACGTGTCCCAAGGTGGTCGTCAGTGTTTACGAAGGGATGTGTTGTGAGACAGGTGGGCTGTCACGTGGAAGAAGTGAAGAGGGAGGGGCATCTGGTCGCAGTTTCAGATGATTGGCTAAGGTGATAAAGGAATGAGTTGTCCATTTCTCATTTTCCAGAGCTGATTTCTGCTTACTCCTTAGAAAGAGTTTTGGCTAAAGGTTAATAAGGAAGGGGCACACTGAGGCGTGTTCAACCTTATGTCTGATGTGGTCAAAAACTCCGTTTTTAAGGTTTCTCCAAGGTCTCCTTGGCCAAGAGGGGGTCTGTTCAGTTGCTTGGGGGCTTAAGATTTTATTTTTATTTCTCAAAGACCTGGGAGAGAGAAGTGTCCAAGGCACCTGCTAGAGTTTTACCTAAGCAAAGGGGTGGGAAGGTATTAGCGCTGTTGACTAAGATGGAAAACACGGGAGAAGAGGGGCTTGTGGAGAAACCACACCTCCATTCTAGCCACGTCCACTGCGAATGCAGGTGACACATGGAAGCAGCAGGAACACCCCTGAGCATCTTCATGGAGTTTGGATCAAGATGGAAGAAAAGCCCATGCGTTGTCTAAGGCTGCCTCATCTCAGAAGCCAATGGGCGGTGTAATTAGTGCTGAAAGGTGGGCTGGGGGATGACTGCATTGCTCTAGCAAGGAAGGAGGAGCAGGGAGCTGAAGGGAGACAGGTGGAGGAGGCCAAGCAACTGGCTAAGCCCATGAGGGCTAAGGGAGGCCTAAAATGCGGGACATTGGAGAGGAAATGTTCTGGAAGCTTCTACAGGCAAACTGCATTGTACTGGAAGGGGCCGATGAATAGTGCTGGGTCAAGGGTTTTTAAGTGGAATTGAGAATAAGGGAAGCAGAAAGGTGGTTTGAAGAGGCGAAAAAAGGAAAATGGACTGAACCGAAAGGGCCTTGGGAGTGTTATGGGATTGGAGAACTTTTCCTAAATAATTTAGGAGCTCCAGTAGAATTTATGTTTATGTGAAAGAAAAAAAAAAAACCACATGTTACTTAGAATTGGGAAGTTTTGTGCACCCATGTCTAGGAATTAAATTTTATATGAATTCATATATTATATATTATATATACATAATTTAAATTGTGATTTTTAAGAAGAAATCAAATCAACCAGCAAGGGCAAAATAAAAATTTTAATTATCTATTTGTTTTTCCATTATTTTTATACACAAATCTTAGAAGCAGGAACAGAGTAGTTTCAAAGGCCAGTTTCTGAGACATGCTTAAAATTGGCGCTGATAACAAAGAAACTACTATGAATGGCTGAGGTTTCAAAGTTAGATTAGAGTTCACTCTAGATCGTATTTGCTAAGCTAGTAAAGCCGTGTAGGCTTGTTCTAGCCTGTTGGCTGGGAAACTATCTCTAAACAGGATGTGGTGATTATTTGTGAATGATCATTACTCATTCTGACAACAGATCCTCACTGCATGCCCAAGGGGACATCCCCTTTTAAACATGCGTATAAAGATGACTCAAGTACGAATATCATATGTACAGCGTATCAATATTAGCTGACCTACCAAATCTGAAAATGCTTAAGTAAAGATAATACACAATAATCTAGTTATATTAAGCTATATTCGGGATCCATTAAGTAGCCTCATAGTTATAGAAAAGGATAACAAAAAAATTTTTTGGCAATCTAGTGGAATAGGGGTATGGGGTTTAAAAAGGACAATGAAAAAGTTCACTGAGCAGGAAAGGAATGGAAGATTGCTCAACAGATCTACAGGAAACCATTCCCCCGCCATCACCTCTGCATTTCAAAAAGCAAATGCAATTCCGGTCAGAAGACATTGTCTACTTCGGAGTGATATGCTTATAATCTATCTGTGTGTGTTTTTTAACTCTTACAGTGAAGCTTCAATTATATCTTCTTAACCCCTTCCCAAAGCCTTGGGAAACACTGGACATTTTTCTATATAAGCAGATTGGGTTATTTGTCCAAATGACGGGTGTTTTTGAACTAGGACATCTAGCTTCTATCCATAGGAAACCCCATATCTGGTGGGCAAAGAATAGAGTATAAATATTATGTATCTGATATTTACACTTTGGGCCATAAGTGTTTGAAACAGTTATATCTATTCATGTGAAATTTCTGTTCACATTATAGCAACAACATCAATTTAAAAAAAAAAAAACAAAAAAGAATTCCCCAAGACTGTCCATTCTGCGTGTGTGTATGCACGTGTGTGTGCATGTGCAGGCATTTTGCACCATGCTGCAAAACAGCTCCTCTTCCTACATTTGCCCTTGACTGTTCATCTCCCAAGACTCAGGTCTTCATTCTCCTCTGCACGTTCCTGTGCTTTCAACCCGTCTTATAGTGACCCCAATTCTATGTGTTCAGCCCAGACCTCTTCCTGAACCACAGGCCCACGCTGGTTGAGTGAATTTCCAGTTTTCAGTACGACATTTCCTCCTAAATGTCTGTGGTCTTTCGGTCCCTGAAAATCAACTGTCAAACTATTAACTGACTTTATACATCCTCAGCATGCACACACACACACACACACACACACACACACACGTAAATGCACATGGCAGGGGTTGGGGCACAAAGTAGATAAAAACTCCTGTCTCGAATCACTTGAACCTGGGAGGCGGAGGTTGCAGTGAGCCAAGACCATGCCGTTGCACTCTAGCCTGGGCAAGAAGAACGAAACTCCGTCTCAAAAACAAAACAAAACGAAACAAAACAAAAAAAATTCCGGTCTCCTGCCATAGCTCCTGTCTTGGTTTCAGGTTACTCATACTAGGAACGCAGAGACTTATTCTTGACTTTTCTCTCTCCCACAGTCTCCATACGCAAACAGCCCCCAGATATGGCTGCTTTAACCCTGCCGTTGCATTTGAATCTTTCCTTTCCTTCCTGCTGCCCCTCCACCACAGACCCTGCTAGGTCTGACTGCCATGGCTCTCTTCTTTCCCTTCACCTCAATCTCACATGTCACTTCCCACTAACCCCACCTGGTCTCCCATCCTCCATCCTGTCCCCTCTAAGTCTGTTCTTCATTGGAATGATCCTTTCAGAACCTGAATCACTCATGTCATTCATTCCTCTGTTCAGAAACTTGCCGTGGCTTCTGGCCTCATTAAGAGAGTAAGTCTAAGTCCTTGCAATGATCCAGACCACTGTTGATTATCCCTGCCACTGCTGTCCTTGCTCATTGCTCTCTGCCACGGTGGTCTCGTTATTCAACGTCCCTGGGTAGATTTTGTCTTTAGGTTCTGAACTTGCTGTTCCCTTTGCCCTCAGCCCTCTCGAGGGGTCACTCAGATCCTCAGCACTGCCCTCCTCAGTGGACCGACATCGACACCTTACCCTGTTTCCAAGTCACTTTTCACCTCTGGACACACTGTGGGATTTACTTATTTCTTTGGCTTGTTTTCCCACACACATTCACACAATGTATAAGCTCTATGAGGCTGCAGTTTTTGTCTGTTCTGCAGTTGATTTCTCAGCTTCTAACAGGAAGTAAATAAGTAGTTTTTAAGTAAATGAATGTGAATCTTCTGGGGAGCATTTAAAAAAAAACTGTTGTACAAACTCTGCAGATTGAGGATCCCTTATCCACAATACTTGGAATCACTGGTGTTTCGGATTTTGATTTTTTCAGATTTTTGAATATTTGCATTGGACTTACCAGTTGATCATCCCTGGTCTGAAAACCTGAGATCCAAAGTGCTCTAGCAAGCGTTTCCTCTGAGCGTCATAGCACACTCAAAAAGTTCTGGGTTTTGAAGCATTTCAGATTTCACATTTTTGGATTCGTGATGCTCAACCTATACCTTGGACCTGTCAAATCAGAAACCTTGGGGAGTCTGATCCAAGAGATGATACTTTTTCAAGGTTCCCCGGTAATCCACTGCCCAGCTCAGGCTGAGCGCCATTGCTGCCAGACAGATTTCCTAAACCGTGGACATCATCCCACCTTCATGCCCTTCGACATTCTCCGTTTCCTCATAGAATCATGCCCAGACTCAAAGTGACAGTCACAAACCCGCACCCGTTGCCCCAGGGGCCTTTTGGCCTCGTGTCCTGCCCCTCACCATGCGCCTCTTCCTGCCTGCCGGAAGCGCTGTTGTCTTCCCTTGGGTGTGTTGCTGCCTCGTGCCCTCCCTTGCCTTTGCCTGTGCTGTTGCTCTGCTGAAAATACTTTCTTTCCATTCTCTGATGGGTGAGTTGCTCAAGGATAAAGTTTGGATTCAAATGTCAGTGTTATAGTTTTCCCTAATGCTCTCTCTTTTTCCTCACATCTCCCCCCGGTAATTAATGGTTGCTTATATAACACATTGTGTGTCATATCCATATCCTACACCATTGGAGTTCCTCATTCTCTCATCAGACTCTGAGCACCTGAAGGATAAGAACATTTCATTGATTTATCCTCAACATTCAGCGAATAATCACATATAGTTCTTTTACCCTCAGTGTCTGCCAAATTGCCAAATATGGTTGTTTAGTGTGCCAAAACAAAAGTTATGTTATTGATGTGAGGTATCTCTTTATCAAGTTTTTCCGAGTATTCAGTAGTCAGATACCTGCATGCGCATGGCTGTAAGCATGTGTACGCCCCACCCCCGCCACCGCCCCGAGGAGAAGAGTGTGTGCCCAGCCTGGGCCCTTGGTCCTGAAGGGAGAGCACGTCACCCATTGTCATGTTATTATCCATTAACGTGACATTGTATCTTCTCTCTACCCAGAGACATCACCCATCTTCTCCTCATTCCTGAAGACCTAACTTTAGCCTCTACTACTCTCTCTTTCCGCAGATAACCTCCTTAGGTACTTTACTTACTTAAAAAAAAAATTTTTAAGGGATGCTTTCTAAGTGACATCTCTTATACACTCATTTCTAAAACGATAAGTTTTTCTCTTCCTCTCCGAATTTAGTTTCCTATTATCCTGATCTATCACTTCTTAACGGACACTGATTCTGCTCTAAGCCTCTTTCACTTATTTTTATATGCTCTCTCTCTCTCTCTCTCTTACTTCCCTGTTGGTCTTTCAGTTTTCTGGTTTCTCCTAGCATTAAATAAAAACAAGAGCAGTAGCCGTCCTGCCTGGTATCCCGTGCTATCCCTGTGCTCCCTCCTCCACAGTTTCGCCAACAGCGGTTGGTGCGTGTTGAGTTTCTGTTCACACCTCCGGCCCCTCTCCATGCCCTCTGCAGGCCGCTGCCATCTGGGTTTCTCTGGAAGTGCAGAGGCCACAGGTTGCAATCTACTCTCCAGCCTCGGTGCCTGTCTCTGCCCTGGTTCTCCTCTGCCAGCTGACCTCTTGCCTTCTGATTCCCAGAAGGACAGGGCGTTGGTTCCTGTGATTTTCCACTCTCCTGGGGCCCCTTCCTGCCTCTAGAGTGGCCATGCCCATCTCAGCCCTTCCTCGCCCTGAGGGCTATCAAACCATAAATGAGAGAACTTGCCAGAAAGCCTGAGGCCACGGAAACATTCCACACACTGTGTTTTCCTTCCCAAGTCTTGGTTATTTCCTCTTTGTTCTTTGTCTATACTCCTCAAGCAAACCTCTTTCTTGAAATATTACACTTCTCCCAACTCTCTCTGCAGTTTTTTTTCTAGCACCAGTCTATATTTGCCTGCATGATGAGGCCTTACCTTAAACTTTACATGTCTAAAACACATCTTTTGTCTTCCTCATCCTTTTTAAAATAAGTCCTTCCAGATTTCTATCTTTTTGTCATTCATCTTCTGACTCTAGTGCCCCAAGTCTCTGATCATCTCTGTATTCCTCCCCCTTTATTTGCCCTTCATGGCCAGCCAGTCTTTGCATCCTTTCACTACCCTCCCCGCCCCCCGCCCAATCCTAGCATAAACTTTCATATCCTGTATTACTTCCTGTCTTCAATCTCTTCTTTTGTATTACAGCTACAAACTTGACCTTTCTGAAAGCCTGTTTTCATTGTGTCACTCTGCTCAGAATCTGCAGTGATGCCCTTATTTCTCTTCCAGGATTAGGTAACTCTACCCAGTCTTCAAGGGTTTCCACAGCATGCCCCACCTTAGCAATTCCCAGCACCCCGAGGCCTGAGCAGCGGTGGGGTCTCCTGTCTCCTCTCCTCTCTGCCTTTTGATGAATGCTCTTGTTCTTCCTGTATGAAACGCTCCCCCGCCTTCTCTCTCCCCCTCTTGCCGTATATCTCCTTTCTTTCTCTTCTTGTTCTTCTGTGAGTACATCTGTCACAGGCCCTTGGTTTTCTGTCACTGCTTCTACTTAACTATTGAGATGACAGAATGAGAGCCTTCAGATGGGAAATCCTGGTTTCCAATGTTGCTTAAAGTCTTACCACTTTATTAAGCAAGCCTAAAGCTCAGTGGCAGAGTCCCTGAGTAAGCCATGTCTTCGTCTCTTTCTCCCTGGTGATCAACTCTGTACTTGGAGCATGGATCCTTAATAAGTATGTTTTGTTAATGAACAGTCAAACAGATAGAAAAGACTCACGAAACTGTTTATTGTATTCCAACAAATGATAGCTTTGAAAAGAAGCTAACCTGGTGGCTCACGCCTGTAATCCCAGCACTTTGGGAGGCTGAAGCGGGCGGATCACTTGAGGTCAGGAGTTTGAGACCAGCCTGGTCAACATGGTGAAACCCCGTCTCTACCAAAAATGCAAAAAACTAGCCGGCGTGGTAGTGCACACCTGTAGTCCCAGCTACTCCGGAGGCTGAGGCAGGAGAATCACTTGAACCTGGGAGGCAGAGGCTGCGGTGAGTAACCACTGTGCTACCCGTGTGGAGATCGCGCCACTGCACTCCAGCCTGGGCGACAGAGCGAGACTCCATGTGGAGATCACGCCACTGCACTCCAGCTTGGGCAACAAAGCAAGACTCCATGTGGAGATCACGCCAGTGCACTCCAGCCTGGCAGGAGAGCGAGACTCCATCTCAAAAATAAATAAAAAAATAAAATAAAATAAAATAAAATAAAAGGAGCTAAGTTAAAGTTGAATGCTCAGTTGGATAATCGTTTACTAACAATTGATAGGAGCTTGGCCTCTGGTGAGTTTCTAGATGACAGTGGTCTTAGACCTGTCTCTATCCCTTGCTGTTTTCATTCATACAGTAAAGAGGTTTATTGACTGAGCCACTCAACAACCATTTCGTAATATCTATGATGGGGATACGTTGATCTTTAAGGGTCCTTTCAACTGTAAAACAGCGTTGATGACATTTTCTGAAGACAAACAAACACTCAAAAGCCTTACTTCTTAACAGGCCTGTTGAAGATTTTCTTTTTCCCATCTTTGCCATCACAGGCTTTCTTTACACTCCCTCCACTCCACTCCACCCCTGCTTTTTCTTGTCCTAACTCTATGTCTACACCAAGGCTAGGCCCTTGTGCTTTTAGCTGCCAAACACCGTATACTCTTAAATAAAAACAGTAGAATTTGAGTAAAAAGAGATTTTCTTAGAGTTCTGTGATGGACCAAGCATGAAATGATACAGCCAACTCTACGAGGAAATAGGAAATAGGACCTTGAAGGTTCTTTTCAGAGTTAAACTGTCCTGTTGGATTGCTTGTTCATTTTAAGACTTTGACTTATTTTAGATATTTTTTTCAGATAAAAGTTCGGTGATGACAAATGAACTCTACAGTCTGGCATCTACCCTAGCAGACTATCAAAATTGAAATGATTAATATA